>NC_000020.11:32449811-33737998 GCF_000001405.40 Homo sapiens
AGGGTGGTTCTGGTCCCCTCTGCGTCATGCTTGGGAGTGGCCAGAGCCTCCTGGCATAGTCAACATGAGCAGTGGTCCCGGTTCCTTTCTTTTCTCCTCTCCCCAAGTGCTATCCTGTTCATGCCTGTGCTCAGAGCTTCCTCCCTTCTCTCCTGGGCTGTAGCTGAGGCTTGGAAAGGAGAAGGTCCCTGTTTCCTGCAGCTGATCTGATCTGGAGACACCCCCGTGTAGACTCTGGTTACAGCCAGATGCTCAGGTTGCCGAGGGACTGCCGTATGGTGGGTAGAGGGATAGGAGTGAGCATGAGTTACCCAGCACCCCAGGCAAGACAGGCCGAGCCTGATTCTATCTAAGCTGATTTGCATCTCCAGATGACAACATAATGAGCAAAGTGAGGAGCTCTGAGCCATTAATACGGCTGCCCGGCTGAGGTACCAAACTGATTGAACAATACTTGAAAGGCTGAGGCTGGGGAGGCCAGTGGGGCTGGGTGGCCCTGCAACCACGTGGCTGCCTGTTGTCTTCCTTCAACTGCTGGAGGATTTAAACAATGTTCTTCAAATGAGGTACTAGTGCTCAAGGACAGGGGCTGCCCCAGGCAAGGAGGTAAATGACCAGATTTCTGCGTCAGTGGCCTCCCCACCCACCATGAAGGAACCAGGGTATTCACAGATGGGAGACTGAGACCCCAGGATGCACAAGGGCAGAGCCAGCTGCCTCCCTGGAAGAATCATTCTCTGGCTGCTGTTTGTGCCTCTTGGGCAGGTGTGAACGGGCAGGCATGAAGCAGGCTCAGCCCTAATATGAGAGGCCCTTAGGAGGGTCAGGGGGACTTGGCAGCCGCAGCCCTGAAATAGGTCATGCTGGGTGGACACCAGGTAGAGGCTTGTCACCATCGCCTGCTGCTAGGAGGGAGCAGGCCCCAGACCACCCTCACCTCACCTGCTGAGCCCCAGACCCCCATGTGTAGGGGGGGCAGGGCTTTTCTTCCTGGAATGAAAGGAGCCCGCCTAGGACAGCCACTCCACCTCTCACCGTGCTGGCCACTCCGGCCTTAGCTTCAGGGATTAGGGCCAGGCGGCCTCTTATTTTAGGTTAAGAGGCATTAGGAAGGGATGAGGAGTTAAGCCCAGGCAGGAATCTTCCAGGGACCTGCATACACTTCCTGGTTCTGGGGGGTGGCGGGGGTCAAGGCGAGTGGAGGCAGCCTGGGCTTCCTGCCATGGGTGGGGACTAGCTCCCTCCCTTGCTGCCCAGGAACAGTGAGGGGTCTCCTGCAGCCAAGGATGGGGGCTTAGGGAATCCTCAGGCATGTTTAGCCAAGACCTTGCACCAGGGTTCCCCAGCTTACAGGTGGCACCTTTCTCCAACCTACTCAGGTTCCTCAATTCTTCCCTTCATTCCCTGGCTTCTGAACGACCCCCAAAGCACATGGCTTCTGCCTCTTGCTCTGCCCATTCAAACCTTCTTACAGGGGCAGACAGAATGACACAGACCACACAATTCACGGCCCTTCTGTGCTTAAAACCTAGCAGGGGCTCCTCCTGCACACAGAACACAACCCGAGTGCCTGGCCCAAGAGGTCCTGTGACCCACCAGGCTGACCCCACTCCTCCCCTGCTTCCCTTGGCCTCACAGTAAAGGGGTCTGAGGTTCCCCATTCCAGTTCGTGCTCACGGCAGCACCTGACTCCATGAGGAAGCCTCTGTCTCTTCGGGGGCTGTCTCCTCTAATGGTCTGTGCCCCATCTGCGCAGAGTAGCCTGGGGAGTTACCGGAAAAGCACCTACTGAATCACCCAGCTACAGGAGCGGAGCGAGGGAGCAGGTGTGCACCATCACCCCAGGTGTCTCAGATGTAGGCTCCATGAATGCAGGGGCAAGAACGGAGGCCCAGCACCCAGGTGAGGAAAGCTTTCACCTCACAAGGCAGGCCCTGAGCTGAGGCCTGGGGAGGGAGCCGCCCTGCAGGCCAGCGGGGCCACAGCTGGGCCAGGCCAGCAGCTGTCTCACTGAGCCTCAGTCGCTATGGGTGAGACAGACGGGGCTGCGGAGATTCAACTCAGGCCAAGAACAGGCCCTTGGCTGGGACTCGGCACCCACAGGGACCCTGGGGGAGTGGAACCAGTGAGAGGCGCCGGTAGTGAAGGTGGGAAGTGTTGGAGCAAGCGTCACTGGCGGTGAGAAGGGGGCGGTAGGTTTTTGCTTTAACCAACTGAGTCTCCTTCACCTTCCAATCTAAGGACCAGCTAAGACGATGAAGTGGAAGGGTGCCAGAGCCGCCCCTCCTGCTCCCTATGCTGTGAGGCAGCCCCTTTCCATCACTGGCCTCTGCTTCCCTCTCCCCATTCCGCTGCCCAGGGCTGCTCTGCAGACCCAGCTGGGTGCTGGTCGGGAAGCCAGAGCCCAGGCCTCCCCCGACTCACCATTACTGTGGTTTCCTGTTTGGAGGGAGGCAGGGGGCTGCAGGTTGCTGCTCAAGGCCCCGTACCCGCGGTAACTGTAGTTGAGGCCGCCGTTGGCGTACACAGGGTCCTGGGAGTAGGAGGAGGCTGGCAGTGAGTAGGTGGAGTGGGTGATGGCTGCGGAGTCCCGCGAGTGCTGCTTGTCCAGGGCTATGGGCTCATCCTGCAGAGGGGAGAGGGGGGCGCTGGGGAAACCAAGGGGCAGCTGGCCCCAACTACCATCCCTGGACACAAGGTGGATAAATGCTGCGGCCCCAGGACTCCTGGGACCCAATGCTGCGGTTTGACCTGTGGGATTCTGTCTGTCCCCTCCCCCAGCCACCTTCCCCCCGGGGGCTTTCCCCAACTCTGCTCATCTCCCTGTCAGCGTATTTGATCAGGGCCCTCTGGTCTCCAGATGAAGTCCAGGCTTCCGTATGAGGTCTGAGGAGCTCTGAGAACAACACACCTGACCTCCACCCACCTCCTCTCCTTGTCTTTGCCCTCCTGTTCCCCCTCTGCCCTTCTCCCGACTGTACCCATCACAGCTCCCTCAGTCCACACCCATATAAGGCCTGCCCTCCCTGGCTGCCCAGGAGCGGCCCCTGTAGTGGCTGCGGTGGCAGGTACCTGTGAGGACTGGTAGATCTCTAGACGCATCCGCTTGGCTGCCTTTCTTGTCTCGCTCTCACAGGCAGCTGCCAGGATGTTTTCTGCCATGGCCGAGGTCAGATGGGGTGGCGTGGGTCTGGTCTGCAGGCAGAACGGGGATGGAGCTAGCATGGGGCCCGTGGGGGCCCTGGGCTTGTGCAGAGACCCTGCCCCAGGGGTGGGTGGCACAGGGTGGGGTTTGGGCTCCAGCGCCTCAGTCTATGGAGCTGTGTGATCTTTCTGGGCCTTAGTTCCCTCATTTGCAAACCAGGGATTATGGTACTTGCTTCCAGGGCTCCTGGGAAGACCCTGGGTGAAGGGGCCCGGGCATCCTGGGAGTGTGGCAGGAGGTCAGTAGTGGCACCGAGGGAAAGTGTGGGCCAGGCAGGGGGGACTCACCATCTCCATGCCGTTCTTCTTCATGCGACGGCAGGACTTGAGGTACGTGCGGATGCGCTTGCGGGCCCGCTCCTGGAACTCAGGGAACTGCCGGCTGCAGGACTCGATGATGGCCTGGATCTTCTCCTTGGGCTGCTTGGAGATGGGCACCATGCGGTCCAGGTTCTCGTCCACAAAGAGACGCACAAACATCTGTGGAGACACGGGCCATGGGAAGGGCTGGCCCTGGCCTTGCCCCCATCCCACCCCACCTGTTTCCGGCCGGTGCTCACGTTGAAGGCCTTAAGACGCTCAGGGTCCATGCCTTCAGAGTCGTTCATCTTGTCATTGTCCTCATGGTCATCGTGGTCATCGTCGTCATCATCTGCCGTCGGGGCCCGGCCCACTGTCAGGTCCTCAGGGCAGCCGCTGACCTCGGTCTTGATGGAATCGTAGCTCCCAGAGCTGTAGGGGGGGGACTAAAAGGAGGGCAAGAGGCAGAGGGTTGGGCCAAGCAGCTGCTCAAGCCCTTGCTGGGTCTCCTACAGGCGGTGAGCTTGGGGACCAGGGTGGCACGCATGCCCTGCTGCCACGAGAGCCATAGCTGCGAGGCCCTGAGCAAGTCACTCCCCTCTTCTGCTCCCTTCATCTGTGCAATGGGGACAGCAATGCTACCACCTCCCTCCCTGGGCTGCCGCAGGGAGGACCGACTGCAATAGTGTATGCAGAGACCTGGTTCCCGGGGCTGCTGAGCGCTTAGGAGGGTGTCAGCTGTTTCCTCAGCAGAGGCCAACACCAGGACCTGCCACGTGTACAGGGGAAAGGCAGACATGGAAAGGACTCCCACCACCCGCCAGCCTCCTCTCGTGCCAAGATATATTTTGGCTTCGGGGTTTTCCTCCCTGATCCCCAAGGGGCTGCAACCCCAAGTTGACAACCGAGCTGTCACCAAAGCAACGAGCATGCTGTCTGTCGGGAGGAGGAACAGATGCGCTGGGCGAGGTAGCCAGCCAGGGCGACAGGTCCGTTCAGCAGGATGCGTTCCCGCAGCTCCTGAGCTGGACTTCTCCTGTCTGCCCCCCACCCAGGACAGCACAGTGGCCCCTTGAGAATATGCGGGTAGAAAGGGAGAGGGAACCGGATCCGGCCTCCCCCAGCAGTCTCCTGTCCTCCAGTAGAGAAGGGCTCCAGCCCTCTGCTCCCACCACGAGTTTCTCCCTGGCCAAGCCCCTCAACCATCTCTCCTTAGGAGCAGCTCCCTCTTTTCCCCCATGCCCCTCCATCTTCTCATCCTTCATGGCTCAGCTCCCACACCACCTGTCTCCTGCCCCTGCCTCGGGGCACCGCTCTGGGACGGCTGAGGACCACTGTTGCCTTTCGGAAAGTTTGTGCCTTCGATGTGTCCTAAGTACTCGTTCAGATCGTGACTGACAGTAGCCTGGGGACACTGTCCCTGCCCTCAAGGAGGTTGGCATCTAGCAGGTAAGGCAGGCTCAGGGAACAGGTGGCGGTATGGTCAGACCCTGTGATGTGGCAGCATGGCCATGGCACAGCCCGGAAGGGAACAGCACTCACTGAGGAGCAAATCCAGGAAGAAGGGCATTGCCTGGCACCTGGTCCCACAGCACGGCCCCCGCCAGGCCTCTCTCCCTGGGACCAGGCCCGCAGGGGTTGGTGCCCTAGGGTCACTGGCCTGGTGCCTGTCTCTTCGTCCACATACAGACTTGGATAGGGGCAGGATGCCGAGGGCCCCCGCTGGCTACCATAACTGGCCGTGTGGCCCCAGGCAAGCCACATTCCCACGCCACTCCTCAGCCAAACCCTGAGCCAGGGCCAGGGCAGACAGATGGAGAAAAAACTAAGATAGGAGCTGCTGGTGGCGTTCCTGCTCTCATCTCACTTCCCTGGGCCCCCCATGTACCCTGTGGCCACAGTGGCAATGGCTGCTGAACACAACTCACCCCCTTCATGGAACAGCAGCTATGCCTGTCCCTTGGACCCAGGCAAAGCCTGCTCTGGCCAGAACCTGCTCCCAGCCACCTGTGCTAGACACATAGCAACAACTCAGCACTGAGCCCATGGTACAGAATGTCCCCACGAGACATTCCAAATGAGGCAGGCAGTAGCACCTACTCCACTCTCTCTGCAGAAGAGAAAACAGGCCCAGAGAGGGAGAAGAGCCTGTCCAGAGGTGTAAGCTCCAGGAAGGCACCTCTGGCCCCCGGGCCCAGGTTGGAGAAGAGGCACTACTACAGGAAACCTTAGTGGCCCGGAGGCAGCTTGTGGAAGTGTGGGGGAGGCCCCAGGAAGCAGGGGGGATGCCCACTGGTAGGGGTACGTACTGTGCCCACCCTTACCACCGTCCATCAGCCTAGTCAAAGGAGGAGTTCCACTGCCCACATCCCTGGGCCCTCGCCCTTTTTTCGCACGACCTATAAAATGGGGACAGGCACGCAGACAAACCAGGCAGTGGGAGGCCTCGTACCTGGCTGTGCCGAAAGTGGCCACTTGCTGTTATCCCCAGCAGATGCTGTTCTGGGGGAGGGGGATGGGTTGTGGGGATGCATATCCACCTACCACCTCTACCAAGGCAGGGGCCGTCAGCTCCACTTCACAGGCTCGGAGAAGGGGGCCTGGCTTGGGGGCACACTCCAAGCCATCTCCCATTCCAGAGCTTCACCAGGAACCGAACACATACCAGCCACAGCCACCACCCTGGCTCGGTGTCACACACATGGGCTGGCTCCAGCTAAGCTCTGGGCGTATACAATTTCATTCTCGCCTCGCGACAGCCCTTTACAGAAAGAAATGGACTCAGCCCCCAGCCCCACACACCTCGGGGGTGGTCTTCACCCCGTATTTGACGCGGCTCCGCAGCCCGTCGGCACCGCAGCCATCCGAGGGGTAGGAGGCTGTGCCAAGTGCCGTGGCCGGCGGGAGCTTGTCACACAGGTTGATGGGCTGATCCTCGGCGGCCGTGGTGAAGTCCATGGGGGCCACGGCGCCGTTGCCATTCATCTCGGGGAAGGCAGGGTCGCCCTGCGTGCTGCTCGACGTGGATGGGTTCAGGGTGGAGGAGCCATTGCCGCTGCCACTCTCAGAGGAGGAGTCATCTGGAATGAGAGGCCTGGGTGTGAGGCCCCACCCAAGGCACTGTGGCCACTGCAGCCACCTCGGAGTATCCCACCCTGTGTCCTCCTCATGAGTGTCCCTGGGTTGGGGTGAGTGCTGCTACCCCACCTCAGAGGCAATTTGCCCCAGCCCACAGCCTCAGCTGAGGCAGCCACAGGGTCCCCTCTGCCAGAACAGAGGGGCCATCAGGAGGGGTGTGGCCAGGCAGGGCTGTGCAGGGCATGGAGGGTCTTCCTGCACCCCAAACTCGCAAGCGTTATGTCCAGGCTTAAGGGAGACCGAGCTCCAAGGGTTTGGGAGTGAGTGGCCTGTCAGAGGGCCCTGGAGGCCCTCGAAGCCCGGCCAGGCTCTCCCTTCTCCCCAGCTCCCAGGACCGCACCTCCCACCCACCCTGCTCCTGCTGCCGGGCACTGCCTTGCAGCTTCGAGCTCTCAGAGCCCCTGCCCACGGTGGGCCCTCAAATGTCTCCTTCCTCTGCCGGAAGCAGGAAGGATGGCTCTACTGTGACCTCCAGCCATTCACTCCCTCCTGTAAGCAAGCCCAGCCCTGGCAGCCTAGGCACAGGCACGGTGGCCCCCGAATCTGCGCTCCGTGCAGGCCCCACGGCCTGGGACGTGCAAAGCCGGGGCTGCAAGGTCTGGGGTCTGCACGCGGCCCCCGAGTGGGCCTGCCCGGCGTCTCAGGGTGGGCAGCCCCGGCAAAGCACTGCGAGGGCGCCCCCTGCCGCAAAGAGCGCGGCACCGCCAGCCTGCGGGCGCGGGGGAGGAAACTTTAACCAGGGGACCAGACAGTTCCAGATACATTCCAGGCCTCTCTGCCCACCCAGCCCCAGCCCCAGCCCCGGCCTCCTGCTTGCTCAGCTGAGACGGCAGAGGCTGAAGCTGCACGGGAACTCCCGGGGTCACTGTCAGGTGAGCACCCGCGAGGGTCCCGGGGAGGTACGGGTGACCCTGGCGGCTCCACACCTGCACCCAGAGTGGGTGGGGGAGGGGTGGTCACAGCGGGCCCTGCCGCCCCTTCCCCCAGGCCAGGGTCACGCCGGACCCCACCCCCACCCTCCCAGCCGGCAGATTATGAAGATTTAGTCCCCGGTGCTGGGCACTGGGCACGCGCACCTCCAGAGCGTCCCCATGGCGACCGAGCGGCTCTAGCGCCCCAACCAATTGCTGGCCTCCCGGCTGCCCGGGGGCGGGTCCAGGCTGCCCATCATGCAGCCAGGCCGGGCAGAGGGGGATGGGAGGCCACGGCGGCGCAGTGCACCCCTCCCCCTCGGCTGCAGCAGGTCCCCTGGGCCAGGCGTCCTGTCCTCCTTCGGGCAGCCTAGCTCCACCACTCCCTCCATCCTCCCGCAGGGCAGCTCCGGGCTCTGCTCAAAGCCCGCCCATAGCTGCCCCTCACTGGCTGCATCCTCGGAGTCCCGGCCCGCGCTGGCTGTCCCCGGGACCCCACAGCCTACTCGCGCCCAGTCTGGAGCCAACACATTCCCCAGCATTTTTACTGAGCACCTACTGAGTGCTGGCCTGGAAACAAAGTAATGACTGCAACCAAGGTGCCAGACCTCCTGGGGGACAGATGTGCCTTACTCAGCCTCGTGGGTAACAGGGAAGGTGAATTGTGAGAATGGGGGTGCCCACTTTCCTCCACCCGGGAACCAGACCAGCTCCTCATGCAGCTCCCACTGGCTGCTCTCCAGCGCCCAGGCCACCCACATCCCACCTGTGAGAGCCAGGCCTAATCCTCACTCCCCTGTCCCATGCTTTCCTGTAGCTGAGTAAGAGTCCGGCCCACAGCCACTGGCACTCTCAGTCCTGTGACCTCTGCAGTCCCCCAGCCCAGCCTCACTATCCTGTGCTGGAGCTCTGCAATCTGCCTGCCATGACACCTCCAGCTGAGCAGATGGCAGCCAGCCTTCAAGGTCTGGTTCCACACTGCCACTTCAGGCTGGCACTTTTCTCCACTGTCCCTAGGAAGGAGGCACTCACGCCTCCAACCCCAGCTTGCTGCCCGGCCCTGCCAGGGATCCTCATGCTCCCTTCCCCTGGCCCAGGGTCATCGTGAGGGCCATCTGCCCCACCAGGACAGACCCTGTCACCAGAGAAGCCCCTGCACCTGAGGTCCAGGAGCCTCCACGGGGGACAGGGATGACACCCATACTGGCTGGTTACCCACGCTCCCATGAGCTGCAGGGGGCCCATCCTTCACCCACCTTGCAGGTGCGACTTCACATACCGACACCACCCTCACAGGCCACTTGCTTGACCTTGGAGGGCCTTAGATTCCTCCTCTGGAATGAGGGGCTGCTCCTCAGTGGGCATCGTGCCTGGCACACAGTGAGCAAGTGGTCACTGCCTTCATCACAGGCACCAGGCCCAAGGCTGGCTGCAGTGCCACACCCTACATAGGCCCAGAAGTGACATCCCATCATCCCACCACCCACCTCCCAATCAGGTTTTCCCGAGAAGATGGACTTGCCCTCCGCCACTGTGAGCTCCAGAGACACGCTGCTCAGGGTGCTCCTGGAGCCTCTACCAGGTCAGATGCCCGGCACGGGGGCCCAGACTCTCCAGCTACCAAGACCTTTGCCTCGGGGCTGTGCCCCCGGCTGCCTGGCTGGGGATCGACAGGCACTAGTGCCGGGGCAGAACCTCCCCTAACTGCACTCAGATGCCACCCTGGTCTGGCCAGGGAAGTGGTTGGGCGGGTAAGACCCGTAAGGCACCAGGTGCTAGGACCTCGTATGGCCAAGTGTTCCAAGCTGTTAGAAGAAACTGGAAATCTGCACCATTATGTAAACAGATTTTAAAATATTGGCGACTCAGTTACATGGTTTACTTTTTTTTTTTTTTTTTAGGGTCTTGCTCTGTTGCCCAGGCTAGAGTACAGCGGTGCCATTAGGGCTCACTGCAACTGCTGCCTCCTGGGCTGAAGCGATCTCCCCAGCAGCGCACACCACGACGCTTGGCTAATTTTTTTTTTTTTTTTTTTTGAGATGGAGTTTCACTCTTCCTGCCCAGGCTGGAGTGCAATGGGGCGATCTTGGCTTACTGCAACCTCCACCTCCCAGGTTCAAGCGATTCTCCTGCCTCAGCCTCCCAAGTTGCTGGGATTACAGGCGCCCGCCACCATATTCAGCTAATTTTGTGTATTTTTAGTGGAGACACGGTTTCACTATGTTGGCCAGGCTGGTCTCGAATTCATGACCTCAGGCGATCCGCCCGCCTCAGCCTCCCAAAGTGCTGGGATTACAGGCATGGGCCACCGTGCCCAGCCTCGGCTAATTTTTAAAGTTTTCTTTTTTTGTAGAGAACAGGTCTCGCTATATTGCCCAGGCTGGTCTCAAACTCCCAAGGCTCAAACCATCCTCCCACTTTGGCCTCTCAAAGTGCTGGGATGACAGACGTGAGCCACTGCGCCCAACCCATTATTTATATTTTTAAAAACTTCGACAAGTAAATGGGTACACAAATGTGGTCTATTCATACGATGGAATAGTATCCAGCCATGAAAATGAATGAAGTTTGGATAAGCGCTGCAATGTGGATGATAAAAACACGAGGCTGTGGGAAACAGGCCAGACGGACAAGGATACTCAGTGATTCCACTTCTACGCAGCATCTGGAACAGGCAAATTCACAGAGACAGAAGGTACAGTGAGGCTCCACGGGCTGGGAATGGGCAGTTAGTACTTAAAGGGTGCAGAGTTTCTGTTGGGGGATGAACAAGCTGTGGAAATAACAGTGCTTCTGGAGTGTACACTTAAAAATGGCAAATTTTATGTCACACATTTTACCACACACACAGAACCCAGACCAAAAACAGCCCCTTTGCCCTAGTTTATAGGCTCTATCTGCCATTATCTCATTTTCTCATGCCGCACACACAGAGCCTACTCAGAGGGACAACATGGATCGCGAAAGCCTGCCTTCCCCAGTGACACCAAGGTCTCGCCTACCCCCAGCTCCGCTCAGGCAGCCCCGGCATGCCAGCCCCCACCCCACACAGCTGCCCCCGCGCCACATGCTCTGGGGGCTGCCTGCAACCTGAGGCCCATGTTTTGCCGACTGGGGAGGCCACAGGTTTGAGCCGCGGAGTGGCTGGAAGAGGCTACTCCACCTTCTGGAGCCTCCGTTTCCTTTCAGAGTGGGTCCCACAGCCGTAAAACACGGTTCTAAGGTGAGGATGGTGCCCGAGATGGGGCAGGAGCTCAAAAGGAAACCCCAATTCCCTGCACCCCACATTTTCTCACATCATAACTCACCCACTGCCGACGCACGAGGCTCCCAGACTGCAACGGGGGCTTCTGGGGATCCCGGAGCCCAGCCTGTGACAGTCTGAGGTGGGCCCAGTGAGAGGGCCACTGTGGGGATGGGGGCAACTGCCACCCTCGGAGCTCATGCTCCAGCAGCGACAAATCAAACCTGAGGGCTCCAGAGGAGACGGGGCTCTGAAGGGGTGTCACCAGCTTTCTGGCCCCTGAGCCATGGTGTCTCCCCTACTCTCGGCGACTCCTGCTCGCCCTTCTGTGCTAACCCGAGCACCACCACCTCAGGGAAGCCCTCCCTACCTGCCCCGATCTCCATCGTGGCACCGGCTGTGGGCCACGGCTCTGCAGAAGCCATCCCAGGGACGGTGGGGCGAGGGCTGAAGCCTCATGAACCAACAGGGGCAGAGGTGCTGCTCGGGGTGGGGTTGGTCCAGCCTGTCCCTCGGCCCCACAAGCAGTGGATTTGATGCCGGCTGCAGCCGCAAGGGCTGAGTTTACTCCAACTGGAAGCCAGGTCCCTCCTTTGGGCCCACCAGGCCCTTCCAGCGAGCCCCTATGGCTCACCCACCCGCCCCAGCTGTGACCCAGCCTTGGTACTTGCTGTTCCCTCTTCCTGCTCCACTCTGTCCCGGGTGTCCCCTTGGCGCAGTCCCTCACTTCCAGGGCTCTGCGTAAAGGTCACCTTCTCGGTAAGCCCAGCTCCCACCCTGCTCTGGCACACTGACCCCTCTACCTTTCTTTTCTTTTTTTTTTTTTTTTTTTGAGACGGAGTCTTGCTCTGTTGCTCAGGATGGAGTACGGTGGCGTGATCTCGGCTCACTGCAAGCTCCGCCTCCCGGGTTCATGCCATTCTCCTGCCTCGGCTTCCCGAGTAGCTGGGACTACAGGCGCCCACCACCACGCCTGGCTAATTTTTTATGTTTTTAGTAGACATGGGGTTTCACCGTGTTAGCCAGGATGGTCTCGATCTCCTGACCTCGTGATCCACCCACCTCAGCCTCCCAAAGTGCTGGGATTATAGGTGTGAGCCACTGCGCCCAGCCCCCTCTAACACAGTAGTATTGCAAGGAGAGGATAAGTGCTTGGAAGAAATTACCTATTTCTTCCAAGCACTTATCCTCTCCTTGCAATACTACTGTGTTTATTGTGTCTCTGGCCTGTGCCCAGCCTTCACAGAAGCGGCCCCAGCCCTAGAGACCCAGAGTTGGTGCAGCTGTATTGGGTGGGCCTGGATGGCTCCTGCTGCCCCCTAGATCACACCCCTCCCTCTGGTGGGGGCAACTGAGTCTTCCTGGGCTCGCCGGGGTGAGTGCATGCCCCAGGCCTGGCCAGTCAACCCATCACAGCAACTGGTAATAGCGTGTGACCAAGCTGGGCCCGAGGACATCACGCGGGGACTCCTGCTGCGATGGCTGGGAAGGTGCTCTCTACCTGGGGTTGCTGGGCCCGTGGTGCAGGGAGGCCCACGCTGGGGAAAGCAGGGCTGATAGGGGGCACAGATGATCCCCTGAAATCCATCTGTGCCTGCCACCTAGGAAGGCCCTAGAGGTTTTGGTGAGGGAGCTAATAATTTCCTTATTGGTTAGGCCGGCTAGAGGCAGGCTCACACCAATGGCTTGGTCTCTGAGTAGTCCAGGGTCTTCTCCCTGGCAGAGGCCAAGGGATGGGACCCGGGGGCTGGGATCGCTCTGCATGGGGACCTCACCATGACGCCCAGCTCAGTCCTGAGGAGGCTGGTACCCACAGGAGGGGGTGGTGCCCACAGGAGGGCTCATGCCCACAGAAGGGGCTGGCTGCAACCCTCACACCCACCCCTCACTGCACCTGGCCAGGAGAACGCGCCTGTCACTGTTTGGGGAAAGAAGGAAAAGAGAGACTGGGGGCAGTTGGGTTTTGATCCGATTGGAATTCTTCCTCCCACAACCCTTAAAAAAAAAATGGATTTAGGCCAGGCGCAGTGGCTCACGCCTGTAATCCCAGCACTTTGGGAGGTAGAGGCAGGCAGATCATGAGGTCAAGAGATCGAGATCATCCTGGCCAACATGGTGAAACCCCATCACTACTAAACATACAAAAATTAGCTGGGCGTGGTGGTGCACGCCTGTAGTCCCAGCTACTCAGGAGGCTGAGGCAGGAGAATCGCTTGAACCCGGGAGGTGGAGGTTGCAGTGAGACAAGATCGCGCCATTGGACTTCAGCCTGGCGACAAAGCGAGACTCTGTCTTAAAAAAAAAAAAAAAAAAAACTGATTTAAAAGAGACATCGACAGGCGCACAAACCCTTGCTGTGATGGAATGCAGTGGGGCCCGGGCAGGGATGGTGCTGGTGTAGGGTCCTGCAGTCTGGGCGACCTTGGGCACTGCCACCTCCTGGGCCTCCTCTTATCTACAGTCCTGGGAGTTGCCGCTGACGCCCTCCTGGGCTCTGGCACTTTATGACTCTGTGAAGAAACCCAGCTGGCTCCATGGGCACCGAAGCCCCAGCACACAGGCCTCACGGGGTGCAGGCCTCCAGCTGGGAGGCTCAGTGGGAAGCTGGGAGTTCTGGATGGACCCTCCACACCTGGAGCTGGAAGTGGAACCTAAGGGTGCCCAGGTGACCTCTTGTCCCCACCTGGTCCCCATCTTGCTGCTTCCATGAGGCCCCTCCAGGAGGGTCACCCTTGAGGCCAACCTGCTGGGGCCCAGTGTGATGAAAGCAGGGTGGGCCTGCCCCCAGCCCATGGCTGCGTGGGCAGCAGAGACATGTCCTGAGGGGCCTTGGGGAAGCAGCCCGGGATGCACCCCCTCTCAGCATTTCCACAAAACCAGGCCCTCCCCACTGTGGCAAAGGGCGACTCCTTCATCTGGGCAGGACCCGGAGCCCACCACCTGTGCCCAGAATGCCTACGGGCAGGGAAGGACTGCCGTGTCCGTCTATTTGAACATGGGGCAATGTGCTGCTATTCAAATGGAGGAATTAGTGATGAATGGGGGAAATTGTTCCTCCCTCTGTCCCGTCTCCAGAAGGAGACAAAAACCCCTTTTACCTCAGCAAACAATGCCCTTATGTGGGCGCCAGTGCCCCGCAGCCCGCACAAGCCCAGCTCTGTGCGAACCACCAATCGCCACACCGCGCTCTGGGGCCCACAGCCAGTGGCACCCTCTCCCGGTGGGCGACTCCCACCAGCTCCCAGGCTAGGCTCGGAGAACGGGAAGGCCCACCATCCCTGGGACCACAGGCCAGGTACACGGCCACTGGAGGCCAGCAGGCCCTGCGTGCAGACTGCCTTCCGTGTCCAGAGGTGTGGCTGCTGGAGGCAGTGCCGCCTCCATGAGACTCTGTCACAGCAGCAGCCAGGCGGGGGATGGGAGGGGCATCAATAATTCACACACAACAGGGCGACGGGGGAGGAGGGGGTGGGAGACTGCTGGAGCCACGGCCCACCATGGCCAGGGAGGCGTGGACAGTAGGGCTATGGGCTGTGGTCTGGGGGTGCTGACCCTGCTCTGAATTTGAGGCGTGCACCTCCCCAGGACTGGCCCCCTGCCTGCTTTGACAAAGGCCAGCGCCCAGGCTGTGTTTACACGATGCGTAGTTCCAAGGAGCACCAGGCTCAGGGCAGGCTGCCCAGCTCTTCCTCCAGAAAGGCAGGAGGGGTGCAGGGGTCAAATGGGGGACACTAGGACCCTACCATCCGGGTGATGGGGCCACACGGGGCACCTGCATTCTCCACGTGGCCCTCAGGCCCCAGCTGCCTGCACAGCTGCCCTCCTGAGCGCCCAGCTCTGTCCCTGTGGTTCACACAGCCTGGCCCGGCCCCAGCCACGGAGCAGGGAGCCCATGCCCCCCATCTGGGTGCCACACTTGCCCCCTGATTTGCAGCCCCGGGGCGCCAGTTCCTCTACCCCCACAGCATGCGCCTCCTCTGCGTGTGCCCCTCAGTGCCCGGGCAGTGGGCGTTCCTGCTGAAACTCTGGTCACTCTTTGCTTAGGCAGGTGCCAATTTAGGCCCTCACAGTCGGGAGCAGCACTGTCCGACAGAAACAGAGTGGGAGCCGCATGAGGGATTTGAGTGCCCTAGTACCCACATTTTAAAAAGTAATAAAGAAACAGGTGAAATCAATTTTAATAATCTACTTTATTTAACCCAATATATCCAAAATAGTACCATTTCAACAAATAATTGATACCGTGTTATCAGAGCTGAGATATTTCACCTTCTTCTTTCCTACGGAGCCGCTGAGACGCAGCGTGTATTGCACACCTGTCTGCACTAGCCTTTTCCAAGGCTCAGTAGCCGTCCTTGGCTAATGAATTAGACGTCACACACCTAGATCTTCCCCTAAAACTGAAATCATTTCTCTCTGCAGAGACCCTGGGGTTCCTGGCCCGTAGAGAGGTGTCCAAGCTGCAGATGATGTTCAGGCCTTGGGACAGGTGGCTCAAGCGGTGGGGCCCTGGAGACAGACACCACCTTCAGTGGAGGGGGAGGTGGACACCAATTATGCGTCAGGTCCCGAGTGTCAGGCGGCGGGTAACTCATCATGCCTGATTTGCACAACCACCCTCTGCAGCAGACATCAGGGAGGAACCAGAGGCTCCAGGGGGAAGTCACCGACCCATCACCCGGGATGAGTGGAGGCGCCCAGACAGGCCCCAAAGCACCACCCAGGCCGCCCAGTGCTCTCAGACATTCTGGGAGCCTCCAAGGCCAGCCTTGATTTGCCCATCTGTACTGTGGGACAATTCCCTACCCCTGCTACCAGACTGCTCCACTTCCTAGAGCCCCTCCCCCAACACCTACTGGCCACTGATGCCCCGGGGAAGCGCTCCCAGGATGAACTGCCTGTGTGTGGGTGTTCTCCCTGGCCCCGTCCTCCAGGCCAAGCACAGGCGGTGAGAAATAAACACTAATTCAGTGTGCAAAGATCGAGCCGAGACACACAGCCTGCTCCCCGTGTTCTCAGAGCAAACAGAGCCACTCCAGGCCACCATGTGTGAATGATTCACGGGGCAGGGCCCTGGCCCCAAAGCCCCTGCAGGCCCTCCTCCAGCCCTCCCGGAAGCCAGTCTGGGTTCGGTGCATTGCAGTCCTTAGGTCGGAGTGATGACGCCAACGCGGCCTGGTCACTTCCTGGTTCCTGGGAAAGTCACCCTTGAACAGGCTCCCGGTGGAGGTGCCTCAGGAGGGCCTGTCCCTGACACAGGAGCCTGCAGGATGGAGCTCTGTATGTGTCCTGGGCTGAGGGGTGGTGGCGAAGGGCAAGGGCACTGATCCCCACGTGGCCCCACTGGGCCAGGCTCACCTTCACCTCCATTCTTTTTTTTTTTTTTTTTTTGAGATGGAGTCACTCTGTAGCCCAGTGGTGTGATCTTGGCTCACTGCAACCTCCACCTCCTGGGTTCAAGCGATTCTCCTGCCTTAGCTTCCTGAGTAGCTGGGATTACAGGTGCCCATCACCACGCCCAGCTAATTTTTGTATTTTTAGTAGAAGTGGGGTTTTGCCATGTTGGCCAGGCTGGTCTCAAACTCCTGACCTCAAGTGATCTGCCTGCCTTAGCCTCCCAAAGTGCTGGGATTATGGGCATGAGCCACCACGCCTGGTTCACCCACTTTCTCAGTAGGTGAACCTCTCGGCTCCTCAGGCCCCAGAGCTTGTCCTCCCCAGCATCCCAGACAAGGCCAGGGCTGTGTAGGCCCTGCCCACTCCTGGATAAAGGGATCTCTCGGTGCTGTCTCCCAGCGTCTCTCACCCCTTGGCGGGCCGGGGCCCAGCACAGCCCAGCATTGTCTGTGCCGCCTGCGGCCCAGCTGATGATGGACACTTTCCTGTGACCCGGGACTGCCAGTGTGGCCCACAGCCAATCCCTGGAAGGCTTGGGCCCCAGCTCTCTGCTCCTGGGGGAGGGGAGGCCAGGAGGCCGCCGCCTGCTCATCTGTTGTGGGTATTTGGAGCCTTGAGGAGGAACAAACAGCTCTTGCTCCTGGGGTGGGGGTGGGTGGGACCTGCACCCAGAGAATGGGGCCCAGCTCTGGTTTCTGGCCTCAGCTGTGAGAATTAGGGTCAGGGCAATGGACACAGCCATAATGAGCAGGTGTTGGGGAGAAGGCTTGGCTTAAAAGCCCACTGCAAGAGAAGCCTTTCACAGGCCAGCCCAGGGAGGCTGGTGCAGGGGCCACACCTCCTGCCATGCAATACTGACCAGAGCAGACGTCTGGCCATGAGTGTTGGGTCCACGGGGAGGCAGCAGCAGGCCGGAGTTCTGTGCCTCCTGGTGGGAGAGGGCTGCTGTGACCCAGGGATGGGCCCAGGGGAGGGTGGGCATCACCTGAGGAGGACACTAGAAAGAGCCGCGGCACAGGGGTAATGCGGGTAATGGTCTCTGAGCCCGGGTGGCCTGGTCGTTACTCCCACCAGCTCCTTCCCCATCAGCCTTATGGCTTCCTGCCTGATCCCTCACTTGAACGGCTTCACGCTGTGCTGGGGACACCCCATGGCACCCTGAGTACCAGAAGCCAGAAGCACACTTCTGCCTGGCACCTTCTCCTTGGATGGCAGCACTGACTCCTCGCTGCCTGCTTAGCTGCCCATCAGTGTGGGCACCTGGATGGGTCTGGCATTTGCCAGATTGAGAAGCAGGGTCTTGGGAACTTGGGGTCCCTGGACAGGGCCTGGCACATGTGGGTGGGGAGGGAGGGACAGGGACTCAGGACAAGCTGTGAGTGCCTGGGTCTGGTTGACACCAAGGACCCCCTAGCCCGGCTCCCTTTACGAAGAAGCACAACCCGGGCGGTGGTTGGGAGCTGAGAGCAGGGGTGGGGATGCCGCTGAGGGTGGCTGTGAGGTAAGCTGCAGTCAGGGTCCCACAGGCCTCCATGGCAGAGGGGACCAAGGGAGACCAGGCTGGCTGAGGAGGCAAGACTGGACCAACGGGGTGGTGCGCAGGGCTCAGAGAATCTGGGGGAGGTGAGGAAGACCGCCCACATCCAGTCCCAGCCTGGCCCCCAATGGGCCTGTGCTGTCCACATCTGGTCCTCAACCGCCTGGCAAGGTGGGCCAAGATGATCACCCCCAGCCCAGCAAGGGGTTGGCACCCGCCCAAGGCTG
Organism: Homo sapiens; assembly: GCF_000001405.40. Lineage (NCBI taxonomy): Eukaryota > Metazoa > Chordata > Mammalia > Primates > Hominidae > Homo > Homo sapiens. The sequence goes on from NC_000020.11 coordinate 32,467,770, forward strand.
CCTGGCAAGGAGGGAACTGAGCAAGATCTGAGCTCTGTGTGCCCCCACACTTCCCTGCAGACCTCTTGGAGGCCAGGGAGGAGGCACACAGGGGAGGGGGCCGGGCCAAGGAGAAGAGGCCAACAGCACTGCTGCTGTAAATACCGAGCCCTGGGCACTCAGGAAACACACCTGCTCCCCAGAGACCCGCCCTGCTGCCCAGTTTGCATTTCTGGGTGGTGGAGGGCCCCACCCAAGGGCAGCAGGGGCCAGGAGGTAGGAAGCCTTGGTCTTCTCACTAAGAGCTCCTGGGGGCATGCCAGGATGAGGGGCCACAGCCCCCAGGCCATGTCACAGAGAGAAGCTGTGGCCCAGAGTTGGGGGATCGGCTAGCTCAAGACCATACTTCGGGGAAGGGCCGGCCAGATCCATGGCACAGCACCCAGGACCTGCCTACAGGATGCCACATATTGGGCCCGACCACTCCATCCTCCCAGAACCCTTCCATGCCAGACCCTCCCCAGATGGCCTGGCTGTGGCCTCTCTGCCCTTCTCTCCTGGTTGGAGCTTGGGGTCATAGGGAGCTTTTGGAAACAGGTGACCCAAGAAACCCTCAATCCTGGCATCGGGCACCTCCTCCCTTCCCAGCCCCCTGCTGCCACGCCTCTGCCCAGCTTCCCAGGCCACCTCCTCCCAGGCCCTTTCTCTGATTCCCCATCTCTGCCAAGAGTGACTCAGTGGCCGTTGGTTGAGCACCTATTCAGTGCTAGGGCCTGGGGATAAAGCCCAGGACAGGAGACTCAGGCCACATGGGGCCAGCCCTGAGGGGCACCCTGCAGCGCCACTTCCAGCAATGAAAAACAGGGACTTGGCCAAGCACGGTGGCTCACGCCTGTAATCCCTGCATTTTGGGAGGCCGAGGCGGGCAGATCATGAGGTCAGGAGTTTCAGACCAGCCTGACCAACATGGTGAAACACTGTCTCTACTAAAAATACAAAAATTAGCCAGGCGTGGTGGTGCACGCCTGTAATCCCAGCTACTCGGGAGGCTGAGGCAGGACAATTGCTTGAACCTGGAAGGCGGAGGTTGCAGTGAGCCGAGATTACACCATTTTGCACTCCAGCCTGGGCAACAGAGCGGGACTCCATCTCAAAAAAAAAAAAAAAAAAAAGAAAGAAAGAAAGAAAGAAAAACAGGGACTTGAGTGTCCTTCCACAGGAGTGGCCAAAACGCTGGCTCTGGAGAGACCCAGTCCCTGTGGTCTGGGCAAGTTACTTCCCCTCGGAGACGATGTTTCCTGCCCTGTGGAACAGCGACATGTATAGCTCTGGGCTCACAGGGTCAGGCTGGGCACACAGCAGGGTCAGGCTGGGCACACAGCGGGCTCAGGAATGGGACCCCAGTCACTGGACTGACTAGACAAGCTTTGAACTGTGGCTGGCCCACATCAGTGTCAGGGAGGCCAATGACTATGTGAGAAAAAAGGCGCCAATACTGCCTCATTGAAAAGAAAATGAGGCTCTGGTTACTTAGATACATAGAAAAGTCTGAGAAAAATAGGGCCCCAGACATCATTATTTTTCATTTTCTTTTTTCCTCCTTTATTTTTCTATTTTTTTTTCTTTTTTTTCTTTTTTTTAGATGGAGTTTTGCTCTTGTTACTCAGGCTGGAGTGCAAATGGTGTGGTCTCGGCTTACTGTAACCTCCGCCTCCCGGGTTCAAGCAATTCTCCTGCCTCAGCCTCCGGAGTAGCTGGGATTACAGGCATGTGCCACCACACCCAGCTAATTTTGTATTTTTAGTAGAGACAGGGTTTTTCTATGTTGGTCAGGCTGGTCTCAAACTCCTGACCTCAGGTGATCCACCCGCCTCAGCCTCCCAAAATGCTGGGCTTACAGGCGTGAGCCACCGCACCTGGCCTTCTCCTTTATTTTTCTACAATAATTGTAATACTTCTGAAATAAGGGGAGAAATAAGGGACATTTCTACAAAGATGTGGCTCCTGCCCTCAGCAAGCTGACAGCCTGCAGGGGTCCCACACTGGTGCCTGTTTGGCTTCAACCAAACCCCAGACTCCTCCAGGGAGGTGGGGACAGGGCTCATCACCCCTGTGTGTCACAAGGCCAACGCTGGTGTGACTAAAGTGGCCAAGAACCTGGAAGAGCCAAAGGGCCCTCAGTGCCTTTGTCCAGACTCAGGCCTGCACAGTGCGGGAGCCCGTGTGTCCCGAGGCCCAGGTTGGAGGAGCGGCCTCATCTGAGAGGCGCACACACCAGGCCCTGACCTGCCCCAGCCAGGGCTCCACACGACTCTTGCTCAGCAATCCCCCGACTGCCCACCCTGCAGAAGGCGGATGCAGGCCCAGCGAGCAGACCCCTGCTCTCCCCTGGCGCTGGCTTCCTGTCTGCCCAGGAGGTGAGTAATGTCCGCTCCCTGCCCCCACGCATCCCTTCTGGAGGCCAGACGGGCCTCACATTTTCCGCTCAGGAAGGGGCAGAGTGAGAGGCCTGCTGAAGCACATCCAGGGGAAACGGAAGGAGTGGCCCCGCCTGCCGGGTCAGGAACCTGGGCCAGCCCCGGCCTGCAGGAGGCGCACTGGCTCACCTGCCTCCGTGCATGCCTTCGTTCATTTTCATCCACTCATTCATTCAACAAACAGCACCCCAGCACCTGCGTGGTGCCAGGCCCTGTGCTGGGTGCTGGAGGCCTGGCTCTCAGGGTGCTTATGGTACTTGGGGAGGAGACTGCATCAAACAGATCATCCCACAGGTGGCGGCGTAAGTACAGACGGATGTGCTGTTCAGCCCCAAGGCAACGCCAGACCACAGTGCCTCTGGACAAAGTCTCTCAGGCATCCTCCCTCCACACCCTATGATGTGCACAGAGCCCTGTTCAGACCCAAAAGAAAGCCCACGCCTCAGCCGGGGCTTGGCCGAGGGTCTTTAGGGGACCTGGCCCGTGCCTGGGCAGGAAACTGTGGCAGGAGCTGGCCCGCATGGCCCTGGGCCCCAAGGAGGGAGCGCCCCAAGTGTGTGGAGAGGGCCTTCTTTGGTTCCCTAGCTGCCCTGCCCATCTTCTGGGGACCCTCACACATGGCCCCTGCCCCTGCCAAAGGGGAGAGAGGAGAAGCACTGGCACCTCCCCAACTCTGGCTGAGTTGCCCCAAGTCTCTCCCTGATCCTAAGTTTCCTCCCCATGAGATGAGGGCACTGTGAGTGGTGCTCCCTGCCAAGCACCAGTGGCTGTGATCGCAGGGACCTGGGAGCATCCCAGGACTTCAGAGTGTGGGGAACTGGTGTAAAGAGGTCTGGGAGACCAAGACTCGCAGCCAGTGGCAGGGTTGGGGGCAGAAGCCTAACTGTGTTTCAGGACAAGCAGACACTCACCCCGGTAGAACCTCAGAGGCAAGCTCCCGGGGAGTGAAAGCTGTGGCACCCGCACAACTCACTCTTGGGCTCAGTTTCAGGACAAGCAGACACTCACCCCGGTAGAGGCTCAGAGGCATGCTCCCGGGGAGTGAGAGTGGACACTCACCCCGGTAGAGGCTCAGAGGCATGCTCCTGGGGAGTGAGAGCAGACACTCATCCCGGTAGAGGCTCAGAGGCAAGCTCCCGGGGAGTGAGAGCAGACACTCACCCCGGTAGAAGCTCAGAGGCAAGCTCCCGGGGAGTGAGAGCTGGCACCCGCACAACTCACTCTTGGGCCCAGTGGTCTCCGCCATGGGATTTGCTCTGCCACTCAGCCTTCATCTGCCTTTGTTAAAATCTTTAAAGAAGGGCCCCAACAAATCCACAGCTGTAGATCTGTGCTAACTGCCTGGCTCCCTGAAATCACTCCTGGCTGGATCACTTGTCAGCAGGGATGGGGTGCTGATATGGTTGGGATCTGGGTCCCCTCCAAATCTCATGGTGAAATGTGTCCTCCAGGGTTGGAGGTGGGCCTGGTGGGAGGTGTCTGGGTCATGAGGGGCAGATTCCTTATGAGTGGCTGGGTGCTGTATGGAGTGAGTTCTCACTATGAGTTCATGCGAGAGCTGGTTATTTAAAAGAGCCTGGTACCTCCTCCCTCTCTCTTGCTCCCTCTCTCACCATGAGACATGCCTGCTCCCCCTTCACCTTCTGCCATGTCTGTAAGCTTCCTGAGGCCTCACCAGAAGCCAAGCAGATGCTAGTGCCATGCCTGTACAGCCTGTGGAACTGTGAACCAAATAAACCTCTTTTCTTTATAAATTACCCAGCCTCAGGTATTCCTTTATAGCAACACCAAACGGACCAACACAGGTGTGTCATCAGCACAGCCTTGGGAGTCCCCACACTCCCGGCGAAAAGAAAAGGCCCAGGTACTCAGATGGGAAGGATGTCCCCAGAAACAAACAACCCAACTTATCCCCCATCAGAGGCGGAGCTCCATCTGCTCTGCAATGGTGTGCTTGGGTAGGTCTCAGTAAATGTTTGTTCGTTTGTTCATTCGGGGATAACAGACATTCAGCAGGTACCGACAATGGGCCATGTTCGCAACCGAGTCCCAGGGGCAGGGCAGAGACCAAGACTGACCTTACAGCAGGCCTCAGACTTCCACGAAGGACGGAAGGCCAGAGCCCACACACCAAGCCCACCTGGGCATCAGTGGGGTTGGGGGGCTTCTGCAATGGAGACCCTCGGGCGGGGAGTGGAGCACACAGAGGGCTAAAGCGGGTGCCTCTGCTTGGGCTGTCCCTGCCTAGTCCTGCGTCAATAACAGGGGCCTGAGAGTGCTCTGATGGGAGCCCCTTGACTCACTCATGGGAGCTGGACCTCACATTTCTGCACCGTGAGCACCTTCAAGAGGGGCTGGTTGTATGTCTCCAGGGGGGCCAGAAGATGGCCCAGGACTCTAGGCTGGAAACCCACTGCTCTGGACAGACACCAACAGGCCCACAGGCCCAGAAGAGGCAGCAGAGGCCAGGCCAGCTGCCTGGGCCTTCCCAAGGCCTGTGCCCTGCCCAGGGTCTCAGCCAGCCAGCGGGGTGGCCCACAACTCCATGAGTGTCTCGGAGGGGACAGTGAGGCCCACGGCCCTGTGGTCAACAGCATCCTCCCTGTCCCAGCTCTGGTGTCCATCAGGAGGGGAAGGTGGTGTCTGACTACCCCAGGCTGACCCCGCACTGGGCTCTTGGGGACCTACAGACCCCCCAGCCTCCCTGCATCTCTCAGCCTCATCCTCATGGCCAGGCCAGCCAGCCTCTGGGCAGCAGGTGCTGAGGGAACCCCATGGACCCCACAGAAATGCCACTGTCAGCTACCTGATCCTGACAGCCCCCAAATCACCAGACCTCCCCAGGACGTGTCTCCAAGAGAGATCACGCTCTCAAAGGGTGGTCATGAGGAATAACAGCATGAGATCTGCTTGGGAATGAGTAGGGGGACCATGGTCCCTTCAGCCCCACTGCTCTGGGTTTCTGAACAACTGTCCCAGACCCTTCTTGTGGGGGACCACAGCCTGTGGCCCCAGCTGGGCTCTGCAGGCACCGCCCTCAGTGTTCCTTGGGCGTGGCCTCAATCGGCTCAGTTGAGGCGGGAGGTCAGCTGCTGCGCTTGTCCCAGCCCCAGAGCCCCCCAGAGCACGTGGCTGCCCCCGCCGGTCCCCACCCCCGTGGGAACGCTGGAAGGCGGCACTGGCCTGGGAGGCTGGCAGCACGAGGGGGTCGCACCGACCTCACGAGGCATCAAGCACAAAAGCCTTTTCTTTGCCGGCAGCCACGCACCCCACTCCTCCTGCAGCCACTCCCTGTGCTCCCCAGCCCCTGGCCCAGACACCTCCAGCTGCCTCCAGACTGGGTCTCCTCCCAAACAAAGCCGGATTCAGGCCTTCGGGAGGCAGGCGCGCAGGTTCTGCCATGGAGATGAACTTTGACCCAAACAGCAAGGCTCCTACCCCTTATTTACTCTTTAAGGCTGACCCGTTTCACAGAGTTCACATTACACCCCTTTTTAATCCGCACCTCCCTCCCACATTCCAGGCCTCGACCTTCAACCCCTCCTAATTGCTGGCTCCGGCTCCTACACCCCAGTTCTTGGGCCCAGCTCACTCATCCCTGCCCCCAACCATCTCCTCCACGGAAACAAAGGCGATGCTGGGGTGCTGTGCTCACAGGGCCACCTCACAACCCTGGCACACCAAGGTAGATGCCAGGGTCCCAGAGCCCAACCACTTGGGGGAGTCCACGTGGAGGCCGGGGTGGATCTTTGGGGTCTGATTCCTGACCCTAACTCTCCAACCCCTGAGAAGGAAGCCTCTATTCCAAGGGAGGCTGGAGTAGGCTGCCTGGCAGGCCCTGCGCGGAGGCGGTCAGGGCTAGGGAAGAATCCGGACAGCTCCCCAGCCAGCCGCATCGCATCCCAAGGGGCTAGGGTGAATGTGGGCAGCTGCACTGCCTGGTCACTCACCAGGTGACCTGGGCTATAGCCTCACATGTGGCTGCAGAAACACAGCTTGTTTCCCTTGCTGGGCAGCGGAACTGCTCTGGGTTAGGTACACTGTGAACCTTCCCAGGCCTGCCCCTGGTAACTCTGAAACCCACATTGCAGAAGCCCATGGCATCCCGGCAACCAGGCAGACCCCCCGCCCCGCAGGCTGCCAGTCCTATGGGCTCTCTCCCTCATCTTTGGGAGGAAGGAGCCAGGAGCTGGGGCACTGGGGCCCATGGAGATGCTGAGAACACTGGGGGCAGTGCAAGCTTGGGCCTGAGCCACCCAAAGGCCTTGGCCCAGATTCCGCCACCCTGGAGTGTGTCCACACCTCTCACCTGAGGACAACTGGGAGCAGGGGGCCGGGCACAGCCCCTCCTCAACTGCCACCAAGGGGCACTCACCGTCCTCTTGACTGTGGAGGTTCTGCGGGCTCCGCATCCTCTCGTCCTGGCTGGGGCTCAGGCTGGAGGCCAGGTGCGGGTCAGCTGACATCCATGTGGAGTCGCTCATATCAAAATCCTCGCTGCTCACAGAAGTCTCATCCTGAGCAGGGACAAAGAAGGTGGGCATTCAGCAGGGACGGGCTCTCATCAGCCTGAGGCAGCCTTGTGGGTGGACCCCAGGGCCAGTGGGCGTTTGGGAGTGCCCTGAAGGCGGCAGGAGCCCTCAAACCTTGAAGTGAGGGCTGGGTGGTGCTCCCCCTTGCCCGGTGGAAGTGGCCCCGGCTCTGGTTCCTGTCGGAAGCCAAGGCTAAGGGCCGGCACTGTCTGTAATTGAAGACAATTATGAGGTCTCGCATCCTGCAGGGGCGGATGGCAGGGCCTGGCTCTTACCCTTGTGAGCCAAGGTTGAAACAAGCGCTGTAAACAAGGGCTGCCGCTCCCTGCTCTCAGCCCAGGGACCGGGGCTCACTCTGCACAGGACCCGGCGGCAAGAAGCGGGCAGCAGCACATGCCCGCCACCAGGCACTGAGGCTGAGCTGAGTGCCCCCAGCAGGCCTGGCGCCCTGACTCCCATGAAGCATGCATGGAATTCCTTTCTCCCACTCCCCCAGCCCAGAGGACGTTTCTGTCTTCCTCCTTCCTAACCTTTGCTGTGCTTCAAAGATACGCTCTTGGGCAGCTTCCAGGGCTGAAAGGGCCAGCCCCAGAAGTGCAGAGAAGGAAGGGGGCGGGGCAGGCCAGGGTTCGGACCAGACCGCAAAGGGGGTTCAGCTCAAGGGCCTGGGGGGCCGCCAGGGCGTTCCAAACAGCCGGATGGCCTGCTAGAGAGGACCACGCCTGCCTCCTCTCTCCTCGCTGCCGGCTTCGGGCCGGCCCTTGGCCAGTCATCCGGGAACCCCCGGGGCGGGGCCCCTTCAACCCAGCCCTCCAGGGGGAAGGGCCCCCACCTCCTCCAGGCCCAGCCTTTCAGGAGCAGCAAGCAACTGTGCCTGGGAGCTGGCTGTAAAACCAAGAAAGATGACCCAGCAGCTCCCACACCCGGAGTTCTGGCCTCCCCCCAGCAAGACACAATGGCCTCTGTGGGCCCCCAGTGAGGACCTCTGACAGAGCACCCCCCAAGCCTCCCCTCCGGGGCCCCCCTCACAGACACCTCTTTTATAGTGAGCAAACACACTTTGGTTGGAACTTTCTTAGACTGCTGTCCCTGAGGCAGACACATCTGCTCCAAGTGCTAGGGAACCAGTGTGGATTCGCCTCCACTCCCTCCCCCACCGGCTGGGCTGGTAGGGAGTTTCCTGGAATTTATAGCTTCTGTGCAGTGTGGACCCTCTGCTGAATCCAGAGGACAGGAGCTGGGCTGTGACGCCTGTAGTCCCCACGCGGCACACCCAGGGCCTCGGGGGATGGACAGAGCCCACGTGTCCTCTAGTGTCCTCTCCCCACACACAGGCACACGCACTCACTCTGCCTCCCTCCCACAGGCTGCCTGCTCCATAAACACAAGCACCTCCACCCACAGCCCTCCTTCGTGAAAACTCGCTCACACACCCGGAGGGACACACACACACACACACACACACACACACACACACACGTTCAAAAGGCTCTGCACAAAGGGTACAAAGGGACAACAAAACTCTCCCCTGTGCTAACTGGATGGAGGGAGACGAAGGGGAGGGGGAAGAGAGGCTGGCAGGTGGGGGAAGGTTCCTTGGAGCCTTGAGCAAGGCTGCAAGGTGCAGCCGGCTCCCCATCTTCCCAGCTGGTCGTGCCATGCGGGCTCCGGGAACCAGGAACGGGGCATCTTGCATGGGCCCCTTGCTACTTCCTGGATGCCCAGGGGGTGCCATGCTCTGGGTTTGACCTGAAGTCACAGCTGAAGGAGGAAGACTCTTGGGTATTGTTCAAATGCTCACGACTTAAAAGACAGAGTATTCTAGTAACAGTTGAAAGTGCCACCTACTCCAAACTCCCCATCCATCCATTCGACAGGTATTTACTGAGCACCTGCTATGGGCCAAGCTCCGCTCTAGGTGCTGGGAAACTCAGCTGTGGACCAGACACACTCCTGGCCTGCCTGGCACCCCTCGATCCACGAGGGAGATGGACAATGAGCAGAAAAACATTGATGACGGCTGCAAAGCACATGGAAGCAGGGCAAGAGGGCAGAGGGACCTGTTTGCCAGGGCAGCCCAGAAAAACCCCACGGGTCAGAAATGCTGGAGCAGAGGCCTGCGAGAAGTGAGGAGGGGAGCCCATGAGGTCTGTGTGGCTCCACGCAAGTTTCAGGCACAGGCAGCAGCAAGTGGGGCACAAGCTGCTGGGTTTGAGGAGAGGCAAGGAGGCTGCTGTGGGCAGGCATGGGCGGGCACACGGGGACAGAGGAGCCACACGAAAAGTTCCCCTCCCACAGTGCACGTAACCCTGGCAGGGCCGTACCTGCCATCTCTAGGTTGGAGAAAGGCTCTTGAACTCCACTCAATACGCACACTCTGGCCTCTCTCAGCCAAGTTCAAACCATAACAACAGAAGGCAAAGCTTCTCAGGGGCCCAGCGCTCCCCTGGACTTGTGGTATTTCACCCTCACTACAGGTCCACCAGGTAGGTACAGTTGACAGCCCCGCTCCACAGATGAGGAAACTGAGGCTCCAGGAGGTTAAGGTGCTCGCCCAAGGTCACGAGCTAACACGAGGCAGAGCCAGATCTGTGCAATCGCCAAGGACTGGACACGCCCTCCTAACTGAGTTGGCCCTCGCCTAGAACCCACACTGCTGCTGTGAACCACAATCCCAATTCCAAGCTGTATCCAGCTGTCACTGTCTTGTGGGTCTCTGCCCTGTCTTTCCCTGGAAAACCTTCGGTCCTTCCAACAGTGGGGACCAGACTGTATGTCCTCTGAATCCCGCACAAGGCAGTGAGACTTGTTGAATCAACTGAATTGCCTGGCATAGTGTTGGTGTTTAATGAGGACGCTCCATTAATTTGACAATTAAGGACTCTGGTCCCATTGCGCACAGTTCTTGAATGGAGGGCATATGAAGCCCAGGATGCAGGCTGGTGGGCTGGTGGCACCCTGGTGCCCTGCAATGCCTCCCTCCTGCCGCTGCCAGCCACCCCACACACAGCCAGGGTTTCTCTGGCTCACATCACTGAACTGTTCACCCAAATGCCCCCTCCAACCCTCACTCCCTTGATGGGTCCCACTGGGAAAAGGTGGGCTACACCTAACCTGGCATCAAAATCACCTGATTAGGAGGAGCACCCAGTGCCCACAGGCACGGGACTTCAGGCTAATGGTTTTATTAGATTTCCTCCCATGACCCCATAACACAGGCACCCACGTCAGGCCTAGCTCCAGCTCTGATAACTGCCCCTGCGAGGCCCGCCCCGCCTGCCCCAACTGCCCAGGGGCACGAAGCCAGCAGCACAGCTGGTGTGTAGACCCAGGCAGCCTGTGCCCAGAGCCTGCATCACACTGTCACCGCACCATGGGCCACCTCACCACATCTCCTCCCTTCAATGGGAGGAACCAGATTCCTTAACAACCAAGTGTCTCAAGATGAGGCCCAGAGGGAACTCATGGGTGATGAGGCTATATTTACACACACACACACACACACACACACACACACTCTCTCTCTCTCTCTCTCATGCATGCTCACTTTCTTCAATGAGTTGTTGCACATTTATTGAGCATCTACTATGTGCTGGCACTGTGCTAGGGACATAGATAACTAAGGCAGGGCTCCTTTACACCAGGCCTTGTTAGCTAGGAAAAGGGACCAGCAAAACTTCTGACCCACCTGTAGGTGCAGTGGGGAGACACTGTGGACACACTGCCTAGTCACCTAACGATGACTGCTTTCTCCCCAGCTCCCCAGGAAGTTTTCCCACAGCCTCCAGGGTTCTGCCATGTGGACCCCAGTTTTGTGAAAAGTGGTTCTAAGATTCTGATATCTTGACTGCTATAGCTTTTTTGAAAGACAGGATCTTACTGTCACATAGGCTGGAGTACAGTGGTGCAATAGTGGCTAACTACAGCCTCGACCCCCCAGGCTCCTGCCTCAGCCTCCCGAGGAGCTGGCACTACAGGCATATACCACCACGCCTGGCTAACTTTTAATTTTTTGTAGAGACAAGGGCTCACTATATCGCCCAGGCTGGCCTCGAACTCCTGGGCTCAAGTGCCTTGGCCTCCCAAAGTGCTGGGAGTGCGGGTGTGAGCTGCCACACCTGGCTGCGACAGCAAATTTTTTTTAAGTGAGAAATCAAGTCTATTAAGCCTAACTTTTCAAAAACACACAATACAAAAATAAGTTTTGGTCAGACTTACACAAACCCTTCAACACCCAGACTTTCAAGGGCTGAGGTAGAGAAGAAGACTTCCCAAGACCCCTCTGCAACCTGTCTGGCGCAGCACAGCCCAGTTCATGGGTGTAAGCCCCCCTAGCCGCAGATGGGCAGACTGTAGCTCCAGTCCCTCACTCACACCCTAAGCCAAGGCTGGAGAAGCAGGCTAATCACACAGGCAGTTACAAGTACACACAGATCAGAACCCGTCAACGACAACTGTGCAGAGGGGGAAAATACACCCAAGTCCAGAGGGCCATGCTGGAGGCACTGGTGCAGGTTTGAGAGTGGCCAAGGCCTCAGGCCTGCTCAGAGACCCAAGGTGCTCACTGGCTCACCCAGAGGTCACAGGGCGCTTTTTACTTTTCCCTTCAGGAATCTCAGATGAATTGAGGGCTATTTTCTCCCTTTCTGTTAACAAACTTCAACAAAACTTACATTAGAGAATAAAAGTGTGGGCTGGGTGTGATGGCTCACACCTGTAATGCCAACATTTTGGGAGGCTGAGGTGAATGAATTGCTTAAGGCCAGGAGTTCAAGACCCACCTGGGCAACACAGTGAGACGCTGTCTCTATTTACAAAAAAAAAGTGTGTGCAATCCATTACTTCTGGGTTCCCTCTCCCCAGTCCCCATGTGACTGGCCAGTCAGCTACCCCCTGGTTTCTCTAGCCTCTGCCCTTTGGACACCCTGAAGCCCGTGGCCTTGCCCACCCAGCAATCATTTATTCCAGCACCAAAGCCATCATGGGTCACAGGGTAACAGAGCCAAAGCCAAATGCTCTTCTGAAAAGGGAACTTAAGAGTTAGGCAGGCAGATGGGTAGCACCCAGTCAGCCTCTGGGACACACCCCAACCTGGGAGCCCTGCCTCTGGGGCAGAGGGAGAGGAGCTGACCAGACTCTCCCTGCTCTTATCTTCAGTCCAAAATTCATGGACAGGTTCAGTCTCTCTCCACCCAGCTTCTGAGGCCCTTCCTCTTCTGCATGGTAACTAGCACAACCACTGCCCAGCCCAGGAGGAGGAGAAAACGGGAGACCAGAGGGGAAATGGTGGAAATGGGCCTGTATCCATGGCTTGTAACTACGGGCAGGTGCTATCAGTAACCTGATTATTTTACAACTGGGGTCAATTTCTCTGGAACTGGGTTCCTGGTGCCTCTGAAGTTGAGCCATTTGCATCCTCCAGGACTTGGGATCCTGGGGCGTGCCTCACACGGTATTTTCCAGACCCTTCCTGAGAGCTGTAATTCTATCTCTACAGCTTGCTTGAGAAAGAAAAGGAGGAGGATTTGCTGAGAATTTAGTGCAATTTTAAGCCATAAGCCCTGACCAGGAGCCCTGGGTGTGTGTTTCAGAGGAGGGCAGGGGCAGGGATGTGCAGGGGATGTTTCTGGGCCAAGCAGGAAAGAGACCCCTCTCTATACAGCCCCCAGGCTTGTTCGACAGGAGGCTAAAGCTCCCACTGGGAAGAACACCAGCCTCAGGGGGTTGCCCCAGCACCAGCTCTATCCCAAAGCGGAGTCTCTTCTCAACCCACTGGTGGGCCCCTCCTTCTGGACACCTGTAGGCCCCTTCCAGGCCCTGGACATTCTTCCACACGAGGCGACTCTCCCCCTTGTCTCCATGTCAGCGAGCATTACACACGCAGCCTTCTGAGCATGCCAAGAAGGTACTGAACCGCATGTGACCCCAACTTAACCACTTCAGTTCATCAGATGGCTTATTAATGGAAGACGAAAAACCCCCAGCATCTAAAGCAACAGGGGTTCAAATCCTTGTTGTGAAGGAGCCGCACACATGAAACAGGAGGGTGGTCTGAGCCACAGCTCCTGGGGGGTGTGGGGTCCCAAGGCTGTTGCTTCATGGCTACACCCCAAGCCCACCTAGCCACCAGGGAAGGAGGCCAGCCTTCCAGCACTCCCTGCACAATTCCACTCCTTCCTGCAAACATGCCTCCTCTGCTTACTAGCCATGCAAGCACCAGCTCTTCTGGGAAATATGAGGCAGGAAGGGCTGAGACACAGCCAATCACCTACCACACTGGAGGCATTCTCGCTCTCTCTCCCTCACACTCACTCACACGCACACTGTGTCTGTCAGAAGCGTATTCCCATCTACATGTGGTCCTCTGTTGTCCCTGCTGTCATAGACACCTGGATGCTGGAAGTGAGCATTTCCCACACCTTCCCACTGTATATCAAGTGGAAAACAGGCTTTTGTTCCTAAGCAAAGGCACCTGGCTGCTCCCCATCAGCATTCCTCACCACGAGGGCCTCGCTGGTACCCTCAGACCCTGCCATTAATGGGGGTTTCTTTAAAAGTGAAGCTGGAGAGAGGAGCTTCAGCAGACAGGGATCTTCCAGCCAAAAGGAAGGCTGGAAGGGAGCCGCTGTGAGCTAATCCCCTGCAGGGCTGTCCTTCCAAGAAAGGAACCCAGACAACACAGAAAAAGTTCTTGAGCAATTCCCAGGCGGTCCAGCTCCACAGAGCCCCAGGGTAGGGGCCGCAGGAAAAGTTCCCCAAAGGCGTCTTCTCAGCTGGGAGGAAGGCCGTCTTCTCAGCTGGGAGGAAGGCCGCAGTGAGCTCTGTTCCCACTGTGCGGCAGGAAGGTGCTGAATAGGGTGGTGTCGCCCAGCTCAAGAGGTGCTGTCTTAAAACCCTGCTCTATAAAGCAAGCCCAGCCTGAGCCTGGATTAGACAGGAGCTTGATATTATTCAAGGACACATTTAGGCCCTAATGGCTTTCCAATGAAGGGGTAATTTACTACCCGGGGGGCTAAACTACCACAGGGCCTGGGCCATAAACGGGCCTTTTCCCCAGACCAACTCAGTCCAGAATCCGGCCTGTGTCAGGGGTCAAGACAGGGGCCTGGTCCCATCACACAGATGGCTCTCCCCAGAAGAGCCATGAGGTCCCCCAAACACCTCTCCCCACACCCCCTTTGGTGTGTGTGAGTTGGTGGGGCGGGGCGGGGGGGGGGGAGCAGGCTGGGGTTGCCAGCTGATTCTGGGATAAGTAGGGCTTTATCTCAAGGGAGAATCTATTTCAAGCCACAATCCTTCTCAGAAAGAGGAGGAAATCACAGAGTCCAAACACCATTTCAGGTGAAATCAGGAGGTTATTCATCTCCCCTCAGAGCAGACAGAAAGGAAAATCAATGTTTTAGAGGGGGAAAAAAGGTTCCATTTGAATTAATGGGTTTGTGGCTTCTCCATTGATCTGAGCCTCTTCACACTTTCTTTTTGTGCTTTTGTGCTCTTGGGGAGAGGGGAGGGAGTAGGGAATGGGGAGGAGGGGGTGGGCCTCCCATAAGGAAAAGGACGGTCTAACCTTAACCTTTCTACAGGAATAATGCTAATTAGCGAGGCTTAATGAGAACTTCCCCCAGGAAGCGCAGCCCGGTAGGGGCGGCCGGACTCGGGCAAACGCAGCTCCGGGTGGGAGCAGGGTCACTTCTGCTCCCGAGCGGCTGGAATAAAAATGCGGATTGCACTCCCCCCTCCTCCCTATCCAAAGTGTCCAGCCTTGAAGACAAGGTGGAGGGAGGAGAGAGAGGGCGGAGGTGTAAATCCAACTTAACCCCTGCGCGCGCCCTCGAGGCGGCCGGCTGCCCCCGCCCCGCCGTGTCCCCTCATTAAGGAAGGCCCCTTCGCCAGGGGCCGCCAACGCCCGCGGCTTCCGGTCAGACGGTGCACCTGAGAGGGACACCCCGTCCCCTCCCGGGAGGGACCCGGGCCTGCTGAAGTGGGCTCAACTCTGCAAACCGCGTCTCAACTCCCCGCGCCGCGCCGGGGAACCCCTCCCTGACACTCAACGCTTCCCGTCCTCACATCCCCAAACACAGTCCACTTCCCTTCTCGTGGCGGCCGCGGCAACCCGAGCCCGGCCCCCGCCCCGCCGCCAGAGAACGCCTCCCTCGCCGGGACGCGGTGCCGAGCCCGCTGCACACCGAGCGGCCGTGGCACAATACCGCGGCGCTGCGCGCACAATCACCGCCCCCCAGGACCCGCGGCGCGCACCCCGGGAGTGGGGTGCGCCCCGCGACCCTGGGCGCTCAGGGCCAGACACACCTCTTGGGCGCCCCGCGGCCCCCACAGTGCAGCCTTCATCGCCCCCCCTCCACTCTCGGGCACACTCACCCGCCCCCCGCCCCAGCCCACTCGGCCCAGGGCGCAGCCGCTCCCCCGCGCCCCCTCCCTCAGCCCCGGCAAAGGAAGCTCCCCCTGCGCCCCCCTCCCCAGAACCGCCCCCAGCCCCTCGCCCCCCTAACCGCAGCTCAACGGCCGGCGGCAGCAGCCGGAGAAGGGGGGCGGCGGCCCGGGCCCCGGAAACGGCCCGATCGCCGGGATCCGGGCCGGACTCCGTACCTGGGCTGGAAGCGAGGCGGAGATGGGCGGTCGGGATCCGCGAGTGAGCGGGGCGGGCGGCGGTGACAGCCCCACAGCTCCAGCTGCTGCTGCTGCTGCTGCCGCCGCGGCTGCCCGGGGAGAGGGGCTGGCACCACCGCGGCGCGTCACTGCCCGGCCCGGGGGCGGGGGTGGCCAGGAGGAGGGCCCAGGCGAGCAGCGGCGGCAGCGGCGGCGGCGCCGCGGCCCGGAGGAAGGGGGAGGGGGCACCGGGCACGGGGAGGCGGGAGAGGGGGCGGGACCGGGCACGGGGCGGGGGCGGGGGGGAGGGGAGCGCAGGGAGGGCGCAGGCAGGGGGAGTAGGAGGAGCAGCAGGAGGAGGTGGCGGAGGGGCGGGTGAGAGGGAGGAGTGGGCACGGGGGGAAGGGGAGAGAGGAAAAGGAGGCACCCAGGGAGAGGGGAGAGGAGAAAGGAGGGAGAGAGGCGCGGGGGGAGAAGAGGAGGAAGGAGGGGGAGCTGGGCCAGGTAGGGGGGGATAAGGGCGCGCTGGACGCGCCGCCGTGCGCTTCGGTGGGGAGCGCGCTCTTAAGGGGGAAGCGCTTCGAGGAAGATCCTTGCACGGGGCTGAGCCCGGAAAGAAGGCGCTGGGATCTGTGCCTACCCATCGCTCCCGGAGGCTGCGGTCTCTGGGTCCGGTGGGGGCTGGGGGGAGAGGGCACCCGGCGGGCTGTCTGCGGTCAGGCCAGGAGAGGGAGACTTGGCCCAAATAAAGTGACTCAGGCACCCTCAGGAACTCTCGGCGCCCGGGGCCCCTTCGGGCAGCCTTCGACCCCCATGCGTCTTTCGGGTCCCCAGGGACGCGGGTACTTGTGGGGCGGGGCTGCCGGGCCTCGGGGTTCGGCTCCCCCGGGCGGCCGGAGCGAGACCCCGGGCTGGGAAAGCCAGGCACGTGGCCGGCTCTCGGCCGTACCCCCGCCCCACCCCCACGGCAGGGCCCCCAGTGCTTGATCAAGTTCAAGCTCGAGCTCCTCGGCGCGCTGCCCACCGGCTGCCCCTCCGCGCCCCTCCCCCTTCCCCATCCGCACCGTCTCGCTCTTCACTCTTCCTTTGTCTCTTTCCCACCACTTAGTTTACACCCCCTCCGCCCTCCTCCCCGCCCCCCGCGGGCACCCGAGTGTCCGGGAGGCGCTCACCTGTTCGACCCAAACATCTACGCGACCCCCAGCGCCCGCCGCCCGCGTGCCCGCCCCCGCCCCGCCGCCGGTCATTGTGCTCCGCCAGCCCACACCGGGCCGGGTCCTGACGGCGCGCGAGCCACAGTTGTAAAGTAATAGGATAATCTCGGGGACGTCGCTCCAGCCCAGACCCGGGCACGCACTGTCCGTGGAGACGGCACCGCCGGGGAGGGGAGCCACGCGGATTCCAGATGCGGTCCCCCAGGCGGACAGACCCTTGCCCGGGGCGCAGGAGGAGGCAGGACTGGCATCGCGGGGTGGGAGCCCTGGACCTCCGAGCAACCTCGGACTCGGCCCGAAAAGCAACACTCTCATCACCAAACCGCAGAATTAGACCCCGATGGAGAAAATGGGTCAGGGGATCCATTCCCACCCCACCCCTCCAAATCCAGACCCTCCGCTACCACAGATCAGCCTCGAAAAAAGCTTGTGCTTCAACAAGGATGGGGAACTGCCCTCGTGGAATTCTGTGGGGAAATTGCCAAAAAAAAAAAAAAAAAAAAAAAAAAAAACAACTAAAAAAAAACCCTGATAAGGATCCCACCTCCTGATTCCTCTGGTCGCATCCGAAGAGGAAGGGCAATTTCTACTGACTCTTTACGCTACCATTCATTCACGGTGGAACCAGCAGAGAAGAGAAAACGAGACAGCCACAGCGATTGTTTGCAATTTTGAAACAGACTGCCTTTAACCCTCCAACTTTTTTTCTGTAAAAAGCCTTTTTTCTTTCTTCCTCTGAAAGCTTTGCATTGTGAACAATCCATGGTAAACAAGGCTCCCTCTACAGCCGCGAGTGCGAAGTACAACCCCACAGGTTCAGAGCCCAGCGTTTACCCGTCAGAAAAATAAAATGATGACAAGACATCACATTAGCGCCACGCAGGCTTCCTTCCGCACATGCTCAAGACTCTGCTGTCAATAGAAAACTCACACTTTCTTTTTAAAAGAGGGTTTAGGCACATTTACTCATTTGCACCTTTTATTCCTGAAATCAAATGTGTTTTCAAACCAATTCACTCTCCCCAGTTTACTGGATCTTCTCATCCTTGGTGATGTGGGGCAGGTGGGAGGCTTTATTTATCCACACATGCTGGTGCCCAATAATGATTTTTAGAACGAACTAGTGGCCACAGCTCTTAAGTTCATCCAGGAAATGTGTTTCCAAACGCGGGAACTGTCCATCCTCACTCTGAAAATGAGATAATTCAGACTCAGGATTTCCCTTTCCCCACCACATTTTCAGAGACCTTTGACTTCTCCTGGCCTGAATTACTATTTCACAGCAGTGGTGGACATCTGAGCTTGAAATATAAAGCCAAATACAACTGAAGTTCAAAGGTGGAATTGAACCCAGATAACCCACCTCTTCTCTGACTAATAAAAGAGAGCTAGTACCGCCCAGGAGGGCAGAGCAGTGATTTTCTGTAGGCATGAAACGTGAACTCATTTACTATCCCTGAGATAAAACAGCCCAGCCCTGCTCAACCCACAGAAAACAGTTGAGAGCCCTGCAGAAACCTGGCTGTTGAGCGGCACTGCAAATGAGGTGAGTTTTCATGTGTGTGTGCTGAAGCCCTCAGAAATCTCCCAGATCCTTATTCCTACAGGAGCTGCCACTCCTGGAGTAACCTTGTATAGGTTGTTTTCAGTGTCCTTGTGCCACTCCCCCACTCCTTAAAGTGGCCACAGCATGAGTCCCAATGAGGAATCGGGTGACCTAGTTTCTTGACCACTAATTCTCCCAGTGATGTGTCCCTTCTTCTGGCCCCAGCCTGGTAGGAGACCATGGCAGAGAAAGCTGATCCCATCTGCTTCGGGGGGACAATGCTGCCACAGGTCCCCTCCAGCCTCTGAAGACATTGGGTGCTTTTGTAAACAGATGATTAGGGTATGCTCTGATGGGGCTTTTTAAGCAGCAAACCCCTTTCTTTCATGCAGCTTCCCATATGAAGTAAGCATGTCCCACAAGTGGGGACCTGGCCATGGGACTCTGGTTTGCCATTATTAGGACAAATAGGATCTTAGCGTGACCAGAGCAGACACTGTTCAAGCACGTCAAAACATTAAAAAAAAAAATTATCCCCACAAATGACTTATTAATGACAGAGAAGAAAATGTACCTGCAATGGGGCGATCTGGCAGACACTTCCCAATCAAGTCATCAAATTCAGCAGCCTCCAAAGTGGGGCCACCAGACATGATGTCCTCGGCTCCTGAAGGGAGGCACTGGAAGACACAGCATCACTTGAGCCATGTGCTCCCCCAACATGCTTCACCTGAATCTGCTCCTCAAGAGACAACCAGACAAGAAATCCAGAAAGAGAAACTCCACAACACAACAGTCTTGGACTCTACAAAACATTCATTGTCACTAATTGACTTTCTAAACGATAAGATGAAAGAGAAATAACAGCCGGGTGCAGTGGCTCACACCTGTAATCCCAGCACTTTGGGAGGCCGAGGCGGGTGGATCACCTGAGGTCAGGGGTTCGAGACCAGCCTGGCCAACATGGTGAAACCCAGTCTCTACTAAAAACACAAAATTGGACGGGCGTGGTGGCACACACCTGTAATCCCAGCTACTCGGGAGGCTGGGGTAGGAGAATTGCTTGAACCCAGGAAGCAGAGGTTGCAGTGAGCCGAGATCATACCGTTGCACTCCAGCCTGGGCGACAGGAGCGAAACTCCATCTCAAAAAAAATTAAAGAGAGAGAAATAACAACTAAACTTAATGTGTGACTCTTCTTAGATCCTGTAGAGATGGAATGAGGTGTGGACAAGGGGTGGGGGAGAGGCAGAGGATGGGGGTGGAATGAGGGTGGGGGCCAGGGTGGGCTCTGGGCTGAGTGGTCAGGGAAGAGCTCTCCCAGGAGGAAGCCACTGGGTGTCCTAATCCCCAGAGGGCAGAAGTTGACAGCTGGGTGAAGACCTGGGGGCACTGTCTTCCAGGCAGAGGGAATAGTTGGTGCAAAACTGCTGATGAAAGGAAAGGTGACCAGAGTGCTAGAGCAATGTGGGCCAGGGGGAGGGCAGGAGGGATGAGCATCGGGGGGGCAAACAGGGCCAAGCATGCAACATCCTGAACATCCCCCGTGAGGTGTGTGGGCTTTACACTGGGAGTGAGGAGAGGATGCAATCTGAGTTACGTTTTTAGATCAGGGGAGATGAGATTATAAAGGAGCAGAAGTGATGACAGGGAGGCCAGTGAGGAGGTCTAATGGAAAGAGTATCATCAGATGGAACTAGTTCAAATTCTGGCTCTGACACTAGATGGATGACTTTGGGCACCATACCTAAACCTCTCTAAGCAACAGTTTATTCATCTACATGTGATCCACAGTTTTTGTTTGTTGGTTTTATTTTTTTTTTTTTTTGACCAAATCTTGCTGTGTCACCTAGGCTGGAGTGCAGTGGCACGATCTGGGCTCACTGCATCCTCCACCTCCCTGACTCAAGCCATTCTTGTGTCTCAGCCTCCCAAGTAGCTGGGATTACAGGTGTGTGCCACCATGCCTGGCTAATTTTTGTATTTTTAGTAGAGATGGAGTTTTACCATGTTGTCCAGGCTGGTCTCAAGCTCCTGGACTCAAGTGATCCACCCGCCTTGGCCTTCCAAAGACCCACTATGTTTAACGTGTGTTTAACGTAGCATTTGGCACCAAATTTTCCTCTTTGAGATTACAAACTGTGGTAGACAGTCTCCAAGATGGCCCATGATGACCCTCACCGCCCAGTTTCATACCCTGGTACCATCGCAATGCACAGGGCTGTGGAACCAATGGTGCATTGTGGAAATGAGGGTGTGTGACTGCCAAGGCTAGATCCTAAAAGACATCTTGATCTTTTCCCCAGAGGGAGTACTTGGTAGATGGTAGCTTTTATCATCAGGATTGTACATTTCATAATTGCACAATCGGGGTCACATCCCTCTCTCTAAATGCTACACTAGTTTACTCTGCCACCAGCAATATCTAGCAGCACTCATTTCACTGCACACTTGTCACTGCTTACTATTAGCAATCTCTTTTATCTCTGTCAATCTGAGGGAGGAAGAACAGTGTCTCTTATTTTCCTTTGCTCCTCTTCACTTGGGAATGTAAGTAGATGTTTCTGTGCACTGTGTTTACGGGGCACTTGTATTTCTTTTTCTTTCTTTCTTTTCTTTCTTTCTTTTCCTTCCTTCCTTCCTTCCTTCCTTCCTTCCTTCCTTCCTTCCTTTCTTTCTTTCTTTTTCTTTCTTTCTTTCTTTCTTTTTCTTTCTTTCTTTCTTTCTTTCTTTCTTTCTTTCTTTCTTTCTTTCTTTCTTTCTTTCTTTCTTTCCTCTCTCTTTCTTTCTTTCTGACTAACCTGTTCATATCCTTTGCCCATTTCTCTATTTGAATTGTTGGTCTTTTTTTTTTTTTTTTTTTGGTAAGAACTTTTTGGAAATAAGGAAAATTAATCTTTTGTCATGTATTTTGCAAATATGTTTTCCTTTTGTTGTCTTTTTATTTAGTTTATGACAAGATTTTTTTAGCCATATGGAAATTTTACATTTTTATATCATCTGATTTTTTTTTTTTCCTTTAGGGCTTTAGGGCTTCAGGTTAAAACAAAAGCTTTTTTCCACTCTAAGATTACAAAAGTAATTCACCTATATTTTCTTCTGGAAACTTTATGTCTTCATTACATTTAAATCTTTATTCCATCTTTTATTTATCTCAATATAAGTAATGAAGTGGGGATCTGGCTTATTTTTTTCTAAATGGCTTTCTAAGTGGTGTCAATACCATCTTTTATCTTTTATTTTTTATTTTTGAAACAGGGTCTCACTCTGTTACCCAGACTGAAGTGCAGTGGCATGATCTTGGCTCACTGCAGGCTCAATCCCCTGGACTCAAGCAATCCTCCTGCCTTAGCCTCCCAAAGTGCTGGAATTACAGGCATGTGCCACTGCACCTGGCCTAAATATCATCTTTTAAATAACTCATCTTTATCCACTAATTGGAAATGTCATCTTATACTAATTTTCTATTATGTGTGGATTTGTATTATATTCTGTTGACCTATTCCTGTCTCAGTATTATGGCTTTAAAATATGTTTTCTGGGCCGGGCGCAGTGGCTCACGCCTGTAATCCCAGCACTTTGGGAGGCCGAGGCAGGAGAATGGTGTGAACCTGGGAGGCAGAGCTTGCGGTTAGCCGAGATCATGCCACTGCACTCCAGCCTGGGTGACAGAGTGAGACTCCCTCTCAAATAAATAAATAAATAAATAAGTAAATAAGTTTTCTGGCCTGGCATGGTGACTCACGCCTGTAATCCCAGCATTTTGCGAAGCCGAGGTGGGCAGATCACTTCAGGTCATGAGTTTGAGACCAGCCTGGCCAACATGGTAAAACCCTGTCTCTACTAAAAATACAAAAATTAGCTGGGCGTGGTGGTGCGTGTCTGTAGTCCTAGCTACTGGGGAGGCTGAGGCAGGAGAATCGCTTGAACCCAGGAAGGGGAGGCTGCAGTAAGCCGGGATCATGCCACTGCACTCCAGCCTGGGTGACAGAGAGAGACTCCATCTCAAAAAAAAAAAAAAAAATATATATACACATATATATATGTATATACACACATTATGTATATATATGTTTTCCTACTAGGTAGGGCTAGCATCCATCTCTACCCCATAAACTGTCCCTGCTCACACCATAACAAAAATAATTGAAACAGTGTCACAGCCAAGGGGTACTCTAGGTACAGCATATTTATGGAGAAAGGAGAGATGTTTCTCCTGGGGGACTGGGGGGTGAGAGGGAAGGTTCCTGGAAGAGATGACATTTACTGTGAATCAAAGAAGTTGGGAGGCTTGCGACAGGTGGAAAGTAGGGAGGCATCCGGCTGGAAGAGGAGGATGTGGAGAATCCAGGGCTTCACAAGTGCCTGGATTCAAAACACCTGACCTGTGGGCTGGGCCATAGCGCTGACTATCCATTTATTCTTTATATTAACTGATTTTTGCATAGCTGCCTGCAACCTCACAGTCAGTTTGACACCTTTGCTGAAATCTAGGAGAAACAGTCCAATACTATTTCCTCATTCTTCTCTATTTAGATAAATTTTCCATTACGAATACAACTAACTGAGCCTGACTTGTTGAAATACATTCTCCTGAAAACCATGATAAAAGGTAAAAATTACAATTTCATTATTCTCCTTTTCAAAAAGTCTTGCTTTAAAATGTCATCAGTTAATTCTGGTCATGTCGCTCTCCTATTCCAAAACCTTCAATAACTCCCAGTCACCGGCGGAATCGAGTTATAGCTCTCTCTGGTCTGGCGTTGGAGGCCCCACTGGCCTGCTGGCCTTATTTCCTTCTGTTCCTCTCTGGGAACTCTGTAGCAGACGGACTCGCCATCTTTTGTCCCCTAGTCACCCATGTGCGACCCCTCCATGCCTTTGACCACACATGTTTTTAGGCCTGTGTTCCTTCCACACATATGTACAGAGCCACTACCACACACCAGGCGCCATGACAAGTGCAGGTGACATGGCAATGTACAATACAGACTCAGGGTTGACCATAGGGAGCCTCCAGGCCAGCAGGGGAGAGAGAGATTAAACAAGTGATGTCATGGGATCCTGATCTGCATGCTGGTCATGGGCGGTGTATTCCAGTTTGTACTTGATAGTCCTGAAACATTCTAGGAAGGAAGTCCCCAGGGTGTGAGAAGGAAGTAGCAGATCTGGGAGGGCTCCACTGAGGAGGTGACATTTAAGTTGGGCACTGAAGGATGAATGGGTGTTCATGAGGTGGAAAGGTGCCTGGGCTGTCAACAAAGACACCTTCCACCTCAGCCAAATCAAGATCCCTCCACAGACTGCCGCCCAGCTGGCTCTGAACTGACGCGTTTGTGGTACTTTCTGTTTCCTGCATTAACTTCATTTTCCGAACTGGGCCATTCGCTCTGAGGGCTGGGACAGGTTCTTAGAAGAGTTACCCTGCACACAGTAGGGATGCATCACTGCCTCACTCGGGCCCCTTCCTGCCCACTGCCAGCACAGCTCTGAAGTCTTCGATAGAGCTCAGAATGAAGCGGGCCATCCTGGACACGGGCCACACTTTGTAACTCCCATGGGGCATGCACATGCCTCTTTTCCCTCCCTTCTTTCCTGGTGCCCTTGGAGAGGCTCAGAGAAACTACCAAGGCCAGCCACAACCCTGCATTTCTACTTGCAGGTGTGTACACAATAAAATGAACACAGATGTTCCCTAAAGAACACACAGTAGGCTGGGCATGGTGGCTCACACCCATAATCCCAGCACTTTGGGAGGCTGAGGTGGGAGGATCACTTGAAGTCTGGAGTTCGAGATAAGCCTGGGCAACATAGCAAGACCCTGTCTCTGCAAAAAGAATTTAGCTGTGCATGATGGCATGCACCCGTAGTCCCAGCTACTGTGGAGGCTGAGGTGGGAGGATTGCTTGAGCCTGGGAGATCAAGGCT
Source organism: Homo sapiens (assembly GCF_000001405.40). Lineage (NCBI taxonomy): Eukaryota > Metazoa > Chordata > Mammalia > Primates > Hominidae > Homo > Homo sapiens. The sequence continues at coordinate 32,492,050 of NC_000020.11, forward strand.
GCAGTGAGCTGTGATTGTGCCACTGCATTCTAGCCTGGGCCACAGAGCATGACCCTGTCTCGAAAGACAGAAAGAAGAAAGAACACATAGCAGACTGGTAGGCTGGTCATAGCAGCACTATTCACAACAGCTCCCAACTGTCCACCAATGAAGGATGGATACATTGTGGGCCCCCCATACCATGAAATATTACTCAGCCATAAAAAGAAACAAACTACTGACGCATGCCATAACACAGATGATGCTCACACACTTATGCTTGTGAGCAAACGAGCACATGCTGTACAATTCCATTTCTATAAAGTTCTAGAACAGGCAAAATCAATGTATGCTCCTAGAAGTCAGGTCAGTGGTCACCCTGGCCCAGGGGCAGTGACTAGAGGGAGCACAAAGGGTCTTTAGGGTGGTGCTGATGTTTTGTTTCTTGATCTGGACATGGGTCACAGGAGGTGGGGTCAGTTTGTGAACTTGGCTGAGCTGTGAAACTGAGTGATGCGTGCTCTTTTCTGAATGTGCATTATGCTTCAGTAGAAGTTTCAAAAGGGGAAACAGCAAGCCAGGTCAGCTTCCATGGCTAAGCAGCCTGGAGCTCGCTGTAGTCGATTACTGCAACCCACTGGACACCAGGCACCTGTGCTGGGCAGTGTGTATGTGTTATCTTATTTAATCCACCAAATAACAAGGTTGATATTCATTTGCCATTGTGCACATGAAGACTAGGGGCTTCTGGGAGAAGATTAAGTGACTCACCCAGTCACCCAAGAGTGGAGAAACTGGCACTCAGAGAGCAGGTGACACGTCCACAATCATGGAGCTAGAAGCTGCTGGCTGTGCTGGACCAAGATGTGTGGGTCTCCAGGGTGTGTGGTGGGCCCTGCTAAGGTGAGACCACTGAGCCAGGCCACGTGGTGCTGCGCTTCACCGACCTCCAGCAGAGCAGGAGGAATCCACCAGTGCGAGTCAGATGCAGCCAGAGATTTCCCTTGGGCCAAGACCTGGGAATGGGCTAGGACTGCTGTGAGGCCCTGCCTTGGGATGGACCCCAGGGCTTCTCCATACAAGCCTTGGAAGGAGGCTGGCCTTGGAAGCCTGAAGGGATGAAACTCTAGCTGGCTCTCCGGCAGGTGAGGAGAGGTAAGGACCCTCCACAGGCTGTGGGGGTGTGAGACTAACTTACGTTCACTCGGTCCAAGGAAGCCATGCAGGGAAACGGGCAGGTTACCAAGAGAAAGAGGCAGGCAGCACCTTCTGCCTAGGCCTGCAGTCCCTTCATGACAGAGCCCACAGCTCCGGTGTGGATGATGGCCCAAGGCTCTGGGGCCCGGGATGCTGCATGGGGACCTTTCTGGGGCTGAATCTAGTGTGTGGGGTCATGTCCAGGTGTGGAGGGGAGTGGGCAGCTGCGGACACGCTCTGTTTGCACTCAGGCCCTTGCTCGGTGTGACCTCAGGCAGGTGACTTGACTCTCCAAGCCTTGGTTTCCTCATCTCTAAAATGAGGAAACAACAGCAGGGACTTGTTTTTGAAGGTTGCAGTGAGGCCTAAATGCAGCGATAGCTGAAGAGGCCTGGACTGGTGCTGGGCACAGAGCACCGCCCGAACCATAGTTATGGATAGTGATGGTACTACGAAAACTAAGTAATAACTCAGTCATCAGTCCACACGCATTTATTGAGCCCCTACTATGCTCCAAGGCCCGGTCCAGGTGCAGGGACTGCAGTGGTGAGATAAGCACACCTGGGTCTGTCCATGTGGAGCCGATGGTGCTGGTGCTGCTGCGGCCTCAGCTTGTCCCTACCCTGACTGTTGCTTTCTTTTTCCTTTCTCTTTCCCCACCCCTTCCCTTGAGAAATAACAGCATTAAGATTGGAGAGACTAGGGCTCTCTTTCTTACTAATTCTGTGACTTCAGACAAATTACTGGCTAGGCGCAGTGGCTCATGCCTATAATCCCAGCACTTTGGGAGGCCAAGGCAGGTGGATCACCTGAGGTCAGGAGTTCAAGACCAGTCTGACCAACATGGTGAAACCTGGTCTCTACTAAAAATACAAAAATTAGCTGGGTGTGGTGGCACATGCCTGTAATCCTAGCTACTTGGGAGGCTGAGACAGGAGAATCATTTGAACCCAGGAGGTGGAGCTTGCAGTGAGCTGAGATCATGCCACTGCACTCCAGCCTGGGCCACAGAGTGAGATAATCTCGGGAAAAAAAAAAAAAAAAAAAAAAAAAAAAACACACAACACACACACACACACAAACAAATTACTTAAGCTCTCTAAAGCCGAGCCTCAGTTTCCCTGTGTGCTGAGGAACTGAGTTCTGTGTCTGGGGGTACCCAGCACACAGAAGGCCCCCAACAATTGCTGTTCCTGCTCCCCTGCCTACCTCCCTCTCCTCTCTTCTTCCTCCCCACTTTCCCCGTTTCCTTTCTTTTCCATTCTTTTTCTCTGCCCAAGCCTTCGGCATCTTAACACCCAAAGTGATTGTCAAAGTTTAGTTGATGGTGCCCAGGCTGTGGCAGAGACTGTGAACCAGTTTTCTTGATATTATGCCCTGAATCAACATTCTCCCTTATCTTTTTCAACCACAGAGGGTAGAAACATGAAATTCTTTCTTTCCCAGCCTCCCTTACAACTGGGAACCACGTGACCCTTTTGCAGCAATGAGACATCAACACAATGCCTCGAATGTGGACAAGGTTGGAGCAATAGCAGGCAACTTGCAACCATGAGGAAAAGCCTCAATAACATCACAGAGACACCAACCCAACATTGCAAATGGCACCAGCGGCGGCTCCTCCATTCTTCTTGTTTTAGGAGTAAAATAACTTCATGTTTTGCTATAGTCAACTGGGTTTGGGGGCCTGTAGTCAAAAGCATTCCTGGCTTATTCACATGGCTCCTGTCCGCGGGTGGACTAGATGGCAAGGATCCCCCACTCCCATGTGGCCTTTTCTCTTTCAAGAGGACACAGGAGCCTCTTGACTCTTTGAAGAGGACACAGGGGTGCTACGCTACGTCCAGGCACCTGCTGTGCGTACTGTGGTGCCTGGGGAGCAGACAAGCATTTAGTTCCCTCACTTGTGGACTCTGAAGGAGGGAAAACTGTCACGGCTGCAGCACAAGTGTGCCTGGGCACTTCCTCAGCCACAGGAGTATCCCAGTTAAAGAACATCTTCTGTTTCTATCTTATCTCTTGAGGTATTTAGAGCCATTCTAAATGCCAGAGCCTTAGAATGACCATGGGGCTGGCAGGGCATGGGCTCTGTGACTCATATCTGTCGAGGAGGCTGCTTGTGGTTGTGCTGGATCGAGCCCCTCTCCTTGACTATCTTCGGCACCGCAAGCCAAAGCTCAGGGCTGCCCGGGCCTATTCCTGAGGTGGTGCAGGAGAGGCAGATGGGCTGCTGGGGACGAAAGGGGTAGGTAGGCGGGCTCTGGGCTCCGTGCCCAGCATTGCCAGCAACATGCCTGTCTGCTGCTGACCCCTGACCCACTCAACTTCCTCCCCAGAAGACAGTCCCTTGAAGAAAGGGGTTCCTCCATCAAAATGTAAAATTTGAAAGCCACAGATGTCTGACCCAAACCTGCTGATCTAGTAACAGGGAAGCTGCAGCATGAAGAAGTTAGATGGCTGGGGCGCAGTGGCTCACGTCCCAGCACTTTGGGGAGGCTGAGGTGGGGGAATGCTTAAGCCCAGGAGTTCAAGACCAGCCTGGGCAACATGGCGAGACCCCATCCCTACAAAAAATACAAACATTAGCTGGGCGCGGTGTTGAGCACCTGTGGTCCCAGCTACTCAGGAGGCTGAGGTGGGAGAATTGCTTGAGCTCAGGAGGTCAAGGCTGCAGTGAGCTGTGATCATATCACTGCACCCCAATAAAAGAAGTTAGATGACTCGTGGGGCAGAGGCACACCTAGAACCAGAGTCGCTGGACTCCCTCTCAGGTGCTCATCTCCACTTTCGACCTGAGACAGGCCCAGGTCCCTGCCCTGCTTCCCTCTGGCAGAGAAAGATCACCACTAGGCTTCACATCACAACACATGTGCACCCGGCTGGCAGGCCCTGGGAGAGCTGCCTTTGAAGACGGCTCCCAGGCATAGCTCCCCCTTACTCCTCTATCTGAGCCCCACTGCTGTTCCTACCCCAGGGTCTTTGCATGTGCTGTCTCCTGTGCCTGGAAAGCCCTCCCACTTCATCTCTGCAGGGCTGGCCACTTCTCACCATTCAGGCCTTGGCTCGGATGCTGCCTCTTCAGAGAGGCCTTCTTGCCCTGAGGCACAGTCTGTCATCTTACTCTATTTTAATTATCTACCCCAAATTTCCTCCTTTTGCATATTTTTTTATATTGCCTTGTTTATCATCTCCAGGCCTGTGAGCTCCTAGGGATGGGTACCTTATCTGTCTCATTCACTGTGGTATCTTCCGTGCTTGGAATGACCTCCAGCATGTAGTAGGAACCTCGGAAATGATTTTTGAGTGAAGGAAGGAAGAAATTTCTTTCTTTCTTTTTTTTTTTTGAGAGAGTTTCACTCTTGTTGCCCAAGCTGGAGTACAGTGGCATGATCTCAGCTCACTGCAACCTCTGCCTCCCAGGTTCAAGTGATTCTTCTGCCTCAGCCTCCCGAGTAGCTGGAACTACAGGTGCCTGCCACCACAGCTGGCTAATTTTTTGTATTTTTAGTAGAGACAGGGTTTCATCATGTTGGCCGGGCTGGTCTCGAACTGACCTCAGGTGATCCACCCGCCTCAGCCTCCCAAAAAGTGCTGGGATTACAGGCATGAACCACCACACCTGGCCTAGGAAATTTCTTTAAAACTACATAATGCTGTGTTGCAGGGAGGACAAGGGTCTGGTCGGCCGTGAGCAGCAGCTGTGCTGTGTGCCTCTCAGTCTGAATAGGGGTCGGGGAGCTACCCGCCTGCCGGGATCCACACCCAGTCACCCCGAGCAAAACAAAGCAGACAGCACAAATTCACAAAGCAATACTGTGCCCTCCTACCCTCAAAAAAAAAAAAAAAAAAAAAGCCCGATAATGAGGTAAACACAATCATGACCAGGAAAAAGCTTGGCCATGCTTCTTCCAGTCCACCCAAAGCCATTATCTCTAATTGATCTCCAGACATCAGCTGCTGAAGCGTCTGAAACCCTCCTGCACCCTCCAGGTCTGGTTACAAAGCCCTGGCCCACCCACCCGCCCCATGGAGTCAGGTCTCCTGGAGCTGCTCTTTGCTGGGGGTGACAGGGCCTATCTGGGCCCCACATGAAAAGGACCCATCAGGCTGACAAGAGTCAGGGTGGGTCAAGAACCTGTGTAAAAGTCACAACCACTAAATGCTCAGCTGCCAGGGGGCTGAGCTGCCTGAGTTTCAGTGCCTTAAGTAGAAGGCTTGACAAAGCCATCAGGGGTCCCGCATTCAAAATAAAAAGCAAGGAAAACCAGGGACGGCTGCAGAAAAGCACCCTGCCCAAAATATCCCACTAGTTCTGGGTGAAAGAGGCACCCAAAAGCTGGAGTGAGGAGTTTAGTTGCAAAACGGAACGGGACTTAGCCACAAGATCACGAATCCCTTCTGGGTCTTGGTTAGGCTGTGGCGGTCACAAGGGCAGCCATCAGTACAGGGACCATCTGGATGTTTTGAGCTGCTCCTTCCTGGCCCAGCCCAGGAAAGACGTCTCCTTTCCTGTTAGGTCTCTCTTGTCCTTAGAAACAGACCGGAGTCAGCTCCCTGGGCTGCCTGGCAGGGGTGTTTTACTGCCAGAGCTCTGACAGGACAGAGCCACTTCCCCCCTTCATTCATGGACGCCCAGGTAGCAGCTCCTGACCTGTGCAAGCTTTTCCCTTGACACACACAAAGCGTCCCGAGGCCAGCCCTGCATGCAGTATTGCTGCTTATGGCACCAGGCAGCTCTCCTGCTTGCACCAGTAAATTACGAGTGCTTCCTGCATTTTTTCCCCCAGATAATAAAGTTGAAAGGCCACCTTGGCATTCTCGCATTTGTAGGGGTGGAGGTCTGCAGCCCGGAAGGGGCTCGAGCCTCAAGGAGCTGCTGGGGACAATGAGCTGTTCAGGTTCGGGGTATCTGCCAACCCCACCAGACACTGGCTCTCCAGACAGGGTGGTGGCTGTTTTCCACTTTCCCACACAGCTTCAGGGAAGTGAGAGGAAAGAAAAGACACAGACCTCTCCCAGCTCAGGTTGCCCTCACAAAACAGAGGAAATGCTCATTTTCTGTGAGAATTTGGAAATTGTAGTAAGTTTCTAGAAAGCACCCCAGGATGTTCAAGAACATATACTGATTGCAAAAATAATGTCCCATAACAAAAGATGTTTGACAATGAGCTTTTCACGCCTCTCTCTGTTCTCTTAAAAAAAAAAAAAGCTTTCTGATAAATCATTCCCTCTCAAGTTTAGAAATGCCCTATTTTCACAGGGCATGGTGGCTCATGCCTGTCATTCCAGCACTTTAGGAGGCCAAAGTGGGAGGATCGCTTGAGCCCAGGAGTTCAAGACCAGCCTGGGCAACACGTGAAGCCCCATCTCTATAAAAAGTGCAAAAAATTAGCCAGGTGTGGTGGTGTGTGCCTGTAGTTCCAGCTACTCGGGAGGCTGAGGTGGGAGGATCACTAGAGCCTGGGAAGTCGAGGCTGCATTGAGCTGTGATTGCACCACTGCACTCTACCCTGGGCAACGGGAGTGAGACCCTGTCTCAATAAAAAAAAAAAAAAAAAAAAAGAAATGCACTATTTTCTTTGGGAGGCCCAGAAGTTCAAGATCAGCCTGGGCAACAAAGTGAAGCACTGTTTCTACTTAAAAAATTTTTGTGTTTGTTTGTTTTTGAGGCAGAGTCTTGGTCTTGCTCTGTTGCCTAGGCTGGAGTGCAGTGGTGCAATCTCAGCTCACTGCAACCTCTGCTTCCCAGGTTCAAGTGATTCTCCTGCCTCAACCTCCTGAGTACCTGGGATTACAGGCTCCTGCCACCACGCCAGCTAATTTTTGTATTTTTAGTAGAGACGGGGCTTCACCATGTTGGTCAGGCTGGTCTCAAACTCCTGGCCTTGTGATCTGCCCACCTTGGCCTCCCAAAGTGCTGGGATTACAGGCGTGAGCCACTGCTCCTGGCCAAAAAAAATTTTTTTTTAAATAAATGCCCTATTTTGCATGATACCATTTTAGGAGGATGGGGAATGCTGTGCTGTCCATGTTTAGAGCCCCCCGATCCTGACACTGGGCTCATGGTGCTCCTGGTTCTCAGTCCACCTCTGTTTGTCAGTGAACAAAGAGGCCTGGGATAAAGTGTCTTCACATAATGCTCATGTGGTCAGATCAGTGGTGCTGCTGCAGTATTTTTCCTCCACCAAAAAGCGGATACAAACATTTTTAGGCATTAAAGAAACAATTTTTGGCTGGGTGTGGTGGCTCATGCCTGTAATCCCAGCACTTTGGGAGGCTGAGGCAGGCAGATCACTTGAGGCCAGGAGTTTCAGACCAGCTTGGCCAACATGGTGAAACCCCATCTCTACTAAAAATGCAAAAATTAGCCGGGCATGGTGGCAGGCATCTGTAGTCCCAGCTACTCAGTCAGCTGAGGCAGGAGAATTGCTTGAACCTGGGCAGCGGAGGTTGTAGTGAGCCAAGATTTTGCGACTGCACTCTAGCCTGGGCAACAGAGGGAGACCTTGTCTCAAAAAAAAAAAAAAAAAAAAAAGGAACAATTATTTTTTTCAAAGTAATGCCTTTTTTCAAGCCAGCAAAACTTTTAAAAAGAAAGCCAACAAAAGAGGAACAATTCCTACTAGATATTAAAACATATGATAAAGTTTTCACACTTAAAACAGTTTGGTAGCTGCTACATGAATAGTCAAGGAGCCCAGTGGACCAAACAGAAGTAGATTCTGTTTTGGATGGAAACTTAGTAAGTTTTAAAGGTGTCATCTCAAATCAGTGGGGGAAAATGGAGTATTTAACAAATGATGCTGAGACAAAAGGGTTAAGCGGAATCTGTATCTCAGAATACGTCAGCATAAGCTCCAAATGGATCAAAGATTAAATATAAAAAATGAAAATAAAAACATGTATGCTTTTTGCTCTGTCAGCTGGAAGAGCCTGCAAGAAAGGATACTTCAGTACCAATGGGCACACATAGTGCCCAGATCTTGTTTTTTTGTTTTGTTTTATACAAAATATATAGAGATGAGGTTTGCCCAGGCTGGTCTTGAACTCCTGAACTCAAGAGACCCTTCTGCCTTGGCCTCCCAAAGTGTTGGGATAATGGGTGTAAGCCACCATGCCCAGCCAGATTTTTTTTTTTTTTTTTTTGAGACGGAGTCTTGCTTTCTTGCCCAGGCTGGAGTGCAGTGGCACAATCTCGGCTCATTGCAAGCTCCGCCTCCCGGGTTCATGCCATTCTTCTGCCTCAGCCTCCCAAGTAGCTGGGAGTACAGGCGCCTGCCACCACGCCCAGCTAATTTTTTTGTATTTCTTTCTTTTTTTTTTTTTTTTTTACTAGAGACATGGTTTCATCGTGTTAGCCAGGATGGTCTCGATCCGATATTTTGGTTTTTAATATGGTTTTCCAATAAAAGGAATCAGAGCTCCTTGGAGAAATCACTGATTCCAGGATTGGGGCAGGAAATATGCAAGATGAGCCTGGAGTCTTACAGTGCCAGAAAGCAAAGAAGCACTAAAAAACAAGAAACGAACAAACAAAAACCCCAAACACCAATGAGGTATGGCAAAAGAGCACAGGAAACAACTGAAAAAGCTCCAATGGCCAAAGCTAGAACAATTTGTACAACAAAATGAAGAAGTATTGAATGATCATCAAAGCATAAAATAAACAGCTATGAGTCTCGACTTCTATAAATGGCTGAATAAATTAATAAGTGGGGGAGGAGAAACAAATCTCCTATGCATAAGCAATCTAAATAATTTACGTTGATAATTCACCCTAAAAAAGGCAGAACATGACTCCCCACTCTTCAGGTGTGGGCTGCACACGGTGCCTTCCTTCCCAAGTGCACAGTGTGGAAAGAGGGAAAAGTCACTTGACAGGAGAGAAACCTGACAACCAATATCTCAACCAGGTGTGATCAAGGCCAATGGCAACAGTCCTAAATCATGTTGATATTATGGACCCTTAACAGGATGTGATGAAAATGACACTCCATGTCTGTGGTCTTCCTCCTAATAACCCATAACCCCGGTTTTATATAGAGAAAAATGTCAAATTTCTAAATCCTACAAAATACACAACTAGTACTCTTCGAAACTGTCAAGGTTATCAAAAACAAGGAAAGTCTGAGAAACTGTCAAAGCCCAAAGAAGACTAAAGGGACATGACAATTAAATGGAATTAAATGTTACAATGAAAATTAAATGTTGTATCCTGGATGAAATCTTGGAACAGAAAAGGAAATTAGGTAAAAGCTAAAGGAATCTAAATAAACTGTAGACTTTACTTACAATAATGTATCAGTGTGGTTCATTAGTGGTAACAAATGTATCACCTTAATATAAGACATTGATAATACGGGAAACTGTGTGTCGAGGAGTGGGCAATGTGGATACTCTGTACTATCTTCCCAATTTTTCTGTAAAGTTAAAACTGTTCTCAAAAATAGTCTATCAAAAAAAAAATGAAAACATAAAAATACTAAAAGAAAACATGGGGGATGGAGTGGAGTTAGCCTTTTTAAGACTCAAATGCAGAAGCGATTTGAAGAAAAAATTGATACATCTGAGTACATAAAAATAAAAATGACAACACACACAGCATAGGCAATATCAAAAGAGAGAGAGCTACGGATGGGGAAAAGGAGGCAATGACTAACTCTGGGGAATCCGAAGAAAGGAAATGTAAGGAAATGTAATCATAGCATATGTTAATTGGGTCAGCTATGAGTAATATGCACACAGTCATAATAATATAAACAATGAATAGCAATTTATCTAAATAGAGAGGTATAGATATGTTGCAGGATGGAGGAAGGAGAAATAATAAGTGTATTTATGAGAGGGTGTAAGAGTGCAAATACTTATTTCCTACAGCAAGAAATTAACAACAACAAAAGCCCCAATTGAAAAATCAAGAACTTATAGTATAAGCAGGTTATTCCAAAATAGGAGTTAAATACCAGAAGAGACAGCTAAAACATAAGAAAGAAAAGAGGCTGTCCCTAGGGAGTAGAAATTGAAGTGGGGAGGCTGGGGCAGGGTCTGCTATTTTTCTATATGATTTTAAAAAATGTATTCTAGAGGCCGGGTGTGGTGGCTCATGCCTGTAATCCCAGCACTTTGGGAGGCCGAGGCAGGCGGATCACCTGAGGTCAGGAGTTCAAGATCAGCCTGGCCAACAGGGTGAAACCCCGTCTCTACTGAAAGTACAAAAATTAGCTGGGTTTGGTGGCAGGCGCCTGTAATTCCAGTTACTCAGGAGGCTGAGGCAAGAGAAATGCCTGAATCCGGGAGGCGGAGGCTGCAGTGAGGATCACGCCACTACACTCCAGCCTAGGTGACGGTGAGACTCCATCTCAAAAAAAAAAAGTATTCTATCTATAAAAATAAAAATAATGCAGGCCGGGTGTGGTGGCTCACCCCTGTAATCCCAGCACTTTGGGAAGCCGAGGCGGGTGGATCACCTGAGGTCAGGAGTTCGAGACCAGCCTGGCCAACATGGTGAAACCCCGTCTCTACTAAAAATACAAAAATTAGCCGGGAGTGGTGGCCGGGGCCTGTAATCCCAGCTACTCGGGAGGCTGAGGCAGGAGAATCTCTTGAACTTGAGAGCAGAGGTTGCAACGAGCCGAGATCACATCATTGCACTCCAGCCTGGGCAGCAAGAGCAAAACTCCATCTCAAAATAAAAAATAAACATAAAAAATAAATAAATGCAAAGAAATCAAAACAAGTTAAAAAAGGGTAAAGGGCCACCCAGAAGTGATTTCTGTAGGTGAGCTGCCCTGGGATTGCGGTGGAAGGTCTGGGGGCACAAGGTAGAAGCTCACAGCGGCTTCTCCAACTGTATGTCCTCTCACAGCAGAAATGCTCCAAGGATTGTCCTCTGCCTAGAGAAATCCCAACAGCAGCCTTGGTCAAGGACAGTATTTCAGCTGCTTTTGTTTTCTTGCTGCAGCATAAACCTTCCACAGGGCCAGAAATTTACTGAGACAGGATGAAGGTTTGGGCTATAGATTCTCAGATACTGAAAATGTGGTCGATGGCATTTCAGGCCTTTCCCGTGCTCTCATGGTGGCAGGTTAGGCCCCTGCAGCTCAGCTACACAACAAGAGGAGGTAATAGATGGAGCAAAGGAAAGAAGCCAGAAGCGGACAAGCAAGGCTGGGAGTAGTGAAGACAGTTGGTGGGATGGGTAGAAGCTCGGGAGGCTGGGAACTGAGAGGGAAGTGGTGGCCTCAGTGGGAGAGCCCCATGGGGAGAGAATGAGGCAGACTAAAATCTAGGCAGCCAAAGCAGCAGACCCCATATCCTCACAAATGCCACAGGGTCTACCCCACTTATTGGTCCATGCACATTTTCAGGAGCAGACACAGATGCTCAAAGTTTGAACAGTCTAGAGAAATGGCTATTCCAAGACAGTAGCAAAATCTGCAAATGGTGAAAAGAGAGTGGAGACGGCAAAGATATGCTGAGAGCTAGAAAGATTCTGCCTCTTACAGCAAAGCTTAACAGCCCTCCTCACCTCCCCAATGGCAGACCTCCAAGGTCTGGAGTGTCACTGGGAAACTGTCTTTGATCATCATAAAATATCACACTTTGCCCTACTTAATGCTTTTTTTTTGCCTTGAACATTTATTTAACATTAATAGCACTACTCCCTCTTTTTTAATTTTCCTTTTTGTGTCATTTTGATAAATGTCTTTTGTAAATACCCAATGCCATTTAAGAAGGCCCATCTGAGCTTTTTATGATACTGTGTAATGAAATTTAACCCATTCACATTTTTTATATTTAGTAGTTTGGTGTTGTTTGTATTATGTTACTTTATGTAATTTATTATATACATTTATCATATTCCTTTATATTTATTTTATATGTATACATAAATCTCTTTTTTGTGGTTTCTTCGTTTAGTCCCCATGTAATCACTCTTGCTGGACTGATTAAGTTTTCTGTGTTTCTTTTATTCACTCTACTGGTTTAGAAGTTCTACATTCTATTTCTAGTCCATGGAGATTACTCTTTAACTTTAAAGAAACATCTCAGAGGCCGGGCGTGGTGGCTCACGCCTGTAATCCCAGCACTTTGGGAGGCTGAGGTGGGTAGATCACGAGGTCAGTAGATCGAGACCATCCTGGCTAACACAGTGAAACCCTGTCTCTAATAAAAATACAAAAAATTAGCCAGGTGTCATGGCGGGCGCCTGTAGTCCCAGCTACTCGGGAGGCTGAGGCAGGAGAATGGTGTGTACCCAGGAGATGGAGCTTGCAGTGAGCCAAGATCGTGCCACTGCACTCCAGCCTGGGTGACAGAGTGAGACTCCATCAAAAAAAAAAAAAGAAAGAAAGAAAGAAAAAAACATCTCAAAACCTCTGCAGCTGCTTTTTTTTTTTTGACTGAGTCTTGCTCTGTCGCCAGGCTGGAGTGAAGTGGCATGATCTCTGCTCACTGCAACCTCTGCCTCCCAGGTTCAAGTGATTCTCCTGCCTCAGCCTCTGAGTAGCTGGGACTACAAGCACGTGCCACCATGCCCAGCTAATTTTTGTATTTTTAGAAATGGAGTTTCCTCATGTTGGCCAGGATGGTCTCGATCTCTTGACCTTGTGATACACTCGCTTCAGCCTCCCAAAGTGCTGGGATTACAGGCGTGAGCCACTGCACCGGCCACCTCTGCTTCTTTAAGAGACCATCAAAGGTCACACACATTGAGCCACAGCAGGAGACAAGGCCATGTTTCCATTCTGCTATTACTCCTCTGAACTCCCAGTTCACCTGGGCTGCAGGGCAGCCTGAGGAAGGAAAGAAGGGAATCATCACTGCTATCAGGCTCCTAAACATGGAGCCTAAGTCAGTTAGACTTAAACAGGTTGTCTAAGTCAGTACTCTTGGGTTCTCCATGGTAAGAACCCCATGAGTCAGCACTGTTTGAGTAAGTGACAGTCTCTCACAGTAACCCATTAACACTCCTTCTCCTTTGTGTCTGCCCATATTTTGGGGGTCTTTCTGGGCAGGGGGGAGATTGAGAGGGTTCATAAGAAAGAGAAAAGATAATGATTAAAAAGTAAATGTAGTTAGCCAAAAAAGTGGAAACAACCCAAATGTCCATGAACAGATAAATGCAGTAAACAAAATGTGGTTAATACAAATACAATAAACAAAATGTATGGTTAATACAATGAAATATTATTGTCATAAAAAGGAATAAAGTTGGTCAGGCGCAATAGCACACATGCCTGTAATCCCAGCACTTTGGGAGGCTGAGATGGGCAGATCGCTTGAGTTCCAGACCAGCCCAGACAACATGGCGAAACCACATCTCTACAAAAAAAAATACAAAAATTAGCTAGATGTGGTGGTGCTCACCTGTGGTCTCAGATACTCAGGAGGCTGAGGTGGGCAGATTGAGCCCGGGAGGGCAAGGCTGCAGTGAACTGTGATCGTGTCACTGCACTCCAGCCTGGGTGACAGAGTGAGACCCTGTCTCAAAAAACTAACAAAAAGGAATAAAGTTCTGACACATGCTACCACATGGATGAACCTTGAAGACATGATGCACAAAAGGACAAAAGGACATCTGATTCCACTGACATGAGGTGCCTAAAAGAGCCAACTGCACAGAGAGAAAGCAGAATAGAGGTTACCAGGGCTGGGGGAGGGGAGGAAGGGGAATTATTGCTTAATGGGTACAGAGTTTCTGTTTCGGGTGATGAAAAAATTTTGGAAATAGATAGTTGGTGATGGTTGTGCAACATTGTGAATATACTCAATGCCACTCAATTATATACTTAAACGTGGTTAAAATGGCACATTTTAGGTTTTATATATTTATCACAGTTTTCTTAAAAAAATGAATGTGGAGAGTTTTTCAGGGTGGGCTTGTTTCCTTCTCCATTTAGGGGGATGGAAGCCTGAGAAAGTTCCTGCTGGAAATCTGAACCTTGATCCCTAGTGCTGACTGAGGAAGCGCTCTCTCCTGGGCCTGGCTTCCAAGGAGGGGGCTTCCTCGGAGTCCTGGCCTCCTTCTCCTCTGTTCCCCAAACTGGCTCCAGCCTCCCCTGGCCCCAGGTCCTGCTCCAGCTGTTACCTCTCAGCTTCCCTCACCCAGGCCCTCTCTGCTTGCCCAAGCCAGGCATTTTAAAAATAAGCCAGGCCCGGCACGGTGGCTCACACTTGTAATCCCAGCACTTTGGGAGGCCGAGGAGGGCGGATCACCTGAGGTCAGGAGTTCAAGACCAGCCTGACCAACATGGAGAAACCCCATCTCTACTAAAAATACAAAATTAGCCGGGCGTGGTGGTGCGTGCCTGTAATCTCAGCTATTCAGGAGGCTGAGGCAGGAGCACCGCTTGAACCCAGGAGGCAGAGGTTGCAGTGAGCCGAGATCGCGCCATTGCACTCCAGCCTGGGCAACAAGAGCAAAACTCCATCTCCAAATAAATAAATAAATAAGCCAGTGCCTCTGAACTTCCTGGCACTAGCCCCTTCTGTTTTCTGTCCCAGGTGACAGCTCTGTGGCTGCTGTTTTGTCCCCTCTACTAAGAAGAGCTCACTGTCTGTGAAGGGGTCTGCTCCTCCTCACCTGCCCTCCAGGACCCAAGGAAAATTCTGGGCCAGGACAGAACAGTAGAGGAGAGGGAGGCAGAGGTTAATGGGGGCAAGCTAGAACCTCCATCACGTGGGCTCAGACAATGGAGCTGCACCACTTCACACACTGCTGTGAGGACCATTAAAACCATTAGCGGGACATTAGCTCTGCTCCAGGAACTGCAGAGAGGGAGGCAAGGGAGGTGCCCACAGTCCTCCAGAGGTGAGCCCTGAGCCTCTCTGGGCCTCGGCTTCCTCTGGGTGGGAGAAGGAGCACAGTTGTCTCTCTGCTTCCACAGCTAATTTCTACAAGGGGCCTGAAATCTTCCTTCCCTGCCCCTTCCAAGAAGATGGCTCAGTCCTCTGTGCAACTAAATACAATTTCCATTTTATATCTTTTTAAGAGTATTCCCAAATAAAAAAACTCTTTGATCAGACCACACTCCACTATTTTCTGCTCAGTGTGGCCACTTTGATGACAGCTCTTGGGGTCTGTGTCTTAGGCTGGAGGTGCCGAGAGGGTGGAGTCTAACCCCCATAGCGGTGCCTTGTACATTGAGGACACTATAAATATTGGGTGCACTGAACCAGACTTCAAGAAGAATCTTTCTTCTTTCTGTGAATCTTGTTATTGAATTTTCATATTATCTAATACCCTCTGCAGAGAAGGACTCATTTTCTAGCATATTAATCTGATACAACTGGCCTACAAGTAACATGATTCTGTCCAGCCCTCAAGAAAATCCCACCACCTGCATTTTGATCAAAGCAAAGTGAGGGAAAATGTTCTCCTTATCTTACCATTTGTCTCTTGGATACGTGATGTTGGAAATAAACAGATTATTGAGATTTTTTCTTACCCAAAGTTTTCAGATATAGAGCTTTGTTCAGCATTAATAAAATATTTATCCTGGCCGGGCACAGTGGCTCATGCCTGTAATCCCAGCACTTTGGGAGGCTAAGGCAGGTGGATCATGAGGTCAGGAGTTCGAGATCAGCCTGGCCAACAGAGTGAACCATGTCTCTACTAAAAATACAAAAAAAAAGTAGCCAGGCCTAGTGGCGGCCTCCTGTAATCCCAGCTACTCGGGAGGTAGAGGCAGGAGAAATGCTCGAACCTGGGAAGTGGAGGTTGCAGTGAGCCGAGATCGCACCACTGCATTCCAGCCAGGGTGACGGTGTGAGACTACATCTCAAAATAAATAAATAAAATAAAATAAAACAAAATATTTATCCTGGTTACCGGTTACTTTAGAATTGGATTTATTTTCCATGTAACCTGCATTAGAAATTTGCAAACACTACAGATGTCCTCTTTTGGCATTTTGTGGTCAGAGTGATGAAATGAAACCACTCTCAAAGCCTTGTCTTGGGACATCGGATTTGACAGCAGCCGAACCTGTCCTGCGGCTGTGTTTGGATGGTGGGGAGTCATTCGCCCACCCTGGCCTGCCTTTGCTGCACAGGAAATAAGCTAGTAATTCAAGTATATGTATTTTTAGTTCTAACTCAAGCTGAAGAATCAAAGACTGCTGGGTCCTTGGCCCTTCCTTGATGCTGCAGATAAATAATCTGGTGAGCCATGTGATTTCATCTTGCGCCACGTGCCCAGCCATAAAACAGGGATAACGGCACTGCCTAAGAGGCTGAGGCCTTGAGAGCTCATTGCTTTGCATGGAGTGCTGAAGACTGACAGATGAAGGGCTCTAGGCATGAGGCGGGAGGCTGCTTCACCTGCCAGGTGGTGAAAGGCAGGCCTGAACTTCCATCTCCTGCCGCACTCAGAAGAAGCTGGCTACATTCAGAGGCCCCCACCTGGAAACTACTAATGAAGCTGAGGAAGTCACATCCAGCCCCACTGTAAGCAGAGGCCACCTCGATCTTGGCCCTGCCCCAGCTGGACTCCCAGAACACCCTGGAGACAAATGCCCTCCACAGTCCTTTCTTCCTTTGGGAGCTACCAGAGCCTCACCAGGGCAATTCCTGCATCTCAGGTCATGAACTTCGGTTCATCCCCTGATACTCATCAGGTGCTTATGCACACAACACTGTGCTTTCCCCCTTTTGCTTCGGCAACAGAACTCCTCACATTCTCTGCTGCAGCCACACCAGCCCCTCAAATCTCTTGAAGGCTTGGTCCTCCCTTGAGCCACAAGGCCTTTGCATAAGCTGTTCCCTTGGCCTGGAACTCTCTTCCCCTCAGATTCCACTCTCAGCTGAAGCTCCCTTTCTGAGGCACAGCTTCCCTGACCCCTGCCTCAGTCCACCCTCCAAGCCCACCCTAAGTACCCCCAGTGCCACGTGTCCTTCTGCACCATGGCAATGCCCCACTGATCACTTCCTCCATTGTTTATCACTGCCTGCTGTGAGCTGGGCATTTGTGTGGGATCCTCTGGCTGGTGTCTGTCTCCCCTAGATCAGAAGAAAATACAGGGATGCCAGCCGGAATCTCAGCACTTTGGGAGGCCTAGGCAGGCAGATTGCTTGAGCCCAGGAGTTCGAGACCAGCCTGGCCAACATGAGGAAACCCTGTCTCTACAAAAAATACAAAAAATTAGCAGGTGTGGTGGCAGGTGCCTGTAACCCCAGCTACTCGGGAGGCTGAGGCAGGAGAATCACTTGAACCCAGGAGGCAGAAGCTACAGTGAGCCGAGATTGGGCCACTGCACTCCAGCCTGGGTGGCAGAGTGAGACTCTGCCTCAAAAAAAAAAAAAAAAAAAAAAAGAAAAGAAAGAAAATCTAGGGGTACTGCTGTTTCTGTAAATCCTCAGAGCCTGGCTCACAGAACAGAGCTCCATAAATATTTGTGGAATGACTGAATCCTCGTTAAAGCACCTAACCCATAGTCTTAACTCCCCTCCTTCCATTGACGCAAGTGAAGATACAGTTAGGATTTTTAACCAGATCAAATATCTGATTTGTTAGTGAGAGATCGCAACTTGCACGACACTGACCACTACTGGTTCTAGTGGTGACCTGGATTTAGTGCCATTCTGTATGAAACAAAACCAGGGGGCTGTGCTTCCGGCTGTTTGTGCGGTTTTGTGCTTCATTCTTCATGGGCACAGATGAGCACGGTGATAACAGTGTTTACGAAGCCAGGTGCCGGAGACAGTGAGGATGGCTACAGGAAAGAAAGGCCACAGATTGCTCTTCAGTGGCAGTGAGAGGAGACCTAATGCAGAGGCTGCACAGTGGTGCTGGGATTCTATAACCAACAACAAAAGCAACACCCTCATTACCGACACTCCTGCAGCTCAAACTACTTTGCCTTTGTGCGTTGGAAACCCAACCCAAGCCCATTTTCCCCACTGGAATTATTTGTGATGATGTGAAGTTTTTGGAGATGCAACCATCCCAGAACAGGCACGCTCAGATGAGAAGACGTGGGAGACACAGTTCTAGCAAACAGTTCTACCGCTCAGAGCAAAGCCTACGTCACACAGCCTCTAGGGTCTGGGCACAGTGTGGGGACAGGAGGGCTGGCCGCCCTGCCTCTTGAAAGGAATACGCAGCTCTGCAGGTTCAAGCCACCCAGCTGAAGTCCTCAAACTGGGTAACACGGGCCAAGATGCCACCTGCACGTGTCCTGCTACATCACCATGGATCTGGCCAAGGAGCCACCACCCCCTCGGAGCACGCATGCTGGGGTTGTCAAGGAGACCAGTGCACAGGACGGCCGCACCCAGGGCTGGAGACCGGCAGCGCAGGACAGCTGCATCCAGGGCTGGAAGACAGACTCGAGTTCTGACCCATCTTTCAATGGGAGAGAAAGAATCCAATCCCCTGCTAGGGCCACAAGGACATGATGGGTTTGGATGCCATAAGAGATGAGAACACTCCAAGCTGAAGGCAAGAAGTGATTACCCTGGTTTTAGGCAGTGGTTGGGGGGTGGAGGTGGAGGGGAACTCACCTAGTCCTTCTTTGAAAGACAGTCAGGCTACGTGCTTTGCAAAGGGTTAGGAGGTGGACTGTGTGGGAAGGCAGGCGAGAGGGAGTTTCTTTTCATAGCCTGTTTCCATGGTGTCTCACGGCCCTTGGCAAACCCCAGCTGGGGAGGCTTGGACGGCCAGGAGGCCCCAGGTCCACCCTCCAAGGACTATCCCCTAGTCCTCTGGGCCCCAAGAGTGACAGAGGCCACAGGCAGGCGGCTACTCTCTCTTGCCTCCCTGGGGGAAGGTGGCAAGAGGCCAGCGATAAAGGGCAGAGCAGAGAAAGAACAACTCCAGGGGCCAGGGCTGCGGCTCCCTCCCTTCCACGTCCCCTCCTCCCCCTCCTCCCACGAGCCCACCCAAGGGGAAAGTTTTCTCCCTGAAGACCTGCAGGGCTGTCTGCACAGGAGACCCTCTCACGAGAAACACATTCTTGCCTCCCGCCTCTCCGCCTGGACAACCCAGATAACCAGATAAGGGCCTCTTTGATTTCCCGTGTGTTTACACAAGCTGTGGCCCCAAGTCTTGGAAAGAATCAACCACCGCCAGGCAAGTCAGGACGCCTCCAGGTGGGGTGAGGGGAGACGGCCGCCTTACCTGCTCCTGGGAATTCATCACTCGAAGCTTCATCTGCTTCAGGTAGGTGGAGGTGAGGGGCATGTTGTAATCAATAATCCCAGAGACCAGTGGAGATGGAGGCTCGTTTTCTGGCAGAAAGAACAAAAGGAAAGCCCTTTCAGTCTGTGCTGCGGGCCTGTTGCCCACATGGAGCATTTAACAGAGCCCGTGGAAGAGGAAGCCACCTTGGAGGAGAAGGGACAGGTCAGAGGTCGCAGACTCTGTGGCTCACCCACATCTGGCCCAGAGATGTGGACTGCATGGTGTCAAAAATATTTTTTTTTTATTAAATGCCAGTGTTCTATTTAGAGATTTCACACGTTAAAAAACAATGAGGCCGGGCGTGCTGGCTCATGCCTGTAATTCCAGCACTTTGGGAGGCCAAGGCAGGAGGATCCCTTGAGCCCCAGGAGGGGACACAGGCCCCAGGAGTTCGAGACCAGCCTGGGCAACACAGGGAGATCTCGTCTTTACAAATAATAAAATAAATTAGCCAGACGTGGTGGTGTGTGCCTGTAGTCCTAGCTACATAGGAGGCTGAAGTGGGAGGATCGCTTGAGGCCAGGTGGTCAAGGCTGCAGTCTGCAGTGAGCTGTGATGGCACCACTGCACTCCAGCCTCAGCAACAGAGTGAGAATCTATCTCTAAAAAACAAACAAAAAAACCCAGCAAACCCACCCCCACAACACACACACACGTTTATAGGAATTTTTGGCTTCTTTGAAGAACATAAGGTCTGGCCACATGGGGCCCCCACTCCCGAAGGCAAGCAACCACTGCCACTTCAGCAGCCACTTCTTTTAGACAGGGTGTGTGGCTCCCATTTTGCCACAGTCCCCACCACTCCTTATCATATTGCACAGCTTTGCTCATTTGCAAGTATCAATTATGATACTTGCCAGACCCTTGAAGGCATCTGTGTTTCCAACCACTGTCTAAGTCAGTTATCTTCCAGGTGAACACATGCCACTCTCACCTCACCCAATCCCGCCACCCCATAGCATCCCCCAAAAACATCCTCAGGTGCCTTATGCCTCCCAGGTCTGAGCCAGGCCTTCAGTAGCCCCCAAATTCTGGTTCCTCCTTCATCATATGCAGAGGAACATTCTCCTCCCATTTATTCCTTTGTTGTCCTGAAGATCAAAGTGATGCATGTTCTTTTTGCAGAGAATTTGCAAAGTACAGAAAGATGTAAAGAAAAAATTTAAAAACCATAATTGCACCACGCAGCTTGGCATATGCTTCTGTTTATTTTTTCCCTGTGATTTTTCTTTTTTACACATGATCTCATAATGCATACAGAGAATTCCAGTCTGCTTTTAAAAAGTTTTTTTTTCCTTAACATTTTGTCATAGGTATTTTCCCCAACATCAAGAATCTTATTTTGCTTTGTAAGTAGAATTTTTATGGCCATGTAATATTTTACCATAATTTGCTTAAGTCATTCTCTAACGATTGGCTATTTAGGTTGTTCCCATTGGGGCTATTATAAACAACACTGCAGGGGACATCTTTGTGCATAAATATTGCTCCGTATTTCTGATCTTATTTCTTGCCTTTTTGGAACAGATTACAAGAAATTAAAAGGTAGGGACATAATTTGATAACCATTAAAATCTCTGACCAAGCTGCTGTAGGAATTGTTTCAATTACTTGTTACCTGGCCTCCTCCTCCTTCTTCCAAGGACTTCAGGCCAGATTCATTTTGCCCCAGCCTTTTAATCAAAAGGTGCCCCTGGTACATAGTCCCACTGATGGGCTGGGATTTCCATAGCGTGAGGAAAAGTGGGAGCAACTTCCAGACCAAGTGCCCTCTACCATCACAAGGAGGCCCAAGAGACAGGCTGCAGGGTGACAGGGCCGAGGTCCAGGAGGACCAGAGGATATCCGGGGGTGACTTATAATACCTGCCCCTCAAGAGCCATAGCCCAAAAGGGTCCCTGCAACCTTGAAAACGCGATACCAAGGGCAAGAAGCCAGACATAAAACGACAACCACTGTATGATTCTACTTACACGAAATACTTAGAATAGGCAAATTCAAAGAGACAGAAAGTAACTCGAGGTTACTGGGGACTGGTGGCTGAGGGAATGGGACGTTATTGCTTAATGGGTACAGAGTTTCTGTTTAGGGTGATGAAAAAGTTTTGGAAATAGATAGTGGTGATGATTGCTCAACAGTGTGAATATAATATCTTTAAAATGGAACGATTAAGCCGGGCACGGTGGCTCACGCATGTAATCCCAGCACTTTGGGAGGCAGAGGCAGGAGGACTGCTTGACCCCAGGAGTTCAAGGCCAGCCTGGGAAACATAGTGAGTCCCTCGTCTCTACTAAAAGGTAAAAATGTTAGCTGGGTGTGGTGGCACGTGCCTGAAGTCCCAGCTACTCGGGAGGCTGAGGTGGGAGGATCACCTGAGCCCAGGACGTTGAGGCAGCACTGCGATCCAGCCTGGGTGACAGAGACTGTGTCTCAACAACAACAACAGAAACAAACAAACAAAATTATTAAAAAGGCAAGTTTTTGTGCTGTAAATGTTTTACCATAATTTAAAAAGGAAAAAAAGTCTGCCAACAAGCGGTGAAGTTACCCAAAGAGGACAAGGGAAGTTCCTGCTTGGCAAGGATAGGAACAGCCCTGCAGAAAAGGTGGGGACCCGGAATAGCTGGGGCCTAGAGGATGGGGGTCCTCTTTGACGCTGTGTACTTCTGGTGACTTTATAGATCAAATAACATTTTGAATAAAGTTTTACAGGAATGCAGAACTTAGTTTTGCTCTTTAAAGCTACCCTGTCACATATAGAATGTTTCATTCTTTGTTCTTTGAGGAAGAAGTAGACGTCGGCTGGGTGTGGTGGCTCACACCTGTAATCCCAGCACTTAGGGAGGCTGAGGCAGGCGGATCACCCGAGGTCAGGAGTTGGGAGACCAGCCTGACCAACATGACAAACCCCCACTCTCCTAAAAATTCAAGAATTAGCTGGGCATGGTGGCGCATGCCTGTAATCCCAGCTACTTCAGAGGCTGAGGCAGGAGAATCACTGGAACCCGGGAGGTGGAGGTTGCAGTGAGCCAAGGTCATGTCATTGCACTCCAGCCTGGTGACAGAGCAAGACTCCGTCCCAAGGAAAAAAAAAAAGTAAATGTCACTAATGGAATGGCTAAGAAACTGGCCTGAAAGGAACCACCCCCTCCTCCTCCTTTTTTTAAGAGAGACTTCTGCTTGGTTGGGTGGCAGGGATCCTCTGCACCGATACCAAACTCAAATGGGTTTCCACCCCACCGTCAACCTAGATTTGACTTTCTTAACCTCAGTGGGGTTTTAAACCCTAGCCCCATACATTGACCGGGTCGGATGCCACATGTCAGGCAGGCAGTCTAGTGATGACACTGAGATGGTATCGCTCAGAAGAGCCGTGGGTCCTGTTTTCAGAGGTGGATGTTTGGACTGAGAATTCTGCCATTTCTGTTTCCTCTAAGAGGAGGCTGTCTGGTGAGAAGCTGTTAAGCACCATGGTGAGTGTGACATCATGGTGAGTGTGAAGGGCGCCCAGCACTCTCGCGGCCCCGGTCGGCCCTTCGTTGGGTGTTGCAGGGATTGTCTAGGTTTGGGAGGCACGGAGGCGGGGAGCTGTGTTCTTCTACTGATGGTCGCCCCTGTCCTGACTGCAGTGTCATGACTGTTCATGAGAAAGTATCTTTAATAAAGCTAGTGACAGTGTGGCTTAGGAAAAATAAAACAGTGGCCAGGACAGCACCCTTGGGAGGCGTGAGAAGAGGTCTTCCTTGGCCTGTTCCCACCCCAGTGTCTCCAGAGATGAGAAACCACTTCCCGTGCCTGCAGGTAAGCCAAGAGAGCTCAGAAGAGGAAGGCAGGATGTCCTGGTCTTGGGGAAGCTGGAACATCCCGAGCAGACCCCTAAACCCATCGGAGAACACCTTACATTGCTGTAAGGTGAAATGCTTGATTTTGCAGTTCCAGAATGAGAGTTCTGTGGGGGAGGGAGGACCTCCGCAGGGAGGGGACATTCTAGGTGAGGAAATGAGCCATGGAGCCATGGGTGGGAGGTCAGAGCTCAACCACACCAGGGTGAGGAGAAAAGCAGGCAAGCTTTTCAGCAGTGAGGAGCCCCAGGTGTTCTGGATTCAATAAGTGGGTGCACACTGAGAGGATGGGCTTAGTGGGAAAGAGACGGAGCAGGGGCCAGTGGAAGCCGCAGAGTCAGATGCTCACCAGTGAGAAAAACGCCAGGATGGGGGACAAGGTCAGGTGGAAACGTGAACAAGGAAGAAGTGGGTTCCTTGGACTCTGAGACACGCCGCCCCCCTCCCTGCCCATGGTCAACATGTGGTGCCACACTCGAGCCTCTACAAATGACCTGATAGTGCGGCACCGCTGGACTCTGTTGCCATGGAGAAGGGTGAGCTAGGAGCTAGCAAGGGTCACGGAGCCTAAATCATCCAGCAGGTTGCTGGCAAGAGAAGCACAACAAGAGCCCAGAGAGATCTTTCAACATCTCTTTGCCAAGAAAAATGGAAACCAGCCCAGGCACTAGACCTAGTTTTATGCAGTCTCGAGAATAATCAATGATGTGGGTGCTTGGGCCAAGCCAGGTTGTTTGCTGGCCTGTGCAGCTGGGCGCCAATGGCACTCATCAACCAATGCAAACCTCAACCATGGGAGTGACCCTCATTTCCTCGTGGGAACACCAGGTGGTGATGCTCACAAGCTTTCACCTACAGCACGAAGAACTCTCAGTCCAGAGACAGGTATGAAAGATCTTCCAGGCAGGGGTGGGCGTCGAAGGATGTGTGCACGATGGGGGCCTGGCACAGAGAGGCCGTGAGACCAGCCAGCCTCAGGGGGTTCAAATTTGGAAACAGAGATCCCAGGCCTGAGACCAGCTCAAAAGGTGGCAAAAAAAAAAAAATCTCCTTCCTGGGGAAGTAAATCATTGAATTGGCAAGTCTTCGAGGAGTGCTGATGTGCATGCTATCCGGGTGGGGAACGTGAGGAAACTGTGTGCGGTGCAGTCCCCAGGCTCAGGAAACAAGGGTGAAGGATGAGCAGGGTGCGACAGACGTGAGGCCATTAGGGTCACTGGAGGAAGAGCTGAGAGGGCCCCGGAGTCGCTCAAGGAAGCTTCGTAGAGAGAATCGGAATGGGACTCACGAACTATTGCTCAGCTGACAGCTCCTTAGCACCTGCTTAGGGCTCCACACACACACTCTGGTTAGAGGCTCCCAGGAACCTTGTGAGGTGGGTGCTCATAGTAATACCCTGACTTTACAGATGAGGCAACAGCACACAGAGAAGCTATGCAACCTTCCCACAGTCCCACAGCAAGCAAGTGTGAGAGCCGGGAGAGGCCAGGCTGGCAAGGAGGGATGTGGAGGGGCCAGGCATGGAGGGCCTTGGAAACCACGCAGAGGAGTCTGGGCCTGGTTGTGAAGGGGTGGAGACCCAAGTGGACAACCTGCCTACTGAGGAAGAGTCAGCATTGCTGCCCATTGGCTACTCCCAGTTTGCAACCATGCAACAATATTTTGTCACATCAAAGAAAACAGAGACATGCCTCCAAAGGTCCCTTTCCCCAAGAGCTGGGCTGGTCTAAAGTCACACCCACTTTGCATGCTGTGTCCTCAATTCCTCAGGGACTGGTGGAAGAGGAGTGTGGAGTCAGGAGGTCCTGGAATTTCCCGTCCTCAGACTTCCTGATCCTCTGCCACCTCCTTTGTTTATGCTCCTGGCACTGGGGGAGGGCACGGGGCTGTCCAGGTCCCCCCCACTCTGCTGGGGAGAGACCGCTGAGCAAAGGAGGCCACTCTACTTCCTTTCTTTCTTTTTAACATAAGGCCAGGAAGCCAGGCATTCTCCCAGCAGCCCTCAAGGAGCCTCCATCCTGTCCCCTGTCCCCGCTCCCTCCCACCTTCCTGGGGCAGGAACACTGGGTCTGCCTCTGGGGCTGGTGCAGGCTCTGCTTTCCCAGCAGCTGGAGAGGGAGAAGGGAGGGCTGGCAATGCAGGGGTGCCTGGGAGACAGCAGGCTATAGCTGCATCCAGTGGCCAGCATGGCGGGCAGAGATAGGATCTGCAGGCTTTCAGCGGGGGCAGGAGGAGGGGAACCTGGGGACGGTCCAGGAGGCGAATGCCTCTGGCCACTTAGCAGACAGTGGAGCCTTTCAGACTCAAAACTCTCCACTGGCAGCTTCCAGAAACCAGGCCTTTCCCTTCTAACCCTGTCCAGGGTGTGGACCCAGCATGCTTGCCTGGCAGGGCTGGGGGCCACATCTGACCCTACCTGGGTAGAGGCAGACCTTGTGTCTCTGTTGGGCCACCTGGACGTTGGCAGCCTTGTGTCTGGGCACCGTAGGCCACGACACGGGCTGGAGGCAGGAGGCAGGGTGATGCTCCCCAGGCACCCGCTGCGTCCCAGGTGCCCTCCACAATAGGCTCACCCTCACCACCCTGAAAGGATGGCATTCCTTCCACTTTGCTGATGAGAAAATATGGTTTCCTGCCTGCACTTCTATCTCCTGGGAGAGCTTGGATGTATGATTTCACCTCAACACCTCTCTGTGCCTCAGTTTCCTTACCTGTAAGCCAGGACTAACACCTCATAGGATCTTTGTAACTGTCATGATCAGGAACTGCTCAGAGAGGTTCCCTGTCCTGCCGAGGGACACACAGTGGGGAACAGGGCTGCACACCAGACCTGCCTGACTCCAAGTCCATGCCCTTCCATGAGCCACTTCCCCGGGCTCCTGCTCCCTCAGCGTCTTCTCCTCTCCCTGCGAGGAGAAGCTCCGCTACCTGGGACAGAGATGGCATTGTGTCTGAGGATGGGGGAGGATGGGTGAGAATGGGCATGGTGCTAGTCTTCTGTCCAGCCTGAAGAAAGCCCCAGGAAAGATGGGCTTCAGCGCTGGTTTATATTCTAGATGGCTCCTGGCCTGTGTGCTCCCTCGCTCCCTGGCCTCTTTCTCCTCCCTGGGGGTGGGGTGTGGTGGTGGCAGCCAGCGAGGAGAGGAAGCAGGCCACTGCTGTGCTCCGCGTTGCCCTCCTGGCCACACAGAAGCCCACAGATGAGGAGTGCAGCCTGCAGCATGGGGAGACCTCGCAGCCATCAGTGAGGAGTGCGGAGGGAGCTGAGGAATGCCCTCCATACTGCCGTGGGATGTGTGGCAGGAGAGGGGAGCGGATGGCGCCTCAGACACCCCAGAGCAGCCCACAAATGGAGCCCCTCTTGGCTTCGCCTCTGTTCCTCCAGGCAAGCAATTCTGTGTCTGACTCCGCCAGTTGCTATGGAAACAATGAGGAAAGGAACGGGAGGGGACAGGCGGATGGGTGGGCAGGAACCAGGCAGTCACCACTAGGACACACACCCCTGGCCCCTGCGGCCTAAACCCTGGCAGGGTGGAGAGTGGGGCAGGGAAAGCCCTCCAGCCCATCTGCAGGTACCAAATGCTGTCTTGGCCCAGGGGTTGCAGCTGCTGCCTGGCCAGGGGCAGCCCACGTGGGTGGCAGCATTCAGGATCACTGGCTCAGGCATGCATCGAGGGAGTGTCCAGCATTATAACAGGAACCGCAACAGCCACAGCTCTCTCTTCCTGCACCAATGCCAGGTACAGGGACTAACCCATATCTTGTCAGCCTTCTGATTAACCCCATTTCACAGATGAGGGAACTGAGGCTCAGAAAGATGAAGTCCCTTGCCCAGGACACACAGCAGCTGAATGGTAGTGCAGCCCTGGAGCCCTGTTCTTAACATGGGAACCAGCATTTATGAGGGATTAACTAGATCCATTCCTGCCCCTCGTGCTTTGAAGTTGGCCCATGTGCCCAATGAAACAGCCGTGGCCTGATGGCTCCCAAGGGCATGGAAGCCTCTGGATTTGGTGAGTCAGCTGCTGTCAGAAGCCGTTCACGTGTGTCAGGGACAATGAACACAAGCAGAAAGCCCCGCTTGACGCCCATGCTCCCAATCCTTTGTTGTCTGCTCAGGCTTTGCTGTGGATTTTTCCTTCCCCAGATTCAATGGATGCTACTTGAGTGCCACCCGGATAAACGGCGCGCCCTTCATTCGAGTCTGTTTCCATCCTCGGGCCTGACTTCAGCAACTTCCACAGGCCCGATGCCCGGGAGCTGGCATGATGCACCAGGCAGTCCTGGAAACCCTGATAAATCGCCCACCTGGGCACCATTTCTCAGGGCAGCATTATAATTGTACCAGCCAAATGTGCTGGGCCGTCTCAATGTGCCAAAGCCACCTGCAAACAGATGGGCCCCCAGATTTCCTGGAGGCCTCTGGGATGTTCAGTTTGAGGGGGTGCGGGGGTGCTGAAGTGAGGTCCTTGCTGGTCTCACTGGGCAGGACAGAGCTGGAGGGCATGGACGTCAGTCCAAGGGATCACCTTTGGTGGTCACAAGTGCTCTGGGCATTTTATTTTATTGTTTTTTGAGATGGGGTCTAACTCTGTCACCCAGGCTGGAGTGCAGTGGCATGATCATGGCTCACTGCAGCTTCCACCTCCCGGGCTCAAGCAATCCTCCCACCTCAGCCTCCCAAACTGCTGAGATTACAGGCATGAGCCACTGTGCCCAGCCTGCCCTGGTCATTTTAAATTCTCATCAGTCGGCCGGGTGCAGATTACACACCTGTAATCCCAGCACTTTGGGAGGCCAAGGCGGGTAGATCATGAGGTCAGGAGATCGAGACCATCCTGGCTAACATGGTGAAACCCCATCTCTACTAAAAATACAAAAAAAATTAGCCAGGCGTGGCGGTGGGCACCTGAAGTCCCAGCTACCCGGGAGGCTGAGGCAGAAGAATGGCATGAACCCGGGAGGCGGAGCTTGCAGTGAGCCGAGATCGCACCACTGCACTCCAGCCTGGGCGACAGAGCGAGACTTTGTCTCAAAAAAAAAAAAAAAAATTATCATCAGTACTCCGTGGGTTTACTTATCAGAGGCCACATGGGTGTGCACAGGGTGGAAACAAGCACCAGGGAAGATGTATCATTAACAGGTATGTGGGTGGGAGGATGCATGCACACGTCTCAGGGAGGGTACAGGCCAGACCCTCGTGCATGGAGAAGCAGTGGGAGGCATGGATGGAACTTTGAGAACGGGGCAGGCTGGCCATTCCCAACTGGAATCCGGCTGGGAGGAAAGGGGCTGGCCGGGGCCTTGCAAGGCAGGGGAAACATGTTGTTCACTTTTTTGTTTTGTATGGTTGGTTTTTAAGTGAAATTTGAGATTTAAAAAAAGTTAAACGAAACAAAACAAGGCGCTTTGGGCAGCACCACGGACCCATACTGGCCTCTGGGACTAGCAACAACAGCTGCTGGACACTTTTCTGTGCCAGCAAAAGCTGGCGTCTTCAGGGACAGTCCACTCTTAGATGGCCCCCGCCCTAGCCCTCCAGCACGCCACCCCTGCTACCTTTGGGTTCCAGGCCATTGGAGTTAAAGTGCATCCTCTTCTGACACTCCGTACAGCTCATCAGGAACCGGGTCACGGCCTCTCTCGGGAGGAAGGCATAGGTCTCTGCGATCTGGAGGAGAGAAGAGCTTCGCTTGTTATATGGATCTGTGGGGAGGCAACTTGGCCATGGGGTCACCAAGGTCTGAGCTTTGGTGGCAGGTGCTTCGGCTCTTGCAAGGAAAGTCAGGGATTTGAGGAGCAAGGGACAGGTGTCCTGGATTCTCAGCTGTGGCAATGAGACAGTACTTTTGTGGAAAACCATTTGTTTTAAAAATCGCAATAAAGGAGGTTAAAAATTGAAAAAGCAAACCCTTTAAACATTATCTAGTCTTTAACCTATATTCTAATAAGTAACATTCCTCAGAACATTTTATTGCTGCTACAAAAAAATGGGCTTACAAACATTGCTCTAGCGTAGGGTGAGCAGTTCCCCTCTTAGAGATGGATAGACTGAGACCCACAGATAAATTCACTGCCCCAGGCCCATACACAGAACCAAAGGTCCTACAAGCCATCTCCTGTGATCACTGACAGGTCAAGAACCTTCTTAGGAAGAGCTGTGAAGGGCTAGTACCAGGCATCAGACTTTTCAAACTAGACAGGCTCTGCAGGACCCCCATGTTCCAGGCAACTATGGCTTGGAGAGGTGAGCTGACTCCCCAAGGTCACAAGGAATTTTCAAGGCAGTGCCAGACTAAACCCCATGTTCCAGGTCACACCACTCCACAGTTGCCTCCAGAAGGCCTCCCCTAGTTGAGGAGGAGGACAGGGATGCAGAGGGCTGGGGGAGAGACACAAAGAAGGGAGGGAACATGAAAAAAGGGCTGGGTGGGGGAGTGGGGAAGAAGTGGCTGTGGGCCTAGGTGTCCAGCCCTTTCCTCTTGCTCTGGGTTTTGGAAAAGCCACTGACCCTGATTTAGCTGTCTGGTGGGGCCAAAGAGTCCCTTCAGTCCCAGGTTCCCTGGGCTGAGACTGCCCAGTTACTGGTTTTCCATGTGCTTCCTGGAGCCTGGGTCCTCCCGCACCTCTCCACTAAGGGGCAGCATCACCCAAGCGTTCCGCTGTCCTCGCCGCAGCCCGCAGCCGGGCTGGGAAAGTTGGCCAAGGGTGAGGGGCTGCTCTGCGCTGCGCTTGGCCCCGCCTTCCCACAGCAACTGCAGGGGTTTGCTCCTTTAGAAATGCACGAATGTCCTTCTCCATCTCTGTGATGGCTGGAGGGTAGAGGTGGGCTAGGGCGGGGCTGGGGAGTGGAGTTGTGGGGGGATGCAGAAGGCTTGGGGTGTCCCAGGCTGTGGCTGGGCTCTTGGAGGACCAGCTCAGGCACAGCTTCCAGCTCAGCCCACTGGCAGAGTCCAGGGGCCACTCTTGCCAGCTGCAAATGCGAAGTTAATTTTGGTGACACAATTGTTATTTCTCAGCTGATTTGATGCTCTGTGGAGCAGGCAGGCTCCTTGATGAGTTATCTCCCTTCCAAATTCCCTGTCTGATTGCCTTCCTCTGGAGGTCAGGGACAAGGGCAAACCCCAGTGTCTCTGACTGGAGCAGCGGATGGGAGAGCAACATCAGGGATGCAGCTGGTCCTTGTCAGGTGTCAGGTCCGAGGGATGGGGCTTTTCTGCCATGCACACAGAGAGCTTCATCCCTAGCCCAGGCCAGGATAAATGTGGCCACCACTCTACCCCTGGAGAGGGAGCCATTCCTGTGCCCTCAGTAGGCCAGGCAGCAAGAAGGGCCCTGCCCATCCTGTGTGCAGCCCTCAGCAGAGCAGCCCAGGGCTGCCTGGAAGTCTGGGGGCACGTTCCTCTCAGGCCAGCTGGGTCTGGAGAGAGATGTCTGGCTGAAGGGTGGCAGCTGCAGGAGCAAGTGTGCAGGAGGGAAGGGCGTGTGCTAGGCAGAGCAGAGGGCTGTGGCTGACTTGGGCCGACAGATGCCCCTCGGCTCCCCTGAGACGTGGCACCCTAGGTCAGGCCTCAGGAGAGCTCAGTGGAGGGCCCGGGGGAGGGTTGCACAGTCAGCTGGGAGAAGAGGGCCAGGTCCCTACCATGAGGGCAGCCCTACTAAGCTACCCAAAGCTTGCCTGCTCACCTGCCAATGGGCAGAGAAATATTTTTTAAAGGGCTCAGGGGGTCCTCCTGGCCTGGCTGCTCTGCTGAGGGCTGCACACAGGATGGGCAGGGCCCTTCTTGCTGCCTGGCCAGCTGAGGGAATAGGAATGGCTCCCTCTCCAGGGGTAGAGTGGTGGCCACATTTATCCTGGCCTTGGCAGGGACCCCAGCAGTGTGCAAAGGCTGGCTGGCGTGCCACAGGGAGGGGAGTGCTGAGCACACACCTTCTGGCCCTGGGTCCCATTGATGGGTGGAAGGGGAGGATAGAAGGCTGACAGGTGAGAAGTCCTTGGAACTGCCTGAGGGCCAGGGAGGGAAGCCCTGCCCCACAAGGCTGGATTGTCTGCAAGCCTGGCTTAGAGCTCCCTGGGGAGTCAATAAAGCGCAGAGTCCAGCCCAGCTCTGCACTGCCGTAGGGACCTGTATAGAGGATGACAAACCCTCCCCCTGCAACCTTCAGCAGGCATCTTCTGATTCATCTTCCTGGCTTGCCTGGGACCAGAAATGGGACCTCCATTTCTGATTGAGTGCACGAATGCCCAAGGCCACAGGACCACAGAATGAGTCGAAACCAGGAGGACAATCCTAGCAGATGCTCTAGTTAATAGGATGGTGGTTTTCAGATGGTTTTAGATTTAAGCTGCAGACCCTGTTCTAGAAATAGACTCATACACTGAAGCCCAAAACATGAAACAGATAAAGACAGAGCTGCTGTGTCTAAGGAGGGGAAGTTCCAGGACCCTTGTCCCTGCCCAACTGCCCTCCGCTGCCCTGGGCTGCCTGCTGCCTTGCTCCCCGGGCCTCCTGCCTGGACACTGAGTCCCGTATGTGAATTTGCCTTTCACATTTTTCCTGGTGGTAAAAAACAGGGACTTCACTGGCAGAGAGAGCAGGAGCTATTTGCAGAGTCGCTGACTTGCAAGGCCCCATTTCACTCCCCAACTCAGAGGCCAACAAAGACAGATGAGGCCAATTGGGGGGATTTGCACCACTTTACAAGATCCTCCTTCTGCCCTGAGGGTGGATTAGCACGTGGTGGGCCTGGAGCAGCTGCTGACCACATCTGGCCCCAACTCCAAAGTGGCCTGGGCAGCTAGATCCGGACTGTGGAACCCGATCTGACCTACCAGCACCCTGGGAGGGAAAAAGGAAGCAAAAGGGCTTGTTCCAACCCAGAAGGGTGCAGAAATCAGAAAAGCAGGAAGGCCCCTTGGAAAAAGGACTAGCCCTCTGTGTGAGTTCAGGAAACTCTGTAGAACCAGCTGGAGCCTTCCTCAAACCCTGGTGCTGGAGAGACCTCCGAGATCCTCTGCACCTCAGGTCACACTGAGAAGCTAAGTGAGACAGGGACTTCCTACTCGAAATGGGAATCCCTGCATTATCCATTGCACATGGCCATCTAACTCCAGCTCGAATACCTCCAGTTTCAGAAAGCTCATTGCCTGCCCTATCTGATCCACGGGTGGACAGCAGTAGATGCCAGAAAGCTCTTTTCCCTACCAAATAACACGCCTCATTTAGTGCACTGAAAAAGTCTGCCACCGCCCTGCCAGTCCTAACTCCTATAGTACCCTCCTAGGCCTGGAAAAATCCAGAGGGGCCCTGTGCCCTAGAGACTGTCAGGCAGTCTGAGGATTCAGCGTTGGCAAAACACAGAGATAGATCCAAAAAGTCCTCAGCCAGGAGCTTGATGCGTACCCCGTGATGCCAGGCTGTGCCCCTCTGCAGCCATCAGCAGGGGTTTCCTTGGGGGCTCCTTCCACAGGCATGGATGGGTGGGGGCCTCGTGTCTGCAGAGTGGGGCTGAAGAGCTAGGTATGGGTCGAGGAAAATGGGAGCAGATGAAGAGGGGCACAAAGGCATCCAGGCACCACCCCCTGCCCCCAAAAAAGGAAAAGGGTGGCATGAGAAGGGTGACAGATGGGGAGGAGAAGGGGAAAAGGAGAGGAGGCACGTAGGGGAGGAGGGAGGTGTGCCAGCCCCTTCGGCCTCACACCCACGGCAGGAGGGCCCTGGCCTGCTCAGCTCAGCCTTGGCCCTGCTGCTGAAATTCCAGCTCTGTGTGCAGCTCAGCTGGCTCAGTGCCAGTCATGTGCCAGCTCCAGGCTGGGCAGCGGGAAGTGGGGCACGCGGCAGGCATATGGACGAGAAGCCAGGAAGTGCAGAGCAAAGGGCTGGATGTCCGCTTGGCCCAGGGATGCAAGTGCTGGCAGAACCAGCTCAGCCCTGCCCTCCCCACAGCATGGAGGCCGCAGACCCCTGCCTTCCTAAACCGCCCAAAGAGTGCCTGTGGACGAGGCTTGATGCTGGACACCGAAGGGGCCAGGGAAACCACATGATCCAGCTGGCTCCAGCCCATCCGCCTGGACAACAGCAAGTCATAGGGCTTACTAGCTGACCACAGGAGGGTTGCAGAGAGGCAGGATGTGTGGTGGTCAGGGCACAGGCTCTGGGGTGGGTGGCCTGGCTCTGAATGTCAGCTGACTGACCTCAGGCAGGTTATGTGTTTCTCTGAGTCTCAGTTTTCTCATCTTAAAATGGAGGTAACAACAGCACCTGCTTCATGCATGCAACCTTCATACATGTGTAGGAAGTGCTGGTGTAGAGCACATGCTGACTGCTCAGCACAATGGTGAATTTTATTTATTTCTTTTTGAGACAGGGTCTTGCTCTGTCACCCAGGCTGGAGTGCAGTAGTACAATCATAGCTCACTGCAGCCTCAAGCAATCCTCCTGCCTCAGCCTCCCAATCAGCTAGGACTACAGGCACACACCACTAGGCCTGAATTTTTTAATATATTTTTTATTTTTATTTTTGGAGACAGAGTCTCACTCTGTCACCCTGGCTGAAGTGCAGTGGCATGATCCCAGCTCACTGCAACCTCTGTTTCCTGGGCTCAAGTGATTCTCATGCCTCAGCCTCCCAAGTAGCTGGGATTATAGGCATGCGCCACCATGCCCAGCTAATTTTTGTATTTTTAATAGAGGTAGGGTTTTGCCATGTTGGCCAGGCTGGTCTCACACTCCTGGCTTCAAGTGATCTGCCTGTCTCGGCCTCCCAAAGTGCTGGGATTACAAGCATGAGCCACCACGCCTGGCCCCAATTTTTTTTTTTAAGAGAAGGGGTCTTGCTATGGTGCCCAGGTTGGTCTTGAACTTCCAGCTCAAACAATCCTCCCATCTCAACCTTCCAAAGCGCTGGGATTATAGGTGTCAACCACCATGCCCCACCCACAATGGTAAATTTAATGCTGAGAAAATGTGGTCTTGTCAGTGCCAAGGGGCCCATGTGGGCCCCAGCCTGGGTGCCTCTTCCTTCTTCTATGATCCTCTGGTGGAAATACCCTCAGAACTCCCTTCCCACAAGTCACTTCCCAAAGCACACAGACCGAGAAGCAGGAGGGGCGGGGAGACCATCACCATCTCCTGCCTTCCTGGGCAGACACCTTGCCTCTCTGAGGCTCTTGGCACATGGGTCCATCCTTAAAATCCATTTAGGGCAAAAGCCATTTTCTGAGGACAAGGACTAACCGGATGGTTGCATTAAAAAAAAAAAAAAAAAGATGGGCCATAAGGGGAAATTATAGACTTTACAGCCACCTCCACGGTAGTCCAAAGCTATTTATACAAAGAACTTGGGGTGGGAAGTTTCACATCTGCCTTGGGTGGGGAAGCCCAGCCACAGAAGGGCATATCTCTAGAAGCTCCAGAGAAAGTCGGCATGGAGGACACTGGCTGACTGCAACTCAGCTGCCGTCTGACCTTGGACAAGTGACCCAATTCTCTGGGTCCCAGTTTCCTTAACTGTGAAATGGGTCCTCAGTGCCTCGGTCACAGGACTGCATCAAGGCTTGAATGAGCATGAAGGGCTTGGCTTTACTGGCTTCCCTGGGCACTGGACAAATGGTTCAGAGCTATGTATGAGCTGTGGATAGGCCCACATGTGGGTCAGCAGGAGATGGATCAGAACACAGGCAGGCCCCTCTGCAGGGTGAGGAGGGGCCTCTGGTCTGGCCAGTCCCATCTATTTCCACCTCCCTGGCATTTGTGATGCTTCCTGCCCCTAGGTTGCCTTTTTTGCCCTTATGCCTCCCCAAAGCGTAGAATGCCAGTACAGGTGTCACCTTCTCCACACAGTCCCCCGGGCTCATCTGTGTCTGGCGGTGCCTGTGCTAAATGCCCCTGAGCCTGGGTTCTTGCTCTCTCAAAGCGAGCCTTGGAGACATTTCTGCTTCTCATGTATCTTGTTTTTGCTCTCAGCCTCCCCACCCCAAATCCAATTGTGATCTCCTGGAGGGTGGGGAGCAGGTCCTTCGACTTCCCCTGGGGAACTCCCAGTCCTGACTTCACAGGATGAGCTCACACATAGGAAGAGCTCAGGACAGGCCTGGCATGCAGTAAATGCCATGCCATGAAGGCATTTGCTCCTCTGATTATTATCTGTCCCCAGCACCCCAGCCCCAGAACAGGCTGCAAGGGGCTGGGGGTGGTGTCGGGTGGGAGCAAGTGAAGCAGAAACGGGGAAGAGGAGGGCGCCTCCTGCCCTCATCCCTCTCCTTCCCTCCCTCTCACCCCCTTCAACCTGCTTTTCCTTTGTGCTCAGACCACAGATTCCCTCCCCTCGCCCTGTGAGCCATCTCTGGCTGCCGTGCCCTTGCCCTGTGCCCCCCTAGATCCCCAAAGGCCGTTTCATCACGCCTCAGCTCCCTGCCCCGCCCCCCAAGCCCAACATGTGCGGAGCCCGTGGCCTCCTGCCAAGGCCTGGGGCTGCCAGTGGAGGCAAAGAGACAGAAATCTCACCGCTCGGTAGGTTTTCTTCTGCCCAGCGTGCTTGGGGGCTTTGCCTGGCTCCGCTGAGCTCTCCACATGCATCGAGTAGATGATGTCAAAGAAATCTTCCACCACAGCGACCCGCTTCAGAGAGATGCCCTCTGGCTCCGACAGGCCATCTGCCCCCTGCGACAGGGTGGACAAGCTGTGTTAGTGTCAGGAATGATGGCGGGGTGAGAACTGGGCCCTGAGGCCGGGGCAAGGGGTCAGGACGGGCAATGCCTCCGACAGTGGGTCTTGGGGTGGGGAGGGGAGGGAGCCTACCGAGGGGGCTCCCTGGAGGGGGACGCCAGAGTCAGGGTGGCTGCAGCTATGAAATCTACCAGCAACAATGGGCAGAGAACGGCGACAACGAAAATACAAATTAAAAAACCAAGAGGCTCCATGTTCACAATTTCAGACAGATTGTGCCAGACTCGGGCGGGGAGCTCTTGAATCACACGCTGTGCCAAGACCATCCTGGAAGTCTCTGGGGAGGGGGGAGTGCTAAATAGATGCGGCCCCATCAGGAGCTCGCCAATTAGCAGTAACCTTTCACTGTGGGCCTGGGCTGGGGTCCCGGGGGAACAGCTCCGATCACCTGGGTGACTCCTGCCTCCGCCCTGGCCTTTCTGAAAAGCTTTTCGCGGCTGCCTGCCCTCCCCACTCCAGCAGCTGAGCGCCAGCAACGGCACCCGGGCCCTTTGTGTGTGGAGATGTACAGAATAACAGGCACGAGGCCACGAGGAGGTGGCAGGGCCGTGTGAACGGGGCGGCCGTGGGCCCCGAGCCTCTTATCAGGCTGGCTGAGTGGTGTCAGCTGGCCCGACTAGGTGTGCCAGGAGCAAGACGGGTCCTTCAATAGCAAACAGCTGTGGGGCTGACGCCTGCCCTCCCCTCCAGCAGGAAAGGGGGCTGCAGGGAAACCACAGGGCAGGAGGCTGGGGGTGAGGCCAGGGCCCGGAAGGGAACGGACTGCTGGGGAACTGCTCCGTGCAGGCAGTCCTCACAAGGGAGATACACAGACCCAGAGACACTAGGCTGTCAGCCACCAGCTCCTTCAGGGGAGTCTGTGGGGACGTTAGGGGGCTTTGAAGATCAAGAGCAAGCCATATGGAGGGAATTTGAGGGGAAAGGAAGCAGGCTTTTCTCTAAAAGTGCCCAAAAGACACATCTCCAAGAGAATTCTTCCCCAAAGGACCCCAACTCAAGGATGTCAGCAACAAGAGGATGTGGGCTTCGCCTGCTCCTTCTCAGCTCTCTCCAGCACTTACAACAGTGCCTGACACATAGTAGGTAGTCAGTAAATAATGACTGAATGACTGAGTGGTCATAAGTGGCAGCTGGGCAGGGTCACTTGGACACACTCTGCCATGGTTTGAATACGGCCCCATCATGGAAGTGGCCCTGTGACCCCGAGCACTTACTGTGCTTCGAGCTTCAGGCCCTTTATCTGTAAAATGGGGATAACAGAAGCCCCTTTCCCATGAAGAACTGAGTTGTGTGTGCAGCACTTGGCACTGAGCCTGGAGTACAGGGATTGCTAGATATTGTTATTAAGAAGTGCTTTGCAGTTCACCATGTTTCCCCCAGGTATGAGAGAGCCGAACACCGGGGCAACCCTCGGAGGTTGTTAGGGTCAGGACCTGCCTGAGGTACAGTGGCTGGTGGATGGCACAGATGGCTTCAGACCTTGGACTCTGTAGTCCAAGTAGAATACAGGCCACACTGGGAGGTGACGCTCGCTCACAACACGTTCTGGCACAGACAGGTCTTGGTTTCACCCAGTAGCTTTCTCGACACACCATGATGGCCGAACAGCAGTGTCTCTTCACCAGCAGCCCATTCAAGAGCAGAGAGCAGATGGGGGGCAAAGGGCATCTGGGATGTGGGGTCCCGAGCCCCACAGCTAGCGGGCAGTGTCCCTAAGTGGTAACCCTGGGAGGTGACCTCACTGGCCCCAACAAGGCCCTCTTGCCAGTGGCTTCCTTCCTGGTCAGAACCCATTTCAGTGGGACGTCTCAGATAGCACATATCTCTCTCTCTCTGTGTGTACAGGAGAAGCCACTTGCTGGTCCAGCTTCCTCGCTGTGAGATTATGGGCAAACCCTTCAACCTCCCCGAGCTTCATTTATGAGATGAGCTGTAAAGTTCCATGACTTTTCTGCTCTTAACCTCTCTCAGGAATCAATTTTACCTCTTTTGGGGAGTATCCCACCCCCTCCGACATCTCAGGCCATCTGTACGGGCTGATCAATGACTAACTTGTTCACTATTGACCCGTAAATGCCCAGCATTACAGGGCTCTTCATATACTGCCATGACAGGGTTGGGATGGGACAAATATTATGATAGGTCAGTTAGACTTTTAAAAAATTTTTTACTCAGCAAAGATATGGATTTGGGATGTACAGTTATAATACACTTCTAACCAGAGGTTCACATTGGTGAAAATAAACAAAATGAACCTTAAGAATGAATATAGCTGGTTTTGGCTGGGCGCGGTGGCTCACGCCTGTAATCCCAG
The DNA here is from genome assembly GCF_000001405.40 of Homo sapiens. Taxonomy (NCBI): domain Eukaryota; kingdom Metazoa; phylum Chordata; class Mammalia; order Primates; family Hominidae; genus Homo; species Homo sapiens. The sequence goes on from NC_000020.11 coordinate 32,530,294, forward strand.
CACTTTGGGAGGCCAAGGCGGGTGGATCATGAGGTCAGGAGATCGAGACCATCCTGGCTAACATGGTGAAACCCTGTCTCTACTAAAAATACAAAAAATTAGCCGGGCATGGTGGCGGGAGCCTGTAGTCCCGGCTACTCGGGAGGCTGAGGCAGAAGAATGGTGTGAACCCGGGAGGCAGAGCTTGCAGTGAGCCGAGATCGCGCCACCGCACTCCAGCCTGGGCAACAGAGCGAGATTCCATCTCAAAAAAAAAAAAATGAATATAGCTGGGTTTCTATTTGTTGATCTGGGCAGTAGTTATAGAAGTGTGTTCAATTTATTAAGTCATTAAATCTTAACACTTGGCCGGGAATGGTGGCTCATGACTGTAATCCCAACACTTTGGGAGGCCCAGGCAGCCAGATCACCTGAGGTCGGGAGTTTGAGACCAGCCTGACCAACATGGAGAAACCCCGTCTCTACTAAAAATAGAAAATTAGCTGGGTGTGGTGGTGCATGCCTGTAATCCCAGCTCCTCAGGAGGCTGAGGCAGGAGAATCACTTGAATCCAGGAGACAGAGGTTGCAGTGAGCTGAGATCACGCCATTGCACTCTAGCCTGGGCAACAAGAGTGAAACTCCATCTCAAAAAAAAAACAAAAACAAAAACCTTAACATTTATAATCTGTGTATTTCTGTATGTCTGATAAACTTTAATTTAAAAAACAGTTTTTAAAAAGGATATCATGGGGGTAGTTCCACTGAATTTTTAAATTCAGGTAAAATACCCATGCAGAATGTACCATCTTTACCATTTTTAAGTATAGAGTGAAGTCAGCCACATTTGGATCACCTGAATCCAGAGGCATAGCTCTAGAGGCTTAGCTGCTTAAAGGCCAATAGACCTCCCTGTTCAAAATTGTTTCAGACCAGAACACAGATATTTCTGGAAAAGGAAGGAGATAAAATTTTGTGGGAAGGAATGGAGAAAGAAAGCAATCTGATGAGGAGACAATATTTTATGTAGGTGAGATGGAAATTTCCCCCTAACCAGCTTGTGGGGGCCTTAGGTGGGTTACTTTATTTCTATACCTTTTTTTTTTTTCTTTTTTTTGAAACACAGTCTCACTCTGCCATCAGGCTGGAGTGCTCACTGCAACCTCTGGCTCCTGGGTTCAAACGATTCTCCTGCCTCGGCCTCCCAAGTAACTGGGATTAAAGGCGCCTGCCACCACACCTGGCTAATTTTTGTATTTTTAGGAGAGATGGCGTTTCACCATGTTGGCCAGGCTGATCTGAAACTCCTGACCTCAGGTGATCCATCCACCTCAGCCTCCCAAAGTGCTGGGATTACATGTGTGAGCCACTGTGCCCGGCCTATTTTTATACCTCTTGAAAGTCAGTTTCCGCACCTATAAAATGGGCCTAAAAAGTGCTAGTTGGATGTTCCAAGGATCAAGAATGTATGTCAGGCATCCAGCACATACAGACTTGGTTAATGTTCATCTCTTCCCTTGGACCCCTCTGAGTCTGGACATTTTGTGTTTAGGAATCTCCTCTTATCTCTGGTCCCTCTGACGCGTCCAGAGGGGACCCATGACAAAATGTGTCCCCCTCAGTAACACCCACCATCAGAAGAGATGCACAGTCTTATTTAATTCCTAAATAATATGCTAAGGCTCCCACAAACTTGGAATAAGCTTTCCAAAAGTCAAAGTGTAATTGACCAACCCAGATAAAAAAGCAAAACGTACTGTCCCATGTGGCCTGTCTCTTCCCAGCCTCCCACCTGCCCTCTTAGGTTGACTCTGGTAAACAACAGCTTTGCACCTGGTCCAATGTGACCATAAAATTAATCCCAGCAAAATTATTCAGGGAAGCAGTTTTCAGTTAGTTCCTTCTTTAAAAATTGATCACTTTCTCCCTTAATGTTCAAATTTGGGTCCTGTAATCCACCTATCTCTACAGCAAAGATTTACATAGGAAAGGAGAGGGCCTGGAGCGACCAGAACTCAAACCACGCAAGGGCTGCAGAGCCATACCTTGAACTGTCCTCTGGTGAGCTAGGGCCACCTGGATTCCATGTGTGCTACACCCTAGGGGAAGAACGCCAGGATGTCTACGTGGCCTTCAAGGAGAACCCTGAGAAGACAGCAACAAAGGGATCCGACAGTAGTCACGTGCCGCAGACATCTCTGCTATCCCTTGCATCCATGGAGGTAATAACCTTCATGCTAAATGCTGCAGGGGAGGCAGGCCTTCCCTAGCTAAGGATCCAGACAGTGCTGCAAGGGAAGAGCTGCTAATAAAGGAAGCAGAAAGCACCTTCCCTGTAGACTTGGGAAGCCCCTGCCATCCCCCTTCTGCCTGGTACCCAAATTAGCTTCATCTAATCCATTGCCCTAAGCAAACTGGACAGTGAATTGACAAAGGAAGTTCACTTTATCTATAGGCTGGATCAAGAAGGGACTTGGAGTCTCCTGCCTATCCCAGCTTCCTGGAAACACCTAGCAGGAGTAATGGAATGGAACCCTGTATCACCCCATGGGAAGAACCACGAAAAACACACAGTCACTTGTGTAGGATCAACCTCTGGGGCCTTCCTGCATGGAGAAGAACATTGCCATGGTAACACACACCATCCTTTCGAACCATCCAACCCCCAAACAGCCTGCCAGAGCCAGGCCAACAGAATCAGACATGGCAATAGTTTTAAAAATTTATGGAGAAGCTGGGCATGGTGGCGCATGCCTGTAGTCTCAGCTACTCAGGATGCTGAGATGGGAAGACCACTTGAGCCCAGGGGTTTGAGTCTAGCCTGGGCAACACAGCAAGACCCATCTCTAAAACAAAAACAAAAACAAAAAAAACCTACACATTTATGGAGCTACATTCTTGGACATCACCAGCTCCCTTAACACCAGCCCATTTGGGTTCTAAATGAAAAGCTAGGTGGCAAGTCATTGACAAAATCACCAAATGTCTACTTAAATACATCTGATATTTCAAAATATTACAGCAATGGTCCTTAGACCAGCAGCATTGGCATCACCTGGGAACTTGTTAGAAATGCACATTTTCAGGTTCCACCTTAAACCTACCAAATCTGATGTGCTGGGGGTTTTAACAGGCCCCCCCAGATGATTCTGATGCAAGACAGATTTTGAGAACTGCTGATCAGAATGTCTCCATGATTGAGCCAGGGAGGTAACTGTAGGAAAACAGGTATTGGCTCATTAAATATAGACATGCTCTGTGCTTCCTGGCCTAATATATTAATATTTTCATTTCCGATGAAGGCCAATTTTCCTAATGGTGAGAACAAAAGAATCTTATTGGGCAACATTAGTATAAATTCAACACATCTGCCCAGAGACTTAATGTGGATTATGGATAGAAAGAGCAGGAACGCCCTGCATCCTGACATCAGATTTTTAAGTCCTCCCTGGCAAAGTTAATAAATACTTAAGCAGGGCATCCCTTGGCAGGTCCTTTCTGGCTTCCTCGTTTTCCTCAGATGGATCTGAATGCTCAGCATGCTAATTCCCAGGCTGCAGACCTAAGAGGGGGATCGGCATGTCTTACCAGGCCATTAGACAGGCTCCTGCCGGGGCGACCTCAGGGAGCTCCTGAATCGGACTGAATCTTGCCTGTCTCCCCACATGAGCCAATTAAATGGACCCCTGCCCCTGATGGTGAAGTGAGGTCCAGTTGCTAATGGATTGCAGTTCTGTCATCTCCATTAGAGCTTCGAAGTCACTTGCTGGTAATAAGTTACATACTTATCAAGGTGGGATCACAGTTTTAGGCCACCAGGGTGCCATTTAGTGTGCCACCATCACTATATTAGTAGAGTGTGCCTTCCAGCAACGACGAGGCCATGGTTGAGAGGATGCGGCTAAATAGCGGAGACATTTCTCAACTGGGTTTCTCCGATGGTAGAAGAAAAAACCACAGAGAAAGGCCTTAGGATAGGCCTTCTGGTGCATTTCGGATCCAGCTCTTGACAAGGAATAAAAATCAACGAGATTGCTATTGGACGAGAAAGTCAGCCAGTAGAGCCCACCCCAAAGGAAGCAAATCTTTGGCTACCACGTGGGAGGGAGCCCAGGACTTCAGGGGGCTGATTGCACAGGCAAATGTGAGGATGCCGCTCCATCCCATCCAGGCCATCAAAGTGGCTGAGATCACAGACAAAAATTACCCTGCATATTAATTACTAGCATGCTCTTCCCAACTTCTGCAATCATGCCATTCCTCCTGTCCCCAAAACCCAGCCTTAATAAATTCAGTCAGGGCTGGGTGCAATGGCTCACGCCTCTAATCCCAGCACTTTGGGAGACAGAGGTGGGAGGATCGCTTGAGCTCAGGAGTTCAAGACCAGCCTGGGCAATACGGTGACCCCCACTCCCCCCACCCCCCGCCGCCAGGAGGTCTCTACAGAAAATGCAAAAAACCTAGCTGGGCGTGGCGGCATTCGACTGTAGTCCCAGGTACTCAGGAAGCTGAGGTGGGAGGATCACTTGAGCCTGGGGAGGTGTAGGCTGCAGTGAGTCATGACCGTACCACTAAACTCCAGCCTGGGTGACACAGTGAGACCCCATCTCAAAAAAAAAAAAAAAAAAGTCAGCCAGAACTGGAGTTTTAGAAGCTTCTGGGGGGATTCCTGTAAAGTCTCATTTCAGCTCCTGGTGGGGCTGAAAAAAGAAGCAAGGGGGAGGAGTCAGTCTCCTGCAAAGGGGCCCCACAGGGAAAGGAAGGAGGAGGTGGAGAGGAAATTGAAAACCACACTAAACTAAGAGAACAAAAAGAAAAGAAAACCAGAATGAAGACCATCACCCAAACACCCAGAAACCCTCTCTTCAGCATCCCCAAGAGAAGCTGTCATAATTTGTAAAGGGCAATCAGGTGATTGAAGAGAGGGTATTGCTTCACTGGGACAAAGGCAGTATTTTAATTTCTCTCGGTTCTGAATACTACCTACTGGGGACTGGAAATTGAAAAAAAAAAAAAAACCCTCCAAAATAGGAATTTACCCCAGAATTTTAGGACCCAAAGTTCCATTGAGCTTCGTAGGCCTGGATGGGGCAGAGGGATGGGACCACACTCTCCCCATAAATAAATAAATACATAAACAAGGCGCTGAGGACTCAATATAGCACCTGCCTCTTCTCCACCCTTGTGCACAATCTCCAACTGTTAGCGCGTAGCTGCCGCCGCCACCGCCACCACCGAGTCGCACCTGCCATCTGGAACAGGCCTCACATATTCCAAGACCTCCTTTCTGCTTCGCTGAACCTCCATCTTCTTTCAAATCACGCTGGGGACCAAAACGCACACCCCAGGCCACAGAGAAAGGTGCCTGGGACCAGCCCCTCAAACAACGGCGCTACATTTGAGGATGTCATCTCCTCCAAGCAGCTCTGAGTCTTTTTTCTCTTTCTTTTGGGTTTTGTTAACTCTGGGATGTCTGGAATGGGTGTAGGGGGAAGGAATGGGAAGAGAAAGGGGCACAGTGGGCCACAGTGCCCCCCAGTTAGAAGGAGAGGGGCTGGGGAAATGCAGATCCGAATGACAATGACTTATGAGGGCTGGAGGGAGGAGTACTGTCCAGCATCCCCGGACGGACAGGCCAGGGTCTGGGCCTGGCTGCAGGACTCTGGCCTGGCGGGGGCAGGGAGAGGGTCCACAGGAGGGTGCTGTAGAGGTGAAGTCACAGGCCTAAGGACAACCCAGCCCCCACCCCAGGCAAGGGGCTGTCCTGCCTGGGCCTCAGTTTCCCCCTGTGTGAGCAGACACCATAGGCATAATGGCTTTCGCCACCTCATAGGAAGTGTGTGGGAACCCAAATGATGCACAAACAGCACCCGCCCTAGAAGACACCCATTAAAGAGCTCTGTCTGCTACTCTGGCGACCCGCCTCCCGGGGCACCGCAGCCTAGGACAGGGAATCGGGAGTCACCGAAGGGGGGGTCCTAGGCGGAAGGAGGTAGCCCTGAGCCAGCCAGGCCCCGCGGGCGGGTCCCTCTCGGGCCGAGGAGGCGCCCTGGGCGCGCTAACGAGCGGAGAGCCCCAGGTGCGGGCCCCACCCAGGGCCGGGGGAAGAGGTGGGGCTGGAGGGGGAGGGGAGTGGGCCGCGCTAATGACTGTTGACAGCGCGCGCTGGGGCCGAGCTGGCCGCGCGCGCCGCTGACAGCTGCTCGGGCGGGGGGCAGGGGCGGGGGCGAGGCGGCCGCGCTCTCTTCACGGCGCAGGCGCGTGCGCCCCGGCGGGGAGGGGCGGGAAGGCGCGCGCGCGCCGGGCTGGGTTCGGAGGGCCTGCTGGAGCGGCTCGCGCGGGCTCCTCGCGGGCAGGCAGGTAATGAGAGTAACCATGGCAACCCACCAGAGGAAGTGTATTCTGCAGGAGACGTTAATCCCCTCTCCCCGGAGCTGGGACAGCCTGACTTTCCATTCTCACACAGTAATTAGATACCAGCTGTCAGTGCAGGGGGGACGGCTCCGCGGCTGCAGCCCGGCTGGGAGTGGGGGGGGGGGGGCGCACCAACGGGGCGGGGGGGGGACACGCAGGAACGGGGGCGTTAAAGACACAGGGACGCTCGGCTGCGGCGGGCCAGGGCGGCTGGCCTCCCCCTGTCTCCAGCCTCTAGGCGCGCGCCCGCTCACCTGGAGACCGCGCCCGCGCGGGCCCCGCCCACCCCACGCGCACCTGCTGCGCGCGCGCCCGCCGGCCTCGCGTCCCCCTTCCGGCCCCGCCAACCGGCTCCCGGCGCACCTGCCCTGCCCCGCCCCCCCGGGACGCTGCCCACCTGTCCTTTGTGCAGGGCGGTACCATTCGATCTTGCCAGCTCTCCTTCAGGGAGCGCCCGCTATGTGCCAGGCGCCGTGCCAAGCCTGATCTCCCGTAGTCCTCACAGACCCTCCGCGGTCAGTGCCTCTGCTGCTCCCCGCCCAAGGCGCAGCGGGGTGTGGCCATTTGCCCAGGGTCACGCAGACTTGAACCCCCCATCCCCGTGCCCATTTAACAACCAAGATACTGCGCCTCCCACCGCGTCCACATCCACATCTGCTGTGGCTCCGGGGCCTCCTAACCGTCCTGGGAGACAAAACAGTCACACTGGTGGCTGGCGTCGCGGTGCACCTACTGTGTGCCAAGCACTCACGGCCTCGTTTCACTTTCGCAACAGCAACGAGAGATCTGTTGTCCCAGGGTGAGGAAGCAAAGGCACAGAAGAGCTGAAGCGATTTGCCCACAGTCACAAGGTACAGAGTGACAGAGCTGGGGTTCAAATCCAGGGAGTCAGACCCCAGGATACCAACTACTGGGCTCCATTAGTCCCACCCCTGGATTCGTGGTGGCTGAAATCCAGCACACACCTCTTCTTCCTTTCCTCAGTTCAGCCCACGCAGGTTCTGTCCCAGCATCGTGAGTAGCTGCCTCTCCTAGCCATACCTGAGAAATCGAAGAAGTTTCTAGGCCTAAAGCCACTGCCACAACCCGCGTTTCTTTTTTTTTTTTTTTGGAGACGGAATCTTGCTCTGTAGCCCAGGAGGGAGTGCAATGGCACCATCTCGGCTCACTGCAACCTCCGGCTCCTGGGTTCAAGCGATTCTCCTGCTACAGCCTCCCGAGTAGCTGGGATTACAGACACACACCACCATGCCTGGCTAATTTTTGCAGTTTTAATAGAGACAGGGTTTCCCTATGTTGGCCAGGCTGGTCTCGAACTCCTGGCCTCAAGTGATCCCACTGCCTCGGCCTCCAAAAGTGCTGGGATGACAGGCATGAGCCACCACACCCAGCCCACAACCCTCATTTCTGTCAGGCCTCCCAAAAGCTCCTACTGTCAGTGCAGGCAGCTGCTTGGAAGTCATTCTAGGCCACCCCTTCCATTTCCCAGGTAGGTGAACCAAGACCATTCAGGTGCGAGGCTGGCCTGAGTCAGAGATGGCCTGGGAGAGCCTTTGGGGGGCAGGGAGGGTTCAGTCCCCTCAGGCCTGGCTGTGTCCCCTGCCCCCCACCCACAATCAGGCCCAGGGTTGGGGGGTGCACACCAAGGAGGGGCAGGAAGTGTCCAAGAAGCAGAACCGGCTCTGTGTCCCCAGTGGCGGCGGGTGTCTGGGGCAGGAGGAGGCTATCTGATCCCTTCCCCACTGCCCCGGCCATGACCTCCTCCCTCCCTCCCTCGCTCCCTCCCTCCCTCCCTCCCTCCCTCCCTCCCTCCCTCCTCCTTCATGGCTGGGGTAGCCAGCACCCTGGGCTGCAGCTGAGAACCCAGCGTTCCCCAACCCCGCCAGCATTCCAGTGAGAGGAGGGGTGGGGGGAGACTGCACCCAGAGCTTTAGGGACAGGGGCACCCCTGGGGCTGCTCCACTCTGGGAGGGCCAAGGCCAGGCTGCCTCCAACCTCACCGTTTCCTGCCTCCGCTCTCCCCATCTCTCAGTAGCAGAGCTGCCTAAATTTGGCTCCAGGAGGGAATGGGGGAGGCAGCGGCAGGCGGGTGCCGTCAGAGGCCAGGGCGTCGCTCCCGTCTAGCCGGCTGGCATTTTTGCTGTCTGGAGGAGGGCAGGGGGGCCCGGCAGCCCTCTCCCGGAAAGGGAGATGTTCGTACCTTCTGACATACACTGAGTAATGTGCAAACGACATGCAAACCGAGCTTCAAATCAGCATCTCAGCCAGGGAACAGCTTGAGAGCTGCTTTTGGGATGAGAGCAGAAGGACCAGAGCCCAGTGCCCAGGGGCTCCAGTGGGGGTGGGGTGGGGTGGGGGGCGGCACAGAGTGTCTAGGGCTGGGCGTTGGGAGACTCAGTTTCTTGCCAGCTGCAGGGCTTTGTTCCAGTGGCTGGACCCTCTGGGTCCCAGCCCAAGGGCAGGGCCATGGCTTTCTCTGCCTGCTCCAGCAAAGCACTGGGCACACCCTGTCACGTGGTTAAGCACGTGAGTTCTGCAGCCATCCTGCCTAGGTTTGAACCCTGGCTCTCCATGGGCCAGCTGAGTGAATTCCTCAATCGAGCACCCAGGCAAGCAGCTAGTGGAACTGGGTGTCTGTTTTAGAACAGCCACTTCCCTTCCCTGGAAGTTGGGCACGGGGGCATGACGTGAGAGAACCTGGGCTTTGGAATCAGAACTGGATTCCAGGCCTCACTCAGCCAGTGAGGCTCTCTGAGTCTCACTCCCCTCATTTGGGAAATGGGTTCAGGATCTCAAGGTCAGCTGTGACGTCCACGTGATGACCTTGCACATGGTGGGCACACACAGGCCTTCCCATGGTGCAGCCTCACTGCTGTCTGCATTCATGTGACTCCTAGCTCCATCCTGTCCCATCGCTCCTCTTCTCTTTGTTCTTCTGTCCTGGCTTTTTCGTCTCTAGATGTAAATTTCTTGCGGTCTTTTTCCCTTCTGTCTCTCTTCTTAACTGGTGATCTTGGAAAAGTCATTGCCTCTCAGAGTCTCAGTCTGCATATCTTCTAAATGGGAGTAAATGAGAGGTGGACAATGAGCTCTGTCTGGGGCCTGAGGCTCATCTTTACAAGACCGCCCACCCATCATTCCAAAGGGCCACCAGGGGTAGGCTGTGCCCTCAACTCTATCGGGCATGGTGTGTTGGGGGCTCCACTTCTCAGTAACTCTGTTTAACCCCAGATAACTGCTCTCCTGCCCCTCGGCCGGGGCTGATATGAGCTGAATCCAGCTTCCTGCCACCCAAAAGCCACTTCCTGCCAAGCTGATACCAGAAGAACTTGTTTTCTGTGCACAGAGCAGTCTCTGGTGGGGCAGCCACCAGCTTGCCTCGGGTGTGAACATTTTTTTCCATTTGCCGGTCTGTCTGCTGGGCTGGGCAGGGGAGGCTGGGGACTCTGACCCCTTCGCCTCTGCACGTGCCTGTCCTGCCCTGAGGTAGCCTCTGGGCCCACCAGCCATCCCAGGAAGGGTGCCAAGTGTCCCTCTGGGCCCAGACAGATGTGTGTAGGCCGTGACACACAGTCTGACACAGCCACACACACACAGTCAGTCTGACAGAGCCACTGTGGCCACTGGGCATTTGGGCAAGGACTCAGGGAGACAATGTGTGACTGTCACACACAGTTAAGGTCACAGAGACATGGACATAGCCTCACACATGCAACCATCTGCAGTCCTTGGACAGTCTCACACACAATTACACGCAGGCCCACAGCCATGCTCAGAATCCCACAGCACTCCACACAGCTTCACACATGTACACGGGAATCTTCCTCCCCGGCCCCCACACCTGCCCAGCACCGACCTTCCAGATGCATTCACTGATTCAACAAATCCTTTTTGAGGGTCTTCTCTGTGGAGGCCCTGGGCTAACCCATAATCAGAATGACTGGAACAGGAACAAATAATTAGCTGCCCTGTGCTGTTGCCTCCGTTTCCCCATCTGTGAGATGGGGATCCTAGCCCTGCCACATGGGACTGTCAATGTTAGGAGTGAATGTGTGGAAAGCCCTCGGTCCGTGTTTGGCCCACAGTGTCATCTAAGTAAGGCTATCCTGGTTAGCCAAAAGCATCCCATGCCCAGCTCCACGCAGAACACCTGGCACACATTATCTCCCTGAGCCCTTGTCCAAGTCCCCAGCAGCTGGGGTCATCGCCCCCATTCCTCAGATGAGGAAACCGAGGCTCAGAGAAGAGGCCCACAGTCTGTAGGTTGCCCCACCGATCTCATGTCATGCCACAGTGCTGCTCCAGCCTGCCTCGCCACCCCCTACACACACACACACACACACACACACACACACACACACACTATTCCCTCTGGCTAGAAGGCCCTTCTCACTTGCATATAGCATGCCCAGCTCCTCTGAGCTGCCTACTTACACTTCTGTGAAATGGGGATACTAGCCCGTGTCAGCCCCTGTTTATTTTCCCCAGGGCACTGGACTTTAAGGGCCAAGAGTGAAGACCATTTTGTCCTGTTCTCTGGCACACAGTAGGCACTCGACAACTATTTCAAAACTAAAGGAATAAGCAAGTGGCCTCATGGCTACTGAGGACAGAGTCTGGAACTGAATGCAGGGCACTCTGAAGCTGGAGCTCACTTCTACATTATTGCCTTTCTCATGCTACTAGCAGGCACTGAATGTGTCAGTGAGTGAATGAATGAAACCAAGATCTCAGGATCCCAGTCAAGTGCTCCCTGAGTTTCATTTCCTGGTAGTGTGGACATGAGCCAAGCTCCAGCCACCTTGGATGGTGGTGGGGGTGGCGGGGCTGATGGGCCGCCTGAAGCCGGCTGTCAGGAGCTCGTCTGGCCACAGCCGCCAGCAGGAGAGACCAGCTGGCGGTGCAGGGTCCATCGGCCCGGGCCTGGAATCTGAGCTGCCCTCAGAGGCCCAGCTTCTCTCTGGGCCCCCACAAACTGGCCTTTGTTCCTGGGCCGGCCAAGACCCAGCAGCTTGGGCTTTCTGTCTGCCCGCGGCACCCGCGCTGAGCTGGCGGGGTAAATGGGCCAGCCTCCCCTCTGTCCATGCCCAGGACGTCGCTTTAGGACTAAATGGAGATGTAATTTTCTATACAAATCCATGACAATTTAGATGGAGTGATTGTAATTGGCTTTTCAATGGGGGTTTTGTCCAGAGCTGGTGGCTAGAACTGGGTGGCCTGTTTGAGGCAGGCTCCATTTAAATGACAATAAAGCAATAATATTGAGGACTTGTACAGTGCCCAGCACTCCTCCCAGCCCAAGTAGAGCCTCATGTTTATGGATCTGGTCCTTCCCTGAGGCTGTCTGGACAGGCGGGTGGTGGGGGGCGCTAAGCCCAGGAGACAGGTGGCCATATCTTTGGGCTTCAGGACACAGAGCTTCAGAATGGCTGGGGCAAGGTCCCGCATCCACTGGCTTACCTGTGTCCTTATTCCTGAAACTGTCACTAACTAGTGCCTCCTCGGGCTAGCTGCTAGTCCAGGTTTCGGGGGCACCAAGACAATGAGAGCTGCTCAGGCAGGTCAGAGGGAGAAGGCTACAATGGCCAGTACAGCATGACATTTGAGAGCATGACCAAGAGATGACCAACAGCCAGACAGCCTGAGCTCAAATCCTACTCCACTTCTTTTTAAAAAAATTTTTTTTGAGACAGGGTCTCGCTGTGTCACCCAGACTGGAGTATAGTGGCAGGATCACGGCTCACTGCAGCCTCGACCTCCAAGGCTTAAGCAATCCTCCCACCTCAGCCTCCCAAGTAACTGGACCATAGGCATGTGTCACTACACCTGGCTAATCTTTTTATTTTTTTGCAGAGACAGAGTCTCATTGTGTTGCCCACGCTGGTCTCGAACTACTGGGCTCAAGAGATCCTCCCGCCTCAGCCTCTGAAAGTGCTGGGATTACAGGTGTGAGCCACTGTGCTCAGCCCCTACTCTACTTCTGACTCGTCTCTTGAACCTTACCAAGTTACTTAACCTCTCCATGCCTCAGTTTCCCCAGCCATAACATGAAGCTGCAGTGAAAGTTTTTGTGAAGATGAAACACCTTAATAGTGCCTGGCATGTGGAAGGTGCTATATATAAGTCATTGCCGTGATTCATTCCAAGCTCTAGCTCTGGTGTCAGGGTGACCTTGGGCACGTGACTTAACCTCTTTAAACCTCCACTGGCTCCTCTTTAAAGTGGGGCTTTTAGGAGAACCGACCTCACGGGGTTGTGAGGATTTTAGAGGATGCAGGAAAGCGCTGAGCACACAGCCGTTCTCGATAAACACGAGCTCTCTTGCTGTGGTGCTCTTGCCTTGAGGAGCTCGCCAGCTAGTGATCATTACCATGTCGAGTGTGGGGAAAAGGGAAAAGAATAAAGCTCGCGGGAAGCCACCACGGAGCTCAGCTGGCTCTGCCATCAGGGGATGCAATAGGAGAGAATGATCCAGAGGGCCCTCAGGAACAGGGCAAGGAGTGGGGCTGCGTGAAGGAAGGCTTCACAGAGGAGGTGACATTTGGGCTGGGTCTTGAAGGATGCGTGGCACTTCTGCCACCAGAAAGGGTGATACCCAGCCTGGCCAACATGGTGAAACCCCGTGTCTACTAAAAATGCAAAAATTAGCTGGGGCTGGGCACGGTGGCTCATGCCTGTAATCCCAGTACTTTGGGAGGCCCAGGTGGGTGGATCACTGAAGTCAGGAGTTCGAGACCAGCCTGACCAATATGGTGAAACCCTGTCTCTACTAAAAATACAAAAATTAGCTGGGTGTGGTTGTGGGCACCTGTAATCTCAGCAACTAGGGAGGCTGAGGCAGGAGAATCGCTTGAACCCAGGAGGAGGAGGTTGCAGCGAGCTGAGATCGTGCCATTGCACTCTAGCCTGAATGACAGAGCGAGACTCTGTCACAAAAAAAAAAAGAAAAAAAAGATTAACTGGGTGTGGTGGTGCACACCTGTAGTCCCAGCTTCTTGGGAGGCTGAGGCACAATAACCACTTGAACCCAGGAGGTGGAGGTTGCAGTGAGCCGAGATCTCGCCACGGCACTCCAGCCTGGATGACAGAGGGAGACCTTGTCTCAGAAAAAAACAAAAAAAAAAAGATACCAGGGTCAGGCACTGTGGTTACAAAGTCAACAGGCAGACCTGGCTGCCTCCTGAATGAGTGATTTGTGCCTGTGAAAAGGGTGGTGGACAGGGAGCCTCTGCTGAAGGTGCGATGTTAAGTCACCTCTGAAGGCCAACAGCCTGTGCAAAGGTCTTCAGGCAGGCAGGCGGCCGGCATCGTGGGCAGTGGTGTGTAGGATGGTGGGGAGGCTATGCTGAACGTGCTGGAGGGACGGATGGGGTGGCGGCTGTATTCACGTGAAACAGGCAGCCATAGAGGGATTTTAAGCAGGCGGGTGACACCATCCAGAGGATATTTTTAAATGATCCCTCTGACTGCTCGTGGAAAATGGGCTATGGAGAAGAAGGGGTGAGAGAGAGGCAGGGAAGCCATGGGGAGGCAGTTGGATCACTGGGGGAGAGAAGTGGTTAGACCCAAGGTATAGCAGGGCCCAGGAGCTGCTGGAAGGATGATGGGAAGGCAGGGGGCGGGTGGAGAAAGGAAGGGGGAAGGGGTACAAAGAGGCATGGGGCCTTTGAGGCGTGGTGAGGGGCTGTGTGCAGCTGGTACCTGAGCAGGGTTGGTGGAAGGAGATAGCAGAAGAGAGGTGAGGGCCACCTCCCACCTCCCTGCGCCAGGCTAAGGCTCTCCAGCTTTGTCCTGAAGGCAGTGGGGTGCCAACAAGGATTTTTCTCCAGGCAGGAAAAGACCATGCTGAGATTTGTGCTTTTGAAGGATCATTTTGGCTGCAGGGTAAAGGGGTGGGAGGTGGCAGGTGGGCGAGGCTGGAAGGAGAGAGGCAGGGAGGGAGGGTGGTCAGTGGCGGCTCAGAGGCCTCAGCAGGCATCCTGGCCAGCTCCCAACTCCAAGAGCAACAAACCACTTTCTCAGAGGTCTAAAACCAGCCCCAGGTCACACGGCTTGTCAATGGCAGAGATAGATCCCACCCCAGGGTGAACTCAAAATCCAGTGCACTGTTCCCCTTTGCTATCAACAGCCTTGGTCACTAGTAAAATCCATCACAAATAGCTTTTCATCACGACTCTCAGAGAACCCATACTATGACACGAAAAGGTGAGTACTATTATTATTCCTATTTTACAGATCAGGAAACTGAGGCTAAGTCACCTGCCTAAAAGCACACAGCTGGGAATTGACAGCCAGGTTCAGATCTAGGCAGTGTGACTCCAGACCCACACCACAGGTCCTAAGCAGGAGGTCTCAGGCCAAGTGGGGTCTATGGATGTATCTGGGGGAACCTACAGAGGTTTATTACAATTTGAGTTTGTTGCTGATACTTAAAAGTTGGGGCTGGGCATGGTGGTGCCTGCCTGTAGTCCCAGCTACCCAGGAGGCTGAAGCAGGAGGATTGCTTGAGCCCAGGAGTTTGAGGCTGCAGTGAGTTATAATAGTGCCACTACACTCCAGCCTGGGTGACAGAGCATGACCCTGTCTCTAAAGAATAAAAATTTTTAAAAAATGGGACATTTCATGAAAGAAGAAAAACATGAACTTTGGACAGGACCTCCTAATGTTGACAACCCCAAGCCCCAGTCCTTGAACTTCGTCCACCTTGGGGCCACTCACACGTGTGCGATGTCACGTTGACATCTCCAGCATGGGCCTCTCCTCTGCTGCCGGACAGCCGACTGGACTGAAAGCAAGTGTGTGTCTAGGGCCCCCTGGAGAGCCAGGGCGACACATCCATCCACTCATCCAGCAAGCATTTAGACCCCCTTCCCCCGACCCGCCCACAGCCCTGGCCACCACCACCAAACTTCCTCCCCCAGCAGGCTTCTCCATCTCCCTTGCTTAGGCCAAACACCCTGAAGGCATCCTTGACTGCTCACTGGTTCTCACAGCCCACATCCCATCCATCAGCAAGTTCTGTTGGCTCCACCTTTAAACTATATCCAGAATGCAGCTGCATTCTCCGCTGTCCCAGGGGCTGGAGGTGCAGGGAGAGGCATGTGCCGTTATTCTAGCGTGCTGAGTCTCAGTTCCATTGTCTGTAAGAAGGGCGGGCTAGAGCAGGATATTTGGATTGCCATTATTCTTGTGTCCAGATTTTGGAGCTAGGAAGAGCCTGTTTACAAGACACTTAGGTTGTAATTCTTTTTTTTTCTTTCTTTTCTTTTTTTTTTTTTTTGGAGACAGAGTCTTGCTCTGTCGCCCAGGCTGGAATGCAGTGGCATGATCTTGGCTCACTGCAACCTCCGCCTCCTTGGTTCAGGCGATTCTCCTGCCTCAGCCTCCCAGTAGCTGGGATTACAGGCAGGCACCACCATGCCCGGCTAATTTTTGTATTTTTAGTAGAGACGGGGTTTCACCATGCTGGCCAGGCTGGTCTTGAACACCTGACCTCATGACCTGCCGGCCTTGGCCTCCCAAAGTGCTGGGATTACAGGCGTGAGCCAGTGCGCCCAGCTTTTTTTTCCTTTTTTTGGCGAGGGGATGGAGTTTTGCTCGTTACTCAGGCTGGAGTGCAATGGCGCGATCTCAGCTCACCACAACCTCCGCCTCCTAGGTTCAAGTGATTCTCCTTTCTCAGCCTCCTTTTACAGTCATGCACCACGACGCCCAGCTAATTTTGTATTTTTAGTAGAGACAGGGTTTCTCCATGTTTTTATTTATTTATTTTTTGAGATGGAGTTTCATTCTTGTTGCCTAGGCTGGAATGCAATGGCATGATCTCAGCTCACAGCAACCTCCAGCTCCTAGGTTCAAGCAATTCTCCTGCCTCAGCCTCCCAAGGGGATTACAGGCATTTGCCACCATCCCTGGCTAATTTTGTATTTTTAGTAGAGACAGAGTTTCTCCATGATCAGGCTGGTCTCAAACTCCCGAACTCAGGTGATCCACCCGGCTCAGCCTCCCAAAGTGCTGGGATTACAGGTGTGAGCCACTGCGCCCGGCAAGGCTGTAATTCTAATTCCCTTCTGGCCTGGGCAAGACATAGGTGGGACACAGGAGAGAGCATGGGTGTTGGAGGCAATGGCAGTCTTGACTTTCAACTCCTTGGGTCAGGAGCTCCCTGTGATGGAGGCTGTCTTGTTCACCACTGCATCCCCAGTATCTGCCAGAGCTGACCACAAAGTAGGTGCCCAGGAAACGTGTACTGAAAGAATAAGTGATGAATGAGTCCTCCTGGTCCTCCAGAGGGACCTTGGGCATTCACTAACTTTCAGAGGGGCTTGATTTTCCCATCTGAGAAACAGGCAGGACAATCTGATGCCACTGCCTTCCTTCTCTGTAACAACAAACATTTACCATGTGCTTACTGTGTGCCTCACCCTGCTCTAAGTGCTTTACATATATCAACTCACTGACTCTTCACTCCAGCCCCAGGAGGTTGGGACAACTCTCTTTTATGGGGGAGAAAACTGCGGCCCAGAGAAGAAAGTGACACACATGCCCAATGTCACACAGCACAAAGCACCTGAGCTAGAGACCAGCCCGGGCAGCCTGGCCCCAGAACTCTCATTCTTTTTTGAGAGAGGATCCCATTCTGTCACCCAGGCCAGAGGGAAGTGGCTCAATCATGACTCACTGCAGCCTCAACCTTCCACGCTCAAGGGATCCTCCCACCTCAGCCTCCCAAGTAGCTGGACTACAGGCACAAGCCACCATGCCCAGCTAATTTTTGTATTTTTTTGTACAGACAGGTTTTCACCATGTTGCCCAGGCTGGTCTTGAACTCCTGGGCTCAAGTCATTCTCCCACCTCAGACTCCCATAGTTCAGGGATTACAGGCATGAGCCACCATGCCTGGCTTTCTCATTCTTAAACACTGTCCTAGGCTGTCCCTCAGTAAGAAAGGAGGTTTGGGAAGCCTGCCCCAAGGAAGCACCCAAGTTGCAGGTGGGGACATGCTGGGCAGGACTGCAAGCTCAACAATCCTTCTGTGGCTCTGTACTGCCTGTCAAATGCCATCCCAAAACTCATGCCTGGATTTGAGGCCCCTGGAAGCAGCTCCAGCCATGTCTCCTCCTCCCAGAGGTCCCAGCACAAACCTGACATTCCAGCCTCCCTGGCTGCTTCTCCTCCCATGAGCTCTGGGGCAATCGTGCCTCTGTGCCTGGACACACACTGTCCCCTCTGCCCACAACTGGGTGCCCACAACTGGGTGGTTTCATTCAAATGTCCTCTCTCTCCCCAGGAATCCTTCCCTGACCTTCCCCCAACCCCCAACCCAACATGTCTCTTGCCTTCAATTTCCTGTAACACTTTGCCAACAAGGACAATAATAGCCAATGTGTATTAAACACTCCTGATGTACCAGTAGGTACTATTGTCAATACCGTTTTACAGATGAGGAAACTTAGGCACTGAGAGGAGAAGCAAGTTGCCCAAAGACAGGTGGGATGGAGTCAGGATTGAACCTACATTTGCCTGACAAATTGCAAAGCTAGACCTCTAAGCCCCTAAACCAGACCACATCTCACTGGCAGGCATACAACAGATGCTCATTCAAGATTCCCTAGTAACTGACTGCCTTGGGCTTCCACACTTAATTGCCTTTTGCACACTTAAGTATGATCTCAGAGATTCTCCAGGCATCACCTGCTGAATTTGCATTTTTCTGGTAGTTATTTCAGAAGTGGGCGGAGACACTCTCAAGGCATGGGGGCCAAATCAAATGGTGAAAAATAAACAGGATCAGAAGTCGGATAGATCATGTGAACTGAGATCTCTGTAAAGTGGGGATTTTAATTCTGATCTTCAGGGTCATTACGAGGGGATGCACAGTGCCAGCATACACTGAATGCTCAATATACAGTAACCTCGGTCATCACACGAATGGCTCACGTTCTAGACATTATTGCCGGGAGTGAAAATTGGTTCCCTGTCTGTGGAGGGCAGTCTGTATCATCTCCAAAAGCACATGCCCTCAGACGCAGCAATTCAACTCCTTGGTATAAACTCGCCCATGCTTGAAATGGCCATCCATATTCAGGGATGTTCACTGAAGTCTTGCGAGAGCAGAATATCATAAACAATCCAAATGTCCATTAACAGGGGACTGGATAAGTAAATTATGGTACATCCATAAAATTGAATACTACACAGCTGTAAAAAAGAAGGAGAAAGTTCTTTATGTTCTAACATACTTATGCACTGACAGCATACAGATTTACTGTTTAGTGGGAAAAACAACCTGAAGAATGTAAGAGCTAAAACTATAAAACTCTTAGAAGAAAACACAGGGATAAATCTTTGTGACCCCGGATTAGGCAATGACTTCTTAGATATGACACCAAAAGTTCAAGCAACAGAAGAAAAATTAGACAAATTGCACTTAATTAAAATTAAAAACATTAATGCTACAATGGACACCATCAAGAAAGCAAAAAGACAACTCACAGACTGGGGTAAAATATTTGCAAACCATGTATCTGATAAGGGACTTGTATCTAGAATACAGAAAAGATTCTTAAAACTCAATGGTAAAATGACAAGTAATACAATTTTTTTAACGGGCAAGGATCTGAATAGATATTTCTTCAATAGAGATATACAAATGGCCAATAAGCACATGAAAAGATACTCAACATCATCGGCCATCAGGGAAATGCAAATCAAAACCATGGTGAGATGTCACTTCACACCCACTAGGATGGCTCTAATCAAAAAGACAGCCAATAACAAGTTCTGGCCAGGCATGGTGGCTCATGCCTGTGATCCTAGCACTTTGAGAGGCCGAGGCAGGTGGGCAACTTGAGGTCAGGAGTTCAAGACCAGCCTGGCCAACATGGTGAAACCCTGTCTCTACTAAAAATACAAAAATTAGCCGGGAGTGATTGCCCGCTACTGTAATCCCAGCTACTCAGGAGGCTGAGGCAGGAGAATCACTTGAACCAGGGAGGCAGAGATTGCAGTGAGCCGAGATCGCGCCATTGCACTCTAGCCTGGCGACAGAGCAAGACTCAGTCTCAAAAATAAATAAATAAATAAATAACAAGTTTTGGCAAAAATGTAGAGAAATTGCAACCCTCATGCACTGCTGGTGGGAATGTAAAATGATGTACTGATTTGGAAAACAGGTAGTTCCTCAAAAGGTTAAACATAGAGTTACCATATGACTTACCACTCCTACATGGAAGAGAATAAAAAGCAGAGGTGAACACAAAAACTTGTACATGACTGTTCATAGCAACATGATTCAAAATAGCCAAAATGTGGAAACAACACAAATGTCCATCAACTGTTGAATAAATAAATAACATGTGGTATGTCCATTCAATGGAATATTATCAGCAATAAAAAGGAATGAAGTACAGTCAGGTGTCAATGATGGGACAGGTTCTGAGAAATGCATCATTAGGTGATTGCATCGTTGTGCGAACATCATAGAGTGTATCTACACAATCCTAGATGACACAGCCTATTATTGTACTGAATACTGTAGACTATTGTAACACAATGATATTTGATTTTTTGTTTTTTTGAGGCAGAGTCTCACTCTGTCGCCCAGGCTGGAGTGCAATGGTGCGATCTCAGCTCACTGCAACCTCTGCCTCCCAGGTTCAAGCGATTCTCCGGCCTCGGCCTCCCGAGTAGCTGGGCCACTGCACCCGGCCAATATTTGTATATCTAAACATATCTAAGCATACAAAAGGTACAGTAAACAATAATACAGTATTATAGGTCAGGCGTGGTGGCTCACGCCTATAATCTCAGAACTTTGGGAGGGCGAGGCGAGCTGATCACTTGAGGTCAGGAGTTCAAGACCAGCCTGGTCAACATGGTGAAACTTCGTCTCTACTAAAAATACAAAAAAGTGGCCGGGCGCAGTGGCTCACGCCTATAATCCCAACACTTTGGGAGGCTGAGGTGGGCAGATCATGAGGTCAGGAGTTGGAGACCAGACTGACCATCATGGTGAAACCCCGTCTCTACTAAAAATACAAAAATTAGCCAGGTGTGGTGGCGTGTGCCTGTAATCCCAGCTACTCAGGAGGCTGAGGCAGGAGAATCGCTTGAACCCAGGAGGCAGAGGTTGCAGTGAGCCAAGATCATGCCACCACTGCACTCCAGCCTGGGCGACAGGGTGAGACTCCATCTCAAAAAAAAGAAAAAAAAATACAAAAAAGTTAGGCGTGGTGGTGGGTGCCTGTAATCCCAGCTACTCGGGAGGCTGAGACAGAAGAATTACTTGAACACAGGATGCAGAGGTTGCAGTGAGACCAGATTGTGCCACTGCACTCTAGCCTGGGAGACAGAGCAAGACTCCATCTCAAAAAATAATAATAATAATACAGTATTATAATAATTTAGGCTAGGCACGGTGGCTCATGCCTGTAATCTCGGCACTTTGGGAGGCCAAGGTAGGTGGATCACCTGCGGTCACGAGTTCGAGACCAGCCTGGCCAACATAGTGAAACCCCATTTCTACTAAAAATACAAAAATTAGCCGGGCGTGATGGTGGGTGCCTATAGTCCCAGCTACTTTGGAGGCCAAGGCTGGAGAATCACTTGAACCCAGGAGGCGGAGGTTGCAGTGAGCCAAGATCATGCCACTGCACTCCAGCCTGGACGACAGCGTGAGACTCGGTCTCAAAATCATCATCATCATCATCATCATCATCATCATCATCGTGAGCATCATCCTCATCTCATGGGACCACTGTCATATATGTGGTCCATTGTTGACCAAAATGTCTTTAAGTGGTGCATGACTGTACTGATACATGCTACAACATGGATGAACCCCGAAAACGTAAGTAAAAGAAATCCATTACAAAAGACCACGTATTGTATGATTCCACTTATAGGAAATGTCCAGAAAAGGCCAATCTAAAGAGACAGAAAGCACAGTAGTGGTTGTCTCCCTACCTGGGGGAGGGGGTCAAGAGGAAATGAGGAGTGAGGGGTATGGGGGGTTTCTGGGGATGACGCAAATGTTCTAAAATTGATTGTGGCAATGGTTGCACATCTCTGAATATATGATACTGAAAGTCACTTAACTGTATTTATTATTTTTTTTTTAGGGACAAGGTCTCACTCTGTTTCCCAGGCTGGAATGCAGTGGTGTAATCATAACTCCCTGCAGCCTTGAACTCCTGGGCTCAAGTGATCCTCCCACCTCAGCCTCCAGAGTAGCTGGGGCTGTGGGTACACACCACCATGCCCAGCTAATTTTTTAAATGTTTTGTAGAGACAGGGTCTGGCTATATTGCACAGGCTGGTCTTGAACTCCTGGGCTCAAGTGATCCTCCTGCCTTCGCCTCCCAAAGTGCTAGATTACAGGTATGAGCTACTATGCTCAGCCTGAATCATATTTTAAATGGGTGAATTGTGTGGCATGTGAATTATATCTCAAAAAAATGCTATTATATTAAAAAAAGCAACCTATGGAACAATGTACAACATATTTTGTGTAAAACTAGAAACAAAACCCAGAAATAGATATGCATATGTGCATATATATGTATAAAATATCTCTGAAAGGATACCCAAGAAATAACAGTGATTTCGCCCGGGGAGAGGAACAGGGTGACTGGCAGGCAGGGCCAGAAAGGGGACTTTTTCTTTTTAACAGTCTACGGGTACTTGATTAATTTTTTTTTTTTTAATAATGAAATTCTGGCAGTGCGCGGTAGCTCATGCCTATAATCCCAACACTTTGGGAGGCCAAGGCGGGCGGATGACCTGAGGTCAGGGGTTCAAGACCAGCCTAGCCAACATGGCGAAACTCTGTCTCTACTAAAAGTACAACAATTAGCCAGGCATGGTGGTGGACGCCTGTAATCCCAGCTACTTGGGAGGCTGAGGCAGGAGAATCACTTGAACCTGGGAGGCGGAGGTTGCAGTGAGCCAAGATCATGCCACTGCACTCCAGCCTGGGCGACAAGAGAGAGACTCCGTCTCAAAACAAAACAAAACAAAACAACACCTTTTTCTGGCTGGGCACAGTGGCTCACGCCTGTAATCCCAGCACTTTGGGAGGCCAAGACGGGCAGATTGCCTGAGGTCAGGAGTTCGAGACCAGCCTGGCCAACATGGTGAAACCCAGTCTCTACTGAAATATACAAAAATTAGCCGGGCATGGTGGCGCATGCCTGTAATCCCAACTACTTGGGAGGCTGAGGCAGGGGAATCGCTTGAATCTGGGGGCGGAGGCTGCAGGAAGCTAAGATTACTCACTGGCCCTCAGCCAGAGGATGAGCTTGGTTGGTGGCTCTGAGAGCATAGGAGATCCCCTGAGGAATCCTACTTTACAGTGTGCCAAGCCTGCTCACAACCGTCCTCAGATTCCTCACACAGGCCCTGCCAGAAGGTTTCAGCACCGCCCCATTTCCACCAGCAAATCCTGTGGCGCGCCCTTCAAAACAGGCCTAGAATCGGCTCACTTCTCACCCCACCATGGGCACCATTCTGGTCCAGGCCACCAGCCTTTCTCCCTGGTTCACCTGGATCACTGCAGCAGCCTCCTCCCAGCTTCCACCCTCACCCCCAACCCCAGTCTGTAACCCACACAGATCTGTGCTCACCTCTCACCACTCACCCCCACACCCAGGGCTCCAGCCCACTCCACTGGCCTTCTCCTGGCGCTACTCACCAGGCACTTCCTGCCGCAGGGCCTTTGCACTTGTCCTTTTCTCTTCCTGGAATCCTCTCCCACCAGATCCCCACATGGATGTTCTCTCACCTCCAGTGGGTCTCTGCTCCCATGTCTCCTTGGGAACAGGAGGCCTCCCCACACCTATCTCAAGCAGCAGCCCCCAGCCCTAGCCCCATTCTCTGCTTTATTTTTCTATATATTTAACA
Organism: Homo sapiens; assembly: GCF_000001405.40. Taxonomy (NCBI): domain Eukaryota; kingdom Metazoa; phylum Chordata; class Mammalia; order Primates; family Hominidae; genus Homo; species Homo sapiens. The sequence goes on from NC_000020.11 coordinate 32,553,588, forward strand.
TTTACATTTAGGGTTCATGGTCTGTCTCCCCACCCCCAAACATACAGGCTCCGTGGAAGATGGGATTCTGTTTCTTTCTCTAGCACCAAGAACAGATCAATGCACGTTGTAGGTGCTCAGAAATATTTGTCAAAATAAAACTGGGTCTTATGAAACTGTCACAGACCAGAGGAGGTTAAGGAGACATGACAGCTAAATGTAACGTAGTATTGTGGTTGGATCCTGGGACAGAAAATTTACATTAGGGAAAAACTAGTGAAATAAAAAGAAGTATGAGTTAATAGTGACGTGCCTGGATGGGTTCCTTAGTAACATCAAATGTTAACCACAGGGGAAAGTGGGTAAGGAGTAGACAGGAACTCTCTGGACTATCTTTGCAACTTTGTAACTGTAAATCTAAACTGACCCTACAATAAACCATTTGCTGAAATGTTAAGAATGTATTGGATGTGGCCAGGCGCGGTGGCTCACACCTGTAATCCCAGCACTTTGGGAGGCCAAGGCGGGCGGATCACAAGGTCAGGAGATCGAGACCATCCTGGCTAACAGGGTGAAACCCCGTCTCTACTAAAAAATACAAAAAATTAGCCGGGCGTGGTGGCAGGTGCCTGTAGTCCCAGCTACTCGGGAGGCTGAGGCAGGAGAATGGCATGAACCCGGAAGGCAGAGCTTGCAGTGAGCCGAGATCGCGCCACTGCACTCCAGCCTGGGCGACAGAGTGAGACTCTGCCTCAAAAAAAAAAAAAAAAAAAAAAGGAATGTATTGGATGTAAGTGCAAATGAACAAACAGGCTCAGAGGTGAAGGCGCTTGTCACAGGCTGCACAGCCAAACAGAAAGTGGCTCATGGGCAGAGAGACCCAGCAAACACCTCCCCAAGAGAAGGAGGCCCCTGTCACTGAAGATCCATTTCTTTTGCAATAAAGGACAATGTTGTGTGGGGGGAGGGTGGAGCTTTCCTTCCCAAATATCATAGGAGGCTCAGATGCTTCATTGAGGATCCACCCCTGGTCCTGTATCACTCAGAAGCAGGCACCCTCTCCTGGGAAACCCCCCAGGAAATCCTCCTTTTCTCCTTGCCTCCCAGGAGGCCCAGAGGGCCTTGATGAGTCACAATACTGTTTGTCAAGAGTCATTGGCTCTGGAGCTCAGGATTTCAAGCCAGGTCATCCAAATCAGGGTAGGGGACAAGGAAGGGGCTAGGGAGACCAAAGGTGGTCCAGGAAGGGAGGAGAAAGGGACAACTAATTCATCTTGAGCACCTACTAGGAGCTGGCATGGGGCAAGACATTTTAGAAGTATGTGACCACATTCCAGCTCCCAGCCCCAAAAGGCTAACTTTGATTACTCCTGTTTCCCCAATGAGGAAACCAAGGACTGGAAATGGATCCAGTAACAAAGCAATGGAGCAGCCAAACTGGGATGTGGCCTCCTTGGCCTCCTCTTGAACCCCACTCTGTGGCCTCCCTGTACCCTGACCATGCTGGCTTCCCCCAGCTACATCTGCACCATGTGCCCCCTCTCAGCACCTGGCCTCTGCCCAGGCTGCTCCCTCTGCCTGAAACACCCTTTCTTTCCTGGTGTTACGTTAACTTCTACTTGATCTTCAGGCCTCAGCTCGAGTGTTACTGTCTGTTACGGCCTGAATTGTGCCCCCTCCAATTCATATGTTGAAGTCCTGACCCCTGTTAATGTGACTGTATTTGTGGATAGGACCTTTTTAAAAATTTTTAAATTTCTTCTGAGAGCAAGTTTTGCTCTATTGCACAGGCTGGAGTGCAGTGCTCACTGCAGCCTCCATTTTCTGAGCTCAGGTGATTCTCCTGCATCAGTCTCCCAAGTAGCTGGGACTACAGGCATGTAACACCATGCCTGGCTAATTTTTTTTTTTCATAGAGATGAGGTCTCACTATGTTGCCCAGGATGGTCTCAACCCCCTGGGTTCCAGCAATTCTCCTGCCTCAGAGTCCCAAAGTGCTAGGATGTCACAGGAGTGATAATGCACCTGGCCAAGACAGGACCTTTCAAGAGGTGACTAAGTTAAATGAGGTCCTTAGTGTGGGCCGCACTCTAATAGGAATGATGTCTTCCCAAGAAGAGAAGATTAGGATACAGACGTTCACAGAGAGACCATGAGAAGACACGGAGAGAAGTGACTGTCCACAAGCCAAGAAGAGAAGCCCCAGAAGAAATCAACCCTGCTGACACCTTGATTTTGAACTTCCAGCCGCCAGAGCTGTGAGAATGTCAGTGGTTTAAGCCACCAGTCTGTTACTCTGTCACGGCAGCCCCAGCAGACTCATTAGGTGGCCTCCGAGAAGCCCTCCCTGACCCTCCAGACCCAAGCTGAGACCCTGTGAATGCTCTTTCCTTCACGGCGCCTCTCATGACCACAGTATTCTGCGTATTTCTGTGATCATTTGGTTAATGGCTGTGTCCTCCATAGATGGTGACAATCACAAGGGCACAGACGGGGTCTGCCTTGGTCTCTGCACAGTGCCAGGTGCATAGTAGGCCCCCCCTAAATACATGCGGAGTGAGATGAGAAGGGAAGAGCCAGAGAGGCTCTGCGGCCTCGGGAGCTCTCCTGCCTCCCTCTGTGTCTCTATTCCCCGACCAAAACAGCACCACCAAGGCTTCTGGAACTTTTGAACTTCAATCCTCTTCTTCAGCAAATATTTCCTTTGTGGGGGGGGGGGGTTTCCCTGGAGCCCCTCAGCTCTGTCAGGCTCAGTTTTGTCCAGCAACTTTAAATCAAATCCTTGCTGAAAAATGTGAAACTCATTCCTGAAGTCAGCAAAAGACAAGGTGCCTCGTCCTCTGCTACTTGTCTCTGTCCCTCCTTGAACCCTGTTCTTCCTGATCCCCCATTCCAGCCCTGCCCAAATCCTGCCAGCTATTAAGGGCTACACTCCAAATTTCCCTTCTCCAAAAGCTCATCCCCGGGGGCCCAGAGACTAGAAGCGGAGGCTCAGAAAGGGAGAGAGAGTGGCCCAAAGTCACACAGCCGAGCAGAGGCTGGTCCATCTGTGAATCTCAACTCTGGCCTGGTCCCATCTCCAGGCATATCAGCGAAGGCATCTGGTGACACAAGTGTCCTCAGCCCCAGGGGAAACTGCTCTACCTCCTCCATTCATTCCACTGGGCAGGTCGGGTCTGAGCCGAGGTGGGCCTGGCAGAGGTCCTGGGCCTCTGCCACTGAGAGCACGTGACCTGCCCAAGGCCACACAACCGGTTAACAGTGGAGCCAGAGCTGGACGTGCCGGAGCCACAGTGCCTCGCCACACGGCCACCTTGCTCCTTCTGCACCAGCGACGTGACTATGCAGGAGGCAGCTTGTGTGATATTGATCGAGCTCCTGATGCAAAGCAGGGTGGGAAATCCTAGGAATCAGGTAGACCCGATTTTAAATCCAGCCATGTGATTGTGATCTCAGCCAAGGAACTCCGTCTCCTTAGGACTTTTCTGCAGCTGTTACAGGGGGTTCTACCTGGTGGGGATATGTGTGGGTTGAAACAACGTTTGTGAAACCCGTAACACAGAGCCTATCCACTACATAAAGCAGGGTCAAACTGCTGAGCTCATTGCATAAAGTGGGGTCCACCCTCACGCATCCCTGCCCTGGCCACGAAGCAGCCTCCCCGCTACCGTCCTGCCCTTGCAGTCCCATTGCCCCTGGAGTCCCATTGATTTGAGTCCCAGCACCAAGCCTCCTTATCACTTGCATTGTGATGGTGCTGCAAGTGCTCATTGTAGCTAATTAGAACTTTCTCAACATCTCCTTGGTCCCTATTTACTGCTTATACAGAAGAGACGCTCTGAAGGCAGAAGCCTCCTTGGCCTCCTGTGCAGCAAAGTCAGAGCAGCCCCAGCCAGCCTCTCCAAGTCTCCTCGGTTGGGCATGCCCAGTGCTCCAGCAGGCAGAGGATGGCGGAGGGCTCTACCCACTGCCAAGCTCTGCAACCTCATGCAAGCCGTTAATGGTGGGCAGGGGGCAAACTCAGACAATGACTAGTTCCTCCTAGCGCTAAAAATGAATTTTGCACACCAGCTTTTGCCTACACATGCATCAAATATCTCTGCAAGGACAGGCAAGAAACCAGTCACAGGGGAACCTTCTGGAAAGGAAGCTGAATGGCTGGGGGAAAGAAAAAGTTTGTATTTTTAAACTTTTGCATTTTAAATAATGTGAACACAGCCAGGCGCGGTGGCTCATGCCTGTAATCCCAGCACTTTGGGAAGCTGAGGCAGGTGGATCACTTGAGCTCAGGAGTTTGAGACCAGCATGGGCAACATAGTGAAACCTTGTTTCTACAAAAAATATAAAAAGTAGCCAGGCATGGTGGCACCCACCTGTAATCCCAGCTACTTGGGAGGATCACTTGAGCCTGGGGAGGTGGAGGCTGCAGTGAGCTGTGATCATGCCACTGAACCCCAGCCTGGGTGACAGAATGAAACCGTGTCTCAATGTAACAGTAATAATGTGAATGCACTGATATTTAAACAAAGTTGAAATTAAAAATAATAAAATCTAGATTTCAAGTGAAGGGATTAAAATCCCCAGCTTCCCGAGTTTGCACGACCTCTCCTAAGGGATTCCCAGTGCCACTGCCCTGTGTCATTGCTGCTGACAACTGACAACTGGCCACAGAGGAGCTTGGCTAAAAGTGGGAGCCCAGGAAGGGTCACTTCAACTTATGGGCCTCAGTTCCTCCTCACGATCAAGAGAGCTGCTGAAATCCGCATCGTAATCTAACCCTGATTTGCTGGTCTCTTCTTTTGATCAGATCTGGGGAGGGCATGAAACATTCCGTCATGGGAGCCCCAGGGTGTGTGTAGGGGGGCAAGCTCACAAAAGTCCAAGGGGCCCCAGCACCCTGAATGAGACTATTGAGGGCATCACCGCTGAAGCCCTCTTGTTTTACCAATGAAGAAACTGACTCACGGTTCTGGAAAGGGACTGTATGCTGAGATCACACAGCCGGCTGGGTACACGGCCGCCCCACCACCCCACACCACTCATCCCCTGACAGCCGTAACGGAGGATTCCAGCTGCACCAGCAGGTGGAGGATCTGGCCTGGCTGTGGCCCTTTCCTCTGACTGGTGGGGCCAGAGGGTCAGCGGTGCTGGGCCTGGCCGGGCCTTGCAGGCTGTGGTATGGAGTCTGGTCTTTGTCCTAAGAGCCCCTGGGGAGCCCCTGAAGGGTTTTAGGCTAGGAACTGATGATGTGTGATTTACGTTTCGGAAGATCGCTCTGGCTGCTGGATGGAGAGAGGGAGCCAGCAGGCCAAAGCAAGAGCCACTGCAGCCTGGACCGGAGCAGGGGCAGCGGAGGGGCCGCCGAGAACCAGTGCAAGGGAAGGTGAGCCGATTGCAGATGGAAAAAGTATATTCCTCCTTGGATAGTGTGTCCCGTATCTCCAGATGTGTAAACTGAGGCCAGATCACATGATGGGGCTGTTGTAGAAGAGAGCTGTAGTGTGGCCGCAATGCCCAAGATTCCAGATCACCTCCTCCAGGAAGCCTTCCCTGGCCCCCAGGCATCCCCCACGGGACTACCCTGGGTCATAATCATCGGGTTCTGGATTTCTGTCCTTCCCTATCATGAAGGCAGGGGCCACTGCTTTCCTCTCTGGACTCCCAGTGCTCAGCAAACAGCCTGGCACGTAGTAGGACCTCATACCTCACCTCCCTTCCCTTTCCTTTTCCTTCTATCCCCACACCCCTGCCTCAGGTCTTGCATCCAGGTATCCCCAAAGCCCAGCCTAGATGCTGGCACATAGTAGGTACTCAGCAGATATTTCTTGAATTGGATTCTCTTCAGGTCAGAGTCTAACACACAGTAGGAACTCGATAAACATTCAGCCCTTTCTCCTCAAGGGCAGAGTCAATGACAAATTGCCCAGAGTTACTGGGAGCTCTCTTTGTTCCCGGCACTGCTCGGAGCACTTGAGGTAGGAATGTTATTACGTTCATTTTGCAGATCAGCAAATGGAGGCCTACACAGGGGAGGGAATTTGCTTGGGCCACACAGCTGTCAAATAGCGGAGCAGGGATTGGAACCCAGGCCCCCAGGCGCCAGGACTGGAATGCATGGCCTAGTTCTGAGGGCCCAGTGGCTGCCACTGTTCCTGGCACTTAGTAGGTACTGAGGTTTGTCTGTAACGGGCCCCAGAAGGACACAGTCACCTCCGAGCTGGCTGCCGCCCTCCTCCCAGGCGTGGGCATCCCTCTCGCCTGAGTGGGCCAAGCTGTCCCAAGGGACCACGGCCAGCCCAGGCCTGCCCAGGCCCTGCCGCCCACGCGGCCTCCCTGAGCCGCCAGCAGGCCAGCAGTGTGGCCTGCCCTGGGAGACCAAGCCTCCCTCTGCCTCCAGGGTGGCCCAGACAAAGGCGGCGGTGTGCCCGGCCCCCTGGCACTCGGGCTGCCTTCTTGTCCTCCTCCTCCTCTTGCTCCAGGGCACTCGCAGAGGTTCTTTTCACAAAGGAGCTGGAGGATGGGGGGCAGGGCTGGGCAGCCCCAAGGCAGGGGAAGGGAGCACTGGTGAGGCCACGCCCTGCCAGGCCTGACTCCTCTCCCAGCCCCGTCACACAGGCACCCAGTGGGCACCAATCGTGGCCTGCTGAATAATGACCATTCTGAGTACTGAGTGTGGCCAGGGTGGGGCCCTGGCACACGTGGACACCACTAATCCTCCCGACAAGAGATGGGGTTTCACACTTAGGCTGAGGAGGGGAGCGTGTCAAGGGAGCTATTATTTCCCCAGTGTAGTCAAGAGGAAACTGAGGCTCAGAGAGGCCGAGCCACCTGTCTAAGGTCATACGGTTCAAAGTGGGACAAACTCACCCCCGACCCAGGTCTACCTGATTGCCACAGATGGCATGCTACCCGCTGCCCCAACTGTCACCTAACAAACAATTAATAATAAAAAGAGAAACAATGAACATTTAGCAAGCATTTAATATGTGGCAGGCACTGTGCCTAAGGCATTACCTATATTAAGTGATTTAATCCTCCCAACAACCCTATGAGGTAAGAACTGTTATTATATCCATTTCATAGATGAAGAAACTGAGGCTGGCAAGGTGGGGCAATGCACCAAAGGACAAACAGCAAGGATTTGGTGGAGTGGGTTTCAACCCAGCCCTCCAGAACCTGTGCGCCAAACCACAGTTCTATCCTGGACGGCTGGATGGGGGACGGACAGACTGACGGATGGGACTGATGATTGACAGCTCTGTCCCACCTGCACCAGGCCTGAGGCTGGGCACCCAGTAGGAGCTTAGCCAGCATCGGCCACAAGAACACTGGGCATTCTCACGCAGTGCCTGCCGGAGGGGCCTCATGTCCCCAGCAGGGCCGGAGCTTGGGGGCGGTGGGCAGTGTGCCTGGGCTGCTGGGGGGGCCCAACTCCCTCCCGAGCAGAGCCACGGCGGCATGACGGATGTGCCCGCCACCGCGGGGAGCCCAGGGTATAGCAGTTGCCTGGAAACAGGCTGCTCTCGCGGCCCACACTCAGACCTTTGTCACCATCTCAAGGACCTTTTTTTCCCTCTTCCTCCTTTCACGATGGAGCCAGACCCTGCACGCAGGTGAGAAACCGCAGCCAACCCCACCAGCAGCCCCCTGTCACCAGGGACCATGGGGGCCCTTGGGGCCTGGTTGCGGGTGGGGAGGTAGGTGGGTGCCGGGAGGATGAGGGGAACCTGCAGCGGGAAGTCAGCGCTCCACGGGCGGCCCAGCCGAGGCTTGGAAAAATCCCGACGCTGGAATGCTTCTCTCACTGGCTTTATTTTCCCCAAGCTTCCCTGACAAAAAACGAGGCTGAGTCCTTTTTCTTAATGGCGCAATACAAGAAGCATCAGCTTCCAGAGCCGAGGGTGTGCCCAAAGGATCTGGGCAGGGCTGGGCCTCTGGGGGGCCCAGAGCAGGGGACAGGTGTGGTGCCCCCAGCACAGCAGGCACTAATTGGCTCTCATGCCGGTGGCCCTGAGAGGGGATTAACTGGGCCCTGGGGAACTGGCTGGGGATGGGGCCACGCCCCAGCCAGGGTTGGGCTTGGGGACAGGAGTGTGGAGGAGCAACAGTGAGGACTCTGGGGTCACCCCAGCATGGGCCCAAATCCCAGCTTTGTCTCTTGGGCAAGTTATTTGTCTCCCCTGTGACTCAGTTTTCTCCTCAATGAATGGGGAGGACCTAAAAGGGTGGTTATGAGAATCAAACAATATAATTCGTGTAAAGTACCTAGCACATTAGCTGGGCATGGCGGCACGTGCCTGTAGTCCCAGCTATTCGGGAGGCTGAGGTGGGAGGATCGCTTGAGCTTGGGAGGTTGAGGCTGCAATGAGCCGTGGTCATGCCACTGCACTCCAGCCTGGGTGACAGAGTGAGACTCTGCCTCAAAAAAATAAACAAATAAATAAATAAAATATCTAGCATATAGCAAGTGCTCAATGAAAGACCACAGGCGCGCTTACTCCGAGGGCCATGGGGTGCCTGGCTCCAGGCATGCCGTCAGGACTATTTCATTCTCACCCTAAGCACTCAGGGAGGCAGGAAGTCCACAGTCCACTCACTGGCCATAGGCAGAACTGAGGCTCCAGGAGGAATGGCATTTGCCTAGTGACACTGGGGAGCATGAGATGTCAGATTGACTTCCACCCCCCACCCGCCCATCAGGCTTCCGGCTTCACTGTCTCAGCCACTATCTCAACCTCCCCGATTAGCAGTGCTGAACGCTGACCCTGAAAATCAGACCTCAACGCCGCCTGCCCCAAACATTCCTGGGCTCCCCAGTGCCCAGATAAAATCCAGGCTGATTTGCTGGGCACTAGAGGCCTGTGTGCTATGGCTCCGCCCACCTCAGGTTTAAATGACACTTCCATGCCTCTGCACAGGCTGTCTCCTCTACCTGGGACACCCACCCTCTGCTTAGCCCCTTGGTGAGCCTCAGCCCTAGGGTATACTCTGCCAGAAAATCTCCCCAGCCCAGACTCCAGGCCAAGCCAGGGACTCCTCTGCTCCCTACCCTCTGGGTAGCCCTGGGAGATCTCCTCCCCGGAGTCACCAGCCAGCAGGGAGAATGCTCCCGGCCTGGTATCCTATCTCTGGAATCTCTGCCCTCCCTTGACCTCCACAGCTTCCCGGCTGGCACTCCTTTTCTCACTCAGCATCCACAGCCCTCGGCCCTCCCCATTCTGCTCCTGCAGGAGGGGCCTTTCCCTGATCACCCCAAGCCACAGGCTGACAGCCCTTCCACCACGCTGTTGCTCCAGAAGCTACTGTGTTCCTAAGGAGGGCAGGGAGGGTGGAGGGGAGGGAGAGTAGAGGGGAGAGAGAGTGGAGAAGGAGGGTGGAGGGGAGGGAGGGTGGGGAGGGAGAGTGGAGGGGTGGAGAGTGGAGGGCAGAGAGTGGAGGGGAGGGACAGTGGAGGGGAAGGAGGGTAGAGGGAGGGAGAGTGGAAGGAGGGAGAGTGGAGGGGAAGGAGGGTGAAGGGGAAGGAGGGTGGAGGGAGGGTGGAGGCAGGGAGAGTGGAGGGCAGGGAGGCTGGAGGGAGGGAGAGTGGAGTGCAGGGAGGGTGGAGGGAGGGAGAGTGGGGAGGGGTGGAGGGCAGGTAGGGTGGAGGGAGGGAGAGTGAGGAGGGAGAGTGGGGAGGGAGGGTGGAGGTCAGGGAGGGTGGGGAGGGAGACTCGGGAGGGAGAGTGGGGAGGGAGGGTAGAGAACAGGGAGGGTGAAGGGGAGGGAGGGAGCGAGCCTCACCTTTACTGAATACCTGCCCTGGGTCAGGCCCTATTCTAGGCACATGGCCAACCAGTATCTCGATGACTCCATTTCATAGAGGACCGAAAGGAGATTAGGGTTGGAGAGATGAAGGCTCCCTCTTGCCTAAGGGCCTGAGGCCTAGCTAGGCTTTTCCACTGCCTGCGCTGCTCAGGTGACGTTCTGGGGTCCCCAAGGGCCATCACAGGGCTTGCATATTCCTCATGTTCTCTCACCTGAGCCAGCCAGCCCAGGCCCAAGGCAATGGCAGTGGTGACAACGGCAGTAATCCTAACACTGGCTGATAACGGGCACCATTTAGGCACTGGGCTCCAAAACCCACATAATCCTAAACATGGAGAAACTGTTGCCCAGAGAGGCCAAGTGACTTATGTAAGGTCACACAGCTGACAAGCCATAGCGCTAGGACTTACACCCCATGATGGAAAAGCCACGACGTCCTAGAGCCTGGGACATTGCCTGGTCTCCCGGCCAAGGTGGCAGCAGCCCCCAGGCAGCTGTGGCCCCAATTCTGGTCACTGGGCCCTAAGCGTATCCTCGGCAGCCACCTGCTAATTAGCCAGGCGGCTCCTGCCTGCTCAGTGGCTGCTTTGGAGCAATTCTCCCAGGAAAGGCCGAGCTTGCAGGAGCAGGAAAGGTAATTGCTAATTTGCACGAGAGGAGACAAAGGGACAAAGGCGCCCTTGGCTGCCCGGTGCAGCCTGAGCCAGCTTCACATCCAGAGCTCCCTGCCACTTGCCATCCACCACGGCGGGCCCCAGGATGTCTGTCTGTCCCCATGACACATCCACACAGTCTCTGTTCGGTGTAGGCCACCCGGCCGCGCCCCAGGAAGGCCAGAAGAGACCATTAACGTGGCCCTGTCATCCTTCAGAGCACTGCAGGGGAGGTGTACAGGGAGCTAACGATTGAAAAAGCGGATGATTCCCACGAACGTTCCAGCATCTTCTGGACGCTCTGCGTGTGTTGCTTACAGAACCTCACAGCCGCTCATGGGTTGATACCGCTCTCAGCCCCATTTACAGGGGAGAAAACTGAGGTACAGGGATGAAGCAACTGCCCAAGGCCACCTGGTAGGACATGAAGGAGCCAGGATTAGAACTCAGCCCATCTCGCTGCTGAGCTTGTACTATTCTATGATCTAAATTGAGACTGTCTAGTTTAAGGCTCCCATTTTGCAGCAGAAGAAACTGAGGGCAGAAAGCTACAGAATGGAAGAAGCTGGGCTTTGGAGTCCCAGCTCTGCCTCGTATGTCCTGTGTGCTTCAGGACACAATCTTCCCTCTTTGTGCCTCAGTTTCTTCATCTGTAAAATGGGCTAGGAATCTCCGAGTTGTGTGGGCACTGGGGAAAGTATGTCTGGCCCTTCAAGGTGCTGCACAAAGGTGGGCTCCCTGATTGCTCCTTCGAGGGGTCCAGCAGCCCAGTGCCTCGGGGGGCTGAAGCAGGTGCGGCTAGAGCCTGGGGCCAGGAGCCCTGTGAGATGAGGCTCAGGCTGCAGGAACCAAGGAGCAGAGACTTGTGGGCAGGGCCCACTGTCAAGGGCTGGGAGGCTGGGCCGTGGCCAGGAAGGCTGGCCCAGGGAGGAGGGGGCCCGCCTGCACGAAGCCCACCTGCCAGTATCTGCCTGAGCTGTGACTAGCGCCCTGGGGCTTGGGATTAGGCAGGCCCGGGTCCAAGCCCCACCAGGCGTGCCCCTCTCTCAACCTCAGCTTCCTCATGTGCAGCCCCTCACAGAGCTGTCCTGAGGCTCAGAGAAGCTGACAGGGGCGTGCATCTGGATGACAAGGCACTGGGGGCCAGGCTGTTGAGGGAACAGTCTGGAGACCCCGCCCTCCCAGCCCAGCCAGGCCAGACACCGGATGGACACACAGGCCGAGTGGACGGTCACGTGAGGTACCTCTTCCTCTTCTCGCCGAGACCTGCCCCAGACTCTGCCTGCCTGCGGCCTGAGCTTCCCCAGGCTCTGGGCCTTTCAATATCCTTACAACAGACCTCCTGTCCCACCAAGCTGTGCCTTACAAAACCTGGTCGGGGACCACAAATCTGCAAGGCGCTATTATTGCATAGCACACATGTGCAGGAGGTGCATGCATGGGGCTGCTTATGGTAGGGGGTGTAAGGGCACTGGACGATCTCTCCTGCCCCGCACCCCCTGGGCTCTCTGAACCAGGACAGCCTGGTCTTAGCCCTCCATCAGCCCTGCCTCACTGTCAGCCTGGGCAAGTCACACATCCTCTCCAGGCCTCAACTTACCCTCTCTGTAAACTGGGGCTATTACTTCTTGTTCCATCTTCCTCATGGGGTTCTTAGAAGACTCAAGTGATAGGACAAATTTCCAACAGCTTTGAAAACAATTCAGAGTCATACCAGAATGTTAAGTTGTTAGGTTCTGGTTTTAAACGTTAGGCACAGTGGCTCACGCCTGTAATCTGAGCATTTTGGGAGGCTGAGGTGTTGGAGACCAGACTGGGCAACATGGCAAGACCCCGTCTCTAAAAACAAACAAACAAACAAAAACAGAAGAAGAAAAAAATTAGTTGGGTGTGGTGATGTGCCCTGTAGTGCCAGCCACTCGGGAGGCTGAGGTGGGATGCTTGAGCCCAGGTCAAGGCTGCAGTGAGCTGTGATCGCACCACTGCACTCCAGCCTGGGCAACAGAGCAAGGCCCTGTCTTAAAAAGTAAGCAAATAAAAATAAACATTTACTGAGAAGCTCCTATAAGCCAGGCCTCAGGCTGGGCACTTACACACATGCTTCCCAGAGTGGTCTCTGTAAGTCCCATTGCAACTCGGTTCTATGGGCTGCAAAACTCCTGTCCCTGTTTTGCAGTTGAGGACACTGAAGCTCAGAGAGTGATTTGCCTAAGATCACATGGCTGGAAAGCAGTGGACCCAGGATTCGAATCCAGGGCCATCTGCGAATCCGTCACTCAGGGTGAGGAGCTGGATGATAGTAGCCTCTTTTCCAAGTCCCCATGGGTCTTCAAACCCACTCAGCACTTTTAAGATATGGGCAGCAAGGCACCTGCCCCAGCCCCACCTACAAGGTTGGCATCACTGACTCCCGTGGGGACAGGCTACGAGGGCTCAGAAATCATTTTGTTCTGAGGCTCAAGGTCCTGCAGAGTAAAATGTGGTCTTTTGATTCCCAAATACAGGGGGTGGGAGGAGCTGGGGACACTGGCCTCCTTGCAGTTCCTCAAACCAACCAGACACACTCCTGCCTCGGGGCCTTTGCACTTGCTGTTCCCTCTACTTGGAATGTTTTTCCACCCAATTCCCGTATAATTTGCTCCTACGGGGCTCTGCTCAAAATGTCACATTTTATAGCTGAAGGCCTCTCACTGAGGCCCTCCCTGACACCCTGTTTAAAATTCTAACACCTCCTGCTCCAACCCCTTGAGTTCCCCTGGTTCTGCTTTACTTTTCTCCACGCATTTACCAGCGTCTGACACAGTGGGCCTGTTCCTTGTTTATTGGGTACTGTCAGCCTGCCCTAGAACGTCAGCTCTATGAGGACAGGGATTTTGTTTATGCCTCCAGAGTAGAGTGTCTAGGACAGAGCAGATGCTTGGCAAATATTTGAACAAGTGAATCAAACTGAGGCCCAGAGAGGAAAGCTGGTGGGCCCCAGGCTGCACAGGAAGTGAAGGGGCAGCATTTGTGTCCTGGCCTTCTGCCCAGCCCTGGGCATCTGTCCCCTCTCTTTACTGGCATGGAATCAGCTTGGCTTTGCTAGAATCAGGGGTGCAGGAGCCTGGGTCCTTGCCTCCTTCCCCTCCTGAGAGATCTGGGAGCCAACAATGGGTGGGAGAACAGCCTCCGCCCTGGGGCTGCGTCAGGGAAACAGCAATGTGGGTGTGTAGAATGTGTCCTTCCAAGAGACCCTGGCTTCCCACCTGCCCCACTCTCCATCCCGGTTCCCAGAGGCAAGGCTGAGAACAGAGCCTTCTTTTCTTTCTTCCTCCTGATTTAGGGAACGGGATCTGCCCCAGACACACTAGCTGCCATGGCGAGGTGGCAGTTCCTTGCCTTCCTGGTGGCCTCCATGGAGGATTGTTCTCCCTTTTCACAGACAAGGTGCTGAGGGCAGAGGAGCCAGGGCACCATTTGTCCAAACTTACTTGGGCAAAACCAGACCTCAAACTCTGCTCTGGCAAGTCAGACTCATACACTTCCCCTGTGCTGAGTCCCCCACAGAGGGAGGAAACTGCCTGCTGGAAGTGGCAGGTGGCCATAGCTGGGAGCAGCTGCTGGTCAGCCGCCTGCCTGAGCGCACATCTGGGTGCTGCCCTTTGCTCACAGGGGCCCTTGGGCAAGTGGCATAAGATCTCAGTGCCTCTCAGTGTTGCTGCAGGAGCCCAATGTGCAAACACACACAGAGCACTTAGAACAGACTGGCACCCACTGAGTACTCAATAAACATGAGCTGACACACTACCATCATCACCATCATTGGTGTGTGCCATCACACACACCACCATCACCATCACACCACCATTGTCATCACCACCACCACCACCATCATCTTCATCACCATCATTACCACCACCATCATCATCATCATCACCATCACCATCATCTTCATCACCACCATCATCGTCACCATCATCGTCACCATCATCACCATATTCATCACCATCATCATCACCACCATCATCACCACATCAACATTATCGTCACCATCATCACCATCATCACCATTAATACCACTATTGTTACCATTACCATCACCACTATAATCATCATCATGACGGCCATCACCATCCTCACCACCATCCCCACCATCCCCAACACCATCACCACCATCAGCACCACCACCATAACTGTGTCATGTAGCATCCGTTCCCCACAATATGCCCTGAACTCTGCCAGGGCAAGAACCACATCTATGGGTCTCAACAGTGCACCCCAGGAGGCCCTCTCCAGGTTGCTAAATGGATAAATGAGTGAATGAATGATGAACAGTTCTTTGTGCAGGGCAAAGCAGCTGATGAGGAGGAGACTCAGATTCACCCCTCCAGCCCCTCCCCCTCATTCCTAAATGGGAGTAAATCTGCTCCCATTTAGGGCACTGCCCCCTAGAGCCTACAGCCTCCCTGGACCTCAGACTCCAGTCTCTGCTCTGCACACACTGGACCAGACTCACTCCCTAAACACCTCCCTCCCCATGTTCTTCCTGCTCTACAACACTCAATGGCTCCCAATCCCTGAGATCTGGCTTTCTGGGGCCCCACTATGGGGCCATCCAGCCATATCTCCCCAGCCCTGCACCTCCCTTCAAGCCAGTTTCCTTCCCTCCTTTCCACCGCCTGTGCCCCTGCCCGACCTGGGCTTCCCAACATGGCCAGAGAAAGTGGAAATCCTCTTGATGGGGCTTGAGGCCCATGATGACCCAGCCCTGCTGACCCTGCCAGGCTCCTGAGTCTCTCCGTCCTGGAACTGGAGGAGCCTGCTTGTTGGGTAGGTCGGACCCCCCTTGATGGGACTGCAGGCTGCTTGTGTGGGGGACCCTGGCCATCTCACCAGCCCTCATGTTGGCCCCACAACAGCTCTGCTTCTCCATTTTGCAAAGGAGAAAACTGAGGCACAAAATGGATAAAGACAAGGCTTGAGGCATTCATTTAAAAAATATACACTGAGTGCTAGGAACTCAGCAGTGAACCAGACAGCAAATATTCCTGTCCTTATGGAGCCCAAGAGGAACACGCACAAAAACACAGCTTTGTCAGATGTTCATAAGGGCTCCAAAGTTAGTGTAAGGGGCTTGAGAGTGATAGGAACCAACGACATTTTGAAAAGACAATCAGGGAGGGCCTCCCTGAGGAGGTGACATTTCAGCAGAGCTCAGTGACGTCCAGGGGAACAGCCAGGAGGCCAGTGTGGCTGAAGGAAAGTGAGCAGGGGCCAAGGAACTGGAAAGAGGGACCAGAGCTGGGCCTTGCAGGTCATGGTGACTTTTGCTCAGAGAGTGATGAGAAGCCACAGGAGAGTTTTGAACAGAGAAGGAACATGGTCAGGTTTACATTTTTAACACAGCACTTTGGCCACAGTGTGAAGCGGGGCGGAAGTAACAGGGAGGACAATGAGTGCTACAGCTGGGGAGGAGGTGACAAGAGCTGGGGTAGGAGGTAGTGATGGAAAAGGCCTTGCACTCCCGCACTCCCTAGAGCACTACTTCCTGGGAAAGGGGGGCTCAGAGGAGCCAGACACTAGGGCAGCAGGGCTGGCATGGGGGACTCCAGGCAGAAGCCACCTCCTGGAGCTCAGCAAGCCTGGCACAACCAGGACAGGGGCTGGCTTCCTGAGCCAACCAGCTGGAGAGCACACCAGCCCCTAGGCTGCCCCTGACCTCCAGCCAGGGGGGTACCTGGTACTCCCAGCTCTGAGAGGGCAGAGATCAAGTCCTGTTCACCACCACAGAGGCGGTACCTAGCACAGCTCCTAGCAAAGAGTAGGTGCTCTGGCAATCTTTATGGAATGAATGACAGGACCTGGTACATAGCAGGCACCAATCAAAATGTGCTGAACAAATCAATGAATGAATGGATTGCCTGCAGCCCTGTATCATTTGCCGGTAGTTTCTTGTGTTAGTCTGAGTTCCTTAAAATAATTACAACTGCTGTGGATCGGATCGCAGAGCCTTGCCAGGAGCCAGGCCCTGAGCTAAGTCTCTTACCAGCATGAAACAACCCCAAACAGCAGGTTCTATTGCTAGGCCCATTGTACAGAGGAGGAAACTGAGGCCAAGGGAGGTTAATTAATTTCCCCAAGGTCACTCTGTTACTAGGCAGCACAGCCAGGATTCGAACCCAGGGCTGGGTTCTTCTCAGCTACATGTTAATACCTCCTGAATCAGGATCTTATCAATGACACCGTCATTCCCAACTCAACTGTAAATCCTCCTGAGGGCAGGGATCCCTGGGGTCCCTGATGAACAACCCCAATCCTCCATCACATCTTAGGCGCTGCGTTGGCTGTCCACAGCAGCTCAGAGAATGGCACTGCCTTCCCAATAAGGAACCCAAAGGCTTGGAGCTTGGGAACCTTTCCAAGAATGGTACCCCAAAGGGGCAGCGGAGGAAGGCCTTGAGCCCCCATCTTCTGGGGCCTGGCCAAGGGCTCTTTCCATAGTACCCTTCCCCCTCCTGTCCCCACAGTCACCCTGTGTACCCAGCACAGGCGCAGGGATTGAGTTCCCAAACCACGAGCCCTGTAAGCAGCAGCAGCTACTTCCTGGGGCCCAGCGGGTGTCCAGAAAACCCGCCCACACCAGAGGCCCGTCTCAAGGTCTGGGGCCACTGGGTTGACCCTGGGCTGACTTCTTACCTCTGCCTCTCTTTTTCCTGAATAGACAAAAACTGAGCTTTAGGACCTGCACAGGGAGCTGGGCATTTAAAACTGCAAGCAGGGCATGCTTAGCTATATATGCACAATAATAATTAATAACAATAATGATAACAACAGCAGCCACAGTGATGATGGCCAACACTCACCGAGCACTCAACCACGACCCTTAAGAAGCCCTCAATGCTCACTACAGCCTCCAGGGAAGCAGGTCCCATTAGCACTCCCACTTTTTTGGATGTAGAAACTGAAGCACAGAGAACTTCAGCAAGTTGTCCAAGCCACACAGCGACTATGCAGTGAATTCAGGATTCAAACTGAGGAACCCCACTCCAGAGCCAAGTATGTTGGGCACAGAAGGGAGTGGACTCCTCCAGGCAGGGGAACCAGCGGGCAGGGAATGGGATGGGATGGCCACTTATCAGGTCCTAGGGAACTGCTGGTTTGCTTTTTGTTATTGTGGGGGTTTTTTTGTTTGTTTGTTTGTTTTAGTTGGAGTCTCGCTCTGTCGCCCAGGCTGGAGTGCAGTGGCGCGATCTTGGCTCATTGCAACCTCCGCCTCCCAGGTTCAAGAGATTCTCCTGCTTCAGTCTCCCAAGTAGCTGGGATTATAGGCGTGTGCCACAACGCCTGGCTAATTTTTGTATTTTTAGTAGAGATGGTTTGTTTTTTGTTTCACCAGGTTTCACCATGTTGGCCAGGCTGGTCTCAAACTCTTGACCTCAAGTGATCCACTCACCTCGGCCTCCCAGAGTGCTAGGATTACAGGTGTGAGCCACCATGTCCGGCCAACTGCCGGTTTTGGTTTGGGTTTTAAATCATGTGCGTGTACTGCCATAAAACAAACCTCTTTCGTGCACCTTCACCCACCTTGCCCCTCCTAGGAGGCCTATCTCCTCCTCTCCCCATGGCACCGTTTCCTTCCTCACAAGAGGCTTTCCGTGCTTCCTCCCCAGCCACCAAGGCACTCTCTCCCTGTCCTAACCCCTCAGGAGGCTGCCCAAGATCATGCACTGGCCACACGTCTGCTCTTGGGGCAGCTGGTAGCTGGCCTGGGCTGGGTGTGGGGCTGCACCTCCCCATTTAGGCCCCACCCGCTGAGGGCAGAGGCCTGGTCTCACAGGAGCCGGCAGGAGGCTCTCCCAGCCTCGGCTGATGTGGAGTGGCCAGCGGTTGGCTGTGGGTCTCCATGCTACTCGGTACTCTCCCTGAACTGCAGAATCTTTGGGGGATCCCTGAGGGTGAACCCTACCAACAGACCCTGCTTGTGCCTAATATCCCAAGGTTGGCACCCTCTGCCAGGCAGATTCACACCCAACTCCCCAGCCTGGGATGAACCACCATCCAAGACCAGGTAACACCACAGAGGATCCCAGAATCTAAGCCTTGCTGTCAGAAGGATGGCGATTTAAGGAGCTGAGGACACAACCCTTCCCTGTGCTAGCTGGAGTCTGTAGTCTGCCTCTTCCCAGCTTTGTGCTCTTGGGCATCTTACTTAACGTATCTGAGCCTCCGAATCTCCATTGGCGAGATAAGGATCCCAGCGGCCACCAAATTTGGACAATCACATGGGGTCGTGTGCATAAAGTGTTTAGCACAGGGCCTGGCACTTCCTAAGCACTGGGCAATACTGGCTGTGTCATGACTGCCATTGTTCTCACTCCACAGCAGACACGGACTGAGGACTTCATGTATTCCAGATTCTCCCCACAGCAACTGGAAGAAGTAGCTGACGTTGCTCTCCCCATTTTACAGATGTGAGAATGGAAGAAGTTAAGATGGATCCAAGCCAGTTGGTGAGTCAGGATTCGAACCCAGGGCTCTTGTTCCCGCTCTCAGTCCTGTAATGCACAGCCTGAACTCCGTGGAGCCCACTGCCCCTCGCCCCTCCTCCCCGATGACCAGCCTCTGATTGGAGCAGCAGGACTCCCGGCCTCCACTTCCCACCACCTTTGGCTTGGCGCCGTCCCTCTGACCTCTGGCTTCCATCAAGGCCCCCTCTCCTCCAGATCTGGGGGCTGGGGCCCTGTCAATCCTGGAGGCAAACCCAGCTGACTACTACCCTCCTGGAAGCCCCCCAGCCCAGTTTCCCTGCACAGGCTCTGGCTTCCCTTCTACCTCTGCCCACTGCCCCTTCTGCAGCTCTCTGCTCCAGTATCCCCTGCCCCGGACTCCATGTCCGTAAGGTCTCACTGCCACTGGCCACGCCACAGGCATAAGCAGAGAGCAGTTCTTGTTTCCGATGCTGAGCACTTGACATGGAGTCTCTCTTCAGCTCCCCAAGGCAGCTCTGAGAGATAGGTCATACTATCGCATCCTTTTCTTTTTTTTTTTTTTTTAGACAGGGTCTCGCTGTCACCCAGGCTGGATGGAGTGCAGTGGCACAACCACGGCTCACTGCAGCCTTAACCTCCCAGGCTCAAGTGTAGCTGGGACCACAGGCATGGCGCCACCATGCCCAGCTAAGTTTTTTTAGTTATTATAGAGACACAGTCTCACTATATTGCCAGGGCTGGTCTCAAACTCCTGGGCTCAAGTAATCCTCACACTTCGGCCTCCCAAAATGCTGGGATTACAGGCATGAAATACTGTGCCTGGCCTGGGTCCATTTTACAGATGAGAAAACTGTGGCTCAGAGAGGGGCAGCAACTTGCTTCAAGGTCATTCAGCTCATGAGTCACAGAGATCCACTGAAACCCCGGCCAGTCTGAGCTCCAGAGACCCACTCGGTGGCACTGCTTCACCTGGCTTCATCACAGCTTCTAGGGTTACTGATTCCATCTCAGTCACAATCCCGATCACAGCTTCCTTTCATTGAGGGCTTGACTGTCCACACCTTGGTATAGATACTTCTATACAATAGCATAGAAGGAGGATATAACTGAATCCATAGCTATTGTCATCCCATTTTACAGATGAGGAAACTGAGGCTCAGAGAGGGGAAGTAACTTACCCAAGACTGCACAGCAGTAAGCGGCAGAACCTGGACCCAGCCCCTGGCTCCAGACCCCCACTGCTCTGCTGACCTGCAGGGGCCTCGAATCAACATAAAGCCTTTCACCCCTAGCCTGCTCCTGTCTCAACCTCAACCTCCAGAGAACATCCATCCTCCATGGAGCCTCCCAGCCTGAGCCCTCTGAGCTGCCTCCCTTCTTCTCTCCCCTCAGCCCAGGCTTCCCTATCACCCCACAGAGAGCCTCGGAGCCACCCTTGGGAGCTTCACAGCTGCCTGGCTTTGGGATCTTTGCTCTGAGAGACCCCAAGATGGAGCAGCAGCCCCTATGCTGTGGCCCACCGGGCAGGCTTGGTTTTATGCCATCTTCCCAGCTACCCCTTGGGGTACGGGTTTTATCACCCCCTTATACAGAAGGGGTCAGGGATCAAAGCAGGCAAGCCATTTGCCCAGAACCACACAGCTGTTGCCAGAGTTGGGATCCAAATGCAGGACTGTCCTTGGCCATACCGCCTTCTGGATGTCCCTACAGTGGCTCTGCCCAGTCAAGAGCCCCTGTTGCCCGGGGAGACCCCTCTTCACATCCTCATGACAATGACAATCCCACGAGTTAAACATTTCACATGGATTCTTGCCTTTAGTTTTTCCCAACAACCTGCAGGGGAGGGGCAATCATCACACCCATTTTACAGACGAAGAAACTGAGGCACCCAGTGGTTGCTTAGCTGGGGGCCCAGCAGAGCCTGTGCCTTGGTTTGCTAACCTGTAGAATGGGGTCATAACACAGCCTTGCAGGGTGCTTGAGGACTGTGCAAGGCTGTGGAAGCCAGGGGCTCTCGGAAACACCCCTGAGGGCTGTCCTCAGACAAGGCCGGAGGCCCGATTGTGTTTTTCTCGACTCGCCAGCATCCAGTCAGGGCCTGGCCTGCTGAAGGAAGGGCCCCATGTCTCCTTGAACATTTCCTCAGCCCGGGGATGCCGAGAAAACGATGAGTCATCCACCCAAGCAGAGGCCTCCCAGGAGCTTGTGTCGGGTCCCAGCCGGGAGGGGAGGGCTCCAAGCTGGAGAGGGGGCCCGGGTAACACGATGACTCCCGCGCTGGCCCCGAGGCCTAAGTCACGGGGTCCCCTCCACGGCCTCCCACCGCCACAGGCTGCCAGCCTACCGGACACCCTTGGATGCTGTGCCCCAGATCCTGCCCCTGCGCCTTCACCCCAGATCTGCACCCCGGTTTCCTAAACCACTCTTCCCACCCACGAATCCCAGGGTTGCCTGCGACCCTCTAGCCTCCCTCACCCCACTCCCACCTCACCTAGCCCCAGCCACTCAACCGCTGGTCCGTCGAGGAAACCCGTCACGCCTTTCTCCCCTCACCTCACTATGCCTCTGCCTGGTTTTCCTTCTCCATCGCCCTCTTGCCTCTCACCACAGAATCTGAGCGTTCCTTCTAAAACCCCAACGTGACCTTAGCTCCCTCCACGTGAGAACCCTCCTGTGAGCTCCCTGCTGTGCCTGATGCGATGGGCTCTTCAGATCTCTCTCCTCCATCTGGCCCCAACCAATCTTGCCAGCTCACCCCTTCAGGACCCCACTGTGGTTCTCAAGCTGACTTGGCCATTTACTCATCTCCACTCCATCTAGAATGTTCTTCCAAACATGCTTCTCTAAGAAAATTGGCCCTGGGATCCGTCGTACAACGCCCACGCTGACCCCGCCAAAACCAGTCCCACCCCCCGGAATGAGCTTCCCTATGCTCTGCTCTTGCTGAAAAGTTCTTTTTGGACTTCAAGGTCCAGGTGAAATGTCACTTTCCCAAGGACTTCTCAGGCCCTGTCCCGTGGGAGGGTGGGTCTGCGCCCTGGGGCTGCTCAGGGCCTCTGTGTAGAACTAGGCAGTTCTCAGAACCCGGCTCTGAGACATCTGCTGAACCACCCTGCCCAGTGGGGAGCCCCTTAAGGGCAGGGGCTGGTCTGGGTCCTGGGGACACGGCAGCAAAAAAACACAGACGCAGTCCGCCCTGCTAGTGCTCATGGCCTTGGAGGAGACAGATCCTAAGCACAGAAAGTAGTGAAATACACATAATGTCAGGCAGGGATAAGGGCCACAGAGGAAAAATCAAGTAGAAAAGAGAGATGGGAGATGGTCCAAGGGATCTAAGGTGGGCCTCACTGGGTGATCAAGGAGGCCCTCTCTGAGCAGGTGACATTTGACCAAAGACCTGAAGAGGGAGAAGAGCTGGCCATGCAGAGATCTGAAGAAAGAGTATTCCAAGCTAGAGGAAGGCCAGTGCAAGGGGCCTGGGGCAGGACTGTATTTGGCGTGTTTGGAGAATAGCAAACAGGCCAGTGTGGCTGAGGCCAAATGAACGAGGCGAGAGGGAATTGAGAGCAGTGGGCAGCCAGGGCCAGATCGCGCAGGGCTCTGCAGGCTACTGGGAAGGCCTTGGCTCTTGCTTTGAGTGAGACAGGAGTCTTGGAGGGTTCTGGACAGAGGAGGGAGAGAACCTGACTTGGGGTTTCCAAGGTTTCCTCTGGCTGTTTGTGGGAAGAAGGGGTTATGTGGGCAGGGAACAGGGTAGACACAGGGGGCCCCGGGGAGAGGCAGCCACCTCTCCAGGCTTGGACCAGGCTAGAGGCAGTGGAGGCCATGAGACATGGTAGAATTTGAGATGTGCTTTGAAGGTAGAACCAACAGGATTTGCAAATGGGTTGGATTGGGAGGGAGAGGAGGTCAGAGAAAGGGGTCGGAAGTGACTCTCAGGTGTGGCCGAGGAAGGGGAAGGCTGCAGCTGCTGTACAGGAAGGGCAGCGAGGAAGTGAATAAATGAATGACCTGGGCTTGGGAACCAGTGGCTCACACTCAGCTCTGGAGCTCATTGGGACCTTGAGTGAGTTCCCTCCACTCTGCCTTAGTTTCCCCATCTGCAGGGGAGGAGCTCCATGTCCAGGGTGGCCAAGAGGACTAGTGCTCCGGGATCCACAACCACGTGGGTGAGAGGATGGGCCCAGCCTCCCACCTGCTCTGCCGTCTCCCCACTCCCCACGACTCCCGTCTGCTAGCCCAGCAGCCCGCCCAGGCCAGGCCTGCAGCTGCAGTTGAAATCGGAGGGGAAGAGCATGGACGAGAGGCAGCAGGGGCATCCGTCTCCCACAAGGCTGGGTCTGGCCAGGTGGGAGGGCAGCCTTGAGGTCTAGAAAGCTTACGTGGGGTGCCCTCACTAAAGGCGAGAGGGCACCATGAGCCAGGGGTGGGTGGAGAGCTAGGGCACCCCTGCTGCCTTCACTCCCGGGGGTCCTCCCGTGCCCCTGCCTCCAGGCTCTGGGGTTTGGAGGGTCAGACAGAGCCCTGGAGCTCCAGCCCAGCTGTGTGTTCACTGTGGGCCTTGAGGAGGTTCCCTGGCCTGTCTGGTACCAAGTTCTCATCTACTTCACAGAACCCAGGGGAGATTAAATGGAATAATGTATCTGGCACATGGCAGGGGCTTGAAAAATTGGGAGATGGGCTCAGACCCCTGCCGGAGGGAGGCAGTCATTACGCCAGCCATTGTGTGTTCTCCTCACAAATCCAGACCCCAGGAACTCAGGTTCCCAGCCAGGGGGCCGGGCGGGGGTGGCGTCCATACAGGAGAAGGGCGAGAGGCTTGTCCCTCTTCTCAGCAGGTGCCTGCCAGGCCTTGGGAAAGCCCTCCAGCGCCCTTCCTTGACCTCTGGGATCTGACACCTGGGAAGAATTCAGAGGCAGGGAGATCACTGGAGCCTTCTGTATGTCATAACTAAACATAATGAGGCTCACTGCAGGGCAGGAACCAGTCAGGGCAGCAAGAGACCCTGAGTCTGCAAGTTCCCAGCTCTGGGGGCTCATGCCACATCTCCATCCCTCACCATGACTTCTGGTGCCAGGTGCAGTGCCCACTGCCTGTAAGCCCAACTACTTGGGAGGCTGAGGCAGGAGGATCACTTGAGCTCAGGAGTTTAAGACCAGCCTGGGCAACAAAGCGATAATCTGTCTCAAAAAAAAGAAAAGAAAAAGCCTTCTCTGTTCAATTCAATGCAACATTTCTCAGGCCCCTGATAGTACTGGAGACACAGAAATGACTCAGATACAACCTCTAGGGAACTCATAGTTGCTGCCTACCTACTCTATGCCGGGGACTTGGCTGGGTGCCTCGTCTCCACTGTACCATTTAATATTCACAACATCCTTCATCACCATTCCCATTTTCCAGATGAGGAATATTGAGGCTCAGTGAGATCACATAGCAGCTAACATTTCCTAAGATTTGCTACATTTGGGGGCCCTACGTGCATGAAAGCATTAATTTCCACATCACTCCTAGAAGAGGAATATGATTACAGTTCCATTTTACTGATGAGAAAATTAAGGCCATGGGAGGCGGAGGTTGCAGTAAGCCAATATTGCGTCAAAAAAGAAAGAGAGAAAGGAAGGAAGGAAGGAAGGAAGGAAGGAAGGAGGGAGGGAGGGAGGGAGGGAGGGAGGGAGGGAGGGAAGGAAGGAAAATTAAGGCCAAACTGATAAAAGGGCAGAGATGGGATTTGAACCCAGGGTCCTGTAGCATTAAAGCCCAGGCCCTTTACCTGTTCTCTACATCAAAGTGGACTCAAGAGTTCTTGTTCTAATAAGCCACTGGCCCTGGTGGGTGCTGTCACCAACTTCCAGCTGCTTCTTTACCTGCTTTGGGGCCCATGGGCCTAGCCTCGTTCTCTGTTTTTTTTGAGACAGAGTCTCCCTCTGTCACCCAGGCTGGAGTGCAGTGGCATGATCACAGCTCACTGCAGCCTCTAACTCCTGAGCTGAAGTGATCCTCCTGCCTCAGCCTTCTGAGTAGCTGGGACTACGGGTGCGTGCCAACATGCCTGAGTTTTTTAAAATTTTGCATACAGACGGGGTCTCACCATGTCCCCAGGCTGGTAGGCCTGGCTTTGACATGAGTGAGCAGGGTGGCCTCAAGCACATTCCTTAGCCACCATCCTCAAATGACAGCAGAGCCTTTTCCAGTTTGCCAAGAAGTGGAGTTTTAGAGCCCATTTTCCAGAAAAGGAAACTGAGACTGAGAGAGGCCAGGCAGGCTACTTGCCCGTGGTCATGTGGGAATTAAACAGTTGAGTTAGGACCCCATAGGCCCTGGCCCCCTCACTTCAAGTTCAGAGCCTTTTCTCCCAGGACCTTCCCGCCCCATGCTTGGCTTTGGGCTTTGTTATAGGACCATAGCAAGAGGCGGGTAGGGGGTGGCAGTGGGAAGCTGGAACAAGGAGATGCCTTGGCTGCAGTCATGGGGACGGGGGTATGGCACCACCTCTTATGGCCACCTCTTGGCTTCAGCCAGCTGCTGAGACTCCGGGGATGGCAGGGGCCAGGGCAGCAGCTCAGGTGACTTGGTGATGATGGAGGACATCCCAACAGCACCACACTGGCAGACAGACAGGGTGAGTCCAATCCAGATCTCACATGAGTGCAAGCACACGCAGTCACACCCGCAGCTGCCAAGGCCCACAGCCCAGGTGCTCACATAGATGCCGACAAACACGCAGAGGAGCCTCTCCACCTGTGCCCTGCACACACTCCACGCACACACACACAAGCATTTCCAGCCTGCACATAGATAGGAACAGCACACTCACACCCACACAGTTGCACTTTTACACACACACACATGCACGCACATGCGTGTTCTAGCCCGTGAGCACACACATGTTCAGGATTCAGTCGCACAACCTCTGAGCTAAGATCTGGCTTGAAGAAGCCCAGGTATGCCTGAGGCCCTCCACTTGGTCCCCAGACACCCCCAGCCACAGGCTCCCCACCCCCCAATCCTCCCAGCAGCATTTCTGAGGTCCCAGATGGGCCTTCCAGCCTCCCAGACGTGCAGGGACGACAAAGCAGCCTGCAGGGGCCATAAAGCAGAGGGTTTTCCTACCAGCTCCTACCCAGGGAAGAAGGGTGCACGGTGTCCCCACCCCTCAGCAGACAGTGACCCAGGACTTAGAGGGGAGGCCCCAGGAAGGCAGAGCCTGACCTGTCTGCATCACCCTGGCACCGAAATGCAGCCCCCCAGAGTTACCCAGGACCATGCCACCCAAATCACAACGTGTAACTGACAAAAACGCACGCTCTGCCACTCACAAAAAATGCAAATGGAGCCTGTGCCAGGCATCACTGTCAACCTTCTTCCAAAAGCCCCCCCAGGACCCAGGACAACAGAGGCATCCTCCCTCCTCCCCACCCCACACCCATCTTCATGAGCCCTAGGAAAGCCCACAGACTTTATGTTGTGCCAGTCCTGCCTCAGGCAGCAGCCTGTGAATACAGACCTCTTGACCAGAGGGATGCTTTGAAACTAATTCAGACTAAAGTGTAATGGACTGAAAGCTTGACATGAAGGACCTGTGCTTTCAAATTGGATCAGGTTGCAAGACCCTTCAAAGTCAGAATGGAGATGTATGCAAGGCCCTGGCATTGGTGTGGACTAGGGGAAGTTCTGAACCTCCCTAAGCCTCAGTTTACTCATGTGAAGGTAGCAGTAATCACAGCACTGGCCTCTAGGCTGCTGTGAGAATTCCACAAGCTGATGCGTATCAGCGCCTCAGCCCAGTGACAGGCACACAGTAGGTGACCCCCGAAACAGCCGCTATACTGATAATTCAGAGAAAACCAGGAAATATTGAGGGACTCAACCAAAGGTCACAGCACATATTACGCGGTGCTAAGTCAGAGGCCATTTCCCGCCCAGACCAGCGGCCGCAGGTGCCAAAGGTTTACACAAAAGCTCTGGGGAGAAAGACTTAGGCCTCAAAATGCTTTCCACTAAATGAACGTTGTTGCAAACTGGGAAAAGACCACCATTAGTCAATTTGGGTAGTGGAACACCTGGGGTCCAGCTTGCAAAAGCCTGGTTTTGAGAGTGGAGTTTGGCAATCTCGAAGTTTCCCTTGGGGAATGGGGCTCTAACGGTGGGATTCCTGGCATGTGGCAGGTCCACGGAGAAGCTACAGCAGTGCACAGAGAACCCTGTTCCAGTCCTGGCTCTCAACAAATGGAAACTTCCTCTCTCTAGGCCTCAGTTTTCCCATCTGGAAGATGGTACAGTTGGGCTGAGAACCTCTATCTCTCCACGGAGACTTGGGGCTCTCTGATCCTAGGAACTGACAGACAGCCCAGGGCCCCACCTCAGCCGTAACCTGTGGCCCTCGCAGGCTCTGGGGACGGCTCCACGCGCTCCACTCAGAGAGGCCAGAGGAAAAGGAAAGGGGTTGTTTTACTTTGTGGCCAATGCCGGAACGGAATTGGAGGGTCTTGTCTCCAAGGGGTTTGCTTCCCCCGCTTGGCAGCCCACAGGCCTGGAGCAGGCCAAACGTAAGAAATAATAAATCCTCACCAGGCTTCACCCGGCCAGGAGGCCCCCAGCTGGCTCTTGTCATAAAGAGATCTTATCCCCACCAGCACCCCTAGCTGCCCGTGGAGGACTCCGCCCTCCTCTCCTCCATACCCTGCTTCCACCTTCTACTTCCTGTGACAACCTGCAAACTGGAGGCCAACTTGCCTCTCCCCCACGCCCAGGCTTCTCCTCGACCCCCGCCCTGCCCCACCCCCACTTGGGCCCCAGCTGCAGGAGGCCCTGTGGAGTGTAATTCCCCTCGCCCTCTCTCTGCCCTGGGCCCGTCCGGACAGATTAAGCCTTTGTCACACACACCCAGAAAAGCTCAGGGCCAGATGGGACAGGACAAGTGGTGTCAGATCATCGACCCGAGGCTGGCCGGGACTAGGAGAGGGCCCTGACCACAGCACCGCATATGGCTGTGGGAGGAGGAAGGGAGGCCCAGGGTGGGGGCAGCCAGAGAGCAATGGGGAAGAGAGGTGACACACCATGGCCACCCTGGGGACAGAGGCTATATGGGGCCTGTCTGCTGGATGACCCAACTCCCACCTCCCTTCTTCCTTGGAATCTTTCTACCTGCTCTCTCTTGAAGCCCCCATGGGCTTCTTTATCCTGTCCTCAGCTATGCCCACCACCCCCGACAGCTGGGTGACCTGGGAGCAGGCACACAGCCCCACCCACCCGAGCACCCCAGTGCCCGCACAAGGACTGTGGGTACTAAACAAATGCTTTTGACAAAGGTTTATGGCCCAATGACCTTCACAAAAACCCACCGAGGACCAAACTACAGGCTCTCTCCCAAATGACACCAGGGGTGAGGGGGTGTGTGTGTGTGTGTGTGTAGGCCAGGGAGACGTCCTTTGCACCTTTCAAAGGAGGTCCCATTCAGCCCCTCCCAGGAAGAGGCCAATGGCTGCCCCAGAATTCCCAGCAGGATTTGTTCCTCTTGGATCAGTGAAAAGGAAAATGGAAATATAAAAATAATAACTGGGCCCCAGGAAAGAACTTGGAGATGGGGGTGGCATCTCCTGCCTGGCTCCGGCTGGCTGGGCGAGTGGCAGGTAACTGACGGGCTCTCGGGACCAGCAGGCCAGGCAGGCGGGCGTGGGGAGCCCGAGGGGCGGGCTGTCGAGGGAGGGCACGTCTGTTGTGTTTGTCGATCTCCTGGCAGCCTGGACTGGGAGGCCTGGGTCCCCTTTCTCTGCCTCCCAGGCAGGTGGTCCCTTGGGGAGGGCTCATTATTGGTCTGAGAGCCAGGGTGGAGACTGGGGACGGTCGCGCTGCCAGGGGCAGGCAGAGCGGGTCAGCGTGGGTCTCAAGGAGCATCTGAAGCCAGCAGCTGGGCCGGCAGGACCTGGGGTCCAGGCCCAGCACCCAGTTTCTGCATGTGGCCTGGATAGGGGGAGGGGGTGCTCAGCCTCTACAGCTGTGTGGATAAAGAGTGGACGACTGCTCCAGATGCCCACTCCCTAGGGAGAAGTCGAGCCACACAGAAAGCCAGTGAGCCAGCTGCCAGGTCTGGGGGGTCACCCCCCAACTCCAGGAGAGGGTGGACTCAGGGCTCCTGCCTCAGACTAAGAAGGTTGGGCCAAGGCTTCCAGCTCTTCAGGGAGGTGTAACCAGGATGGGGGGGTGGGGTGGGGCACCGACCCGGGAAGCCCTGATGGCAGAGGGCACTGACCTAGGGTAGGGGGCAAGACCCAGCCAACCATCTCGTGGGTCACTGACCTCAGAAAAACCGCCCTCCGGCGGGGGGCAGTGACCCAAGATGGGAGAACCGAGGAGGGGACCGACCTGGCAGGGTGGGGAGGGCTGACCCATACTCCCCATCTGGGAAAGTGGCACTGATTTGGGCTGGGGGAGGGGTCCTGGACTCGATCGGGGGAGGGGACAATGACCCAGACTCGCCGGGTTTGAGCGAGAGTGCTGATTTAGGCTGGGAGGGTCCCAGCCTTGCGCGGGCTGGGTCACTGCCCCAGCTTCCCCCTCGGGGAGCCCGGTCCCGGCGCGCCCCTCTGCCCGGCCCCCTGTTCCCGGTCCGGCCGGAGGCGGCAGCGGCGCAGATGGGCTGCTGGCGGCCGCAGCGCGGTTATCAGCGCTCCTCGCAGATGGGCCGCCCGCCCTCCGCGCTCGCGGCTCCCACTCCCCGCGGCCTGCAGCCCCGTCCCCTGGGCGCGGGGGGAGGCGCCTCCGGATCTGCTCCCCGGCTCCCGCCTCCCTCCCTCGCGGCCCCCTCACCCCGCGGGCCCGGCCCGGGCGGCCGCGGAGGGGGAGGGGGAGGGGACAAGTGCACTTTTCGTAACGACCGAATCAATTGTGTGTGAAGAGCCCGCTCCGGCCGGGGACGGGGCTGAGCGCGGGGCGGGCGGGCCGGCCGGGGGAGGAGCGCGGAGGGGGGAGCGGGGGAGCGGGGGAGGGAGGGAGGCCGGCGCGGGGCGGCCCGGCTCTCGCGCTCCGGCCGGGGAGGGAGCAAGGAGGGCGGGGGGAGGCCGGCGCGGCCCGACCGGGCCGGGGGCGGAACGCACTAATGGAGGGTCTCGGCGACGGAAAGTTCAAAGCTCAGCAGCGCCCCGGGAGCGGCCGCCCCCCCCCCAGCCCCCACCCTCTGCAGAACAATGAGGTCCCGGCGGGGGAGCCGCGGGGCCCGCGCCGCACGCCCTCTCCAGGGCGCCCCGGGCCAGAGGGGACGCCCCCGCCCGGCCGCCCGCCTCCTCCCTTTAGGCGGCTGCGGTTCCCCGCCCCCTCCCCCACGCCACCCCGCCCGGACCGGGCCGGCCCGGGGGACGGGGGAGGGGAGGGGATGGATAGGTCAGGCCTCCCCCGTCCCATGAAGGGGGAACGAGGGGCCCGGGGGGCTGAGGGGGCGCCCCACCCACCCGCGGGAGGCTGCTCCTGCGCCAGGCTGCGGCTCCGGCCGCCCCTCCCCGGGCCAGCCCCGGGTGGGGTCGGGGCGACAGTGCCCGGGCGGGCCCCCTCCCCTGGCGCTGGGAGGCCCGGCGGACTCCCCGTCCCGCGGCTGCCCCTGCCTCCCTCCCCCCCCCCCACCCCGCGGCACCACCCTCCGCGCGCGCACACACACACACACACACACACACACACACACACACCGCCCAGCCGGCCCGGGGGCGGGAGCGCGAGGCGCCCGGGACAGGCAGCCCCGGGGCGGGCGGGGGGAGGCTCGGGCTCCAGAGCAGCCGCCTGCTGGCGGGGGGAGGGGACAAGAGGACGGAACATGCTGGGGTGAGCAGCCCGGGACAGCCTGCCCGGCACGGCCACGGCCCGGGCAGCGGCGCGGAGGGGGGCAGGGACGCCCCGAACCCGGAGCGCTGCCCAGGCGAGCCGGGAAGGGCCGGTGAGCAGGGACGCGTGCGCCTCCGGCGGGCCCGACACACGGACAACCTCAGGGACACACGTTCGGACACACATCCACACCCCCACCCCGCCCCCGCCCGCCTGCCCCAAGCCCCGCGGCGGGACCCGCCCGCGGCCGCCGCGCGCGCACTCACCGAGCCCGTCTTGACCGGCACATACACCACTTGGCCCATCTTGGGTTCCCGGCCGCTGCCCAGGCGGAAGCCCTTGGAGCGCACCCAGAACTGGAACTTGCCTTTCTCGCCGGCTGCGGGGCCGCTGCCCGCGCCAGTCCCGCCGCCGCCCTGCAGGACCTCGGCGATCCGCTGGTATTTGCTGCGTGTCACCGTCTTGGTTTTGGCCGAGTCGCCGTAGGTGCGCAAGCACCAGTCCCGGAACTGGCGGCCCAGCTCCGAGTCCCCGGGGCTGCGCTCGCGCTCCCAGCCCCCGCGCAGCAGCAGCGTCGGCTTCGGCATCCTCCCGCCGCGCCCGGCGCCCTCGGGGGCGGGCCGGCCGCCGGGCCGCCCGGTGCCGGGACTGGGCTGGGCTGGGCTGGACCGGGCCGGGACGCGCCGCGGCCGCGTCTGTCCCGCGGTGTGGCTCCGGCGAGGCTGCTGGATGGGCGCGGGCGGCGGCCGGACGCGCGGGGCTGCGGCGCGCTCTGTCCTGCTCGGGCGGCGGCGGCGGCGTTGGCGGCGGCGGCTCCGGCTCGCCTCCTGCTCCGCCTCCTCCTCCCCCCGGCCGGGATGCAGGAGCGATGGAGGCAGCTCCGGGCCCGGAGGTGCAGAGGGGGCGGGCCGCCCCGCGGGCGGCCGGGGGAGGCGGGAGGCGGGGAGCGGCCCCGAGCGCTGGGAGCGAGACCGAGCCTGGGCGCGGGCGGCAGCAGTGGCTGTCAGCTTGCGCGGCTCATCCTGCTCTTGCTCAGGCTCCCGCTGCCGCGGCTCTTCCTCCTCCTCCTCCTCCTCCTCCCGCGCCCGCCTCCACCACGCCGCGGGATCCCACCTGTTAGAGCGGCGCAGCCTTCGCCGCCGCCCGCCCCCCCCTTCCTCCTGCGCCCGCCCGCCGGGCCCAGCCCCCGCCCGGCCCGGCCCCTGGGGGCGCGGGGGCAGCCGCGCCCGCAGCCGCCGGGAGGGCAGGAACCACAGGCGCGCAGTGCCCAGCCCAGGAACCGCGTTCCGTCTGGCCGGGCCGGGCCCGGAGCTTCGCAGGCCCCGCTCCTCCCGGACGCGGCGGTCCCGCGGGGAGTAGGGCGCAGACCCCAGCCCAGACGCCGACCTCCCGGCCGCCCCGCCCCACTTAGCCAGGCCGGGAAGGTGTAGGGCAGGCTCCCCCTCCCTCGCTCCCGCAAGTGACTTGACCTCTCCCGTGAGCCGAAGCCAGAAGAGCAGTGTTCCCCTGGGGGAACCCCACATCGCCGCCCTTCGGGGCCCCCAAACTTCCTCTCCTTTTGCCTCACCCTGAATTCCCCGAAGTTTGGCCAGCTTTGCCTCTGCTTGCCTGCCCCACTGCTCTGGGACAGGCCCAGGCCCCCTGGGAAGTCGCCTGTGGCCTCAGCCCAATCCCACCTCCGCTTCAGAAAACTCTCAACACATCCACAAACTCATCCTGAGACACCCTGCCTTCCTGAGTGCGCCTTGACCTAGAATCTCTTGCTGAGTAAACTCAGGTAGCCCCACCGCCCCCCTCCTACCTGGGCAGATCTGACCTTGGGTAGAGCTAGCTGGTCCCCTCCCCCTTAATGAAATTACCAACATAAATAAAGGCACAGGCCAATTCCCCAGGATTTCTGTGCCCCTACCCCCCACTTCCTTAACAGGTCATGAGGAATTGCTGCACTTCTCTCCCAGCTGTCCCCGGGGGTCCACCCCATGTCCCCATGACACTCCTGCAGGCAAGTCACCATCCAAGTCCTGAGGCCCAGACTTTGTCTAGTGCAGGACCGTTTCCTGCGTAGGAACTACTGTCTACTCCCATCCCAAAGTCCCCCACCCCAGGACCTACTACGTGCCATGTCCTGGCAACTCTGAGAGGCAGAGGGAATGGCTCCATTTTACAGACGAAGACCTGGGGCTTGGAGAGGTGGCCTGACCTGCTCAAGGTCATGCAGGAAGGAGGGGTGGGTTTCAGCTCATGTGCATCTGGCTGCTGCTGCCATATCACACACAAACTCTTCCCCTTTCACCGCGCTCGGAGAGAGCCCCACGCTGTGTATACCTGGCTCACTTCCCCCAGTAGACAGGGAGCTCCAGATGCTCAGGGCCATATCTGACCCATCCTCATATGCACAGGCCCTAGCACAACACCTGGCACACAGTAGGTGCCAGTAAATGCTGAAAGAACCCTAGAGGTCTCCCAAGCCCCAACCTCTCTCTGCATTTCACATGGGAGATTATTTTTAGATAATTTACATTTCATGTTACTTTATATACACCAACAACTCCACAGTCATTTTTCCTCTTTATCTTCTCAAGAGCTCTTTTTGGATCTATGCTGGTATGCATGCCCGTTTTTAAGAGGTGACCACTCAGAGCGGGGAAGGCACTACCCAAAGGCCAGCCCCAGGGGCGCAGGGGCTTCTGTGATTAAGAAGCTCAGACCCTGACTTTTTCCATGTGTCCCTTGACGGTTATCCTTCCAGCACACTCTTCCTGAGAGCAGAGATGCTCTAGCCTGGCAATGGTAATGATAACTGTGGCAAATATGCCCTGTGCCTGGGTGGTGGGGTCCTTGTGTGAGCCCTGGTCTCTCTGTCCAGTTCCAGGACCCACTTCAATAACCACTAAGCCGGACCACCTCTCCACCCAGGCTGGGTCTTTGCCTGCCTTTCAGAAGCTAAAAACCTGGTTGTCAATCTTGGGCTGAGTTCTGGCACAGCAGAATGTATAGTATAATGAAAAGAACATGGGCTTCGGGTGGAGTCAGATTTGGAAGTGAATCCTGATGATTATTTGGCGTGGCATTCTTCATGCTCACAGGTCCCACTTGGCTACTTCACAATGGAATGAAGCCATCATTCCACCCTTTGCTGGGTAACCTCAGGCAGGTCACTGAGCCCCTACTTCATCATCTGTATAGCGGGACAGGATGTCACAGATGTAGAGATTCAACAGGATGAGAGTGCCTGAGCTGTGACGGGTGCCCAGTAAGTGCCATTTTCTCCCTCATGGGGCCTCGAAGTATTCAAGGAGGAAGACAGGCATTGTTGGCACTTTTTGTGCTTCATTCATTCAACAAACATTTGTTTAGCAGCCATTGTGCAGCAGGGGCTTGGGATATGGTCATGGGATCCCCAAGGTCCCTGCCCTACGGGAGTGCACCAATGGGTATGGAAGATGGCTATTGAACAAACCAGCTATTGATCACAACAGCCCGGGGAATGGGCCACGAAGGAAAGAGAGAGCTGTGATAGCAAATAATGCAAAGAAGGGGCTGCTTTTCTTAGGGGGATCAGGGAAGGCCCCTCTAAGGAGGTAGCATCTGAGCAGTGACTTAAATGACAGGTGCCAAGGCATGCTGTTCCTGCATTCCAGGATGAGGGAAGAGCAAGGGCAAAAGCCCCAAGGTGGAAGGAGATTGGCATTTTCTAGAAGCTGGAAGGTGTCCAGTGTGGTGAGACTGAAGTGAGGGAGGAGGGGTTGGAGGGCAGGAGTCTTGAAGACCCTGGGAAATACTTTGGATGGCATTCCAGCTGCTATGGGAGCTACTGGCGAGTTTTAAACGAGCAGGACTGTGGGGTAGAGAAGAAGTGAGGAGAGGAGGGCAGCTGCAGGGGTCCAGAGGTCTGTGGTCTTGGAGGTCAGAGGCCTGGAGGTGTCCCTACTGTGTGACAGCTC
This sequence comes from Homo sapiens, assembly GCF_000001405.40. NCBI lineage: Eukaryota > Metazoa > Chordata > Mammalia > Primates > Hominidae > Homo > Homo sapiens. Next base: position 32,588,248 of record NC_000020.11, read on the forward strand.
ACTGCACCAGGCACGTCCCAGCCTCTTGCCCCAAGGGCTCCTGGGAGAGTGGAACAGCCAAGGAGTGAGAACAGCCTACTGCGGCCCATCCCCACTTTTGCAGAAACAGACCCTGGGTCTTCAGCCTATCCGTGTCACTGGGGTCCTTTAGGAGGGGCATGCTGGGTGGGGTGTGGGGTAAGTCTCCCACAATGCCCAACTCCTGGGGGGATGCAATCACGGTCCCAGGGGGCAGCTGCTCTTTTTTGATTTCCATTCCAGACACCTGCCAAAGGAAAAAGTAGGCTGCCCCATGAATCAAAGGCCAGGAGATCCTCTGCATTTTTAAAAATTTTGAGACAGGGTCTCGCTCTGTCTCCCAGGCTGAGTGCTGTGGTGCAATTGCTGCTCACTGGAGTCTCTACCTCCCAGGCTCAAGTGATCCTCCCACCTCAGCCTCCTCAGTAGCTGGGACCACAGGCATGCACCACCACACGCAGCTATTTTTTTTTTAATTATTTTTTGTAGAGACAGAGTCTCTCTTTGTTGCCCAGGCTGGACTCAAGTGATTCTCCCGCCTTGGGCTCCCAAAGTGCTGGGATTACAGGCATGAGCCACTATGCCCGGCCTCTGGATTTTTTTTTTTTTTTCCACACTTCGTCCAGGTGTCCAAGGGAGACTGGAGTTGAAGCACAGGGAGTCCAAGCCCCCAGGGCTCACGTCCTCTCTGAATACAGATAGTAACGTAATCACTCCTGGGCTCAAGTGATTCTCCCGCCTTGGACTCCCAAAGTGCTGGGATTACAGGCATGAGCCACCATGCCCGGCCTCTGGATTTTTTTTTTTTTCCACACTTCGTCCAGGTGTCCAAGGGAGACTGGAGTTGAAGCACAGGGAGTCCAAGCCCCCAGGGCTCACGTCCACTCTGAATACAGATAGTAATGTAATGGGTCACAAGAGCTTGGTGATGAAGGGTTCTCAGAGTATACAGTCCAAACCCTGCCTCTGATAGATGGGTAAACTGAGTCCCACAGGAGCAAAGAGGCTCAGGGCCGCAGGACAGAACCAGGTACCTGGCCTTTGCCTGATTTGGCCCAGATCACCTGCCTTTCACTGAGCTCTGACCCTGGGCCCAGATGAGCGGGGATGCCTGCAACTTGACAGTGAGGTGGCCCTGACTGTGCCACAGGAAGTTCCAGGCCTGGGGTGGGGCAGAGTGACTCAGGCTCCCACAGAGGCCTGTCCACGCAAGGGCCAGGAAGAGCAGAGAGGCCCCAGAGCCTTGGGGAGAGGTAGTTACCACCACTGGGTGCTGGTGCCCCTTCTATCAAGGGCTTGTGCCACCACCTGCCATCCCCCTATTCTATAGCATCCCCCTGCAGTCTGCCAGCCATGCTGAGCCGCTGCTGTACGCCCACCTCTCTAGAAAGGCCTCCTGACCTCTCAGGTTGGGTCAGGGGCTTTCTCTGGTCACTCATAGAGCCTTGGGCTTTCCCCCTCCCAGCTCTGACCACAGCATTTCACGATGGCCTCATTACCTGTGTCGACCAGTGCCCAGCACAGGAGCTAAGGCTTAAACGTTATTGAATAAATGGATAAATAAGCAACCAACCAACCAAATGAATGAATGAATGAATGAATGGGCTTATCCTCAAAAAGCAGGTGCTAGACTGAAGTCTACAGCATTTTCCACCATGCTACTATGCTTCCTCCATAATCAATCCATCCATCAGCATTTATTGTGCTTCTCCTAACAGGCTCTGCTGTTGAGTGACTGAGTCCCTTAATCTCTCTAAGCCTCAGTGTTCAATGCCGATAAAATGGGAATATTAATAATTATCCCTAACTCACAGGGCTGTCGTGAGAATAAGCACTCAACAAATGCTAGCTCCTATTGTCATTATGCCCATCCATCATTCAGACGTTTATTTGGGCATCTTCTGTATGTCAGCCACCATGCTTGGTGTTTGGAATACAGTAATAAACAAGAGGGACCTGACCCATGAAGCTCAGGGACTAGCTGACTTTCAAAAGATCATGACAGGCCAGGCACAGTGGCTCACCCCTGTAATCCCAGCACTTTGGGAGACCAAGGTGGGTGGATTGCTTGAGCCCAGGAATTCAAGACCAGCCTGGACAAAATGTCCAAACCCCGTGTCTACAAAAAAGTACAAAAAAATTAGCCAGCGGTGGTGGTGTGCACCTGTAGTCCCAGCTACTTGGGAGGCTGAGGTGGAAGGATTGCCTGAGCCCTGGAGGTAGAGGCTACAGTGAGCTATGATTGTGCCACTGCACTCCAGCCTGGGAGACAAAGTGAGACTGTCTCAAAAAAGAAAAAAAAAATCATAACAAATGGGTTTAGAATTAAAAACAAAAAGTTGCCATGAGGCTGGGTGTGGTGGCTCACGCCTGTAATCCCAACATTTTGAGAGGCCAAGGTGGGCAGATCACCTGAGGTCAGGAGTTCGAGACCAGCCTGGCCCATATGGTGAAACCCGCCCCCGCCCACTAAAAATACAAAAATTAGCCAGGTGTGGTGGTGGGCACCGGTAATCCCAGCTACTCCGCAGGCTGAGGCAGGAGAATTGCTTGAACCCAGCGGGCAGAGGTTGCAGTGATCCGAGATCATACCACTTCACTCCAACCTGGGCAACAGAGTGAGACTCTGTCTCAGAAAAAAAAAGTTGCCATGAGAACACATGGCAGGGGAGCGGGGCGCCCAGATCAGCACCTTCGAGAAGTCCCACTCTAAGTGCCCTAAGGGTCCTTTGGACCAGAAGATGGAGCACTGGGCAAAGTGGAGGGGAGGAGAAAAGTGTCTCTACTCCTGCAGTGGCCCGCGCCACACTGCCTGTGGAATTACGACTGAGTGGGAAAAAATTCTGTCCACCTTGCAGAGTTTGAGACCCGCTCGAGTCCAGCATCCCCTTTTTTCCAGAAACTAAAGCATAAAGAGATAAGAGAACTAATTTGTCGAGGGATTTCATTCAAATGTCACCTCCCCTGAGGAGCCTTCCTTGACTGCCCTTCTTAAAAGTCCCCCAGTGGCCCTCCATTCCCGTTCCTTACTTGATTCATCCTCATGGACTCAGTGCCACCTTCCTTTATAATACATATGTATTTGTTTCCTGTCTCTGTTCATCTCACCTACTGGAATGTACATTCCTAGAGGGCAGAGCTCTGTCCTGTTCACTGCAGTATCTCCAACATCCAGAACAATACCTGACACGTAGTAGGTGTCCCATATGTGTTTACTGAATAAATGAATGAATGAAAATCCCTGAGAGAGAGAGAGAGAGAGAGAGAGTGTGTGTGTGTGTGTGTGTGTGTGTGTGTGTGTGTGTGTGTGTGTGTATTTTGACTATACACTGCAATGAGATCCAGGAAGATTTCTGCTGAATTGGAGAGGCAGGGGCCTTTTTTGCTTATATTCATTTTGTCTTTGGCAAGTCACTTCCCTTCATTAAGCCTCGGTTTCCTCATCTGTAAAACGGAGCTAGTGCCTGCTTTGCAGAATCTTTGTGAAGCGTCAATCAAATACGGTGCAAAGTGCCTAGGTGGGGCCTGGCACACAGTAGGTGGGCAACTCTGTCATTTTGATGGAGCCCTTGTTGGGGGAGGCCTGTGAAGGGGGATCCCAGGGCCTGAGCCTCTCTGCAGGACACAAAGGAAGCTGACACTGGATCTGTCCCGTCACCTGAACTCACCAGTAATTTATTGATGCTGGATGCTGGCACCCAGCAGCCTGCTGGGTCAGTCTCAGGGAGCAGGTGTAGGGCCCTCGGGCCTACCCCAGCCTCACCCAGGCAGGGAGGGGAGGGGAGCCTGGGTCTGCCCAGCCCAGGAAAATTGATAGGTCAGCCCTTACAAGTCAGTCCCCTTCTGTGTGCCAGGCAGTGCAGGCAGAAAAAAAAACAAGTGTGGTTCCTGCCTGGCCTGAGCTCATAGAGGGTTGAAGTGGACATATTTCAAATAACCAAAATGGTGAGAGCTGCATGAGGGCCTACTATGTGCCAAGAACTTCGTACCTATAACCACATTTAAGCCTCATACAGGGCTTAAATGTGCTGAGGTCGCACAGCTAGTGGTGGGGCAAGAGGAGGGTTTGCACCCAGATTTGCCTGGCTCTAAAGCCAGGGCACATTACTGCCATCCCGCCCCACTCAGGCTGGCTGGGCCAATGGGCATTAAAAAAAAAAAAAAAAAAAAAACGGGCCTGGCACGGTGGCTCACACCTGTAATCCCAGCACTTTGGGAGGCTGAGGTGGGTGGATCATTTCAGGTCAGGAGTTAAGACCAGCCTGGCCAACATGGTGAAACCCCATCTCTACTAAAAATACAAAAATTAGCCAGGTGTGGTGGTGCACGCCTGTAATCCCAGCTACTCGGGAGGCTGAGGCAGGAGAATCGCTTGAGCCTGGGAAACAGAGGTTGCAGCGAGCTGAGATCATGCCATTGCACTCCAGTCTTGTCTCAAAAAAAAAGAAAAAAGAAAAAAAAAAACACTAAAAAAAAGCTCTTGGCTGGGCACCGTGGCTCATACCTATAATCTCATGGCTTTGGGAGGCCAAGGTAGGAGGTTTACTTTAGGCCAGGAGCTTGAGACCAGCCTGGGCAACATAGTGAGACCCCATCTCTACAAAAAATTTTAAAAATTAGTGGGGTGTGGTGGTGTGCACCTGTAGTTCCAGCTACTCAAGAGGCTGAGGCAGGAAGATTGCTTGAGCCCAGGAGTTGGAGGCTGCAGTGAGCTACGATTGTCAGAAATCTGGTCACAATCATAGTGGTCAGGGGGGCATGGAGTGCTTTCAGTGGCCACTGCATTCCAGCCTGGGTGACAGAGTGAGATCCCATCTCAAAAATAAATAAATAAATAAATAATAAATAAAAATAAAAAGGAAGAGCTCTGGGAGTTGAAAACTGAGAGTAGGTGCTTTCCATGGGAGGCTTCCTTAAGGCTGAGACCTTTAACCGGCCTTCAGCGGGTAGATGGAGATACCAAAGGGTGAGTGTGTTTTAGGCCAGAGAAGCAGCCGAGTGGAGGTCTGGAGGGAAAAGGGAGCGATCTGTTTGCACTGTGGTGGGCATGCCCACCTGGGAGAGCACCAGGGCCCAGCAGTGGGCATGCTGGGGCTCTGAATGCTTGGCTAAGCCTTGGGCCTCCCTGGTGGGACATGGGGAGGGAGCCATGGGAGGCTGCTGAGCAATGAAGCCACTGTTTCCCCCTGACCTATATATTGTAAGAGGCCTGCTAGTCAGGCCAGAGTGTGCCTGGCCTTCGAGAACCTCTAACATCTAGCTTCAGCCTCACCTCCCTCTACCAGCTCTCTGGACCTGGCATGTCACAGGCAGCCAAACACTTACGGCTCATTCTCACCTCTGCACCTCTGTTCTCTTGGCCCCTTCTCCTGCAATGCCCGCTCTGTCTACCCAGACCCTACCTAATTGCTCAGGTCTTCCTTCCAGGCCATTTCCTCCATGAAGCCTGCCCTGACCACACCAGCCCTGAGTTACATGCCTCAGCCTCAGAACCGCCGGGGGCCTGGGCTGGGAAAGTGCCCATCCTCCTCTCAAGTCCGCGGCACTCGCCATCCACCAAGATGGGCTGCTGCTTTTACCTGCATAGCAACTTTCTTCTCCTGGTAACAGCATCTTGAAATCCCTTTGAGAAACCGCCTCCTTCATATTCAGAGCATGTTGCTGGAGCCATACTGACCTGACCACTGAAAGCATTGAATGACTAGGCCACTGAAACCATCCCATGCCCCAACCACCGTGAGTGTGACCAGATTTCTGAGAACACCGGCCGGGTGCGGTGGCTCACGCCTGTAATCCCAGCACTTTGGGAGGCCGAGGCAGGCGGATCACCTGAGGTCAGGAGTTCGAGACCAGCCTGGCCAATATGGCAAAACCCCGTCTCTACTAAAAATACAAAAATTAGCCGGGTGTGGTGGAGCATGCCTGTAATCCCAGCCACTCGGGAGGCTGAGGCAGGCGAATCACCTGAACCTGGGAGGCAGAGGTTGCAGTGAGCCAAGATCACGCCATTGTACTCCAGGCTGGGTGACAGAGCGAGACTCCATCTCAAAAAAAAAGATTTCTGACAACACCCTTTGAGCCCCTGGATTCAACCACACCTAAAGGCCCTTTTCTTCTTCACTTAGGTCTCTCAGTGCTGGATTTCCTGCAACCCCATGAGCCCTGACGGATGTACCATTTGTTCAGTGCAGTCAGACCCCCTCTGGTCTGGCCCAGATGGCTGTACCAGCCTCCTCTCTGCACTCCTGGCCTCTAGGTTTTCCCTTCTGGTACACCAGAATAAAGTTCAAACTCCTTGGTGTGGCATTCAAGGCCTTTCACTATCTTGTTCCAGCCTCTACTTCTCTCTGTGCCAACCACACTGAACCTTCCATTCCCCTGAACAGCAAGACTGCGTTCAGACTTGTTCGGATGCTCCTTGACTTACAATGTGGCTAAGTCCTGATAAACCCATTGTAAGTTGAAAATATCATTGTAAGTCAGTCAAAAGTGCATTTTTTTGTTTGTTTGTTCAGTTGGTTGGTTTTGTTTGTTTTGTTTTGTTTTTTGAGATAGGGTCTCACTCTGTTGCCCAGGCTGAAGTGCAGTGGTGAGATCACGGCTCACTACAGCCTCCACCTCCTGAGCTCAAGCGATACTCCTGCCTCAGCCTCCCAAGTAGCTGTGACCACAGGTGTGCGCCATCATGCCTGGCTAATTTTTGTATTTTTTGTAGAGATAGGGTTTTGCCATGTTGCCCAGGCTGGTCTCAAATTCCTGGGCCCAAGCGATCCACCCACATTGGCCTCCCAAAGTGCTATGATTACAAGTGTGAGCCACAGCACCCAGCAAAAATACGCTTTTAACTTACCGCATTTCCAACTTATTCTAACAGTGGGTTTACCTGGATGTAACTCCTTTGTAGTCAAGGAGTATGCTGAATGCATATCACTTTGGCACCATCGTAAAGTCGAAAAATTGTGAGTTGATCCCTTGTTAAGTTGGGGATCACCTGTATATGCAGTTCCCCTCAATCACTGGGACTGCCCTTCCCCACCAATTCTCTTCCTGAAAAACTCCTACTCATCCTTCAAGATCCCATTTGATTGTCACTCCGTCTGCCATGTTTCCCTTGACCCCTAGGCAGGGTAAGATATCTGTTCTCTCCTGGCACCTCAAGCTCCCTGGCTGGTCTCCTTCATGCAGTGACCACCTGATGTGGTTATTCTCTTCCACCTGGCTACCTTCTTCCCTGACAAGGAGCTACTCGAAGACAGGGTCATGTCTTGTTCATTTTTCATCTCCCAAAGGGCCTATTAATAAATAGTTGTCAACTGACTGACTTACCGACAGGGCACTCAATCCAAGTTCATATTCCTGAAATCCTTGCAAACCATTAGGTAACTATTTTTGCTGGTCACCTTTTCCAGTTAACCACTCACTGGGTTTTCTTTACTGCAGGACTTCTCAGAGGCATTCACGTGCTAATAATAGCACTTCAACCCTCCCTGAAAGGGAGAGAATGCCAAAGCTGGCCTAGGCAACGGTTTGAGGTCATCTGGTCCATTTTAGGAATGGGGAAACTGAGGCCCAGAAAGGGACAGAGACTCATCCAGGCACTTGATGGCAGATCTGGGCCCTCAGTCCAGCCTTGTGTCCCCCAGTGCCCTCCTGTCTACATCCCACTGCCTCAGGCCCAAAACGTTAAGAGTGAGGGCTCTGGAGCCAGACTGCCTGCATTTGAGTCTTGTGCCCGCTCTCACCAGCTGTGTGACCTTGACTGAGTGACTTAGCCCCTCTGAGTTTCAATGTCCTCATCCATAAGGTGTTGACAATAACAGCACCTCCTTTATGGGGTTGTTGTCAGGGTTTAAGTGAAGTGGTCCACATAAAAGCACTTAGCACAGGCTGGGGACGGCAGCTCATTTCTGTAATCCCAGCACTTTGGGAGGCCGATGTGGGAAGATCACTTGAGGCCAGGAGTTCGAAACCAGCCTGGCCAACATGGTGAACCCCCATCTCTACTAAAAATACAAAAATTAGCCAGGCATGGTGGTGGGCACCTGTAATCCCAGCTACTTGGGAGGCTAAGGCAGGAGAATCGCTTGAACCCAGGAGGCGCAGGGTGCAGTGAGCCAAGAGCCACTGTACTCCAGCCTGGGCAACAGAGCGAGACTCCGTCTCAAAAAAAAAAAAAAGCACTTAGCACAGTGCCCGGCACATAGTAGGCCCCCGGTAAATTGCCACCAGCATCTCTATAACCTTAGATTTCTCAGGAAATAGCAGACACACTGAGCCTTGACATCTTGGAGAGCTGTGGTTCTCTCTGGAGAAAGATGCCAATTAAATACCAGGTCCAGGCTGGGCTGACCTCCCACATGGGGCCTGCTCCTGTGGAAGCCCAGATGTTGGGCCTTCCTCCTCCCTGACTTGAAAAAAAGGTGGTTTTTGTTTAGAGGAATTTTCCCTGCATTTTCATATTGGCTCTATAAGTTGGATTTTGTTGAGTGGTTTCTGACAAGCAAGTTGTACAGGCATGTATGTGGAGGAGACGCAAGGCTGCCTGTAGCCATGGGGGTGGATCTGAGGCCTTGAGTTCTGCCAGCCACTGGCCATGAGCTCAGCCCCTGGACAGCTGCATCCCAGGGAGAGTGTCTGTCCTTGGGGTGATCCAGAAGGGCTTCACCCCTGGGGAATTCTTCTAGAGGTTTCCCAGAACCTTCCCTCAGAGGAAAGGCTCACTGGCAAATGGCCTGCCACCTTCCCCACCCCACCCCAGCAAACTCACACCCTGGGTTCAGGTTTGTGGTGTTGTGGTGGGGGAAGTCCCTGAGTCTCCTACCCCCAGCTCAGTCCCCTTCAAGATGGATAGTCAGGGACCAAGAGGTGGAACACGGAGCTTCTCCATATCTTCAGCAAGCCAAATAAGAAGCTAACATATGAAAGCAAGAGAGATTTCAGTTAGACAGCAGGAGAGACTTCTGCCCTGCCAGATGGCTAAAACCTGGGCTGTGCTTGGCCTAGGAAAGAGCACTAAGCTAGGAGTCAAGACAGCTTTGACTGACAGATCCCTTGGGACTTTGGGTCACTGCCTCATTTTTTCCCTCCCTCGGTTTGCTCGTCCACAAAATGGGGATTATAATTCCTATTTGCTACAGAGCATTTCAAAGGCAACAATGGGGTGAGGCCTTGAGTCAGTGGCAGGGGGCTGCATCAGATCACCTCTGCAGGTTCCCTGTCCTCTCTTTTTAGAAGGGATTCTAGGGCCAAGGCCTTAGTCTCAGGTGCAGGGGCCCAGCGGTGAAGTGTGTGCATGTGCAGGTACACGCAGCACTCCAGCCACACTGCAGGCACTAAGTCATGTTGGTTTTCTCCCCCTCTTCTCAGGCCACTACCCAGATGCAAAAAATGGCCTGGGCAGAAGTTAGGAAGCCTGGGTCCTAGCCCTGGGTCTGCCCCCGACTTTCTCTGACTTTGGCCATGTCCCTTACCCAACGGGGCCTCGGTTTCCCCATCTGTGCCATGAGGAGTTTGGATGGTTTTGAGATTCTTCTCTCTTGGCTCTGTGAAATCCACAACCGGCCCAGTGAGGTCTGACCCCTGCTCGCCTCCCTGGCCATCACTGGGCAGTTCAGATACACTGACCTTCCTTTGCTTCCTGGAATTTTCCAGCTCCCTCCCACCCCAGGACCTTTGCACAAGCCCTTGCCCCGCTTACCACAAATTCACCTATTTTTTTTTAGATGGAGTCTTGCTCTGTTGCCCAGGCTGGAGTGCAGTGGTGTAATCTTGACTCACTGCAACCTCCACCTCCTGGGTTCAACCGATTCTCCTGCCTCAGCCTCCCAGGTAGCTGGGACTACAGGCGCCCACCACCACCTCGCCTGGCTAATTTTTGTATTTTTAGTAGAAACGGGGTTTCACATGTTGGCCAGTCTGGTGTCGAATTCCTGAGCTCAAGTGATCCACCCGCTTCAACCTCCCAAATTGCTGGGATCACAGGTGTGAGCCACTGCGCCCGGCCAAATTCACCTGATTAGCTCCAACTCATCCTTAACAGCACTCAGCTCCATCATCACCTCCTGAACACCCCCAGACCCCTCCTCCAGGACGCACTCTCACAGAGTCCTATGCCCCTCCTTTGTAATACTTAACCACCCCTGCATTTCACATTTATGTTGTTCCTTGATTGAGAACTGTCCACCGCACCCCTGGCTGTGAATTCTATGAGGTCAGAGACTGGATCTGTCTTTGTCCCTGTGGTGCCCCTGACACCCAGCACTGGGCCTGGCACAGAGGAGATGCTCAGCCGTTGAATGGATGGGCAGACGACCTCCCCATTCTTTGGGACCAGTATAGGGCTGTCTCTGCTCACAAAAGCTCCTCCCTCCAGGCACCTATGCAGAGCAGACCTGGTGGTGAGGAAGAGGGGAGGCCGCTGAGGACCTGAGGGGCTCCACCCTTCCCTGGGAGCTGAGGTGATGAGAGGCCCTGCCTTCAGAAGTTGGGCTGGGAGACACGGGGAGCCCCGAGGGGTGCGTGCTGTTTACAGTGCACACCCACGTCTGCGCTCTCTCTCGGGGGCTCTCCCAGCCAGCTGAGGGCTCCACAGGGGCAGGTAGTGTCAGCTCCATTTGCCAGACAAGGAAAACAGCCCCAGAGGGATGCTGGCTGGAGGAAGGCTCACATGGCAGGCACAGGACAGGGCTGAGGTATGACCCCAGGGGTGATGAAGCTGGAAGGGCTTTCTGCTCTCCATCTGACAAAGGCAGGAACAGGCACAGAGGGCAGGGATCAGCCTAGGGTGTTCTCAGCCAGTCAATAGCAAGGTGGGGACAATAGGAATCTATAATTCTTTTTTCTTTTTAAATTGATGGTTTTGGCCAGGCACAGTGGCTCATGCCTGTAATCCTAACACTTTGGGAGGCTGAGGCGGGCGGATCACGAGGTCAGGAGATCGAGACCATCCTGGCTAACACGGTGAAATTCCGTCTCTACTAAAAATACAAAAAATTAGGCGGGCGTGGTGGCGGGCGCCTGTAGTCCCAGCTACTCGGGAGGGTGAGGCAGGAGAATGGCGTGAACCCGGGAGGTGGAGCTTGTAGTAAGCCGAGATCGTGCCACTGCACTCCAGCCTGGGCGACAGAGCGAGACTCCGTCTCAAAAATAGTAATAATAATAAATAAAATAAAATAAATGGATGGTTTCTGGCTCTGTTGCCCAGGGTGGTGTGATCGCAGCTCACTGCAACCTCCAACTTCCAGGTTCAAGCGATCCTCCTGCCTCAGCCTCCCATGTAGCTGGGGCTATAGGCATGCACCACCATGCCTGGATAATTTTTTAAATTTTTTTGTAAAGACAGGGCCTTGCTATGTTGCCCAGGCTGGTCTTGAACTCCTAAGCTCAAGCGATCCTCCCGCCTTGGCCTCCTGAGTAGCTGTAATCACAGGCGGGAACGACCGCACTCGGCTGGGAATCTGTAGTTTTTGAACTCTGATACCTTTCTCCTGCTAGGCTGAGGCAGAGGATTCCTGGCCTTGACCCTGGATGACCCTGAGGCTTCAGATGATGGATCACACCACAGGGCAACCCGTGGGAGTGGATAATGTTGGCAGAAGCACTCTAAGGATTTGGGTAGCAGGATAGTGCCAGGCAGTCTGGGTTAGAACCCCAGCTCTGCCACTCACCAGCTGTGTGACCTTGCTCGGGTGCTTTTAACCTCTCTGTACCTCAGTTTCCTCATCTGTGAAATGGGGGAATTCTGGGTTAACTAGTCAATAGAACAAAGTACCCAGAGCAGGGAAGGTCTGAGACAGTTTCTAATAAACATGAACTCTGGAGCTGACCTGGCCAGGAACAAGGGGAGTGACTAAGTCCTCTCTCTGTACCAAGGCTCTGGCGTAAGAAGTACCAGCTCTCAGCTTTGTGCCCTCAGGGCCACTGGAGAAAATGTCAGAGAAGGGCTTCAAAGATCACAGCGACTGTTCTTTGAGCCCACTGCTACTCCACAACCCACTGAATCCTCACAAGTGCCCTATAAAAATCAGGTTCAAGGCCGGGCATGGCGGTTCATGCCTGTAATTCCAGCACTTTGGGAGGTCGAGGTGGGCAGATCACTTGAGGTCAGGAGTTAAGACCAGTTTGGCCAACGTAGAGAAACCCCTTGTCTACTAAAAATACAAAAATTAGTTGGACGTGGTGGCGGGTGCCTGTAATCCCAGCTACGTGGGAGGCTGAGATAGGAGAATTGCTTGAACCCAGGAGGCGGAGGTTACAGTGAGCCAAGATCACACCAGTGCACTCTAGCCTGGGCGACAGAACGAGACTCCGTCAAAAAAAAAAAAAAAAAAAAAAAAAAGCAGGCTCTATTATTCTCCCACTTTACAAGTGTGAAAACCAAGGCTAAGGCCAGTGTCTTGTCTAAGTCCCACAGGCTGTGACTTGCAGAAACAGGGCGCATGCCCGAGCCTGCTCTTGGGGTCACTTGCTCTGAAGAGCCCAGGAACCAAAGGGTGAAGACAGAGTTGAGTTGGCCCTGGGGAGTGGAGTCCTGGAGAGAGGTCCTGGGCTGGGGCTGGCGGGCTGGGGAGAACTTGGACAGCAGGCATAGGTGGGAAGTGCAGGTACAGCCCTGTCTCCCCAGGAAACCAGGCCTGAGGTGTGCCCTGTTAGTCAATCACATCATTTGCCTGGTGCCTGTAGGGGCTAGCTCCGTGACGGCAAGGCTGAATCTTTGGTCCCCACTGTATGCAGCACCCAGCCCAGGCCCTGCCCACTGGCAGGCACTCAGTGGATGCTTGTTGAATGACTGAGTGGACCAGGCATCCTACTCTGTGGTCACCAGACTGCTCAGTGATCATGAGCACCATGCTACAAACGAGGAAACTGAGGCTCAGGGTGGGGAAGGGAACTTTCCCAGCCCACCCAGGTCTGTCTGAATCTTTTGTTTTTGTTTTGAGGTGGAGTTTCGCTCTTGTTGCCCAGGCTGGAGTGCAATGGTGCAATCTCAGCTCACTAAAACCTCTGCCTCCCGGGTTCAAGTGATTCTCCTGTTTCAGCCTCCCAAGTAGCTGGGATTACAGGCATGCGCCACAACGCCCAGCTAATTTTTTTGTATTTAGTAGAGGTGGGGTTTCACCATGTTGGCCAGGCTGGTGTTGAACTCCTGACGTCAGGTGATCCACCCACCTCAGCCTCCCGAGTGGCTGGGATTACGGGCATGAGCCACTGTGCCCAGCCTGTCTGAATCTTTCTTTACCCTCCTCCAGGAACATGATCTCAGGAACACATATCTCCTTTTCCAGCCGGAAGTACCTGAGAGAGACCCCAGAAGGTGGATAAGACTGCAGAGAGCAGGGAGCATGAAGCACCTTGCCCAAGGTCTCACCAGGCAAGAGAAGGGCGGAGAAGGGCGGCTTCTTCATGGATTGTAAATCCCCAAAGCGTGCAAACGTAAGGACTCTCTTTAGGGCTCAAGGGGTCTAAACTTACCCTTTTACATACGGAGAAACTGAGGGCGCCCCAAAAGATGTGTCATCTCCAGGGCCACCGAGTGGTTGAGCAACAGACTGGAACCCAGCGTAGCAAATGGAAAGGCCCCGAGGCTGGCACACAGTATGAGCTGAGGCCAGTGGGCTTAAGAGCGACTGGGGAGGTGGGCTGGGGCCAGGCCAAGCAAGGAGCGTGGACTCCAGACCACAGCCATGGGGAGCCACTGGATTGGAAAGGTCTAGACACCATCTGGCTTGGGTTCTCAAGAGACCCCTCTGGCTACTGGGGACTGACTGGCCTGCAGGAGCGTGGGATGGGAGTCAGGAGACTTGGGAGGGTCAGGCCAAAAGCCGTGGAGTCATCTCTGCCCCTGGCCCTTTTCTCTCACCCCTTACATCTGATCCATCAGCAAATCCCTTTGGCTCCACCTTCAAAATATAACCGGAATCTGACCACATCTCACCGCCCCATTGCTGACACCCCTAGCAACCTCTCCCTGCACCTGACTTCCAACCTGGCCCTGCCACCCACCCTCCATAACACAGCCAGAGGGAAACGGCTGAAACAAGAGTCAGATCGCACCCCTCCCCTACTCCAAAGCCCCTGTGGCTCCCCACCTCACTCAGAATAAAGTCCTGAGCCTGGCCCTGGAGGGCCTCATGCTCTGGTCGCCCTGCCCATTCTGGCCATGTGTCCCCAAGGCTCTCGCCCAACCCCTGGCTGCGGCACACTCACAACTTCTTGGCATTCCTGCCTCCGGGCGGGCGTCTGTACATGCTGGGCCCCCTGCCTGGAGTGCCCTTCCTCAGATGTCTGCAGGGCCAGCTCCATCTTCTCCTTCCTGTTGTCAGATGCCACCTTCCCAGGAGGCCTCCCTAACCACCCCGTTTAACATGGCCCCACATCTCCTTCCGTCACACACACATGCTTTCTCGGCTCCATTTTCTCCAAAATGTGCGTCACTTTCCAATGTACCATTTAATGAACTTATTCATAGTGTTTATTCCAGCTCTGTCCCCCATTAGGATTTCAGCTTCCTGAGGACAAGGTTCTTTGAGTGGCCCATGCCCAAAACAGGCCTGGAGCATGGTAGATGCTTGGTAATGACATGCTGTTGAACTTGAGTGGTTTTCCTAACAATTCTAGGTGGGAGATCACCCTCATCTCCTGTCACAGAGAAGGAAACTGAGGCTCATGGAGGAAAATAAATTGCTCGAGGTCACAAGGCCAGGACACTCTGGGGCTGGGGTTTGGACAGAGCCTCCTGCTCTGTCCGGCTCAGGCTGGCATGGGCTGGGAGCAGGACCTCTGAGCTGGCGTGTGGCAGGGGCCCTGCCAGGTGCCCTGCGGTTGGTACCCTCCCTGAGGGGCCATGGCGGGCTGGGCCGGGAGAAGGCGGTGGCAGCCCTGGCAGTTCCACCCGTTCCAGGGTGGTGTAAGAGCAGGTTGGGAAAGGCCCAGGGGCACCAGATCCATCCTACAGTTGCCCAGTCCTCAGAGCCTGAACGGCCACGGGTGAGAAAGGAAGTCAGCAGGATCCAAAATAGGCCTGTGTTTCGGGAAGTGAAACTGGGCATCGGGGACGCCAGGCCGGAGGAAGGCCTGGGCCTCCTGGGTTGGGGGCCCCCGGGGCGGGGGTCTTTCCTTGCCTCCTTGGCCTGGGGACAGTTGGTCTTGGGACTGATCCCTGCCAGGACCTTGGGAATGAGCTCAGGCCCCTCTCGCAAGCCAAGTGACCCTGGACACATCACTTCAGCTCTCTGATCTTCAGTCTTCTCATCTGTAAAGTGGGGCTAAGGGTAGGACTTGCCTCACTGGGGACTGGGAAGGTGAGACTGTGCCCTGAAGCCCAGGATGGTCACAGTTACCCTTGGCGTTGCAGAGCCATCGTGGGTGCTCCTCGTCCAGGAAGCACCCCCAGATCCTTAGATCAGAATGAATCACTCCCTCCCCAGTGTCCCCAGCCCCTCTCAATTTCTTTCTATTTTATTTATTTATTTATTTTTGAGACAGGGTTTCACCCTGTTGCTAAGGCTGGAGTGCAGTGGTGCAATCATAGCTTACTGAGGCCCCGACCTCCCAGGCTCAAGTGATCCTCCCACCTTAGCCTCCTGAATAGCTGGAACTACAGGAGTGTGCCACCATGCCGAGCTAATTTTTTTTTTTTGTATTTTTTGTAAAAATGGGGTTTTGCCATGTTTCCCAGGCTGGTCTCAAACTCCTGGGCTCAAGCCATCTGCCCACCTTGGCCTTCCAAAGTGCTGGGATTACTGGCGTGAGCCACCTTCCCATCCTGCCCCCTCTCAATTGCTTTTGGTTTCTGTTCACATATGTCTTTTCCACTAGAGGAGGCCAGGAGTCCACCTGAGTCTTCTTGGTGTCCCCAGTGCCCAGGATAGAGCCTGGCGGATGGGAGGTGCCACCCATGGGCCAAATGAATTAGTGAAGGAGCCAGGGTCGGAGGCCTGTGGATGCCCTTGAGGGGTCTGATCCCTGCCTCCCGACAGCCAGCTCCTCAGGGGTGGCCTGGAGTTTTGGCAAGAGGAGGCTCTGAGGGCAGGTGAGTCATGTTTCCCCTGAATCTCAGTTTGCTCATCTGTAAGATGGATGAGAAATGGGACCCACAGCTTCTCTGTCCCAGATCAATGAATGGATCACCCAAGATGCCACTCTAGGAACCTCAGAATGTGCCTGGGGCAGGGCTGCCCCAGAGTGGAACCCTTCAGGCCCAGGTGACCTGCATTCTACTTTCTCCAGCCCCTCTCCTGCCCTGGCAAGAAGCAGGACTTTGTAGCAGAAAAACTCAGGTGTAGCGGGGCGGGCAGGGAAGGTGTTACCACCTAATAGAATCAGGAAGCTCTAAATAACGATGAAGTGCACATGCTGCAGGGGGCCTTACACCATCCAGGCTTTACAGCTAAATCCCAGAGAGGTTAGGCTACGTGTCCAAGTTCACACAGCAAATTAGGGCAGAGCAGGGAGTGTGCCCAGCCCTCCTGACTTTCAGTCCCAGGGTTCATTCAGCCCATCTACCCTGAGCAATTGCTGGACACCTGTGAGCACATTTCATAGTCACCGCATCTCCACAAAAGCGAGAATCAGAACACCCATCCTACAGATGAAGACCTCAGGCTTTGAGAAGGGAAGGCTCTCCCAGGACCTTTCTCACCCACCTGAGGCCCCACCTTTGGACCTACTTAAGGGCTCCTGAAGGTCCCCTGAAGGCTGGGCCTCCAAGCCCAGGACTAAACTCAGAGCTGTGTGGCTCCTCCAGGAAGGACCTCCGAAGGTCCATGTCTTCCTGAACTTCCCATCAACCTTCTCATTCTACCAGTCTCACCCAGGAGTCAGCTGCTTGTGCACACTGGTGCCTGGAAGTCCCACTGTGCACTCAACTAGCTAGACTGAGAAATGAGAACAAACACGCGCTGCCCGGCATTTGCTGTGTGCTGGGACTGACCACAGCTCTCCCGAGTCTCACAGGATCTCCGTGAGGTCAGCTCTGCGATCGGCCTCATCTCACAGTTGGGGAATGTCATGCACACCCGTGACTGAGCTCAGCTCTGAAAACCTGTTCCTCTCTCAGTTCCCAGCCCGGGGAGAGGCACCACTGTGCTGAGCACCAGGAGTCACTCCTGGCTCCTCCCACAGCCTCTCCCCCTACAGCCTGTTAAATCGACCTCCTAACTTAGCCACTAACCTGCTCTGTGAACTGAGACTAGTAACTAGTAATCTGTCAAACAGGATAACAGCCCAGGCCCGGGAAGAGTTGCAGGGACTCGCCACCACTGCCCAGCTGTGTGACCTTGGGCAGGAGAACCCACCTCGCTGGGCTGAGGTTTCCATATCTATAAAGTGGGGATGATAATATGGCTCACTGTCCAGGGACGTGGTAAGGATTCAGTGACCCCCTCCCTCTTGTCATGCCTGAGACTTTGCTCCAGAAACTCTCCCCATACAAAGTGCTAGTTTTTCTTGAATTTTAAAAGAACCCTTCTCTGAGCACCCCTCCCTTCTCTGCTGTCCCGTTTTTCTCCAGCTGTCCGGTTTTTCTCCAGCCCTTCGCTGGAACGCCCTGAAAACACACCTATTCTCGCTGTCTCCAGAGTCTCTCTCCCCTCTTCTCCCTTCAATCCACTCCCCACAGGGTCTCCCCTCCCCCTCCCGAGGAAATGAAGAAACTTCGCGTTTCTAAACCTGCCCAATGCCATCTCTCAGACCTCCCTATCTGGACCTGTCAGTAGCATCAGATGCAGCTAACACCTGCTGCTCCTTCAAACGCTGTCCTCCCCTGGTTGTGAGAAGAACCCTCCCTGCCAGTTCCCTGGCTGCCCCTTCTCAGTCCATTTTCTGCCTCTTCGCCAATCTCTCCCTCACCTCTCAGGCTGGGGGCCGTGGGCTCAATCCCTGGGCTGCTGTCCCTTTCCATCTGCCTTCCTCCCTGGCTGACTTTAAAGACCGATTCTCTGCTGCCCTCCACACTGATATCAACAACCTGGACATGCCCCCTGAGCTCCAAAGCCACACATCCACTTCCTCCTGCACAGCTCCTCCGGGCTTCTCCAGGATCTCCTGATATTTGCACATAGATCGGTTCCACCCTCAACCCTCCTCATCCCAGAGAATGGCGACTGCATTCTCCCCTGGCCCAGGCCGGAACACTGGCTGTCATCCTCAACCCTTTACCCCGTCCATCTCTAACTCTCTCTCATCTGTCTCTAATTCTTTCTCTCTGCGTCTGTCTCCCTCTCTGCCTCTGTCTTTCTGACTTTGTCTCTCTGTCTCTCTCCCTCTGACTCTGTCACTCTGACTCTGCCTCTGTCTTATCTCTGTCTCTCTCTC
Source organism: Homo sapiens (assembly GCF_000001405.40). Lineage (NCBI taxonomy): Eukaryota > Metazoa > Chordata > Mammalia > Primates > Hominidae > Homo > Homo sapiens. The sequence goes on from NC_000020.11 coordinate 32,606,578, forward strand.
TGTCTCTGACTCTGACTCTCTGTCTCTGTCTCTGACTCTCTCTCTCTGTCTCTGACTCTCTGTCTCTGTCTCTGACTCTGTCTCTGAGTCTCTGTCTTTGTCTCTGACTCTCTGTGTCCCTGTCTCTGACTCTCTGTGTCTGTCTCTGAATCTCTGTCTCCCTCTGTCTCTCTCTGTCTCTGACTTTGACTCTCTGTCTCCTCCGTCTCTGACACTCTGACTCTCTGTCTCTAACTCTCTGTCTCCCTCTGTCTCTGATTCTGTCTGACTCTCTGTCTCTGATTCTCTGTCCCTCTGTCTCTGTCTCCCTCTGTCTCTGACTCTCTATCTCCCTCTGTCTCTGACTGTCTTTGGTTCAGACACTCTGTGTCCCTCTGTCTCTGACTCTCTGTCTCTGTCTTTGACTCTCTGTCTCCCCCGTCTCTAACACTCTGTCTCTGACTCTGTCTCCCTCTGTCTCTGATTCTGTCTGACTCTCTGTCTCTGACTGTGTCCCTCTCTGTCTCCTTCTGTCTCTGACTCTATGTCCCTCTGTCTCCTTCTGTCTCTGTCTCTGACTCTCTGTCTCTGATTCTCTGTCTCTGTCTCTGACTCTCTGTCTCTCTCTGTTTCTGACTCTCTGTCTCTGTCTCTGACTCTCTGTGTCTCTCTCTGTCTTACATCCCACATCACTGCATCAGTGAATCCCATGGACTCTGACCCCAAACACATCTCAGTCCCCAGAGCTGCTCACAACCCCTCAGCCTCCCCTGGGCCAGCCTCCACCATCTCACCTGCATCTTCACTCCACTGCCTCCCTGTTCTGGGGGCTTCTGCCCATGCCGCCTGCAGTCTACTCTCCACCCGGCGGCCAGAGGGGCCCCGTCCCAGGAGAGTCAGGCCCGTCCCTCTGCTCAGGCCCAGCAGTGGCTCCTGTGTCACTCGGAGAAGCCCAGTCCTCATAGAGATCTTCTTTGAGCCTGCACACCCCCGACCATGGCTTCTCCTGCCCAGTCTCCCTCCCCTGCCAGGCTGACCCCACTGTAGCTCCTGCCAGGGGTGTTTGCCTCCTGGAAAGTTCTTCCCCTAGCAGCAACAGCAGAAACATCCTACCTTCTTTCAGGGCCTGGAGTAGGAGTCTCCTTCTGGGGAGGCCCAGCCCGTGCCCTGTCTACCATCCTGACCACTGCCTGGCCCTTCCCCACCTGTCCCCTTCTCTCTTCTGTGCTGTCCTCACACACCACCTATTTCATCTGTTTACCATGTTTGTCGTAGGTTCTCCCAGGAGGGCAGGGCTTTGGGCCTGTGTTCACGCCGCCTTGCCCGGGCCTAGAATAGGGCCTGGCCTGCAGCCGGGAGCCAGGCTGCTCGCTCTTGGTGAAAGAGTGCCCAGGAGGGGCACAGTGAGGGCATGCAGGGTGAGAGCTCTCAGGGCCTGGGCGCGGCTATGGCAACGCAGCCTATGCCTGCCAGTCCCTTGGCGGGGCCTGTGGCCTCCCTGCCTTCACTGCTGTCCACGGCTCTCACTGGCCCTGCCTTCCTCCGGCCTGTGGCCCCACTCAGACCCACCCCATTCCCCACAATGGATGTCAGAAAGGCCTTTAAAAACCTGGATCTAATTATGTCACCCCCTCCCCTGAGCCCTGCAGTGGCTGCCGGTGGCCCTCGGGATCATGTCCAGAGTCCCTGCGTGGCGTGAAGGCCCCTGGAGACCCGGCCTCAGCCCCCTCCCCTGTCTCTTCCTCCCCTGCAGATCTGCCCCCATCTCCCTGGAGGTGGCCTGTTCTCCACGCCACCCTCACAGGCTGCCTGGCGGACTCTCCTCACAGCACTGTGCTTCCCGGGGCCCACTTGTACAGGCCCCATGCGAGAAGGACCTCGGGCAGTGTATAATCCTCCAAGGGCCCACAGGAACAGCAGTGACAACTGTGTTATGAAGCACCTACTATGTGCTGGGGACAAGAATGGAACAAGAAGACATGCTTTGCCCTCACCCCTGGAGGGCAGCTTCCAGCCAGGGAGGCAAATACCTCCTCCCCAGACTCCTTCCACAGATCCCCAAACTCTGCCTCTCTCCTTCAGATCCCTGCTCAGATGTCACCAGCTCTGTGCAGCCTCCCTGCCACCAAGTCTAAAATTGCCATAGTCCCCTCAGTTCCTCACCCCTCTCCCTGCTTTCTTTGTCTGTCTCATCCATGAGGATGTGCCCTCTGGGAAGGGCAGGCAGGAGCTGGCTATTCTGTTCCTTGCCCTGTCCCCAGCACCGAGGACAGTGCCAGGCATGGAGGAAATAATTGCTGAATAAAGAAATAAAATCGACATTCTATGAGACATAAAGCACAGTTCAGACACATGGAGTGAGGGGTGGTTCCATTCTGACTGCGGTGATCCCGGTGGTCTCTCTGAGTAGGTGGCATTGAGCTGAGACCCAGTGATGTGAAGGACTGAGCGTGTGTGGAGGAAGAGTATTCCAGGTGGAGGAAGCAGTAAATGGCAAAGGCCCCGAGACAGGGCTGAGCTCTGTGTGTAAGTGAGGCCAGAGTTGAGTGAACCAGGGGAGAGCGGGGTGGGTGGGGCTGAGCTAGGGAGAAGTTTTCCTAAACCCTTTCCCAGGAGAGTAAACTGAGGCTCGGGGAAGCTAAGTGCTAAGTCCAAGGCCACAAAACAAGGAGAGGCAGAAACAGGCTAGACCTGGGTCTGCTGGTCTGAGGGGCCCTCTCTGTGCACCCTGGGACTCAGCCACGCTCTACTTATTAATAGCTAAGCCAGGTGGGGCCCCGCTGGGTCAGGAGCCCCAGGTTTAGGCTCAGCCCAGTGACCTCCAGGGCAAAGCCCAGTGAGTGAGCCCATGAATGGGGCCGGCTGGGGAACAACTGGAACCCTGGTCTCCCTAGAGCTGGGCCATTGGCATCTGGGGGAAGCCCGATTTGCTGGGGTCGGGGCTGACTGGCTGGGCCATTACCCGCCGGGGGCCTAGAGCCCACGGGGAAGTTGGGCCAGGTTGCCCCTGCTAGAACCTTCCCAGAGTCTAGAGCAGGTGGCCGTGATGCCCTGCTCTCTGCGGCTGGGACTCCAACTACTCCTGTCCCCTCCCCGGCTCACTGCCTGTGGGTCACTCCCGCTGCTCCCAGATGGCCATGCTCATTCCCTCCCTCCACAGGCCTTTTGCCCTGGCTGGTGCCTCTGCCAGGGACTCTTCCCCTAATCCTTGTGTGGCTGGCTCCCGCTCCTACTCGCGCCCCAGCTCAAGGGTCACCTCCTCAGAGGCCCCCCGACCACCTGTCTCAAGCAGCCCTGCTCTCACCCCCCTCACTCTCCATCTGAGGGCCCTTTAAGGTCTTTCATGGTATTTAACAAAAATATCAGGCATCACATGTATTGTGGGCTTGTCTATTGTCAATGCCCTCTCCCTTCACTGGGGTGTAAGCACCCCATGGATCTTGTTCCCTGAAGTCTCCTCAGGGCCCAGCACAGGGCCTGACACTCAGTAGATGATTAATAAATATCTGTGGAATGAGAACATGAGCGTCTACCCCGCTTATTGTATAAAAGCAGCAGTTGAGGTTCAGAGAGGGTAAGTCACTTGCCCAAGGTCACACAACAAACCAGAGGCAGAACCACAGCAGGAGCCTGGCTCAGCTCACTTGACTCTGCGTCCAGTGCTCTTCAGCCTACACCATAACTAGCACTCAGAGTTCAACCAGCCTCACCCCAGCCTTTCAAATACAACCTTTATCCCTCATCCCCATCTTTCGGTCCTGGGAAGAAAGAAAATCTAAGTAGAAGAGGTGGAAGGGGGCAAACAAGGGAGACTAAGTATCACAGGTGAACAGGTGCTCAGGATTCCTGTAGTCCCATGTAACAGATTCCAGCAAGGTTGGGTTCCTGGCCTGGGGCCTCTGGGCCTCTGGGCCCATGGTCCAGTCTCATCCTTGCCTGCTTGAGCTGGAAAGGGTTAAATTTTGTGCTTGGCTCCTGCCTTGCTGTGGACCGTGGCTGGGACAGAACATCTGTCTGTTGCTATGGTTGCCATACACTTGAAGGGGATGGCTGGATAATTATGGCAAACGCCGCCGAGCGAGTGAGCGGGTGCCCGGAAGTGGCTCGGGACCCTTGCCCGCCCAGTGCAGTGGCAGGCTGTGGGCCCCTTACCCACTGGCTCACTGTGGAGCCCCTGGCCCTGGACTTGAGTTCCTGAGCTAGCAGAGGAGTCAGCTGGGGCCACTTTGGCCTTTGCTTCATGAGTGAGCCTGGCTACAGAGCCCCCCGTGAATCCTGGAGCAGGGCAGACACCAGCAGCACTGGGCACCGGAGCCTGTGGGCTGTAGGCCTGCTGGCACAGGTGGTGGGCTCAGATAATGCCCTGGTGCCACTGTGTCCTCCCCCAGGGGAGAAGCCCTGTCATCTGTCCCTGCCATGAATGCCCCAGAGCCCAGGAGGCAGCAGGTGGAGACCGACTGCCCACGTCCTGTCCTCTCGGCTCTGCCTGCTCGCAGGGATGCTTCAGCTTCCTCGTCTGCTCATGGAGGATGAGAGGGCCTCCCTGGCAGAGCTGAAGGAGGTCTGTCTGGATAGGGCCTGGGGAAGAGGTGGCTCTGGGACAGGAAATGGTTGCCCCAACCTTGCTCAGCAGGGGGTGGGGAACCTTAAGCTGCCGTGGATTTAGACTGTGGTCCCGTGGAAAGGCTGGAGATTGCTTGGCACAGTAACCAGCTACATGATTTGTGCTTGGATCCAACCCTTGCCCAGCCAAGCTGTGGGCAGGCAGAGGGGCTTGCACCCGGGAGGGCCAGCCCTTCCACCCCACCTCCTCCAGCCTCGCCATGGTAGGCAGCTGAGCTTCCTGAAAGCTCAGTACAGACTCGCAAGCTGGCAGACCCCAGAGGCCCGAGAGATGCTGGCTTCCAACTCCTTCTGTAACCACCAGTGAGACAGAGGCCGGGCACCCTCCCCAAGGTCACCCTCACAGGTTCCTGGCTCTTCCCCATGCTGCTGCCCCCTCTCCTGGCAACTTCCCTCCTCCCATCTGCCTCCCTCACATAACAATTGCAGTCATAATAACTGACACCATGCCGGGCACTGAGCTGTGTGCACACGGCTTACTCCTTTAACAACCTACAGGGAGGGTGCCATTTTTAATGCTGTTTTCACTGGGAGATTATTGAGGCATGCAGCAGTAAAGAGAGCTCCCCAAGTTCTCCTGGCTGGGAAGTAGTACAGCCCAGAAGCTCCAAACAGGGCCACTCTGGACACTGACTCCTTTTCTTTCCCCCTCCCACTAAAGATGACCCCTTGAGAGCCAAGATGGTCTTATTCTTCTGTTTCTCCAGCTCTGTTCACAGAGGAGGCATGGATGCACATTTAACTTTCCACGCATGCATTCATTCAATATGCACTGAGCACAGGCGCCGGGCCCTGTGCTGAGTGAATCAGTGAACCCTCTTCCCCACATTGGGCTATCCAGAGGCTCAAAAGACATTTGCCCCAGGGCACAGAGATTCAAACGAAGGATGAAGTTACTCTGGCAGCCATTACCTCCCAGCATCTCCCATTGGCCTGAAAGGGGCAGGGCAGTGACCACACCCTCATGTTACAGCAGAAGAAATGAAAGCTCAGAGATATGAGGAGCCCTGTCGAAGGTCATACAGCCATGTCTCAGGTGGGGCAGCCTCTGGAACCCAGGAATTCTGCACCCCACAGAGCTCGGTCAGCAGAGAAGACTGCCTGCCCAGGCATGGGGATGACTTCGCTCTTGATGGAATCCCAGTTTGCCTGGGACCATCACAGTTTATACCCCTCAGTCTCAGGCAAGCTGGACAGCTGGTCATCCTAACTCAGGACCTCCCAAGTGCCACAAGCCCAGGCTTTCGGGTCCAGCTACCTGGTCTGGGATCCAATTTCCCTCCCTTCCAAAGACTAGGATCTTGGATAAGGGAGGGCTCCTCTGAGCCCCTGGTCCTCCCTCCCCCACCCAAGGACCTGTGGGCCCCGCCTCAGGCTGCCTTAACAAGTTGAAGTCAGTAGGCCTATGCCAGAGGAGCCACCAGGCCTGCCCAGTTCCTTAGGGAATGTTGGCTGAGCAAGGAGGCCCAAGGCCTCCTTAAAGAGACAGGCACAGGCTATAGCCAAGCTCCACATATTTAACAGGCAGCTCCTGTGAGCCATGAATCAGCATCCCAGGGCCCTTTGGACAACACAGAAGCATTTTCCCAGCCAGGTCTCTCTTGCAGCTATTGGGGTGAGGGTGGGGGTGGGACAAGGAGGCCTGCGAGAAGGGGCCTGGGCACAGGAAGGCTGCTCCTCTGCCAGCTGCAGGGCTTCCTTGGGGATCTATAGGTGCCAGGCACAGTTACCAAGACACATGGAGAAAGGGCTGCAGTGGGAGGCATGAGGCCTCTCTGGCTCCAGGCTTGATCCTCCTGCTGCCTAGTCATGTAATCTCAGATGGGCCCCTGAGCTTTCCCAGGCCTTACTGTCCCTGGAACAATGGCATCTGGCCTCTGCAACTGCTAAGCCCCCTTCTAGCCTTGCTAAGATCCACTGACTGAAACCAGTCTTCCAGATTCCCAGTGTTAGCTGGCTGAATCCTAGGCCTTCTGGTCCCTGGGTCTCAACACTCAGCCTGATAGAGTAGATGCTGAGGAATGCACAGTAGAAAGATGGATGGATGGATGAATGGGAGGGTGGATGGGAGGATGGATGGATAGATGAATGGATGGGTGGGTGGATGAATCAATGGATGGATGGATGAATGAATAAATGGACAGATAGATGCATGCATGGATGGATGGATGGATGGATGGATGGATGGATGGATGGGAGGATGGGTGGGTGGATGGATGGATGGATGGATGGATGGATGGATGGATGGATGAGAGGCTGGCTGGATGGATGGGTGGATGAATGAATGAATGGATGGACAGGAGGGTGGGTGGATGGATGGATGAATGGATAGATGGATGGATGGGAGGCTGGATGAATGGATAGATGGATGGATAGATGGATGGATGGGAGGCTGGATGAATGGATGGATGGATAGATGGATGGATGGACAGATGGGAGTCTGGATGGATGAATCGGTGGAAAGATGAAAGGATGGGAAGCTGGATGGATGAATGGCTGGCTGGATGAATGGACAAATGCATGGATGGATGAGAGGCTGACTGGCTGGCCATTTGGCTGGATGGATAGGAGGGTGCATAGGAGGCTGGCTGGATGAATGGATAGGAGGCTGGGATGGATAGGTGGGTGGACGGATGGATGGATGAATGGATGAATTAATGAATGAATGAGTGAATGAATGAATAAATAAGTGGATGGATGGATGGACAGGAGGCTGGCTGATGAATGGATGGGAGGATGGATGGATGGATGGATGGATGGATGGATGGATGAATGGGCAGATGGGTGGATGGGCAGATGGATGGATTAATGGATGGATGGACGGATGAATGGATGGGAGGCTAGATGGATTAATGGGGGAATGGCTGGATGAATGGACAAATGGATGGATGAGAGGCTGACTGGCTGGCCAGCTGGTGGGCTGGCTGGATAGGAGGCTGGATGGGAAGGTGGATGGGTGAATGGATGGATGGGAGGGTGGATGGGTGAATGGATGGATAGGAGGCTGGATGGGAGGGTGGATGGGTGAATGGATGGATGGGAGGCTGAATGGGAGGGTGGATGGGTGAATGGATGGATGGGAGGCTGGATGGGAGGGTGGATGGCTGAATGGATGGATGGGAGGCTGGATGGGAGGGTGGATGGGTGGCTGCATGGGAGGGTGGATGGGTGAATGGATGGATGGGAGGGTGGATGGGTGAATGGATGGATGGGAGGATGGATGGGAGGGTGGATGGGTGAATGGATGGATGGAGAGAAGGGTCCCTGAACTGGTAGACTCCTTAGTGCCCAGCATGAGCTCTGCCTGATTCCACTTAGGTAAAGGGAAATTCAATGGGCAAATGAGTCCTTCACTCCTTCCTTGCTCTCAGTTCTCATATCCACTCTACTCCCAGAGCCCATCTATTTTACCTCTAACTCTCTCTCCAACTCCCCTACCACCTCCCAACAAAGGCCACTACCCCCTCTAGCCTGGACACCGCAGCACCCATCTCACTAGGCTCCCTGCTGCCTTCCAAACCCTACTTCAGGTCATTCTCTGAGGGCAGTAGGAGGAGTTATGATGTAAATTAGCACCTACTTCCCACCGCCTCAAATCTCCCACTGGCTCTCCTGGAGCTCCTAACTGGGACTGAGTTACCTCTGGACCTCATCTTCCACTGCCTTCACGCAATCTCCGATCCCTCTGTGCTCTGCTATTAAGTGGTCTCCTTGCTGTCTCCAACAGGCACCATGCTCTCACCCACTCCAAGACTTAGAACACTCCTCTGCCACCCATCCCCAGCCTCAGAGCCAACATACCCACATTTCACCCACCTACTTCCTACTCCCCTTCAGATCTCAAGTCAGCAGCCACTTCCACAAAGAAGCCCTCCTTGACCCCCAGCCTGGACTTTTATTTTACAGCTCTTCTTACAGCTGCAGGCATGTGCTTGCATGGTTAGTAACATCTGTCCCCCAGGACACAAACCAGCATGGGCCTGGGGCTCTGTCTGTCCCATTCCCCGCTAGGCCCCTGTACCTAGCATAGCATCTGGCACTAAGTCAAGCTCATTGAGTATTAGTTTATTTATTTTAAATATAAAGGTTTTAAATAAACTGCACACAGGCTGGAGTGCAATAGTGTGATCATAGCTCACTGTAGCCTCAAACTTCTGGGCTCAAGAAATTCTCCTGTCTCAGCCCCCCAAGTAGCTGGAACTACTGGCATATGCCATCATACCTGGCTAATTTTTTTACTTTTTTTTTTTTTTTTTTTTTTTTTTGTAGAGACAGGGTCTCACTACGTTGCTCAGACTGGCCTTGAACTCGTGGGCTCAAGAGATCCTCCCTTGGCTGGGTGCAGTGGCTCATGCCTGTAATCCCAGCACTTTGTGAGGTCAAGGCAGGCAGATCACCTGAGGTCAGGAGTTCAAGACCAGCCTGGTCAACATGGCGAAACCCCATCTCTACTAAAAATACAAAAATTAGCCAGGCACAGTGGCACACGCCTGTAATCCCAGCTACTCGGGAGGCTGAGGCAGGAGAATCACTTGAACTTGGGAGGCAGGGGTTGCAGTGAGCCAAGATCGTACCGCTGGACTTCAGCCTGGGTGACAGAGCCAGATTCTTGTCTCAAAAAAAAGAAAAAAGATAGAGATCCTCCCTCTTCGGCTTCCCAAAGTGCTGGGATTACAGGTGTGAGCCACTGTATTTGTTGAGTGAATGAATGAACAAATGAATAGATGGAAGCCTGCATGAATGGGAGGGTGAAGGATGGATGGAGAGAAGCAGAGTAAGGAGCCAGGAGGGAGAGGGTGAGGGAAAAGCTGTTTTCACAGGGTGGCTGAAGGTGGAGGAGCCATTCTCAAAGGAGGTAACATCTGAGAAGAATCGGGGGCCATGGGCTATGGCTCACGCCTGTAATCCCAGCACTTTGGGAGGCTGAGGCAGGAGGATTGTGGGAGGCCAGTAGTTAGAGACCAGCTGGACAACATAGTGAGACCCTGCCTCTACAAAACATGAAAAAGTTAGCTGGTCGTACTGGTGCACACCCGTAGTCCCAGATACTCAGGAGGCTGAGGCAAGAGGATCACTTGAGCCCAGGAGTTCAAGGCTGCAGTGAACCATGATTGTGCCACTGCACCCCAGCCTGGGCCACAGAGCAATACCCTGTCTGAAAGAGAGAGAGAGAGAGAGAAAGCATCAAGGGGGAGGAGGGAGGGGCCTTGTGAGCGCTGGGGCAGAGGACACGGCATTGCAAGGATCTGCCCCACCTGGGGCCAGCACACATCTGGTACAACCAAAGGACGCAGGAGTAAGCAAGGAGGAGCAGGGTACTGGAGAGGCCAGCAAGGGGTCAGCAGAGCCCCTGGGCCCTGGGGCTGGTCCCAAGGGTGATAGGAGGAGCCAATCAAGGGCCTGGGACAGAGCAAGACTTTGTCTGACTTTCTCCCCTGAGTAGAACATAAGTTCAGGGAGGGCAGGCCCTGGTGTCTTGTTTGTGGTTGTGTATGCACCTAGTGCTGAGTTCAGTGAGTGGCAGAGTGGATTCTACACCGGCGTCGGAGGACACATCTGCCACCCCTGCTCCCCAATACAACCCATTTCCTGCCCAGCAGTCACAGGGGTTCTTCTAAAACAGGTGGTGTCTTTCCTCTGCTTCAAGCCCTCTCCTGGCTTCTGGATCACTCAGAGGAAAAGCTCAAGGCCTTGTGATGGTTCACAGGCCCTACCTCAGGGATTCTCAGCCCCAGCACTAGTGACACTTGGGCCGATGACTCTGTTGTGCAGCCTGTCCCGGGCACTGTAGGACGTTTAGCAGCATCTCTGGCCTCTACCCACTAGATGCCAGTAGCACCCACTCCCAGTGGTGACACCAAAATCTTCAGATACTACCAAAGGTCTCCTGGGCGACAAAGTCTTCCCTACTGCAGGGAGAGGAGGGATGGAGGAGACCTCTGTCCTAGACCCCTACTGAAAATAGCACCCCCAACACTTCCCACCCTGGCTCCCAGCTTTATTTTCTCCATAGCTCCTAACAGCATCTGCCATTTCTTTGATTTATTTGTGTGTTCAGTTGGTCTGACTCTCAACCTAGAATGAGCTCCCTGAGGGCAAGTCCTAGCTTGGATCTCCCCTGGGGCAGCACAAGGTGATCTCCCTCTGTTTGCAGAGATGATGCCTTAATCTCCTGAATTTGGATCCTATCTCTTTGAATTCGGATTGTCACTCCCTGTTTGACGGAAGAAAAAACTGAATAAGAAAAAAAAATGGAGGCTGGGCATGGTGGCTCATCCCTGTAACCCCAGCACTTTGGGAGGCCAAGGTGGTCAGATTGCCTGAGGTCAGGAATTCAAAACCAGCCTGGCCAACATGGTGAAACTCCGTCTCTACTAAAATTACAAAAATTAGCTGGCTATGGTGGCGGGCACCTGTAATCCCAGCTACTCGGGAGGCTGAGGCAGGAGAATCGCTTGAACCCGGGAGGCAGAGGTTGCAGTGAGCCGAGGTCGTGCCACTGCACTTCAGCCTGGGTGACACAGCGAGACTCCATCTCAAAACAAACAAACAAACAAACCAACAGGATCAGAGAGGTTGGGTGACTTAGCCCAAGGATGATCGGCTTAGCCTGTGATGCTGACAGGACTGAAACCTAGGGCCTCTGCCTCTAAATCTCAGTTCATTTGACTCTGTCTGTGTCCCTGACAGGCCTCAGCCTGGGACAGGGTGGGCAACGAAGAGGCCAGAGCAGCTGGGTCCCAGGAAATGAGCACTCCATTGGGGCTCGAACCCAGGACCACCTGGATATGAAGCAGATGAGAGATCTCCCCACCAGGCATGAGAGTTGGGGGAGCGGGGGGGCGGTTATTGCTGGGGATGCAGGTGAAATTATTCCAGTGATTCATTCATCCTAATTGACAAGGTTCTATTGAATTCCTTAAAAGCCCCAGGCTGTGCATTTTGGAAAACATGGCTGCAGTGCACTGGGAAATGTCCTCTGATATCATGCAGGACAGCAGACACTCTTTAAAGACAAAAGTTGGGCCAGGGACAGTGGCTCAAGCCTATAATCCCAGCGCATTGGGAGGCTGAGGCAGTAGGATCACTTGAGCCCAGGAGTTCAAGACTAGCCTGGGCAACACAGCGAGACCTCATCTCTAAAGAAAACAATAAAATAAAATAAATCAACCAGGTGTGGTGGCGCATACCTGTAGTCCCAGCTACCTGGGAGGCTGAGGCAGGAGGATCACTCGAACACAGGAGGTTGAGCCTGCAGTGAACCATGATTACGCCACTGCACTCCAGCCTGGGCAACCAAGTGAGATCTTGTCTCTTAAAAAAATAATAATAAAATAAAAAAATGAAAAATAAATAAAAAGGATAAAAGTTTGTTGAATTTACCCAGTATACATTCCAATTGGGGTGGGATGCTCAGGAGAATGGGGTGCAATTTCCTGAAGAAGAGAATGAGCTTTTCATAAATTACCAGGAGGAAAATAGTGCATGTCAGAATAAACTCTGTCAAGAAATACAGCAGGGCAGCCGGACAGTTAATAATTCAGAGCTGTTCCATAGCACTCCTCGGGATTTAAAAAATATTTCCTTGGGATTGTTGCTTAAAAATACTGTTAATGGCCGGGAACCTTCTCATTGTCATTAATGGGCCAGCTGGGTGGGGCTCCTGGTGGTCCCCCAGGAAAACACCAGGGACACCCATCTCATTTTCCTCGCAGAGCCCAGGATGGGCGGTGAGGACTGGCAGGCTCAGAGGGGGCAAAAGTCCAGCCCCAGACCACACAGCTAGGAAATGGTGGCTGGAGCTCCAATGGGAACCCAGGTTGACTTTCAATGACTCCACCCTGACTCCGGGCAAGGGTTTCCCCTTCTCTGCACTTCCAGTTTCCTCATCTGTAAAATGGGGACCCATGTATTAGCTCAGAGAACAAATATTTATGGAGTACTTGATTTTTTGTTTGTTTTTTGAGATGGAGTCTCGCTCTGTGGCCCAGGCTGGAGTGCAGTGGCACATCTCGGCTCACTGCAACCTCCGCCTCCCAGGTTCAAGCAATTCTCCTGCCTCAGCCTCCCGAGTGGCTGGGATTACAGGCGCCCGCCACCACGCCCGGTTAATTTTTGTATTTTTTAGTAGTGACAGGGTTTCGCCATATTGGCCAGGCTGGTCTTGAACTCCTGGCCTCAGGTGATCCACCTGCCTCGGTCTCCCAAAGAGCTGGAATTACAGGCATGAGCCACTGTGCCCAGCCGGAGTATTTGTCAAAATCCAGGTGTTAGGATGGACGGTAACCGAAACAGACCCAGTCCTCTCACTTCATGGAACTCGGTCTGGTGGAAGAGTCAGACAGTGACCAAATATATCTCCTCAAAAATGGTAATCGGTATATCTAGAAAACAAAGACGAGTAAAGGGACAGGGGGGAGGGGGGAGATTTCAGTTAGGATAATCAAGGAGAGCCTCCCTGGGCAGGTGGCAATTGATGACAGACCTGGAAAAACAGAGAGGGAGCTGAGAGGCTTTCAGAAGAAGAGGGCGGTGAGAACCGCAAGTGCAGGGGCCCTGGGAGGGGCTTTGCCTGCAGTATTGGAGGAACAGAGAGGGGCCAGCGTGGCTGGAGCACAGCGAGCCAGCGGGAGAGAGGTGGGAGGAGAGGTCAGAGAGGACGGCAGCGGCCAGCTCCTGGGAGACCCTGTAGACGTTTGAATTTTATTCTAAGAATGATGAAGATCTGCCACAGGGCTGGTTTGCAGGGGATGGATTGGTTATCTATTTTATTGGTTTATCTATTTATTGGATTGGTTATCTATTTTAAAAAGATCCCCTGAATGCCAGACACAGTGGGTTGTGCCTGTAATCCTAGTGCTTTGAGTGGCTGAGATGGGAGGATCACTTGAGGGTAAGAGTTTGAGACCAACATGGACAAAATAGCAAGACCCTGTCTCTCTATATATATGTTTTTTAATTTAGACCGGGCACAGTGGCTCAAGCCTGTAATCCCAGCACTTTGGGAGGCCAAGGCGGGTGGATCACCTGAGGTCAGGAGTTCGAGACCAGCCTGGCCAACATGGCGAGAGCTCATCTCTACTAAAAATACAAAAAAAAAAAGACTTAGCCAGGCTTGGTGGTGCATGCCTGAACTCCCAGCTACTACTCAGGAGGCTGAGGCAGGAGAATTGCTTGAACCCAGGAGGTGGAGGTTGCAGTGAGCCGAGATTGCACCATTGCACTCCTGCCTGGGTGACAGAAGGAGACACCGTCTCAAATTAAAAAAAAAAAAAACTATGTGTGATGGTGCACACCTGCGGTCCCAGCTATTCAAGAGGCTGAGTGGGAAGGATCACTTGAGCCCAGAAGGTTGAGGCTGCAGTGAAGTATGGTCACACCACTGCACTCCAGCCTGGGCGACAGAGCAAGACCCTGTCTCTACAAAAAAAATAAAAAATAAAAGACCCTCTGAAAAGTCTCCAGATTAAATTGTCAAATGAAAAATGAACAGGACAGAACCACATGCACAGTATGCTACTGTCGGCTTTAAAAAAAAAAAAGGTATGCATTGTATATACATAAAATTATCTCTGGCATGATAGATGAAAATAGGAGAAGCTGCCTGCCTGTGAGGAGGAGTCCTGGCTGGCTGGACTGGGTGGGAGGGATCATTTCTACATTTTTTCTTGCACCTTTTGAATTTTGAACCATGCAAATTTGTTACCTAGTCAAAAATAAATAAATAAATACTTTTTGGAAGTAAAGAAAAAAAGAAAAAAGAAAATGAAAAAGAAAGGCCCCTCTGGCTGCCGTGTGGATAATGGATTATAGATTCACCAGGGTGGCTGGGGTGGGAAGGAGGCTTGAGTGAGTTGGTGGGGATGAGGCTGGGGGTGGGATAGTGGGGAGGGGGCTGAGGTGGGGAGGAGGCTGGGGTAGGTTGGTGGGGAGGCTGGGGTGGGGAGGAGGCTGGGGGTGGGATGGTGGGGAGGAGGCTAGAGTGGGGAGGAAGCTGGAGTGCAGAGGAGGCTGGTGTGGGTTGGTGGGAAGGAGGCTGGGGTGGGGAGGAGGCTGGATTGGTGGGGAGGAGGCTGGGGTAGGGAGGAGACTAGGGTGGGGAGGAGGCTGGGGTGGGGAGGTGGGGAGATATTTTCAGTTCCACTGTGTAGATGAGGACTGTGAGGCTCAGACAGGCCAAATGCCAAGCTGCAGACCTTTCGGCTGGAAAATGGAGGATGGGCTTGGATGAGAACCCAGGCCCATCAGGGTCCTCATTACCTCCCTTCTGTTCTCTGCTATGTGTTCCCTTGAGGCCCCGGTATGAGGGATTTGGTTCCCTGGGTCCCGTACCTACAGCAAGATCTTGACCACAATAGGTGCTCATAAATGTTTGCTGAGTGATGAATTTGCTCATTTGATCATTCATTCATTCAACAAATGTATCAGTGACTCCTCTGTGCCAGGCATGGTGCTAGGGCCCTGGGATTCAGCCTTGAACAAGAGAAAGCTCCCACCGTTTTGGAGCTCACATTCTCAGGGGGCAGGGGTGTGACAGGCAATCAAGATATGTATAATATGAGCACTAAGAAGAAGAGAGCAGACCAATTGAGAGGGGAGGTGCCTTCAGATGGTCAGGGAGGGCTCGGAGGAGGAGGGCATGTGACAGTAGAGACTTGAAGAAGTGTGGGTTGGGTGCCTGTAATCCCAGCACTTTGAGAGGTTGAGGTGGGAGGATCCGTTGAGGCCAGGAGTTCAAGACCTTCCTGGGTAACAGAGAGAGACTCCGTATCTACCAAAAAGCCGGGTGTGGTAGTGCACGCTGTGATCCCAGCTACTCTTGGAGGCTGAGATGGGAGGATCACTTGAACCCAGGAAGGTGGAGGCTGCAGTGAGCCATGGTTGTGCCACTGCACTTCAGCCTGGGCAACAGAGTGAGATCTTGTCTCAAAAAAAGAAGAAAAAAAAAGCGGTGTGGAGTTTGCCCCGGGGACACTGGGGGAAGGCCATTGTAGGCAGAGGGAACAGCAGGTGCAAAGGCATGAGGTGGGCTCGTGCTTGAAATGTCTGAGCAACAGCAAAGAGGGGCAGTAGAGTGAGCCAGGGGGACAGGCAGCCAGGCTAGGCCATGCCTCGTGGGTGCTGGATTCCTCCGGGGATGGCAGAAGGCTATGGAGGGCTCTGAGCAGGGGCTTAACAGGCTCCGAACGAGGTTTAAAGCGAATGAAGCTGCGCCCTGTACCATCTGTGGCGTGGGGACCGTGGCGGCCTAAGCTGCACAGGCTGCCTTGCAAGATTCTGGGAGAAGAAAATCTCAGAGTGCTGAGGCCAGAGGGACTGCCCCACCCTGCAAGGATCTTGGGTGTTCTGGAGGGGACCTGGCAGTGCAGACAGAGCCTGGGGTTCATGTCCTGACTCTACCACCTCCCAGGCGCAGAGCTCAAGACTGCTCCTGGGACCTCCGCTGTCTGCCTTGTCACAGGGGGACAGGGTCAGGGAGGGAGAAGGATTCCTGAAGGCTGGCGATGCTTGGTGTCCCGCAGTGCAACTGCCAGTGGCAGAGCCCGACCCGGGCAGCTGAGGCCCACCAGGAGGAAGCAACGGCCTGGAGGCCGAGGGGCCACCGCCACCTCCACTGCCCGTCGCTGCAGTCCTGGCTCTGGCTCCGGAGGCCTGGCTGTGGCCTCCTGTGCTTTCACCATCTGTGCACTGCGCTGGCCAGGCGTGCCCTGCTCTAGGGTGCCCATCTGGACGCCAAGCTGACAGCACATCCGGCTCGAGCAGGGCATCTTACAAACCATCGTTAGACCTGTCAGGCTTCCAGCAATTTTGTTTGGTTTTGGTTTGGTTTGGCCCCACTCCTCTCCTAGGGAAGGGAGAGGTCAGGGAAGGGAGAGGAGAAAGGAGCTCAAGCTTCCTGTCTACTCTTTCTGGGCTGGCCAACACTCACCATCTCATTCTGTCTTCTCAGTCCCCATTGACAGGTGGGGAAACTGAGGCTGAAAATGGTGACTGTCCAAGGCCACTTGAGGGTTAAGTAGCAAAGCCAGAAGTTAAATCCAGGGCTACTCTTGGAGGCTGAGGTGGGAGGATCGCTTGAGCCCAGGGGAAGGTCAAGGCTGCAGTGAGCCATGGCTGTGCCACTGCACTTCAGCCTGGGCAACAGAGTGAGATCCTGTCTCAAAAAAAGAAAAAAAGAAAAAAGCAGTGTGGAGTTTGCCCTGGGGACACCGAGGCAAGGGCATTGTAGGCAGAGGGAACAGCAGGTGCAAAGGCATGAAGTGGGCTCGTACTTGAAATGTCTGAGCAACAGCAAAGGAGGGCAGTAGAGTGAGCCAGGCTGGACCACGCCTCATAGGTGCTGGACCTTCTCCCCAGTCCCAGTTCCCACTGGCACCTGACTCCTGGTAGGGGCTTGGGTGTGGGTGGGGTAGAGAAAACAGCATCCTCATTCCAGATTCTGGGCCAGGAAAGGCTCCTGGCCATGGTTCCTCTGTGGCGGTGGGGAAGAGGGCCGGCGGGCAGGCTGTGCTGTGAGCCTGGCTCCCTCCTCCCTGTGGAGGGGCCATGACCCCGGCTCAGGTGACACAGCACCTGCAGCACGAGCCGCCACCTGCCTGGCCTGCTGGTGACAATATTCCCCGAGCAGCGGGCAGGCTAGGGGGCCTCGGTTCACCGGCCCAGCCTCGGGAAGCCCAGAGAGAGAGGTCAAGTGTGCTGCTGCCAGGCTTCCAGAAGCTTCTCCAATTTCTGCGGTCCCAGCAACTTTTGGTACGGATCTAGGGCAGTCTGACCCCTGCTGGACCCCTCACAAATGCCGGGTCCCGTATGCACACTTGAAGGTCGCTGCCACCACGAGCAAGGCCTTCTGCCCTTGGCCTGTTAGGGGCCTTGGAGACTCTGGAGAAAACCCCCAGTGGCACCACTGGGCCCAAGAGCCACCAGCAGCCAGCGCCATTGTCGCCACTGTGGGTTAAGAACTACCCTCCCTCTACTGTGGGTTAAGAACTACCCTCCCTCTCCCACTTACCTTTTAAAAAATGCCTATAATTTTACAAAGGAGAAAATGTGAAGTCTTTTTTTTTTTTGAGACCGAGTCTTCCTCTCTCCCCTAGGCTGGAGGGCAGTTTGGACGATCTTAGCTCACTACACCCCCACCTCCCGGGTTCAAGCGATTCTCCTGCCTCAGCCTCCTGGGTACCTGGGATTACAGGCACCCGCCACCATGCTCGACCAGAAAATGTGGTCTTTTACATATCAAGGAAATAGTAACTGGCTGGAAAGCAGGAAAGAGCATCAACTCCCTATTAGACTCATCGGAGCCGAACTCCCTGTTAGACTTATCGGACCCGAACTCTGATCTTGATCTGCACTTCAACCAGTGGCCTCAGCCCACTCCCCTGGTCTTGCATTTGTCTCACTGTCTCCCCTAAAGACATCCCTTCCTCCCCTTCACCAAGCATGTCCCCCTTGGGGTCAGCCCTCGCCTGGACTATTGCAGTAGCCTCCAGGCTAGTCTCAGCTACCCTGTACACCCTCCAAATAGGCCACAGAGTCTTTGTCTCAAACACAGGCCAGACCTCCTGCCCTTACTCAAAACCCTACCATGGGCCTCTGGTGGCCCCAGGATTAGGTCTTGACACCCTAGTCTGGCCTTCAGGATCCTTCCTGTTCCAGCTTGGCCTGTCTCTCCAACCCACCCCTTACCACCCCCTGGGTCATTAAGAGCATAGGCTTTGTAGTTGCTGTGTGACCTTGGGCAAGTTACTTAACTTATCTGAACCTTGATTTCTCATCCATGAAAGTGAAATAGGTCTCTGCCACAAGGGGAGCAGGGTTTCAATTGTGCGATTCCAATAATCTCATGTGTGTAGCACTGGACTAGGATATACAGTGGGTGCTCAATAAATGTAGCTATCCTTATTTGTCACTACCCCATGAAACGACTAAAAATCTCCCACAGCATACTCTGCGGAGCCTATGCAGATGCTGCGTCCTCTGCCTCGGCAGCCTAGTGAACTCCTATTAATCCTTCAACACCCCTCTCAGGCAATGCCCTGACTGGCCTGGTGTCAGCTGTCCTTTCTCAGAACCCTCCTCCATATTGGCCAGATTGCTGCACTAGAATTCTTCCCTTTACTTGTCAGTCTTCCACCATATGACTGTGGGTTCCTAGGGGCAGTGGCTATAAATGACAAAACTGAGCCAGCCAGGGAGGGCTGGGGTGATGAGGGAAGGGGTATGAGACAGGAAGGAGGGAAAGGTGGAGGGAGAGAGGCTCTGTGGTTGGCCAAGGCAGAATAAAGCTTTCATTCAATCATTTGTTCATTCACCCATTCATTCAACACATGCATACTGACCTACTCTATTTAAAGCCCCTTGCTAGCTTTCCCCAGCTTCTAGAATCACTCCAAAATCTCTCGGCCAGGTGCAGTCAAGTATTTTGGGAGGTCGAGGTGGGAGGATCGCTTGAGTCCGGGAGTTCGAGACCAGCCTGAGCAACATGGCAAAACCCCATTTCAAAAAAAAATACAAAAATTAGCCAGGTGTGGTGGCGCACACCTGTAGTCCCAGCTATCTGAGAGGCTGAGGCGGGAGGATCACTTGAGCCCAGAAAGTTGAGGTTGCAGTGAGCCGAGATCGTGCCACTGCACTGCAGCCTAAGTGACAGAGGAAGACTGTCTCAAAAACAACCCTGTCCTCCATGGGTGGCCCTCGAAGCCCCAGGAACCCAGTCCTCCCCAGTGGACCGCTCCACCCTCAGTCTCCCTGTCCCTTTCTGTCCCTCCCTGTGCTCCAGGACTCTGGCTCCCCTTTGGTTCCTCAAGCAAGACCACCTTCTAGAACGCCCTTCTTCTGACCTTTCCAGGACGACCCCCAGGACAGGCCCCTATCACTCTGTATAAACAGGGTCTCACCCCCACAGCGCGGGTTCCGCCTCAGTCCTGTGTCTCCTACCTCATTCTCACCCAGCCCACGCCCAGACGCACTTGTGGGATCAGGGGATTAACACCCACCTTCTCAGTAGGCTGCGAGCTTCCCACTTCCCAGCATGCCTGTGGTGACTAGCGCCCACCCGGAGCGCCCCAGGAGACCAGAGCCAAAAGGGACCTTGGTGAGCATCGAGGTCCGCCCCCACGTGTTGTAACAACAATAATAAAAAATAATATTTCCAACAACAACAGCAGCAGCTAACACTGCCCACGTGCCAGGCGTTTCGCCTTCCGTGCAGTTTCCTCGAATCCACGCAACAACCCCATACAGAGAGCTCCAGTTCCATCCCCATCTTACAGAGGAGAAAACTGAAGCTGGGCAAGGCTGGCCAGGCCCCTGGGTTGCAGGCCCTGCACTCTTCGGTCACCACTAGGCTGTGCTGCCAGATGACCATGGTGGCAACACTGGACGGGGTTGGGGCTCCACAGACTTGAGCTCTGTGATCCCAAACAAGTCCTAGACCTTTCTGGCCTCAGTCTCCCCATCTGGAAAATGGAGCTAACCACAGTCTCTTCATCAGACTGAATGTTCACAGGAGGGAGGGACTGTCAGGGCTTCCAAGTACAGAGAGAGGGGACGGGTACCATGAGGGCAGGATTATGGGGGTCCCCAGGGCCTCCCCCACAGGTAAAGCCCCACCCAAAGCCAGTTCTGCCCAAGGCCTGCTCCAAGAGGACCCCTGCAAGGCAGGGTGAGTGGAGTCCTCCCTGGGGAGTGCCCAGTGCCCACACACTCCCTTCTAGAGAAAGAAGACAGCACTGTGCACAATGAGACCAGGGGACCCGGGGTGTGTGGGGGCCACCAGGTGGGGCACAGCACACCCTCCACTGAACCCTGAGCCATGGGGACCCTGAGCGCTCCCAGCCCTCCTGACACCTGCTTCCCCTTGCCACATGGGCCCTGGCAGTGGGAATGGGGCGTCTGCCGGAGCCTCTCCTGGGCTGTGCCAACCTCCCTATGCCCAGACAAAGCCCCCCTCCCCCGGCCTCCGGGGAAGGGGTGGGCCAGTGAGGGAGCTGACAAAGGGAGCCAGTGGGGCTGTGCCTGGGGCTCGTGCCACCCCACTCCCCGACCTGCCCACAGTGCCCACATCCCCCTCCTGCCACTTGGCCGGCTGGGGCGCCCGGCACCGTTGCTATGGCGGCAGCTCTGGGGAAGCTGCAGCTGGGTAATTATTGCGAACATCCATCCTGCCTCCAGCCCGCCCCAAGAGCCGGGCAGCGAGCAGCGGGGCCAGGGCAGCCCCTCCTCACCCGCCGGGCAGCCGCACCCTGGCCTGGCACGATGCCTGCCCGAGGTACAGTGGGGAGGACAGCCATGCAGGCTGCTGCAGCAGACAGGAGCCAGCCCAGGGGCTGGCCAGGAAACCCCCACTTTCGCCCTGGCCCCCCAGCCCTGGGCCACCCTTGGAGCTGACCGGCCGGCCCAGAACTTATTTTTTCCAGCTATAATACACACACCAAACCAGCCAGAGAACCTCCTTTGTTCAAACAGAATCCTTCCTCTGCCGTTTTGGGGGCAGTGGAAGCCAAAGCAGCCAGAATGGGCTCTGGCCTGTCACCTAGGGACGGTCCCCTCGATGAGGCGGTTCCCCTGGGGCCCCACTGTGGGCCCCGCCACCTCCTCAGCCTCAGAAGCTCGCCTTGGCCCTGGTGTCTAAATATAGCTCTGCCGGGCCAAGCCTGAGGTCTCACACTCCCAACTGCCCCGGGTGGCCGGGGGAGGAGATTCATTCAGGCCTCGAGAGAGCATTTCAGGAGCCACTTAGGGCTGAGCTCAGGGCCCCCACTGTGACGCAGGTGTGCCTCTGCCTGTGGGGCTTGCGGACCCCCTCAGGAGACACACAGATATGATTTTGAGTAGCTAACTCGATCGAGAAAACACAGACCAGGACTCCCCTCGCCCAGCCTGGAAGCAGGATGCGTCAGGGCGGGAGGGAAAGGAAGGGGTCTAGGCTGGGGAGGGGAGGCACCAAGGGGAGAGAGAGGAAGTGTGGTCTGGCGCTGGAACAGATTTGTGTGGTAGAATGTGGGGTGCGCCCCAGCAGGACATGGGCTAGGGAGCAGTGGCCGGGGGTCAGCAGGGTGCAGAGCACAGGGATGCCGTCTCTTCTCCTTTTGGCTCCACTGCCCCTCAGGGCCCTGCACAGGCTGGCACTCGGCAGGAGATACCGCTCAGATGTTATTTTCCAAAGAATCCCGAGGCCGGGCACGCTGACTCACGCCTGTAATCCCAACACTTTGGGAGGCCGAGGCGGGTGGATCGCTTGAGGTCAGTTCGAGACCAGCCTGGCCAACATGGCAAAACCCCATCTCTACTAAAATACAAAATTAGTTGGGCGTGGCAGTATGTGCCTGTAATCCCAGCTACTCGGGAGGCTGAGGCAGGAGAATCGCTTGAACACGGGAGAGTCTCCCGGTGAGCTGGGATCACACCACTACACTCCAGCCTGGGCAACAGAGCAAGACTCCATCTCAAACACACACACACACACACACACACACACACACACACACACACACACACACACACAGAGAGAATCCTGGTGGCCAGAGTGGAAGTGGAGGCAGCACAAAGGAGGGGGACAAGGTGGCGGGAGCAGCAAGGGGCCACGGGCGAGGCAAGGGTCCCCTGGAGCTGCAGGTGAGAGAGGAAAATGAAGGAGAATCCACAGGACATGGGGGATGAGAGCAAGGGAAGGATTCAGGCTGCCTGTGCCCCTCCCCAGACCTTGGTCATCGAGCCGCTGACCAGGGCCCTGCTTGGGGGACAGACACTCTAAAATAAAAGGGTAAATATCTGTTGAAAGAGAGCCCGGCCCCTGCTCACCACCAGACATTAGGGCCTCGGGGAGAAGGCCTTCTGCTCAGCTAGTGCGGGTGGAGGGAGAGCAGCCTGGTCCCTGGCACAGCCTTCTGGGTAGGGACTGTCTCAGCCTCAATGGCCTTTGGACCTCCCACTTTCAGTCCCAGCAATAAATCTTCCCAACAGCACACGGTTTTCTACCTGAAAAGCTCTTTCCATCCAGCATCCTCTGCTAGCTTCAAACAGCCCTGGCACTGGGCCAGGCAGGGAGGCACAGCCATTGCAGAGGTGAGGAAACTGAGGCTCAGAGAAGTGAGGCTCAGAGATCTGCCCAGGCATGGAAAGGGGAGGGACCATGACTAAGCACCCACTAAGTTACAGGGGCCTTTGCAAACATCACCTGGGGCTGCAGCTAGAAGGCGGAGAGTAGAACTTGAAGTCAGGAGTAGAACTTGAACTTCCGACTGATTCCCTGGTCCTGGGCTCCCCTGTCCTCCTGAGACAGAGGCTAATAGGAGCCAAGACGGGGCCATTCCTTTTAGCACCATGTTTTCTGAGAATATAAGCTGGAGAGGGTGGGGCAGGAGGTCTGAGACAAACAAAACTGCACTTTGGAATTATCCAGTCTGACTGCAACCACCTCTATCTTACAGATGGGGAAACTGAGGCTCTGGCCTGGCCCAGGCCCAAAGAACCCACTGTTTCCCAGATCTTGGAGTAGCTGAGACTGGGTAAGTAAGTCCCACTGATCCCAGAGCTCTTTTTGGATCCAGCTGTCCACACAGCATCTGGGGTTTTAATTGGGTATTTTGGGGAAGGATTCTGAATGCAAATTTGGAAGAGAGCTCTGGGCCAGCCCTGCAGCTAATGTCAGCCATGGGAACTCACAGGCCACTGGGTTAGAGTGATGTGGATCAGGTGTGATGCAGAGGAGCATGTGAGAACCAGCACCAGCCACTGGTAGGACTCGCATTAGTGCAAGTGACCACAATGGTGGGTGCCAGGCACCATAAGGGAGAAGATGGTGGTGGGGCCTTCAAAGAGTGCCTGGAGCGTGGCGAAGCTTCCGGGCGGCGTGGCGAGGCTTCCGGACGTCGCACTACGACTGTTATTGTCCTTGTCCCTCTGCACCAGATCTCCATCCTGGCTGTTTTTCACAGCGTCCCCAGAAAGACTCTGTGAGGGAAGGTCTATTATTATCTCCATTTTCAGGTCGGGGGGCATTTAGATGGGAGAGAAATTTGGGGACTGGGGGAGTTCTTCCCCTTCTCCCTGAAATTGCCCCAGGCCGGGGACCCTGTCTCCCACCCACCAACAGGGCAAGCCAAGATGGTTGAAAAGTTCTCCTTGGCCCAGCTTTAAAAGCCAACCCAACAGAGTGATTGGAAGTCCAAGAGTAAGGAGAGCTTAGTTTGGACTTCCCAGAAGGCAAGTTTTTATATAATACCGATCACAAATTTGGTACCCGTCCTCTTCAGTAGTGCCAGGGGTTCAGCTGGGTACCTATCTTGGAGAAACTGCTGGAGTGCACAGTGAGGCCTGTTCAGGGCTGTGTGTGGGAGTGAAATAATGGAAATGTCCATTTATAGGCCAGAGGGCAAATAAAGGATGGACCAGCTCACACACAGAACACTGCACAGCACGGAGGAGGAGGCAGGTCTGTATGCACTGACTCAGAAATGTCCATGACACGTTGTTCAGTGAAAAAGAAGGCATTGGCCGGGCGCGGTGGCTCACGCCTGTAATCCCAGCACTTTGGGAGGCCGAGACGGGCAGATCACTTGAGCCCAGGAGTTTGAGGCCAGCCTGGACAACACGGTGAGACCCCCCATCTCTACAAAAAAAAAAAAATACAAAAATTAGCCAGGCCTGGTGGTGTGTGCCTGTAGTCCCAGCTACCTGGAGGCTGTGGTAAAAAGATTACTTGGGCCTGGGAAAGCAAGGGTGCAGTGAGCCGAGATCACACCACTGCACTCCAGCCTGGGGAACAGAGTGAGACCCTGTTTGAAAAAAAGAAAAGAGGAAAGGAAGGAAGGAAGGGAGGAAGGAAGGGAGGAAGGGAGGGAGGGGAAAAAAAAATAGCCCGGGTGCGGTGGCTCACACCTGTAATCCCAGCACTTTGGGAGGCCAAGGCAGAAGGATCATTTGAGCTCAGGAGTTCATGACCAGCCTGGCCAACATGGTGAAACCCCGCCTCTACTAAAAATACAAAAATTAGCTGGGTGTGGTGGTGTGCACCTGTAATCCCAGCGACTTGGGAGGCTGAGGCATGAGAATCGCTTGAACCTGGGAGGCAGGGGTTGCAGTGAGCCAAGATTGAGCCACTGCACTCCAGCCTGGGCAACAGAATGAGTCTCTATCTAAAAAAAAAAAAAAAAAAAAAAAAAGAAAAAAAGAAAAAGAAAAAGAAAGCATCTTGCAGAACAAAACATACAGAATGTTACTACTCACGTGAGACGCATACCTAAACACAATATGCACATCTAAACAGATATAAATATAGATAGTCTAGGTATAGGTGTTGGTACAGGCACGACACAGGCATAGGTAGTGGCATAGGTATAGTTACAGATATTGGTATAGGTATTGGTATAGGCATGGCATAGGTATAGGTATATACACTGACCAGCTGACAACAATGGTTTAAACAGAATGGGGCTCAGGAGGTAAAGAGGAATTACATGGCCTTTTATTCACTACATTTTATTAATGTTTGAGATTTTACAATGAGAATATTTTCCTGAAATATTCGTCTGATGCTAAAAATTAAAGAAGAAAAGCAGCTGGCCACATGGCTGGGAGCCTGAAGCAGGGCTCAGTCTGGGCGCTCATAAGAGGCAGGGTCTGTGGGGGTCAGGCCTGTTTGGTAGTCTCAAGCTACATCTGGAGACTCTTCCTAAATCCACTGTGGCTCCCTCTCCCCAAGGCCAGAGCCAGAGAGAGCTGGTTTCCACAGCAGCAGTAGCATACGCAGGTCCCTGCAATCTGGAGGTATGTGACACCGGGACATTTACCCTGTGCGGTGGGCCCACCTCTGCCACCTCTGCTCCTTGAGGCAGGGCAGGACTTCAGAATTGGCCAGAGGGCGACCTGAGACATGCAGGCAGAGAAGGGAGCCAGTGACCTCTAGGACCCCCAGGGCTTAGGCAGGATGCCGCGTGGAACCCAGAGCAGTCTCCCCAGCCTGGGCTTGCATTTGAGCCTCACAAATACCGCACTGGGGGAGGCAACAGCCCGTCTGTGCCCCTGCACTCCCAGCAGTCAGCAAGGTCAGGAGTGGGAGAGGGGAGAAGGCCTTTCATGGAGCACTCCTTAGATGCTGGGCCCTGAGCTAGACACATTTCCTACTCCCTAACTTTGGCCTTTAAATCTCGTTCAGTGAGTTCTTTTTGACACATGGAAGCTTGGGAAGTTTTTCGGCCAGCTACTGAAAACAAAGGGGTAAAATAATTCAAACAAAGCAAAGGGATGTACAGTGAAAAACAAGTCTTTTCTCCTCAGCCCCCAGTCCCCGCCCGGGAGAACCCATGTGCGCACTGGAGCACATGCACGTGTGTTCCTGCCCCCTCCTTGGTACTAACAGAAGCGCTCCCCACAAAGTGCGCTGTATCTGGCCTTTTTCACAAAAAAAACATGTATCTCAGAGCTTCTTCCACAGCAGTACACGGGACCGCCTCGTTCTTTTTCATGCCTAGAATTCCATGGCATGCAAAAGTCTTTAGTATTCATGTAACCAGATCTAGAATTCTGGCTCCATGGTTTTCTGCCTTTTCCATAGGCTTATTTCTGTTCTGCACAACAGCCCTGGGAGGCAGGTGGTCCCTGTGTTAGAGATGAGGAAACCAGGGTGACGGGATTAGTCTGTTCTCACGCTGCTGTGAAGAAATGCCCGAGACTGGGGTAATTTATAAAGAAAAGAGGTTTAATTGACTCACAGTTCTGCGTGGCTGGGGAGGCCTCAGGAAACTTACAATCATGGTGGAAGGCAGCTCTTCACAGGGCGGCAGGAGGGAGAGTGATACTGAGCAAAGGGGGAAGCTGCTTATAAAACCATCAGATCTCGTGAGAACTCACTCACTATCATGAGAACAGCATGGGGGAAACTGCCACCATTATTCAATTATCTCTACTTGGTCCTGCTCTTGACACCTAGGGATTATTAAAATTCAAGGTGAGATTTGGTGGGGACACAGAGTCAAACTATATCAGTGACTCACCATCCCAGTTTGCCTGGGACTGTGCCAGGAAAACCCTCAGTTTTGGACAAACCAGGATGGTTGGTCACCCTAAAGGTAAACTGAGGCTTGGAGGGTAAGGACATTCTCCAAGATCTTGTGGTTGATCCGTGGAGGCCTGGGATGGCCACTGAAGTCCACCTGATGGTGATGATACTCTAGGAGGACAATGATCATATAGTAAGTGTCTCCTCTGTGCCTGCCCCTTCTTCAGCCCTCATAACAGCCCCAGGAGGCAGACAACGAGGCACAGATAGAACTTGTGACAGGCGAACTGGGGTCAGATCTCAGCAGCAGGGCTTGGCTGTGTGACCACTGTGGTCAGCTCCTTCTCAGCCTCCTGTCCTGGGCCCACAGCAGACATACAACAAATGTTTGTTGAGGGGAAAAAAAGGCATGAATGAAGTATTATTATCCTCATTTTATGGGAAAAACTGAGGCACAAAGAAGCTGTCCCTGGCACAGGGTCACAATTTGAACCTGGACAGGGGCTCCAGAGCCCATGACACGTTTCCCTCTTGTAGAAGGTCCTTGTCTGTAACCTGGTGGTGCCTCCTGCCTCTGACTCCTCCGGCCAGTCGCCCTGACAGCCCCCTCACCGCGTTGCACTACCTGGTCCCCTGGTCCCAGCCTCCTTTCATGGAAGGAGGTCTTGCCGTCTGCCTCCCTACTCCTGACTTGGGGCCCCTGCTCTGAACCTTCCACCCCGTCCGCCTGGACTGGATGCTTCTCCCGGATCCTGATGCCTGAGCTTCAGCTTCCCCACTCCGGACTGTTTCATGCGTTCATTCATGTGTCCAACTCTTCACTCCTTTCCTCAACAAACATTGACTGAAATTGAAATGAGCCAGTTCTACCCCGGTGTTGGGAATTCCGAGATGAATCCAGCCTGAGCTTTGTCCTTGGGGGACACAGAAAACAACAAAGAAATGGCACTTGTTACCCAGAGACCCAGAGAGATGCAGCTCTGATGGAGATGGCGCAGGCACGGGCTGCTGGGGCTTGAGTTCAGGGGTTGGGGGGAGGTTCCTAGCCTGGGGGCTCTGGAAAAGCTTCCTGGAGAAGGTTATGCTGGAGTCTGGAAAGATAAGAAAGAATTAGCAAGACAGGCATTGGGAGGGGAGGCGAGAGGTACTGTGACATCATGGACAAAGCGGTGGAAGACAGCGTGAGACATTCAAGAAGTGCACGTTGTTCCTTACAGCTGGGTCCAAGCTGTCCTCAGGTGTGGACGCGTGGCTCTAGGAAGCCCAGCACCCTCCCGAGTACCTAGCCAGCTCCGGGCCCAGCAGGGCTTCCGAGAATTTCATGTCCAGAAATTTATCAGAAAAAAACACAACAAAACAATCAGCAATGTGGACATGAAGTTACGCAGGACGGAGGATGTTTACTGCGGTGTTTTTATCACAGAAAACGAGTGAAACAGCCTCTGTGCCCAGCCACGAGAAGGGGCCACACTTGTCAAAGGGCCACCACCGGCTGGAGTCATCCAAAAGGCTGAGGAGTCAGATTTCAGAGACTACTTAAAGGCACCAGACAATGCATCTGATGTAACTGTAGGTAAAAGACAGCAAGAGGCAAACTATTTTTTATTAGGAGACCTACATATGCATATATATATATATATGAAATGATATTAGGAAGAAATGTGTCAAATGCTTCACAGTGGTTATCTCTGGTGATGGACTAACCTGGGGGTTGTAGTTCCTTTTTAAAAATAATTTCAGCCAGACGCGGTCTCTCACACATGTAATCCCAACACTTTGGGAGGCCAAGGTGGGCGGATCACTTGAGGCCAGGAATTTGAGACCAGCCTGGCCCATGTGGCAAAACTCTGTCTCTACCAAAAATACAAAAATTAGCCGGGCATGGTGGTGCATGCCTGTAATCCCAGCTACTCAGGAGGCTGAGGCAGGAGAATCACCTGGGAGGCGGAGGTTGCAGTGAGACAAGATTGTGCCACTGCACTCCAGTCTGGGGAATAGAGTGAGACCGTGTCTCAAAATAAATAAATAAATAAAAATGGGCCAGACACGGTGGCTCATGCCTGTAATCCCAACACTTTGGGAGGCCGAGGCAGGCAGATCATGAGGTCAGGAGTTCAAGAGCAGCCCGACTAACATGGTGAAACCCCATCTCTACTAAAAAATACAAAAATTAGCCAGGCATGGTGGCACATGCCTGTAATCCCAGCTACTCGGGAGGCTGAGGCAGAATTGCTTGAACCCGGGAGATGGAGGTTGCAGAAGGCCAAGATCGCACCACTGCACTCCAGCCTGAGTGACAGAGTGAGATTCCATCTCAGAAAGAAAAATAAATAAATAATAATAATCATTTCCTCGGCTGGGCACCATGGCTCATGCCTGTAACCCCAGCACTTTGGGAGGCTGAGGTGGGGGGATTGCTTGAGCCCAGGAGTTCAAGACCAGCCTGGACATGAGGATACCTTGTCTCTACAAAATACAAAAATTAGCTGGGCATGGTGGTGTGTGCCTGTAGTCCCAGCTACTCGGGAGGCTGAGGTGGGAGGATCGCTTGCCTAGGTGACAGAGCAAGACCCTGTCTAAAATAAACATTCCTGTGTTCTCTGATTTTGTAATGGTGGGCCAGTCTCACATTTTCATTTTCAGAGACAGATTCTAGGAGGCAACTCCATGAGGCCACAACTTCTCTTTCCAGCATCCTCCTGAGCCATGCCTCCCAGCCCAGCAAAAACCCCCAGGGAGCCACCCGGAATGACGTGTCGTCCTCCCATCCCGTGTACAGTGAGCCCACGTGCTCTGACTCCTGCCGTTCCTGTCTGAATGCCCTCTGCTTTCTCTCTCCATCTGGCACAGTTCCCCCAGCCCCCAGGCCCCCCTCAGGGTCCTTCCACTGGGGAGGTCATGCACACCGAGCACCCTTGCCACTGAACAACGGGTGTGCATGCCCAGATACTTGCCTGGATGGTGAGCTGCTGGGGGAAGGACCTGCCTTACCTCTTTCTTCCCCAGGGGCTTTATAGGGCCCAGGATTTATTTCTATTTGTTTCCCGCCTCCAATATCTTATTTCGAAAATGTCCAAACCAAAGATAATGGTATAATGAACACCCTTCGCTTAGATTTGCCACAATTTGCTTTTTCTCTCTCTCTTTGTCTTGCTGAACTAGTGCAGACATCTGAACACTTGGCCAGGGCTGGGGATTTGGAAGGTGCTTAACGCCTGCTGGAATCAACGAAAGGGAGAGCAAGGACACGGCGCTGCTCCCCTCTGCCTTTGGCCCCAGTGGATAACCTTGCACAGCAAAGCGCTGGCCTTTCTAAAATGCTAACACAGAGGAGCTGCCCACCTACTTGGAGGCTGGCTGCCAACAGTCAGCACAGCCCCTCTGCAGACACGCAAGGCCCCTGTCATCCCTTCCTGCCTCATCGCTCACTGAGCCCTGGAAGACAGCCTCGTCCTCACACCCACCTGCGCCCCCCATGTGCTGCTGGACTTGGGCCATGGAACCTCTGTCCTCCCCGCTCACCCAGGGAGGGCATATATCTCTTCCATGTCCCTTGCAAACCTGACATCCTCAGAGAAGTGGAGGACTTCCCTGATATTTCCTCTGCCCCTTGGCACCAAGGGCAGCCTCTGTTGGAGTGACCCATTCATCCTGGTCTGCCCAGGACTGCCCAGTTTTAGCAATGAAAGTCCAGTGTCCTGGAACCCCTCAGGCCTGGGCAAACCAAGAGGACTGGTCACCCTGGCTTCTGTTGACTCTCACTGGGTGGGCAGGACATGTTCACACTCCCACTGCCGGGAGACAGCAGCCTGAGAGTCACCAGGGGCAGGGGCTGGGCTGCTCTCTACCTCCCCAACCCTGCCAAGGCCAGGCCACAGAAGAGGCCCAAGGACAGGCTTGCTGACGCTGGCTCACTGCCTAGAGGAAAGAAGAAATGAACCAGCACAGGGCTGGGTGCAATGGCTCACGCCTGTAATCCCAGCACTTTAGGAGAAGGGCAAGGCAAGTGGATCTCCTGAGGTCAGGAGCTTGAGACCAGCCTGACCAACATGGTGAAACCCCATCTCTACTAAAAATACAAAAATTAGCTGGGCGTGGTGGCAGGCGCCTATAGTCTCAGTTACTGGGGAGGCTGAGGCAGGAGAACCGCTTGAACCCAGGAAGAGGAGGTTGCAGGGAGCCAAGATCACGCCACTGCTGCACTCCAACCTGGGTGATAGAGCAAGACTGTCTCAAAATAAAAAGAAAGAAAGAAAGAAAAAGAAACGAATGAGTAGACAACGAAACAGTAATCTTGCCTCCTTCAAATCTGCTCAGATGTCACCTCCTCCATGAGGCCTTCCCTGACTGCCATCTCAGATGATAGCCTCCCCACTCCCCACCCCCACTTTACAGGCTTCCCTAGCATGTATCACTGACTGACATTCTCCATGTCATTTGTTCACTTTCACTAGGGTCCGTCTCTTGGACTACAGTGTCAGCTCCACATGGGCAGGGGTTTTTATCTGTTTTGATCACTGAGGTATTTCTGATGCTTAGAATAATAGGTGTTCAGTAAGAATTCATTGAATGAATGAATCCTTGCTTTCCTGCAAAAGATGGAGCCTCCTGGCCTTCTCACACATTTGGTCTTTTGTTTAATTTGTTCAACAGACATCAGTGCCCTCTGCGTCACTGTGTGTGCATGCATGCATGTGTGTGGGTGTAGGTGTGTGTGCATGTGCCTGTGTGTGTGCCTGTGTTTGTGTGTGTGCAGGTGCATGTATGGGCGTGTGTGTGCGCCCATGTGTCTGTGCGTGTGTGTGCATTGTGTACTTGTTGTTTGCATGTGTGCTTGTGTGTGTGTGTGTGTGTATACAAAGCAGAGTGCCCAATCTGATGGCAGGAGGGGCAGAGGCCAGGGTGAGGACTCAAAGAGCCATCATGCCTGGTTGTATGTGAAGCCAAGGACCTGGCATTTGGGGGTGGGTTCTCTGGGGCAGGACCCTGAGCTCTTTGCAACAGCCTTAAAAGAAAGCCTGGACTGTAATAACCATGGCCAACATATATTGAACACTTGCTATGTCCCAAGCACTGTTCTGTGTGCTTCATGTATGTTTTCTCAGTTAATTCTCAAATCTCTGACATGTAATTGTCCCCATTTTGCAGATGAGGCTGGGGAGCCTAAGTGACTTGCTCAGGGGACCACAGCAAGAAAGTGGGGGTCACAGTCAGACTCTGGAGGGTGCTGCTAACCCTGGTGCTGGAGACTCCATTTGCAGAAGAGGAAGGAGGATCAGTGAGGTGAAGTCACTTGCCCAGGGTCACAGAGGTGGTCTGCTGAGATTTACAGCAGGTCCAGGACACCAGAGGAGTCTGAGGTCCCACTTGGTGGCCACCCTGGAAGAGGTGAGGGTAACCAAAGGGAAGAGGACAGAGACCCAGAGCCAGGCAGGAGCTGTGCTTGAATGCAAAACAGCTGCACAAAACTGGAGGACAGGAGGGACCGGGTCTGACTGGGGAGATGGAGGCCAACTTCTCAGCAAAGCTGTCCTTGCTTCCTCTTCTCTCCTGAAAAATGGCCACAGAAGCCGTGGACCACCTGTCTCCAGGCCTCCACATGGGCTGGCTGCCATGCACTGGCCCTGGAGAGAAGCAGAAAGGGGGGGCGGGCAGCATCCCCTGTCCCAGGCCCCTCCTCCTGCGCTCCCGGCAATGTCGGCCTGACTCACCTGGTGATACCAAGTGTATATTCTGTGTCAGGAGCTGCGGTGTGCAACTCAAGATGCTCTGACTTACTTAATTCTTACACCCAACAAGTTCCAACAGGGAAACAGAGTTCAGGCAGCGAGGTAGCTGCCCAAGCCACCAGCAGAGGGAGGGTACAAGCCCCAACTATCTGGCTCCAGAGCCTGTGCCTCTAGCCCCTACCCAGGATGCAGAGCCCTGGCTCCCCTGGCTGGCCTGGCTCTCCGCCACGAGCCTGTGTAGTCCCTGACAGCAGACACCACCCACAGTGTTCCACAGTCCAGCAAAGGGCTCAGCACACAGCAGGCTCAGCTGAAAACAATCCTTGCTCTTTGAGATATGGGAACAGTGACTTCTTCCTTTGGATGTTTCTCCCTCTACCCAAGTCTGGGAAACAGTAACAGTCTCAGTTGGACAGTACCAACACCTTTCAAAGCTGCCCCTCCTTGGAAGGCCAAGAAGTGGGCAGAACATGGGCTTCCAACCAGGCCAACCTGGAAACGAACCCCAGTTCCACCCTGCAAATCACTGCACCTCCCTGAGCCTCAGTTTCCTCATCTGTAATATGGGGTTCATAAGTGTCATTATGAGGAGCATGGTGGTGTTGGCCTGTAGTCCCAGCTACTCAAGAGGTGAGGGCTGGAGGATCGCTTGAGCACAGGAGTTTGAGGCCAGCCTGGGCAACATAGCAAGACCCTGTAACAATATTTTTTTAAATAGTAAAAAAAAAAAAAAAAAAGTCACCGTGAGGATTAAAGGAGACAACAAGAGCTGGTGCCAGGCACACAGTGGGTGTGCTCAGGGAGGGTGTATCTGTCCACCGAGCACCATGGCCACCTCCAGGCTCTCCCAAGGCCACCTTGGCCACTGCCCCCCTACTTTGAAACTATGGCTATGTAAATCATGATATGTTTGAAGCATACAGAACACACAGAAATGAGCTGTGCCCGGTCAGAGCACTCCACTCTGGCACACACGTAATCATAACAGGCCCTTGGATTCCTGAGTGTTTTCCAAGGGTTGGGGTCTGTACCATGTGCCGTTCGTGGGCGGCCTGCTTCCTTTCATTCTCACGACTTCCTGTGGAGGTGGGTCCTCGGTTACCCCAATTTATAAATGGAGAGACTGAGGCTCCAAGAGGTCCCACAGCCAGGGAGTGGTGGAAGTAGAATTTGTTTTTATGTAGATGTGTATTTATTGACATCAAAGATGTTTACCACATATTATTAAATGAAAAGCAGTCCATAGGCCAACAGAGTATAATTTGGGAGAGTATCATTAAAATATTAACAGTAGTTATCCCTAGGTGATAGGATCAAGGGCCTTACAATTCTTTTCTTTTTTTCTGCTTATCCATATTTTCTAATTTTTTTAATAACAGCTTTGTTGAGATATAATTCACATCACATACAATTCCCCTGTTTAATGCATGCAATTCAATGGTTGCTAGCATACTCACAGAATTGTGAAGCCATCACCATAATCAACTTTAGAGCATTCTCAGGCCGGGCACAGTGGCTCACACCTGTAATCCCACCACTTTGGGAGGCCAAAGTGGGCAGATCACTTGAGGTAAAGAGTTTTGGGACCAGCCTGGCCAACACCGTGAAACCCCATCTCTACTAAAAGTACAAAAATTAGCCGGCCATGGTGGCGTACCTGTAATCCCAGCTACTCAGGAGGCTGAGATAGGAGAATCACTTGAACCCGGAAGGTGGAGGTTGCAGCGAGCTGAGATCACGCCACTGCACTCCATCCAGCCTGGGCAAAAGAGCGAGACTCTGTCTCAAAACAAAAAACAAACAAACAAAAAAAACAAAAACAACAAACTTTAGAGTATTTTCATCATTCCCAAAAGAAACCTCCTGCCCATTAGCAGTCACTCCCCATTTTCCAGAACCCCCCTCTCCAGACCTAGGCAACCATATTCTGTCTCTATGGATTTCCCTCTTCTGGACATTTCATACAAATGGATTCACACAGTATGTGATCTTTGTGACAGGCTCCTTTCACTTGGCATAATGTTCTCAAGCTTCATCCGTATTGTAGCATGGATCAGTATTTTATTCCTTTTCATGGCCAATAATATCCACATTATATCTGTCAATTCATCATATTGAAAGACATTCAGGCTGGGTGTGGTGGCTCATGCTTGTAATCCCAACGCTTTGGGAGGCCGAGGTGGTCGGATTGCTTGAGGCCAGGAGTTCGAGACCAGCCTGGGACACATAGTGAGACCCTGTCTCTACAAAATACAAAATACAAAATATTATCTGGGTGTCGTGGTGCATGTGTGGAGTAGCCTTTAGTCCCAGCTACTAGGGAGGCTGAGGTGGAAGGATCACTTGAGCCTGAGGGTTTAAGGCTGCAGTGAGCCGTGATCACGCTATTGCACTCCAGCCTGGGTGACAGAGCACTCAAAAACTCAAAAAAAAAAAAAAAAAAAAGGAAGAAAGAAACAGACATTCAGGACAACTGGGCTGTTTTCACGTTTTGGCTGTTAGGAATAACGCTGCTATTAACATTTGTGTAAGTCTGTGTGTAGATATATGTTTTAATTCTCTCAATTATATATCTAGGAGTGGAATTTCTGGGTCAAATGATAATTCTATGTTTAAACTTTTGAGAATGTGCCAGACTGTTTTCCAAAATGACTGCACTATCTTACATTACCATCAGCGGTGTATGAGGGTTGCAATTTCTCTATATCCTCACCAACACTTGTTCTTATTTGTCTTTTTTATTCTAGCCATCCTGTGAATGTGAAGTGGTATCTCATTGTGGTTTTGATCTGTATCTCTCTGATAGCCAATAATATTGAGCACCTTTCATTTGCTGATTGGCCATTTATACATCTTTTTTGGAGAAATATATGTTTAGATCGTATCGCCATTTTTAAAATTGAGTTATTTGTTTTTGTTCTGTTTCTGTTTTTGTTTTTGTTTTTTTGAGACAGAGTCTCACTCTGTTGCCCAGGCAGGAGTGCAGTGACACGATCTCGGCTCAGTGCAACCTCCACCTCCCAGGCTCAAGTGATCCTTCCACCTCAGCCTCTTGAGTAGTTGGGACTACAGGCACCAGGCACACACCACCACGCCTAATTTTTGTATTTTTTGTAGAGACGGGTTCTCTCCATGTTACCCAGGCTAGTCTCAAACTCCTGGACTCAAGCAATCCTCCTGCCTTGGCCTCCCAAAGTGCTGGGATTACAGGTGTGAGCCACTGTGCCCAACCAAAATTGGGTTATTTGTGTCTTTATTATTAAGTTGTTGGAAGTAGCATTTAGAGCCAGGTCTGGCCCTTGCTTTACTATCAAATGGTGGACACTGCACACACCCCCATGGCATATGCCCCACCGCCAGGGACATCTTGAAGCCCCCTGCAGACTTGGCCCTGCTCTGAGCAGGTGGAAGAGTAAGTCCTGCTGGGGCCTGGCCCACAAGTGTCCAGTGAATGTCTATGGATGGACAGACAGACAAGTATATCTCTAGGAACGAGTAAGCCAAAGGGGAAGAAAAAACACACAGACCAAGAAGTCCACACCCCAGGAGGAAGAAACTGCTGAGGCCCAGCTCCAGGAGGTAGAGATAACACTTTTGGCGCGGCGAGAGGCCACCAGGCAACTGCCTCTTGTGTCCTTGGTGGCAGTAATCTATCTGGCCTGTTTTTACGTGACTGACTATTGGCCTGTCTGAGGCTGGGAAGGAGAGGCCAGGGAGATTAGCAGGGAACCCATAAGCCTATCTGTCTAGGGGCTTGTAAGGGGGGCAGCTGGTCAGAGGCGGGCAGGGAACTGGTGGGGTGTGTCCCTGCCAGCCTCTGGCCCCAGAAACTCACTGCTTCATCACCAAGGGCGCCTGCATCTTGAACACCCAGCTCTGGATTCTGACTACCTGGGTTTGAATCCCAGCCCTACCATCTCCTTGCTGTGTAACCATGGACAAGTTACTCTCCATCTCTGAGCCTCAGTTCACTCACAGCCTCACCTGTAGAATGGAGACAACCAGAGTGAGAACGAAATGAGACCCTAAGGCTGTGTCTTGGTGGGGCCAGGCTGCCGGTGGGAGGCTACAGACAGTGGGCAGGAGGGCTCACCCACAGGGCATCCCCAGACCCTGTACTCAGAGCCTGTCCCCTTGTGAAATGGAGTCACAGACTCTCCTGAGACCAGCCGCCGCATGAAGGTGCACCTCGGCCCAGTGCTGTGAGAATGTGGCTGCTGGTGGAGGCAGCTCCAAGAACCTGTGTGGTAAAGACAGGCTGGGAGGGGGTGCCAGGGCAGCCTCTGACTCAGGCAGCCTGGGATCAGTGTCCTACTCTGTCTTTTACCAGCTGTGAACCTTGGGCAGGCACTTGGCCTCTCTGTGCCTCAGTTTATCCTTTGGAAGACAGAGATGACAGTCATGCTTACTTTATAGGGTGGCTGTGAAGATTAAATGGGTTAATAGAGGTAAAATGCCAGTTAAAATCTCAGCCTTAAAATAAAGCCCAGAGCATCTCCTGAATTCATTTAACTTCTTTGAACCCCAGATTCTCCCATATTCCCCCGGATTCATCCAGCTGGGCTGTGTGGAGGACGGGAAAGTGTTAGACTATTCTGGCATTTCCCAAAGTGGATCCCATGGACTTCTAACTCACGGGATGCTCTAGGAAAATAAAAAAGGGCACCATTGTCACATAGGCCTGGGTGCTAGTGTAGACCCAGCCGCTTCCTGGAACCACACACACACACACACACACACACACACACACACACACACACACACACGAAAGTTTCTGCGAAACCCTGCAGTGAAGAGCTCTGTGGATGTTTGCGTTGTTTCTCAAATTTATTTGACGATGAACACCCTTTTCTGCCCAAGGTCGATTTAACATCCTCCTAGAAAACAATGATGGTCAAGGTCATTTCTATCTTGCAGCTTCCGTGAATCACAGAAAAGATGGGAAGATTTGCTAAAAATCATCATCATCACCTAGGAGAAGTGCCTTTCTGTTTTTAAAACCCTTTCACACTCACCACCATGAAAGCATCATGGCCCTGTGGGGCACTCTCAGCCCTGCCACAGGGATCAGAGAGGGTCAGAGTGGGAAGGCCACACCAGGGATACCCCACGCCCACGACTGCCCAGCCAGGACTGGCCCAGGTCCCTTTCTACCCCGCACAGCTGCCTCTGGCTACCCCAAACCAGACAGAATACCCAGAAGGTTGTCAGGACAGAAGGTGGCGTCTGCGAGGAGCCTTCTAGAAAAAGGAGTTGTAGCCAGGCACCGTGGCTTACGCCTGTAATCCTAGCACTTTGGGAGGCCGAGGCGGGTGGATTGCCTGAGCTCAGGGGTTCAAGACCAGCCTGGGCAACACGGTGAAACCCTGTCTCTACTAAAATACAAAAAATAAGCCAGGTGTGGTGGCGTACACCTGTAGTCCCAGCTACTCGGGAGGCTGAGGCAGGAGAATTGCTTGAACCCTGGAGGAAAAGATTGCAGTGAGCTGAGATCGTACCACTGCACTCCAGCCTGGGCGACAGAGCGAGACTCCATCTCTAAAACCAAAACAAACCAAAACAAAACAAAACACAAAAGAAAAAGGAGTTGCCAAAAAGAAGCCCTATGGGTTGAGCCAGCCCAGCCTCAGGCAAGGGAGATGTCAAGGATCAGGAGTCCCCTGGGGGCACCTGCAGGGGAGGCCCTGTGACCCTGAGCCTAATTAATTGGGAAAGTGCCCCATTCAAGTAGCCCCTCACATCTCCCTGTAAACATCTCAGCAAATCTAACATCCAGCAACCAGATTACATCTCCCAGAGAGTGGCCTCTTGAACACAGGACAAGGGCCAAAATTCTTCCCTAGGCCCTGCGAGGTTTGGAAAATGAGCTTGATCAGCTAGTCAAGGGAGGAGACTGACATTTATTGAGCACCAGTGATGTGTCATGCATCGTGTACCTGTATGGTGAGATCTCAATTCTGATAATAATCCCTCTTCACAGATGGGGGAAACTGAGGCTCTCGGTGGTAAATTAACATGTCCAGGGATGCAGCAGGGCTAGGATTCAAGCTCCAAGATTGGGTTTGGCTCGCCAGCCCCAGTGCCACCACACGCCCCAAACCCTGTGCCACACCTCGCTCTCCAGGCCCCCTTCCCATTCCTAAGCCAGGTTCTCAGGGCCTCAGATATAAGAGGAATTGGTTGGGGGGCTAATGTGATCTGGCCCCTAACAGCCTGGCCCACACTGTGGATGGAGAAACTGGCACTTGGGTTTGTCGCTCGATGTCCTGGAGAATCGAGCTCTTTCAGCCCCTAGTACTCTGATCATCTGTTCAGGGAAGACAGGTAGAGAAATCCATTTTCTGG
This sequence comes from Homo sapiens, assembly GCF_000001405.40. NCBI lineage: Eukaryota > Metazoa > Chordata > Mammalia > Primates > Hominidae > Homo > Homo sapiens. Next base: position 32,645,254 of record NC_000020.11, read on the forward strand.
GTATGCTAAGCCAAAGGCCATGCCTAAGTCTTTGAATGCTGTGATCATTCCCAGCTGCCCTCAGGTGCAGCCTCCTGCCTGGCATCCCGCCCGGCTCACTGACCTTCCAGAATCCTGGCACTCAGGCTGGGGGTGTATGGAGGGGAGGGGGGCCCATCATACAAACCTCTCTGCAAAACCCCTATTCCTCTCCTTGATGACCCTGCCCCCCTGGGGGGATATTCTCCCAAACTGGGACTTCCCAGAATTTCTGGGTCAGCAAACAGACTGGCTGAGTGGCTGCAGGCCACTCCTCTCCTGCGAGACCTCTCCCCTGCACTGCTGCACGTCCTCCTGCCCAGCGCAGAAGCAGACATTGGAGAGGAGAGAGAGCCAGCACCAAGCCCTCCCAGCTTTCCCACCACACTGCCCATCTTCAAGCCCTCCGAGCTTTTCCACCATACCACCCATCTTCAGGCTGTCTGAGAGGCAGGCTTTCTTTCCTTCATCCCTGGCAGCAGATCCAGGTCACAGAGGGGCAGCTACTTGCCCAAGGCCACACAGTGAGGCAGCAGTGGGCATCACACCTGGGTCTGACTCACTCCAGAGTTGGGGACCTTTTTCCCAGTCCAGTACAGTGGCCAGCAGTGTTGAGGATGGAGAAGTGTTAGACTATTAGTGTGAGATCTGGAGCCTGGGCTCCCCAGCTTCCTCACTGGGTCACTTGGGGTAGACACCTCAACTTCTCTGTACCCCAGTTTCTCCATCTACACAGTGCTATCAGAGAGTCCCTGGCTTCAAATTCTGTGTAAGTTGTGTGGCCTTGGGTGAGTCACTTAACCTGTCTGTGTCTCTGCTTTCTCCAATTTAAAACAGAGTGGGCCTTAAGGTAAGGGTCAGTATGAGGATTTTTTTTTTGAGACAGAGTCTTGCTTGATCCCAATTTTTTTTTTTTTTTTTTTTTTGAGACAAAGTCTCGCTCGATCTTTTTGTTGAGACAGAGTCTCGCTCGATTTTTTGAGACAGAGTCTGGCTCAATCTCAGCTCACTGCAACCTCTGCCTCCTGGGTTCAAGCGATTCTCCCACCTCAACCTCCCGAGTAGCTGGGATTACAGGCACATGACACCACGCCTTGTTAATTTTTGTATTTTTAGTAGAGATGGGGTTTCACCATGTTGCCCAGGCTGGTCTCGAACTCCTGGCCTCAAGTGATCCACCCGCCTTGGCCTCCCAAAGTGCTGGGATTACAGGCATGAGCTACCACGTCTGGCCTAGTATGAGGATTAAACTGTGTGTCAAGGGCTTCCTAGCAGGTGGTGTCTAGAAGGCCCACACTGATGGCCTGCTGTTGTGGTCAAGATGGGGCTGTCTAGGCTGACTCCAGAAGGAAACACAAGGAATAGGCCCCAGAGGTCATCTCCGGGGAGGGAAACAGTTGGGGAAAGGGTGGGAGCCCTAACTTGTCCCTATAGGTTGTCTGCCACCTTCAGAATTGTGTATTGCAGTCACGCATTATTACTGTTACCACAGCTGATTACATGATGACTGCACAGAGCTGCTCCCCTGGCCTGACACATGCACTCATGCTAGCCAGAGGCCCCATGCATGCCTTGGGTGCCCAGGCCAGCTCCTACCACTTGCTTGGCTCATCCCTCCACAGCTACACCCATGCCTCACCCAGGCCCTTTTCAACTACCCCATGTCTCCCAGCAAGACCATGGCACAGCCTTGAGGGCCAGGAGGGTCTCTCCATCTAGCACACACTGGTCACTCACCACATGACACTTGATGTGAGTCTCTGTCCTCCATTGTCTCACTCATAAGTGGAGAGGCTCATGCCTCCCCCAGGGTAACTATAAGGATTAAAATAAAGAACTAGGGCCGGGCGCAGTGGCTCACACCTGTAATCCCAGCACTTTGGGAGGCCAAGCTGGATGGATCACCTGAGGTCAGGAGTTTGAGACCCGTCTGGCCAACATGGTGAAACCCCATCTCTACTAAAAATACAAAAATTAGCCAGGCGTGGTGACGTGTGCCTATAATCCCATCTACTGGGGAGGCTGTGGCAGGAGAACTGCTTGAACCTGGGAGGCGGAGGTTGCAGTGAGCCGAGATCCTGCCATTGCACTCCAGCCTGGGAGACAAGAGTGAAACTCCGTCTCAAAAAAAAAAAAAAAAGAAGAACTAGGGTTTGGCTTGGTGGCTCATGCCTGTAATCCCAGCACTTTGGGAGGCTAAGGTGGGAGGATCACTTGAGGCCAGGAGTTCCAAACCAGCCTGGGCAACATAGTAAGACCCTGTTGCTACAATATATTAAAAAAATTAGCTGGGTATTTTAGCACACGCCTGTAGTCCCGACTACTCAGGAGGCTGAGGTGAGAGGATTGCTTGAGCCCAGGAGATTGAGGCTGTAGTGAGTCAAGATTATGCCACTGCACTCCAGCCTGGGTGACAGAGCAAGACCCTATGTCTAAAAAAGTAAAATGGAGAACTAATGTGTGGAAAGCGCCAGATACAGTTCCCCACCCGGAGTTGAAAGGGTGAAACTACCACGGGTCGGGGAATTGCTCAGGGTCAGGTGCATAGCCTGGAGTGCAGGAGTGTTGGTCCCAGCTCCTTCCCCAGCCTCACCACCCACGGCAGGGGGCGTCGCCTTCCCCCACCCTTCCAGGCTCAGAGGGTGTCAGGTCCCTCATAGTATCTCCCCAATCCATTGATGGCACCTACAGCACCCTAGGCAAGCTAACCCCTACCCACTTCTCTCACCCTCTGTGCCCTCTGAGGAGCAGGCTTTCTTCCTCCATCCCTGGCAGCAGATCCAGGTAACAGAGATCTGCTACTTGGGCTACTTGCCCAAGGCCACACAGTGAGGCAGCAGTGGGTATCACACCCGGGTCTAGCTGACTCCAGAGTTGGGGTCCTTTCTCCCAGTCCAGTGCAGTGGCCAGGGGTGTGGGATCTGGAGCCCAGGCTCCCCAGCTTCCTCAAACAGCCTAAGCCCATCCTGCCTCCAGGCCTTTGCACTCCCCATTCCCTCCTCCTTCCCTGCCCTTCCCATCATTCAGGTTCTGCTCAGCTTTGCCTCCCTCAGAGGCTCTCCTGGACCACCCCTCCCGAAATGCCCCAATCCCTATTCTCTCTGTCTCTTGCCCCTGATTGTTTGCTTCATGGCACTAACCATTGCCTGAAACTGTCTTTTTTTTTTTTTTTTTTTTTTTTTTTTTTGAGACAGAGTCTCGCTCTGTCGCCCAGGCTGGAGTACAGTAGTGTGACGGTGGCTCACTGCAAGCTCCGCCTCCCAGGTTCACGCCATTCTTCTGCCTCAGCCTCCCGAGTAGCTGGGACTACAGGCGCCTGCTGCCAAATCTGGCTAATTTTTTTTTTTTGTGTGTGTGTTTTTAGTAGAGACAGGGTTTCACCATGTTAGCCAGGATGGTCTTGATCTCCTGACCTCGTGATCCGCCTGCCTCGGCCTCTCAAAGCGCTGGGATTACAGGTGTGAGCCACTGCGCTGGGCCAATAAACTTTCTTTAGGGAATAACTTAGAAATTATTTTGCAACAGAAAAATTGCACAGATAGTACAGGGAGTTCCTATTGGCCCTTCACCAAGTTTTTTCTTATGTCAACCTATTACCTAACCATGGTAAGTGGTCAAAACCAAGAAAGTGACATTGGTACATTACACTGATGAGCCGCAGGCTTTACTCCGGTGAAACTGTGTTCTTCCTTACTCATTTGTTCTCAGCTGCCTCCCCCATGAGGAGGCAAACTCTGAAAAGCAGGGAGGTTGCCTCTCCCACTGACATCAATTTCCTCATACCTGGCAAGGAGTGCTGATTGGATAAAGGAGAGGAAAGAATGGCAAAAACAGCCAATGACTATCAAGGACTCCTGCCAGACAGTGTTCCTAAGTGCTTTAAACACTGTAAGCCCCAGCCTGGGCAACATAGTGAGACCCTATCTCTACAAAAAATTTAAAATTAGCCAGGTATGGGGGCATGTGCCTATAGTCCCACCTACCAGGGAGGCTGAGATGGGAGGATCGCTTGAGCCTGAGAGGTGGAGCCTGCTGTGAGCTGTGATTGCACCACTGCACTCCAGCCTGAGCAGCAGAGTGAGACCTTGTCTCAAAAAACAAAACAAAGCCAAACAAAACCAGACCCAACACATAGTAAGCTGTTTAATCCTCACATCAGCCCATGAAGCAGCTATGAATCATAGGGGAACTAAGGCATGGTACGGTTTGGTGGCTGGCCCAAGGCCACAGAGATGGGCAGTACCAGAGTGGGTGGGTTCTAGCACACTCCTCCTGCCCCTGTCACAACACGCTGATGGCACCACAGGGTAACACAGCAAATGCCAGTCCCTCCATGTTCTCAGTCTACGAAACAGTGGAAGGGTCACACCTCCCACAGCCCAGCAGGAGCACAGGCTTGGGATGGAGCCTGAGCCTCTGCTTCTTGCTTCTGCCCACAGTGACTAGTGGCTATCCCGGCCCTGCACAGAATGACACAGGGGCTCTGTTCCGAGGGCCCTCAGCCTCACCCTTCTTCAGGGAAACAGAAGGGGGCTGGTTCGGCCCCGGACCATGGGCTCCCGCCAGTGCTCCCAATTCCCCAGACCCTGCCGACACAAAGCAGGCCTCAGCCCGCCCCGCTCCCTTGGCCCACAGCTTGGACTGGGCCTCTAGGATCTGGCTGCTGAGGGCCGGGTGCAGAGCATGGGCCCCTGTCCTGAGGTCCAGCATTCTCAGAGGAGCTTTCTGGGCTCTGGAAGAGAGAGGAAGAGGAAGACATGGTGTCCCTTTCCGGATGTGGGGTGGGAGTGACACACAGGAGTACTGCAGCCTCCTCCCAGCACTCAGGGACCAAGCCAGAGAGATGTGCCAGCGCCTCCCAAGGGAGAAGCCATTCTCCAGCAGCTGGACAGGACCAGAGCCTGCCCCGCATGTCCGGCCGGGGTTCTACCCAGAGCCAGCCTGGCACAGCCTCGGTCCCTAATCATGTTTGCTGAATGCCTTGAATACAAGCGCCGGTGCCCAGAATCTCCTTGAGGTTTCAGCTGGGCGTGCCGGGCCCATCCCCCACTCTGGGGAGCAGAATGATTGTGGGGGGTGGTAACAGGGGACACCCTGAGGTGGTGGTGGCCTTGGTAGGACAGGCAGGCAGAGCTGGGGGTGGGGGCGCCCTGGGCTCGGCTAATTAAACAGCGACCGTGATGAATTGGAGAGAAACTGCTGCTTGCTAATTAAAGGTGCAGGCAACTTGCCTGGCAAGGATGGGAGGCAGAAGTCCTGGAAACATGTTGAGGTCCAGGCCAGCGAGGACAGAGCTTGGCCAAAGTCCCCCACCGTGCCCATTCTGGGCATCCCTCCCATTGCCCTCCCCCGCCCAGCAGGGGCCCGCAGCCCCCTCCCCACTTCCCTATCTCTCCGACCCACCTTGCTGAGCCTGAGGCCTCCAACTTCCCCCCACCCCTCCCCACCAACCCAAATCCTTTCCTGATAAGGGCCTGGGTGTTGCGGAGGAGGAGGCTGGCGCTGGTGGCTGGGCTGGGGGTGGACTCGCTGAGCCTTTGAGGTCCTCCTTCCCGCCCCACCGCCAAGGTCCCAGAGGTGGGCAGTGAGTCCAGCCAAGACTGATGTGGCCTGTTGGGAACAAGGCCCCCAAGAAGATCATAGAATCTTAGTACCTGAGACTCGCAAGGGGCTTTAGGTCTTCCCTAATTTCCCAACAGTCCCCAGTGTCAGCCCAGGTGTGGGAGACAGGGACAGCACTTCTTACCCGGCTCAGCATTCCAGTTTTTGTAAAGGGAAAACTGGCCAGGCGAGGTGGCCACTGCCTGTGATCCAGCATGTTGGGAGGCTGAGGCAGGAGAATCGCTTGAGCCCGGGAGTTCAAGACAGGCCTAGGAAACATAGGAGACCCTCTCTCTAAAAAAAAAAAAAAAAAAAAAAAAATTAGCTGGGTGTGTTGGCTTGCGCCTGAGGGTTCAGCTACTCATGGGGTAGCTACTCAAGTGGGAGGATCACTTCAGCCCAGAAGGTTGAGGCCGTAGTGAGCCATGATCGCCCCACTACACTCCAAAGTGGGCAACAGAGCGAAACCCTATTCAAAAAAAAAAAGGAAAAGAAACGAGAAAATTGGAGCAAATGATCTCTGAGCCTTGAAGATTCTTACAGGGTGGACAAGAAAACCCCCTGAAGCTGCTCATCCCTGCCCCAAGTCACTTCAAAGCAGGGCTGTAGGCTCAGACACCTTTACCAACCAACGTGACCTCAGGCAAGGGAGCTCATTGTCACATGCCTGGGTTTCCCCATTTGCAAGGCTGGGGATGGCAACAGAGCCCACCTCAAAGGGTCTCTGAGAAGACTGGAGGAGATAACAAAGGTGAAGTGTCCAGCACAGCAACTGGTCTGACCTGAATAGCCAGCCACTGCCATCTGAAAGGTCTGGGGAACTGGGGGGTGACCTGGCACCTAGCCTGTCCGAGTCTTACCTCTTCATGTGGCAGCTGCAGTCTGGCACTCTGAGGAGGAGGATTAGAGAGCTTAAGTGACTTCTGCAAAGCCACACCACTACGGAAGAGGAAGAGGCAGCCTTGGATCCCTTGAGTGAGGAGAGGATGGGACCTGGATTCCTATGTTGACATTTGTTGAGCATCTACTGGATGCAGGGTCCTGAACAAGACCCCAGGAAGGGACTAAGATGAATCTGAGATTCACTCTGCCTTTAAGGGGACCCCAGTCTGGAAGGAGAGAGAAAACACACATACAAATAACTAGAATGCAAAGCAAATGTGGCTGGATGCAGTGGCTCACACCTGTCACTTTGGGAGGCTTAGGCAGGAGGATCACTTGAGATCAGGAGTTCGAGACCAGCCTGGCCAACACAACAAAACCTCGTCTCTACTAAAAATACAAAAATTAGCTGGGTGTGGTGGTGCACGCCTGTAGTACCAACTACTTGGGAGACTGAGGCACGAGAATCACTTGAACCTGGTGGGGCAGAGGTTACAGTGAACTGAGATCGTGCCAGTGAGCTGAGATCATGCACTTCAGCCTGGGCGACAGAGCAAGACTCCATCTCAAAAAAAAAAAAAAAAAAAAAAAAAAGCAAATACCCCTGGCATCAGAGGGGGCCCAGCAGCCCTCCATGCAAAGGGGCTGGGGTGAGACTCTTGGGATGGCGGGGAGATGCTGCTGTGTCTTGGAGCTCAATTTGCAAGGCAAAGGTTTTGATTTTATTTGAACGATAAAATCAGCCCTGGGGGTCATGGGGGTGCTGATGGAGCCTCCTCTGGCTTTTTTGGGAAGTTCTGGGTGGTCCCTGACCTCTGTGATTCCTGCTTCGAAGGTTCTGGGATCTATCCTGGAGGTATCTAGGAGTCCCGGATGCTGTGGTTTTTGGAGACTACACTGTCCAGACCCCCAGCATGAATACATTCACGTCCACAAAAAACAGTGAGGGCCCCCTTCCAGGTAGCCAGACACGCACCAGTTTGGGGGGCTTCCTGCTGCTGGGCAATTTGGTGGGGAGAGGATGCAGCACCAGTGAGAGGCCCTCTCAGAGATGGTGGAAGCCTCTCAAGGCTGAGAGATGCAAGGCTGCTGGCCCCGATGTTGCAAAGCCTGAGCCTCAGGCGGCAACCCAAAGCGGGCAGGGTGAGTGCTAGGTCACTGGCCTTGGGGATGGTGCCTCCGTCACTCCCTTCCTGGAGATCAGAGCTCAGCCAGAGGAGCGGGCTGGTCTAGCCACAGGAAGTCTGTGCAAGCACAGCCAGCAGCTCCTGGAAAATAGGCGCTGCTCTCAGCCTCCCCAGGGCACCCTGCACCCAAGCTGGGCCAAATGATGGTCTGGGGCGCCCTCTGGTGGCTCCTCTGGGCAGTGGTGGATGCTGAAGCCACTGTGAATTTAAGGGTGGGTGGGGCAGAGATGGTCAGAGTTGGAAGATTTCAAGGTGGACCACTCTTTCCACTACACAGATGGGAAAACCAAGGCCCAGAGGGAAGTGACCTGCCTACAGTTGCACAGCCAGTGACTAATACAAGAACAGAACCCAGAAGTTCCTCTGTACCAATGCTTTTTTTTAGGGGGTCTCAAGACATCCCACCCTAGGGGAGGGAAGGCTGAGTGTCCAGGGCTCACTCCCAGTGCATATGGACAGCTGAACTGTAGGTCGCTGAGTATCTGTGTGACATAGCATGCAGCACTTCCCTCCCAGGCTTGGTTCTTTGCCTCTAAAGCCTGGGGTTACTGTGTTGGCAAGGGATGGGGGACTAGGCCTCCTGCTTGCACACTGCTAGAACTGAGGGTGTAAACCAGCCAATCTTTCGGGGAGTTCTAAGAAGAGTGTTCCTACAGCTGGTATCATACTTCATGGTGAGAGATTGGGTGCTTTCCCCAAGACCAGGAACAAGACAAGGATGTCCACTCTTACGGCAAAGTTGAATTCACGACTTGTATTCAACACTGTACTGGGTACAATGGCAAGAAAATAAAGTCATCCAGATTGCAAAAGAAGAAGTAAAACTATCCCTACTTGCAGATGACATGATCTTATATATAGAAAATCTTGGTTGGGAGCAGTGGCTCATGCCTGTAATCTCAGCACTTTGGGAGGCCAAGGCAGGTGGATCACCTAAGGTCAGGAGTTTAAGACCAGCCTGGCCAGCAAGGCAAAACCATGTCTCCACTAAAAATACAAAAATTAGCCAGGCGTGGTGGTGTGTGCCTGTAACCCCAGCTACTCAGGAGGCTGAAGCACAAGAATTGCTTGAACTTGGGGTGCAGAGTTTGCAGTGAGCCAAGATCACGCCACTGCACTCCAGCCTGGGTGATGGAGCGAAAAAAAAAAAAAGAGAAAATCCTAAAGAATCCACTAAAAAAAAGTTATAACTAATAATTGGGTTTGGCAAAGTTGCAGGATACAAGATCAATATACAAAAATCAATTGAGCTTCTACACATTTGCAATGAACACTTCAAAAATGTAATTATGAAAATAATTCAATTTATACTAGCATCAAAGAGAATAAAATGCTTAGGAATAAAAGAAGTACAAAACTTATAATCTGAAAACTACAAAACATTGTTTAAAGAAATTAAAGATGCCATAAATAAATGGAAAAATACCAATGTTCATAGATCTAAAGACCCAATACCATTAAGATGGCAAGACTCCCCAAATTGATCTTCAGATTCAACACAATCTCCATCAAAATTCCAACTTGGTTCTTTACAGAAATTGACAAGCTGATCCTAAAATTCATATGGAAATTTAAGGGACTCAGAAAAGCTAAAACAGTCCTGAAAAAGAATAATGGTGGGCCAGGCGTGGTAGCTTATGTCCGTAATCCCAGCACTTTGGGAGGCCGAGGTGGGCAGATCACTTGAGTCCAGGAGTTTGAGACCAGCCTGGGTGATATGGTGAAACCTCATCTCTACAAAAAATACAAAAATTTAGCTGGGTGTGGTGGCATGTGCCTGTAGTCCCAGCTACTCAGGAGGCTGAGGTGGGAGGATCACTTGAACCTGGGAGGTAGAGATTGCAGTGAACCAAGAATGTGCCACTGCATTCCAGCCCGTGTGACACAGCAAGATCCTTCCCCAAAAAAAGAAGAAGAAAAAATGAACAATGTTGGAGTGCACACACTTCCAATTTCAAAAATTACTATAATAAACTACAGTAATCAGGACAATGTGGTACTGGCATAAGGACAGACATAGAGATCAATGAAATATAAATAAGAGTCCTGAGAGTCCAGAAATAAACCCTCACATTTGGTTCAGCCGCAAGAGCCGAACATATTTAATGGTGGAGTTCAATGGGGAAAACAGAGTCTTGCAAAAGAAAGAGGTCAGACCCCTGCCTCACACCATACACAAAAATTAAAGTGGATGAAAACAAATGTAGGAGCTAAAACTATAAAACTCTGAGAACATAGACATAAATCTTCATGACCTTGGATTAGGCAATAGTTTCATAAATATGATACCAAAAGCACAAGCAACCAAAGAAAAAATAGACTAGGCTTCATCAGAATTTAAAATTTTGCATCAGGCATGGTGGCTCACACCTGAAATCCCAGCACTTTGGGAGGCTGTGGCAGGAGGATCGCTTGAGACTGGACACTATCAAAAAAGTGAAAAGACAACCCACAGGATAGGAGAAAATAACTGACAATCATATATCTGATAACAGATTCTAACCAGCATATATAAAGAACCCTTACAACTCAATAATAAAAGACAAATAGCCCAGTTTAAAAATGGGCTGAGCCAAGTGTGGTGCTCACTCCTGTAATCCCAGCACTTTGGGAGGCTGAGGTGGGCAGATCACCTGAGGTCATGAGTTCAAGACCAACCTGGCCAACATGGAGAAACCCCATCTCTACTAAAAATATAAAAATTAGCCCGGCGTGGTGGCAGACGCCTGTAATCCCAGCTACTCAGAAGGCTGAGGCAGGAGAATCACTTGAACCCAGGAGGTGGAGGTTGCAGTGAGCCAAGATCACACCACTGCACTCCAGCCTGGGTGACAGAGCAAGACTCCACCTCAAAATTTAAAAAATAAAAATAGAAACAGGCAGATATGGTTGGGATGTTTGTCTCCTCCAAATCTCATGTTGAAATGTGATCTCCAGCGCTGGAGGTGGGGCCTGCTGGGAGATGTTTGGGTCACGGAGGTGACTCCCTCATGAATGGCTTGGTGCCCTCCTCACAGTAATGAGGGAGTTCTTGCTCTGTTAGTTCACAAGAGAGCTGGTTGTCTGAAGGAGGCTGGCAGTGCCCACCCTTTCTCTTGCTCACACTGGCTCCCCTTTGCCTTCTGCCATGATTGGAAGCTTCCTGAGGCCTACTCCAGGAGCAGGTGCTGGTGCCATGTGTCCTGTACAGCCTGTAGAACTGTGAGCCAAATAAACCTCTTTTCTTTACAAATTACTCAGTCTCAGCTATTCCTTTATAGCAATGCAAACAGACTAATGCATGGGCATAGGATGTAAATAGACATTTCTCCAAAGAAGACATACAAATGGCCAATAAGCACATGAAAAGATACTCAACATCATTAGTCATTAGGAAAATGCAAGTCAAAACCACAATGAGATAGCACTTTGTACCCACTAGGTTAGTTATAATAAAAAAGACAGATAATAACAAGTGTTGATGAGAATATGGAGAAATCAGAACCCTCATACACTGCTGGTAAGAATGTAAAACGTTTTGGAAAAAGCCTGGCAGTTCAAAAGGTTATATATAGAGTTACATGATCCAGCAATTCTGCACCTAAAAGGTATATACCCAAGAGAAATGAAAACATGTATTCACATAAAAACTTACATAAGGCCGGGCGCAGTGGCTCATGCCTGTAATCCCAGCACTTTGGGAGGCCAAGGCAGGTGGATTTTCGGAGTTCAGCAGTTCGAGAACACCCAGGGCAACATGGTGAAACCCTGTCTCTACCAAAAATAGAAAAAAAATAGCCAGGTGTGGTGGCATGTACCTGTAGTCCCAGCTACTCAGGAGGCTGAGGCATGAGAATCGCTTGAGCCCCAGAGGCAGAGGTTGCAGTGAGCCAAGATCGCACCACTGCACTCCAGCCTGGACAACAGAGTACGACTCCATCTCAAAAAAAAAATCTTACATGACTAGTCATAGCAGCATTATTCCCCCAAAATAGAAACAACCACAACCCAAATGTCCATCAGCTGATGAATGGATAAATGAAAGGTGGTATATTCATACAATGGAATATTATTCAGCAATAAAAAGGAGGACTAAAGTGCTGACACATGCTGTAACATAGATAAACCTTACAAACATCATGCTGGGGCCAGACACAGTGGTTCACACCTGTAATCCCAGCACTTTGGGAGGCTGAGGTGGGAGAATCACCTGAGGCCAGGAGTTCAGGACCAGCCTGAGCAACACAGTGAGACCCCATCTCTACAAAAAAATTAAAAATTAGCTGAGGCTGGCCATGGTGGCTCACACCTGTAATCCCAGCACTTTGGGAGGCTGAGGCGAGTGGAACACTTGAGGCCAAGAGTTCCAGACCAGGCTGGCCAACATGGTGATACCCTGTCTCTACTAAAAATACAAAAATTAGCCAGGCGTGGTGGTAGGCACCTGTAATCCCAGCTACTCGGGAGGCTGAGGTAGGAGAATCACTTGAACTCAGGAAGAGGAGGTTGCAGTGAGCTGAGATCTCACCACTGCACTACAGCCTGGGCGACACAGCGAGACTCTGTCTCCAAAACAACAACAACAACAACAACAACAAAGGAGTTTGAGACCAGCCTGGGCAACATAGTGAGACCTCATCTCTAAAACAAAATTTTAAAAATAAATAAAAAGGCGTCACATTTACTAACATCGATGAGGTCCAAGATATACCACCAAGTCAAAAGAAAAAAAAAGCAGGTTCAAAAATAAGCCTGTAGGCTGGGCAAGGTTGCTTCTGCCTGTAATCCCAGCACTTTGGGAGGCCAAGGCAGGAGGATCACTTGATATCAGAAGTTCGAGACCAGCCTGGCCAATATGGCAAAACCCCGTCTCTACTAAAAATATAAAAATTAGCCAGACATGGTGGTGGGCACCCCTAATCCCAGTTACTCAGGAGGCTGAGGCAGAAGAATCCCTTGAACCTGGGAGGTGGAGGTTATAGTCAGCTGAGATTGCGCCACTGCACTCCAGCCTGGGCAACAGAGCTAGACTCTGTGCGCCCCCAAACCTAAAAAAAAAAAAAGAAAGAAAGAAAGAAAAAGAAAGCATGCAGATTAAAACAGGTACTTAAGAGACTTTAAGAAGATAAAATTTCAGCTGGGCACGGTGGCTCACGCCTGTATCTCAGCACTTTGGGAGGCCGAGACGGGCGGATCACCTGAGGTCAGGAGTTTAAGACCAGCCTGGCCAACACGGTGAAACCCCAACTCTACCAAAAATACAAAAATTAGCTGGCACCTGGCATTCTGATTTTTAAGAAGCAAGCATAATAGGATTCCATTCTTATGAAAAAATCTGTATCTATATGTGTATAACAAAAATACCTGGAAATTTAGGATTTAGGGTACTCTTTTTATTTTTGGAGAACAGGGCTCACTCTCACCCAGGCTGGAGTGCAGTGGCAGGATCACGGCTCACTGCAGCCTCAAACTCCTGGGCTCAAGGAATCCTCTCAAGTAACTGAGACTACAGATGTACACTACCATGCCCAGCTAATTTTTGAATTTTTTCTTTTAGAGCTGGGGTCTTGCTATATTGCCCAGGCTGGCCCCAAACTCCTGGGCTCAAGCAATCCTCCCACCTCAGCCTCCCAAAGGGCTGGGATTACAGGAGTGAACTACCACACCCAATCTATGATACTCTTAATTTATATTTTACTGAATTTTCCAATTTTTGTTACTGCAATGGATAATAATCACTTCTACAGACAGAAAAAACAATAAAGCTTTTTGCTGTGTTGCAGGCATTCCTTTGGCCCTGACATTGTGTGAGCACAAAGGGTAGGTGGGGAATGACACTGGAGCTACAGGGAGATGGAGCAGGAGAAGACCAAGGCTCAGCGTCCTCCGGCCTTGGCGTCCAGGGCTGATTCAAGGCCTAGACCCCACTGCGGCTTCCCAGAGACTCAGACCCACTTCTCTTTTTTTTTTTTTAAACAGAGTTTCGCTCTTGTTGCCCAGGCTGGAGTACAATGGCGTGATCTCGGCTCACCACAACCTTCGCCTCCTGGGTTCAAATGATTCTCTTGCCTCAGCCTCCCGAGTAGCTGGGACTACAGGCATGCACCACCACGCCTGGCTAATTTTTTGTATTTTTAGTAGAGATGGGGTTTCTCCATGTTGGTCAGGCTGGTCTCAAACTCCCAAACTCAAGTGATCCACCTGCCTTGGCCTCCTAAAGTGCTGGGACTACAGGCATGAGCCACCGTGCCCGGCCTAAGACCCCTTCTCTTTCAGGGCAGCTGGTGCAGCTGCTGCACAGCCGACCCCCTTGCCCCACACTCCAAAGACACTGGGAATGTAATCCTGGCTTGATGAAGGTCACCCTGTTTCTGGCCGTACAATTCACCAAGGAGGAGAAGCCCTGGGCAGGAGGCCTGGGGCTAGGGGCAGGTTCTCATCCTGCCTACTACCAGCACAAAAACATTATCGCAGCTCAATGAACACTCTCTACGCATCAGGCAGTCCTGCTAGGTGATGTACCTGATTCATTTTATTTCCTCCTCCTGATGACCTGAAGTGATGGGTGGGACCACCATCTTCATTGTACAGATGAGCAAACTGAGGCTCAGGGAACCTACATGAGTGGACCCAGGTGCTCAAAGTGGAGGTGCCTGCAGCAGCCACTATCTTTGAGACTGGACCTGGCTGGACCCCTCATGGGTGGACCTCAGTGAATTCTGCCAGGATCCCAGGAAGGGTGCCTTCCCTCATTTCCCAGATGAGGACTCTGAGAATGAGAGGGGAAGGCCACTTGTCCATGTCCCACAGTGACTGTGTGGCAGGAAGAGGTGCAAGCCAGAGCCTGTGCTCTCAGCTGCCATACCAGGCAGCCTCTTTCACCTGTGAGGGGCCATGGGCATGCTCCCCACCTCCGTGGCTGGCACTAGTAATATCAATTAATAATAATAGATAATAGCAATAATTATTATGACATATAATTATATCAAATGTATTATATTAACATCATCATCATCATCATCATCCACATCAACACAGTTGTGTTGTAACCTGGGGAGTGTGTGTCAGTGGCCAGTGTGCTGTCCTGTATGCCAGCGCATTTGCTCTTCTCAGCAGATCTATAAGTCTTCATTCTGACTTTATTTCCCCCCATTTTAAAGGCCCAGGGAGCAGACCACATGGGGACTACACCTCTGGGGCACAGTTGCTACTCCTGTCCTGTACAGGGCAGCCCAGTGGGAAGCTCTCTGAGGCTGTGCGGTAAGCACCTTTCCCATTGCAGGGAGGTTGGGGGGCAGCTCTCCAGAGGATCTGGGTCCATCTCCCAGCCGAGCCACCCAGCCACAGGATGTGCCCTTCCCAGCAGGAGAAAGGACACTGAATGACAGAGCCAAGGGCCAAGGTGCCAGGAACAGCAACCAGGGTTTCAGGGGATCTGTAACTGCCTCCTCAGCCAGTCCAGGCCCGAGCTTACTCCATGCCCTTTCACTGGTCAATCGGTTGGCCAGCTCATGCCAGGGAGCTCACACCTTCGAGAGGCCACGCTGCTGCCGAAAAGAGGGGCTGCTTCTCCCTGAGTGCCCATGACCTGCCAGGCACTGACTGTGCTAGGCCATCAGCACTGAGCCTCACAAAACCCTTTCAATGGCCCTATTTTACAGAGGAGACAGTGAAGGCTCAGGGAGGTCAAGTGACTTGTCCAAAGTCACATGGACAGGAAGCCTCATAGTTTCCTGGTGGCCAGTTTCCACCAAGAACGTGTGTGTATTAGTCCATTCTCCCACTGTTAAAAGGACATACCTCAGACTGGGTAATTTATAAAGGAAAGAGGTTTAATTGACTCACAGTACTGCATGACTGGGAAGGCCTCAGCAAACTTACAATCATGGCAGAAGAGGAATCAAGCATGTCCTTCTTCACACGGCGGCAGGAGAGAGAAGTGCCAAGCAAAGCGGGGAAAGCCCCTTATAAAAATCATCAGATCTCGTGAGAATGAACTCACTATCATGAGAACCGCATGGGGGTAACTGCCTCCATGATTCGATTACCTCCCACTGGGTCCCTCCCACGACATGTGGGGATTATGGAAACTATAATTCAAGATGATATTTGTGTGGGGACACAGCCAAACCATATCAAGGAGGGAAAGAGGAAGGGACAATCAAGGTGTTCAGAGGGAGGAAAGAGACCCACTGTGCGGGAGGCGGCAAGAAAGGAGGGCCTGCGTCACCAGCTCTGACTCTCTCAGGACCCGACTTAGTCATCGGCCCACCTGTTCTCCACTCATTCATACATTTGTGGGCCTTCTCCAGGTGCCAGGCTCTTTGCCGGGCATTGAGGGCTCAGAGGTGAACCAGGCTCATCTCTGTTCTCACAAAGCTCATGACAGCAGGGCAGAATGGAAAGGGAAACAGATGGGCAGACATCACTTGACTTGGTCTGTATTTATGAAAGGTCTAAGTAGGCCAGGCTCAGTGTTGGGCACTGAAGGCACCAAGTCAGTGAGAAGCTCAAGGCCCCTGCCTTTCTGAAGGATGTGCTCCAGTGGTGTCCAGCCCTGGCCCTCCAGAAACCTTTCTTGCATGACCCCTGAACCCTGAACACAAGGCAGAATTTCTCTGGAAAGACTGGGAGAAGCAGCAAATCTAGGGGTTCTCCATGAATCTTCCTTGGGCCTGGTTCTGGGGTGCTGAGCAGGAATTTGTCTGGGAGAGCAGGGGACCCTGATTAGTGCCTTTCCTGGGGACTAAATCAGGGCCCTGAGAGGCCAGAGCTGTGCAAAGGGGTCATCTGGACTACTGGACGGTCAGCAAGGGCCACCCATTCAGGATGCAGCCACAGATCCATGGGGTTGGAGACCCAGCAGAGGCTCTCAGTCAGGATGGGCCACAGCTCTAACAAAAGGGAGGTGACTTGCCCAAAGCCCCCCACTCCACACCTGTGCTCCCCACAGACAGAAGCATCAGCTCATAGGTAGCACTAGCTCACTCCATCCTAGCCCCCGGGGAGGCCCATGTCAGCGTAAGGCCCATTTCCCAGCCCCAGGAAATGGAGAAACAGAGCCACAAAAGGACTTGCCCAAGAGCACCACCCACTGGAGACACAGGCAGAATCAGAACTGGGAGTTGCCCAGCACTTTCCACCACCCGCTCACGCCCCAGGATGGCAGATCCAGCCTGGTACAGGCGACGCAGGATGATGGCACCCAATCTTGGGGAGCAGCACGAGCCAGGGGCACAAAGGGAAACTCTTTTCCTAAGCTTCCCCTGGTGGTATGGGGGTTTAGTCTTTGTTTTGGGGGCTTGTTCTAAATGCTAAACCTGGCTGACTCTGGGCACACTGCCTATAGGTTAGCCCTGCTCTGCAAGGAGCTATAGAGTTAAAAATAAATAAACGGGCTGGGCACAGTGGCTCACACCTGTAATCCCAGCACTTTGGGAGGTCAAGGGGGCAGGCAGATCACCTGAGGTCCAGAGTTCAAGACCAGCTTGGCCAACATGGTGAAATCCTGTCTCTATTAAAAATACAAAATTAGCTGGACATGGTGGCAGGCACCTGTAATCTCAGCTACTCTGGAGGCTGAGGCAGGAGAATCGATTGAACCCGAGACGGAGTTGCGGTGAGCCAAGATCACGCCACTGCACTCCAGCCTGAGCAACAAAGTGAGACTCTGTCTCAAAAAAATTAACAAACAAATCTCTGTTAAACCTTTGCAATCACCCTGAGATGTTCAACTGAGGGGTCCTTCTCAGTGTGAATGGCTGACAGGAAATCCCAGAATTGCCCCCATCTCAGCAGTCAGGAAGGAACAGCTCTGCCAAGCATGGTGGCTCATGCCTGTAACCCTAACACTTTGGGAAGAGGAGGCAGGAGAATCACTTGAGCCCAGGAGTTCAAGGCCGCACTGAGCTATGATCGCGCCACTGCACTTTAGCTTGGGTGACAGGCGAGACTCTGTCTCTATAAAAAAAAAAAAAAAACAAGAAAGGAACAGCTAGATATATATATATAGATAGATAGATATAAATATAGTTTTTTTTTTTTTTGAGACAGAGTCTCACTCTGTCACTCAGGCTGGAGTACAGCGGCTCAATCTCGGCTCACTGCAACCTCTGCCTCCCAGGTTCAAGTGATTCTCGTGCCTCAGCCTCCTGAGTAGATGGGATTATAGGCGCCCACCACCATGCCCGGCTAATTTTTTGTATTTGTAGTAGAGACGGGGTTTCACCATGTTGGCCAGGGTGGTCTTAAACTCCTGACCTTGTGATCCACCCACCTCGGCCTCCCGAAGTGCTGGGATTATAGGTGCGAGCCCCCGCACCCAGCTAGATTTATATTTTTACGTGGAATTTTAAAAACTACTGAATTCCCTTGGTGGAAATGAGAGTCAAAATAAGAGAATGAGAAAAAAAAAAAAGAATGGCTAAATAAATTATTAATAGAATATTTTACAGTCATTAAATAACTTTAAAGAAAATGTTAATGCTGAGAAAATATTCACCATGTAATGTTGGGGGAAAGCCAGCTACAGAGTATGATTACAATTAAAATGCACACATATATACATATATATATGATCTATATGGAAAAACAAGCCTGGAGAGAAATGTAACAAAATAGCACCATAGTTACCTCCGGGGAGTGGGATGACAGATGATTTTCATTTTCTCCTTTCTACCTTCTTGTAGTTTCCAAATTTTACAATGAGTACAAATTGCATTTATAATTAGACATAAACCAAAAAAGCATGAGTTGGGCTGGGGCTGGATGGCAGGGTAGAGGCTTCACCAGCCCAGGTTCATCCCCTCCACAGCCAGGATGGAGCTGCTTGGGCGCTGGGCTCTGTCCTCACCAGCTGGCCCAGCCAGGCCACAGGAGGCCTAGGACGGCCTGCACCACACTGTCCCCGGAGGGACCAGCCATGGGACACTGCCCTCAAGGAATCCAACCCCTGCCCGGGGCCCTCTGGAGGGTCACTTGTAGGCCATAAATGTCCTGGCTGGGGACACTGGGAAATGAACCACTCAGGGCTGAGAATCAGAACATTCATTATCTGCTGTACGAGAGAAGCCATTTTCTTTGTTCCTTGTTTTTGTTTGGGATGGCTGAGTGCAGCAAGTGGGCTAGGGAGAGCTGGCCTTTGTCACCCTCCCACTGTGGCCCCGCAGGCTCTCAGCCTCCCCATGTGGGAGTGGAGCACCCAGCTGCTCTGGTCTCCCTGGACTTTCTGATCCCAGCGCTCTGGGTTTCTTCTAACCTGGGAGGTGAGGGCCCTGGGTGCTGATCTGCGCCTTAGGGAAGCCAACCAAGTTCACTTAAAAGCAGTGTTGGAAAGGCACTGACAGTGAGATCCAGGCCGGCCTCCTGCCGGGGTCTCCTCATACCCCCACCTCTTTCTCAGCACAGGGTGAGAAGCCAGTGGTCTCCAGCCTGGATCCCCACACAGGTTTCCAGAGAAGGGGCTCCCCGCTTGCCAGAGCCAGCCGTAGAGTTGGGCAAGTTTAAGAACACTGCCCTCACGTCCTTCCAGCCCCAGCCCTGCCACCCCACCTTGGGGTCCTGGAAGCTCCTGCCCTCCTCCTGGGCTATTTTAGCAATCAGGTCACCCGTTGGCTTGCTGTGAGCTTGAGGTCGATGGAAACCCACAGGCCTTTTCTACAGAGCTGGTGGTATCTCCCCCTCCTCTAGATGCAGCCACAGGCAGGCTCCTCAGCGTGAGAAGAGAGGACCAGGCAGTGGCTTGGCAGTCCCCCACAGTGTGGGGCCCCTCCTCTCTCAGGAACTGAGGCCACACGCTGCCACCCACACCATCCCAGCCAGTGGTCCTGCAGATGTGGCTGACAGCAGGGAGGAGAGCCAGTCACAGGGCGTTGGGTGCCTGAGCACCCACACATCCCCACACTGTGCCCCATGGGTGCTGCACACAAGGCCCTCAATCCAGTCTCCACGAGCCCCAGGCAGTGAGTCGATCCTCATTTAGAGCAGAGCTGAGTGATCGGCCAAGGTCACCGTGCTAGTGTGCAGCAGGGCTGAGACAGACTCCGGAGCTGCCCCAGCAAAGCCCAAATCCATTCTGGCTGCACTAGTGTTTACCCAGGACCCCGCCCTTGGTGGCCACTGGGTGTCTGGTCCCTGATCCAAGCTGCCAAGTAAGTTCCCCTGATGGAGCTTGGGGGAGACTTTGTGCCCTGGTTCTACCCACACAGCAGGGTCCCAGGTTCCTAGGACCACGCAAGGCCCAAAGCCCCTCTCTGATGGCCCGTGGGTTCTGCTCAGAGGATTCTGATCACCTACTCCTGTTTGGGCTAAATCCTAAGTAGCAGCAGATGGGGCCCTCTGGCTGAAGGCTGCCCCAGTCTCCAGCTGCAGAATGCGGGACAGTTCCCATCCACCCTCCTCCAGACACCTGACAGGGAGCAGGTGGCCTTTTTGGCCAGCCCCAACCAGGTGCCAGACCAAGAGCAGAGAGCCTGTGCTCAGGAGCCTCCACTCCACCCAGGGAAGAAAGACATAAACACGCACAGGAAAGGGCTTTTGGAGACAGTGCTGGGGAGCCCCAGTGACCAGGCCGGAAACACTGTAGGAGGTGGGAGGGAGATAAGGCCCTGCCCAAGACTGGGAAGAGCAAGGCGCGGTCCAGGAACCAGACAGAAGCTGGTGTGGCTAGAACAGCGCTGCCCAGTGGAAAACAACGCAAACCACAAGTGTGAGCCACACAGGGAATTTGAATTTTTCCAGGAGCCACGACAAAAAGGTTTTTTAAGGCCAGGTGCGGTGGCTCATGCCTGTAATCCCAGCACTTTGGGAGGCCAAGGAGGGTGGATCACGAGGTCAGGAGTTTGAGACCAGCCTGGCCAAGATGGTGAAATCCAGTCTCTACTTAAAAAAAAATTTTTTTTTTAATTAGCCAGAGGCTGAGGCAGGAAAATCGCTTGAACCCGAGAGGCAGAGCTTGCAGTGAGCCCAGATCATGCCACTGCACTCCAGCCTGGGTGACAGAGTGAGACTCCTTCTCAAAACAAACAAACAAACAAAACCACTTTTTTTAAAAGATGAAGTGAAATTAGCCGGGTGTGCTGGCGCATGCCTGTAGTCCCAGCTACTCAGGAGGCTGAGGCAGGAGGATCACTTAAGCCCAGGAGGCAGAGGTTGTAGTGAGCTGAGATCATACCACTGCACTCCAGCCTGAATAACAGGGTGAGACCCTGTCTCAATAAAAAATAAATAAATAAAGTAAAAAAAAAAAAAAAAAAAAAAGATAAAGTTGGTTGAGTGTGGTGGCTCATGTGTAATCTCAGCATTTTGGGAGGCCGAGGCAGGAGGATCTCTTGAGCTCAGGAGTTCAAGACCACCCTGGGCAATGTGGCAAAACCCCATCTCTACAAAAAATACAAAAATTAACCAGGCATAGTGCCACATGCCTATAGTCTCATCTACTCAGGAGGCTGAGGTGGGAGGATCACTTGAGCTCAGGAGGTTGAGGCTGCAGTGAGCCAAGATCGTGCCACTGCACTCCGGCTTGGGCAACAAAGTGAGACTCTGTCTCAAAAAAAAAAAAAAAGTCCAGGCGCAGTGGCTCATACCTGTAATCCCAGCACTTTGGGAGGCTGAGGCGGGCAGATCACTAGGTCAGGAGATCGAGACCATCCTGGCTAACATAGTGAAATCCCATCTCTACTAAAAATACAAAAAATTAGCCAGGTGTGGTGGCATGTGCCTGTAGTCCCAGCTACTCAGGAGGCTGAGGCAGGAGAATTGCTTGAACCCAGGAGGCGGAGGTTGCAGTGAGCCAAGACTGTACCACTGCACTCCAGCCTGGGTGACAGAGCAAGACTCCATCTCAAAAAAAAAAAAAAAAGATGAAATTAATTTTAATTTATATATATATATATATATATATATATAGTTTTGTTTTGTTTTTTAGAGATGGGGTCTTCCTTTGTTGCCCGAACTCCTGGCCTCAAGCAATCCTCCCACCTCGGCCTCTCAAAGTGCTGGGATTACAGGCATGAGCCACCACGTACAATTTGATATATTTTATATAATCCAATGTAACTAAAATATTATCATTTTAATATAATCAATACAAAAATTAATGAGATGATTTACATCCTTTTTTTTGACACTCTGGCTTTGAGATCTGGTGTGTATTTTATAGACTGGCCACATTTCAAGTGCTCAGCAGCCACAGATGGTCAGTGGCCACTGGCTGGGGCTGCACTGGGGCAGAGCACAGTGAGTAAAGGGGAGGAGATATGAGGTAAGGTCGAAGCAGTGGGAAAGGGTCACCTGGGATTTTATTCCAAGAGCTTCGAGGTCGTGGGAGGGCTTTAAGCAGGGGCATCATGTGATCTGACTACTTACTGTCTTTGAAGCTGACTCTGGCTGCTGCCTGGAGGGCTTCGGAGCAGGTGAGATTGGCTGCCCAGTGAGATGCCCAGGTGGGCTGAAGGTGGCCTAGAGCTGCGTTGATGACAGCCACAGAAGAGCTTCAGGGAATACTGACAAGGCTGTGGGCAGGCAGTGAGACAGGGAGGCAGGCCTGGCCGTCTGCTTTTCCTCTCCCTCTCTTTGACCAAAATTCCATCCATGTAACCCTGTTCCTATAGCTGCCTTCCTTCCAGGAAGAGATCTGCGCAGTTGCTACTTAACAAAGCCTAGAAGAACCCAACCAGAATAATTTTGCCAAGGGCTAGAATTGAAATATCTGCCACCTTCTGTAGCTCATAGAATCACTGTATTTCTGAGCAAGAAATCTTTTATTTTTTTAGACAGAGTCTTGCTCTATCACCCAGGCTGGAGTGCAGTGGGGCAATCTCGGCTCACTGCAACCTCCACCTCCCAGGTTCAAGCAATTCTCTTGCCTCAGGCTCTTGAGTAGCCGGGACTACAGGCGCGTGCCACCACACCCAGCTAATTTTTTCTATTTTTAGTAGAGACAGGTTTCACCATGTTAGCCAGGATGGTCTCGATCTCCTGACCTCGTGATCTGCCTGCCTTGGCCTCCAAAAGTGCTGGGATTATAGGCATGAGCCACGGCGCCAGGCCTAGAAATCTTCTAGCCACTCAGTATCATACAGTGATTAGGTGGTCTCTGGGGCTAGCCCGCCTGGAGTGAATCCCTGCTGCCCCTCTAACTAGCTGTGTGACCTTGCACAAAATACTTAATTCTTCTGGACTTCCATGTCTTCATCCGGACACCAGAGCATTAATCATCTGTATCTCTTGGGATGACTGGGAGGGGTAAATGGGTCTGTAAGAGTGGTTACACCAAGGGCACTCCTGTTATCTATTATTGTTGATGTTGCCACTGTTATTAACCTACAAGAACATTGAGCCCCAGGGATAGGAAGGGACCTATCCAATGTTACACAGCAAACCTGAAGCACAGCAGGAAGCAGAATCTAAATTTTTAACTTCTGAGGTGGGGCACGGTGGCTCACATCTGTAATCTCAGCATTTTGGGAGGCCGAGGCGGGTGGATCATTTGAGGTCAGGAGTTTGAGACCTGCCTGGCCAACATGGTGAAACCCCATCTCTACTAAAAATACAAAAATTAGCTGGGCGTGGTGGCGGGTGCCTGCAGTCCCAGCTACTCGGGAGGGTGAGGCAGGAGAATCGCTTGAACCCGGGAGGTGGAGGTTGCAGTGAGCCGAGATTGAGCCACTGCACTCCAGCCTAGGTGACAGAGTGAGACTCTGTCTCAAAAAAAAATAAATAAAAAAATAAAAATAAATTAAAAAAATAGCTGGGTGTGGTGGTGCATGCCTGTAATGCCTGTAATCCCAGCTACTAGGGAGGCTGAGGTAGGAGAATTGCTTGAACTCGGGAGGTTGCAGTGAGCCAAGATCGCCCCACTGTAGTCCAGCCTGGGTGACAGAGTAAGGCTCCGTCTCTAAATAAATAAATAAATGAATAAATGTTTAATTCTGGCTCTTACTCAGAGCTGCCTCTCAACTGAATTTGCTGGTTGTCCCTTCATCCAGACATTGACCATGTTCTTGCCATGTGCTGGTGCCACGTCCACAGCTTGGGGGAGACACTAAGATGGTACAAGACTCATCTCTACAAAATCGAAGTTTTCCAGTTCAGAAGGAAAAGCTCTTTCTCAAACACTCTTGGCCACAGCGGGAGGAAGCCTTAGTGCATGCAGAGAGTCGTGTGCTGGTAACGGGGCAATTAAAACAGTACTGGTTGAAGAACCAGGAGATCCTGGGGTGCCCCAGCCTCTGCCCAACTTGCTCTGTGATGCAGGCAAGGGGCTTGGCCTCTCTGGGACTCAGTGCCCTTGTGTGTGCTGAACTTGTGTTAACTGGGGGCGGACTCTAGGCCCAGACCCTGACTCCAAAGTATGCACAGCCGATTCCCAGGCAGGCTGGGAGGTGTAGCTAGAACTATAGGCATATGCCTCCGAGGACACAGATCCTATGGCCCGAATTTTCCTGGAACACTTCTGGCTGACCTGCTCCCTTCGTAAGAGCCATGTGTGTACTTGATCACACATCCTGGGTTTTAAAATATAATTTGTCACTATAATAAAGTCATGAGAGTCTAGTTCATCCATTTCACAGACCAGTAACATTTCCAAAGAAACTCTGGGGAACCTGCAAAGGACTGAAAGTTGTTATTCTGCCAAGGAAGGCCCTTAGAACCAAACGACAAATGGTGCTGGAAAAACTGGATATCCACATGCGAAAGAATGAAACTGGACCCTTTCCTTACACAACACAAAAATCAACTCAAAATGGATCGAAGACTTAAGACCTGAAACTATAAAACTTACAGAAGAAAATATAGGGGAAAAGTTTCATAGCACTGGCCTTAGTAATAATTTCTTGAATATGGCACCAAAAGCACAGGCAAGAAAAGCAAAAATAGACAAGAGGGACTACATCAACCTAAAAAGCTTCTGCCCAGCAAAGGAAACAAGAGTGAAAGGCAATCTACTGAATGGGAGAAAATATTTGCAAACCATATATGTAATAAGAAGTTAATATCCGGCCGGGCACAGTTGCTTACGCCTGTAATCCCAGCATTTTGGGAGGCTGAGGAGGGTGGATTCACGAGGTCAGGAGATCGAGACCAGCCTGGCCAATGTGCTGAAACCTCGTCTCTACTAAAAAATACAAAACTTAGCTGGGCATGGTGGCGTGTGCCTGTAATCCCATAATCCCAGCTACTCAGGAGGCTGAGGCAGGAGAATCGCTTGAACCCGGGAGTCGGAGGTTGCAATGAGCCGAGATTGAGCCACTGCACTCCAGCCTGGGTAACAACAGTGAAACTGCGTTTCAAAAAATAAATAGGCCGGGCTCGGTGGCTCACGCCTGTAATCCCAGCACTTTGGGAGCCTGAGGCGGGCGGATCACCTGAGGTTGGGAGTTCAAGACCAGCTTGGCCAACATGGTGAAACCTTGTCTCTACTAAATAATACAAAAATTAGCCAGGTGTGGTGGCAGGCACCTGTAATCTCAGCTACCTGGGAGGCTGAGGCAGGGAGAATTGCTTGAACCTGGGAGGTGGAGGTTGCAGTGAGCCGAGATCACGCCACTGCACTCCAGCCTGGGTGACAGAGAAAGACTCCGTCTCAAAAAAAATAAAAATAAATAAAAAATAAACAAATAAATAAAAATAGGCCACGCACAGTGGTTCACACCTGTAATCCCAGCACTTTGGGAAGCCGAGGTGGGCGGATCACGAGGTCAGGAGTTTAAGACCAGCCTGGTCAACATAGTGAAACCCTCTCTCTACTAAAAATATGAAAATTAGCTGAGTGTAGTGGTGGGCACCTGTAATCCCAGCTACTCAGGAGGCTGAGGCAGGAGAATCATTTGAACCCAGGAGGCAGAGGTTGCAGTGAGCCAAGATCTCACCATTGCATTCCAGCCTGGGCGAGACTCCGTCTCAAAAAATAAAAATAAAATAAAAATAAAAATAAAAAATAGGCAAAGGACTTGAATAGGCATCCCTCCAAAGATGACATGCAAGTGGTCAACAAGAACATGAAAAAGTGCTCAACCTCACTGATCACCAGAGAAATGCAAATCAAAACCACAATGAGCCATCAACTTACACCTGTTAGAACTGCCATTATTTAAAAAAAAAAAAAAAACAACAGTGTTGGCAAGGATGTGGAGAAGTTGAACCCTTGTGCATGGTTAGTGGGAATGTTAAATGGTGCAGCTGCTACAGAAAACAGTATGGAGGTTTCTCAAAAAATTAAAAATAGAACTACCATATGATCCAGGAATCCCACTTGCAGGTATTTTTCCAAAAGAATTGAAATCAGGATCTCCAAGAGATATGTGAACTCCCATATTGATTGCATCATTATTCACAATAGCCAAGAGGTAGAAACAACCTAAATGTCCATCCACAGATGAATGGATAAACAACATATGGTGTGTACACACATTGGAATATTATTTAGCCATCAAAATAAAGAAAGCCTGTCATGTGCTGCCATATGGATGAACTTTGATGACTTTATGCTAAATGAAACAAACCAGTCACAGAAGGACAAATAATGCATGATTCCATTTATATGAGGAATCCAAAGAAGAAACAGAAAGTAGAAGAAAGAAAAAAAATAAAGACAAAAAAATTTTAAGTAGAAAAAAGAAAGGGAAAAAATAGTAGAATGGGCCAGGCACAGTGGCTCACGCCTATAATCCCAGCACTTTGGGAGGCCGAGGTGGGCAAATCACCTCAGGTCAGTTTGAGACCAGCCCGACCAACATGGAGAAACCCTGTCTCTACTAAAAATACAAAATTAGCCGGGCGTGGTGGCGCACACCTATAATCCCAGCTACTCGGGAGGCTGAGGCAGGAGAATTGCTTGAACCCAGGAGTTGGAGGTTAAGGTGAGCCGAGATCGTGCCATTGCACTCCAGCCTGGGCAACAAGAGTGAAACTCTGTCTCCAAAAAAAAAAAAAAAAAAAAAAAATAGTAGAATGGGGGTTGGGTTGCCAGGGGCTGAGGGGGAGTGGGGAACAGAGAGTTGCTGTTCAATGGGTATAGAGTTTCAGTCACACAGATAAAAATGTCCGGAGGTCTTCTGCACAACATTGTGGTTATAGTTAACAATACTGTAGCGTGCACTTAAAAATTTAAGAGGAGCCGGGGCAGTGGCTCACGCCTGTAATCCCAGCACTCCGGGAGGCCAAGGCAGGCGGATCACAAGGTCAGGAGTTCGAGACCAGCCTGACCAACACAGTGAAACCCCATCTCTACTAATAATACAAAAAATTAGCTGGGCATGGTGGTGGGCGCCCAGTAGCTATTACAGTAGCTAGCTGTAATCCTAGCTACTTGGGAGGCTGAGGCAGGAGAATCGCTTGAACCCAGGAGATGGAGGTTGCAGTGAGCCGAGATCCCACCACTGCACACCAGCCCAGGTGACAATGCAAGACTCTGTCTCAAAAAAATAAAATAAAATAAAATAAATACACACACATAAAATATATTACATATATATTATACATACATACATACATACATATGTATTAGCTGGGTGTGGTGGCGCATGCCTGTAGTCCTAGCTACTCAAGAGGCTGAGGCAGGAGGACTGCTTGAGCCTAGAAGGTCAAGGTTACAATGAGCTATGATTGCATCATTACACTTCAGTCTGGGTGACAGAGCAAGACAATATCTCCAAAAAAAAAAAAATACTTCTTCAATTTAAATAGCTTTAGTTTTGTGGGAAAAACCAAGAACCACAGTGTGCCTGTCTCTATTTCTTGCTCTTGTTCCCTTTTATTCCCTCCTGAATTTCTCACCACACCAGGCCTTTTTGTTCTGGGACTCTTCCTCCTCTACCCTCCCCACTCCCTCCCCTGCCTCCCCCAAGCTCACAGCATTTCACACAGTTCCAGAAAAGTGCTTCTCTCCCTGACTGCCACCTGGCCCTGCTGTCTTCCCACAGGGCTGTGGGCTCCGGCAGCAGAGACCTTTTCCTACTCCCTGTGCCCCTGCATCTAAACAGACCCAGCATAGGAGAGGGGCCTGGTGAAGATGGCTGGTAGGAAGGCACTAGACTCGGGCTTTGAGAGCCAGAAGGCCTCAGGGAGTGAAGAATATGGGACTGGCAGGATCTAGGGGCTGAAATGAGTGGCCATAAAAGAAGCCCCCTCAAGACCCAAGACTCCTTGGTAGTAAGGGCTGGGCATCTCTCTGTGTCCCACCTCACACCCTGGGGCGGGTGAGGAGAGGAAGTGGAGGGGTTGCAGGGTTGGGGGAACAAGCGACAAGCCCGCCCTCCTGAGGAGCCCCAGGGCTGGTACAAACGGCAGGAAGAGGCTGAGCTGGGCCCCTGGAGCCACAGAGGCAGGAGGGAGTGAAGAGGCCCTGTGGCTGCCATGGGGGACAGTCCAGCAGCCTCCTCCTGCTCCCCTCAAGACTGGCCGGAGGTGTCTCAGCCCCCGTAGCCAACCACAGAGAGAGCACAGGGCGGAAGTGGCTGGCGCCTCAGCCATAGCTGCCGGAGATGGGCTCAACGGCCACACGGTCCCCACATTCGGGGAGCCTCACCGCAGCCCCGTGGGCACAGAGACCCAGGTGGAGCTCCAAGGGACACATGAGGCACAGGGAGTCTAGGGCAGCAGCTTCAAAACCACACACTGGTCTTTCTGCTGGCTTTTTTGGTCACCATCCCCTGCTTAAAACCCCAGGGTCACCCCACACTTTCAGCACAGACAGGCTGCATTCCACCCACCTGCAGGCTCCTCTGCCCGGCATTCATCTGTGCCACCTGCCCCGGCCATTTGGCTCCGACTGCAATGACACGTTTGTCTGGGAGATTCTTCAAGGGCACATAAAACATATCTGCCTTTGCTCACTGTGATGTCTCCGACGCAAAGCAGAGAGCCCGCCAGCGTAGCCACTCAGAGCTGAGTGGTGGTGGAATGAGTGAAAAGGCTGCAGCTGGAAGGGCTGGGAGGCGGGGGGCAGAGTGGGGGCAGCCAAGGGTTTTGGGGATCACACAGGCTTGGGAAGAAAAGTCAGCTCAGACCCACTGGCTATGTGACCTGGCCCTGCAGGTCCAACTGTCAATGGGTCTAACCCCGCCCACCTCAATGATCTGTGAGAGCTGAGCGGGGGAGACACTGTTCAGAAAAGACTGGGTCCCTGAAACTGTTGTTGTCGTTTAATCCAGCCATTTTTTTTAAGTTTGTTTAAGAGACAGGGGTCTCCCTATATTTCCCAGGCTAGTCTTGAACTCCTGAGCTCAAGCAATCCTCCCACCCTGGCCTCCCAAAGTGCTGGGATTACAGGCGTGAGCCACCGTGAGCTTGGCCCCAGCTCTTTCATTTATGGACAGGACATTTCAGGAGAGGGATCCATCCAGTCTCATCTTGGTGTTTAATATTTAAATGCACCAAAAATGGGGTGCCAATTGGTGCCAACTTTTTGGAAAGAGACTTTGATGTAATCTGCCTAAAAGTAAAATGCTCATGTTCAGCAACTCAGCCCTTCAGCTTCTAGGAATTTTGTTCTGCAGGGAAAAAAAAATGCTGTATTTGTATTATTAATATTGTTACTGGGTGGCAGGGGGAGGAAAGTATTCAGTGTTTTCAGAACCACCCACCAGGAGGCGCTTTTGCATCAGGGGCCCAATCAGGTTAGCCCAGAGCACCTGGATTTAAGTAGCAAAAACAAATGACAATCTCTAGCCCAATGTCTCAAGAACATTCCAGTCTTTTACTTCATCTCACCCTCGAAACTTCCTTTTTTTTTTTTTAGACAGAGTCTCACTCTGTCACCACGGCTGGAGTGCAGTGGTGCAATCACAGCTCACTGCAGCGTCGACCTCCCAGACTCAAGCAATCCTCCCACCTCAGCTTCCTAGGTAGCTGGGACTAGGTGCACATCACCATGCCTAGCTAATTTTTGTATTATTATTTTTTTTTTTGTAGAGATAGGGATCTTGCCATTTTGCCTAGGCTGGTCTTGAACTCCTGGGCTCAAGCAATCCTCCTGCCTCGGGCCTCCCAGTTCTGGGATTACAGGAGTGAGCCACTGCGCCTGGCCATGACCAAAACTTTTATTAGAGACAGTATCTACTTGCTTGGTGCCCTCTCTGCCCTTCCTCCTAAAGAATCCCCCTTCAAAAGGAAAAAAAGGCCATTCAAATTTGAGAGAGACTCAGGGGTCCAGAGTAAACTAAGTTAAATGAAATCAAACCTGGACCGTGGGCTTCAAGTGTGTTATTAACCCCCTCCCTCCTGTCCTGCTGCATCCTTGGCTCTGCCCTTTCACTTACGTCCACGTCTCTAAACCCAGCCGTTCTTCCTTCTCCCTTGGGTCTCTGTGTCTTCTGTCTGCCTCAGGTGTCCTTCCACACGCTACCCACCCGCCTAGGGAATACTCCTTCTGAGTTCCTGGGCAAACCACCCAGTTCTCCTCCTGAACCCTCCCCCAAAAGGCTCCCTGCACGTTCCATCTCATGAGGGCCAGGCTGTGCCCAGGTGAGGACACTCATCACCTCCACTTTTCCCATCACACTGGTGTGTGGAGCGCCCACCCCACCTGGGATGTAGAGGGATGCTCCTTGCCCAGCAGTGCTTCTCCCTGGGCCTCAGTTTCCCAGTCTAGGGTACCCCCACACCTCTCTCAGCTTGGGCGTGCTGTACTTTACCCCATGTCAGCAGTTCTCATTAAGCTAGTCTTTAAAGGAGGAAAAAATAATTTTAAAAAATCTTCCTTTGTTCTGGCCTCCGGTCTATTTACAATGACAGTTCATGAGGAACTGGGTTCTGAGCGAAAACAAACAAAATGCCTCCATTTTAGAAGGGGTAAGGTCTGGAGGGGAAAGAGGGAGATAGGAAAGAACCTGTGGTGGCCTATCCTCTCCCCGTGACAGGAAGGCCTTTGAACAACACAATTCTGATTGTGCTGTTGCTACCTCATTTCAAATCCTTCCCCCTGCCCCACCCTCCAGAAGCAGCACCTGGCATGGTAGGCAAAGCCCCATCAGCTCTGGCCTGCACGACTGGCGCTCCAGCTTTGGCTGTCCTCCCGCAGCCCTGGGATCCCTAAGCCTAGAATACGCCACGCCCATTCCCCCACCTTCCCCACCAGCCGAATTCCCCTTCCGCTGGGGAGACTCAGGTTGGGGGTCAATCTTCAAGAAGCCTCCCTGTCCAACCCACTGAGGCAGGTGGCCTCAGGGTCAGGGCTCCAGGTTTCCCCCACGCCCACCCCACTAACACACACACACACACACACACACACACACACACACAGCCACCTGGGAATTCCAGGGAGCACAGCTGCGAGGGCAGCAAGGACCACAACAATGCTGACCACAATAGTGGCTCCAGGAAGGCCTGTTCTTGTTCCGGGCGGGAGGCCTAAGGCAGTGATGCTCCCTGGCAGCCTCTGGAAGCCCAGGGGAAGCCAGTTTCTATGTGGGATTCCCTGACTCTGGCCCATGGGCTTAGGAACACATTGTGTCCCTCCACTCCCAGGGCACTGAGTCCCAGCTGTGGGGTCATCTGAGTCCCACAGCACACCTGCTCATTTGTTCATTCATTAGTTTATTCATTCATTCAACAAATATTTATTCAGTGCCAGGCTTTGGGCCAAGAAGAGAAAGCCACTAAAAAGAGCAACAGATAAATACACGGTTGCACGTGATGTCAAGTGTCATAAGGCATGATGGGGTGTGAGAGGATGCAGAGCCAGGTGGCCAGGGAAGGCCTCCTAGAGATGATGCTTGAGCTGAGATGTGACAAATGAGGAGGTGTTAGCCTGGGAGGCCACTGGAGGCCGGAGCAGCAGAGGGAGTGCAGGCATGGAGCGGCTGGCCAGACACGAGGCAAGAGGAGAAACAGAGGCTGGATCATGCAGGACTGTATGATAGGTGGGGAAACCGAGGCATGGAAACTGGTGACTTGCACATGGCCCTGCAACTAGTTAGATGCTCGCTTCCTAAGTGCCACCCACCCCAGGAACCAGGCCTTCCCATCTGAGCATGGGATGCCTGCACTGCTCTTCTTCGCAGTGGAACAAAGGAACCCGTTTTTTTTGTTGGTTTTGAGACGAAGTTTCGCTCTTGTCGCCCAGACTGGAGTGCAATGGCATAATCTTGGCTGACTGCAACTTCCGCCTCCTGGGTTCAAGCGATTTTCCTACCTCAGCCTCCTGAGTAGCTGGGATTTACAGGTGCCCACCACCATGCCCAGCTAATTTTTTGTATTTTTAGTAGAGACGGGGTTTCACCATGTTGGCCAGGCTGGTCTCGAACTCCTGACCTCAAGTGATCCACCTGCCTCGGCCTCCCAAAGTGCTTGGATTAGAGGCATAAGCCACCGCGCCCGGCCTCAAATGGTTCTTAATCACCTAGTGTCTGTCATGTGTCCACCCGGGGTTACCCAGGGCAGAGACGGCATCATCTCCATCTCAGAGGCCCAGGGCCGGGTGTATTGTAGGTGTTTAATAAACACTTGCTTAATTGGATCTTGGTATCTCCAGGATGTAGGCCCCGATGCTGCCCTTGACCACATGGCTCCCTGAGTGTTAACTGAACCAGCAGAGTTGGTCTTGCAGCACGTGCATCTCATTCAGGCCCACTGCATTTTCTGGCCCTCACTGCTAAGAGTCCGTGCAGAAATGTGAGTTCTCAGCAGTGCTGAGAGCACTGTGTGCCCCCAAAGAGCTCTGACTCTCAGCTCCCCACATTGGTTTCACCTCTAATTTGTACCCCTCTAGCTCAAACCTTAATGGCGAAAGCTTGACATCGCCTTTGGCAATTCAGAGGCTATTACTTGTCAGCACTATCTACCTTGTCAGTGCCTGGGAGAAGCAAACCCCACCTCATAAGCATGTATCAAGCAATCACTTATCAAGCACCTCCTAGGTTCGGGATCTTTTAGAAAGCCCCACTTGGGGAGGTGCGATGGGGAATGGCTCTGGGCCTCCCCATAGGCCAGTTTATCAGCTCTCACAGAGGAGCACAAACCACTGGCTCAGGACGTGCAGGTGCGAAGGAAAGAGGAAGGGCGTGGTTGGCAGCCCCTCTTTCCCTGGGCAGTCTGAGTCACATTCCACCTCTCCCAGTGTTACAGGGTTTGTGAAATGACCACAGCTCCTCACTCTTCTGAGGAGAAACCAGAGGTAGAGGAGAAAGCACAGAGTAGTGCAGAGGGAGGAGCCCTGCCTCCCCTCCACACCCTTCTAAGACTGTTAACATGTCCTTCCAGCAATGTCAGCCAGTGTCAGCTGTGGGGTGCATCAGAATTCTGGAAGCCCAGAAGTCCAGGAATTTGCCATCCAGACGGTGAGACATATGCATAGAGAAGTGCAGCACAGGCTGGGTGCAGTGGCTCACACCTGTAATCCCAGCACTTTGGGAGGCCGAGGTGGGAGGATCACTTGAGCCCAGGAGTTCAAGGCCAGCCTGAGCAACAGTCTCAATAGTGACTGTCTCTATTTAAAAAAAAAGAAAAAAGAAAGAAAGAAAGAAAGAGAGAAGTGGCTGGGCGCGGTGGCTCATGCCTGTAATCCCAGCACTTTGGGAGGCTGAGGCAGGCAGATTACCTGAGGTCAGGAGTTCAAGACCAACCTGGCCAACACAGTGAAACCCCATCTCTACTAAAAATACAAAAATTAGCAGGGCGTGGTGGCACGTGCCTGTAATCCCAGCTACTCAGGAGGCTGAGGCATGAGAATTGCTTGAACCTGGGAGGCAGAGGTTGCGGTGAGCCGAGATGGCGCCATTGTACTCCAGCCTGGGCAAAAAGAGTGAAACTCGGTCTCAAAAACAATAAATAGAAGTGGCCGGGCATGGTGGCTCATGCCTATAATCCCAGCACTTTGAGAGGCCAAGGTGGGCGGATCCCCTGAGGTCAGGGGTTCGAGACCAGCCTGGCCAACATGGTGAAACCCTGTCTCTACTAAAAATACAAAAATTAGCCAGGCATGGTAGTGGGTGCCTGTAATCCCAGCTACTCAGGAGGCTGAGGCAGGAGAGTCACTTGAACTCAGGAGGCGGAGGTTGCAGTGAGCCAAGATCGCACCACTGCACTACAGCCTGGGGGATAGAGCAAGACTCTGTGTACAAAAAAAAAAAAAAGAAGTGCAGTGCAGGCAACTGGTGCTCAGATGGGAAGGCCTGTCAGGGCACTGTGTCGGGGACAGAGATGGTTGCCGCCATCCTGGGACAGTGTCCAACATAGTGCAAGAGATGGGCTGGGTGAGGCATAATGCCAGCGATGACAGCAACCACCCCCAGTGGTGCTGGCTGTCGTTGACTGTGGTTCACTGTGAGTGCCAAACACACATGCTTTGCTGCATTTACTCCTCCAGCCCCGGAGTTGCCACTGCTCCCATTTCAGAGATGGGGAAACCGTGGCAGGGAGACTTGCCCATGGGCCCCCAGGCAGTAAGAGTAGGGCTGGAGGGAAGAAACTGGCAGGCTGGTTCCAGAGACCTCCCTCTTAGGTATCACTGAGAGGGGCTTCCAGGCACCTCTGTGTGGTTGAACTTGCTGATCTGTTCAAACTGCTGTCATATAAGGACGTTCAACTTGATTTTCAGCATCACCAGCAACCTTGCTGCTCCTTCCCCCTCTGGGCTAGTAGGGTGAGAGCTCTTCTCAGAGACAAAGACCAGGATGCAGGAGCAGGCATGGCTTGGCCTGCAGACAAGACTGGTAGGAGGAGGAGACCTGGACCCAGTTGCTCTAAATCTAGCAAAAAGATTTTCTAGGCCCTCCAGAGGCTACCTCCTCCCCTTAGCTCCCACTGCCTGCAGCCGCCTGCAAATTGCTTAGAAGTGTTGATAATTACAGCAGGCCCAATCCCATCAACACCTGAGGGAGAGGAAACTGGAGGGTCCTCCTTCTGTAAGCTTATCCCAGAGCCCACTGACATCCATCATCTCCCCTGATCCCCTAGGATGGAGGCAGGAGGTGGGACATGGTCCCTGTTCTCTTGAGCAGGCTAGTGACTTGCCCAAGGTCATGCAGACCCTTCCAGGGAATACTGGGATTAGGGCTCAGCTTTTCCTGCTCAGCTCAGCACCCACCGATAACCAGTAGCGCTTTTCCTTTTCTGAGCTGAGCAAGCCTCAGAGGGCGAGTGAAAGAGGAGCCACCGGAAGGTGCTCTGGCAGGTCAGATTGCCCACGCATGCCAGTGTCCAGCCCCCTGCAGAACTCTGGGCCTTGGTGAGGTCATTTCAGAAGGAAAGAACGTTGGCACTAACAGGGATCTCAAAAGCACCCAGTGTAGGCCAGGTGCGTTGGCTCATGCCTGTAATCCCAGCACTTTGGGAGACGGAGGTCAGGAGTTCAAGATCAGCCTGGCCAACATGTTGAAACCTTGTCTCTACTAAAAATAAAAAAATCAGCCTTAGCCAGGCATGGTGGCATGCGCCTGCAATCCCAGCTATTCCAGAGGCTGAGGCAGGAGAATTGCTTGAAAATGGGAGGCAGAGGTTACAGTGAGTCAAGATGGTGCCACTGCACTCCAGCCTGGGTGGCAGAGTGGGACTCTGTCTCAAAAACAAAAACCAAAAGAAGCACCCAATGTAAGCCTTTCGTGTTATAGATGGGGTCATAGAGGAACAGAGGATGAACAGAGTCTGCCCAAGACTGTTAGCAGGTTAGACCCAAGCCCCTGACTCCCCATCCCCCACTTCTCTTCTGGTGCCTGACAAGAGAGTAGTTTCCTACACATTCACCTTCTTCATAGGCTTTGCCTCCAGGAGCCAGGGAAGTGTACAGAATGGCTTTGGGGCTGGGCAGACTTGGTTTGGAGCCACATCCCCCTACTTGGTTGCTGTGTAACTTTGGGCAAATGAATTTCCCTCTCTGGGCCTGTTTCCTAATCTGTAAAATGGGGAAAATAATAACTGCTTCTTAATGTAAGAATTCAATGAACTAAGGTGTCCACAGGATGGAGAGCTCTGCAAAGGCCCCAGGCAGGCAAGGGACTGAAGACAGGCATTCCTGAAGGCTAAAAGGTGATCAGGCATTCCACAAATCCCCCTTCCTCTTTCCCTCTCTGATGCCAAATACACCCAAGCTCAGAGACACATCTTCTGCCTGGGCTTTGAGACAGGCCTGAAAACCCTCCCACACTGTCTACAAGCACAGAAGAGCTTCTCTCTGGAATGATTGCTCTGACCTGGAGGAGATGACAGAGCCAGCACTAGGAATCTCTGGGGAGAGCGCTCCAGGAGCTGGTGCATGGGTGGAAAGGTGGAATTCCTCCCCACTGCTGCCACCCCCAACACTGCCCACCCCAGGAGCCTCCTGGCTTCCAGGGGTGGCTGCAGAGACCTGCTAGGTGGAGGGGTTTTCTCAGGGAGCCTTCACTTGCTCCCACAGACACATCTGCTGAAAGCAGTGCAGGCAGGCATGAGGCAGGCAGTGGAGCTGCAACTGGCTGACAGCAGGCTGGAGAGGGGAGAGGGAGAAAGGGAGCGAAAAGGGGGAGGGGAGACTGGGTGAGTCGTACTCCCTTCCCCACGGCCCACCCCGACAAGCTAAGAAAAGCTCTGGGGGGAGAAAAGCTGCTAAGATGCACAGTTGCCCTCCCCTCTGTGGGAGGCCCTTCCTTCCCCAGAGCCAGCTGCCCCAGGCAGATTAGCATTGGGCTCCGGAAAAGCAGGCCCACACCAGCCCATGGGAGGCCGCCGGCTGAGTCAGCTCCTCTACCTGGCAGGAAATCATTCATAAAAATGACACCTGCCCAGAGCCCAGCGCCCAGCCTCACCAGCCAGAGTCTCCAGCCACACAGCCACACTGCCTCCTGCCGCCTCCCTCCCACCTCCTCCCAGCCACTGTACAGGGCAGACCTCTTTCTCTTTCTCTTTCTCCTGGGAAGAAGAATAATGAGACTGATGTGAAATAAGGCCAGCTCGGCCTTCGTCAATCAGTATTTACGGGTCGCCTGCCCTGGGGACAATAGTAGAGTCAAGAAGAGCAACCACTTCACTCAATGATGAACAAACATCTGCGACACAGCTTCCAGAGGTTCTCACTGTCCCAGCCACGTGCGTGGCGGACACTCTTTACGTTCAGTTTCTGTGTGGATGACCAGAGGCTCCTTAGACACACAGCTAGACACAGATAACTGGGCCAATCCTCCCACAAAGGGGGTCCGTAGAGCAGTGGTGACTTACACAGGTCACACGTGAGGTCAAACTTTAAGTCCATGTCAGGCCGGTCGCGGTGGCTCATGCCTGTAATCCCAGCACTTTGGGAGGCCGAGGCAGGCGGATCATGAGGTCAGGAGATCGAGACCACCCTGGCTAACATGGTGAAACCCTGTCTCTACTAAAAATACAAAAAATTAGCCAGGCGTGATGGCACGCGCCTGTAACCCCAGCTACTCGGGAGGCTGAGGCAGGAGAATCGCTTGGACCCGGGAGGCAGAGGTTGCAGTGAGCCTGAGATTGTGCCACTGCACTCCAGCCTGGGTGACAGAATGAGACTCTGTCTCAAAACAAAAACAAAAAACAAAAAAAAACTTTAAGTCCATGTCCCTAAAATGTAGACAACATTCCATCTTGTTCTTTCTTTTTTTCAGAGACAGGGTCTTGCTCTGTCACCCAGGCTGGAGTGCAGCGGTGCCATCACAGCTCACTGCAGCCTCAATCTCCTGGGCTCAAGTGATCCTCCCGCCTCAGCCTCCCGAGTAGCTGGGGTTACAGGAATGAGTCACCACACCTGGCCCATATTGTCATTCTTACTTCCCTTCGTTCAAACCCTGATGCACTCTCTTATCTGGGAGATAAAATGCAGGCTGCTCTCCTGCTGAAGATGTTACATCCTAATCACAGCCCTGCATGTCTGGGCCTGCGATCTCGGCCCTCATATCGCTCCCCCTTGATCTCCTTCACCAGCCGCCCTGGCCTTGTCGTTTCTCAAACTCACAAAACATGCTGTCACCTCAGGGCCTTTGCACGTGCCTTCCCTTCTGTCTTCCATCATTACATGTCAGGCTCCTCTGCATCCTGCAGGACTAGGTCACCTGTCAGCTTCTCAGAGACCTTCCCTGACCACTTTAAGAATCTGCCTCCCCCTGGCCGGGTGCGGTGGCTCATGCCTGTAATCCCAGTACTTTGGGAGGCCAAGGTGGGTGGATCACAAGGTCAGGAGTTCGAGGCCAGCCTGGCCAATTGGGTGAAACCCCGTCTCAAAATTAGCCAGGCGTGGTGGCACGCACCTGTAGTCCCCACTACTCAGGAGGCTGAGGCAGGAGAGTCACTTGAACCTGGGAGACACAGGTTGCCATGAGCTGAGATCGCACCACTGCATTCCAGCCTAGGCCACAGAGTGAGACTTCATCTCAAAAAAAAAAAGAATCCGCCTCCCACAACACACACACACACACACACACACACACACACACACACACACACACATTATTCCCTATCCCTGCATGAAGACAGCTCCCATCCTAACTCACAGAACAAGTTCATTATGGACTTCTTTACCCAGCTACTGTCTGTCTCCCCAGGCAGAGTCAACCCACAAGGTTGATTTTGCTCACCCTGGTGTTCCCAAGGCCTGGTACAAAGTAGATCCTCAGAAAATATTTGTTAAATGAATAATTAAATGACTTCTCACTGTAAGCAATTGGCACCACTTAGGCTAGCACTCAAGCACCTTCTATCCTCTTGACCATACCACAAAGTTAACCAGTTACACGATCAGAACACCTCTTCTTCATTTGTTCCTTCTTATGATGTTCAGTAGAGAGAGGCTCAGAAGAGCACTGCAGGGTGAGGCTGGAGCTAGGAGTTTGGAACACAGGTGCAGGGCTGTTCCACCCACCACACAGGTGAACTCCCAGAGGGCAGGGGCCTGTTGATGGTGGATGGGAACATTCAGTAAAACATTCCATAAACTGTTGCCTTTTTTTTTTTTCTGAGACAGAGTCTTACTCTGTCGCCCAAGCTGGAGTGCCGTGGCGTGATCTCAGCTCACTACACCCTCTGCCTCCCAGGTTCCAGTGATTCTCCTGCCTCAGCCTCCCAAGCTCCCAAGTAGCTGGGATTACAGGCACACACCACCACGCCTGGCTAATTTTTGTATTTTTAGTAGAGATGGTGTTTTGCCAAGTTGGCCAGGCTGGTCTCAAACTCCTGACCTCAAGTGATCTGCCCGCTCGGCCTCCCAAAGTGCTGGGATTAGAGGCGTGAGCCACCGCGCCCGGCCTTGCCATCATTTTTGTTCTCCTCTGTGAAGAGGACAGCCAAGAGTGTCAGAGGTCCTCAAACACTTGCTGCTTCATAAGGAGGGTCTCCCCCTTCTTACCAATCTCTAATCAGCATTTACAAAGCAGCCACCAGGACCCAGACCTCCATTAGAAGCCCAGGCAAATATAACCAAAGTGTATGATCTAGGGTTCTCAACACGTACGTGCACATCAGAGTCACCCAGGGAGCCTGTTAAAAGCACAGATGGGCACAGTGGCTCACGCCTGTAATCCCAGCACGTTGGGAGGCCAAGGTGGGCGGATCACGAGGTCAGGAGATCGAGACCATCCTGGCTAACAGGGTGAAACCCCATCTCTACTAAAAATACAAAAACTTAGCCAGGCGTGGTGGCACACGCCTGTAGTCCCAGCTACTCAGGAGGCTAAGGCAGGAGAATCACTTGAACCCAGGAGGCAGAGGTTGCAGTGAGTTGAGATTGCGCCACTGCACTCCAGCCTGGGCGACAGAGCAAGGCCCCATCTCAAAAAAAAAAAAAAAAAAAAAACCACAGATGTCCTAATCACTACCCATTCCATCCTATTTTGATTTCACAGGTCCAGGCTGGGGCAAGGAGAGCTCCCAGGGGATTGTGATGTGCACCAAACACTGAGAACCCCTGGCCATGCAGGGGAACTCCCTGAGGAGCTTCTGCAAACAAGGATGCCAGGCCCCTCTGCTATCAGAGATCCTCATCTTAAAGAGCCTGGGCTGGAGACCTAACAGTGAAATTTTTCAAGCATTCCTCAAATGCTGTTGTGCAGCCAGGGTGGGGGGTGGGGGGGATCACTTGAGGTCGGGAGTTCAAGACCAGCCTGGTCAACATGCTGAGACCCTGTCTCTACTAAAAATACAAAAATTAGCCGGGTGTGGTGGCAAGCACCCATAGTCCCAGCTACTCAGGAGGCTGAGGCAGGAGGATTGCTTGAACCCAGGAAGTGGAGGTTGCAACGAGCCGAGATCGTACCACTGCACTCCAGCCTGGGCAAGAAAATGAGATGCAGTCTCAAAAGAAAAAAACAAACAAAGGAAAACGATTCCTGCATTTTATCATCAGGAAACTGATGCAGGAAAAAAAAAAAAAGGTCTTGCCGGGTGCGGTGGCTCACGCCTGTAATCCCAGCACTTTGGGAGGCCGGGGCGGGCAGATCACCTGAGGTCAGGAGTTCGAGATCAGCCTGGGCAACACAGTGAAACCCCGTCTCTACTAAAAATACAAAATTAGCTGGGCATGGTGACACATGCCTGTAATCCCAGCTACTCGGGAGGCTGAGGCAGGAGAATTGCTTGAACCTGGGAGGCGGAGGATGCAGTGAGCCGAGATCACGCCATTGCACTCCAGCCTGGGCAACAAGAGTAAATCTCCGTCTCACCAAAAAAAAAAAAAAGAGAGAGAGAGAAAGAAAGGTCTTGCCAGTACCTTCTGTCCAGGCCTTGCAAACCCAGAGTGGCCCCAAGTCAGTGGGGTCTCCTTCAGGCCCCACAAGGCGAGCTGGAGAGCTGCTGGAAATCAGCTGATGTGCTGGCAGAGCTCCAGCCCAGAGTTTCTCATGACTTGGAGCCGACATATTCCCAGCATCTCAGCTCATTTCAGGCAAAATCATCGAGCATATTTTAGGATCAGCAAAAACCCACAATGCCTTTGGCCGAGCACTTTCCCTCTTCTTGTTGAAGCCCAGGGGTATTTTCTAGGAAATTGAGTCCATCTGTTTCTGATTCATTCGTACTTAACTCATCACCGGGCTGTTTTGTAAGAGCCCTTTGATGTGAAAGCCGCCTTATTCCATAAGCCTCTCTAAGCCTTTATTTAGTCAACAGCAGGTAAACGGGCCTCTCCAAAGAGGCCAGAGGCAGCATATTGATCTCCTGCTACACAAAGTCCATGTGAAGGGAAAGTGTGGCCCAAACGCCTGCCTGGAGACACTGAGACTCCCCGTCTTTGGGCCTAGCAGGGCAAAGCAGACCACTCCCTAGCCCTGACCCAGCGCTGTGGGGCTCAGCCACGCAGAGGGACCTCCTCTGGCGACTCACTAACTCTCCTCCCCAGGCACTGTAACCCAGCGTCCTCCTCCATAACTCACAGCCTTGCTACATAGATTTACGATTTCCTGTATGTTGCCTAAGAGTTCCTTTTTTTTGGTGGGGGACAGGGTCTTGTTCTGTCACCCAGGTTGGAGTGCAGTGGTGTGATCATGACTCACTGCAGCCTTGACCTCCCAGGCTCAAGCAATCCTCCCTTCAGCCTCCCACATAGCTGGGACCACAGGTGTGTGCCGCCACACCTGGCTAATTTTTGTATTTTTTGTTGAGACAGGGTCTCACTATGTTGCCCGGACTGGTCTTGAACTCCTGGGCTCAAGTGATCTGCCCAATTCAGTCTCCCAAAGTACTGGGGTTATAGGTGTGAGCCACCGTGCCCAGCCCCAAGTGGTTTTTTTTTGTTTTGTTTTTTGAGATGGGGTTCAAGCGATCCTCCTGCCTCAGCCTCCCAAATAGCTGGACCTACAGGTGCCTGCCACCACGCCCAGCTAATTTTTGTATTATTAGTAGAGACAGGGTTTCATTGTGTTGGTCAGGCTGGTCTCGAACTCCTGACCTCAGGTGATCCACCCGCCTTGACCTCCCAAAGTGCGGGGGTTACAGGTGTGAGCCACGGTGCCCAGCCAATAGAATTTTTTTTTTAAAGAGAACCATTGGTCTAGCCATTCATTTAGTCTTGGGTAGAACTTGCAGGGGGATCGGGTAGCTACCTACCACCAATAAATTTGCTTGGTTTATCATTTTCTCCAAAAGTACTCAGTACTATGGCTTAGGCTTAGTACTAAGCACCCAATGATGAGTGATAGAGGTGATGATGTACAACTCTGAAGCAGGCACTGCATTCAGTCCTCAGAATCACCTTCAGAGGATACACTATCTCCATTTTATAGATGAACCTCAAAGGTATGGACAGGTGACACAAGCCTCCAGGTTACGCACTGCTTAGCACCAGGGCTGGTACACAGTGGGCGGCTAACATATTCTCACTGAACTGGTGCATCCATGAATATAAACAATAATAGGTGGATTTAGGTCGAGCATGGTGGCTCACGCCTGTCATCCCAACACTTCGGGAGGCTGAGGCGGGAGGATCACTTGAACCCGAGTTTGAGACCAGCCGGGACAACAGAGTGAGACTTCATCATTGCAAAAAATTTAAAAATTAGCCAGTCATGGTGGTGTGCACCTGTAGTCCTAGCTACTCTGGTGGCTGAGGTGGGAGGAGCTCTTGAGCCCAGGAGTTCGAGGCTGCAGTGAGTTATGATTGTGCCACTGCACTCCAGCCTCAGTGACAGAGTGAGACCCTATCTTTAGAAAATTAATTAATTAATTTAAAAAAAGGAGGTGGTGGGCTGGGCGCGGTGGCTCATGCCTGTAATCCCAGCACTTTGGGAGGCCAAGGTGGGCAGATCACCTGAGGTCAGGAATTCGAGACCAGCCTGGCTAACATAGTGAAACCCTGTCTCTACTAAAAATACAAAAAAGTTAGCCGGGCGTGGTGGCATGTGACTATAGTGCCAGCTACTCAGGAGGCTGAGGCACGAGAATTGCTCAAACCCAGATGGCCAAGGTTGCAGTGAGCCAAAATCACGCCACTGAACTCCAGCATGGGAAACAGAATGAGGCTCTGTCTCAAAAAGAAGAAGAAAAAAGAGATGGATTTAAGTCTCAGGCCAGGCACGGTGGCTCACGCCTGTAATCCCAACACTTTGGGAGGCCGAGGCAGGTGGATCACCTGAGATCAGGAGTTCCAGACCAGCCTGGTCAACATGGTGAAACCCCGTCCCTACTAAAAATACAAAAATTAGCTGGGCATGGTGGCATGCCCCTGTAATCCCAGCTACTTGGGAGGCTGAGGCAGGAGAATCGTTTGAACCTGGAAGGCGGAGGGTGCAATGAGTAGAGATCGTGCCACTACACTCCAGCCTGGGCAACAAGAGTGAAACTCCATCTCAAAATAAATAAATAAATAAATAAATAAATAAATAAATAAATAAATAAATAAATAAAAATAAACCCAAGTCTCATTCAAAGTCAAACACATTCTACCACATTAGCAAGAAGTGTTACATGAGGTAATGCACACTGTGGGAGAGAAAGGACTCCCTCCCTTCTTCCTGCCTTCCCTCCCTCCCTCTCATTTGAGTTTATGAAAGCAGTGATGCGACCAAAGCTTTTCTGAATCTAACCTACCCTCAAGACATGCAGGGCCTAACTTAGGGAGCAGCGATGAACAGAGATGGTAAGGAACTGGTTTCACAGGGGCCATGACATGGGGGACCA
This sequence comes from Homo sapiens, assembly GCF_000001405.40. Classification (NCBI taxonomy): domain Eukaryota; kingdom Metazoa; phylum Chordata; class Mammalia; order Primates; family Hominidae; genus Homo; species Homo sapiens. The sequence continues at coordinate 32,688,450 of NC_000020.11, forward strand.
CCTGCTAGAGGAACTGCAAATGACTCAGGCCACGGGCTCAGATCAGCCCAGGGAATCACCGCAGTCTGGACAGCAACAAGGCATCTAGAAATAATTGAGGTGGTCAGTGGGGAGGAAGTTCAGTTGTTTTGGCTGGAAAAAAGGTTGTTTTTTTAGAAGGAGGCTATCTCTGTCACCTACGTTGGAGTGCAGTGGCCTGATCTCAGCTCACTGCAACCTCCACCTCCTGGGTTCAAGCAATTCTCCTACCTCAGCCTCCCAAATAGCTGGGAGTACAGGTGCGCGACACTATGCCTGGCTAATTTTTTATTTTTAGTAGAGATGGGGTTTCACCATGTTTCCCAGGCTGGTCTTGAACTCCTGAACTGAAGCAATCTGCCCGCCTTGGCCTCCCAAAGTGCTGGGATTACAGGCGGGAGCCACCACTCCCTGCTTGAAAAAAATGTTTTTTTATTTTTATTTTTTTTATTTTTATTTTTTTGAGGGGATTGCACAGTTTATTTCCAAACACTCAGAGGATAGGAGGTGGCCTATGGGCTCCATCTGCCTCCCCTCCCTGCATTTGGCTGAATCAAGAACTTCTCCCCCCGACCCCCAAGACCCTAGGCTGTGCCCAATAGAGAAGGCACTCTCACCCCCCACCCTGAGGAGACCTAGACAGGTGAGGAGCATGGAGGGTGGGGGAACAGAGTTCAAGTATTCACAGTTCCCCCATCTACACCCCTGGATTACACTGTGCCAGAGCCATGAGGGAGGATCCCACCTCTGGGATTCCTAGTGGTGTTGATAGTCCTTCTCCCACTTAGAACCCTCCAGATGAACTCCCTACTCCTTTTCCCTGAAATAACAAACCAAGTCCTAAGCCCTGTAGTCTGGGCAAGGAGGGGCCTTAGCAGGCCACTCACCCAAGGCCCCCAGGGATGGGGGTGAGAGCCTTCACCTGTAGTGAATGGGTTGGGAGCAAGTGTCTATAAGGAGAGAGGAAGGGAGAGAACTGAGAGGACCCTGGGAGGCAGGCTTGGAGGCTTCTGACACATGAGTTCAGACAGCTCTGGTCTGCGACTCCACCCCACCCCACACCCCAAGCCCAGAATCCCTGAGAGTCCAACTGCAAAGGCAGTATGGCCGGAGGGAGGAATGGGAGCAGGGGTAGAGTTGAGCAGGACCTTGGCCCCCCTCTCCTAGTAGGTCCTGCTCCTGGGACACATGCTTAGGGACGGCCAGGACCAGGCTCAGGTCCTAGTCCCATCTCTTAGGGTGCTGATCTTCCAGAATAGCTGAATCCTGGGGAACATAGACACACCAATCCCCACACCCCAGACGTCCTGGCCTCAGGTAGAATGGTGGGAATGGGCTCTCACAAGGGTATTATAAAAAGCTAAAACCATTAAACACTTTCTGGGGAGAAGTGGCTCCCAGTCTCTTGCCTCCCCAAGTTATCAGTCTCCCCAGCGCCTAGCAGACAGGGCTAAGGAGGTCCCAGAGAGCTGAGGGAGGAGACGGCCACAGCCCCTGGGCCCAGAGAGAGGGCCCACTAGCACCATGGAATGTTGAGGTGCCTCTGCAGCCTGACTGGCCCCCACACAGGGGCCCTCCGAAGCTGGAGTGCACACTTGCTAAAGCTTCTGTACTCTTGAGAGGGGACCCCTGCAAGGGAGCAGAGAAGGCAAAGACTTCGCTTAAGTCCAGGCAGGGGTCTGAACTGGGACCCCAAAGGGCACCCTTGGGAGTCATGATTTGAAGAATCTTCGTACCACAAACTGGCCCAACAGAACCACACCCAGAACCACCAGCACGTTCAGGATGGGACCATTGCCCAAGTTCAGGGCTGCCACCCAGCCACCCCTCTGTGCAATCCACCGGGCAATGCAGTGATGCAGCATGAAGTCCACCACAAAGCGGGTCACCTGGCCCAGGAAGCCAGTCAGGCCACGCTGGTAGATGTGTAGGGCCAGACGGTAGCTGAAGCCCAGAAGAGCCACCACACGGCCCCAATTGATGCCACTCTCAAACAGGCTGGAGGCAATCTTGGTGAAGTACTCATAGGCATTCTCTGCCGTGGGCTGCAGGTGCTGCAACATGGTCTGGAACTCTGAGTCATAGCGTCGGTTGATGTCGTCCCCAATGATGGCGAGCTGCCGTCCCACCTGCCCCATGGTGCTGCTAGGTTGCAGAGGTAAGGTGACCATCTCTGGGTCGGCAGGGGCAGCCGCCCCTTCAGCCTCCTGTTCCTGCTGATGGTGGTAAAAAACGTAGCTGCGGAAAACCTCCTCTGTGTCCTGGGCTACCTGCTCCTCAGAAGCAGAGGGCAGGGCAGGCTCTCCGCACTCCTGCCTGGGAGGACCTGGGCCTTGCCCCGAGGCCATTTTTCAGGTCTCAGTGGAGGACGGGATCAGCCTGCCGGGATCCTGGCCCAACCCGGGTGGCTCAGCAGGGTGGAGATGGAGGTCCCGAGGGGCTGGCGGCTGCTGCTCCCAGGGGCTGAGTGGGAGCCCAGTTTCCAGGAATGGGCGTCAGTGCATTCCCAGCATCTGGATGTAGCCTTTACTTGTCCCTGTGCAGCCTGAGGGACCCGCGAGACTCCAGTGATCATAGAGGTGCCAGCCAAAAATGTTTTTTTAAATGATGTTCTCAGTATCTACGTTCTTAGCAACTAAGATGATGGATCTTAGTTATAGAACTCATAACTAATAAAATCCTCTAGGACTACAGTTCATACACCAAAAAATAGAAGCTATAATAATCTTGTATAAAGGAAAGAATCTAAAATAGAAACTATGGACAGTGGCTACCTCTGGGGAATAGGTTGTTTTTACTTTTCATCTTTTTCAGTTCTATAACATTTGAATTTTTATTAAGTATATTTCATGTATTGTCTCTATAAATAGAGCACATTAATTTATATTAAAATTGAAAATTTTTGAAACTATAAATAAGCAAAAGAAATTAAAAACCTATAATTCTACTGCCCAAAAATAACCACCGATAACATTTTTGTTTATATCCATTTTGTCCATTTAGTTTGTTTCTATGTAAACATTTTTTTAAAAGAGAAGTTTCACCCTCACCTTACTATGTTTTGGCTTTTTTTTCTTTGAGATGGAGTCTCGCTCTGTTGCCCAGGCTGGAGTGCAGTGGCGCAATCTCAGCTCACTGCAACTTCTGCCTCCCGGGTTCAAGCGATTCTCCTGCCTCAGCCTCCTGAGTAGCTGGGACTACAGGCGCTTGCCACCACACCTGGCTATTTTTTGTATTTTTAGCAGAAACAGGGTTTCACCATATTGGCCAGGCTGGTCTCGAACTCCTGACTTTGCGATCCGCCTGCCTTGGCCTCCCAAAGTACTTGGATTATAGGCATGAGCCACTGCGCCGGCCTGTTTTTTTTTTGTTTTTTTGTTTTTTGTTTTTTTTTGAGACAGAGTCTTACTCTGTTGCCCAGGCTGGAGTGCAGTGGCGCGACCTTGGCTTACTGCAAACTCCGCCTCCTGGGTTCAAGCGATTCTCCTGCCTCAGCCTCCTGAGTAGCTGGGATTACAGGTGCCACCACCACGACTGGCTAATTTTTTTTTTTTATTTTTAGTAGAGACAGGGTTTCACCATCTTGGCCAAGCTGGTCTTGAACTCCTGACTTCGTGATCCACCCGTCTCGGCCTCCCAAAGTGCTGGGATTACAGGCGTGAGCCACCACGCCAAGGCTTTTTTAATTTCTAATTTTTTATAAAGGCAGGGACTCGCTGTGTTGCCTGGACTTGTCTCCAGCTCCTGGGCTCAAGCAATCCTCCCACCTGCACCTCCCAAAGTGCTAGGATTACAAGCATGAGCCACTGTGCCCGGCCCTCACCTTACTGTCTTCTAACCTCATTTTTGTGTCTACACATCACGACCATGATCCTCTTTGTAGCACTCTCTTCAACATTAGTTATTCTCATATTAAAACGGGCCATTTACATTGGTAAACATTTTAAAAACTGTGATGTATCCATGCTTTGGAATGCAACACTGGCACAGTGATTCATGCCTGTAATTCCAGAACTTTGGAGGACTGAGGTGGGAGGATTGCTTGAAGCCGGGAGTTCGAGACTAGCCTGAGCAACATTGCGAGAATCTGTCTCTACAAAAAATACAAAAAAATTTAGGTGAGCATGGAGACCAGTAAAAGGCAAAACAGTAGGGACAGAAACCAGGCCAGTGGCTGCCAGGACTGTGCTGACGGGAGGGCTGAGCATGGTGGCACATGCCTGTAACCCCAGCTACTTGGGAGGCCGAAGCAGGAGAATCACCTGAGACCAGGAGTTCCAGACCAGCCTGGGCGACATGGCAAAATCCCGTCTCTACTAAAAAATACAAAAATTGGCCAGGCATGCACCACAGGGCTTTTAGGCTCAGCCAGGCTCAGGCGGCTCCATGGTGCTTCCAACAAAAATTGAAAAAAAAAAAAAAAAAAGAAAAAAAAATTAACCGGCATGGTGGCACACACACTTGTATTTCCAGCTACTCAGGAGGCTGAGGTGGGAGGATATCTTGAGCCTGGGAGGTGGAGGTTGCGGAGAGCTGCGATAGTGCACTCCACCCTGGGCAACAGAGTGAGACCCTATCTCAAAAACAAAACAAAAACAAAAACAAAAAACAACCCAGCCATAAAAAGGAAAGAACTACAGATGCACTAGTAATACAGATGAATCTCAAAAACATTATGCTAAGTGGGAGAAGTGGGGCACAAAAAGCTACATAATGGGCTGGGCGCGGTGGCTCACACCTGTAATCCCAGCACTTTGGGAGGCCAAGGCAGGCGGATTACTTGAGGTCAGGAGTTTGAGACTAGCCTGGCCAACATGGGGAAACCCCGTCTCTACTAAAAATACAAAAATTAGCCGGGCATACTCGGGAGGCTGAGGCAGGGGAATGGCGTGAACCCGGGAGGCGGAGCTTGCAGTGAGCCGAGATCATGCCACTGCACTCTAGCCTGGGTGACAGGGCGAGACTCCATCTCAAAAAAAAAAAAAAATTAGCTGGGCATGGTGGTGTACGCCTGTGGTCCCAACTACTCGGGAGGCTGAGGCAGGAGAATCACTTGAACCCGGGAGGCGGAGGTTGCAGTGAGCCGAAATCACAGCATTGCACTCTAGCCTGGGCAACAAGAGCGAGACTCCTTCTCAAAAAATAAAAAATAAAAAATAAAACAAGTCTCCATAATGAATGATGTCACTTAAATGACATTCTGGAAAAGGCAAAACAGTAGGGACAGAAACCAGGTCAGTGGCTGCCAGGACTGTGCTGATGGGAGGGCTGACTCTAACCACACATGAGGGCACTTCGTGGGGTAATGAAAATTGTCCATGTCTTGACTGTGGTAGTGATTACACTACCATTACACATTTATCAAAACTCACTGAACTGCATACTCAAGAAGGGTAAATTTCACTATATGTAAGTTACTTGACTTCTCCCACCCCCCCCGCCAAAAAAAACAAACGAAAGTGCTGTCCAAATATAAAGTATCATTAGACATTATAGCACTTTTCTCAGAGATTCTGAAATACCTTTGTGAAATGTGACAAATGTTAAAAAAACAAAAACAAAACCCCAGCCAGGCGTGGTGGCTCATGCCTATAATCTCAACATTTTGGGAGACCAAGGCAGGAGGATCCCTTGAGCCCAGGAGTTTGAGACCAACCCTGGCAACAGAGTGAGAACCTGTCTCTACAAAAAATACAAAAAAAAAAAAAAAAATTAGCTGGGCATAGTGGTGCATGCCTGTAATCCCAGCTACCAGGGAGAATTACCTGAGCCCAGGAGGTCGAGGCTGCGGTGGGTCGTGGTCACACCACTGCACTCCAGCCCGGGCAATAGAATGAGACTCTGTCTCAAAAAAAAAAAATAAAGCAACTTGGAAAAGATCAAGTATCCTTTAGAAAAATATTTGTTGTTGAGTGTTCTGTCTTTCAGAAAGGCCATTTTCCACTCTGGCAAATGCTCATGTGTCAGGTTGCTGGTCCCACAAGAGAGCAGTTGACCACTTGGGCTATTTGAGGACTTTCCACAACATCATCAGCTTTTTTATTTTTAAAATATGAGGCTGGAGTGTAGTGGCACAGATCATGGCTTACTGCAGCCTCTAACTCCGGCTCAAGCAATCCTCCCACTTCAGCCTCCAGAGCAACTGGGACTACAGTCACATGCCACCACACCTGGCTAATTTTTAAGTTTTTTGTAGAGACAGGGTTTTGCTATGTTGACCAGGCTGGTCTGGAACTCCTGGCCTCACATGATCCTCCTGCCTTGGCCTCCTAAAGGGCTGAGATTACAGATGTGAGCCACTGTGCCAGGCCCAGCTTCTTTTTTTTTTTTTTTTTTTTTTTTGAGACGAAGTCTAGCTCTGTCGCCCAGGCTGCAGCACAGTGGTGTGATCTCTGCTCACTGCAAGCTCCGCCTCCTGGGTTCACGCCATTCTCCTGCCTCAGCCTCCCAAGTAACTGGGACTACAGGCACCTGCCACCACGCCCGGCTAATTTTTTATATTTTTAGTAGAGACGGGGTTTCACCTGTGTTAGCCAGGATGCTCTCGATCTCCTGACCTTGTGATCCACCTGCCTCGGCCTCCCAAAGTGCTGGGATTACAAGCGTAAGCCACCGTGCCCGGCCCCCAGGTTCTTTTTTTAATGCCACTATAGTAAAAATAAACAATAGTGTCAGAACTGAACAGTTATAGGAAACAAGAATGATAGGCCAAAAAGTGAAAAAATGAAAGAAAAAAAAAAAGAACTGAACAATCAACACCCCCTCCCCCCACTTGATCTTCCCATCCCAGCCAAGCCAGTCCTCTTCCCTCCAGGGAAAGAATACAGGTATTTCTGGCTCATCTCCTCTTGGGCCAGACTATTACCATCCTAATGAACACTATACTCCAAAAGCAAATAAACTGCAATCAAAAGTGAGATTACCAGACAGCAGATTTCTAAACAGAATTGGAAGAACAGTGAATCAATGCAAAGGTGCAGTGCTAACAGTAAGAAAAATCCTGCCCAAATCCCCCAGCATTGCAGCAAAATCCCCCTTGACAGTCTGCAGAGCCTGATCAATGCCCCTTATTCAACAGAGTATATTCGTGACAAAATTCCAATCCAGCAAAGGAACTGTAGTAGTTCTGGAGTTCATAATGGGCTCTGAACTATTGTAAATGGGAGTGAGGATATAATCTACTCTTACATAGAAAAAACAACCTGGCCAGGTGCGGTGGCTCACGCCTGTAATCCCAGTACTTTGGGAGGCCCAGGCAGGTGGACCACGAGGTCAGGAGATTGAGACCATCCTGGCGAACACGGTGAAACTCCACCTCTACTAAAAATACAAAAATTAGCTGGGTGTGGTGTGACGCATGCCTGTAATCCCAGCTACTGGGGAGGCTGAGGCAGGAGAATCGCTTGAATCAGGGAGTCAGAGGTTGCAGTGAGCCGAGATCGCGCCACATCAGCCTGGTGACAGAGCAAGACTCCGTCTCAAAAAAAAAAAAAAAAGAAAGAAAGAAAGAAAAAAAGAAAAAACAACTTGTCAGTTATCTGTGTTCAGGGCTTATCACTCCCTCCCCCAGGGCCTAGCAAAGCCTTTGCCCATATGAGGCGCTCCAAGAATGTTGGTGGAGTCATGGAGCAGGATAGTCAACTGCTCTGGGAAGAGGGCCCCCTTACACTGTGGAGCTATCTGTGATCTATGTTAAAACTGACCCACAATGAAAACAACTTCCCTGGCCTTTTTTTTTTTTTTTTTTTTTTTTTTTTTTTCAGACAGAGCCTCACTCTGTCGCCCAGGCTGGAGTGCAGTGGCGGGATCTCAATTCACTGCAACCTTCACCTCCCGGGTTCAAGCAATTCTTGTGTCTCAGCCTCTGGAGTAGCTGGGACTACAGGCACGAGCCACCATACCTGGCTAAGTTTTTGTATTTTTAGTAGAGATGGGGTTTCACCATGTTGGCCAGGCTGGTCTCGAACTCCTGACCTCAGGTGATCCGCCTGCCTCGGCCTCCCAAAGTGCAGGGATTACGGGTGTGAGCCACCACACCTGGCCTGGATTTCTTCTTCTAAAGTCAGGGAGGTTTGTTAACATTGCTTCCATGGAGGCTCTACACTCAGCCTCATTTCATTTCAACAAAGGGCAGGACCTGTTCCAAGGCTGGCTTGGGGAGGAGGAGCGGGGCTGAATGATGCTGATTGTAGGGGTGATTGAGCTGAAAAGCAAGTCTCCTATCACGAAGCTCATGGGCTGGGCATGGTGGCTCACGCCTGTAATTCTAGCACTTTGGGAGGCCGAGTCAGGCAGATCGCTTGAGCACAGGAGTTTGAGAACAGCCTGGCCAACATGGCAAAACCCTTCTCTACTAAAAATATGAAAATTAGTTGGGTGTGGTGGCAGGTGCCTGTAATCCCAGCTACTTAGGTGGCTGAGGCACAGGAATCGCTTGAACCCCGGAGGTGGGGGTTGCAGTGAGCCAAGATGGTGCCACTGGACTCCAGTCTGGGCAAGAGAGCAAGACTCTGTCTCAAAAACAAGACAAAACAAAACACACACACACACACACACACACACACACGCACAAAAGAAAGAAAGAAACTCAGGGGCTAGTGGGAAAGAGAATCCTGGGAACAAATAATTACGATTTGATAATAAGTAGCTCACTGGTTAGTTAAGCATGCTCTGTGTGAAGTGATCTACCCCAATAACCTTGTGAGCTGAGAATTATAACCCTGTTACAAACGGGGAAACTAAGGTTCTCAGATGTTAAGGAGTTTGCCCAAGGTCACACAGTTAATAAGCAGAAAGGCCAGTATTGAAACCCAAGCAGGGCTGGGTGTGGTGGCTCACACCTGTAATCTTGATGCTTTGGGAGGCCCGAGGCGGGAGAATCACTTGAGTCAAAGAGTTTGAGACCAGCCTGGGCAATACAGTGAGACAGCCCCCCCTCCCCCCACCCCGCTCTCTACAAAGCGAAAAAAGAAACCCCAGGCAGTCTGACTTCAGAGCTTGCACTCCTAACCCCTGAAGCAGAGGAATGAGGGCCCAAGGTGTGTTTATTATGGCCAAGAACTATCAGGAGAGGCCTTTAGAAATGTGGGGCAGCACTGTGAGCCCAAGGGGAGAAGAGGCAGATGGCACCATGGCTTGGTGGCTGTAAGCAGCCTGGTAGTCTAGATGCTCCAGTAGGATGCCTGCCATGAGGCAGTGGAGATGGAGCACTGGAGGAGGTCAGCAGGGCCAGGTTGTCAGGGCTGAGTGTTCTAAGTTAGGAGTTCTGACTTTCCTCTGGACACCTGGCAGAACCCTGAGCAGTGGATCTGTTGGGTGACATGAGACTTGTGCATAAGAATGGTCACACAGGAAATGGGCTGGACTGTGGAAGCTGTGAGGCTGAAGACTCCAGGGGGGCCATCAGAAAGCCAATGTTGTGATCCAGGTGGGGCAGCAGCGGCTGAATTGGGCAGGGCAAGGAGCTCCCTGGTCAGAATCTGTCCGGTGGCCAGCTGGGTGCAACTCTTACACAGCACCCGGACTTGGACCTGCACCAGATGGCTTGGCGTGCTGGAAGCCCTTCTAGTGTCAGGAGCCCATTTCTGAATCAAGCAGGACCCCATGGATCACAGGACAGCACTGTCTGACCCCTGGCCAGTGACCACAGTTTCAGTCTCCAGGCCTCAGTTTCCCCATCTGTAATATGAGTGAGTTTTAAACAGATTGTATTGGCCGGGCATAGTGGTTCACACCTGTAATCCCAGCACTTTGGGAGGCCGAGGCAGGCAGATCACCTAAGGTCAGGAGTTCAAGACCAGCCTGGCCAATATAGCGAAACCCTGTCTCTACTAAAAATACAAATCTAGCCGGGCATGGTGGAATGCGCCTGTAGTCCCAGCTACTCGGGAGGCTGAGGCAGGAGAATCACTTAAACCCAGGAAGCAGAGGTTGCAGTGAGCGAAGATCACACCACTGCACTCTAGCCTGGGCAACAGAGCAAGACCCCATCTCAAAAAATAATAATAATAAATAAATTGATAGTATTTTAGGTACCTTCCCGTTCTGACTTTCTGTGAACTTTTTTTTCTAATTTTTTATTTTTACTTCCTTTTTTGTGAATTCTTTTTATTAATACATTAGATTCTCATGGTCTCAAGCTACATGAGGCTCTCTGAAAACTCATGAATATATCTGGACACTGTTCAAAGGCACTCATCTGTTCCTCTTTGGAACTTTTGGACAGTAAACTTGCTGGTGGAAGCAGAAATTGAAAGAAGGTAGAGATCAACTTGGCACTGTGAGGATTAATTTTGTGTCAACTTGGCTGGACCACAGTGCTTAGAGAGTTGGTTGAACACTATTCTAGATGTTTTTCTGAAGGTGTTTATGGATGACACTAAATTTTTTTTTTTTTTGAGATGGAGTCTCACTCTCACCCAGGCTGAAGTGCAGTGGCACAATCTCGGCTCACTGCAACCTCTGCCCCCCGGGTTCAAGCAATTAGATTCTCTTGCCTCAGCCTCCCAAGTAGCTGGGAATATAGGCACCTGCCACAGCGCCCAGCTAATTTTTGCATTTTTAGTAGAGACAGGGTTTCACCATCTTGGCCAGGCTGGTCTTGAACTCCTGACCTCATGATCCACCTGTCTCAGCCTCCCAAAGGGCTGGGATTACAGACGTGAGCCACCTTGCCCGGCCGACACTAACATTTAAATCAGTGGACTTTTGCCAGGTGCGATGGCTCACGCCTGTAATCCCAGTACTTTGGGAAGCTGAGGTGGGCAGATCACGAGGTCAGGAGTTCGAGACCAGCCTGACCAACATGGTGAAACCCCATCTCTACTAAAAAAAAAAAAAAAATACAAAAATTAGCCGGGCGTGGTAGTACACACCTGTAATCCCAGCTACTCAGGAGGCTGAGGCAGGAGAATCGCTTGAACCTGGGAGGCGGAGGTTGCATTGAGCTGAGATTGTGCCATTGCACTCCAGCCTGGGCGACAGAGTGGGATTCCATCTCAAAAAAATAAAAAATTAGTGGACTTTTAAGTACAGCAGCCCCCCCTTATCCATGTGGGATATGTTCCAAGACCCCTAGCAGATTCCTAAACCCACAGATAGTCCCGAGCCCTATACATATGTTTTTCTCAATCTGACAACAGTACCTGCTACTAAATGATTAACAGCATATATAGCATGGGTACCCTGGAGAAAGGATTGATTCCCATACCACAACATGAATTCGTGTCCAGGATGGAGTGGGCCAGCACGAGATTTCATCATGCTACTCAGGATGGTAGGCAATTGAAAGCTTATAAATTATTTCTGGAATTTTCCACTTAATATTTTCAGACTGTGAGTAAATGAAACCAGGGAAAATGAAAACATGGATACAGGGGGACCTATTGTATAGCAAATTCTTCTCCATAATGTGGGTGGGCCTCATCCAATCAGTTAAAGCCTTAAAAAAAAAAAAAAAAAGCCTGGCATCCTATCCCTTCCTCCCCAGCAAGGAATTCTGATAGCAGACAGCCTTTATTTTCCTATTTTTTTTAGAGACAAGGTCTCACGCCATTGCTCAGACTGGTCTTGAACTCCTGGGCTCAAGTGATCCTCCTGCCTTGGCCTCCCAAGAAGCTGGGGGTACAGGTGTGTGCCACAGTGCCTGGCTAGTAGATACCCTTTGAACTGCAACTCTTCCTGCATATGCAGCCTGCTGGTCTACTCTGAAGACTGACCATGTCACTGTAATCATGTGAGCCAATCTTTTAAAATAAAAATCTCTCTCCCCAATACATATACATATACATATGTACACATACATCCTGTTGATTTTGTTCTCTGAGAACTGTGATTAACACTGGCACCATTTATCAAAACTGCTCATACTGGACCAGGCGCAGTGGCTCATGCCTGTAATCCCAGCACTTTGGGAGGCCAAGGCGGGTGGATCACCTGAGGTCAGGAGTTCGAGACCAGCCTGGCCAACATGGCAAAACCCCGTCTCTACTAAAAATACAAAAAAATTAGCCAGGTGTGTTGGCATGCACCCGTAATCCCAGCTACTCAGAAGACTGAAGCAGGAGAATCGCCTGAACCCAAGAGGCAGAGGCTGCAGTGAGCCAAGATTGCGCCGCTTCACTCCAGCCTGGGTGACAGAGTGAGACTCCATCTAAAAAAACAACAAAAACCACAACAACAACAAAAAAACACTGCTCGTGCTGGTTACAATCCATCCACAAAACTGAATATGCTACAGCCACAGGGAGGGGATGCAGACTCTTTATAAAATGATATGGAAAGATCTCCTAGATGTATTAACAAAAGTATGTAGAGTGTGCAATTATCTGTGTAAACAAAAAAGGGTGTAAAAATAAAAATTCACGTTGTTTATTTTTTCATTTTTTGAGACAGGGTCTCACTCTGTCGCCCAGGCTGCAGTGCAGTGGTATGACTGATCACAGCTCACTGCAGCCTCTAACTCCTAGGATCAACTAATCCTTCTGCCCCAGCCTCTCAAGTGGCTGGGACAACAGACATACACCATCAAGTTCAGCAATTATTTTTTTTTTTCCCGATATGGAGTTTTGCCTGTTGCCCAGGCTGGAGTGCAGTGGTACGATATCGGCTCACTGCAACTTCTGCCTCCCAGGTTCAAGCAATTCTCCTACCTCAGACTCCTGAGTAGGTGGGATTACAGGTGCCTGCCACTACAACTGGCTAATTTTTGTATTTTTAGTAGAGATGCAGTTTCGCCATGTTGGCCAGACTGGTCTTGAACTCCTGACCTCGTGATCCACCTGCCTCAGCCTGCCAAAGTGCTGGGATTACAGGTGTGAGCCACTGTGCCCAGCCACGTTCAGCAAACTTTTAAATTTTTTGTAGAGACAGGGTCTCCCCATGTTGCCCAGGCTGGTTTCAAACTCCTGGCCTCAAGCAATCCTCCTGCCTCGGCCTCCAAAAATGCTGGGATTACAGGTGTGAGCCACCATGACTGACCCTATTGTTTCTATGTGGGGAAAAATAAAAACCTGTGGAAGGGTACCTAAGAAACTAACAACAGAGGTTATCTATTGGAACAGGCCAGTGGGAGAATTAAGTAAATGGGAGACAAGGGAGAAGAAACCTTTTGTTTTACTCTTTTTTATACTCTTTGATAAATGTACATATTCTATCACCCAGCAGTTCCATACCCATGTAATTACCTTATAAACATACTTCCATATGTGCAAAACGACATATATACAAGGATATTCTGTTGTGGCATTATTTGTAAGAGAAAAAGAATGGGAACAACCTAGACACCCATCAGCAAGAAACTGATTAAATAAATCATCCATTTGAAGTAAAACGGTGCATTTGTTACCAAGAATGACGCAGTTCTCTGTGTTCTGATATGGAACGATTTCCAAGTTGAATGGAAAAAAGAAAGGTGCAGGACGGTGGGTACATAATGCTACCATTTGTGTGGGAAGAAAAGTGAAACTATATGCATATCCGTTTGCAAATGCAGTTAATGTCTTCAGAACACAGAATAAACTAATAACAGTGGCTACCTCTGGGGAAGAGAACTGGGTAACTGGGAAACGGTGGTGGGGAGGGGTTATTACCTTACACTGTACCTTTTAATCATGGGCATCTTTTAGCTATTCAAAACTTTATAAAATTTCTGAGGAGGTATTTGCCAGGCGCGGTGGCTCACGCCTGTGATCCCAGCACTTTGGGAGGCCAAGGCGGGCAGATCACGAGGTCAAGAAATCGAGATCATCCTGGCTAACATGGTGAAACCCCCTTTCTACTAAAAATACAAAAAATTAGCTGGGCGTGGTGGCGGGTGCCTGTAGTCCCAACTACTCAGGAGGCTGAGGCAGGAGAATGGCGTGAACCCGGGAGGCGGAGCCTGCAGGGAGCCGAGATGCCGCCATTGCACTCCAGCCTGGGTGACAGAGTGAGACTCCGTCTCAAAAAAAAAAAAAAAAAATTCTGAGGAGGAGGGTAGTGGAGGAGGAGGAGCAGGAAAAGTCATCTGTACACAAAGCATTTCACATGTTATGCTTTTTCCTGTGGCTTTTAACCTGAGTTTCCCCGGAATTGCTCTTACAAATTCCAACTTTGGAACAGACCCAATTTCACTGGAGACCCAGGATCGTCACAAAACCAGGAAGATAATTTTTAAAGACAAGAGCAAGCACTAGCTCTCTGCAAGGTACACGACTCTTTAATCCATGCAGAAAGACAACTGGATCCAGACCTTTTCTTCAGAACCTTTTTATTCATCATCTAACCAACAGAGGTGGTTGGCTCGAACTCAAACTAAAATGGCCTCAAAAGGCCCACCTCGTTACGACATGACAGGGCAAAACCAGAAGTAGGGACAGAGTTTAGCCTCAGTTCTCTGCAGAGAAGACCAAGCATGTATTTACACACAGGTGCCTCATTAAGAACTGATTGGCAATGTTCCACCAGCACAGACCCAGAGTGTGCAGAAATCCGTGGGGGCTCTGTATATGTGTCATTCAGACAATCCGCCGATTCCTCAGCCATAAACAAGCTCTTGCTTTTTGGGAGGAGGGTGATCAGCATGTTATCTTGAATGATGGCACCATTTGTTTACTCTGGAACTTTGAAGGGGAGGTGACAACTTATTTTCTCCCCTGAATCTGAGATGCAGTGGCCTGTCAGAGTATCTAAAAATGTGTCCTGGAAGACAGGTGGTGGTGGTTGCCCTAACAGAGAGTTTACAGGGTAATTGTGTTGGGCTCTTTCAGTACTTAATCCTGCTGTTTTTCAGAAACCCTTTGCACCTGGGCCCCATGGAGCCAGCAGGGCCCCATGGAGCATCCCACAGGCCTGTGAGTGAAGTGCCTCTCAGAGCAGTCACCCAGGGAAGGGAGGAGGGCAGGGAACGGGGCCAGGGGAGATGCAGGGACAGAAATCAGCAGAAACACTCCATGCTGGTTCTGACTCGCTCCATCTCGTGCAGGAAGCTGTAGAACTGAGGCAAGGTTAATTCTGGGGAGAGAAAATTCAGCTTCAGATAAATGTTTCCAACTCCACAGAATCATCCAAGAAAATTAATTTCCACCCGGAGGATTTTTTTTTTCTTTTTTGGCTTAATACATCTAAGCAGCTCTTGATGGGTAACTGATCATAATAAAGAACTGAGAGACTTGAATGCAGAAGGTTCTCTGCTCCAAAGGAAAAAAAAGGGGAGTGAGTGTTCAAATGGCACAGCTCCATGGCACAAAGAGATGAAAGGGTATCATTCGGGATGTTCAATGTGACTTCTATGGCAAGAGCTTCTTGCTCGTCAACCTTCTTCTTCAATCCCAGCCATTCCGTTCCCACCCTTTCCCTTTTTCAAAACGGCTCTTCAACTGTGGGGGCTCCAACCTGCCAGTGGCTTTCTAACACTCCTTGTGCCATCTTTCAGGAGAGGAAAGGCAGTGGAACAGCTACTCCACAGCTGGCAATGACTGTTTTTATAGAAGACATGATTTGTGGTGAGCGTCACCAGCCCCTGATTGCAGAGAACACAAAAAAGGTGAAGAGGCTCAAGTGGGAATTCAGACTCACCTATATACACATTTTCGGTTTGATTTCCTTTCTTAACCACCAACTTTAGCTGATGAAAGAAAAAGAAATAATTTAAATTAAAATGATGACAACTGGGCAAAGAAATTCTTAAAACCCTTTGACTTAATTAAGCTTCCAACCTGAGAGTCATACAGGAGCAGTCTGGATCATCCACCACCGAAAATTCTAACAATTCCCATGATTACAGGAACAATCACGCATCAATGAATAACACTAGGATCTATTCATCTAAAAGTAGGCATGTTAGTGACTACATCTTTAGCTGGCCACACTGCTCTGAGATATATAAGGTACTTCAGTAAAACATCCATTTAAATATCCATTTAACCCAATGTAGATATAATTTTTAACCAAGTCAAAAATCTACCCATTTTCAAGGATCAGGAGAAGACTTACTTGTAAAAATATACTTCCCACTTTCTCCAATTCGCTGCTCCCAGATGTCACTGTGACAAAAAAAAAAAAAAAGAGAGAGAGAGAGAGAAATAACAAGTGACTGATTGAGGACTGACCCTGAAGACCCCAGTTTTGCAGCTGTCCAGCAGAAGCCATGTGGGGGCAAGTATGAGGGCAGCAAGGTGTGCTTTTGGAAAGTCAACTTATCCAGAGCCATGAAACAGCTACTGAATGTGGACAGAATACAAAACAGCAGCTGCTGCCCCAACAGTGCTAGGGACTAGGTCATGCCTTCCCCATAGTGGCTGTGTCACAGCCTCTGCACCCCAACCCTGTACCACCCAAATAACCCAGGACTGGTTGTAACTAGTTACCTCCAAATTTCCACTCCATATCTATGAGCTGGTTAATCATCAGAGTCTGACCTATGGCCCATCGAGCAAGGGTGGGAGCATTCTGCTTCCACTGGAACAAAAGCAAAAGACAAAGTCAATTACAATAGGAAAATCTCCCCCTCTCCATCCTGCCCTAAACATTGCAATATTTAGCATTGACACAGATAGTGGGGAGGGTGCAGAAGATAGTGGGGAGGGTGCAGAACGAAGGGCTCAGTCTATATGCACATACCTAGGGATGGAGGAGGGCACAGAGTGGCAGACCACAACATTAATGTTGTATTTTTCATTCCAAGATTTAATCCATCTTGGAAAAAAAACAGTGCTGCCATCATACTGGCCCCCACATGGCTTCTACTAGACAATTGCAAGATGGGGTCTTCAGGGTAAGTTCTCAATCAGTCACTTGTTATTTTTCTCTATTTTTGTCACAGTGACATCTGAGAGCAGTGAATTGGAGAAAGGAGGCATATATATGTGTATATATATACATACATATATATGTATATATATATGTGTGTGTGTATATATATATATATATATTTTTTTTTTTCTTTGAGATGGAGTCTCGCTCTGTTGCCCAGGCTAGAGTGCAGTGGCATGATCTTGGCTCGCTGCAAGCTCCACCTCCTGGGTTCACGCCACTCTCCTGCCTCAGCCTCCCAAGTAGCTGGGACCACAGGCGCCCACCACCATGCCCAGCTAATTTTTTATATTTTTAGTAGAGATGGGGTTTCACCATGTTAGGCAGGATGATCTCGATCTCCTGACCTCGTGATCCGCCCGCCTTGGCCTCCCAAAGTGTTGGGATTACAGGCGTGAGCCACCGGGCCTGGCCAGTAGGAGGTATATTTTTACAAGTAAGTCCTCTCCTGATCCATGAAAATGGGCAGATTTTTGACTGGGTCAAATCAGGAGAAATGATTAGAGATACACTGAATAGTGCTGGTTAAAGCTGTGTGTATGACATGCGCTTGAAGCCAGATGAAAACCTTAGGCTGGGGAAATGATGATACTGATAGGTGGTTTGGCCTTACTTGGCATTTCCCATTGTTTTCTCTCTTCATGATATAAAAGCAAGGGGCTGGCGGTGGTGGTTCACGACTGTAATCCCAGCACTTTCAGAGGCTGAGGCAGGTGGATCACCTGAGGTCGGGAGTTCAAGACCAGCCTGACCAACATGGTGAAACCCCGTCTCTACTAAAAATGCAAAATTAGCCAGGCATGGTGGCACATGCCTGTAATCCCAGCTACTTGGAAGGCTGGGGCAGGAGAATTGCTTGAACCAAGGAGGTGGAGGTTGCAGTGAGCCGAGATTGTGCCATTGCACTCTAGCCTGGGCAACGAGAGCGAAACTCTGTCTCAAAAAAAAAAAAAAAGAAAGAAAGAAAGAAAGAGGTCGAGCACAGTAGCTCATGCCTGTAATCCCAGCACTTTGGGAGGCCAAGGTGGGTGGATCACAATGTCAGGAGTTCGAGACCAGCCTGGCTAACACAGCGAAACCCCGTCTCTACTAAAAATACAAAAAATTAGCTGGGCATGGTGGCATGTGCCTGTAGTCCCAGCTACTGGGGAGGCTGAGGCAGAAGAATCACTTGAACCCGAGAGGCAGAGGTTGTGGTGAGCCGAGATCACACTGCCACTGCACTCCAGCCTGGACAGAATGCGACTCCATCTCAAAAAAAAAAAAAAGAAAGAAAAGCAAGGGATCTTAATCAGCCATTAACCTTGATTAAGAGGAATTATACCTTTTCAGAAAAGTAAGTGGCTTTCTCCTCACTAAGACCTATAAGAGAACAGAAGGAGATATTAACATAATAAAAAGCCTCAGAAGCCAGTCACCCTGAGCAACCCTGGCCAATGACCTACCCAGAGTTATGAAATCCGCCTGGACCTGCTTGGCTGTGAGACTCTTCTTCAAAGCACCTGGGAGGCAGGGGAGAAATCAGTTAGAAAGGCAGACCAGTGAATTAGTCGGCAATAAGTATTTAATGGGCACAACCTATGTGACCTAAAGGACAAAAGGAACACCCAAAGACTGGCCAGCTCCAAGATCTCAATCCAGCCATGGGGAAATAGCATCCGAAATGACCAGAAAACAAGAAAGACAGTACATTTTACAATTTATTTATTTTATTTAAAAAATATATTTATTTTTGCCGGGCACGGTAGCTCAAGCCTGTAATCCCAGCACTTTGGGAGGCCGAGGCAGGTGGATCACGACATCAGGAGATCGAGACCATCCTGGCTAACATGGTGAAACCCTGTCTCTATTAAAAATACAAAAAAAAAAAAAAAAATTAGCCAGGCATGGTGGCAGGCACCTATAGTCCCAGCTACTCGGGAGGCTGAGGCAGGAGAATGGCGTGAACCCGGGAGGCGGAGCTTGCAGTGAGCCGAGATCACGCCACTGCACTCCAGCCTGGGCAACAGAGCGAGACTCCGTCTCAAAAAAAAAAAATATATATATATATACTTATCTCAAAATATATATATATTTTTTGAGACGGAGTCTCGCTCTGTTGCCCAGGCTGGAGTGCAGTGGCGTGATCTCGGCTCACTGCAACCTACACCTCCTGGGTTCAAGTGATTTTCATGCCTCAGCCTCCTGAACAGCTGGGACTACAGGCGTGCGCCACCACACCAAACCAATTTTTGTATTTTTAGTAGAGACTGGGTTTTACCATGTTGACCAGGCTGGTCTTGAACTATTGACCTCAAGTGATCTGCTCACCTTGGCCTCCCAAAGTGCTAGGATTAAAGGGGTGAGAGCCACCATGCCTGGCACATATTTTTTTTTTAATTGTACAACACAATTATTTATCCCTCCAACCAGTGTGAGAGAAGTCAGAGACAACAGAAAAGACTTCACGGACTTGGGGATGGAGCAACTGGTCTGAGGAATGAGTAAGGATACGAATTCCTGGAGCAAGAGGCAGGGGAGTGTAATGTCAGGTTGGGCACAGGGGGCAACCACCTAGAGCTCCACAATGCATTATGTAGCCACTATTGCATGTGGTTATGCAAATTTTAATTAAATAAAATTTAAAATTCCATTCCTCAGTCTCACTAGCTATTTCCTGTGTCAAACAGTCACACAAGGCCAGTGACCATTATACTGAACACTGAAGATTACAGACCATTTACATCTGCAAAGAAAGTTCTATTGGATGGCATTGTCCTAAGAAGTTAGCTTTCACACAGTACACCAAGATGGACTAAACAGACTAACCTCTACAATTCACAAGTCACTTCCAGAGGGGCTGTCAAAACTTCTCAGAAGCCCTAGGAACACTTCCCTGTGGTGGTCACCTTGTTTTGCTAGGCTCCAATTCCTGAAAACAAAGCCAGCAATCTGGGCTTCTCAATGTTTAACCTGCAGGCTACATCCCCAGTCACAATTTGGCAACCACTCTCAAATTTTCCACTTTTTAGTTCACCAGAAAATGACTAATTAAAGAATAGGAAGATGCCAACCACCATCAAGGGAAGGCCCTGAACCTATACCCTAAACCCAAGTCCCCACCCCCAACTCACTCCAGAAAAACAATCCTAAAGGCTGTTGTACCGGTAAAATCAACCATATAAACAAAGGGAGGAAATCTTTTATCTCCAAAATCAGACTGAGCAAGGAAGCCACACGGAATAAAAAAGGCAAGACCCCGGGAAACCTTAGCCATAAAGGCCCTCTGAGAAGGTGGCTACTTCCCAGCCAATCCAAATAACTCCTAACTACCATGAATACAGTGTCTTAGTTTATATCCAATTCAAACCCAATGCTTTATTTGACAATCCCCAAACACTGGGCTTTATTATTGTAACTTTTTTTTTTTTTTTGAGACAGTGAGACACGGTTTCACTCTATCGCCCAGGCTGGAGTGCAGTTGGGCAATCTCAGCTCACCTCCTACCACACCGGGGTGGGTGGGTGGGGCTCAAGCAATCCTCCCACCTCAGCCTCCCACATAGCTGGGACTACAGGCGTGTGCCATGATGCCCAGCTAATTTTTTGAATTTTTGTAGGGACAGGGTCTTGCCATGTTGCCCAGGCTGGTCTCAAACTCCTGACCTCAAGCAATCCACCCACCTTGGCCTCCCAAAGTGCTGGGATTACAGACATGAGCCACCATGCC
Organism: Homo sapiens; assembly: GCF_000001405.40. NCBI lineage: Eukaryota > Metazoa > Chordata > Mammalia > Primates > Hominidae > Homo > Homo sapiens. The sequence continues at coordinate 32,708,967 of NC_000020.11, forward strand.
CAGCTATTATTTTAACTTAGTTTACCAGGAAACATTAAGCATTTTTGGGAGAAAATTTGGCAAATGCAGATAGTCAAGAATTGCACTGCCAAGAATTCACCCAACCAAGCTGCACCCAAAAGCACGCTGAGATATACAGGGGAAGCTCTTTAGCAATGTGGATAGTAGGGATGAAAGGTCATGGAGAGACCAGGCACGGTGGCTCATGCCTGTAATGCCAGCACTTTGGGAGGCTGAGGGGGTGGATCACTTGAGGTCAGTAGTTCGAGACCAGCCTGGCCAACGTGGCAAAACCCCGTCTCTACTAAAAGTACAAAAATTAGCCGGGTGTGGTGGCATGCGCCTGTAGTCCCAGCTACTTGGGAGGCTGAGGGTGCAGTGAGCAGAGACGGCACCACTGCATTACAGCCTGGCAACAGAGCAACTCTGTCTCAAAAAAAAAAAAAAACAGGCTGGGCGCCTGTTACAAAATTAGCCAGGAGGGTGAGGCAGGAGAATCATCTGAGCCTGGCAGGTGGAGGTTGCCGTGAGCCGAGATCTGCCACTGCACTCAAGCCTGGGCGACAGAGCGAGACTCCGTCTCAAAAACAAACGATGACAAAAACAACAAACAAAAACCTCAGGTCAGACCATGCTATTTTTTCTGCTCAAAACCCTCTACTATCTCCTATTTCACTCACAGTAAAATCCAAAGGTTGTACAACACCCTGCATGCTCTGGCCTCCTCTTAGAACCCCTAGGCTCTCTCCCTTGCTTACTGTGCTATTTTTAGAATATGCCAGACAGCTTTCTACCCCTGGCCATTTGCCCTTGCAGTTCTCTGCACATAGCTCATCCCTTCGCTTCATTCAGGGTTCTGCCTGACTCTTACCTCCTCAGAAAGGATCCCCGACCATTCTATTTCACATTTTTTCTTTTTTTACTTTTTTTTTTTTTTAATCTCATTCTGTCACCCAGGCTGGAGTGCGGTGGTGTAATCACGGCTCATTACAGCCTTGACCTCCTGGGCTTAATGGATCCTCCCACCTCAGGCTCCTAAGTAGCTGGGACTACAGGCATGCTCCACAATGCTTGACTAATTTTTAATTTTTTTTTCTAGAGATAGAGTCTCACTATCTTGCCAGCTCAAACTCCCGCACTCAAGCAATACTCCCACCTTGGCCTCTCAAAATGCTGGGATTACAGGCATGAGCTGCCAATCCCAGCCTCATTCTAATTTAAATAGCACTGCCCTTTACTCATACTCGTATAATGCTGTGGGATATTCTGCATTGCATTTATAACTACCCAACTTTATGTTATATATTTATTATCAATTTTTCCACTAGAACACCAGCTTGATAAGAACAAAGACTAGGCTCATTTTGCCTACTGCTGTGTCCCAAGCTCTGAGAGAAATGCCTGGCAAAGTTTATTGGTTGGCACTCAATAAAAGCACGTTGAATGCAAGAATCCTTACAATGGATTGCTATCCAGGCTTAAAAAAAATTATGTAAGGCCAAGTGCTGTCATCCCAGCACTTTGGGAGGCTGAGGTGGGAGGATACCTGAGCCCAGGGGTTCAAGACCAGTCTGGGCAATACAGGGAGACCCCATCTCTACAAAATAAAAAAATTAGCAAGGTATAGTGGCACAGGCCTGTGGTCCCAGCTACTCAGGAGGCTGAGGTGGGAGGATGGCTTGAGCCCAGGAGGTTGAGGCTACAGTGAACCATAATTGCATCACTGCACTCCAGCCTATGTAACAGGGTGAGACCTCATCTCAAAAAAAAAAAAAAAAAAAATAGATGTAGCTCAGTAGCTGTTGATGGACCAATCTGCATAATATAATGTCAAGAAAAAAAGGAAAGGCACCTATAATCCCAGCACTTTGGGAAGCTGAGGTGAGAGGATTGCTTGAGGCTAGGAATTTGAGACTAGCCTGGGCATCATAGCAAAACCCTGCCTCTACAAAAATAAAAATAAAAAATTACTTGGGTGTGGAGGTGCACACCTGTAATCCAGCTGCTCAGGAGGCTAAAATAGGAGGATCGCTTGAGCCCAGAAGTTTGAGGCTGCAGTGAGCCATGATGGCACCACTTCACTCCAGCCTGGGTGACAGAGCAAGACTCTATCTCTAAAAATAAATAAATAAAAATAAGTGTTACTTTGGCCGGGGGTGGTGGCTCACGCCCATAATCCCAGCACTTTGGGAGGCTGAGGCGGGTGGATCACTTGAGGTCAGGAGTTTGAGACCAGCCTGGTCAACGTGGTGAAACCCCGTCTCCACTAAAAATACAAAAATTAGCTGGGCGTGGTGGCACACGCCTGTAGTCCCAGCTACTTGGGAGGCTGAGGTAGGAGAATCGCTTAAACCTGGGAGGCAGAGGTTGCAGTGAGCCGAGATCACACCACTGCACTCCAGCCTGGACGACGGAGTGAGACTCTGTCTAAAAAAAAAAAATGTTACTTAAAAAAAAAAAAAAAAGGAAACAGTTAAAGGAACAAGGCCACAACAGTCAGCAACTGACAGAGCCAAGTGGCTTATAGGCCAGAGGGTCCCCACACCAAGTTCTTTCTACACCAGGTCATTCTCAGACGCTATCTTGGTGCTGCGGTATCAGGCAATGCCTTGACAGTTGCTGACAATGAAGTCAACAAAGCTGCAGGGATGGAAGAGCAAGCTCTCCATCCTGAAGTTACCTCTGGAGGGCAGAGGCCAGACTTGAAACATGGATTGGCATCATGCTAGGCCTCAAGCTCTTAACTTCTTTTTCAGCTTTTTCCTGTGGTGATTCCTTTGTCCTAAGCAAATGCCAGCCACAAGACAGACCTGCAACATTTGACCTTATGTCAGACAGAATGAAAATTGTGTGGGGCCTCTTGGAGGGTGGGGTGGGGGGAGGGATAGCATTAGGAAAAATAGTTATTCCATGCTGGGCTTAATACTTAGGTGATGGGCTGGGCGTGGTGGCTCGTGCCTGTAATCCCAGCACTTTCGGAGGCCGAGGCGGGTGGATCACAAGGTCAAGAGATCGAGACTGAGGGCTGGGCACGATGGCTCATGCCTGTAATCCCAGCACTTTGGGAGTCCGAGGTGGGCAGATCATGAGGTCAGGAGTTCGAGACCAGCCTGACCAACATGATGAAACCCCATCTCTACTAAAAATACAAAAATTAGCCGGGCGTGGTGGCAGGCGCCTGTAATCCCAGCTACTCAGGAGGCTGAGACAGGAGAATTGCTTGCACCCGGGAGGCAGAGGTTGCAGTGAGCCGAGATCGTGCCATTGCACTCCAGCCTGGGCCACAGAGCAAGACTCCGTCTCAAAAAAAAAAAAAAAAAAAAAAAAAGAGAGAGATCGAGACCATCCTGGACAATGTAGTGAAACTCCGTATCTACTAAAAAGTATAAAAATTAGCTGGGCATGGTGGCATGCATCTGTAGTCCCAGCTACTTAGGAGGCTGAGGCAGGAGAATTGCTTGAACCCAGGAGGCAGAGGTTGAAGTGAGCCAAGATCGCGCCACTGCACTCTAGCCTGGTGACAGAGCAAGATTCCGTCTCAAATTAAAAAAAAAAAAACCTAGGTGATGGGTTGACAGGTGCAGCAAACCACCATGGCATACTATGTAACAAATCTGCACACCCTGCACATGTACCCCAGACCTTTAAAAAAAAAAAAAAGAAAATTGTGTAAACTCCAACAGCTGCAGTCAGCAGAACATGACACGTGGGGAAATTTAAGAACATCCTTCTTCAAACACAGATAACTTTGAGATGGTCCCTTTTTTTTTTTTGACACGGAGACTTTTTTTTTTTTTTTTTTCGAGACAGAGTCTCACTCTGTCCCCCAGACTGGAATGCAGTGGTGCAATCTTGGCTCACTGCAACCTCTGCCTCCCAGGTTCAAGTGATTCTCCTGCCTCACCCTCCCAAGCAGCTGGGACTATAGGCACGCACCACCATGCCCGGCTAATTTTTTGTATTTTTAGTAGAGACCAGGATGGTCTCGATCTCCTGACCTCGTGATCCGCCTGCCTTGGCTTCCCAAAGTGCTGGGATTACAGGCGTGAGCCACTGTGCCCGTCCTCTTTCTTTTTTAATTTCTTTTTTTTTTTTTTTTGAGACAGAGTTTCACTTTTGTTGCCCAGGCTGGAGCACAATGGTGCAATCTCAGCTCACTGCAACCTCCGCCTCCCAGGTGCAAGAGATTCTCCTGTCTCAGCCTCCCAAGTAGCTGGGATTACAGGCATGTGCCACCATGCCTGGCTATTTTTTTTTGTATTTAGTAGAGATGGGCTTTCACCACGTTAGTCAGGCTGGTTGTGAACTCCTGACCTCAGGTGATCCACCCGCCTCGGCTTCCTAAAGTGCTGGGACTACAGGCGTGCGCCAATGCGCCTGGCAACAGGCACCAATTTTCACCAGAACTGCTGCCTTAGCCAAACCCTCAAAGCTGTCAAACAATATGAAGGACAAAACAAAGGGAAGTGAGGGTGACGACTTCAGTTTTGCCAAGACGGTTGGAAAAACAGCAAACATTGTTCTTATTCAGTGTACAAATGGGAGCCCAAGGAATGGACACAGGCTTGGTGAAAACTCCTGGAAGCAGATGGGAGAGGATGGAGAGCTGCTTTCATCCAGTCAGTACTGACCCTGAAGGCTGACCAGCTGAAGCCACCCTGTGAGGCTCACAGAGAACAGAGGTCCGTAGTCACACACGCACATTTACTGAGCACTGCCATGTGCCTGCACTGTGCTAGATGCTGGGAAACATCAATGAACTGAACAGACAACAATCTCTGCCCTTATGAGGCTTCCATTCTACTGGCAGGAGAAAGACCACAGCAATAACGTAAAACATAAGCCATACAGGGTATAAGAAGGGGGAGGCTGGGCATGGTGGCTCACGCCTGTAATCTTAGCACTTTGGGAGGCCGAGGCAGGTGGATCTCAAGGTCAGGAGTTCAAGACCAGCCTGGCCAACATGGTGAAACCCCATCTCTACTAAAATACAAAAATTAGCTGAGCGTGGTGGTGAGCGCCTGTAATCGCAGCTACTTGGGAGGCTGAGGCAGGAGAATCGCTTGAACCCAGGAGGTGGAGGCTGCAGTGAGCCGAGATCGTGCCACTGCACTCCAGCCTGGGCAATAGAGTGTGACTCTGTCTTAAAAACAAAAACAAAAAAACCCCCAAAAAAGAAGGGGGAAAGTGCCATGGAGAAAAATAGTAGGGTGGTGCATGAGGCTGGCGGTCCTGGGGAATTTAGTTCAATGTTTGATTAAATGCCACTTATGACTACATTTCATTGCTGATTATTCTTTTTTGTGTGTATGTTGCTAAAAAGAACTCGTTGGGGAGTGGGGAAGGGGAGTTACCTCCTTTTCATAAAAAAATAAAATAAAATAAAAATCAGTTACGGATCACCCACAGGGGCCAGATATCTTGCTAAGTATTAAAATAAAAATAGGGCCGGGCACGGTGGTTGTAATCCCAGCACTTTGGGAGGCCGAGGCAAGCGGATCACCTGAGGTCAGGAGTTCGAGACCAGCCTGGCCAATATGGTGAAACCCCGTCTCTACTAATAATACAAAAAATTAAGGCCAGGCACGGTGGCTCATACCTGTAGTCCCAGCACCTTGGGAGGCTGAGATGGGCAGATCACGAGGGCAGGAGTTCGAGGCCAGCCTGGCCAATACGGTGAAACCTCGTCTCTACTAAAAATACAAAAATTAGCCGGGCACGGTGGTGCATGGCTGTAGTCCCAGCTACTCAGGCGGCTAAGGTAGAATAATCGCTTGAACCTGGGAGGTGGAGGTTGTAGTGAGCCGAGATCGTACCACTGCACTCCAGCCTGGGCAACAGAGTGAGACTCCATCTCAAACAACAACAACAACAACAACAACAACAACAAAAATTAGCCAGGTGTAGTGCGCATGCCTGTAATCCCAGCTACTCAGGAGGTTGAGAGGCAGGAGAATCGCTTGAACCCAGGAGGCAGTGGTTGCAGTGAGCCGAGACTGCACCACTGCACTCCAGCCTGGGCAACGGAGTGGGACTCTGTCTCAAAAAAATAAAAATAAAAATAAATAAATAAATAAATAAATAAATGAAATAAAAATAGGTGACCAAGCAGGGTGGCTGAGCCTGGGGAGATCGAGGCTGCAGTAAGCAGAGATTGTGCCACTGCACTCCAGCCTGGGCAACACAGCCAGACCTAGTCTCAAAAAATAATAATAATAATAATAAAAAAACAGGCAGCCAGGCTAGGTGGCTCATGCCTATATCCCAGCACTCTGGGAGGCTGAGGCAGGTGGACTGCTTGAACTCAGGAGTTCAAGACCAGCCTAGGAAACATGGCAAAACCCTGTCTCTACCAAAAATACAAAAATTAGCCGGGAGTGGTGGCATGCACTTGTGGTCCCAGCTACTCGGGAGGCTGAGGTGGGAGGCTCACTGAAGCTCAGGAAGTCAAGGATACAGTGAGCAGAGACTGTGCCACTGCACTCCAGCCTGGGCAACACAGCCGGACCCAGTCTCAAAAAAACAAACAAAAAGAATAAAATAAAATAAAAAAACAGGCGGCCAGGCGTGATGGCTCATGCCTATATCTCAGCACTTTGGGAGGCTGAGGCAGGTGGACTGCTTGAACTCAGGAGTTCAAGACCAGCCTAGGAAACATGGCGAAACCCTGTCTCTACCAAAAATACAAAAATCAGCCAGGAGTGGTGGCATCCACCTGTGGTCCCAGCTACTCGGGAGGCTGAGGTCGGAGGCTTACTGGAGCTCAGGTAGACAAGGCTGCAGTGAACTGTGATCATGCCACTGAACTCCAACCTGGGTGACAGAGCGAGATTCTGTCTCAAAAAAAATAAATTAATCAAAAATAAATAAATTAATAAATTAATTAAAAACAGGCTTAAATAGTGGCCCTACTGCCAAGTTATCTGTAATCTCAGCTAGGAGATAACACATAATAATAATGACAATCATAATATTAGCAGCAGTGTGCTACCACTTAGTGAAGTGAGCACCTTATTACATTTATTATCTTTATCCTTATAATAAAAGTATGAGTCTACTATTAGTTCTCAGGTACCATTGGGTCTCAGAGCTGTTAAATCCCTGGTGAGTAAGCAAGCACAGAAGGGCCACCCAGCAGCCACGTGCTGGACTGGAGTCCTATCTAGATCCTGATGGGAACCCATTCCAAACAAACAAAATACAGGAGACAATGGGGAAATTAATACTGACCTTGTATTTTCCTTTTAGATATGATAATGGCATTGTAGTTTGATAAGGGGGAAATTCCTTTTTTTCTTTTAGAGATAGACAACTAGGTATTCAGGAATAAAGTATGTCTGATATTGCCTTTAACATAATCCAGTTTGGGCCGGGCGCAGTGGCTCACACCTGTAATCCCAGCACTTTGGGAGGCCGAGGCGGGCGGATCACGAGGTCAGGAGATCTAGACCATCCTGGCTAACACGGTGAAACCCTGTCTCTACTAAAAATACAAAAAATTAGCCAGGCGTGGTGGCAGGCGCCTGTAGTCCCAGCTACTTGGGAGGCTGAGGCAGGAGAATGGCGTGAACCCGGGAGGCGGAGCTTGCAGTGAGCCAAGATCGTGCCACTGCACTCCAGCCTGGGTGACAGAGTGAGACTCCGTCTCAAAAACAAAAAAAACAAAACATAATCCAGTTTGCACTGGGCATGTTGCCCACACCTGTAATCCCAGCTACTCAGCAGACTGAGGTGGGAGGACTGCTTGAGGCCAGGAGTTTGAGACTAGCCCAAGCAACAAAGCAAGACCCCCACATCTCTAAAACTAAACTAAACTAAAGTAATCCAGTTCAGAGAGCAGTAAGGAGCCATGGGTGGGGTCCACATGAATCAATCTGGCCATGGGTTAGTAACTTTTTTTTTTTTTTCATAATATGGACTCTAGCTCTGTCGTCCAGGCCAGAGCGCAGTGTCAGGAACTCTGCTCCCCGCCTCCCGGGTTCAGCCTCCAATGTAGCTGGGACTACAGGTGCCCACCAACATGCTCGACTAATTTTTTGTATTTGTAGTAGAGATGTGGTTTCACCGTATCAGCCAGAATGGTCTTGATCTCCTGACCTCGTGATCCACATGCCTCGGCCTCCCAAAGTGCTGGGATTACAGGTGTGAGCCACCGTGCCCAGCCCGGGTTAATAACTTTTGAAGGATTTTCTTTGGTTTGTTTTTTAGAGACAGGGTCTTCCTCCGTTGTGCAAACTGGAGGGCAGTGGTGTAATCATGGCTCACTGCAGCCTGGACTCCTGGGCTCAAGGTATCTTCCTGTCTCAGCCTCTGAAGTAGTTGAGACTACAGGTGTGCACCACCATGCCCAGTTAATTTTTTTTTTTTTTTTTTTTTTAAGACAGAGTCTCACTCTGTCACCCAGGCTGGAGTGCAGTGGTGTAATCCCAGCTCACTGCAACATCTGCCTCCCAGGTTCAAGTGATTTTCATGCCTCATCCTCCCAAGTAGCTGGGATTACAGGCATGTGCCACCACGCCCAGTTCATTTTTGTATTTTTAGTAGAGACAGGGTTTTGCCATGTTGGCCAGGCTGGTCTCAAACTCTTGACCTCAAGCGATCCGCCCACCTCAGCCTCCCAAAGTGCTGGGATTACAGGCGTGAGCCACCATACCTGGCCAATTTTTTTTATTTTTTGTAGAGGTAGTGTCTCATTATGTTGCCCAGGCTGTTCTTCAACTCCTGGCCTCAAGAGATTCTCCCCCTTTGACTTCCCAAAGTGCTGAGATTACAGGCATGAGTCATTGTGCCTGGCTGAAGTCAGGTGTTTCAAAGAATTACATACTAAATAGTACAAGAAAAACATTTTTTAAAAAAGGCAAAAAAGGCCAGGTACAGTGGCTCATGCTTGTAATCTCAGCACTTTGTCAGGAGTTTGAGACCACCCTGGCTGACATGGTAAAACCCCCTCTTGACCAAAAAAGAAAAAAAAAAAGAGCCTGGCGTGGTAGTGTGTGCCTGTAATCCCAGCTACTCAGGAAGCTGAGGCAGGAGAATCATTTGAACCCAGGAGGTGGAGGTTGCAGCGAGCCGAGATCGTGCCACTGCACTCGAGCCTCGGCGACAGAGCGAGACTGCCTCTCAAAAAAAAAAAAAAATCAATAAAATAAAAAGGGGAGCCGGGTGCGGTGGCTCACGCCTGTAATCCCAGCACTTTGGGAGGCTGAGGCGGGCAGATCACAAGGTCAGGAGATCGAGACCATCCTGGCTAACACGGTGAAACCCCGTCTCTACTAAAAATACAAAAAATTGGCCGGGCGTGGTGGCGGGCGCCTGTGGTCCCAGCTACTCGGGAGGTTGAGCCAGGAGAATGGCGTGAACCCGGGAGGCAGAGCTTGCAGTGAACCGAGTTTGCGCCACTGCACTCCAGCCTGGGCTACAGAGCGAAACTCCATCTAAAAAAAAAAGGGGGGCCGGACGCAGTGGCTCACGCCTGTAATCACAGCACTTTGAGAGGCCAAGGCGGGTGGACTGCCTGAGCTCAGGAGTTCGAGACCAGCCTGGGCAACACAGTGAAACCCCGTTTCTACTAAAATACAAAAAATCAGCTGGGCGTGACGGCATGGGCCTGTAATCCCAGCTACTTGGGAGGCTGAGACAGGAGAATCGCTTGAACTCAGGAGGCGGAGGTTGCAGTGAGCAGAGACTGTGCCATTGCACTCCAGCCTGGGTGACAGAGCGAGACTCTGTCTCAAATAAATACATTAATAAAATAAAATAAAATGCCAAAAAAGATCAGTACTTTACAAAGCTTTTACTTGACTCTCCCCCTGCCAAAAAAAAAAAAAGAAACCAAAAAGTTCCATCATTAACTGTGCTTCACAGATACTGGTTAAGCAAGTTTCTTTACTGTAGGACTTTTCAGAACCTGAGATGTGTCAATGTGTGCTTGAATCTCCAGGGTTCCAAGGCTGGGGTTGCGGGGAGAGTATTTCTGACTCTGGACACACCAATTTGAGGAAGACTGATCTGGTGGTTTCTTAAGGCCACTTCAGCTCTAACAAACTGTACTTCTACAATAAGAGCTTCTTGCACAGGCAGGACCAGGTCAAAGGAAGAGGACACTGATGAGGGCCTGGAGGCTCTTACGTTGCAGATTAGATTAGGAAAGGCCTTGAATGCCAAACTGAGGCCTACAGACTTCATTACGCAAGGTAAACAGTTGAGAGAAGCAGGATGATCCAAGTTGTGCTGTAGTTAAGTGTGCTCCAGGGCAAACTGGAGTCTGGATGGGAGAATGGAGGTGGAGATGTAACTGCCATAACTAGGCATGTAGGGCTAAGAAACTGTTCTGGGATGGCAGCCTTTGGGACTAGAAAGAAGGGATGCACAAGGACAAAGGATAAGAAGGGGACAGGAAGGCCGGGAGCAGTGGCTCACACCTGTAATCCCAGCACTTTGGGAGGCCAAGGTGGGGTGGATCACCTGAGGTCAGGAGTTCGAGACCAGCCTGGCCAACAAGGTGAAACCCCGTCTCTAATAAAAATACAAAAAATTAGCCAGGCATGGTGGCGGGTGCCTGTAATCCCAGCTACTCAGGAGGCTGAGGCAGGAGAATTGCTTGAACCTGGGAGGCGGAGCTGGCAGTGAGCCAAGATGGCACCTTTGCACTCCAGACTGGGCAACAAGAGCAAAACTCCATCTAAAAAAAAATATAATAAAATAATAAAACTTAGGAGGCTTTGGGACATTAACTAGCCCAGACATACATTCACATACTCATTATTAGGTAAAAGTTTTATCCCATAATTTGACATAAAGGAATAGGACTGAACACTAGCAGCTCTATCAATAAATAAAGGCCATAACAGCCTGGCACAGTAACATGCCTATAATCCCAGCTACTTGGGAGGTTAAGACAGGAGAATCATTTCAGCCAAGGACTTCCAGACCAGCCTGGGCAACATAGCAAGACCCTGGCTCAACAAAAGCCTCAACAAAACAAAGGTTACAGTTGAGCAAGCACTGTGTTAAGTACTTTACAGGCATTCATCTCTTCATTCCTAACACCGCAATAAGCTGCTATTATTATTCTACTTTTCAGAAAAGAAACTGAGGTTCTACAAGGCTGATTTGTCCAGAACCAAATGGCTACATTCAGTGATGGGACCAAAACTCAAATCAGAGTGAGCCTGAAAAGCCCATCTCTTCACTGGTATGCTGAGTTCCTCAATTTTCTCTGTATCTATAGAAAATGATCTGCTATACGCCGGGCACAGTGGCTCACGCCTATAATCCCATCACTTTGGGAGGCTGAGGTGGGCAGATCAATTGAGATCAGGAGTTCGAGACCAGCCTGGCCAACATGGTGAAACCCCGTCTGTACTAAAAATACAAAAATTAGCCGGGCATGGTGGCACATGCCTGTAATCCCAGCTACTCGGGAGGCTGAGGCAGGAGAATCGCTTGAACCCGGGAAGCAGAGATTGCAGTGAGCCGAGATCGAGCCATTGCACTCCAGCCTGGGAGACAAGAGTGAAACTCCGTCTCAGAAAAAGAAAAAGAAAGAAAAATATAGACTAGGCCGGGCATGGTGGTTCATGCCTGTAATCCCAGCATTTTGGGAGGCCAAGGCAGACAGATCGCTTAAGCCCAAGAATCAAGACCAGCCAGGGCAACATGGTAAAACCTCGTCTCTACAAAAAATACAAAAATTAGCCAGGTGTGTTGGTGCACCGTAGTCCCAGCTACTCAGGAGGCTGAAGCAGAAGAATCACTTAAGCCCTGGAGTTGGAGGTTGCAGTGAGCTATGAGAATCAGTCTGGGTGGGACCTTGTCCCAAAATAAATAAATACATAAAAAGAAGGAAAATACAGACTCAACATCCCCTGGGAGGGTCACAGCATCTCCTAAATTCTATTCAATTCGCTCTGCACGTACTGAGCACCTGCTTTATGCCATTACCTTGCTTCTAACTATGGCTTAGGAAAGAACAAGACTCGCCCCTGAGTTTGAGGAACTATCTATTAGAGCCATGAGACAGATACATCAGATACAAACAAATCAGCAGGAACAATAGAAACCTGTAAATTAGTACTGACCAAAATGATAGTTACAGATAAAAAACATATCTCAGATGCTGGAAGGGGAGGTTACTGTGAACTCAAGCGATTTGGGAAGGCTTTCTGAGGCAGCACAGGGTTGCAGCTCAAGGCTGAAGGCAATCTAACAGGATACAGTGGGGGGCCAAGTGCGGTGGCTCATGCCTGTAATCCCAGCACTTTCAAACTCCAAGGCAGGAGGACTGCTTGGGCCCAGGATCGCTGGAGACCAGCCTGGGCAACATAGGAAGATCCTGACTCTATTTATTTTTTAAATAATAGGCCGGGCACAGTGGCTCACATCTATAATCTCAGGACTTTGGGAGGCCAAGGCAGGCGGATCACCTGAGGTCAGGAGTTCAAGACCAGCCAGGCCAGCATGGTGAAACCCCATCTCTACTAAAAGTACAAAAAATTGCTGGGCAGGACGGCTTACGCCTGTAATCCCAGCACTTTGGGAGGCTGAGGTGGGCGGATCACTTGGGGTCAAAAGTTCAAGACCAGCCTGGCCAACATGGCAAAACTCCATCTCTACTAAAAATAAAAAAATCAGCTGAGCACAGTGGCTCATGCCTGTAATCCCAGCACTTTGGGAGGCCAAGGCAGGCAGATAACCTGAGGTCAGGAGTTCGAGACCAGCCTGACCAACATGGAGAAACATCATCTCTACTAAAAATACAAAAAACAAACAAACAAAAAATTAGGCGGGCGTGGTGGTGGGTGCCTGTAATGCCAGCTACTCGGGAGGCTAAGGCAGGAGAATTGCTTGAATCCGGGAGATGGAGGTTTGCAGTGAGCTGAAATCATGCTACTGCGCTCCAGCCTGGGCGACAGAGCAAGACGTTGTCTCAAAAAAAAAAAAAAATTAGCCGAGTGTGGTGGCATGCATCTGTAGTCCCAGCTATTTGGGAGGCTGAGGCAGGAGAATCGCTTGAACCCGGGAGGTGGAGGTTGCAGTGAGCCGAGATCACGTCACTGCACTCCAGCCTGGGCAACAGAGTGAGAATCCATCTCATAAATAATAAAAATAAAAATACAACTACAAAAAATTAGCCAGGTGTGGTGGTGCATGCCTGTAGTTCCAGCTACTCGGGAGGCTGAGGAAGGAGAATTGCTTGAACCTTGTCGACGGAATTTGCAGTGAGCCGAGATCTTGCCCCTGTACTCCAGCCTGGGTGACAAGAGCAAAACTCTGTCTCGAAAAAAAAAAAAAAAAAAAAAAGGATACAGTGTGGTGGGGTGAGGAAGACAGGGAAGACTGGGGACAGGGACACTAGACAGAGGTCTCCTGAAAATTAGTGCCCATAACAGGTGTTTGGTAGACAGGTCTCAGCCCTCAGACAAACCCATTTCCAAAGATGAAGGCCAGAGAATGAGAATAATGATTTATCGTTCTGGCCGGGTGTGATGGCTCATGCCTGTAATCCCAGCGCTGTGGGAGGCGTGGCCGGCAGATCACCTGAGGTCAGGAGTTCAAGACCAGCCTGGCCAACATGGTGAAACTTGGTCTCTACTAAAAATACAAAAATTAGCCAGGCATGGTGGTGGGCGCCTGCAATCCCAGCTACCCAGAAGGCTGAGTCAGAAGAATCACTTGAACCCGGGAGGTGGAGGTTGCAGTGAGCCGAGATCGTGCCACTGCACTCCAGCCTGGGTGACAGAGTGAGACTCAGGAAAAAAAAAAAAAAGACTTGGCCGAGCCCAGTGGCTCACACCTGTAATCCCAGCACTTTGGGAGGCTGAGGCGGGTGGATCACGAGGTCAAGAGATCGAGACCATCCTGGCTAACACGGTGAAACCCCATCTCTACTAAAAAATACAAAAAATTAGCCGGGCGTGGTGGTGGGCACCTGTAGTCCCAGCTACTCGGGAGGCTGAGGCAGAATGGCGTGAACCTGGTAGGCAGAGCTTGCAGTGAGCTGAGATCACGCCACTGCACTCCAGCCTGGGTGACAGAGCAAGACTCCATCTCAAAAATAAATAAATAAATAAATAAATAAATAATAATAATAATAATAAAGACTTGTGATCCTCTCCCTCTCCCTCTCCCTCTCCGTCTCCCTCTCCCTCTCCCTCTCCCTCCCTCTCCGTCTCCGTCTCCGTCTCCGTCTCCCTCTCCCTCTCCCCACGGTCTCCCTCTCATGCGGAGCCGAAGCTGGACTGTACTGCTGCCATCTCGGCTCACTGCAACCTCCCTGCCTGATTCTCCTGCCTCAGCCTGCCGAGTGCCTGCGATTGCAGGCACGCGCCGCCACGCCTGACTGGTTTTGGTGGAGACGGGGTTTCGCTGTGTTGGCCGGGCCGGTCTCCAGCCCCTAACCGCGAGTGATCCGCCAACCTCGGCCTCCCGAGGTGCCGGGATTGCAGACGGAGTCTGGTTCACTCAGTGCTCAATGGTGCCCAGGCTGGAGTGCAGTGGCGTGATCTCGGCTCACTACAACCTCCACCTCCCAGCCGCCTGCCTTGGCCTCCCAAAGTGCCGAGATTGCAGCCTCTGCCCGGCCGCCACCCCGTCTGGGAAGTGAGGAGTGTCTCTGCCTGGCCGCCCATCGTCTGGGATGTGAGGAGCCCCTCTGCCCGGCCGCCCAGTCTGGGAAGTGAGGAGCGTCTCCGCCCGGCCGCCATCCCATCTAGGAAGTGAGGAGCGCCTCTTCCCAGCCGCCATCACATCTAGGAAGTGAGGAGCGTCTCTGCCCGGCCGCCCATCGTCTGAGATGTGGGGAGCGCCTCTGCCCCACCGCCCCATCTGGGATGTGAGGAGCGCCTCTGCCCGGCCGAGACCCCGTCTGGGAGGTGAGGAGCGTCTCTGCCCGGCCGCCCCGTCTGAGAAGTGAGGAGACCCTCTGCCTGGCAACCACCCCGTCTGAGAAGTGAGGAGCCCCTCCGCCCGGCAGCTGCCCCGTCTGAGAAGTGAGGAGCCTCTCCGCCCAGCAGCCACCCCATCTGGGAAGTGAGGAGCATCTCCGCCCGGCAGCCACCCTGTCCGGGAGGGAGGTGAGGGGGGGTCAGCCCCCCGCCCGGCCAGCCGCCCCATCCGGGAGGGAGGTGGGGGGTCAGCCCCCCGCCCGGCCAGCCGTGCCATCCAGGAGGGAGGTGGGGGGGTCAGCCCCCCGCCCGGCCAGCCGCCCGGTCCGGGAGGTGAGGGGCGCCTCTGCCCGGCCGCCCCTACTGGGAAGTGAGGAGCCCCTCTGCCTGGCCAGCCGCCCCGTCCGGGAGGGAGGTGGGGGGTCAGCCCCCCGACCGGCCAGCCGCCCCGTCCGGGAGGGAGGTGGGGGGGTCAGCCCCCCGCCCGGCCAGCCGCCCCGCCCAGGAGGTGAGGGGCGCCTCTGCCCGGCCGCCCCTACTGGGAAGTGAGGAGCCCCTCTGCCCGGCCACCACCCCGTCTGGGAGGTGTGCCCAACAGCTCATTGAGAACGGGCCAGGATGACAATGGCGGCTTTGTGGAATAGAAAGGCGGGAAAGGTGGGGAAAAGATTGAGAAATCGGATGGTTGCCGTGTCTGTGTAGAAAGAAGTAGACATGGGAGACTTTTCATTTTGTTCTGCACTAAGAAAAATTCCTCTGCCTTGGGATCCTGTTGATCTGTGACCTTACCCCCAACCCTGTGCTCTCTGAAACATGTGCTGTGTCCACTCAGGGTTAAATGGATTAAGGGCGGTGCAAGATGTGCTTTGTTAAACAGATGCTTGAAGGCAGCATGCTCGTTAAGAGTCATCACCAATCCCTAATCTCAAGTAATCAGGGACACAAACACTGCGGAAGGCCGCAGGGTCCTCTGCCTAGGAAAACCAGAGACCTTTGTTCACTTGTTTATCTGCTGACCTTCCCTCCACTATTGTCCCATGACCCTGCCAAATCCCCCTCTGTGAGAAACACCCAAGAATTATCAATAAAAAAATAAATTTAAAAAAAAAAAAAAAAAAAAAAAGACTTGTGGTTCTGCACTTTAGGCACCATGTTGGTCAGGCTGGTCTCAAAATACTCACATTTGTGAGTAAGAAGAGGTTGTAAGGATGTTCACTGTGGCATTGTTTGTAAGGGTGAGATATGGGAACAACAGAAATATCCAACAACAGGATATAGATTAACTAAAAGGAGATATATTCAGTCTATGGGATATTATATCCATCTAAAGAATGAAGGTGATGTGGAAAGAGCTCCATGATATACCAGGTATGATGAAAAAATGTGAGTTCCAGGACACTTTTTATGGTTTGCTACCATTTATGAAAAACAAAGCTACATGAATATGTTCATTAGTGTACATAAAAATATAAAAGGCCATAGTCCAAAATTATATTGTGATTATCTCTAGGGACAAAAGTAGGAGGAGAGTAAAAGAGGATTTTTACTTTTGACTCTCTATAGCTCTATACTGTGTTTTGTTTTTTTTTTTTTTTGAGACGGAGTGTTGCTCCGTCGCCCAGGCTGGAGTGCAGTGGCACGGTCTCAGCTCACTGCAAACTCCGCCTCCCGGGATCACGCCATTCTCCTGCCTCAGCCTCCTGAGTAGCTGAGACTACAGGTGCCAGCCACCACACCCGGCTAATTTTTTGTATTTTTAGTAGAGACAGGGTTTCACCGTGTTAGCCAGGATGGTCTCGATCTCCTGACCTCGTGATCCGCCCATCTTGGCCTCCCAAAGTGCTGGGATTACAGGCGTGAGCCACCACACCTGGCCGCTCTGTACTGTTTTTGAAAGTTTAAAATGAAAATTTATTCCTGCTGGTGAAATGGCTCACACCTGTAATCCTAACACTCTGGGAGGCTGAGGCGGGCAGATCGCTTGAGCTCGGGAATTTGAAACCAGCCTGGCCAGCATGGCAAAACCCCATCTCTACAAATAATAATAATAATAATACAAAAAATAGCCAGGCATGGTGGTGCATGTCTGTAGTCCCAGCTACTCCGGAGGCTGATACGGGAGGATCACTTAAGCCCGGGAGGCGGAGGTTGCAGTAAGCTGAGATCATGCCACTGCACTCCAGTGTGGGCAACAGAGCAAAAGCCTGTCTCAAAAAAAAAAAAAAAAAAAAAAAGTATTCCTATATAAAAAGACTTTGGCTGAGTACAGTGGCTCATGTCTGTAATCCAGCACTTTGGGGAGCCAAGGCGGGTGGATCACGAGGTCAGGAGTTCAAGACCACCAGCCTGGCCAAAACAGTGAAACCCCATCTCTACTAAAAATTCAAAAATTAGCTGGGCATGGTGGCGCTTGCCTGTGCCTGTAATCCCAGCTACTCGGGAGGCTGAGGCAGGAGAATCACTTGAACCTGGGAGGCAGAGGTTGCAGTGAGCCAAGATTCTGCACTGCACTCCAGCCTAGGTGACAGAGCGAGACTCCGTCTCAAAAAAACAAACAAAAGACTTCAAGCCCAGGCACAGGGACTCACTCCTGTAATCCTAACACTTTGGGAGACTGAGGTGGGTGGATCACCTAAGGTCAGGAGTTTGAGACCAGCCTGTCCAACATGGTGAAACCCTGTCTCTACTAAAAATACAAAAAATTAGCTGGGTGTGGTGGCGGGCACTTGTAATCCCAGTTACTTGGGAGGCTGAGGCAGGAGAATCACTTGAACCCAGGAAGTGGAGGTTGCGGTGAGCCAAGACCACGCCATTGCACTCCAGCCTGGGCAAAAAGATTGAAACTCTGTCTCAAAAGCAAAACAAAACAAAAAAACCCTCAAATTCTTATCAAGTCATGACAGCAAAGAAGGCAAGAATCACAAAAACACGAGGCTCAGAAAATTTCAGTTGAAAATCTCTGGAATATTCTGGTTCAAGCCCCCAGAACCTCAGGAGCACAATACAGGGCAAAGGAAAGAACCTTCACTAAGATATAGGAAAGTGCTGAACAGAAGCAAACAAATTAAACCCCCAACTTCTAATACACTTGAACTGAACCTGGGCATGGTGGCTTATACCTGTAATCCTAGCACTTTGGGAGGCCAAGGCAGGAGGACAGCTTGAGCTAGGAGTTTGAGACTAGCCTGGGTAACATAGAGAGACTCTATCTCTACACACAAAAAACATTAGCCAGGCAGGGTGGTGCACACCTGTGGTCCCAGCTACTTGGGGGTTGAGGCGGGAGGATCACTTGAGCCTAGGAGTTTGAGGCTGAAGTGTGCTATGATTGCACCACTGTATTCCAGCTTGGGCAACAGAGCAAGACCCTGTCAAAAAAAAAAAAATGCTCCATTTAAAAAAATTATTAGATTCAGGCCGGGTACGGTGGCTCACGCCTGTAATCCCAGCACTATGGGAGGCTGAGGCAGACAGATCATGAGGTCAAGGGATCATGACCATCTTGGCCAACATGGTCTCTACTAAAAATAAAAAAATTAGCTGGGCGTGGTGGTGCGTGCCTGTAATCCCAGCTACTCGGGAAGCTGAGTAGGAGAATCACTTGAACTCGGATGGCAGAGGTTACAGTGAGCTAAGATTGCACCACTGCACTTCAGCCTGGCGACAGAGAAAGATTCTGTCTCAAAAAAAAAAAAAAAAAAAGTATTAGATTCAAGGGACATTGTCAAATTGCTATAAAAGGTTCCAAATGCTTATTCTCAATTTCTGTCCTTATTATAGAGAGGACAAGAGGACATTCTGAGGACATAACCCAAGATGCACACTGAACTTTCCAGCTGTGCTGCACCACAGCACACTACTATTCAACTATACTATGTTCACCTGTTACGTGGGCTCCCTCCAGAGACAGAGTCCCACCCACGTCTGGCTCATTACCAAACGCTCTGGCTTGGCCCACGGAGCATGCTTCAATGACTCCATGGACTAAAGGAATGTTCAAGTTAATGTCTCTGGCCACAGCTGCTAAGAGAGGTTACTCACCATTTGGAACCAGAAGGAGGCTTTTCACGATGCTTCTGAGGGAGCCAAGACTGATCTGATTGGTGGTGGCAAATTCAGAGAGCTGAGCCAGAAATCTTTCCACCTGCAGAGAGAGAACAGTGAAAACCCGGGCCTTCACTTTCTAAGCATCTCAGGGAGCACGGACCCACTCCCTAACACAGAATGTTTTATTTACCTCTTTTGGCTCAGTTAGGAAGTGGAAAAGC
Source organism: Homo sapiens (assembly GCF_000001405.40). Classification (NCBI taxonomy): domain Eukaryota; kingdom Metazoa; phylum Chordata; class Mammalia; order Primates; family Hominidae; genus Homo; species Homo sapiens. Next base: position 32,728,120 of record NC_000020.11, read on the forward strand.
ACCTCTGTCAGGGCTGAGAACTGCTGTGAAGAAAACAACACAGAACATCAGTACAATTTCTACTACTGGGTCAGCATGCCCCACCCCAGGCAACTGCATAGCCTTGAGAGGGAAGAACAGTAACAGCCAGGTGTTATGCCTGTTCTGATCATCCTATAGTTACAAATGTTCACAATACCCACCACCAGTGTCAATATACCTGTGTCGCTACATCATCTGAAAAACACGTTTATTGGGATACTTAGCAGACATGTATTGAGAGACTGTAAGCATATGCACTCAGATGCACACATATATCTCTAGGACACAGACACACACAGACAGACATACACACACACACACACACACACGCACGCACAAGGGGGAAATCATCAGAAAATTAAAAGCGGTTACCACTTTGGATGATTTTTATTTTCTTCTGTTTTACCTATCCATATTTTCTTTCTTTTCTTTTTTTTTCTTTCCCTGAGACAGGGTCTCTCTGTCACCCAGGCTGGAATGCAGTGATGCAATCTCGGCTCACTGCAACCTCTGCCTCCTGGGCTCAAGCAATCCTCCCACCTCAGCCTCCAGAGTAGCTGGGACTACAGGCACATGCCACCATACCCGACTAATTTTTTTTTTAATGTAGAGACAGGGTCTCACTTTGTTGCCCAGGATGGTCTCAAACTCCTGGGCTCAAGTGATCTACCCACGTCAGCCTCCCAAAGTGCTGGAATTATAGGCATAAGCCATGCACCTGGCCTCATATTTTCTTGGGTTCCCCCCACCCATAAACATCTCGTTACTTGTGTAAGACAACAATAAACTGTAACACTTTATTATACACCTAGAACAGACTCTTACAGTTTTGTGTGTCTTAATCTTTTCTCTTTACTGGTAATGTGTTGTTAGGAACTGAATGTTTGTGTCTCCCCAAAATTCATATATTGAAGCCCTAACTTCCATTGTGACAATATTTGAAGACAGGGCCTGTTAGATGATAAAGGTTAAATGAGGTCATAAGAGTGAGATGCTAGCCCCATAGGGCTGGGGGCGCTTATTTTGATTTTTTTTTTTTTTTTTTTTAGATGGAGTCTCACTCTGTTGCCCAGGCTGGAGTGCAGTGGTGTGATGTTGGCTCACTGCAACCTCCACCTTCTGAGTTCAAGCAATTCTCCTGCCTCAGCCTCCCGAGCAGCTGGGATTACAGGTGCCTGCCACCACACCTGGATAATTTTTGTATTTTTAGTAGAGACGGGTTTCACCATATTGGCCAGGCTGGTCTCGAACTCCTCACCTCAAGTGATCCACCTGCCTCAGCCTCCCAAAGTGCTGGGATTATAGGTATGACCCACCGTGCCCAGCCTAGGGCTGGGGCCCTTATAAGAAGAGGAAGAGGCCAGGTGCAGTGGCTCACGCCTGTAATCCCAGCATTTTGGGAGACCAAGATGGGAGGATTGCTTGAGGCTGTGAGTTTGAGATCTGCCTGGGCAACACAGCAAGACCCCACCTCTTAAAAAAAAAAAAAAGGAAGGAGGGAGTCATCTACAAGCCAGGAATCACACTGGCTGGCACTTGATCTTGTACTTCCGAGCAAGCAGAACTGTTAGAAATAAATGTCTGGGCTGGGCATAGTGGCTCACACCTGTAATCCCAGCACTTTGGGAGGCTGAAGTGAGTGGATCACGAGGTCAGGAGTTTGAGACCAGCCTGGCCAGCATAGTGAAACCCCGTCTCTACTAAAACAAAAAACAAAAAAAAATTAGCCAGGCGTGGTGGCGTGTACTTGTAATCCCAGCTACTTGGGAGGCTGTGGCAGGAGACTCACTTGAATCCAGGAGGCAGGGGTTGCAGTGAGCTGTGATCATGCCACTGTACACCAGCCTGGACGACAGATTGAGACTCTGTCTCAAAAAAAAGAAAGAAAGAAATGTCTGCTGTTGGAGCCAACCAGTCTATGATATTTTGCCTTAACAAAATACCAGCTGCCCAGGTATTTTGTTATGGCAGCCTGAGCTGACTGAGACACAGATCATTACTTTATCATGTCCCTCCCTGGCCTGAGCTGACTGAGACACAGATCATTACTTTCTCATGTCCCTCCCTGGCCTGAGCTGACTGAGACACAGATCATTACTTTCTCATGTCCCTCCCTGTGAACAGTGTGTATGGGCTGGACGCGGTGGCTCACGCATGTAATCCCAGCACTTTCAGAGGCTGAGGTTGGCGGATCATTTGAGGTCGGGAGTTCAAGACCAGCCTGACCAACATGGTGAAACCCCGTCTCTACTAAGAATACAAAAATTAGCCAGGCGTGGTGGTGCGTGCCTGTAATCCTAGCTACTCAGGAGGCTGAGGCAGAAGAATTGCTTGAACCTGGGAGGCGGAGGTTGCAGTGAGTGGAGATCATGCCACTGCACTCCAGCCTGGGTGACAGAGCGAGACTCCGTTTCAAAAAACAACAACAACAACAACAACAACAAAAAGCCCACTGTGTATGGCATAGTGGGGAAAACCAGGATGCCAGGGTTTAAAAGACCCAGTTCAATCAGTGTTCTCCGTTGACTACTCTTGTGAATTTGGTCAAGCCGTTTAGCATCTGTGTCCCAGTCCCCACGAGGAAAACAAAGGTAAGAATACACAGCTTCCAATACTAACAGTAACACATGCAGAGCCTCTAGCACAGAGCCAGGCTGGACGCTAAACAAATGGTAGCTACAGTTAGAGTCATAATTAGAGTCACTATACCATTTGATCCACCTTCTAGAAGCAATATATAAAAAAAGAAAAAGATTATAGGCAGATACTTCAGCTTAAAACCCCCAAAGTTGTATGTGTAGTATGTTAAATGCACCTATCCCTTCTGCTATGACACATTAAACTCTACACATCTGTCAGGACTCTGTATTATTTTATTCAAAAATGTATTCTATTTTAAAAGAAAACGAAACTGGGTGTGGTGGCTCATGCCTGTAATCCCAGCACTCTGGGAGGCCAAAGTGAGAGGATTGCTTGAGGCCAGGAGTTCGAGACCAGCTTGGGCAATCTGCATAAAAAAATTTAAAAATTAGCCAGGCAAGGTGGCATGCTCCTGTAGTCCTAGCTACTCAGGAGGCTGAGGCAGGAGGATTGCTTCAGCCCAGGCATTCCAAGCTGCAGTGAGTCATGATCACACCACTGAACTCCAGCCTGAGTGACAGAACAAGATCCTAGCTCAAAAAATAAAAATAAAAAATAAAAATAAATTAGTCAAGCATGGTGGTATGCACCTGTAGTTCTAGCTACTCTGGAGGCTGAGGTGGAAGGATTGCTTGAGCCCAGGAGCTTGAGGCTGCAGCAAACTATGATTGCGCCACTGCAATCCAGCCTGAGCGACAGTGCAAGAATGTGTTATTGATCCCTCGTCCCTATCTCTCCCTTCCCAAGCCCTCCTTATCCTCCAAAGCCCTGCCAAGAAACCATGACACTCCCAACAAGAAAGGGACCTACCCAGATTCTCAACTTCTGAGGCTCCCTGGGGCCACCTACAATTTTCAACTCTGATAAGGAACACAAACATGTCTTAGAAGAGAAGTTTCCTTATATGGCATTGCAGCTTCACAGCAACTTAAATACTGTAAGTGCACAGTATTTGCTGAATAAATCTTTCCTAAACACTCCCCGCAATGCTTTGCCTTTGCAATTGCATAGGTGCCTCCCTCTGGAATGCTCACCCACCCATGGCTATCTATGCATGCATCTCAAAATCTTAAGGATTCTCCCCAGTAAACTTAGGAAGAGATGCACAAGGTCATTCCAGACTAGAGAAATGCAAATCAGTAAAACCAGAATATACTATTTTTCACTTATCAGATCTGCAAACCCAAAAGTTTGACTAGGACACCAGTGCTGGTGAAAGTACAAGGAAGCAGACAGGTTCCTGCATGACTGATAATAGGATACACTGGGGTGACCTTTCTAGGGGCAATTTCACAATGTGCATCTAACTTGTATTTTTTTGAGGCAGAGTCTGGCTCTGTCGCCCAGACTGGAGTGCAGTGGCGCAATCACGGCTCGCTGGAGCCTCCAACCTCTTGGGTTCAAAGCAATCCTCCCACCTCAGTCTGCTGAGTAGCTGAGATTACAGGCACATGCCACCACATCCACATTGGGCTAATTTTTTTATATTTTGTAGAGACAGGGTCTCACAATGTTGCCCCAGCTCATCTGGAACTCCTGGGCTCAAGCAATCCTCCTGCCTCACCCTCCCTAAGAACTGGGATTATAGGTTTGACCAACCACACCCAACCGGCATCAAATTTTTAAAGTGATTATACCCCTCGACCTAGTAATTCCATTCCATGAAGTATATCCTTTAGGTATGTTCCAAAAAGTAAATGTTTTGGCAAGTCACAGTGGCTCATGCCTGTAATGCCAGCACTTTGGGAGGCTGAGGCAGGAGGACCGCTTGATCCCAGGAGACAAGCATTATGTTCAGGCAACATAGTGAGAGCCCATCTCTACAAATCATAATAATACATTTAAATTTAAAAAGAAAAAAAGAGGCCTGGCACCATGGCTCAAGCCTGTAATCCCAGCACTTTGGGAGGCGGAGGTGGGTGGATCACGAGGTCATGAGATCTAGACCATCCTGGCTAACACGGTGAAACCCTGTCTCTAAACCCTCTACTAAAAATACAAAAAAATTAGCCGGTCTTGGAAGTGGGCGCCTGTAGTCCCAGCTACTCGGGAGGCTGAGGCAGGAGAATGGCATGAACCTGGGAGGTGGAGCTTGCAGTGAGCCGAGATCGCGCCACTGCACTCCAGCCTGGGCGACAGAGTGAGATTCCATCTCAAAAAAAAAGAAAAAAGAAGGTCGGACGCGGTGGCTCACATCTGTAATCCCAGCACTTTGGTGGCTGAGGCGGGCGGATCACCTGAGGTCAGGAGTTTGAGATCAGCCTGGCCAACATGGCGAAACCCCGTCTCTACTAAAAATACAAAAATTAGCTGGGCATGGTGGCGGGCGCCTGTAATCCCAGCAGAATTACTTCAACCCAGGAGGCGGAGGCTACAGCAAGCTGAGATTGTGCCACTGCACTCCAGCCTGGGCAACAGAGTAAGACTCCATCTCAAAAAAAAAGAATGCAGTAGATCTATTTGTATTGAAGGGAGAAAATAGGATACATTGCTCAGTTTAAAAAACAACAACAAAACAGGCCACGCGCGGTGGCTCACGCCTGTAATCCCAGCACTTTGGGAGGTTGAGGCGGGGGGATAACCAGAGGTTAGGAGTTTGAGACCAGCCTGGCCAACTTAGCCAAACAAACCCCGTCTCTACTAAAAATTCAAAAATGGCCTGGAGCGGTGGCTCACGCCTGTAATCCCAGCACTTTGGGAGGCCGAGGCGGGCAGATCACCTGAGGTCAGGAGTTTGAGACCAGCCTAGCTAACATGGTGAAACCCCATCTCGACTAAAGAAACAAAAAATTAGCCGAGTGTGGTGGCACGTGCCTATAATCCCAGCTACTTGGGAGGCTGAGGCAGAATTGCTTGAACCTGGGAGGTGGAGGTTGCAGTGAGCCGAGATTGCACCATTGCACTCCAACCTGGGCGACAGGGCAAGACTCCATCTCAAAAAAAAAAAAAAAAAAATTAGCCAGGCGTGGTGGTGTGCGTCTATAATCCCAGCTACTCAGGAGGCTGAGGCAGGAGAATTGCTTGAACCTGGGAGGCAGAGGTTGCAGTGAGCCGAGATTGCACGATTGCACTCCAGCCTGGGCGGAGTGGAACTCCTTCTCAAAAAAAAAAAAGAAGGCCGGGTGCGGTGGCTCACACCTGTAATCCCAATACTTAGGGAGGCCGAGGCGCGCAGATCATGAGGTCAGGAGACAGAGACCATCCTGGCTACGGTGAAACCCCATCTCTACTAAAAATAAAAAATAAAAAAATTAGCCAAGCGTGGTAGGGGGCGCCTATAGTCCCAGCTACAGGGGAGGCTGAGGCAGGAGAATGGTGTGAACCTGGAAGGCAGAGCTTGTGGTGAGCCCAGATCACACCACTGCACTCCAGCCTGGGCAACAGAGCGAGACTCCGTCACAAAAAAAAAAAAAAAAAAGTGCCGTGCCTCACGCTTGTAATCCCAGCACTTTGGGAGGCCAAGGCGGGTGGATCACAAGGTCAGGAGTTCAAGACCAGCCTGGCCAAGATGGTGAAACCCCGTCTCTACTAAAAATACAAAAATTAGCCGGGCATGGTGGCATGCGCCTGTAATCCCAGCTACTCGGGAGGCTGAGGCAGAGAATTGCTTGAACCCGGGAGGTGGAGGTTGCAGTGAGCCCAGATCATGCCACTGCACTCCAGCCTGGGTGACAGAGCTTGACTCCGTCTCAAAACCAACCAAAAAAAAACCCCAGCAAGATGAAGAAAAAATATATACAGAATGAACCATTTTCTATATATATATAAAAATTCAAAGCCAGAAATGGGAGGATCACTTGAGCCTAGATGTTCAAGATCACCATAGGCAGCATAGTAAGACCTCATCTCTAAAAAATAAAAATAAGGCCAGGCACAGCGGCTCACGCCTGTAATCCCAGCACTTCGGGAGGCCGAGGATGGCAGATCACCTAAGGTCAGGAGTTCAAGACCATCCTGGCCAACATAATGAAACCCCATGTCTACTAAAAATACAAAAATTAGCCAGGTGTGGTGGTAGCTGTAGTCCCAGCTACTCGGGAGGCTGAGGCAGGAGGATGGCTTAAACCCAGGAGGCAAAGGTTGCAGTGAGCCAAGATTGTACCATTGCAGTCCAGCTTGGGCAACACAGTGAGACTCCATCTCAAAAATAAAATAAAATAAAAATAAGAAAACATGCCCAGGCACGGTGGCTCATGCCTGTAATCCTAGCACTTTGCGAGTCTGAGGAAGGTGGATCACCTTTGGTCAGGAGTTCAAGACCAGACTGGCAAACATGGTGAAACCCCATTCTACTAAAAACATAAAAAATTAGCTGGGCATAATGGTGAGCACCTGTAATCCCAGCTACTTGGGAGGCTGAGGCAGGAGAACTGCTTGAACCCGGGAGGCAGAGGTTGCAGTGAGCCAAGATTGCGCCATTGCACTCCAGCCTGGGCAACAGCGCGAGACTCAAAAAAAAAAAATTTTTTTTTAAAGGATACTCATATATATGCTGGCAAATTAAGACTTTTATTTCTATAAAAATAACTAAGAAACTATTTTTTGTTTGTTTTTTGAGACAGAGTCTCTCTGTGTCACCCAGGCTGGAGTGCAGTGGTGCGATCATGGCTCACTGCAACCTCCGCCTCCTGGGTACAAGTGATTATCCTCCTCAGCCTCCTGAGTAGCTGGGATTATAAGCGTGCACTACCATGCCCGGCTAATTTTTGTATTTTTAGTGGAGACAGGGTTTCACCATGTTGGCCAGACTGGTCTTAGACTGCTGGCCTGAAGTGATCCACCTGCCTCGGCTTCCCAAAGTGGTTGGATTACAGGCGTGAGCCACTGTGACCAGCTATAAGAAACTATTAAAATGATTTCTGGAGATAAGAAAAATAAACATTTTATTTTTAAGAGATGGGGGTCTCACTCTTTCAGGCTGGAGTACAGTGGGTGATCATCATAGCTCACTGCAGCTTCCAACTCCTAGGCTCCTGCCTCAGCCTCCTGGGTTGCTCTGGGATTACAGACATGCTGTACCATACCTAGCTTATTTCACTTTGATATCTTTGTATACTGTTTGAATTTCCTGTCTATTACTTTCATTTCCAGCTTGGTAAGAGGACTGTGGGCCACTTGCTTGTATTATCCTTTATATTTTTCTGAGTTTACTCTCATTCTAAAATGATTAACTTAAAATCCTGCCTATTCTCAGACTCCACATTGCCTGGGACTGGCCACGGGCATCAAAGGGCACATCTATGTGCAATTTGGTACTATCTGCTTCTTCATTTTATGACCTGCTGTAGAAGATCACAACTTCCCCAGGACAAAAGGCCTTGACCATCAAATATTCCTAAGTCCTACCAGGTTTAGTGGCTATTTGGTTTATGTAGGCATTCAGGTAAACACCCACCGAACGAGCAATAAATGTTAAAGACAAGGTTCACACAATGATTCGTTTTACTACTTGAGGCCTACACCTTAGAATTCAAAATAAATTCAGCTAACAGAGTGGGTACTTGGAGAAGTCTGATTATCCAACAAAAGACAGAGAAATGGGCCAAACGACTCAGGTAAGTTGCTTATTAGGAGAAAGGTTTAAGGTTTCTGTATTAACAATAAAGGTAGCTGGGCCTGGTGGCTCACACCTGTAATCCCAGCACTTTGGGAGGCTGAGGCCGGCGGATCACAAGGTCAGGCGATTGAGACCATCCTGGCTAACACGGTGAAACCCCGTCTCTACTAAAAATACAAAAAATTAGCCAGGCATGGTGGCACATGCCTGTAATCCCAGCTACTCAGGAGCCTGAGGCAGGAGAATCGCTTGAACCCAGGAGGCAGAGGTTGCAGTGAGCTGAGATCATGCCACTGCACTTCAGCCTGGGTGATACAGCGAGACTCTGACTCAAACAAACAAACAAACAAACAACAACAACAAAAAAAACCAATAAAGGTAAAGGTTTACAGTATGTTTCAAGGTTAGAAAATGAGTCAGTTCCTGGGGGTGATGGCTCACACCTGTAATCCCAGCAATTTGGGAAGCCACAGTGGGTATATCACTTGAGCCCGAAGTTCTAGACCAGCCTGGGCAACATGGCACAACCCCATTTCTTCAAAAATTACAAAAATTAGCCAGAGCTGGGCACCATGGCTCATGCCTATAATCCCAGCACTTTAGGAGGCTGAGGCAGGTGGATCACCTAAGGTCAGGAGTTCGAGAGTAGCCTGACCAACATGGTGAAACCCCGTCTCTACTAAAAATACAAAAAATTAGCCAGGCGTAGTGGCGGGCACCTGTAGTCCCAGCCACTCTGGAGGCTGAGGCAGGAGAATGGTGTGAACCCAGGAGGCAGAGCTTGCAGTGAGCCGAGATCGCGCCACTGCATTCCAGCCTGGGTGACAGAGCGAGACTCCATCTCAAAAAAAAAGAAATATATACATATACATATATATAAAGTTTAGCTGGGTGTGAGGGAGGGCACCTGTAATCTCAGCTACTCGGGAGGCTGAGGCAGGAGAATTGCTTGAACCTGGGAGACAGAGGTTGCAGTGAGCCGAGATCGTGCCATTGCACTCCAGCCTGGGCAACAGAGCAAGACTCCGTCTCAAAAAAAAAAGATAAGCCAGGCACGGTGGTACATGCCTATAGTCCCAGCTACTAGAAAGGCTGAGGTAGGAGGATCACTTGAGCCTGGGAGGTCGAGGCTGCACTCCAGCCTGGGTGATAGAATGAGACCCTGTCTCAAATTTAAAAAAACGAAAGAAAGAAAAGAAAATGAGTCAACTCTGGGTGTAATGGCTCACACCTATAATCCCAGCACTTTGGGAGGCTGAGGTGGGAGGATCCCTTAAGGCCAGGAGGCCCAGACCAACCTAGGCAACAAACAGTGACCGTGTTGCTATAAAAAAAATTAAAAAATAAAAAATTAGCCTGGTGTGGTGGCACATGCCTGTGGTTCCAGCTACTCAAGAGGCTGAGGCAGGAGGACTCCTTGAGCCCAGGAGTTCAAGACTGCAGTGAGCCATTATTGTAACACTGCTCTCCAGCCTTGGCAACAGAGTGAGGTCCTGTCTTAAAAAAAAAAAAAGAAAATGAGTCAAGTGCTGATCTCAAAGGAAGTGGTTTGTATTTTCTACGAATACCAAGCTGGAGGTAATTTTACAGATCATACAATCCAGTATCTTAAAAAAAAAAAAAAGAAAAAAACTTTGTTAGTAGCAGAATCTTTTTTTATTCTCCAAATGGATATCTTCCAGAGAACACTGATACATTAACAAGTAAAAGCTAAGCTACCACCATAGGCTTTGAAGCCAAACACGTGATCCTAAATTCCTGGCTCCATCACTTCCTGGCTGCCTGACATTATTTATTTATTTTCTTGAGACAGGGTCGCATTTTCTGACCCAGGCTGGAGTGCAATGCCATGGTCATAGCTCACTGCAGCCTCAAACTTCTGGGCTTAAGGGATTCTCCTGCCTCAGCCACTTAAGTAGCTAGAACTACAGGCACATACCACCACTCTCAGCTAATTTTTAAAACTTTTGGCCAGGTACGGTGGCTCACGCCTATAATCCCAACACTTTGGGAGGCCGAGGTGGGCAGGTTACAAGGTCAGGAGTTGGAGACCAGCTTAGCCAACATGGTGAAACCTCATCTCTATTAAGAATACAAACATGAGCCGGGCATGGTGGTGCACGCCTGTAGTCCCAGCTACTTGGGAGGCTGAGGCAGGAGAATCACTTGAACCTAGGAGGCGGAGGTTGCAGTAAGCCAAGATCATGCCATTGCACTACAGCCTGGGCAATATTGAGACTATCTCAAAGGAAAAAAAATGTTTTCCTAGAGATGGGGTCTTGCTATGTTGCTCAGGCTAGTCTTGAACTCCTGGCCTCAAGTGATCCCCCTACCTCTACCTCCCAAAGTGCTTGATTACAGGCATGAGCCACCTTGCCTGGCTTTCTGCATGATTTTATTTACTTATTTATTTGAAACAGGGTCTGGTCTGTTCTCTGGGCTGGAGTGCAGTGGCATAATCATAGCTAACCGCAGCCTCCAATTTCTGACTCAAGTGATCCTCCCACCTAAGCCTCTGGAGTAGCTGGGACTACAGGTGTGTGCCACCATGCCTGGCTAATTTTTTATCTTATTGTAGAGATGGAGTCTTGCTACGTTGCTTAGGCTAGTCTTGAACTCCTGTCTACATGACTTTAAACAGGTCAATTTATTTCTCTGAACCATCTTTCTTAACTGTAAAATGGGAATAATAATAGTGCCTTCCTTTTAGAGTTGTTATGCATACATTTAAAATGGTGCCTGGCCACATGGTGCATGCTCAATATATTAATATCGTATAATAGCTATGTTCATTTCACTGCTCTGTGATTCAGTTTCTTCGTCTGTAAAATGTGAATAATAATAAGTGGCTGGGTGCAGTGGCTCATGCCTGTAATTCCATCACCTTGGGAGGCCAAGATGGATCACCAGAGACCATGAGTTCAAGACAAGCCTAGACAACATAGGGAGACCCTGTCTCAATTTAAAATAATAACAGCAACTACCTATAAAAGTGATTGCAAGGACTCAATTAGTTAACATACATAAGCTGGGCGCGGTGTCTCACGCCTGTAATCCCAGCACTTTGGGAGGCTGAGGCGGGCGGATCACGAGGTCAGGAGATAAAGACCATCCTCACTAAAGCGGTGAAACCCCATCTCTACTAAAAATACAAAAAATTAGCAGGGAGTAGTGGCGGGTGCCTGTACTCCCAGCTACTCGGAAGGCTGAGGCAGGAGAATGGCGTGAACCCGGGAGGTGGAGCTTGCAGTGAGTCGAGATTGCACCACTGTACTCCAGCCTCGGTGACAGAGCAAGGCTCTGTATCAAAAAAAAAAAAAAAAAAAATACATAAAAGCACTTAGATCCCTATTGTCCAGTGGCCACTTGCCACATAAGCGCTTGAAAAGGGCTAATCTGACCAGGGGTGGTGGCTCACTCCTGTAATCCCAGCACTTTGGGGGGCCAAGGTGGGTGGATCACTTGAGGTCAGGAGTTCGAGACTACCCTGACCAACATGGCGAAAGCCCATCTCTACTAAAAATACAAGAAAAAATTAGATGGGCATGGTGGTGAACACCTGTAATCTCAGCTACTTGAGTGGCTGCAGCATGAGACTCACTTGAACCCTGTAGGCGGAGGTTTCAGTGAGCCGAGATCACATCCCCGCACTCTAGCCTGGGCAACAAAGCGAGACTGTCTTTAAAAAGAAAAGGGCTGGCCGGATGCGGTGGCTCACACCTGTAATCCCAAAACTTTGGGAGGCCGAGGTGGGCAGATCATGAAGTCAGGAGATCGAGACCATCCTGGCTAACACGGTGAAACCCCATCTCTATTAAAAATATAAAAAATCAGCCGGGCATGGTCGCAGGCAGCTGTAGTCCCAGCTACTTGGGAGGCTGAGGCAGGAAAATGGCGTGAACCCGGGAGGCGGAGCTTGCAGTGAGCCGAGATCACGCCACTGCACTCCAGCCTGGGCAACAGGGCCAGACACTGTCTCAAAAAAAAAAAGAAAAGGGCTAAACTACTTTAAGATGTGCCGTAAGTGTAAAACACCAGATTTAGAAAACTTTGTACCAAAAAGTAAAATGTCATTGATATTTGTATATGGGTAAGATATTGAAAAATATTTTGATATTGTGGATTTAAGCATGCATGGCATTTTGATCAATGATGGACCATATATAAAATGATGGTCCCATAACATTATAATGGAGGTAAAAGATCCCCTGTTACCTAGTGATTGTCACAGAAATCCGCGCCCAGCCATGTTTGTGTTTTAAGCTATGTGTTACTACAAAAGTGCCAAAAAGTTTAACAAAACCAGCCTGGGCAACATGGCAAAACTCTGTCTTTACAAAAAATACAAAAATTAGCCAGGTATGGTGGCGCGTGCCTATAGTCCCAGCTATTTGGGAGGCTGAGGTGGAAGGATTGCTTGAACCCAGGAGATCAAGGCTACAGTGAGCAATGGGTGACAGAGCGAGACCCTGCCTCAAAAAAAAAAAAAAAAGGTAAGCATTCATGAAGTAAAAAGTTACAGTTGGCAGGGTGCATGGCTTACGCCTGTAATCCCAGCACTTTGGGAGGTTGAGGCAGGCAGATCACTTGAGGTCAGGAGTTCGTGACCAGCCTGGCCAACATGGTGAAACGCTGTCTCTACTAAAAATACAAAAATTAGCCAGGCATGGTGGTGCACGCCTGTAGTCCCAGCTACTTGGGAGCCTGAGGCAAAAGAATCACTTGAGCCCAGGAGGTGAAGTTTGCAGTGAGCCAAGATCACGCCACTGCACTCCAGCCTGGGTGACAGAGGAAGACTCCGTCTAAAACAAACAAACAAACAAAAAAAAACTGACAGTAGGCTAAGGTCAACTTATCAAAAACAGAAAAAAAAAAATTTTTTTTTAGGGATGGGGGTCTCACTATGCTGCCCAGGCTGGAGTGCAATGGCTATTCACAGGTGGAATCACCATGCACTACAGCCTTGAAATCCTGGGCTCAAGTGATCCTCCTGTCTCAGCCTCCCAAGTAGCTGGGACTACTGTGGTAGCTGTGCCACCGTACCCAACTAGAAAGTTGTTTTTTTTTTTTTGAGATGAAGTCTCACTCTATTGCCCAGGCTGGAATGCAGTGGTGCAATCGCAGCTTACTGCAACCTCCACCTCTCAGGTTCAGGCGATTCTCCTGCCTTAGCCTCCAGAGTAGCCGGGACTACAAGTGCCCGCCACTACACCCAGCTAATTTTTGTATTTTTAGTAGAGACAGGGTTTCATCATGTTGGCCAGGATGGTCTCGATCTCCTGACCTTGTGATCCGCCCACCTTGGCCTCCCAAAGTCCTAGGGTAGGTGTGAGCCACCGTGCCCGGCCTATTTTTTATCTTTTATACTGTATTTGTACTGTACCTTTTCTATTTAGATTTGTCTAAACACACAAATATTTACCATTATAGTCCAGTTGCCTATGGTATTCAGTACAGTCACATGCTGTATAGGTTTGTAGCCTAGGAGCAATGCGCTATACCATATATCCTAGGGTGCAGTAGGTTTGTGTAAATAAACTCTAGGATGCTTGCATAAGATAAACTCAGGGCTGGGCACAGTGGCTCACGCCTGTAATCCCAACACTCTGGGAGGCTGAGGTGGGCAGATCACCTGAGGTCAGGTGTTCAAGACCAGCCTGGCCAACATGGTCAAACCCCATCTCTACTAAAAATACAAAAATTAGCTGGGCATGGTGGCGTGTGCCTGTAGTCCCAGTTACTCGGGAGACTGAGACAGAGAACTGGTTGAACCTGGGAGGCGGAGGTTGCAGTGACCCGAGATCGCGCCACTGCACTCCAGCCTGGGTGACAGAATGAGACTACGTCTCAAAAAAAAAAAATTAATTTCCATTTCTATTTAATTTTTAAATGTGGCTACTACAAAATGCAAAGTTAGAAATGTGGCTTGCAAATTTTTCTATTGCATAGCTCAAGCTTAGAACCTTCCTGTCGTTACAAGTTCTAAGTTTGGTTTTTATCTCGCAAGCAGCACTACTGTGTGGGAAGTTGTGGGGGGTATGGAGATGAAAGAAGAGGGGCGCTACCTCCTGGGAAGTGACAACCTAGCGGGGGAAATAGATGTATCTTCCCAGTGGGGGTGAGAAGTGTCATTCTCACCTATTTCAGCAGCCTTGGTGGTATGAAAAGGCATCCCAACCAGCACAGAAGCAGGATGCCTCCAAGACTGCCTTGGTTGGCACCTGCAGCCTGAAGGGGGAGAAAAAGGCTTTGCTAGCTCCCCTACCATCGAGGATGAAGACCCCCACTGTACACAGTGTATAAGGTTTCTTTCCATGTGAATCCCAGTGACTCTCCTTAACTGGGTGGAGGTGGAAGGTGTCATCAGCCTTGTCCCAGATCGAGCCCCTCAGGCCCACAGAGCCCCAGTGGGGCCTGGCTATTACTGACACTCATGTCACACTGAGATGTAAGACGGCAGCCCAGGCCAAGCTTCCCCGGGCCCCCTCAGATTCTCGGGCCCTCCCACTCCCCTCAGGCTTCCTCGGCCTCCCTGCCAAACATCTATCTCCCTTTGGACCCCACTGCTCCCCAAAACTCCCCACGCCCTTAGTCTGTTCCTTCAGTTCCCCAAACTCCTTCAGCCTCATCTAGACTCCCCTCCGTCCCTCTTCTAGGACCCCAAAAGCTCTCCTCGGCCCCAGGACCCCGCAGAGGTCCCGTAGTCCCATCTCTGAGACCCCACAAAGCCTTTCGGACCCCTCAGGTGGCCCTTAGGCCTCCGGAGATCCCTTGGCTCCCCACACTCTCCTCAGACCCCAGCTCACCTTAGCCTCGCCCCGAACCCACCTCACACACCCCAAACGCCCACAAGACGCCGCTCTGTCTAGTCTCTCCCAACTCCCGCGCACCCCCGGACGTCCCCCCCACCCCAGGCCCGGATCCTGGAATCACCTGGGCCCCGCGCCCCACGCCCCGCCGCCGGGCCCACCTGCGCGCCCAGCTGGTTCAGCTGCTGCATGTCGCCGCCCACGGCCTCCGGCACCGGGTCCTCAGTGCAGTGCAGGCGGCCCATGGCGCGCGCCCCAGCCCCGCAGGTTCCACCGCCGCCGCCGCCCTGCTCAGCTTCCTCCTCCGCTGCCGCTGCCACCGCTGCCGGCCTCTCCGCGCATCCACAACCGCACTTTCGCCACGGCCGTCGCAGCGCACTCCTCCCCCGGCCGCCCTGGGCTGTCCGGAGCCGGGGAGCCCTCGCAGGGCCGCGGACACGCGCGGCCGCCGGGCTCCGGGGAGGGGCAGGGGCGGCGCCGGCACCGGCAGACGCGAGGTTTCCTGCCAGCTCTCCCGCTGAGTGACCTTTGGGTACGGCGCTTGGCCTCTCTGAACCTCAGTTTCACCATCTGAGAAAATGATGGCTGGGGTAGCTCCTTAAATGAGTTAAGCCTCCAGAAATGTTTAACGCAGAGACCGGCACACAAGAGGTCTTCAATCAATGGCTAGCTGCTATTATCATCATCACTGTTACTATGCACTCCAGAGATATTTATGGCAGCCTACTCGATGCCAGACACTGGGGACAGGGAAGGGAACAAAGCAGGCCAGAGTGTCTCTCGGAGAGCTGACATCAGAGTAGAGACTAGGTCTCAACCTTGGAAGGGCATCAGCATCACCCCAGCATCACCTGGTATTGCCGGGCCCCGCCCCCAGAGGATCTGATTCGAAAGGCCAGGGTGGAGCCTGAGAATTTGCATTTCCAATAAGCACCCAGGGACTACACTTTGAGACCTTCTGGAGTGGAAGAAACTGACTTACCAAAGTTTCCTCAAAATAGTGCGAGGGCTTTGACTGTGCGGGGCAGGGAGGGTGGTGGTGAGGTGGGTGAGGGGAGGTTACTGAGACCGTGATCATCACTGCAGCCCCTCAAACACTCTAACCCCCATGCCCTCTCTTCCCAGGGGCTCCTCACAGTTCCCAGGTGAATATTACCCTAATCCCCACTGGAAACATGAGAAAATAGAGACATGCTACCCAGAATCTAGGAACTGAACGCCAAGCCTAAGGGCTTCACCTAGCCCCTAAGTCCAGCCTTGAGGGTAAAGAGGTAATGCCGAGAAACCTGGAGCAGGGAAATGTGGGGGGTTTGGCTGGCCTTCCTCACCAGCCCTCCTCCTCTCCTCTACCCTTTCCTGAAAATCCCTTCTGTAAAAGTATAAACAAAATGTCTTCTACCCGGCCCGGCGCGGTGGCTCACTCCTGTAATCCCAGCACTTTGGGAGGCTGAGGCGGGCGGATCACTTGAGGTCAGGAGTTTGAGACCAGCCTCAACATGGAGAAACTCCGTCTCTACTAAAAATACAAAATTAGCCGGGCGTAGTGGTGCATGTCTGTAATCTCAGCTACTCGGGAGGCTGAGGCAGGAGAATTCCCTGAACCCGGGAGGCATAGGTTGCGGTAAGCCGAGATCGCGCCATTGCACTCCAGCCTGGGCAACAAGAGCGAAACTCCGTCTCAAAGAAAAAACAAAAAAGTCTTCTACCCAAAGGCCAAGCCCATCCCCTTCAGTCATTATATCATTCATACATTCATTCAACAAATATTGAGTGGCACATGCCTGTGGTCCCAGCTACTCGGAGGCTGAGGCAAGAGGATCACTTGAGATCTTGAGATCGAGACTGCAGTGAACCCAGATGGCGCCACTGCACTCCAGCCTGGGCGACAGAGCAAGACCACATCTCCATAAAAAAAAAAGAAGGTCTGCTGTGAGGCAGATACCATGACATGATAGGGGGTGGGGATTCCACAGTGACACAACCAGATGAACCAGATGCAGTGCCTGGCCTCTGAGAAGTCAGAATTGACCCAGGGGGCAGACGCAAGTGTGTGTGAAAGTATTAAGGGATGCCAAAAAGTAGGAGGTGCTTTGAGAATGTGTACAGGACACAGTCCGAGTTTGGAGTACCTGGAAGAGAATAAACCTTCGGGTGACAAACAGACAGGAACTCAGAGGCCCTACTCACCGTGCAAGAATTTTTTTTTTTTTTTTTTTTGAGACAGATTCTGGCTCTGTCACCCAGGCTGGAGTGCAGTGGCACAATCTCGGCTCACTGCAATTTCTGCTTCCCGGGTTCTAGTGATTCTCCAGCCTCAGCCTCCCGAATAGCTGGGAATGCAGGTGGCCACCACCAAACCCAGCTAACTTTTGTCTTTTTTTTTTTTTTTTGGAAACGGAGTTTTGCTCTTTTTGTCCAGGCTGGAGTGCAATGGCGAGATCTCGGCTCACTGCAACCTCCGCCTCCCGGGTTCAAGTGATTCTCCTGTCTCAGCCTCCCAAGTAGCTGGGATTACAGGCATGTGCCACCACCCCGGCTAATTTTGTACTTTTAGTAGAGACGGGTTTCTCCATGTTGGTCAGGCTGGTCTTGAACTCCCCACCTCAGGTGATCCGCCTGCCTCGGCCTCCCAAAGTGCTGGGTTTACAGGCGCGAGCCACCGCACCTGGCCCAACTTTTGTCTTCTTACTAGAGATGGGTTTTCACCGCATTGGCCAGGCTGGTCTCATACTCCTGACCTCAAGTGATCCACCTGCGTCAGCCTCCCAAAGTGCTGGCATTACAGGCGTGAGCCACTGCACCTGGCCCGGAATTTTTATTTTTAAATATTTTTAACCTTGTTAAAAAAGAAGATCTGGGCTGGGCGCAGTGACGCATGCCTGTAATCCTAGCACTCTGGGAGGCTGAGGCCGGTGGATCACCTGAGGTCCGGAGTTCAAGACCAGCCTAGCCAACATAGTGAAACCCTGGTTCTACTAAAAATACAAAAATTAGCCGGGCATGGTGGTTCATGCCTGTAATCCCGGCTACTCTAGAGGCTGAGGCAGGAAAATCGCTTGAACCCAGTAGGCAGAGATTGCAGTGAGCCGAAATCCCACCACTGCACTCCAGCCTGAGCGACAGAGCAAGACTCTGTTCAAAAATAAATAAATAAATAGTTGGGGGAAAAAAAAAAGAAGATCCCCATCAGGGCATTACATTTCTTCATATCTTTAAGTGTTAAATCAACTGTTTAGGTATAAAAAATAAAATGAACCTGTTTTAAGTTTTGTTTTGTTTTTAACATCCTGGAGAAAACCACTGGATTTCTTTTCATTTCTGCTTCCACAGTGACTGGTGCTGAGTCACTTGATAAATACTGTATTTGTGGAACGGAATTAGCTCATGTGACAGAAAATACAGAAAAGGAAAGGAATTCACTTGAAACTGACACCCAATACTATAGGAATATGGTGACTCTTCTTTTCCAGTCTTTTTTTTTTTTTTTGAGACGGAGTCTCTCTCTGTCGCCCAGGCTGGAGTGCAGTGGTGCTATCTCGGCTCACTGCAAGCTCCGCCTCCCGGGTTCACGCCATTCTCCGGCCTCAGCCTCCCGAGTAGCTGGGACTACAGGTGCCCGCTATCACGCTTGGCTAATTTTTTGTATTTTTAGTAGAGACGGGGTTTCACCGTGTTAGCCAGGATGGTCTCCATCTCCTGACCTCGTGATTCACCCGCCTCGGCCTCCCAAAGTGCTGGGATTACGGGCGTGAGCCACCGCGCCCGGCCTTTTTCCAGTCTTTTTCCACATCGCAGGTCACTGGGGTTGTGTGATTTGTTTTCGTTTTACATACACAGGACTCTCGCATTTCACCAAGTTATTTAATAATCCCTCATACTCCACGTGTGGTTCCTTGGACCAGCAGTGCAGGCGTTACCTGGAAGCTTGTTAGAAATGCTGAATCTCAGGCTGGGTGCGGTGGCTCTCGCCTGTAATCCCAGCACTTTGGGAGGCTCGAGGCGGGCGGATCACAAGGTCAAGAGATTGAGACCATCCTGGCCAACATGGTGAAACCCCGTCTCTACTAGAAATACAAAAATTGGCCGGGCGTCATGGCAAGCGCCTGTAGTCCCAGCTACTAGGGAGGCTGAGGTAGGAGAATAGCTTGAACCCGGGAGGCGGAAGTTGCAGTGGGCCGAGATCGGGCCACTACACTCTAGCCTGATGACAGAGTGAGACTATATCTCACAAAAAAAAAAAAAAAAGAAAGAAAGAAAGAAAAAGAAATGCTGAATCTCATTCCAGCCCTTTGGGAGGCCGAAGCAGGCAGATCACCTGAGGTCGGGAGTTCGAGACCAGCCTGGCCAACGTGGAGAAATCCTGTCTCTACTAAAAATACAAAAATTAGCCAGGTGTGGTGGCACATGCCTGCAATCCCAGCTATTCCGCAGGCTGAGGCAGGAGAATCGCTTGAATTTGGGAGGTGGAGGTTGCAGTGAGCTTAGATCACTCCACTGCACACAAGCTTGGGTGACAGAGTGAGACTTTGTCTCAAAAACAAATGAATAAATAAAATAAATACCGAATCTCAGGTCTACTAGACCTGCTGATTCAGGATCTGAATTTTAACAAGATTCCCAAGTGATTTGTGGGCACATTAAAGTTTGAAGTGCAAATAATAACAACCACTTTAAGTGCTCACTTTGTGCAGGACTTTATTTTAAGCATTTGAATACACACCGTGTATAATGATAATAATACTTTGCATTGTCTACTGATTGTCGCTCATATTACTTTTTCTTTTTTGTGTGTGCTGAAACCCAGGAATGAACCATTATTTCTATTTTAATGTTTACCACAATGTGTTATTGCTGTCGTTTATACATCTGTCTCCTCCACTTACTAATTATTTTGTCTCAGGCAAATTACTAACCTTTCAGTGCTTCTATTTCTGTTTTTATTTATAAAATGGAAATGATAATATAACCTTCTTGGAAAGATGAAACAAGACAATGCTTATAAAGCATTTAGCACAGCAACTGGACTATGGTAAGAGCTCAGTAACTGCTTGGTATTATTATCATTTCAATTTTTCAATCTTATAAAAAGAATATGGCAATAAACATTCCTGTACACAATTCTTTTCCACATCTGATTATTTCTTTAGGAAAAATTTCTAGGAAGGCAAGGAATATTATGTTCAGTCCTTCTGGGCTCTAAATGTCATGGGGATGGGGTAGAGATGAGGATGTCTAATGGATACCACAAAAAGTAGTTATAAAGAATGAATAGGCTGGGCGCGGTGGCTCACACCTGTAATCCCAGCACTTTGGGAGGCCAAGGCGGGCAGATCACCTGAGGTCAGGAGTTCTAGACCAGCCTGACCAATATGGAAAAACACCGTCTCTACTAAAAATACAAAAAATTAGCCGGGCCTGGTGGTGCATGCCTGTAATCCCAGTTACTCAGGAGGCTGAGGCAGAAGAGTTGCTTGAACCCAGGAAGCGGAGGTTGTGGTGAGCTGAGATCACGCCATTGCACTCCAGCCTTGGCAACAAGAGCGAAACTCCATCTCAAAAAAAAAAAAAAAAAAAAAAAAACAGAGAGAGAGAGAGAGAATGAATGAACAAGGGCCGGGGGCGGTGGCTCACATCTGTAATCCTAGCACTTTGGGAGGCCGAGGCAAGTGGATCACTTGAGGTCAGGAGTTCAAGACCAGCCTGGCCAACATGGTGAACCTCCAACTCTACTAAAAATACAAAAATTAGCTGGGCATGGTGGCAGGTGCCTGTAATCCCAGCTACTTGGGAGGTTGAGGCAAGAGAATAGCTTGAACCCAAGAGAAGGAGGTTGCAGTGAGCCAAGATTGTGCCATTGCACTCCAGCCTGAGCAATAAGAGCAAAACTCTATCTCAAAAAAAAAAAAAAAAAAAAAAAAAAAAAAAAAAAAGGCCGGCCGAGGAGGCTCATGCCTGCAATCCCAGCACTTTGGGAGGCTGAGGCAGGCAGATCACAAGGTCAGGAGTTGGAGACCAGCCTGATCAACATGGTGAAACACTGTCCTTACTAAAAATACAAAAATTAGCCAGGCTTGCTGGTAGGCACCTGTAATCCCAGCTACTCAGGAGGCTGAGGCAGGAGAATTGCTTGAACCCGGGAGGCAGAGGTTGCAGTGAGCTGAGATTGCGCCACTGCACTCCAGCTTGGGTGACAGAGTGAGACTCCATTTCAATTAAAAAAAAAAAAGGAAGAAAAGAAATGACAAATACTTCAGGTGAAGGATACCCTAAATTCCCTGACTTGATTATTACACATTCTATGAAAGCAACAAAATATCACATATACCCCATAACTATGTACAAATATTATGTATCAATATATTTTTTTAATATCACAAGGACGGATGAATTTTCAAGGTAAGCAGAAACTAAACCATTACCCATGAACCATCTCTCTGAAAACACCCAGAAATTAGCATTTCTGCCTGAACAGGCACCTGGTGCAGTTCCCTGATGAGGCTCCGGGTCCAGGCCCTGCCCGCCTTCCAACCCACATCCCCTACATCCCAAAGAGGAGACATCCAAGTCCTCTAAATTAGCCTCCAAATCTCAAATCTCATTTTTGGCTTCAATGATAAAATGCTACCTAAACATCGTCCAAAAATGCTGCATAATATTCTATGGAGCAAGAATTAAATGCTCATAACTAATCCTTGTGGTTGCCTATTTAGAACTCTCTGACTTTTCTTTCTCATTAAGAACTTTGTAACTAACAAAGGCAATAGATAAAAAAAGTCTTTCCAATTTTCTCCTTCACAATCCACTCTTAGAGGAAGGAAGGAGCAGTGATTACTGTTAATGTGATAACTTTGCAGCAGGAAATGCAGGCCGGAGCCAGGACTCTCTTCTAGAGAACCTCCTGCCCCCATTTCAGCCTTAATGAGGGACCCTACTCCCTTCATTCACTTTAAAATGTCCCTGTGGAGGGCAACGAAAGTCCTCACTCCCTCTCCCCTCCCCCGCGCCTGCAAGTGAAAGGAGTTCATTAAGAAGTAGTTTCTCAGGCAGGGAGGATTCCTGCTGGGAGTTTCACCAAGGGGCCAGGTTTTCCCTAGGAGAAAGGTCTAACCCTTCACACTCTGAAATGCCAAAGGGCATTTTTTTTTAAATTAAACTTTTAATTTTGAGATCATTGTAGACTCACATACAGTTTTAAGAAATGATACAGAGACATTCCTTGTGGCCTTTACCCGGTTTCCCTCGATGCACAGATCCCACAGTGTCATCACCAGGATATTGACATTGATACAGTCAAGACGCAGAACATTTCCATGGCAGCAACGATCTCCCATGTTGCCCAATGGCATTTTAACAGAAGGGACAAGTGCTAGATCCTCTAACAAAAACTAGAAGAAAATACTATGAACATTTTCAGGTTAAAAAAAAAAAACTGGGCCGGGCATAGTGGCACATGCCTGTAATCCCAGTACTTTGGGAGGCCGAGGCCGGCAGATCACCTGAGGTCAGGAGTTCGAGACCAGCCTAGCCAACATGGCGAAACCCCGTCTCTACTAAAAGTACAAAAATTACCCAGTCGTGGGGGCGCATGTCTGTAATCCCACCTACTCCGGAGGCTGAGGCAGGAGAATCGCTTGCACCCGGGAGGTGGAGGTTGCAGTGAGCCGAGATCACACCATTGCACTCCAGCCTGGACAACAAGAGCGAAATTCTGTCTCAAAAAAAAAAGAAAAAAAAAAAGCACGTAACAAAAATGTAAAAATACAGTTGACCTAGATTCCTGACATCTATGTCATGAAAGTCATTGACAAAGGAAGGCTGGAGAATTGCTCTAGATTAAAATAAATAAAAAAGACAAGATAACAATGCAATGTGTAATTCTGGATGGAGGTAAACAATTGCTATAAAAGACATTGGCACAAAATAAATGTACTTAACACTACTGAACTCTGCACTTAGAAATAGTTAAGATGGTTGCTCTTTCCTGTAGTCCCAGCTATCTGATAGGCTGAAGTAGGAGGATCCCTTGCGTCTATGAGTTCTAGGCCTGGGCAACATAGTGAGAACTTGTCCTCAAATAAATAAGAATAAATAGTTAAAATGGTAAATTTTATGTGCTTTTTTAAAACCACAATTAAAAAAATACATTATTGTGACAATTGAAGTCTGAACACCCACTGTAGATTAGATAATAATATTGTATCAATGTTCAATTTCCTGAACTTGATAAATGTAATTTGGTTATGGGAAAATGTCTTTGTTCTTAAGAAATGCATGCTCAAAGTACTCAAGGTAAAAGTGGATAAAATGGTTCAGGGAAAAAAATGAGCCAACACATGTGGTAATGTGGAGATCACTGATTAATTTCTAAATTGGCTCTGAGCATGCTGGAAGCCAGAGGGAGATAAGTCAATTTCACCTCTAGTTTTTCATCCTTACACAGGTAAATTAATGTAGATAAATTTCTCTTGTTGGACTTACAGGAGAGTTCCAATTCTCCAATTTTTATCTAGGACATGGTGATGAATTTGTTTACCTGTTCAAAAATCTTCCTTCAAATGGCAGGATTTCTGGGGTAAAGTTTAAGCCTTTTTAAGATCCTCTGGCCTAAGCTCCAATGGATGTTTAAGCTGTCCCTCTAGAAATTTGCTTTTTAAAGAGCCCTTTGGCAGTTCCTACTTTGAGGGTGTGGGTGACAATGTCTCTACCTTTTGGGAATCTCACCCCTCATTTCAAATTCATGGTAGGAATCACTTTGCCTGAGAAAATGAGGCCTGGATCTCTATTGTCCGCTTTGTTTTTCTCTGCAGAACCATTATAAAGTGAATGCCTGGCCTGCCCTGCTTTAGGCCAGCAATGCATATCACTGCTGGGTGCTGTGAACACAATCCGGGGTGTAATCTTGGGGGACTGACCTCTAGAACTTTCTTTTCTGGACTATTTTTATCATCTGAAAGATAGAGGAGTCGCTTCATTCATTCCAGTAGTAGGTATTTGTTGAGCACCTACTATATTCCAGGTCCTGTGTTGGGTGTCAGGGACACAGCAATGAATAAGATAGATGACTGCTCTGCCTCTACACTGCTCAAAATCTAATGAGGGAGGCACACCTTATATGAAGAGTCACGGAAAGACATTGCAAAGGAGAAAAATGCTAGGAAGGAGAGTGGGGGGCTGTCAACAGGTGTAATGGGGGTAAACCTGTCCGGCGGAGGGAAGGTAAGCAGATGGAGCAGTTAGCCTCTGTGGGGCCTTAGGAAAGGAGCAATTGAGGGGGAAGCCCTGGGGTCTTGGGCATGTCACCCCTACCTTCTCCCTCTACTCTGCAGGTCAGCATAACTTGGTAATCATTTCCTGGCCTGCAGCCAGGGTTATCAGCATGCTGTGTATATGGACGTCGTGAAGATTGGAGGCTGAGGGCCCTGACCAGAGGAGATAAGAACAGGTTTGGACAAGAAGAATCCATCCCCTCTATGTTTATCTCAAAACGGTAGAGCAGGCTGAGTCTGGACCCAGAACAAATCCAGGAAGTAGAATCCAAGAAGCAGAGAGATGAATCAAGAATGACACTAAGGTTTTGGGCTTCATTCCATGCTACACTATCTGCCCCATTTGACAGTGAAGGAAGCAGACGCCCAGAGAAGGGAAGACACCTGTCTGAGGTCACACAGTGGGTTAATAGGAGAATGAGAACAGAACCTAGACCGCTGAACTTTTCCCCTTAACCATCTTACCCTCCTCAGAAGTCAAGCCTGAGCTTCCAAAAATGAAGGAACTCAGGTCCAGGGAAACTTTCTGTTTTGTCTGAGGGTGAGGGATGAGATAATGATGAGTCAGGGCTTCAGGGAAACGAACATTTACTGATTACCTAATGTGGGGGTAGATGTGGTCCCTGCTCTCAGAAAGCTCAAAGTGTGAATGAATTAAAGTCAATGTGACCAGGCGCGGTGGCTCATGCCTAAAATCCCAGCACTTTGGGAGGCCGAGGCAGGCAGATCACCTGAGGTCAGGAGTTCAAGACCAGCCTGGTGAACATGGTGAAACCCCATCTCACCTAAAAATACAAAAATTAGCCAGGTGTGGTGGTGGGCGCCTGTAATCCCAGCTACTCAGGAGGCTGAGGCAGGAGAATCGCTTGAATCCAGAAGGCAGAAGTTGCAGTGAGCTGAGATCGCGCCACTGCACTCCAGCTTGGGCTACAGAGTGAGACTTCATCTCAAAAAAAATAAATAAATAAAACAACACAAACAACAACAACAACAAAATAAAGTCAATGTTACTTCATTTCATGAACAACATCAAATTTGGAGGGGGCCATGGGGTATTCTCCAAGGGGCAAAAACAGGTGATGTCCAACAGAGTGAGGCATGGCATCTCTTTCAAGGGCCAGGATGGAGAAAGAAATCAGTGGATTCAGCTCTGGACCCCAAGTCAAAAGCCAGAAAGACAAATCACAGATTTTGATTTGCAGTTAAGCCTTTTCTCACGAGGGCCACTGTACGGCATCCAATAATAATAACTGCTACTATTATGATAAATAACAAGCATTCATTCATTTGATGTCTTGTCTGGAGAAACGGGATAAAACATTATCCACAGACATAGAGACTGTTGCAGAATGAAGGGAGGGCTTTCCTGTTTTCTTTTCTTTTTTTTTTCTGATGGGGTCTCACTATGTTGCTCAGGCTGGTCTTGAACCCCTGGGCTCAAATGATATTCCTGCCTCGGCTTCCAAAAGTTCTAGGATTACAGGCCTGAGTCACCATGCCTGGCATCCTGTCTTCTATTAACTACCACTGTGCTAGGCATGGTGCAGAATATTTCACTCTGACCTGATCACGTCACTGAAAACCCTGCAAAGGCTCCAATTGCTGAAAGCGTGGATGCTCTGATTCCTGTCTTCTTCACCTGAGTCTGCCTTCCTCTTCAGCTGTGTGCTCTAGCCATGTGGGCCTCCCCTCTGTTCCTTGCCCAAGCCGTGCTCCTTGTGCCTCAGGAGCTTAGCAAGTGCTGTTCCCAAATCCCAGAACACGTTTCCCTCACCCCTTAGCCTGCTGCTTACTTAACCATTGCATCCCCTCAGATCCCTGCATGAGCATTGCTTCTTTTCTTTTTTCTTTTTTTTTTTGAGACTGTCTCGCTGTGTCACCCAGGCTGGAGTGCAGTGGCAGGATCTTGACTCACTGCAACCTCTGCCTCCCAGGTTCAAGTGATTCTCCTGCTTCAGCCTCCCGAGTAGCTGAGATTAGAGGAGCATGCCACCACGTCCTGCTGATTTTTTTTTTTTTGAGATGGAGTCTCGCTGTCACCCAGGCTGGAGTGCAGTGGCGTGATCTTGGCTCACTGCAACCTCCGCTTCCCAAGTTCAAGCAATTCTCACACCTCAGCCTCCCAAGTAGCTGGGATTACAGGCACCCACCATCATGCCCAGCTAATTTTTGTATTTGTGTAGAGATGGGGTTTCACCATGTTGGCCAGGCTTGTCTTGAACTCCTGACCTCAAGTGATCTGCCGCCTCAGCCTCCCAAAACGTGACTTACTTCTTCAGGAAAGTTTTCTCAGGCCCCATGACCTAATTAATTTTCATTTTATAATACCCTGTACTCGTCATAGCATTTAATACAATTGTAGGCCGGCCAGGTGTGGTGGCTCACACCTGTAATCCCAGCACTTTGGGAGGCCAAGGCGGGTGGATCACAAGGTCAGGAGTTTGAGACCAGCCTGATCAACATGGAGACACCCCATCTCTACTAAAAATACAAGATTAGCCAGGAGTGGTGGCACACGCCTGTAATCCCAGCTACTTGGGAGGCTGAGGCAGGAGAATCACTTGAACCCGGGAGGCAGAGGTTGCGGTGAGCCAAGATCGAGCCACTGCACTCCAGCCTAGGGGATAGAACAAGACTCTGTCTCCAAAAAAAAAAAAAAAAAAAAAAGTACAATTGTAATCTTACAACTATTAGTGAGATAAATTTGATGAATGTCTGTTTCCTCTACTCAGTTGTAGTTCCGGGAGGGCAGTAAAAGGACTTTGCATTTTTCTTCTCAGCTTTATTCCTTACCACAGTGCCTGGCACAGAGTTCAGTGAATTCAATAATTCAATAAATATGCACACCCTGGCCAGGCGTGGTGGCTCACGCCTATAATCCCAACACTTTGGGAGGCAAAGGCGGGTGGATCACCTGAGGTCGGGAGTTTGAGACTAGCCTGACCAACACAGAGAAATGTTGTCTCTGCTAAAAATACAAAGTTAGCCAGGCTTGGTGGCTCATGCCTGTAATCCCAGCTACTGGGGAGGCTGAGGCAGGAGAATCACTTGAATCCAGGAGGCAGAGGTTGAGGTGAGCTGAGATCGCGCTATTGCACTCCAGTCTGGGCAACAAGAGCGAAACTCTGTCTCAAAAAAAATTAAAGAAATATGCACACCCCTCCTCCACCAATGACAGAAACAGGGAAGGAAATTCCGTGCTGGTTCTGCAGGGGATAGAGAGAGATGGATGAACTCCCTCCATCCCAATCCCGTTTGGGCCTTGTTTATCCCACGTGTGAAATGGAGATTAGACTCCTTCCTACTTCACAAGGGTGTTGTGAGAGTCAAAGTGTAATACACATAAAATGTTTAGCTCAAGTGCCTGAGCACATGGTAGGCTCTCAGCAGCTATTATGAAATTGCTTATTTAATAATAATTAATGAATGGCTGGGTGCGGTGGCTCACACCTCTAATCCCAGCACTTTGGGAGGCCGAAGCGCATGGATCCAGCCGGGCCAACACGGTGAAATCTCGTCTCTACTAAAAAATACAAAAATTAGCCAGGAATGGTGGCGGGTGCCTGTAGTCCCAGCTACTTGGGAGGCTGAGGCAGGAGAATCGCTTGAACCTGGGAGGCGGAGGTTGCTATGAGCTGAGATCGCACCACTGCACTCCAGCCTGGGTGACAGAGCAAGACTGTCTCAATAATAATAATAATAATAATAATAACAATAATAAATAATGAATATGACCTGGCCAGGCTCTGTGTACTTGTCTAGCTAGGTACATTTAAGGAAAATATTTCAATGACCCGTTTTGGGGTTAAAAAAAGGAGAATAGGAGTCTGGGTGTTCCTGTTGAAAGTGAAAGGTGAGGAACCCACTTTGCAAATGAACGTGGCCTCTAATGGCACTACCATTAGGACTGAATACCTTACAATGGGGTTCTTTCACATACATGGGCTCTGCGAATCCCCACAGTCATTCTGGGAAGTAGGCATGGCTATTATTATTATTATTACTCCAATTAGACAAGGGAGATGCTTGAGGCTCGAACTCCTTAGCATAGCACACACAGAGTGGGGGTCACAGGGAGATGGGGGTCGAGTGGAGGATCTAGTCCCAGCTCTGCCAGCTGTAGGCCCCAGGCAAACCACTTCACTTTTCTGAACCTCATTTTCCTTCACTATAAGGAGAGGCACTAGATACTAGATACTAGAGGTGGACTGGGCTTGCCTGAGAGGCTGGGAGACCAAGGGACAGACAGGACTATTTGGCAGACACTGAGGATGGAAGGAGAACATTTATCCCACACCTGCCAAGAGCTGAGGCAGCCAGGAAAGCAGTGCAGCATATACTCATTAATAATAATATATAGGCCAGGCGCAGTGGCTCACACCTGTAATCCCAGCACTTTGGGAAGCCGAGGCGGGCGGATCATGAGGTCAGGAGATCGAGACTATCCTGGCCAACATGGTGAAACCCCCTCTCTACTAAAGTACAAAAAAAAAATTAGCTCGGCGTAGTGGCACCCGCCTGTAATCCCAGCTACTCGGGAGGCTGAGGCAGGGGAATCTCTTGAAACGGGGAGGCAGAGGTTGCAGTGAGCCGAGATCGCACCACTGCACTCCAGCTCTGGTGACGGAGTGAGACCCTGTCTCAAAAAAAAAAATGTGTATATATATATATAAAATTTAACAAGCATTTTTATGGTATTTTCCATGTGGTAGGCACTGTTCAAAATGCCTTACATGTATTAACTCATAATTCTCAGGAAACCCCTAGGAAGTAGGAAAAATGATCTCTATTTTAAAGATGCGCTTTGGTAGTCTGAGGTGGGAGGATCACTTAGGGTCAGGAGTTTGAGACCAGCCTGGCCAACATGGTGAAACCCTGTCTCCACTAAAAAGACGAAAATTAGCCCAGTGTGGTGGCCCGCGCCTGTAATTCCAACTACGCGGGAGGCTGAGGAAGGAAGAAGAATCACTTGAACCTGGGAGGCAGAGTTTGCAGTGAGTCAAGGTCGCACCACTGAACTCCAGCCTGGGCAACAGAGTGAGACTCTGTCTCAAAAAAATAATAAAATAAAATAAAAATAAAGATGAAGAAATTGTGGCATAAAGAGGTAATAACACATGCTCACAAAAATTTCTATCATACATTAAGTGTCTAGTATGCAGCAGGCACTGTGCTAAGCACTTTACATTTGTTATTAAAAACCTGTAGCTGCTCTAAGAACTGAAAGGTCATGGTATAATTTAACAGAAATGTAAGTTAACTATAACATGTGTGTCAGCCCATCAGTGTGTTGATTTATTAGCATAAGAGTGTCTAGGATCTATATATGTACATGTGGCTTTTCTTTATAATGTTATTTTATTTTAGAGATGGGGGTCACACTGTGTTGCCCAGTCTGGTCTCAAACGCTTGGGCTCAAGCGATACTCCTACCTTGGCCTCTCAAAGTGCTAGGATTCCAGACAGGAGTCACCGTGCCTGGCCCTTAATTTTCTGAAGAATAAATTTTTATTTAATATAATATCTAATTTATAGAAGAGTTGTAAGTCTAGTTCAAGGAACTCCTGGATGTCTTTTAAACCACATTATCTATTTGGTTCATATTTTGTCCTCTTTGCTTTAGCAATCTCCCTGACCCATACATATGCATATTATTTTTCTGAATTATTTAAGAGTAAATTGGTGATACTGTGTCTTTTTTTATTTTTTTTCTTTGAGACAGGGCCTTGCTCTGTCGCCCAGGCTGGAGTGCAGTGGCAGGATCATGGTTCACTTGTAGCCTCCATCTCCCAGGCTCAAGGGATCCTCCCACCTTAGCCTCCTGAGTAGCTGGGACTACAGGCACAGGCTACCATGCCTGGCTAATTTTTTTGATCTTTAGTAAAGACAGGCAACACTTTGTTGCCCAGGCTGCTTCTGAACTTAACTCAAAGGATCCTCCTGCCTTGGCCTTTCAAAGTTCTGGAATTACAGGCGTGAGCCACAATGCCCGGCTGCCTCTTCTAAATAATTTGGTGTTCATCTCCTAAGAGCAAGGACACTCTCTTATCTATGTGTTGTTGCTTTGGGTGATGAAACAAATGGTCTGTAATCACAGAATATGTATCCCCTTAATGAATATTCCTCACCTTCATGATTATAATGATTGTGATCTGTTAAAACACAATTTTTTTTTTTTGAGACGGAGTCTCGCTCTGTCGCCCAGGCTGGAGTGCTGGAGTGCAGTGGCACGATATCGGCTCACTGCAAGCTCCGCCTCCTGGGTTCACGCCATTCTCCTGCCTCAGCCTCCTGAGTAGCTGGGACTACAGGCGCCTGCCACTGTGCCCGGCTAATTTTTTGTATTTTTTAGTAGAGACGGTGTTTCACAGTGTTAGCCAGGATGGTCTCAATCTCCTGACCTCGTGATCTGCCCACATTGGCCTCCCAGAGTGCTGGGATTACAGGTGTGAGCCACCACACCCAGCCTAAAATACAATTTTAAGTAAACATTGCAAGGTGACCACACAGTAGGTGCTCAGTCAAGGTTTGATTACACAGCTGACTCACTCTGTGTAATCCCTTCCTTCTCTGGGCCTCAGTCTCATCTGAAATGGGGCCCCCAGTTCTCCTTGCCTCACATCCTCATGGGTGGCAGTGAGGCTTAGGTGAGATGATGAATTTGATCAATGCACTTTTAAAATTGTAAAGAAAGGCTGGACGGCAGTAGCCTGTAATCCCATCACTTTGGGAGGCCAAGGCGGGTGGATCATGAGGTCAGGAGTTCCAGACCAGCCTGGCCAATGTGGTGAAAACCTGTCTCTAGTCAAAAACAAACAAACAAACAAACAAAATTTAGCCAGGCATGGTGGCACATGCCTGTAATCCCAGCTACTCACGAGGCTGAGGCAGGAGAATTGCTTGAACTTGGGAGGCGGAAGTTGCAGTGAGCTGAGATCACACCACTGCACTCCAGCCTGGGTGGCAGAGCAAGACTCTGTCTCAAAAAAAGAACTGTAAAGAAGTTCTGTGGGGGCCGGGCGTGGTGGCTCATGCCTGTAATCCCAGCACTTTGGGAGGCCGAGGTGGGCGGATCACGAGGTCAGGAGATCGAGACCATCCTGGCTAACACGGTGAAACCCTGTCTCTACTAAAAATACAAAAAAATTAGCCAGGCGTGGTGGTGGGCGCCTGTGGTCCCACCTAATCGGGAGGCTGAGGCAGGAGAATGGTGTGAACCCGGGAGGCGGAGCTTGCAGTGAGCCAAAATTGAGCCATTGCACACCAGCCTGGGCAACAGAATGAGACTCTGTTTCAAAAAAAAAAAAAGAAGTTCTATGCCCTGGGGAGATATCAGGCCATTTTTCTACCCATTCTCCCAACATTCCTGCTCCTTCCCAAGTGATGGGACTGAGACAACCTGCTCACCCAACCTTCTGCTTTTTCTTCCTGGGTTTAGGTGGTCCCAGAAAATCCAGCCCTTTGGCATCTGAACTGGGCCTCCCCGGAGTTCCCACTGGTGGCACAGGCATCCTCTGCCACAATTCAGGACACAGGGTTTAGCTGTGGGTTCCTAGCTTAGGGTTCAGACACAGAGGCCCAGGAGCCCTCCCCATAGACCTGTTTATTTATTTTATTTTTATTTTTATTTTTATGAGATGGAGTCTCCCTCTGTTGCCCAGGCTGGAGTGCAGTGGAGTGATCTCGGCTCACTGCAACCTCCACATCCCAGGTTCAAGCTATTCTCCTGCCTCAGCCTCCCGAGTAGCTGAGATTACAGGCGCCCGCCACTACGCCCGGCTAATTTTTTGTATTTTTAGTAGAGATGGGGTTTCGCCATGTTGGCCAGGCTGGTCTCGAACTCCCGACCTTGTGATTTGCCTGCCTCAGCCTCCCAAAGTGCTGGGATTACAGGCGTGGGCCACCACGCCCAGCTTCAGGCCTGTTTATATATGCTGTTTTCTTTCCAACAACAATATGCCCCAGGCTGGGCATGGTGGCTCATGCTTGTAATCCCAGCACTTTGGGAGGCTGAGGTGGGTAGATCACCTGAGGTCAGGAGTTCCACACCAGCCTGGCCAACATGGCGAAACCCCGTCTCTACTAAAAATACAAAAAATTAGCCGGGCATGGTGGCAGGCGCTTGTAATCCGAGCTACTTGGGAGGCTGAGGCAGGAGACTGAACCCAGGAGGCAGAGGTTGCAGTGAGCCGAGATCGCGCCATTGCACTCAGCCTGGGTGACAGATTGAGACTCTGTCTCAAAACAAAACAAAACAAAACAAAACAAAACAAAACAAAAGATGTGCCCCAGATGGTGGAGACAAGCTACAGGCCCTCTCCAGAGAGACCCCCTTCTTCCTGCACCAATGGACTGGACACCAATTTGTATGTTTGTGCCAGAAAGCCAAGGAGTCCTGCTGTTCATTCACAAGAGGCCCTGCTGGGCGCCAGGCAGGGCGCTGAGCTGAGCCCATTTCTCTCTGGTATCTCCCTAGCCTCTCCCCAAGCTCTTAGGTAGAATAAGATCCAGTAAGTATAGACACTTTTGCGGCATCCAAAGAATTAACCCTTCACTCATTTACTCACCTGGTAAGAGATACAGGGAGAAAGCTGTGGAGTAACTCAGGGAGCTGGAGCCCATAAGGCAGGAAACCCATGCCCATTCATTCAACAAACTTGTATTGAGCTCCTTTTTGATGCATCCCCCATCCACTATAAGCACTTGGAGACCCACACAGATGTGGTTTCTGCTCCCATAGTGTGTGTGTGTGTGTGTGTGTGTGTGTGTGTGTGTGTGTGTGTGTGTGTAGGGGAATGTAAACAGGAAAACAGATATGCAAAACAATTTCAGATCGCGGTAAGTGCTAGGAACAGAATGAAATAGGATAGGAGTGATGGACAGGGGAGACTTCAGGTGGAGTCATCGGGAAAAGCCTCTCCATAAAGTGACCTTCTGGGAGAAAACCGAGGGGTAAGAATCTGGTCCTGCAAAGATCTGGGCAAGAAATGTCCAGGTGTAGGGAACAGCGAGGTCAAAGTCACCATCACAAGGAAACGCTTGGTGTATTGAGGAGCAGCAGAGAAGTTGGAGTGAAGGCAGAGAGGGGTTAAGGTAGCATATACCTTGAAAG
The DNA here is from genome assembly GCF_000001405.40 of Homo sapiens. Taxonomy (NCBI): domain Eukaryota; kingdom Metazoa; phylum Chordata; class Mammalia; order Primates; family Hominidae; genus Homo; species Homo sapiens. Next base: position 32,761,524 of record NC_000020.11, read on the forward strand.
GGGAGGCTCCTATAGGGGCTTACAGGCGATATAAATCATTCATTCATTCAACACATATTTATTGAGCATCTACTGAGATCCTGTCCTTAGTTTACTGCGTGGAGACAGACCACAAGCAGGTAAACAAGCAAATATGTAAGTCCCAGGTCAGATAAATTTTAGGAAGTGCTGTTTTCCAGTGGTTCAATGGTCATCCCAGGGCAGAGGTGGGGAGACCTGCTGAGGGCGGCTTCTCCCTCAGTCAGTCCATGCCTGCAGGGTCTGGAACCCAGGTAGCCAGAGACCCGCTGGTCTTCTTTCCCCTCCCCTGCCCTCCCCTCCCTTCAAGATGGCTGACAAAGGCCGGGCTGGGTGGAAGGAAGGGAGGAAGGGCGAGGCAGAGGGTCCAAAGCAGGATGACAGGCAGGGGCACCGCGGCGCCCCGGTGGCACTGCGGCTGGAGGTGGGGGTTAAAGCGGAGACTCTGGTGCTGTGTGACTACAGTGGGGGCCCTGCCCTCTCTGAGCCCCCGCCTCCAGGCCTGTGTGTGTGTCTCCGTTCGGGTTGAAAGGAGCCCGGGAAAAAGGCCCCAGAAGGAGTCTGGTTTTGGACGTCTGACCCCACCCCTCCCGCTTAGGGCTTCTGATCCCCCAGGGTGATTTCACTGGCCCGGGGTTGGGAGGGCAGGGGGCCAGGGGGCGGAGCCCGCGGAGAGGGGCGGAGGGGAGGCTCCGAGCGATTTCAAATTTCCCTCGTCCCCGCCCCCCCGTTCCCCCCGCGCCCGGGCGGGGATCTGAGTGGCTGCGGCGGGGGCACCCCCGGGCGGGGGCGGGGCAAGAGCCGGGCCGGGGCTACAAGGGGAGTCGGCACCGCCCCCTCCCCACCCACTCCCGCTGCCCCGTCCGGCCCGCGCCGCTTCCTCGCAGCAGCTGCTCCCGGCTCCGCGGCCGCAGCCCGCGTGGACGCTCCGAGCGCCCCCCGACGGACGGGACCGGCTCCCTGGCGGTCGGGCGAGCGGGCGGCAACGCTGCCCGGCCGGCAGCGCTGGGGTTAAGTGGCCCAAGTAAACCTAGCTCGGCGATCGGCGCCGGAGATTCGCGAGCCCAGCGCCCTGCACGGCCGCCAGCCGGCCTCCCGCCAGCCAGCCCCGACCCGCGGCTCCGCCGCCCAGCCGCGCCCCAGCCAGCCCTGCGGCAGGTGAGCGCCCCGGGGCCCCGGGGAGGCTCGGCCGCCAGCTGCTTCGAGGGCTGCTAGGGGAGGGGACGGCGGGGGCTCCCGAAGCTGCCGGGGAGAGACCCTCTCCAGGGACCTCCCGAGGAGGGGCTCTCGCCGGGTTGGAGACCCGGCTGGGTTTGCGGGGTGAGGAAACGTCCACGGACCCTGCTTGGGGTGGAACGGGGACAGCGGGTGGGACGCGGGGGACATACGTCTGACGGGGACCGGAGATACTAGAGGAAGGGACGCGTCTGCTGCCTCCAGGAGCCCGAAGAGGAGAGAAGCTTGCTCGCAGGGAGGGGGACGCGCTGGCTTCCCGGGGTCCAGACTCGAGGAGGAGGAGGTGCCCGTCGAGAGCATGAACAGGGGCTTTGCTCATGGGCAGGGGGTGTAATTACCTGGCCTCTGCCTTGGGAAAAGTTAAGGGGCAGAGGAGGTGAGGAGGGGTTTCTGCCATGCAGGTGGGCGTCCGCCCCTTGCAACTGGGATGTGGGGTCTTCAGGCGAGGCGCTGTCCCTTCCCCCAATCCCAGCTTTAGGAAAGAGCTCGTGAGTGTGGGCTTAGACTCGCGCGGGCTGGGGTGTGCGCCGTGGAGGGCGTGAGGCAGAGGGCGACCTCCCGGGGTGCTCCTGAGCTGAGCCATCAAGCGCGGGGAGCAGCGGGGCTGCCCTCTGCCTGTGCACACCTGGCCCGGGAGGAGCCGGCCGGAGGGGCGGCGCCTCCCTGTCCCGGCCACGCCGCCTACCCTGGGGTCTTACCTTCCATTCTTAGCCTAACTCCCGTGTGCGGCTGGCCCCACTTCCCAGACTCGCACACTAAGGCCTCAAAACCTCTAGCACCAGCTCCTGGAAGATAAGCTTCCCGGCTCGTGGTTGCATGGGGAGGGTGTATTGAGCTCCACTTTATCGGGGAGAAAGTGGAAGCGGAGAAAGACCTAACAAGTTGTAAGACTGCGCTGCCCTTGGGCCCAGGCTTCCCGCTGGAGGATCTCACCTGTGGATGGAGTTCCGAGCCCAGGTCTTGCCCGCGCCTCCAGCTTTCCCTGCTCCCTTTTCCTCCCCTGGTCTAGGAGAGAGGCTCGCTGGGCCTCCGTGTTTCCACCCTCCCCCGAAGCTGGGAAGTGTTTGAATTAAAGGGAATTAAGGGCAGAGTATGAACTTTGAGTTGCCTCCTGAGTTCTGGATGCGGTGGGTTGTGGCAGACGGGTGGCAGTTTTTGGGAAACAGCTGTTATCTCCTCTACCAGGCCTGCTGGGGCTTCTTGTTCACCCACCTTGGAAACGCCAGGTGCGGACTTGATTTTTCCAGAGTTGAGATGATGGTACTTAGTTTATAGGGTTGGTATACAGTAAGCACTCAATACATGTTTGCCATTGTTGGAATCACTAGCTAGCACACGGGCTAAGCAAGCTTCCTTCCTTAAGGAAGCATAGTTCTTAGTTCATCATGTGTTTAAACCCTGTCTCGCCAAGTTCATTGCTCTCCGTGCCTTAATTATTACATCTGTGAATTAGCAATAGTCCTACTAATAGGGTTGTGTAAGGATGAAACCAGTCTTATGCGTGAATTAACCTCTTCAGCCCTTGATCTTCCTCAGATGTTTAGGCATAATAGCCTCTACCACATTGGGCCTGGGTAAAGAGGCAGTGGGATAGTGCCTGTGTAGGGTCAGCACATGGTGAGTGTTGATGTCTGTACTTAATAACGAATAGCCCCTCATTTTAGGGTGGCCATTCCTGAGATTTGGGGATGGAGGGAGGCACCCCTGCCAGCCTCTCCTTTTCCTGCCTTCATGAAGGCAGCTCTGAAAGCTTTTCTCAATCATTGTCCACGATTAGGGAGTTGGCAGGAAGAACCGCCTTTGTTCCCTTTCGAACGGAGTCTTGGTTTTGTTTTATAAGGGTTGGGGCCGTTTTTAAAGCCCTCCCGGCCACGCATGGGGGCCTACTGCAAAGGTGTAATTGCAGAACTAAGTGAGATCCTTTACCTTTTCCCATTGGGGTGGAGAGTGCTGAGACAAAGGGACAAGGACTGGGGCCAGTGGCATCCTGCTCTTAAAGTCATAGACATAACCCCCACCCCTTGCAAAGGATGGGGGGAGGGGAAGACGGTAGCTGGGAGCTGCAGGGGTCTAAGGGAGGAGCAAGGGAGGTGGGGTTGAGAGGCTGCTTCCTTCCCTTCCTCCAGCCACGTGGGGCCTGTGATCCAGAGGCGCCTGTCGCCCCTCATTATTGCAGCCCCATGGACCTGCTGCCAGTGGGGGCTTGGGCAAGTTCTTCAAGGAAAACTTACCTTGGGATTCCTTTTCCTAGACCAGCTCTTATGCCGGCTGCCTCACCTCCAGGCTCAGACGCCTTTTCCAGTTTCAGCTAAATGTGAAACTTTTCAGAGGTATGAGGTTGTGTGCTCTTCCTCACACACCAGTCCTTAGCCCAGGCACATACTACTAATTGAGTGGAGTTTTTTCTTTTAAATCATGAATTTTCAGGATGATTTCCAGTTTCACGGAGGACCAGGGCTGGTGAAGTATGGAATTCATTTCATGTGCAGGCCACTCTTGTAAAAAGAGACTGAGCAGATATGTCTCCCCTTTGTTGGGGGGCTCATGTTCTCACTGGGACCCTTTTACAGGTGATAGAACTGAGGCTCTGGAAGATACAGGTACTATTACGTCTTGGTGGTGAGCATTTTCTTTCTCTTTTTTTCTTTCTTTTTTTTTTTTTTGAGACAGTTTTGCTTTGTCACCCAGGCTGGAGTGCAGTGGTGTGATCTCAGCTCACTGCAACCTCTGCCTCCCGGGTTCAAGCAATTCTCCTGCCTCAACCTTCCGAGTAGCTGGGATTACATGCGCACACCACCACGCCTGGCTAATTTTTGTATTTTTAATTGAGACGGGGTTTCATCATGTTGGCAAGGCCGGTCTCAAACTCCTGACCTCAAGTGATTCACCCGCCTCGGCTTCCCAAAGTGTTGGGATTGTAGGCGTGGCTGTTACACCCGGCTGCTTTTTATTTATTTATTTATTTATTTTTTCTTTTTTTCTTTTTTTTTTTTTTTGAGACGGAGTCTGGCTCTGTCTCCCAGGCTGGAGTGCAGTGGCGCGATCTCCGCTCACTGCAAGCTCCGCCCCTCGGGTTCATGCCATTCTCCTGCCTCAGCCTCCCAAGTAGCTGGGACTACAGGCGCCGGCCACCATGCCTGGCTAATTTTTTTTGTATTTTTAGTAGAGACGGGGTTTCACCGTGTTCGCCAGGATGGTCTCAATCTCCTGACCTCCTGATCCACCCGCCTTGGCCTCCCAAAGTGCTGAGATTACAGGCGTGAGCCACTGTGCCTGGCTATGCTTTTATATGGGTGCTGCCTCACACCCATAATCCCAGCACATGGGAGACTGAGGCTGGAGGATCACTTAAGGCCAGGAGTTCAAGACCAGCCTGGCCAACGTGATAAAACCGTGACTCTACAAAAAATACAAAAAGTAGCCAGGCGTGTTTGTGCATGCCTGTAATCCGTGCTACTGGGAGGCTGAGGCACGAGAATTGCTTGAACCTAGGAGGTGGAGGTTGCAGTGAGCTGAGATCCTGCCACTGTTCTCCAGCCTGGGCGACAGACCGAGACCCTGTCTCTATGTGTATATATCTACGTAGATATAGATAGCTTAAGTTTTTTTTTTTATAAGGACAAGGTCTTGCTGTGTTGCCAAGGCTAACCTTGAAAGCCTGGGTCCAACGATCCTTCTGCCTCAGCCTTCCAAAGGCTTGGGATTACAGGTGTGAGCTACCACACATGGCCTCTAGGTCACTTTTCACTCAGATTTTTTCATTCATTCAAACAAAATAGCATAGGTATGACCTCTGCTCTAGTTTATTTTTTATTTACTTATTTATTTATATTTTGAGACAGTCTCGCTCTGTTGCCCAGGTTGGAGCGCAGTGGCGGTTGCTCACTGCAACCTCTGCCTCCCAGGTTCAAGCAATTCTCATGCCTCAACTTCCCGAGTAGCTGAGACTACAGGCATGCACCACCATGCCTGGCCAATTTTTGTTTTGTAAAGATGGGGTTTCACCTCATTGCCCAAGCTAGTCTCCTGGGCTCAAGCAATCTATCCTCCTCATCCTCTCAAAGTGCTGGGATTATAGACATGAGCCAACACACCCAAATTCAATTTTTTTTTAATTATTTTTATTTTTTGAGATGGAGTTTCGCTCTTGTCGCCCAGGTTGGAGTGCAATGGCGTGGTCTCGGCTCACTGCAACCTTTGCTTCCCGAGTTCAAGTGATTCTCCTGCGTCAGCCTCCTGAGTACCTGGGACTACGGGCGTGGTGGTGCATGCCCGGCTAATTCTGTATTTTTTTAGTAGAGATGGGGTTTCTCCATGTTGGTCAGGCTGGTCTCGAACTCCCAACCTCAGGTGATCTGCCCACCTCAGCCTCCCTCCCAAAGTGCTGGGATTATAGGCGTGAGCCACCGTGCCTGGCCCAAATTCAATTTTTAATGGGGTCCTTGTCTTGTTTTATGGGTACAACATCATTTATCTGCCTGAGAATATTGTAGGGTTTAGTGTTCCCTCGTGTTCCCGCCAATATTAAGGGATACTCAATTTTCCAGTACCTTGCCCTGTAGGTCTGGCTACAGGGCCAGGAGACTGGTGAGGTCTCAGTCTGGTATCTGTTCCTCCACTTGTCCCAGTCTGTAAGCTCTTGTGTGTGTTTTTTTTTTAATTATTTCTTTTGAGACAAGTCTCGCATTGTCACCCAGGCTGGAGTGCAGTGGTGCGATCATAGCTCACTGCAGCCTTGAACTCCTGGGCTCATTCCAGTATCCTCCCACTTCAGTCTCCAAAGTAGCTGGGACCTTAGTCACGTGCCACCACGCCCATCTAATTTTTAAAATTGTTTGTAGAAACATTAAAGTCTCACTATGTTGCCCCAGCTGGTCTCAAACTCCTCGGCTCAAGCAATCCTGCCTCAGTCTCCGAAAGTGCTGGGACTACAGGTGTGAGCCTGTGCGCCCAGCTGTCTCATGTTCTTGTCCAGAGCCTCAGCCTGCATGTCTGAAGAAGAGTGGTTGTCTCCAGAGCAGCAGGCTGAGGGAGGGGACTTGGGAGTCAAGGGTCTAACTCTTCCTTTGGAAGAAGGCCTCTCTCTTAGTAGGCTTTTCTGGATTCCAGCAGCATTTATGTCCTGTTGTATGTGTGTGTTCTGGGGCCAGAGCTGGGGCTGGAACCCAGGCTGCCACTGGGCCCCAGCTCCTGCAGAAGTGCTGATGCCTTTGTAGGGCGTTTGCTGCAGCCAGAACAGTGATGGGCCCTGGCAGCATGGCAACATGGCTCACTCTGTTGCTTAGGCTGGAGTGCAGTGGTGCGATCACAGCTTACTGCAGCCTTGAACTCCTGGGTCAAGTGATCCTCTCACCTCAGTCACCTCCTGAGTAGCTAGGACTACAGGTGAGAGCCACCAGGCTTGGCTAATTTTAATTTTTTTTTTTTTTTTTTTGGAGATGGAGTTTCACTCTTGTCGCCCAGGCTGGAGTGCAATGGCGGGATCTCGGCTCACCACAACCCCCGCTTCCCGGGTTCAAGCAATTCTGACTCAGCCTCCCGAGTAGCTGGGATTACAGGCATGCACCACCATTCCCGACTAATTTTGTATTTTTAGTAGAGATGGTGTTTCTCCATGTTGGTCAGGCTGGTCTCGAATTCCCCACCTCAGGTGATCCACCCGCCTCGGCCTACCAAAGTGCTAGGATTACAGGCATGAGCCTCTGTGCCTGGCTAATTTTAAAATTTTTTATAGAGATAGGCTCTCGGTATGTTGCCCAGGCTGGTCTCAAATTCCTAGGCTCAAGTGTAATCCCAAAGTGCTGGGATTACAGGTGTGAGCCACCATGCCTGGTCCCTTGCCTGCCTTTGATTCCTAATTACTATCATGGTTCCTGAAGCCTAGTAGAACTCATCTGAATGGATACAGGAGGCTCTGGAGATGGGAATGGGGAGGCACTAACTAGGGTCCCACTGAGCCAGCTACAGGCCCCCGCTCTTTTGTGAAAAGATGGTTGTGATGAAGACTTAAGTGTTCATTATATTCCAGGCAAGCCATTTTCTCTGACTCTGGGAGTTGTTTGGCACCATGGGTAAGGAAGCCCTACCCCGACAATGGCACTGGAGGAAGAGCCTCAAGCTTAGGCACTGGCTTTCCCAAGTCCTTGGGTGAATTTGCAAACCTCACCTGTGTCCTCATGTTGCCCTAGGATGTTACATGCTGAGCTGTAAGCAGGATGCTGAATTAGGGGAATTGCTCAGTACTAAATATGATTGTTACTACAACCACAAAACTAGCAAGGAGTAGAACTGCATTAAAACACTGTTGCAAATTTTTTTATTTTTTGAGACGGAGTCTTGCTCTGTCGCCCAGGCTGGAGTGCAGTGGCGAGATCTCGGCTCACTGCAAGCTCTGCCTTCCGGGTTCACGCCATTCTCCTGCCTCAGCCTCCCTAGTAGTAGCTGGGACTACAGGCGCCCGCCACCTTGCCCGGCTAATTTTTTGTATTTTTAGTAGAGACGGGGTTTCACCATGTTCGCCAGGATGGTCTTGATCTCCTGACCTCGTGATCTGCCCGCCTCGGCCTCCCAAAGTACTGGGATTACAGGCGTGAGCCACCATGCCGGGCCCACTGTTGCAAATTTCTTTCCAAAACCTCTGCCAGCACATGGCTGAACCCACAGAACTGGCAGGACACACAAGATGCGCTGGGTTAAGATGCTTTGGTGCTCTCTGTGGGTTCAGCTGACTGTTTTACAGGCCTGCTTCTTGACCGTTGGGGTGGGCAGATCTGAGCCCCCACTAGGTAATTGTGGACAGTTTTTGAAAAGTGGTTTTTATGTGAGATCATGGGCTTCTTTTAAAGCCATTTGTATATATGCAGTTCCCTTATCTGCAGGCCTTAATTTTGACATTTCTGTTTTCCTTCTCGAGATTTGTTTTCTGTCCCTGCAGTACTGCTTTTTCCAGAATGTCATATAAATGGAATCATACATTATTATTATTTTTGAGACAGCATCTCACTCTGTTGCCCAGGCTGGAGTGCAGTGGCACGATTTGGCACATTGCAACTTCCGCCTCCTGAATTCAAGCAGGAACCATACATTATATAGCCCTTCGAGTCTGGGTTCTTTTACTTATTGTGAGATATTTGAGATTTATTTGTGTTATGACACGTACTAGCAGTTATTTCTTACTTTTTAAAAAATTTTTTAAGACAGGTCTCTGGAGTTCAGTACTACAATCACAGCTCACTGTAGCCTCAACTCCAATGCTCCAGCAGTCCTCCCACTGCAGCCCCCACTGCCCAGTAGCTTCGACTACAGGCACTTGTGCACCACTATGCTCAGTTAATTTAAAAAAAAATTATTTTTGAGACAGGGTCTTGCTCTGTCACTCAGGCTAGAGTGCAATGGCATGATCTCAGCTCACTGCAACCTCCACCTCCTGGGTTCAAACGATTCTTCTGCATCAGCCTCCTGAGTAGCTGGAATTACAGGTGCCCGCCACCTCATCAGGCTAGTTTTTGTAATTTTTTTTTTTTTCTGAGGCAGAGTTTTTCACTCTTGTTGCCTAGGCTGGAATGCAATGGTGTGATCTCAGCTCACCGCAACCTCTGCCTCCCAGGTTCAAGCGATTCTCCTGCCTCAGCCTCCCAAGTAGCTGGGATTACAGGCATGTGCCACCACCACCAGCTAATTTTTGTTGGTTTGTTTGTTGTTGTTGTTTTAGTAGAGATGGGGTTTCTCCATGTTGATCAGGCTGGTCTCGAACTCCCGACCTCAGGTGAGCCGCCCACCTTGGCCTCCCAAAGTGCTGGAATTATAGGCTTGAGCCACCATGCTCCGCCTTACTTTTTTTTTTTTTTTCCTTTTGAGACAGAGTTTCGCTCTTTGCCCAGGCTGGAGTGCAATGGCATGATCTTGGTTCACCACAACCTCCGCCTCCCGGGTTCAAGTGATTCTCTTGCCTCAGCCTCCTGAGTAGCTGGGATTACAGGCATGTGCCACCATGCCCGGCTAATTTTGTATTTTTAGTGGAAACGGGGTTTCTCCGTGTTGGTCAGGCTGGTCTTGAACCCCTGACCTCGGGTGATCTGCCTGCCTCAGCCTCCCAAAGTGCTGGGATTACAGGCATGAGCCACCATGCCCGGCCTAAATTTTTTTTTTGTAATGTTGGGGTCTCACTTTGTTGCCCAGGCTGATCTTGAACTCCTGGGCTCAAGCAATCCTCCTGCCTAGGCCTCCCACATTGCTGGGGTTACAGGCATGAGCCACTGTCCCTGGCATCTTTTTTTTTGCTGTGAATATAACATTTCTAGCTTTTCTTTGTGTTGTGATTTTTACCTTTTCAATACATAGTGTGCAAGGACATATTTTCTGGTTACGATAGAAATAATTTATTTGAAAGTCTATCCATGTTGAAACAACTAAAAATGCTGTGCCTTTATCTGTTGGTAGAAGAACTAAGCTCCCTTAAAGAAATCTAGAGAGCAGAAGAGAACAGGAAATGAGAGACCACAAACTAAAGGGAGAAAATGAACTTTTCAATAAGGCTTGCAGGCTTGCTCTAGCAGTTGTAGTGATTAAAAGTAGTGGCAATGGCTGGGTGCAGTGGCTCACACCTGTAATCCCAGCACTTTGGGAGGCTGAGGTGGGCGGATCGCCTGAGGTCAGGAGTTCGAGACCAGCCTGGCCAGCATACTGAAACCCTATCTCTACTAAAAATACAAAAATTAGCCGGGCGTGGTGGCATGTGCCTGTAATCCCAAGGAAGCTGAGGCAGGAGAATCACTTGAACCCAGGAGGTGGAGGGGTTACAGTGACCCGAGATCATGCCATTGCACTCCAGCCTGGGCAACAGAGCAAGACCGCATCTCAAAAAAAAAAAAAAAAAAGGAGTGGTAAAGGATAAATACCAAACAAAAGTGAGCCTCAAAACATATTACATATATATGGGAAGTTCAAATAAGAGATAGAGTTGGGATGTATTCATAGGTGTCTGGCTTTACTTACGGGGAAAAATATTAGGTCCCTATCTCATACCATATACAAATAATCAAATAATTATGTTGATTAAACCTGAGTGGCCTAATTCAAATAAATGTTTCTCAGACAGGCGAGTTATGTTTTCCGATTGTAAAAGTTACATGGGCTTAAGGTAGTTACCCCCCAAACCTTCCTTCTGAGTATGAATTTTTATAGTTAGAGAAGAAATGCTGCAGAGAAATGGCTTAAACATCAATAATTGATGTTGCATTATGCAGGTTTCTTGTTTTCACTTTACATAACTTTGTCTAACAATAAGTACTGCACTCTTTGCCCCCTATTGTGGAAGCAGGTAATTTAGTCAACCAGTCCTCTTGACCGTGATTTGATTGCAGTGTTTGCTATGACAAATGGGACTGCAGCAACCCCCTTGCACAGAGGCCTTGGCGAGAGCTTTGAACTGGGTGGTTTCTGAGCAGTAGAATCCTGTGTAACAGGATATAGACATTAGGCATTTTAGATGACACAGTGAAGATTACTATCCCAAAGACTGAACCAGTATCCCTGCTGTGTAGGTATTTAGGCTTAAGATGACTAAATACTGTGTAGATAGGTAGACTTGAGATTTAAGGCGTTCTTAGTTGAAGCCACAGGTGCAGCCTGCTGTGAGGGAGGGGCCAAGGTTGAGGGGGTCTCTTTCCAGAATATTGACCTCCTTTGCCCCCTTGGGAGGGGACAGGGCTGTTGGCTCTGATTTTGCCAAGGGGTAGGTGGCCACAGGAATTGGGCATAGCAGTGCCTAGGATTCTGCTCCAATGCTGCCCCTCATTCTCTGAGTTACCATTGACCACTCCTTGGGGCTGCCACACCCTTCAAGGGGTTCTCAAAGTGGATATAGGGGAAGGGGCTGGGTGTTTGTGATTTCTGTATAAAGGGCAAAAAGTTTAGACTCTAAAGTTACTGTCATATCTTTTCAGATCTTTATGGTCCTAGTTTTTTTTTTCCTGTTACTTATCTAAAAGGTAATGACATTATTTTATTCCAGTGCGTTGACAAACATCTGAGTATATTTTGGTGTCATGCACAGTCTGCAGATAGCCACTTGTCTGGTTTTTCCCTGTTTGGACACATTTTTTTTTTTTTTTTTTGAGATGGAGTTTCGCTCTTGTTGCCCAGGCTAGAGTGCAATGGCACGATCCCGAGTAGCTGGGATTACAGGCATGTGCCACCACCCCGGCTAATTTTGTATTTTTAGTAGAGAGCGGGGTTTCTCCATGTTGGTCAGGCTGGTCTTGAACTCCCGACCTCATGTAATCCGCCCTCCTCGGCCTCCCAAAGTGCTGGGATCACAGACGTGAGCCACTGTGCCTGGCTTTTTTTTTTTTTGAGAGGGAGCCTGAGCCTGTACTGTTGCCCAGGCTGGAGTGCAGTGGCTCACTGCGACGTCCACCTCCCGGGTTCAAGCGATTCTCCTGCCTCAGCCTCCTGAGTAGCTGGGACTATAGGTGTGTGCCACCACGCCTAGTTTATTTTTTGTATGGACACACTCTTCTGATAATTCTGCTTACTATGCCAAGGGCCCAGCTTCTACTGTAGGATGACAGTGGTACATGTACTCATGACCTAGAGGCACTGAGCAATTCCCCAAACGCATTCTGAATTGTGGAGGGTGATGGGGTGGATACTTCTTGATTGGCCCTGTGGTGTGGTGCTGTGGTGGGTAGCCAGATGGCACATGAGAATAAGTGACTTCAGGTATCATGACTGTGTCATCTATGTAGGGGTCCTTGGTACCAACTTCCCAGTGAATTGGGTGGGTTACTTTATTTCACAGATTATAAAACTGGGGTTTGAGAGAAATATTGGGCTTTTTTTTTTTTTTTTTATAACAGGGTCTTGTGCTGTCACTGGGCCTAGAGTGCAGTGGCATGACGATAGCTTTACTGCAGCCTCAACTTCCGAGGCTTAGGTGATCATTCCCCATCAGCCTCCGAGGAGGTGGGACTACAGGCGAGTAGCTAGGACTACAGGGGCAGGCCGACACATTCAGCTAATTTTAAGAAATATTTTAATAGAGAAGAGGTTTTGCTGTGTTGCCCAGGCTGGCGTTGAACTCCTGAGCCCAAGCTCAAGCCTTGGCCTCCTAAAGTGGTGGTATTAACAGGCATGAGCCACTGCGCCCGGCAGTGGTTTTTTTTTTTTTTTTTTTTTTTTTTACGCTTTCCTGTAAATCTGATGTTTTCTGGAATTTAGGGTAAGTTCCTTATCAGACAGAGCAAAAGCACAGTACTGGGACCTTGTGTTCTGTCATGTGTTCTGCTGCCGCCGCCAGTGTGGACAGCCTGAGTCTGGCCCCCTTTCCTTTGGATGTGCTGTCCCTGCTGCCTGGATCCTTCCCGCTCTCTACTTCACCTAGGTGTGGTGTCCCTCCCTGGGCTTACTTACTGCATTGTTTTATGGTGTCTTTTTTTTCTTTTTTTTTTGAGACGGAGTCTCGCTCTGTCACCTAGGCTGGAGTGCAGTGGTGCTATCTCCGCTCACTGCAAGCTCTGCCTCCCAGGTTCACACCATTCTCCTGCCTCAGCCTCCGGAGTAGCTGGGACTACAGGTGCTCACCACCATGCCCGGCTAATTTTTTGTGTTTTTAGTAGAGACGGGGTTTCATCATGTTAGCCAGGATGGTCTCGAGCTCCTGACCTCGTGATCTGCCCACGTCGGCCTCCCAAAGTGCTGGGATTACAGACCTGAGCCACCGCGCCTGGCCTTTTTTTTTTTTTTTTTTTTTTAGATTCAAGAAGTACATGTGCTTGTTTGTTGCATGGGTTTATTACTTACTGGTGGGGATTGGGCTTCTGGTGTATCCATTACCGAAAGAGTGAACGTTGTACCTGATAGGTGATTTTTCAACCCTTGCTCCTTCCCATCCTCCCGTCTTTTTGGGGTCTCCCATGTCTTGTCTTGTCTTGTCTTGTCTTTTTTCTTTTCTATTTTGAGATGGAGTCTCCCCCTTGTCGCCCAGGCTGGAGTACAGTGGCACGATCTCAACCTCACTGCAACCCCCGCCTCCCGGGTTCAAGTGATTATCCTGCCCAGCCTCCTGAGTAGCTGGGATTACATGCGCCCACCACCACGACCGGCTAATTTTTTTTTGTATTTTTAGTAGAGACTGGTTACACCATGTTGGTCAGGCTGGTCTCGAACTCCTGGCCTCAAGTGATCAACCCGCTTCAGCCTCCCAAAGTGCTGGGATTACAAGCGTGAGCCACCGCGCCTGGCCTAATTTTTTTATTTTTAGTAGAGATGGGGTTTCACCATGTTGGCCAGGCTGGTCTTGAACTCCTGACCTCGGGTGGTCCACCTGCCTCAGCCTCCCGAAGTGCTGGGATTACAGGCTTGAGCCACTGCACCTGGCCCTAGATTTCTCTAACATAGGCTGTGGAGGTGGAATTTTTATTTATTTTTTCTTTAAATCAATACTCTCCACTGAATGTAGGATTTTAGTTTTTAATTTTTTACTGCACCCCAGGGGTTGGGGCAGATACCAAAGTGACCCCCCTTCCTGCATTGTGAGGTTTAATTAATGCAATTAACATTTACGAAGTGCTCTGAAACAGCTCTGCTGCTGGTATCAGCCTGGAGGAAGTGAGTGACATCAGTTCTCAGCATTACTGCTGGGTTGGGGCGAGTCCCTGAGCCTCCTCTGAGTCTAATTGGGGGTTGCCACCTACCCCTCTGTCTGCCACATTGCATTTGAGTACATCTGACCTGGTTCAGTCGGGGCACAGGCACCCTGCTGCACTAATGAGGAAGGCCCCTCGGGGAGAAGCTTGTGGGTGGGCCCACCCAGCACTGCTGCCCACTCTGAATCACACGCTGGACCCCAGCCTCTGGGAAAGGGTCAGAGTTCACCTCTCATCACAAGGTTAGGCAGCCACCTCCTGTGAAGGGAAACGCTCAGCTGGTATATCATGTCCCAGCCACGAAGCTCCCTTCATCCCTGGGATGGGTGATGCATTCATTGTTCATAACTTCTGTAATTCTTGTCTGTCTTGTCTCAGTTACGGCAATTCCAGGCACGTGCCCTGGATTGCCTGGGCATGAGATTTGGCACTGCCACTTCTCTGGGTGACTTAACTCATCTGAGTCTGTTGAAGGCAGGGGGATAATAAGACCTGCCCCAGGATGGGGTGGGGGTTAAAGGAGGTGGCAGACAGGCTGGGTGCAGTGGCTCACGCCTGTAATCCCAGGCCAAGGCGAGTAGATCACCTGAGGTCAGGAGTTTGAGACCAGCCTGGCCAACATGGTGAAACCACGTCTCTTCTAAAAATACAAAAATTAGCCAGGCATGGTGGTGCAAGTCTGTAATCCCAGCTACTCGGGAGGCTGAGGCAGGAGAATCGCTTGAACCCGGGAGGTGGAGGTTGCAGTGAGCCGAGATCGCGCCACTGCACTCCAGCCCAGGTGACAGAGACTTGATCTTAAAAAAAGAAAAAAAAAAAAAAATCCATGGTGGTAGACAGTGTTCAGCCTACAGTAAGTAGGGCCCTGGGAACTGTTAGCTACTTAATGTTACAGTGGCAGTGTGGGATGATGCAGTTCTAAATCCAGCATGTCTGCCACTCTGGATAGGTCATATTAGATAAAGCAGTTGGCTTGTGATGGGGGCCATGTTATCTGGAAATGCCAGCCTTGAATCATGAAGTCAGTGAGATACATAGAAAAGAGGTGGGGGAGATTTGTATCCACTGGTACACACCTGATGCTAATTTAATTTCTCTTGTCCTGATTCTAAGAACATGTAGTTAAATTTGTATGTTATTTACTTTCCCTATATATTGATCAAGGAGGTAGTATGTCAGTCTCTGTCTTGGTTTCTCCATCTGCAAAACAGGAATAACAGTACTTACCACATTTAAAGGTTAAATGAGTTAAGATAAGTAAAGCCAAAACAGTGCCTGACACATAGTAACACTGAAAAAAAGATGACCTTATTGGGGGGATTTTTATATATTTATATATGTGGGAAGAAAGGCCTAGGAGAGAAGCTTTTATTCCTGGATTTTGAGCTGTGGGTTTTGAGGTCTGAGAAAGGAAGCAGGAGGTGTAGGGAGTTGGGGAGGGCTTCCAGGCTGAGAGAACACAGCAGCACATGCCTCGAGGCTAGATTGTCTTGGCCTGCGTGTAGACTGAAGCGGGGTGGGGGAGGAACTGAGCTGGGCATCTTTAGTCATGGGTGCAGGTTCTGAAGTTGGTGTGCGCTGTCTACACAGCTGTGGCTATAAGGCAATGAGGGTAGTTAATTTCACTACAAACGTAGGGTCGTGATAAAAACAGAAGGAATTTTAAATGAAATCACATTGAATTATGCAACGAGAAGAAAGCATATATAAGTGCTCAGCTTGCTCCTGGGGGACACCCAGGTAGCTAGTGCCATTTATTGTGGGTTTTCTTCCTGGACTGTCTCTCCAGTACCCACAGGTCTTGTTCTAGGGGCTTGAGGCTTTTCCTGAATGTTGAGATATGGGTTTTGGAAGGTGTGCTGCCCACACGTTGGGTAGGCTGGTGGCCAGTTGGCACTGCTGAGGCCCTGGGGGAAGGCCCAGGGTGGTTAATCATTGTCAGCCTGGGTCTGTCTAGGAGGTGAGACTCCTGTCTGGCTTCTTGTTGACCCAGTTAGGGCCTGTCTGAGGAATGGGGTTCAATGTTGCCTGCGAAACCCAGCACACATTAGAACCCCAGGCCCTGGATGAAGGCGAAGGAGGTCACATCCTTCACTCCAGGCCTCTGGTCTGCTACCAGCTCCTGGCCACAAACAAACCCTGTGTGTCCTCCCCCCAGAGCACTTTGGGGAGGTGGACCCTCCTGGAGACACCAGGTACACCAGGTAGCCCCACCTCCCACTCTATGCCAGGCCCACTAGGTTACTTAGTTCACTGATTTGGCCTGAGGTGAAACGCTTGAAATTAATGATTATTCTGAACCGACACCGCAGCAGCTTTCCTGGGATTCTGACTGCTTTGTCTCATAGGAACTGGCCATAGGTCAGCCAGCCTGTTCTTCCGGGTCAGGGCTTGGGAGAAAAAGGGCTGAGAAGCAGCTGATTGGTCTGATTCAGGCACGTCCCTTGTCCTTGGTAGGGGAAATTCCTTAACAGGTGCTGATACACACTCTGGATCATGTGAAGCACAGAAAGCCTATGTGTTATGTATCAGCGCACATGTTTATAATCTGAACAATGCTGCTTTAACATGCATATTAATCACCTAGGCATGACTTGTGTGTGTTAAAATGTCTTGTGAAAATCCCGCTTCAGGCCGGGTGTGGTGGCTCACGCCTGTAATCCCAGCACTTTGGTAGGCTGAGGTGGGCAGATCACGAGGACAAGACATCGAGACCATCCTGGCCAACATGGTGAAACCTGTCTCTACTAAAAATACAAAAATCAGCTGGGCGTGGTGGCGCATGCCTGTAATCCCAGCTACTCAGGAGGCTGAGGCAGGAGAATCGCTTGAACCTGGGAGGCAGAGGTTGCGGTGAGCTGAGATCGTGCCATTGCATTCCAGCCTGGCGGAGGTCGCACCACTGCACTGCAGCCTGGCGACAGAGGGAGACTCTGTCTCAAAAAAAAAAAAAATGAAAACCCTGCTTCAGGACATCTAGCTTAGTGGTGGAGATTTCTCCAGCCAGCTCCCACTTCCAACAGTTCTTCCAAGCAGCTCTCAGTTCATGGTACTGTAGCCTGCGTGGCTCCTGGGCCACACAGGGAGTAGCAGCAGAGGTCCAGTTGCCCCATGCCATGGGCAGGTGCAGGGTCTGGAATTGGGAGCTCTCACCACAGATTGCACCTCTGCCTGGGGGCGCCACTGGGCTCATCAGACTGAGCTCACGGTGCCCCCTGGTGGGCGATGCCAGTGGCGCCAGTGCAGCTTGGAGCCCGCAATACAAGGTGTGGCTTCTAGAAGGTACCCTGGTTTGAGATGCTGAGGTGGGAGGATCCCTTGAGGCCAGGAGTTTGAGGCCAGCCTGGGCAACATAGCCAGACTCTGTTTCTACAAAAAATTAGCCACACCTGGTGGCACACACCTGTGGGCCCAGCTGGAGGATCACTGAAGCCCTGGGAGTTGAAGCCTACAGGGAGCCGTGATCACGCCACTGCACTCCAGCCTGGGTGACCAAGTGAGACCCTGTCTCTAAGATAGATGGATGGATGGATGGATGGATGGATGGATGGATGGACAGATAGAAGATAAACTGCGAGGCTAGCACGGGTTGTCTGGCAGGGGCTGGTATGTCTCCACGATGGAGCCCGAGGCAGGGAGGCCCGGTGCATATGGCAGCAGCTTATTGGGGAAGCTTTTCCCAGGCACGGTTCCAGGACACAAGGGTGTGGTGTGAGTGACCTGGAGCTGTTTGTGGTTCAGGGATGGGGGCCTGGAGGTCTCATTATGCCTAGGCTTTTATAATATTTTTGCCAACCAAAGGTGGAACAAAAAGCAAAGGCAAGTGACTTGGAAAACTCGGTTTCAGCGGGGATTTATGCCCTGAAGTTTTTTACTCGTTCTCTATCTAATCCTGGCCCTACCTCTTAGATGGGCTATATGACCTTGGAGAATAACCTAGTCTGGATGTCAGTTTTCTTTTTCTAGAAGGTGAGCTCCCCAGTCTCCCTAGGGGGAGATACAGGTTGTTGCATCCAACAAAATCTGTGTGCCCATAATGTTGCAGGCAATGGGCCAGCCCAGAGGTTATAGCCTGCCAACCCATCCGTATGGCCCTGGCCCTGTGTGTTAGCTGATTTACCTGACCAGGAGGGGCAGCAGTGGGGAGGCCAAGTCCCAGAGGTGAGGGTGAGGCTACAATGGATCTGGGGAGTCCCCCTCCTGGTAACTGCCCCCAGGCTTTCTGCCTGTGCCTCCATCCTTCCCTCCTTGGGAACTTGGGACTCTGAGCCCCAGCTGGTGAGGGAGGAGGGGAGTGAGCGACAGGCCAGCAGACCAATGGGCCCTGGAGGATGGGGTGAGGCGGGGCTTGTGCTGCCATGGAGAGGAGAGAAGCGGTTCTGTGGGGGAGGAGGGGGTGGGTGGGAAGAGGACCTGGAGATTGAGGGGAAGGGAGAGAGCAAACAAAGGGGTCAGGAGGGAAAATAATGCACTGGCTTCCTGAGCCCCTGCAGAGGCTGAGCAGGGAGAGGGGGCCAGGGCCAGAGGGGACAGAGGCTGGCGGCAGACGGGCCGGGACAGGCAGGTCCTAAATGGCATTGTTTGAAGGGGCCGGCTAATTGCACAGAGCAGTCTGAGCCTGAGACCCCAGCCCTGGCCTCCCCACTCTGTCCTGGGTGCTGGCGTCTGAGCCTTCGGGACAGCCTGTCCACATGGAACCAAGTCCTGAGCCTCCAAGCTTGGTGAGGGGGAGGCTATGGGGGGCAGCCTGGGTGGGGTACTTGGGCAAGAGCATCACCCTAAGAATGCATCCTGGGGCCTTGGCCTGAGAACACAGAGCCCATGGCGGGGGAACACTGTCCCTCTCATGTCCCTGCTTCCCTTTCACCCCACCCATTCTGGCTTCTCCCACAGGAAAGCATGAAGGGAGACACCAGGCATCTCAATGGAGAGGAGGACGCCGGCGGGAGGGAAGACTCGATCCTCGTCAACGGGGCCTGCAGCGACCAGTCCTCCGACTCGCCCCCAATCCTGGAGGCTATCCGCACCCCGGAGATCAGAGGTGGCTGGGCAGTGGGGACTGGGGTGGTGTCAGGCGCTGACATAGTGAGCGGTCACTGCAGACAACTGGAGGCTTTGGGGAGAGTCTCTGACAACCTCCACCACAATTCCCCGGGAGGGAAGAGAGCTCTAGCAAGGAGGGATGCAGGGTCGAGCCCTTCACACCTGCCCGCAGCCCTTGGCCTCCCCTTTGGGACTCTCATCTCAGCTGGGACTCTGAGCGTGACACAAGGGTGATGGTTCCCTGTCCTCTGCCAGTCATGACAGGGGTGGTCTCAGCATGGGCCCTTGGAGAGCCCTTCTGCAGTGGGACCCTCTCCCCACTCAGAGCTGGGCTGGGGTTGGGAGGGGGAGGTCTGGAGTGTGCTTCCTTTCCACCCTGCCCTGAGCAGCTCCAGCCAGCTCACTTGGGATCCCGCCCCAGCTGGGTTGGAAAGCCCTGCATTGTCCTCTCAGCTGTGCCATCCCATGGAACTTCCTGCGAGCGTGAAAGGGTTCTATTTCTGCATTGTTCCCCACAATAGCCACACTCTACATGGGAGCACTTGAGAAGCGGCTGACACAGCAGGCAGTGAATTGTTCCTGGAAATGTAGTTAGTGGTCCCTGGATGGGCAGCACCCTGCTGGAAGGAATCGGAGGGCTCCCCTTGGTAACTTCAGTGTTGGTTTGGGTCCTGTCACGTGCCTGGCCCAGGGCTCTGTTGTCTTAGGAATAAAATCAGTGGAGAAGATGAACGATACTGACGGACTGAGAGCAAATCCCTGTGGCTGACAATAGTGTAGGGGAGATCCCAGGCCACGCCACGGAGAAAAGCCCCTATTAGCAAGGCCGTTCCCCAGACTGGTGCCTGCCCCCACAAAACAGACTCCTGGCTGTTTCCTCTACAGGCCGAAGATCAAGCTCGCGACTCTCCAAGAGGGAGGTGTCCAGTCTGCTAAGCTACACACAGGTATGGTCTCTGCTCTCCCTTTTTCAGGGCTCAGGGACTTTGTCTTTGGCTTTCATCACGTGGGCTGCCTGAGGCCCATAAAAACTGGCATCTGCAAATGTATGGAGGGTTGCCGAGCTAGATGCTTTCTGCATATATTTGGCATTATTTTTTCAATCTGGACGATCAGTTACATTGCTAAATCTCTAATATGGTAGTCCCCTCTTATCTGTCATTTTGCTTTCCACGATTTCAGTTGCTTGCAGTCAACTGCCGTCTGAAAGTATTAAATGGAAAATATTAAATGGTAAATCCCAGAAATAAACAATTTATACATTTTAAATTGAGTGCCATTCTGGTAGCATGATGGAATCTTGCACTGTCCTGCTCCGTCCTGCCCAGGATCAGTCCTGTCTTTGTCCAACATCTCTATGCTTAGGTGCTACCTGCCTGTTAGTCACTTGTAGCCGTCTCCGTGATCAGATCAGTTGCAGTATCACAGTGGTTGTGTTCAAGTAGTGCTTGTTTTACTTAATAACGGCTCCAAAGTGCAGGAGTGATGACGCTGGCAATTCAGTTATGCCAAAGAGAAGCCATGAAGTGTTTCCTTTAAGTGAAAAAGTGAAAGTTCTCAAAAAGGAAAGAAGAAATCATATGCTGAAGTTGTTAGATCTGTGGTAAGAACAAATCTTCCAGCCGTGAAATCATGAAGAAGGAAAAATAAATGCATGCTAGTTTTACTGTTGCACCTCAAACTGCAAAAGTTATGGCCATGTTGTGTGATAAGTGTGTAGTTAAGATGGGAAAGGCATTAAATTTGTAGGTGGAAGACATGAACAGAAATATGTTCTGATTGACAGCAGTGCTTTGTGCCAGGGAGCATTGAGCCTATAGCAAGGGATCCCCTGACACCAAACCATTTACTTCAAGTAAGGGATGGTTACATAGATTCAAGAATAGGTTTCTACTGAAAACTATAAAAATGACTGGAGAGGCTGCATTTGCCAATGAAAAACCTGCTGCTACATTTTCAGAAGAGTTGAAGTTGATTGAGAAAGGAAACAATCCAAAACTAAGACTGCAGTGAAACCAGACTCCTCCAGAAGATGATGTCTAATAGAACCTACCTTCATAAAAGTGCAAAGGAGGAAGACACTAGGTCATAAACCATGGAAGGACAGATTAACCCTGAATAGAGTACAAGAAGATATTTTGAGAGAGAAACCACATTCATATGGCTTTTATTAACAGTATATTGTAATTGCTCTATTTTATTATTAGTTGTTAATCTGTGCCTAATTTATAAATTAAACTTTATCATAGGTATGTAGATATAGACAAAAACAGAGCACATATAGGGTTCCATCTTCCAAGGTGTCAGGCAGCCATGGGGGGTCTTGCATGTATCCCCCCTGGATAAGGGGAGACTACTGTATAGCAAACTGTCTTTTTATTCCTGGAATGAGTCCAACTTGGTTATGGTGCATTTTGAAGTTGATTTTATTCATGTATTCATGAATGAAATGGGTATTTTTTTTTATTCATTTATTTTTGAGATGAAGTCTGTTGCCCAGGCTGGAGTGCAATGGCATGATCTCTGCTCACTGCAACTTACTGCCTCCCAGGCCCAAGCGATTCCCCTGCCTCAGGCTCCCGAGTAGCTGGGACTACAGGCAATGGACCACCATACCCAGCCAATTTTTTTGTATTTTTAGTAGAGATGGGGTTTCACCATGTTGGCCAGGCTGGTCTCGAACTCCTGGCCTCAAGTGAGCCACCTGTCCCGGCCTCCCAAAGTGCTGGGATTACAAGTGTGAGCCACCATACCTGGCCCATTTTATTTCTTTAAATATATCTATGGTTTTGATGTTAGGATTAGGTGGGCTCAAGGAATTTTTTTTACAAGCTGGAAGAAACTTGTCTAAGCTTATTTTAATGAATTTCAAACAATTATATCTTCTAAGACTTGCTACATTATCAAGCTTTCTACTTCATTTACTTTTCCAAGGTTGGATCTTTCCCATCTTGTTTTGTGTTCCTTCCTTTACTGACACCGTCTGTTTCCTAATTATTCTTAGTAGAGTTTGTCAATTGGGTTGGTTTTGCTCAGAGCCAGTATCAGTCATAAAAGTCCTGGGCAATGAAAACTCACCCTCAGCTTCCATTCTCTTGGTGGTGGCCAACCTACTTAGGGGACTCAGAAGGTGGGGAACCTAAGCCCTGGGAGGAATTAGGGCAGCTGCAGGATCAGAGGCTCAGCACTGCTGTTTTGTTTCTGGTAGCTAGTTACCAGAAACAGTAATGAAATCTCTTGCCCACACGTTTCTTTTTGTTTGTTTGTTTTGTTTTGAGACAGAGTCTCCAGTCTGTCGCCCAGGCTGGAGTGCAATGGCACGATCTCGGCTCACTGCAACCTCCGCCTCCCAGGTTCAAGTAATTTTCCTGCCTCAGCCTCCCAAGTAGCTGGGCTTACAGGCGTGCACCACCATGCCCAGCTAACTTTTGTATTTGTATTTGTATTTTTTTTTTTTTTTGAGATGGAGTCTTACTCTTGTTCCCCAAGCTAGAGTGCGGTGGCGCGATCTCGGCTCGCTGTAACCTCCACCTCCCAGGTTTAAGCGGTACTCCTGCCTCAGCCTCCTGAGTATGAGTAGCTGGAATTACAGGCACATGCCACCATGCCCTGCTAATTTTTGTATTTTTAGTAGAGACAGGGTTTCGCCATATTGGCCAGGCTGGTCTTGAACTCCTGACCTCAGGTGATCCACCCGCGTCGGCCTCCCAAAGTGTTGGGATTACACGCCTGGCCTAATTTTTGTATTCTTAGTAGAGATGGGGTTTCACCATCTTGGCCAGGCTGGTCTGGTGACCTCAGGTGACCTCAGTCTGCCCCAGACTCCCAAAGTGTTGGGATTACAGGTATGAGCCACCACACCCTGCATATTATTTGATTCTTGATGTAACCCTGTTGTGCTATGAGGGAAGTACTGTTATTCCAATTTTAAAATGAGGGAAATGGACTCAAAGCCACACAGTTGGTGAGTGAAGGCAAGTGCTTAACACTCCAGCCAGACCTAGCTGCTCGCTGCTTCAGCTTTTGTGTTTGGCTTATGCTGGGTTTTGGTGTGAGGTGTGAGGCCTGCACGAGGAAGCCCTGATGACATGGTGCAGGTTTCATGCCATTGCTTCCGGGGCATCTGTCGTGGTTGGTCTGTGTCTGCACCCATATGCAGTGTGTTGTGATGAGTGACCCGGTCTCCCTGCCAGGCACAGGCGATCAGTCTTTCATATTGCAGGTGCCTTGTTTCTTTGACTTGCTGATACCCTGGGGTCTTCATCATGTTCATCATGTTTCCTTATAAAGGACTTGACAGGCGATGGCGACGGGGAAGATGGGGATGGCTCTGACACCCCAGTCATGCCAAAGCTCTTCCGGGAAACCAGGACTCGTTCAGAAAGCCCAGCTGTAAGTAGCCACACCTCGAGCCAAAGCACTTGTGGCCAACACTCTACATAGCATACATAGCATGCTACATACATAGCATAGCTCCTTAGGGGAGCTTTTAAGAGAAAGTGATGAAAAAATGTTTTGAAACTAGAAAATATAAGCAAGGCTCTTGGACTATTGTTGGAGGGTTTTCTTTTTTCTTTTTTTTTTTCTGAGACGGAGTCTCACTGTGTTGCCCAGGCTGGCGTGCAATGGCGTGATCTTAGCTCACTGCAACAACCTCTGCCTCCTTGGTCCAAGTGATTCTCCTGCCACAGC
This sequence comes from Homo sapiens, assembly GCF_000001405.40. Classification (NCBI taxonomy): domain Eukaryota; kingdom Metazoa; phylum Chordata; class Mammalia; order Primates; family Hominidae; genus Homo; species Homo sapiens. Next base: position 32,785,160 of record NC_000020.11, read on the forward strand.
CTCCCAAGTAGCTGGGACTACACGCACCTACCACCACACCCGGCCAGTTTTTGTATTTTCAGTAGAGATGAAGTTTTACCATGTTGGCCAGGCTGGTCTCGAACTCTTGACCTCAGGTGATCCACCCACCTTGGCCTCCTAAAGTGCTGGGATTTCAGGTGTGAGCCACTGCGCCCGGCTGGAAGGTTTTCTCTATGTGCCATTTCTTTCAGGTGGTTTTTAAGTTCTTTCTTGTAACACTCTTGGAGGTGCCTAGGGGTGATAGAGTTTGCAGGGTGGATGGCTCAGCTGCTAATGACCTAGGGAGTCCACCATTTCTGTGGGTGGATTTTGTGCCTCAGAGTTTTGAGGTATGGCAATGGGAAGGCAGTTATTGCTTATGGTCACCCAGCCCTTTAGAGACCAGACTGACAGTTACTATCCCAGGTGTGGGTTACAGTCTTCCCTTCCCAGGATATGGTCTGTATCATCCCCTTTGTGGAGATGAGAGAAGATTCCAGCAACTTAACTGAGGTTAAACATCAACTCTTCTATGCATAATTTGGACACAGGTTCTGCAACAACCAAATTCATGCCATTTTTGACAATGAACATGGAGCCTAAGGAATTCTATTCCATCTTGATGATCTGGTGCCTTCCTGAACCCAGTAATTGGCCTTATGCTTCTTTGACATAAAAGTTTATTTTAGAGTGAACACGAATTTTTCTTTCTTTCTTTCTTTCTTTTTTTTTCTTTTTTTTTGAGATGCAGTCTCACTGTGTTGCCCAGGCTGGAGTGCAGTGACGTGATCTCAGCACACTGCAACCTCTGCCTCCCTGGTCCAAGTGATTCTCCTGCCTCAGCCTCCTGAGTAGCTGTGACTACAGGCACCCACCACCATGCCTGGCTAATTTTTGCATTTTTAGTAGAGATGGGGTTTCACCATTTTATCCAGGATGATCCTGAATTTCTGATTGCAAGTGATCTGCCCGCCTTGGCCTCCCAAAGTGCTGGGATCACAGGCATGAGCGAGCCACTGCGCTTGGCCAGATTTTTATTTTTCAATCCCAATTGGCAGGTGCCATTTCAGCTGGCCATGTCTGTCTGCTGTGACAGGCAGAGCAGGACCTGCTGGGAATTGTCGGGCATCCTAGCTGGCCACCCTACCACCTCTATTCCAAGAACTGGGGAATTCTGGCTGGACTCAGTCCAGAGTCCCACCTCATCACCTGTTCACTTCCAGTTGTCCTGAAGCTGGCTACCAGGTCTCCTTGGCCACCTGAAGGCCTAATCCTTCTGGCCCCGCCAGACCCCAGGCCTCCAGTCACCTAAGGCCCAGTGAGTGTCCTCTCTTGCTTCTAGGTCCGAACTCGAAATAACAACAGTGTCTCCAGCCGGGAGAGGCACAGGCCTTCCCCACGTTCCACCCGAGGCCGGCAGGGCCGCAACCATGTGGACGAGTCCCCCGTGGAGTTCCCGGCTACCAGGGTTGGTTCCCCAGATGCCCAGACCCCTGCCCGCAGTCTCTAACTGGGAGATATGCCTCACTCACTGCACTACTGGTTGTGGCTGGTAGATAATCTGTGTCCTTTTTTCACACTGCTTTTCAGGTTCTTGCTTTTTCTTTTCTCTCCTGGGTAAGCTTCCCGTAAGCCTGTTGGCTTCTCTCCTGGTCTGATCTCAGATGACACTCTGTTGGGAATGGAAGCTTTCCCTGTTGACTTGGTTCTTGCTCTAACTTGGAAACAAGGTAGAAAACACTGACATCCAGAACTGTCTTCTCCCTCATGTCTTCTTCACCTGTCTTGAGGCAACCCTAGCGGGTATGGCAACATTTCACTCTCTGAGAGTCCCTCGTCATTACCCATCATTTGTGCCTTTGTCATCTTTCTGTCTCTGGGACAGTTACAATGACTTTCTCCCCCCTTAAGGGATACGTGTTCCTGGAAAAGTTTCTTCAGCGGTCTCTGTTCTCTTTAACTTCAGTCTTTCCTCTTTCTTTTTGCCTAGGAGCCATATGGGGGTGCCGTTGGTCTCTGGTCACCGACATCCTTTGCTCTGGCCCAAACTATGTGTCCTTCTGTCCACAGTCCCTGAGACGGCGGGCAACAGCATCGGCAGGAACGCCATGGCCGTCCCCTCCCAGCTCTTACCTTACCATCGACCTCACAGACGACACAGAGGACACACATGGGACGCCCCAGAGCAGCAGTACCCCCTACGCCCGCCTAGCCCAGGACAGCCAGCAGGGGGGCATGGAGTCCCCGCAGGTGGAGGCAGACAGTGGAGATGGAGACAGTTCAGAGTATCAGGTATGGCCGAGAGGGGCTCCTGCCCAGGGTGACTGAGGACCCTGAACACGGGGAAAAACCAGTTACCTGCTACTGTTGGTAACAGAGCGACAACAGTTGTTAGAAGTTTCGTAATTGTAATAATTGACATGTTTGAATTCTAAGTATCTTCCATATGCACCACGGACCTTTCTTTACCTTAATCCTCTCCCAGACATAAGTCAAATGCCAGTATTTACCACGTGAATACTGTGGTTTTTCCCAACATGACATTTATGTAAGGACTGCAACTGCGTACGTTATACATTTCATGTACGCCCGTGTGAAGAGACCACCAAACAGGCTTTGTGTGAGCAATAAAGCTGTTTATTTCACCTGAGTGCAGGTGGGCTGAGTCCAAAAGAGAGTCAGCGAAGGGAGATAGGGGTGGGGCCATTTTCTAAGATTTGGGTAGGTAAAGGAAAATTACAGTCAAAGGGGGTTTGTTCTCTGGCGGGCAGGAGTGGGGGTCTCAAGGTGCTCAGTGGGGGAGTTTTTTGAGCCACGAGGAGCCAGGAAAAGGGATTTCACAAGGTAATGTCATCACTTAAGGCAAGGACCGGCCATTTATACTTCTTTTATGGTGGAATGTCATCAGTTAAGGTGGGGCAGGGCATATTCACTTCTTTTGTGATTCTTCAGTTACTTCAGGCCATCTGGGCTTAAACGTGCAAGTCACAGGGGATGCGTGCAAGTCACAGGGGATGCGATGGCTTGGCTTGGGCTCAGAGGCCTGACAATACATATTGTGATTCTGTTCATCAGAGTGCACATACTGTATATATTGTACGTATGATACCTTTGTAGACTTGCTTTTTTCTTCTATTAAGAACTAGAGTTGCCTGAGGTTCATGTCTGGATAATAAATCCAGTGGTCTGGGTCATAGCTTAATTAACCGATTCAGGTTGTTTATGCTTATTCAAGCATTGCTGCACGAAGACTCCTTACACATGTATGTATTTATGTGTTGTTAGGATCCCTTTTTTCTATGTCCATTATTACATTTTACTTTGTATAGAAGGGATCTCACTATGGTGCCCAGGCTAGTCTCAAACTCCTGGCCTCAAGCGATCCTCCTATCTCAGCCTCCTGAGTAGCTAGGACTACAGGCGTGCACCACCAAGCCCAGCTACTTTATAAATTCTTTTGTGGAAATGGAGTCTTGCTGTGTTGCCCGGGCTGGTATCCAACTCCTGGCCTCAAGCGATCCCCCTGCCTCGGTCTCCCAAAGTACTGAGAATTACAGGCATGAACCACGGTGTCTGGCTACATCTTGCATTTTATGGCAAGCTTTTTGTTGCCCTCAGGGACAGTGGAGTGGACAGGACTTGGCCCAGGATGGCCTCTCCTCACTGGGATTTCTTCATGTGGGTTTTCTTCCAGGATGGGAAGGAGTTTGGAATAGGGGACCTCGTGTGGGGAAAGATCAAGGGCTTCTCCTGGTGGCCCGCCATGGTGGTGTCTTGGAAGGCCACCTCCAAGCGACAGGCTATGTCTGGCATGCGGTGGGTCCAGTGGTTTGGCGATGGCAAGTTCTCCGAGGTGAGTCCGGGGAAGGGCAAGGGGTTCTGCAGGCCTGAGGCTGTGCCTGCCTGCCTCCCTTTGAAGACAAAGGCCTGGGATTGTATTCTGCAGATGTGTGAGCCTATGCCTTCACACTGTCTGGGAGGAAGGACAAAACTTCCTGTGTTAACCAGCTACAGCAGATTCCACTCACACGGGGGACAAAAGTGCTAGAAAGTTCTGGATCCATGGGCAGTTGGATTTTATGTTATTTCTTAGATTTATCTTTTGGGGGCAGAATCATCAGTGTGGACTCTGAGGGGCCAGGAGTGGCCACGTGAGCAAGTACCCAAAAGTGTTCAGTGGAGAAGCCTGGAAGAGACCGGAAGCATGGCCGCGGCCTCTTGTCATTTAGCCCTGGGGAGAGAAAGGCATGGAGTTGGGTTTAGGGTCACCTGGTATCAGTTGTGAAAAGGGTTTTTAGTAGAATTGGGTATTTCAGAGTCTCTTGATGATTGATTCTAGCCTTTTAAAATCTTTCTTGGTAATGACATTTAGCTGGGGAAGAGCTGTGTTGGGCATAACTAGGCTGTTTTGATTCTTACACTCTTTCAACAAAGATTTTTTTGGGGGCGGTGAGAATGGAGTCTCACTCTGTTGCCCAGACTGGAGTGCAGTGGTGCGATCTTGGCTCACTGCAACCTCCGCCTCCCAGGTTCAAACAATTCTCCTGCCTCAGCCTCCTGAGTGGCTGGGGTTACAGGCACCTGCCACCGCACCCTGCTAATATTTGCATTTTTAGTACAGACTGGGTTTCACCATGTTGGCCAGGCTGGTCTCCAACTCCTGACCTCAGATGATCCACCCGCCTCGGCCTCCCAGTGCTGGGATTACAGGCGGGAGCCACCACGCCTGGCCTCAACAAAGATTTTAATCAGACAGACCTATCCTGTGATGGTCTCTTAGAAGTAAATGTTAGTCCTACCCTCAGAGCCCTGAGAGAGGCTAAGTTAGGTGCCTAAGGTCATTGGGCAAGTTGCAGCAGAAGCAAGCCAGGCAGGATTGAAGGAAGGACTGTACATTCCTGGGATTCAGCTCAAGCAGAGATTCTGTTTTTCCCAGGAATTGAGCTACCATGGGGCCATTTGCCATGAGCTAATTGAAGTTTCCCAAGGGCTACAATAATATATTGGGTGTGGAGTCTCCTTTGTAGGAGAGCCCCTGCATGCAGTTGCCTGCTGTGACCAGCAGAGGGAGGACAAGTCCTGGGCCCATGCTGGCAGTGAGGCAGCTGCTTCCAGGGATGGGAGAGCAGTAACTCAAGTGAAGGAAGATGGATTGTTTGCAATTGCTTTGCCCCATCGAGACATAAAATGCACTTTGCAAGATAGAGTCTGAGGCTAATACAATGCAGTGTGGGGCTGTCAGCATTAGGGGATGAGATGACAATATGGGACCTGGGTCTGGCCTGGGCAAGTGCCTGCTCAGCATGTGTACGCTGTTTGGGTTGTATTGGAGCTATTGGGCGCTGGAACCAGCACTTGTGTTGGAGCGGTTTCCCCCCACCAGAGCCACAGTGTTTTCTCCCCAGTGGTGGTCACACCCCCATATAGGAAATCAGGCATTCCGTGATAAAATGGAGGTTTGCATGAGTGTGAGCACTCTTTACGGAGACTAGAACATTCCCTGTGTCTTTCAGTTCCTTTTTTTTTTTAAGAGATGAGGTCCTCACTGTCACCCAGGCTGGAGTGCAGTGGCACTGTCTTGGCTCACTGCAGCCTCAATCACCTGGGCTCAAGCAATCCTTCTGCCTTAACAGAGCAGCTGAGACTGCAGGTGCACACCACTGTGTTTGGCTCTTAAAAGTTTTTGTAGAGATGGGGTCTTGCTGTGTTGTCCAGGCTAGTCGAACTCCTGGGCTCAAGCGATCCTCTCAACTCCCACTCCCAAAGTGCTGGGAATATAGGCCTGAGCCACTACGTCTGGCCTTTCAGTTCTGATTAGCATCCCTGAATGGCCATTTTCTCTCTCACTGGCAACTCAGTCAGTTCATGCTTGGTCCAGGGACTTGGTACATCAGGAGACTTGTGGAATATGGATTAAATCACAAGAACTAAAGTTAAATAATCACAACAAGTGAAAGGTGCTGTGTCGAGCACTGTTTTCTAAACACATTCATTAGGTGAACTCATTTTAATAAAAGGGTAAAGAGTAAACAATTATCATGCTTAGGAAAGAAGGAATATGTGCAAACCCTCAATGCTGGAGCAGCCACAGAGAATATTAGGACTGAGCCTCAGGGGTCCACACCAGGGACACCTGCTTGGAAAATGTATACAAACACAGGGTTCGCCTAATTGCCTTCATTCAGAGTATCCTCCTTTTCCACAGTGGAAGTGTCGTACCTAACAAGGTTCTGGATATCTGTGTGTTGAGACTCTGCCATTTCTATTTTTCTGCTTTTTTCTTTCCTTCCTTTCAAATAGATGTCTGTGGACTTTATCCCCAGGAATGGTCTCTTGGTTAAAGTGTGTGAAAATCTTCTGCATCTGATGGACAACATTGTGATAGACATGGCACCTGGGACACACCTGTAGGTGGATGTTGATGATGTCTTTCTCTTTTAGGTCTCTGCAGACAAACTGGTGGCACTGGGGCTGTTCAGCCAGCACTTTAATTTGGCCACCTTCAATAAGCTCGTCTCCTATCGAAAAGCCATGTACCATGCTCTGGAGGTAACATGGGATGAGGGAATGAGGGCTAAGCCCTGAGAGCAGGGATGAAGCAAGAGACCCACAGAAACCTAGCTCAGTGTTGCCAAGGGTGGTTTGGAGGGGACAGGGTGGCCAGGGAGGAGGTAAATGACAACATAACATGATGGCCACCGGATTGGGCCTCCCAACAAAGGGATTTGAGACATCCCAGCTGCCACTTATTGGGACCACTAACTGAATCAGAAGGAAAGAGCACGGGCAGTTAGGGGTGCAATATTCGTATCAGTGAATGTGCTTTTCCAGAGACCTCAGAGCCTTCTTATGAGGGTTGGAGTTCACAGCAAGACAGCAGTGGAGGCCAGCTGTCTTCTATCTGTGGGCCGTCTTATCCCCTATGAACCATTATACCCTGTTTCTCCCTTCACCTTGATTTTTTCCCCCCACCTTTGTTCAGCATTTAAGAGCCAACCTCTTCTCATTGCTAAAGGCTTCATTAGACACTGAAATCCTTGGTCCTTCATGTAGGACACAAGTTAATGTCCCCATCTTTAGGGAGATAAAACAAGAAATCTAGTGCCGCCTTATATAAGATACAGAGGAGATGAGATAGTGCTGGCTGGGGCTTCTATATCTTGGTGGTAGAGTTAATTCTGATATGTCTGCCTTTTGAGTGGGAGGTGACCACTGACATTCCCTAGGGGGAAGAGATCCTATTTGGTGCCTGCATGAAAAGATTTAACCACAACCCCCCTTCCGAGGCCTCTCCCTGCACAGGCCCCTCCTTCCTCTGTCACATACCACAGCCCAGGACAGCTGTCTGGCTATGAAAGGGCCCAGTGTGAAGGGGAATGTAGGCCCTGGCTGGGGGAATCCCTGGGTGTGGCCTGGCGAGCACCTCCTCCCCACCCCCCCATTCATCACAGACTCTGCCTTTGCAGAAAGCTAGGGTGCGAGCTGGCAAGACCTTCCCCAGCAGCCCTGGAGACTCATTGGAGGACCAGCTGAAGCCCATGTTGGAGTGGGCCCACGGGGGCTTCAAGCCCACTGGGATCGAGGGCCTCAAACCCAACAACACGCAACCAGGTGGGAATGAGTCCCCATGGCAGCACCCGCTGCCTCTGCTGGTGGGACCACTTCTTGGGAGAGTCAGCCACCCCTGCTGCCCCACACCCCACCCAGCTTTCTAGCAGCTGGTCTCAACTCTGAATGTTGGAAAAATAGGAGCAGGCATACGAAGGCTGTGCCAGCTCTATCTGGCTTCCCCGGCCACTTTCTTGCTGATGGTCACGTGCATATAATTTGTATTGAATCTGACATCTGTCTTGAAGTCAGGATGCAGTGTTGACTAGCACCTTTTTTATTAAAGGAAAAAATAGTTAAGCTATGCTCATTTGAGAAAATTGGAAAGTGTTAAAGAAGAATATGCCACCTGCTAACATTTTGACCAGTACCATATTTCTCCCATTATAAGATAACTCTGGTTTCTAGAAATCCAGGACTTGTCTTACAATCCATAGATTTAAAGGCCAGGCCTAGTGGCTCATGCCTGTAATCGCAGCACTCTGGGAGGCTGAGGCGAGTGGATCACTTGAGGCGATCACCTGGACAACATGGTGAAAAATAGAAAAATTAGCCTGGTGTGCTTGGCATGTGCCTGTGGTCCCAGCTACCCGGGAGGCTGAGGTGGGAGAATTGGCTTGAGCCCAGGAGGCAGAGGTTGCAGTGCGCCGAGATCGCACCACTGCATTCAAGCCTGGGTGACAGAGCAAGACCTTGTCTCAAAAAAGAAAACAGTCCATACATTTAATGTAATGTTTTTTCTGTTTTGTTTTGTTTTCCCCTCAAAAGTGGTTAATAAGTCGAAGGTGCGTCGTGCAGGCAGTAGGAAATTAGAATCAAGGAAATACGGTATTTCCTTCCTGTCTTTTGACTGTGCCCTGTTTTCTATGCACTTTCTTCTGATTTCTTTGCATATAAAATGGTCACTGGAAAAGAATCAAATTTCTTGAAAAGTCAATCTGAACTCCCTCCCCACTCTCCCCTCACATCCCACCCTCACAAATACCCTCCAGGTTAACGTTGGGTTGCACATCCTTCCAGATTTTTCTGAACACTAGTTGGATTCCTGCTTTCCCCTTTATTAATATTAATACTGTAAGCACTGTCTGATGTCATTTTGTCACTAAAGGGTCCTTAAGATTTTTAATGGCTGTACAATTTTCTTTCCTAGGGTCAGAGTCAAATTTAACCATGTCCATTAAGATTTTCTGTGTAGATGGAATAGAAATACAAATGGGTTTTACAAAATCCCATTTATAGAATGGGAGCCATATTATGTAAAATTAAAAAGTGCTGGGCTCAGTGGCTCACGCTTATAATCCCAGCATTTTGGGATGCAAATAACCATCTCTTGGATTTCCCAGCATTTTGGGACGCTGAGGTGGGCAGATTGCTTGAGCTCAGGAGTTCCAAGACCAGCCTGGGCAACAGGATGTAACCCTGTTTCTAAGAGAAATACAAAATTAGCTGGGTGAGGTGGTGTGTGCCTGTGGAGGCTGAGGTGGGAGGATCACCTGAGCCCAGGAAGTCAGGCTGCAGTTTGCTAAGATCATGCCACTGCACTCCAGCCTGGGTGACACACTGAGAACCTGTCTCAAAAAAAAAAAAAAAAAAAAAAACCAAAACAGAAACAAAAAAGAAAGAAAAAAACGAGGCCAGGTGCAGTGGCTCATGCCTGTAATCCCAGCACTTTGGGAGGCTGAGGCAGGCAGATCCCTTGTGGTCGGGAGTTCACCAGCCTGGCCAGCATGATGAAACCCCGTCTCTACTAAAATACAAAAATTAGCCAGGTGTGGTGCTGCATGCCTGTAACAGGCTGAGGCAGGAGAATTTCTTGAATCCAGGAGGCGGAGGTTGCAGTGAGCCAAGATCCACGTCATTGCCCTCCAGCCTGGGCAACAAGAAAGGAACAGGTGAAATTAATACAAATCATGATTTTTTTAGCGCTAAATTTCCAAGATGTTAGCATTTTAATATCCAGCTATTATAAAAACTGAGATAGTCTACATTTATAGTGCTGGTTTCAAAATTTCACTTATTTTATATATTTTACATATTACATATTTTACAGATCTCAATTTTGATGCTAAATTTGCAATGAAAATACTTGATCTGTATTAACTATATACAGATTCTTGACTAAATACAGATGTAGATGGTTAAACACAAATTAACTAAATTCATAAAACGTGCATTTGAGAAAGCAGACTCATATGTCTAGGCTAGTCTTAATGAGCCAGTTAGTTGACTTACTTGTCAGTGTTTTAATTAACCTTAAATGCAGAATTCATTTCCTCAACAGTTTCAAGTTCTCAGTAGCCACCCCCTATGCCTACTGCCCAGCATGTCAGATATCACAGACATGGGTATGCCAGGCTTTTAGCTTTGAATCGAGCTTTGCTCTCTGAGCTGAGTCATTTTTACATCCTAGTTGTAGCCATTTAAAACCTTGTAAACATGTGTTAAGGATCCTGGGTGCAAGGGGTTTTGAATGAGCTCCTGTTGTGAGTTGCCCATCAAGGGGCCATATACATTCAGTGTGGACCCCCTGTCATGCCCCAATTGCAGCTGGTACCCAGGCATAGCATGGTCTTGTCCTGGGCCCGCATTCTCTCTGGACCCTCCTACCAAGCCACGGCTGCAGTCTAATTACCTTTCACAGAGAACAAGACTCGAAGACGCACAGCTGACGACTCAGCCACCTCTGACTACTGCCCCGCACCCAAGCGCCTCAAGACAAATTGCTATAACAACGGCAAAGACCGAGGGGATGAAGATCAGAGCCGAGGTGATTGTTGGGTACCTGGGATCATGGGACAGATGGGAGGAGGACGCTGCAGATCAGGAATTGATCTGTACCCGGCTCCCTGACCTCATCTCATGCCTTCTTCTTTTCTCAATAGAACAAATGGCTTCAGATGTTGCCAACAACAAGAGCAGCCTGGAAGGTAACGTTCTCTCCCTCCCAGTCATCCCCCTCACACCCTGGCTAGGGCTCTAGGCCTGCCTTGTCCTGGCTCATCCACCCTGTCAGGGTTTAACCCAGAGCTCTGTTCCTTAACCTCAGGCCAAGGCCTATTTCTGGACCCTGCATCTTAGTTGCTAGTTTATGGAATGAGTTGCCAATTGTGCCCCTTAAGAGAAAGGTACAGGAAGGGTATGGTGAGGAACAAGGGAAGCTGGGCCATTTTGGCCGGGAGAGCCATAACCTAAAACCAAGATTACTGGTATCATGAACCTTCCCAAAGAAGAACTGCAACTAACAAGCTTTTAGTCACTTGCCTACTGTCAGGCTAAATACTCTGCTTGCCCTGGCTGGGGATTGCCACTGGATTGGATACTCTGATCAGAATATACCTCATGGAATACAGAATGTGTGAGGATGAAGTCTCCCTTGCTTCCTTAACCCCTAGTTACTCAATGTTGAATAGGAAAACACCACATCCCTGACCCAGAGAACCCGGGGAAGAGCTTCGGTTTAGAAATCCTATTCCCCAAGACTCACTCCCCCATCTGGCTAGGTAGGGATGCTTGTTTGTGGGTTTTATAAAGGTCCTATCTACCCAGCCAGGGATGCAACTCCATGCTGACCTGGTGATATGAAGGGAAGGCAGGGTTGCCTACTGGTTAAAGGACCTGGATTCTGAAATTACAGCCATTTGCTGTTTACAGGGTGTGGGCATGGGCAAGTCCTATCATGAGACAACAAGCCAATTGGAGTCACCACAAAATCCTTAGTGTCCCAGTATTTAAAGCTTCTCAAGGATTGTCACACCAGGGAGGTCCCCCTGCTCAGCGTTCTGCCTGACATCATCCTACTGGGGCAGCCCCTTGCCCATCTTGATGTTCCCCATCTGTGAAGTAGGGATGCCACCTGGAAGCATTGTTGAGTGGTAGAAGCTGTGAGGCATGGCCTGAGGTGCAAAGAGTCCTTGGCAAGCTGCTGGCCTGGAGGGAAATCTTAGGAACTGAGAGACCCCAGGCTTTAGCAGCTGGTGTCAGGGCCTCAACTGCCAAAAGCCACAACCCTGTTTTTCTTACAGATGGCTGTTTGTCTTGTGGCAGGAAAAACCCCGTGTCCTTCCACCCTCTCTTTGAGGGGGGGCTCTGTCAGACATGCCGGGTAAGTCCTCCTACTACTGCCCTGGACCTTCCTCCCCTTGCCTCCTCTAACTCCCCTCTCCTTCCCAACAGCACCTGTGTGGAGACTCAGTGAAGCCCACTCATCCCAGCTGCCTTGCACTCTGCCTCTGGGGCAGGATGGGGGACAGCTGTCACAGAGGCCAATGGCACGCAGGTCACAGCCAGTTGTCCTTTTAAAGGACACCAAGCCACCAGCAGTGTGTTCTGCAGCTGTATCCTAGGGCCTCCACCAGCAAGCCGGCAGGGCCTGCCCTTCTCTGGTCTCCGATTTCACTGGTGTTTCTCTCTGGCTGCCAGGATCGCTTCCTTGAGCTGTTTTACATGTATGATGACGATGGCTATCAGTCTTACTGCACTGTGTGCTGCGAGGGCCGAGAGCTGCTGCTTTGCAGCAACACGAGCTGCTGCCGGTGAGCACTGGGCCCTGTGGGGTGGATGTGGGTGGGCCCCCAAGGCTCCTACGTTCCTGCAGTCTGCAGACAGCTGTCTGTTGAATGGAATCCTAGGCATGGGAATAGGGAGCTAATTTGCCCTGGAAGCAGCACACAGGGTTTATATTTTGTGGTGGCTGTGGTTGTAGCATAATTGGAGTAGAACTCATGTATAGGGAACGGCTCTTTTTTTTGAGACAGGGTCTCCCTGTGTTGCCCAGGGTGTACAGTGACATGATCATAGGTCACTGCAGCCTCCAATTCCTGTGCTCAAGCAATCCTCCCACCTCAGCCTCCTGAACAGCTTGATTATAGGCACATGCCATCACACCCAGCTAGTTATTCTTTTTTTTTTTTGAGGTGGAGTCTTGCTCTGTCACCCAGGCTGGAATGCAGTGGCACAATCTTGGCTCACTGCAACCTCTGCCTCCAGGGTACAAGCAATTCTCGTGCCTCAGCCTCCCAAGTAGCTGGAATTATAAGTGCGGAGCACCACGCCCAGATAATTTTTGTGTTTTTAGTACAGACAGGGTTTCACCATGTTGACCAGGCTTGTCTCGAACTCCTGACCTCAGGTGATCCACCTGCCCCAGCCTCTCAAATCCCAGCACTCCCAAAGTTCTGGGATTACAGTCATGATCCACCGTGCCTGGCCTATTTTTTGTAATAAATAAAAAGTGTAATAAACGCTGCCTCGGCTGGTCTCAAATCCCTGGGGTCAAGCCATTCTCCTACCTCAGCCTCCCAAAGCCCCAGAGTTGTAGGTGTGAGCCACCACACCCAGCTAGAAGTGCTCTTAATAGGCCAAGAGCATGAGGGAAGGGGATGAGTAGGGTGTCAGGGAAGGCTAATTCCCTGGTTTGCCAGTTGGCCTGTAATCCAAAGTGTCCATGGAATGAAGTAGGTTGTCGGGAGAGCATTTCTGATCAGAGAGCCTGTGGGATTAAGGGGGTTGGGGCATCCAAGGAAGACGTCAGGGAAGCCCGTACTGCACAGGGCCCCGCAGGCTATGCTGTTAAGCAGCCGATCCTAGGTAAGCTTTCAGGAGGGGGTTGGCATTTCCCTGTGGAAGTGGTAAGGGGGTGGCACAGGAGACCAGCTCTGACAAAGGCATCCCTTCTCCCTGCCACTGGGTCCAGGTGTTTCTGTGTGGAGTGCCTGGAGGTGCTGGTGGGCACAGGCACAGCGGCCGAGGCCAAGCTTCAGGAGCCCTGGAGCTGTTACATGTGTCTCCCGCAGCGCTGTCATGGCGTCCTGCGGCGCCGGAAGGACTGGAACGTGCGCCTGCAGGCCTTCTTCACCAGTGACACGGGGCTTGAATATGTAAGCCACAGGCTCCCGCCTCTACCACCACAGATCCCAGGGGCACAGGGTGTTGGAAAGCTCTGGAATTCTCAGAAAGAGTAATAGAAGTAAAGACACGTTGTACCTCTTGGAGCCTCAATGGCTGAGAGACCTGGCGAATTGCCAGCTCCTCTGCACGGTTTTCAGCCGTGCCAGGGTTCATTCACTCCCTCCTTGCCGGCTTCTCAGCGTATGGATTTTCAGGGGCCTGATGAAGAAATGGTTGTATGTAGCCTTCTGAGTTAGCAGAGCTGAGAGGGAAGGAAACAGTAGAAATGAATTTTCTAGTTCTTAGAGGGAAGCCCTAGGTCATTCCTGTCTGGGGTGATACCTTTTCATGTGTGCCTCTGTGCATACATATCTGGCTCATGTCCAAGGATAAATTGACCATTCCTTGCCAAATGCAGGCTCGTGTGGTACACACTTGTCTCCCCAATCCCCATCAAGCCTTCAGTGGGCTTTTTGCAGTGGCTACGGCAAGGTTTGAAGCCCTCTGAGCAGGGTCAGCCTGCCCCTCCCTCAGAGCTTGAGTCTTTGCCCTGTGCCTTCACCACCATGACCTCCTTCCTTACCTGGCAGGAAGCCCCCAAGCTGTACCCTGCCATTCCCGCAGCCCGAAGGCGGCCCATTCGAGTCCTGTCATTGTTTGATGGCATCGCGACAGGTGAGTTCGGGGAACACCTGGAGACACTGCTATCGTGTCACAACAGGGTAGCCAGGGAGTCAGAAGGCATGGTTAAGGTGTCTGACATCAGTGGCAAGAAAGGTCCCTGGGGATTACCAGCCCTGAAAAAAACCCTGTCTCCTTGTTTCTCTCCACCTTCTCAACCACCTTGCAGTCTTGGTCATTGAGTTTTATTTATTTATTTTTTCGAGATGGAGTCTCCCTTTGTCACCCAGGTTAGAGTGCAATGGCGTGATCTGTGCTCACTGCAGCCCCCATCTCCGAGGTTCAAGTGATTCTCTCCTCAGCCTCCCAAGTAGCTGGGATTACAGGTGCTCACCACCACGCCCAGCTAATTTTTATATTTTTCGTAGAGACGGGGTTTCTCCACGTTGGTCAGGTTGGTCTCGAATTCCTGACCTCAAGTGATCTGCCCACCTTGGCATCCCAAACCGCTGGGATTAGAGACATGAACCACCGTGCCTGGGCAGTCTTGGTCATTTTAAAAGGACATACATCTTAGCTGTTACACTTTATTTTTTATGTGCAGTTATCTTGAACTTGATTTTCATTCCACATGCATAAGTATAATTGGAGATAAACTAGTTAACAACTACTGCTACCTCTGGTTTTGGTTCCCTTCTTTTCCTCCTATATGGAGTTTACACAGCCAATATGTGTGGTGCGTGTACAGCCTTTGCTGGATTGAACGCATGTGATACAGTCATGAGGAACTGTTCATTTTACCATAGCAGGGAGTGGAGGAAATGAGCTGCTGTGTGCTCAGCATCATTTATGCTTCTGTGTCTCTCTGGCCCCCACAGGCTACCTAGTCCTCAAAGAGTTGGGCATAAAGGTAGGAAAGTACGTCGCTTCTGAAGTGTGTGAGGAGTCCATTGCTGTTGGAACCGTGAAGCACGAGGGGAATATCAAATACGTGAACGACGTGAGGAACATCACAAAGAAAAATGTGAGGGCAGTCTGTACCTTGCGGGCCTCATCTCTTCCTGTCTTTTTCCCCAGTCCTCCACACCCTGAAACCCACATGTAGGCCCCATCCCTGAGACCCCAGAAAAAAGGATTGAAATCCTGTGGGAATCTTAAGCATTAGGTTAGGGTCAGAAGTGGAGTTGGTGACCAAGCAAGATTCTATTTTTTTCTGGAGACAGTCTCCCTCTGGAGTGCAGTGGCATGATCTCAGCTCACTGTAACCTCTGCCTCCCGGGTTTAAGCGATTCTCTTGCCTCAGCCTCCCAAAGTGCTGGGATTACAGGCACCTGCCACCATGCTGGGCTAATTTTTATATTTCTAGTAGAGTTGGGGTTTCTCCATGTTGGCCAAGCTGGTCTCGAACTCCTGACCTCAGGTAATCCACCCCCGCCGTCAGCCTTCCTGGGATTACAGGTGTGAGCCACCTCGTCCAGCCCCACGCAAGATTCTAGAAGTGGGTCCAGCTCTCTTTCCCTCTGTCCACACCCTCATCCTGACTCTGTCTCTCTCTTTCAGATTGAAGAATGGGGCCCATTTGACTTGGTGATTGGCGGAAGCCCATGCAACGATCTCTCAAATGTGAATCCAGCCAGGAAAGGCCTGTATGGTGAGCATCCTTCTCTCTGGCAGTCCCTGGAGAGCCTATGTCACCTGACCACTGGCCCAGGTGCAGCAGCCTGAGAAGGAGCCACTTGCTTCTGGCCAAGTTACTGGCAGCATCAGGGGCCTGTTGGTGCTGCCTACGCTCCATAGTAAATCCTCAGCCCACAAGGGAAATACCCTAGTAAATAGTGCCCTGCTGCTGCCTGTGTCCCTGCTGTCATTCAGGTGGACATAGACTGGTAGGCATCACCCTGAACTGTCAGGAGGCCATTGGGAACCTGCTGGTCTCAGGGAATAAGGTGGGTTGGGCTGGAGGTTTCAAATGAACCCTGCGCTGTCATCTTTTCTGAGCACAGAGGGTACAGGCCGGCTCTTCTTCGAATTTTACCACCTGCTGAATTACTCACGCCCCAAGGAGGGTGATGACCGGCCGTTCTTCTGGATGTTTGAGAATGTTGTAGCCATGAAGGTTGGCGACAAGAGGGACATCTCACGGTTCCTGGAGGTGAGGGAATCTGGGGACCTGATTGTCACAGACAGCCAGGGCAGGGAAAGCGCTGCTGGCAGTGATGATTGGTGGGTGTTGCCAACATTGGGAATGACTTTCCCGTTCTTGGTCTGGCTAGATCCAATAGTGAGGGATTCAGTGGGTTCTCTTAGTACATGGAAAATATTTTTTTTGAGACAGGGTCTTGCTCTGTCACCCAGGCTGAAGTACAGTGGCATTATTACAGCTCACTGGAGCCTCAAACAGCTGGGCTCAGGCAATCCTCCTACCTCAGCCTCCCAAATGGCTGGGACTACAGGGGCACACCACCGTGCCCAGCCAATTTTTGTATTTTTGGTAGAGACAGGGTCTTGGTATGTTGCACACCCTAGTCTTGAACTCCTGGGCTCAAGCAATCCGCCCACCTCCCAACGTGTTGGGATTGGAGATAGAGATGTGAGCCACCATCCCCTGCCAGTACAAGGAAAATAATTGATCTCTAATCTCAGCCCAACTCTTTGAAGTCAGAAATGATGAAACAAACCATCATCTGCTGTTAAGGACTCATGAGATTTGACTCAATTTTTTACTCTAGAGAGTTTTCTCATTTTTGATATGAAAACTGCTTTAGACCAGGCACAGTGGCTCATGTCTGCAGTCCTAGCATTTTGGGAGGCTGAGGTTGGAGGATCACTTGAGCCCACGGTGTATCATATTTTGTAATAATCTGGCGTATCCCAGGGGATACCGTCTCAGAATCTGCAGGTTTGACCTTATCTCTTTAGCTACCATTAGCATAGTATGAGGGCATTTACCATGTCCTCTAGCCAGCCTCCTGATGGCAGTAGGTCTTTCCTGTTTTGGAGGATCCGTGCCTCATCCATAGTCAGGGAATAGCCCTGTCACCTGCAAAGGTCTGGTTGACACTGAAACTCTAATAATAGGCTCCTAACAGTAACCTTCTTTCTCCCCACAGTGTAATCCAGTGATGATTGATGCCATCAAAGTTTCTGCTGCTCACAGGGCCCGATACTTCTGGGGCAACCTACCCGGGATGAACAGGTAACAAAGGGCTCTTAGTGGGTCAGGTAACAGCCAAGTTAAATATGTGATAACAAGCTCTGACATTCAAGCCTTCCTAGAAAGACCTGGCTCTGCTGAGAAATAGTTATACTTGGATTTCAGACCACCTGTGGTCGTGCGGGTTGATCTCTGTTAAGATGTTCAGCAAGTACCTGGGAATCTCTGTAGGAGTCCCACTCTTACCTGTTGTAAGCTGCTGATGGACCTGATCCTAAAAGTCCCACGTGGCTGGGTGTGGTGGCTCACGCCTGTAATCCCAGCACTTTGGGAGGCCGAGGCTGGAGGATCGCTTGAGCCCAGGAGTTCTAGACTAGCCTGGGCAACAAAGTGAGACCCCGTCTCTACAAAAAAATAAAGAAAAATACAAGTCTCATGAGCTGTGGCCAGACTGTGTACCTCCTTCCTGCCAGGGATCTCTCAAGACTTGAGCTTGTTGATGCTCCTGCCCTTCACCTCTCCTCCCCGTTGATGTAGTGACAGCCGTCTGGAAATGGAAGTAGATTGTTGTTACCGGTGCCTTTCCTCCTGCCCTGGAGATGAAGCGATCTTGGCCAGGCTCATGGTGACCAACCAGGTGGCAGAGCTGCTATGACAAACAATAGCCCAAAGACTATGTCCCTCAGATTCTCATCACCAGGAGCATTTCATATTTTGTTATCGTATACTAAAAACAGTCTTCTTCAGACACTCTGAAAGCCACAAAGCAGCTTTGCTGAGGATTAATTATTTCTTCTATATGTGGTTTCAAGGAGAAGAACTTGCTAATTAAGATGTAAAATGTTATGGTAATGTGACATCCCAGACTTGCAAATGAGTTGAGCTTAAAACATTCTCCTGTAGAAGGAGGCATGGAAACATAATAACCTTCTGCCACTTAGTGAAGTGTGGACAGAGGTGAGGGTCCTGGGGTAGCTTGGAGGATTTTTGTTGGTCACCTTGCCCGTGTACTTGGCTAAGCAGCCAGTCTTAGGGTGCCATGTCTGTGTCTGGAATTAAATGGGTTAATGCTTTCAACATTTGAACTCCCAGTAGGCCAGGCACTGTTACGCTGTTGCCATTTTCATGGTTAAACACATCATGTCGATAGTGACATGCCGAAGGGGGAGGGAGAGAAGACAATGATTTGGGGTTTATTGCTGGCGGATGGACATTGGAAGGGTTGATGGGGAAGGCTTCTCATTCTAGCGAAGGTCCTAAGTGAAGGGATGGACCCATGCAGTTATTAGAGTACTCCAGGTGGGAAGAGGGTCTGGGATGATGGGAAACATCCCCAGACCAGCTCAGAGCACCCTAGGTGGGGTGGCTGGGAGAGAAGGACCAAGTAACTTGGGCCTTAATGTGGTACCGCTGAAATCACTTTGGCATGGGAAGTTACAGATGAGATGAATTGTGCTTTGGTTCATGGTAGTTTCTGGGTGGATTATAGACAATAACAGGATGGAGGCGGGAATGGGGAGACAAGTGAAGGGACTAGACTGCTCAAAGAAGGAGAGATGACTGATTATGATGTTATGCCCCAGGAGGTGCCATCCATAGAGAACACAGTGTGAGTGGTGGCCCCTGGGGTTTGCAGCACAGCAATCCTGTGACTTAGCAAGGACGGATCAGATTCAACATATGTGGAGGGTAGGACATTTGCTGATGCATTGGATGTGTAGGCTATGAGGTGGAAAGAGCAGTGAGACCTGATGCAGATCTGATGCTGTGACTAAGCTCTGCAGGCTTATAGGATGGGTGTGTCAGGCATCATTTAGGGGACAGACCCAAGTCATCTGGCTTGTTTAGAGCTTAATCTTATAGTCAGCACAAGGCGGGGCTGTGCAGTGTCCTTTTCTTCTGGGCCCTCAGCTCCCCTGGGTCCATGTCGGAGGTAGGAATGGGGATAGAGGTAGCATTTGAAGCCTGGCAGGTGAGGTCAAGGAAATCTATCAGTCTAGGGGAAATATGTGTTGTGATTTCCTCAGCCCCTCTTGTAGGCACGGTTCCCGTTCTCATGTCTGAGTTGTTTGGCCTTGACGTTCCTAACACAGGTTACTATGGCCGTCCCTGCGTCCAGTCCTCTTGCACCAGTTTCTGTTCTGGAGCTGCTCAACTACTTTCAGTTCTAGCCCTTGCCCTTCTTAGTCATCTGTTTGCCTCTCTCTGCATTTGCAAAATAATTTTCAAGGGTGAAAGTTAAAAGGGTGCTTAGTCTTTTTTTTTTTTTTTTTTTTTGGAACCTTAAGAGACAGGGTCTGTCTCCCAGGCTGGAGTGCAGTGTTGTAATCATAACTCACTGTAGCCTCCAACTCCTAGGCTTAAGCGATCCTCCTGCTTTGAACTCCCAAATTGCTGGGATTAAGGGTAGGAACCACTGCAGGCGGTTGCCATTCACTTTTAAAGCCTCCTGAGGCTGTATCCCCAGCAGTGAGCCACCAAACCGTGGGTGTGATATGATAATTGTATCAGGTAGACCCACAAAAATCTATTCCAAGCTCCTCACTTTAAAATAGACAGGAAGCCCAAAGGGGTAGTGTGACTCGCTCAAGCTCAGTCAGTGAGCAGTGTGGAGCTGGGACCTGAGGTTTCTCCTGCCCTACCCCATGCAGTGTTCCTGCTCAATGGGAACCTGACTTTGAAGTCCAGGCAGGGGAGCATTACCTCCTGGATGCTGGGCTGTCCCCTCTAGCCCATCCTTGGCTTTGGCACACAGGCTTGTGCTCATGCCAGGATCATTTTCATCATTTATTTGTAGCCAAGTTCACTGCCAGGGCACATCTCTGCAACATAGACCCTCACTCCC
Organism: Homo sapiens; assembly: GCF_000001405.40. Taxonomy (NCBI): domain Eukaryota; kingdom Metazoa; phylum Chordata; class Mammalia; order Primates; family Hominidae; genus Homo; species Homo sapiens. Next base: position 32,805,274 of record NC_000020.11, read on the forward strand.
ACCTTGTGCCTAGCAGAGGACCCTCTATAGCTAGTAAGAAGTAATGGGTTTTGGCTGTTCCCAGGCCCGTGATAGCATCAAAGAATGATAAACTCGAGCTGCAGGACTGCTTGGAATACAATAGGATAGCCAAGGTAAGACGAGCTGTGGCCCTCTGGAAAAATGCACTTGGTGACCTCCAAGTGGGGACTTGGGAGATGACCTTGGTGTTTGATTGGTTCCTACTCCTCCCCCCACGTGACTTCCTGGTGTTGGGCTTCCCTCTCCCACATGATTGTTCTGTCCCATCCTCAAATACAGAGACTAGGAGACATTCGTGATAAGTAATCACGACGAGAAAAGGCAACTAGTCTTTTTAATTTTAGTACTGGATACATAAAGACAAAGAGTTTCAGCTGGCCCTCTCAGGGAGAAAGGAATCATTAATCCTTTTGCCAAAAAATTAATTTGCTGTCAAGTCATAGAATATGAAGACCTCCATAAACCTAAATCTCAATGTTTGCATCAAGCTAAGATCCATTTTCTAAACTCCAATTGAGCATTCTCTGTATCTGGGTGGTTTTTACTTTTTTACTTAATCTTGCTTGATCAGGAACTCTGGTGTCTTCTTGGCCCCCCACGTGATCTCGTTCATGGTCACTTTTTTGTTTATCTCATTTTCTCTGAGGCTGGTCCTTCCTGTTAACGTCTTGGCATTTGTGGGAAGCACAAAATGTTCTTGTCTCTCCAACTCTGCTTTTCGCTCCCTGCCCTGCCATTCCTCTCCCGCGCCTGCCCTCTCCCTTCCATCTTTCCCAGGTACTTTTCTCTCCCAGCCCTGCCACTCTTCTGCCGCACCTGCGCTCTCCCCTCCATCTTTCCCAGGTACTTTTGAGCCTTGACTCCCCAGGTCCCTTCATTCTGTGCTCACTCCATGATGTCATTTTGTTCTCCAGTTAAAGAAAGTACAGACAATAACCACCAAGTCGAACTCGATCAAACAGGGGAAAAACCAACTTTTCCCTGTTGTCATGAATGGCAAAGAAGATGTTTTGTGGTGCACTGAGCTCGAAAGGTGAGCAAGGCTGCACTTGGAGAGGGAAACTGTGTAGATCAAAACACAAATGGGCAGACATGGGCAGGTGCTTACCTTCATTCTTGATGGCCTCACTGCCCTTTGGTGTTACTGGGGCGAGGAGTAATAATACCTTTTCATAGTTCGCCCTTATTTCCTGACAAAAATGGCGGAGGGGGTGTGGTGGTGGTGAGGAATCTGAGACATGAGGTCATTAGGCCACACCATCTGTCTGTTGGCTGCACTGCCGTGACATCTGCCTGTCCCAACATGCTGGGACACTACGATGTGTGAGAAGCCAGTGAAAGAAAACCCCACAGACATGCCATTCTTGAAGACTTCAGTTTGCTCATTCTATAAATGATTCCTTCTTAGCCACAGTTTATCCTCTCCTTCCCTTTCTTTGGGCTAAGTTTGTCTGTTTTGATGCAAATAACCATCTCTTGGATTTCAGTTCTGTTCTGTTCTGTTTTCTTTCACTCCTCTATTGTTTGTTCATTTTGCTTATACTATTTTTTAAAAATCATTATTTGCTATAGTGATTATGGCTTTGAACATTCCTCTTTACATGTATTCTGTATTCTGAAGGCTTTGATATAGAGTATTTTCATTCCAGATATTTCACTTCTATAACTCATTTAATTTCTTCTTTGACTTACCAACAGTTTTCTGAGTATAAAAGTAACTTCTGATTAGTATTTATGCTGTAGATTATTCTGTATGGACCTAAACCTAAAATGGTTGGTGCAGATGGCTGACATTGTGTAGACGCTAAGACCAAGCAAGACACAGGCCTGAGGTATCACATCTTTGGCATGTTTCTGAATAACCCACGCAGCCATTGGCCTGTTGGGATGACTTTTAGTATTGGATTGTATACCTGAGTAACACTGAGGCTCAGCCTCTGTAGCCTCTTTCCAGGCCTGGTAGAATCCTATAGAGGAAGCTTTTGGTATATTTGATGCCATCTGCCTGGAGTCATCTAGCATGGTCCTTCATCCGGCAGCTGGGTTTGAAGAGGGAAGGAAAACTCTGGTTGCCTGAGCCTGTGATGACTGAAAATCTAGGCTGTTTTTGAGTGACCTTGTTCCTTATTAAGGAAATTGCTTAACTTCTCCCATCATAGTGTTTTGAAAATGGATACATTGCTGGCTGGCTGATTTAGTATGCATGCATTTATTCTAGGAAGGTCCTCTGAGCACCAACTCTATGCCAAGAGTATGGTGCTAGGCCTGCACAAAACGGGGGACTTTCATTTGTGAGCAATTTGTAAGCAAGTGTTCTGAATTAAGGGCTCTGAATTTAGGTCCTTGGGGACCTTACTGATGGGACTGAGGGATGGCGAGGGCAGAAAGAGTGGGACCTGGCTGGTTGAGGCTGTCAACATCCTGGAGGCACTTCTGACTTGCTGTCTTTTCACTCCGGTACCCCCAGGATCTTTGGCTTTCCTGTGCACTACACAGACGTGTCCAACATGGGCCGTGGTGCCCGCCAGAAGCTGCTGGGAAGGTCCTGGAGCGTGCCTGTCATCCGACACCTCTTCGCCCCTCTGAAGGACTACTTTGCATGTGAATAGTTCCAGCCAGGCCCCAAGCCCACTGGGGTGTGTGGCAGAGCCAGGACCCAGGAGGTGTGATTCCTGAAGGCATCCCCAGGCCCTGCTCTTCCTCAGCTGTGTGGGTCATACCGTGTACCTCAGTTCCCTCTTGCTCAGTGGGGGCAGAGCCACCTGACTCTTGCAGGGGTAGCCTGAGGTGCCGCCTCCTTGTGCACAAATCAGACCTGGCTGCTTGGAGCAGCCTAACACGGTGCTCATTTTTTCTTCTCCTAAAACTTTAAAACTTGAAGTAGGTAGCAACGTGGCTTTTTTTTTTTCCCTTCCTGGGTCTACCACTCAGAGAAACAATGGCTAAGATACCAAAACCACAGTGCCGACAGCTCTCCAATACTCAGGTTAATGCTGAAAAATCATCCAAGACAGTTATTGCAAGAGTTTAATTTTTGAAAACTGGCTACTGCTCTGTGTTTACAGACGTGTGCAGTTGTAGGCATGTAGCTACAGGACATTTTTAAGGGCCCAGGATCGTTTTTTCCCAGGGCAAGCAGAAGAGAAAATGTTGTATATGTCTTTTACCCGGCACATTCCCCTTGCCTAAATACAAGGGCTGGAGTCTGCACGGGACCTATTAGAGTATTTTCCACAATGATGATGATTTCAGCAGGGATGACGTCATCATCACATTCAGGGCTATTTTTTCCCCCACAAACCCAAGGGCAGGGGCCACTCTTAGCTAAATCCCTCCCCGTGACTGCAATAGAACCCTCTGGGGAGCTCAGGAAGGGGTGTGCTGAGTTCTATAATATAAGCTGCCATATATTTTGTAGACAAGTATGGCTCCTCCATATCTCCCTCTTCCCTAGGAGAGGAGTGTGAAGCAAGGAGCTTAGATAAGACACCCCCTCAAACCCATTCCCTCTCCAGGAGACCTACCCTCCACAGGCACAGGTCCCCAGATGAGAAGTCTGCTACCCTCATTTCTCATCTTTTTACTAAACTCAGAGGCAGTGACAGCAGTCAGGGACAGACATACATTTCTCATACCTTCCCCACATCTGAGAGATGACAGGGAAAACTGCAAAGCTCGGTGCTCCCTTTGGAGATTTTTTAATCCTTTTTTATTCCATAAGAAGTCGTTTTTAGGGAGAACGGGAATTCAGACAAGCTGCATTTCAGAAATGCTGTCATAATGGTTTTTAACACCTTTTACTCTTCTTACTGGTGCTATTTTGTAGAATAAGGAACAACGTTGACAAGTTTTGTGGGGCTTTTTATACACTTTTTAAAATCTCAAACTTCTATTTTTATGTTTAACGTTTTCATTAAAATTTTTTTTGTAACTGGAGCCACGACGTAACAAATATGGGGAAAAAACTGTGCCTTGTTTCAACAGTTTTTGCTAATTTTTAGGCTGAAAGATGACGGATGCCTAGAGTTTACCTTATGTTTAATTAAAATCAGTATTTGTCTATAACTGTCTGATGTCCCTTTTCTTCTGCAGGTCAGATGGATGGGACATGGGGGAGGGCCTGGCTAACATGTCAGGGTGGGAGTTTGGAAGTAGGTGATTCATTCATTCATGTATTCAAACGCAATGTGACCCCAAGCTGACTGGAGCTTACTTACAGTGTAATACACTGGTTCTGCACCATTGGCTCACGCCTGTAATCCTAGCCAGGGTGGGCGGATCTTTTCAGTCCAGGAGTTCGAAACCAGCCTTGCCAACATGGCAAAACCCCGTCCGTACAAAAAAAAAACCAATAATCCAGGCTGGGCACGGTGGCTCATGCCTGTAATCTAAGCACTTTGGGAGGCCAAGGCGGGCAGATCACAAGGTCAGGAGATCGAGACCATTCTGGCTAACCCTGGAAACCCTGTCTCTACTAAAAATACAAATTAGCCAGGTGTGGTAGTCCCAGCTACTCTCAGGAGGCTGAGGCAGAAGAATGTCGTGAACCCAGGAGGCGGAGCTTGCAGTGAACCTAGACCGTGCCACTGCACTCCAGCCTGGGCAACAGAGCAAGACTCCGTCTCCAGAAAAAAAAAAAAAAAGAATCCAGCACATCTGCTTCCCTTGGAGGGCTTGTCAGGGCTGTGGTTGCTGGCCCAACCTCCAGAGTTTCTGACTCCAAGTGGACCCTAGGAATTTTCAGTCACACGGTGGCACAATTACTGCTCATTGCAGCCTGGACTTCCCGGACTCAAGTGATCCTCCTCTGTCAGCCTCCAAGTAGCTGGTACCACAGGCATGCACCACCACACCCAGCCTGACCCTAGGAATTTGATGCCACTATCCAGGGAACACACCGGACTAGTGAATGGGTATCTAACTCATGGTTCCCAAATATGGCTTGAGTGTCTGAATTCATTTAAAAGCTCCATGTGTGGGACACCTGTTTCCAGACATACAGATATTGGGGAACTGATCAAGGTGATAATCACCTCTAGCAAAAGATCCTAATGATGATTCTCACAGTTTGTCGCGCTTCGGTGGGATTCTATACCTTATTCCACAGCTCCCAAGTTGATGTGTTGCAGGTCAACCACCTTCCGTGAGGGGGCTAATTGGGAGTGGCCCTGTGGTCCCAGCCTAGCCCGTGTCCTCTACCCTTTGGAGTGTGATTCTCAGCATGCCCCCAACTAAAATCCTGGCCTTCAATGAGCACTCACGATGTCGGTTGCCCTTCTAAGCCTAATATTGCAACACCAGTAATCCCATTTTACTTTACATGGGGTTCCCCAGGCAGAAGTCCCAAGGCCAGAGCCCATCGGGCCACACTCATCTCCAGCCTTTGGTCAGGGAAAAAGGTTAATGCTGGTTAGCTAGCGCATTTAGAGAGGGAATAGGGTGGTGCACTTGGGGTTCACCCACTGAACACCAGTCAGACCGAGCACCTCTGAGCCTCCCAGGCCATGTGTGAGTTGGGCTATAATCATGGCCATCTCTTAAATAAGGTCAGGTTTCTAAAGGGCCTGGCCCAGGGTTTGGGGAGGGAAGAAGCTTCCAGAGTGGAAGGATGAACATGTTATTAGAAAGGTGCTTCAGGACTAGAACAGCCCACGTGCAGGTTGCCATGGTGAGATAACTGGCAATTAGCAAGCTAGCCCCACACAACCTCCCCTGCCTCCCCGGGTATTGAGACCCCAGGGACCTGGGCCACCCAATTAAGCCATCTTGTGTACAATGCTGCACCAAATACCAGGACAGGATGAAGCCAGCTAAACAGCCCTGGCCTCGAAACCCTAAGACAGACGGGCAAGCCCTCCAGATGAGGGGTCCTTGGCGTCCTGGCCTGCTTGTTGGAGTTGGGGGACTCAGAGGGAGTATGGGGGTAATTCTTGTGTTTTCTCAAGATGAGGTTAGGCTGGTATCTGAGTGATCCCAGGTGTTGAGGCAGGGGGAGAATGCAGTGAGTGTTCTGATCTGGGGAAAGAGGTTGGAGTTTGAATCCTATGTGGGCCTTTGCTGAAGCAGTCTTTGGGTTTGCTTGGATTTGTGTCTGGGGTCTGGCATGTTTCTGTGTCACTTGGAGCAAGCAGATGACTTAACCTCTTGGGGTTTTTCATCTCTCACCTAAAAGGTGGAGATACCAGCCCGGTCAACATGGTGAAACCCCATCTCGACCAAAAAAGACAAAAATTAGCTGGGCGTGGTGGCATGCACCTGTCATCCCAGCTACTGGGTGTGGCTGAGGTGGGAGAATGGCTTGAACCCGGGAAATGGAGGTTGTCGCTGTGAGCTGAGATCGCACCACTGCACTCCAGCTTGGGCGACAGAGTGAGACTCTGTCTCAACAACAAAAAAAAGTGATAAAATGGAAATAATAAATCCTACCTACTTCATAGGGTTACTGAAGTTCAAAGGCCAGATCTAGGTAAAGTGCTTTGCCTGACACCTGGCAGGCAATAAACTTCACATATATGAGATGGCATTATTGTAAAAATGAGACCTATTAATCAATGCAGTGCTAATGACAATGAAGACTGGATGCACGTAGTGATAGTAACACACAATGTTTATCAATAATAATAGCCATAGGCCAGGCACGCTGGCACACACCTTGCAATCCCAGCACTTTGGGAGGCTGAAGTAGGCAGATCACTTGAGTTCAGGATTTGAGACCAGCCTGGGCAGCACGGAGAGGGTTTCACACCCCCCTCTACAAAAAAATTTTAAAATTAGCCAGGTATGGTGGCACGCCCCTGTAGTCCAGCTACTCGGGAGGCTGAAGTGAGAGGACCACTTGACCTCAGGAGGTGGAGGTTGCAGTGAGCCGAGATTGCGCCACTGCATTCCAGCCTGGGCAACAGTGAGACCCTGCCTCATACAATAATAGTAATACTTTTTAAAAGGCAGGGTAATATTTCCCCAGATGTTGTCAGCAGCTAGGCTGACTGGTGTCAACTGTAGCAACAGTGGCATCGGGTGTGGAACTTGTGCCCCTCACCACCCCCCACATCCTGTAGAGATCCCAATGCTCCTTGCGAGGGTTCCCATCCTGTCTCCACTTCCCTGCTAATTTGTGACCTTGGGCGTGCTTGGGCCTTGTTTACCCAACTATAAAATAGGGATAATATCAACATCACAGAGCTGATGCGCGGATCAAACAATTCAGTATATGTGAGGCACATGGGATGGGGACTGAATGCTGAGTAAATGACAGTGACAAATGACCCAAAAATGCTTTTTTATTACTGTTAGAGAATTCTGGCAACCCTGTGAGGCCTGATTACCATGATTATAAGTAAGAGAACTGACTCCAAGGAGGTCTCATCACATACCCAAGGTCACCCAGCTAGCAGCAAAAGGAGTTGTGCATTGGAATCTGCTCTGGGAAGCCAGTCTACTTTTTCTCCTTGGTCTCACCTGCATCTTTGTTCTTGTTTGTTGTTTTGCTGGAGCTTGAAATTACCTGCTGCCCTTTGTAGCATTTTGCCCTCCTTCCTAGCTTCCTTCCCTTCCTTTTATCCTGCCTACTTCTCCCCTTTCTTTCTTTCCTTTTTGTGTAACTTTATTGGTTTTTTTTTTGAGACGGAGTATCGCTTGTCGCCCAGGCTGGAGTGCAGTGACGTGATGTCGGCTCACTGCAAGCTCTGCCTCCTGGGTTCATGCCATTCTCCTGCCTCAGCCTCCTGAGTAGCTGGAACTATAGGCGCCCGCCACCACGCCCGGCTAATTTTTTTTTATTTTTTAGTGGAGACGGAGTTTCACCGTGTTAGCCAGGATGGTCTCGATCTCCTGACCTCGTGATCTGCCCGCCTTGGCCTCCCAAAGTGCTGGGATTACAGGCGTGAGCCACCGTGCCTGGCCACTGATCCACCGCGCCCGGCCACGTAACTTTATTGATTTTTAAAAACTTTAAATTATGCCAGGCACGGTGGCTCACACCTGTAATCCCAGCACTTTGGGAGGCAAGGCGGGCGGATCACGAGGTCAGGAGATCGAGACCATCCTGGCTAACACGGTGAAACCCCGTCTCTACTAAAAATACAAAAAATTAGCTGGGTGTGGTGGCGGGCGCCTGTAGTCCCAGCTACTGGGGAGGCCGAGGCAGGAGAATGGCATGAACCTGGGAGGCGGAGCTTGCAGTGAGCCGAGATCATGCCACTGCACTCCAGCCTGGGTGACAGAGCGAGACTCCATCTCAAAAAAAAAAAAACAAAAACCCCACAACTTTTAACTAAAAAATACGCAGGCCAAGTGTGGTGGCACACGCCTGTAGTCCTGGCTACTTGGGAGGCTGAGGTGGGAGGATTACTTGAGCTTATGAGTTTGAGGCTGCAGTGAGCTGTGTTCCTGCCATTGACTCCAGCCTGGGTGACAGAGCAAGACTCTGTCTCTAAAAAAATTACTAAAAATTGGTAATTTTGGACTTACAGAAAACTTGCAAGAATAGTAGAAAGAATTCCTAAATACTCATAACCCAAATTCCCCAGATATTAACATATTGTCACATTTCCTTTGTCATCTTCTCTATATATTAATAACATTTTTCTGATCTCGGCTCACTGCAACCTCTGCCTCCTGGGTTCAAGCGATTCTCTTGCCGCAGCCTCCCAATTAGCTGGGATTACAGGTGACTGCCACCGTGCCTGACTAATTTTTCTATTTTTATTAGAGACGGAGTTTCTCCATGTTAGCCAGGCTGGTCTGGAACTCCTGACCTCAGGTGATTTGCCCGCCTCAGCCTCCCAAAGTGCTGGGATTACAGGCGTGAGCCACCATGCCCGGCTAATTTTTTTGTATTTTTTAGTAGAAACGGGGTGTCTCCATGTTGGTCAGGCTGGTCTCGAACTCCCGACCTCAGGTGATCCGCCCACCTCAGCCTCCCAAAGTGCTAGGATTACAGGCGTGAGCCATCATGTCCGGCCTGTTTTTATTTTTAAGGCTCCCAATTAATTGTGAAATATGCAAACAGAACAGTGCATAAAGCCTGGTGCTTTAGGCTTTGTAACCTATCTTTGTTCTCTAAGCTTTGGTTCATCCCAAGGTCTGAGCATTGCTGAAAGAAAACAGAGGTTGGCGTTACTGGAGTTGGTAACTGCTCATTCTGAGTCTTTGCACATGCTGTTCTCCACCTGTAACAGCCTTCTCCCCTTTCCAGGCTGGTCCTCCAGTTCTTGCCTCTTCCAGGAAAATTTCTTTGCACCTATTCTGAGCAGAATTAGGAGCCCTTCTCCAATCTGAATCCTCCTTCCCTATGTATAGATAGAAGAATCGGGCTGGGTGCAATGGCTTATGTCTGTAATCCCAGCACTTTGGGAGGCTGAGGTGGGCAGATCACCTGAGGTCAGGAGTACAAGACCAGCCTGGCCAACATGATGAAAACTTGTCTCTACTAAAAATACAAAATTAGCCGGGTGTGGTGGCACATGCCTGTGATCCCAGCTACTTGGGAGGCTGAGGCAAGAGAATCGCTTGAACCTGGAAGGCAGAGGTTGCAGTGAGCCTGGATGGCGCCATTGCACTCCAGCCTGGGCAACAGGAGTGATACTCCATCTCAAAAAAAAAAAAAGAAGAAGAATTGGCTGGGCGCTGTGGCTCACACCTGTAATCCCAGCACTTTGGGACGCTGAGGTGGGCAGATCATTTGAAGTCAGGAGTTTGAGACTAGCCTAGCCAACAGGCTACTACCTGTCTCTACTGAAAATACAAAAATTAGCCGGGTGTGGTGGTGCAGGCCTGTAATCCCAGCTACTTGGGAGGCTGAAGCGGGAGAATTGCTTGAACTCAGGAAGCGGAGGTTGCAGTGAGCAGAGATCACACCACTGCACTCCAGCCTGGTTGACAGAGCGAAACACCGTCTCAAAAACAAAACAAAACACAAGAAGAATCTATCTCACCACAAAGCACTATGTATTATAATTTCTGATTTTTTTTTTTTTTTTTTTTTTTTAGGCAGCGTCTTGCTCTGTTGCCTAGGCTTGAATGCAGTGTGGTGATCACAGGCTCACTGCAGCCTCGACCTCCCAGGATCCATTGATCCTCCCACCTGAGCCTCCAGAGTAGCTGGGACTTCAGGTGCATGCCACCACGCTTGGCTGATTTTAAAATTTTTTTGTGGAGTTTGAATCTTGCCATGCTGTCTCTCCTTGGCCTCCCAAAGTGCTGGGATTACAGGCATGAGCCACCACATCTGGCCTATAACTTCTTATTTTTGTAGTCTTCTCCTCCATGAGTTTGTGAGATTCTCAAAGCAGCTTGATCTCCCAACATCATTATTTAGTTCAATAAAGTTGTCATACATTTGTAAAACTCAGGCCTTGAAGTACAATTATTTTGTTTGTTTTGTTTTTGGACAGGAGAGTCATAATTTCTATCTGTGATAATGAGATTGCTTCACATATTAAAACAGTTGCTTTAAGATACATATTACATCTCCGGAGCCATTTCTCTTACAGGATGGAGATTCTTTTTTCTTTTTACCCTCTGGCCTTTTGCTGTCAAGGCTTAATCTGACCCAGATAACCTTGGCCAGCTTTTTCCTCAGTGAGAAGAGTGGATGCTAGCAGGTTACCTGGCCCAATGTCAGTTTTTTGGGAGCTGTCTTGGGAGGGTAGATGAGTTGTACTTTAGAGGGCCTTGCTCCTCTAAAATAGAGTTATCTCCTGTAACTTCCTGTGTCTCCAGAATTAGGTCCAAACTTTCTAGGCTGGCTTTTTTTTTTTCCCCACCTGGAGACAGAATCTCACTCTGTCGCCCAGGCTGGAGTGCCGTGGTGTGATCTCAGCTCACTGCAACCTCTGCCTCCCTGGTTCAAGCGATTCTCCTGCCTTAGCCTCCTGAGTAGCTGGGATTACAGACGCATGCCACCATGCCCTGCTAATTTTTGTATTTTTAGTAGAGATGGGGTTTCACCATATTGGCCAGGCTGGTCTCGAACTCCTGACCTCAAGTGATCCGCCCACCTTGGCCTCCCAAAGTGCTGGGATTACAGAGCCATCATGCCACTGCACCCGGCCTAGAGGCTTTTCCTGATTTGGTTTTCTACACTGATCTCATCCCCCATACTAATGTCCTCACTCCAGACCAAAATGGCCTGCAGGTAATGCTGATACCAATTAATTGACATAATTTAATAACTGACTTTAGACGAAAGGACTCAGAAATCACATTTATTGAGCACATACTATGTGCTAGGCGCAGTCTGATAACTTTATACACTTCCCATTTAATTCTAACAGAATTTGAACCCAGACATACTGGCTTCGCCGTTTATTATTTAGCCTAATGAAAAGTTAATGTCTTTGTGGATAAAACAGAGGTGGCTGGGTGTGGTGGCTCACGCTTGTAATCCCAGCACTTTAGGAGGCCAAGGTGGGCGGATCACGAGGTCAGGAGTTTGAGACCAGCCTGGCCAATATGGTGAAACCCTGTCTCTACTAAAAATACAAAAATTAGCCGGGCATGGTGGTGTGTGCCTGGAATCCCATCTACTCAGGAGGCTGAGGCAGGAGAATGGCTTGAACCCAGGAGGCGGAGGTTGCAGTGAGCCGAGATCACACAATTCCACTCCAGCCTGGGCGACAGAGTGTCTCTGTTTCTTCGTTTTTTAAAAAGAATATAAATAAATAAAATACAGGTAACAGATGTTGCATCAAAGCACTTATAAATATCTTTAGTTGATTATCTATGCTTGACATCAGCTCACCATAATGTTCATATTACTGCTGTCGCTATAATCATTTGTTACATGGTTTTTTATTCTTTATTGTTGCCTCTTTTTTTTTCTTTTTCTTTTCTTTTTTTTTTTTTTTTGAGTTGGAGTCTTGCTCTTTTGCCCAGGCTGGAGTGCAATGGTGCCATCTCGGCTCATTGCAACGTCCACCTCCTGGGTTCAAGCAATTCTCCTGCCTGAGCCTCTCGAGTAGTTGGGATTATAGGTGTCCGCCACCATGCCCAGCTAATTTTTGTATTTTTAGTAGAGACGGGGTTTCACCATGTTGGCCAGGCTGTTCTCCAACTCCTGACCTCGTGATTTGCCGACCTCAGCCTTCCGAAGTGCTGGAATTACAGGCACGAGCCACCGCGCCTGGCTTTTCTTGCCTTTTTTTGCTCAAACTCTGTTTTTTTTTTTTCTTTGAGACAGAGTCTTGCTCTATCACCCAGGCGGGAGTGCAGTGGCACGATCTCAGCTCACTGCAACCTCCACCTCCTGGGTTCAACCAATTCTCCTGCTCCATCCTCCCAAGTAGCTGGGATTACAGGCGCGCGCCACCACGCCCAACTAATTTTTGCATTTTTAGTAGAGACGGGGTTTCACCACGTTGGTCAGGCTAGTCTCAGACTCTTGACCTCGTGATCCGCCCACCTCGGCCTCCCAAAGTGCTGGGATTACAGGCATGAGCCACCACAACTGGCCTTGCTCAAACTCTTTTGCCAAGGTAACTCCTCATCTTTCATGGTAAGTGTCATTTCTGGGAAGCTTTTCCACACTACCTAGGAGAGGTCATGTCTCTTGTGGTGTGCTCTTGGAGCAGTACTCGAGACCGAAGTATTGAAATGCCTCTAGACCTGCTGATAAACAGCTCCTGCCCCAGCTTCCCCACCCATTCTTCCCTGAACGTCTTACTGGGTTTCAGCAACTAACTGGGTGAGATTTGGCCTAGAGGGACCTCTAGGCCCCTGCTCCACACAGTGGAAGTACCATCAGCCCACCACATAATGTCCCTGCCTAGCATTGAGCCTGATTTGTAATTTAACAAGGATTTGTGTCATTAGTTGTGTCCCCTTTGCCTCCCCTGCCAGTCTGGAAACTTTAAGAGGTCAGAAGCTGTGTCTAGTTTTCGTTTTTATCTCTTAGAGATGGAGTTTCACTCTGTTTCCCAGGCCTGGAGTGCAGTGGCGTGATCTTTGCTCACTGCAGCCTCGAACTCCTGGGCTCAAGCGATCCTCCTGCCCCAGCCTTCCCAGTAGCTGGAACTAAAGGCACGTACCACCATGATCAGATTGTGTCTTTTTTTCACCAGGGCCTGATTGGTCAGGGAAAATATTTGTTGAATACTTGAATAAATGATACCCAGACAAAAAAAGTCAGCTTGAAATCTGGATCTACCTCTGACACTGAGTGAGTCAATTGGCCTCTTTGTCCCTCAGTTTCTTTCTGCTGTAAAGTGGTGCAGTTCCTCTTTTTTTCTTTTTTAGACGAAGTCTGACTGCAACCTCTGCCTCCCAGGTTCAAGTGATTCTCCTGCCTCAGCCTCCCAAGTAGCTGGGATTACAGGCGCCCACCACCATGCCCGGCTAAGTTTTGCATTTTTAGTAGAGATGGGGTTTCGCCATGTTGGACAGGCTGGTTTCCAACTCCTGACCTCAGGTAATTCATCCGCCTTGGCCTCCCAAAGTGTTGGGATTACAGGTGTGAGCCACCACGCCCAGCCCAGTTCCTCCTTCAGCCAAGGCTCTCTTGAGAATGTAAGGGCCAGGTGTGGTGGCTCACGCCTGTAATCCCAGCACTTTGGGAGGCCGATGCGGGTGGATCTCTCGAGCCCAGGAGACCAGCCCAGCCTGGGCAACATGGCAAGACCCCATCTCTTAAAAAAAAAAAAAAAAAAAAGAGGGAGTGGGCAAGAGAGAATGTATGTACAGCCATTGGGAAACAACCCGGAACAGGACTCAGGAGGTCCTTGCTCCTGTGGACTTTACAGGAGACAGACAGTAAAGGCACAAGATGCCTTCTTATGGTACTAAGAAGAAAATATGCCGCATGATATTGCAGATGGGGGGGCGGGGGCGTCACAGAACGTGACTTTTTTTTTTTTTTTTTGAGACAGAGTCTTGCTCTGTCGCCCAGACTGGAGTGCAGTGGTGCAGTCTCGCCTCACTGCCACCTCCGTCTCCTGGGTTCAAGTGATTCTCCTGCCTCAGCTTCCCAAGTAGCTGGAATTACAGGCGCCCACCACCACGCCAGGCTAATTTTTGTATTTTTAGTAGAGATGGGGTTTCACTATGTTGGCCAGGCTGGTCTCAAACTCCTGACCTCAGGTGATCCTCCCACCTGGGCCTCCCAAAGTGCTGGGATTAAAGGCGTGAGCCACTGCACCCGGCCCAGAAAGTTGACTTCTAAGCGTTTCCCCAAAGTGTCTATTAGGTATCTTTATGATTCAATAACCCATTCTTACAGAAATTAATTGTAAGCCTGGGAGCGGTGGCTCACGCCTGTTATCCCAGCGCTTTGGGAGGCTAAGGCGGGAGGATCGCTTGAGGCCAAGAGTTCGAGACCACCCTGGGCAACACAGCGAGACCTCCATACATCTCTAAGCAAAAAAAAAAAAAAATTCATTGTAAAAGCAATTTTCTTTTTGGTTACTGCCATAGGGATTTTGTAACTGAGTCACACCGGGCCGAGGCGGGACCTCATTGGCTGCGACCGACCACGTGCCGCAGTCGCCCCGGCGGTCGGGGCCCCGCCCCTCGGCTACCGTTCTGTGGATCAGGGGCCGAGCTCCGCCCCCGGCGCGCGGCTGAGACCCTCTCTATAAAAGGAGCCGGCGGAGGATGGCGAGCCTTTACGTCGGCGCGTAACGAGGGGGTGCGTGTGAGGTCATCGCGCGGGCGGGCGGGCGGGGTCTGGCGGTTTGAACGAGACGAAGACGGAACCGGAGCCGGTTGCGGGCAGTGGACGCGGTTCTGCCGAGAGCCGGTGAGCCGGCTAGCGGGCCCGGGGGGTGCGGCTGGGGGGGCGGCCGCGTGGGCCAAGGCCGGGCGTGCGCGGGCAGGCCCTACGGGCAGCGCCAGGGCCGTTCCACACGGCGGTGCTGTTCGAGCCGGGTGGGGGAAGGGCGGGGCCGTCACCCGGCGCGCGCGGGCTGGGCCTGGGGGCGCGCGCTGCGCTCTGCTCAGGGGGCGGGGTCTCGGGCCGGAAGTGGGCTGCTGCTACGCGGGGTGGGGGTTTCTGGGCCGCCGCTGAGGTGTGGTCCCTGCGCTGCAGCGACTGGAGGTCCCAGGGTGGTTGGGCCCTGGGAGGGTGTGGGCGAGGTGGGCCGTCCTGGGAGCTCTGGGGACGCACATTGTGGGAGGCCGTGTTGCCTGAGGGCCGAGAGATCGGGTGGTGGAGTCAGACCTGGGTTGGGTTCCGTGCGGTGTGACCTTGGACAGGTGCTTTAACCGCTGTGGATCTCAGCTTCCTCATCTGTAAAACGGGGACAGTAATACTACCCACATTAAACTCTTAGCGCGATGTATGGCAGAAAGTAAGCCAGCTCTTGGACTCCCTCCTTTCTTCAGTGTGTGTTTATTGAATGCCCACTAGGTGTTGGGCACCGTGCTAAACCCTGGCTGTTTTCCCGGGAACAAAGATTTGCTCTCCAGGAATCCACATTATGATGAGCAGGAGGACAGTATAACGGGATGGTATCAACAGTGCTAGTTCAGTCCCTACTTCACAGTTGCCCTCGGATGCTGCAGGGCAGAGCTTGACCTCTGCCCCATTTTGGGGATGAGGATCCTGGGGCCCATTGAGGGAGGTTATGCTAGGCCGGGCATCCGCTTCTCCGATGGCATGTCTCTAACAGTAGTAATGATAATAGCAGCTCTTTGTTAGTTGGGCACTTGTTTTGTGTCAAGCACTGTTAAGTGCTCCATGTGGCTTTGTGTCTTTTAATACTAACACTGTCTTTAAGAGAGATTCTCTTCTTCCTTTTTTTTTTTTTTTTGAGACAGAGTTTTATTCTGTTGCCCAGGCGTGCAGTGGCACCATCGCTCACTGCAACCTCCGCCTCCCGGGTTCAAGCGATTCTCGTGCCTCAGCCTCCCGAGTAGTCGGGATTACAGGCGCGCGCCACCAAGCCCGGCTAATTGTTGTATTTTTTAGTAGAGACGAGGTTTCGCCATGTTGGCCAGGCTGTTGTCGAACTCCTGACCTCAAGTGATCTGTCCGCCTCGGCCTCCAAAGTGTTGGGATTACAGGTGTGAGCCACCGCGCCTGGCAAGAGAGATTACTTTCATTTTACAAATAAGGGGTCTGAGACTCTGAGAGGCGGAGTGTCTTATGCAGCCCAGCAAGTGGCTGAACCCCCACCTGGGACTTCAGTGTCTAGGCTCTTAACCTCTTTATTACACTTTCTCCCTGAGGTCCAGAGCTACACATCCAGATGTGCCCTTTGTGGTGGTGCGTCAAAGTGCCTAGCACAGTTTTTGGCACAGAGGGAAGCTTAGGACGTGATGTGCCTTTTGCTTAAGTGTTTTCATGTAGATTTTTGTTTAATCCTTACCACCACTTTGTGCAGAGATACTGTTTTACCCATTTTACAGGATGAGCCATTTGTGATGCAGGAAGATTAAGTGACTTGCCCACGGTCACATAGGTCCTTTCTGGTGGCACCTCCTTCCCCCACTTTACATAGGGCTTATTGTGGTGCCTTGAAAGTAATAGAGTGCTTTAGAGCCAGCGTTGAATTTGTATAGGTTTGGGATCTTGCTAGGAGAGCTGCTGAAGGAAGAGAGATTCCTGGGTAGGTTTGAGGGAGCTTTTTCATGGTGGTGGTGGAAACCTGGATCAGGAAGCCTTGTAAGGGTGAGATTTGTGTGGTAGTCATGGGTCTTCCATGGCTGCCAATGATGGAATTGTGAAGGAAGGGTGAGCTGGAGCTCTGTTTTGATTGTCAGGAGGAGCCAATTAATTGATTGAGTCGGTGGATGTTCATTGTACATCCACAGGGTGCCTAATCCATGTATTTAGTGGCTGCAGCGTTTGTGGAGCACGTGGGACCAGGTATTAATGTACTGCTAATGAAAGTTTTAAATTATATGATGATGAAAGGCCATTAATGTTTTTTGAGCTGGGGTGTGGTCAGGAGACACACATGGCTTTACCAGCTGCTTAGATTTTATAGCAGCATGATGCACACGATACAGTATATATAGGAATGTCGCCATAATAGATTACAATTGCTCAGCTGGGACCATGTCTTTTTTGTTTGAATGTCTCTGGTACCTGATTTTGCGCACAGTATTTTGTTCATTCAAGGATTTTAAACAAGGGAGGCACTTGCTGTGATTTGTGATTCAGGAAATTCTCTCTGGTTTGCTGTGTAAGAACAGATTGACACAGACAAATTTGAAGACTGTTGCAGTGCATCTCCGTGCAAGATGGTGCTGGCAGGTCTCAGGCGCACTGTTTTTGGCATTGGAGATAGGAGGATGAGTGAGACAAGGTCCCTACCCTACATCTTGTTTGTTAAATACCTCTTAAATTTGATGCCATGCCAAATATTTTATGTACCTTATCTAATTTAAACCCTTCTATGACCCTTTTCAGATAGGTGGCTTTAACTTGTAAGGGAACTGAGGTACATTGAGTTTAAGTAACTTGCCTAAGATCACACAACTAATGAGTGACTGCCTCACATTCAAACCCATGTCCTCCTGGCTTGAAATCCTCAGCTGTTTGCATCGAGTGGATTGCTTCCTGGCCCAAATCTGGCTCGAGAATGGTTCAGAAATAACGAGATAATGACAATTCATTGTGGGACTTCCTATCATAAAGGTTTGAATGAATTGCTCTGGAAACATAGGGATTAATTTCCCAGTGGAGTCAGTAACTAAATTGTGTTGGTGTCTTGCATAACATGGTTTTATCAGCTGATTTGGGGAGTGTAACAGTGTTGATGATTTGCTTTCTGACAAGTTTATATAGACACATTTTTCTCTCTTTGACGCTGTTCTGCCAACCTGAAAATAAGTAGTGAGTGCTTGCTATGTGCAAGATACTATGAGGTGCCTGGGAGATGTGAGGGCACGCAGACCTGGCAAGTTATTGACCTCTACAGACCTCAGTCACCCCATAAAAAGGGGACTGGATGGGTGGATTTGCCTCTTCTGGCTGTCACATTCTGTGGCTTGGTGAGTCAGGAGGCTTGCAGCAGCTTAGTGCAGGAGACTGATGTGGAAAGACCAACTCTAGTCACTAGGTGGAGGGAACGAAGTACCGTAAGAGAGCAAGGGGCTGGGATCTCAGGATTGTTCCAGATTGCTCTGCATCTTTCCCCTGCCCCTCCCCACTGGTAATGTTGCTGTCTTATGAAATGAAGAAAATTGTTAAGTGTCTAGGTCACTATGAAGTCTCTGGTATTTCATAGTGTGTCCTCATGGTGACTGCTCAGGGATTTGATTTAGATCTGGATTAGCCTGCCTTTATCTTGAGTCTTCCCTCCCTACTGTCTGTTCTCTACTAGTAGTCAATGTGATCTTTTTCAAACTGTAATGAGAGCAAGATTCTACCGCACTTAAAACCTGAAAGTGCCTGGGTGTGGTGGCTCATGCCTGTAATCCCAGCACCTTGGGAGGCTGAGGCGGAGGATTGTTTGAGGCTGGGCCGCAAAATGAGACCTGGTCTCTACAAAAAATTAAAAAATTAGCTGGGCTTGGTGGTGACCATCTGTAGTCCCAGCTACTTGGGAAGATGAGTCAAGAGGATGGCTTGAGCCTGGGAAGTCAGGGCTGCAGTGAGCCGTGATTGTGGCATTGCACTCCAGCCTGGGTGACAGAGTGACACCCTGCCTCAAAAAACAAACCCAACAGTGGATTTCTTAATAGAATAAAATCCTAACTCCTTCTGTTCCCACCTCAGGCTCTGCTCTCCTTGCTCACTGGGCTGGAGAGCCCTATCTCTAGAGCTTCATGTGGTTGCTTCTTTCTCTGATCCTTAAGCTCAACTGTTCATCTCAGAGAGGCTTCCTCTGACCACATTCCGTAAACCCCGTTGCATAAGTGGTTGGTATGAAATGATGTTTGTTGGTGTATTTGGTCAGTGTCAGACTTTGCACCACTAGAATGTGAACTCCCTGTGGACAGGCACCTTGTCTCTTGCTTTTCTGTATCCTGGTCCCTAGAACAGTGCCTAGCACGCGGTAGAGCTAGTAAACATTTGTAGAATGAGTGACGGTTGACTACACTGGTGCTCATAGACAATAACGCCCACATTTACTAGCATTTGAAAATTAGACTCATTGCTGTGTGTTTATTGTTTTGAATTTGAAAGCCTAGCAGAAAAGGGAGGGAAGAGAATGTGGAGGCTGGGGCTGGGCAGGCTTGCCTGCCAACCCCAGGGCCTCTCTTGTCCTCACCTGTAAAATGAGGGACATGAAGTGAACCTTGCAGAGGGCTGTCAGGGTTAAACAACAAGTGTCTGTGAAGTATCTGGCACTTAGGCCCACAGATGCCCTACCATTGCCAGGTAGCTCTGCAGAGAATTAACTACAAGGATTCTTCACCTGTAAGGTCATTTGATACTGCCTTTTTAATATCTAGGTATTGAAAAGCTGATTTACTTTTTCAATTATGAAAGAATTTATAGTTTTTTTTTTTTTTTTGGAAATAGGATCTCACTGCCTCAACCTCTTGGACTCAGGCGCTCCTCCCACGTCAGCCTCCCAAAGTGCTGGTATTACAGGCATGTGCCAGTGTGCCTGGCCTAGGTATAGTCTTTAAGGAAAATTTGGGAAGTAGTGAAAACTATAAATAGGAATTAATAAAAACCCATCGGGCCAGGCGTGGTGGCTCACGCCTGTAATCCCAGCACTTTGGGAGGCCTAGGTGGGTGGATCACCTGAGGTCAGGAGTTCTAGACCAGCCTGGCTAACATGCTGAAATCCTGTCTCTACTAAAAATACAAAAATTAGCCAGGCATGGTGGCATGCGCCTGTAATCCCAGGTACTTGAGAAGCTGAGGCAGGAAAATCACTTGAACCTGGGAGGCGGAGGTTGCAGTGAGTTGAGATCGTGCCATTGCACTCCAGTCTGGGCACCAGAGCAAGACTGTCTCAAAAAAAAAAAAAAAAGAAAGAAACAAACAAACAAAAAACCATTATCTGAAGAAAATTGTAACATTTTGATATCTTTATGGGTAACTTTGGGCTGATGTTTTCTAAACAGAAAGCATTCTCGTTTATGCATCTGCCTCCCATCATAAAAGCACTTACTCATCCCTTTATTTAGTGCCTCTTATAGTTTAGAATTGTATATTAATCACATTAAAATGGGGCCTCAATTTTAGTCTGGCTGGTGTTGGGCAGTTCATTTCAGGTCATGTTTGTATGTGGAAATCCAGATTCTGTGGCTGGAATCTTAGTGTCTCTCGTTTGGCCTCATGGGGAAGAAGGTGAGGCTTAAAAAGTCAATGTACCTAGGCTGGGCGCAGTGGCTCACACCTGTAATCCCAGAACTTTGGGAGGCCAAGGTGAGTGGATCACCTGAGGCCAGTAGTTCAAGACCAGCCTGGCCAACATGGTGAAACCCCATCTCTACTAAAAATACAAAAATTAGCTGGGTGTGGTGGTACACGCCTGTAATCCCAGCTACTCGGGAGGCTGAGGCAGGAGAATTACTTGAACTTGGGAGGTTGCAGTTGAGTCGAGGTCGTGCCACTGCACTCCAGCCTGGGCGACAGAGTGAGACTCTGTCTCAAAATAAAATAAAATAAAATAAAATAAAATTGAGTGTTCCTACAGGTTTGCTTTTGGTGACTCTCTAGGAAACACTTGACCTTACTTGCATGCCTAATGTAACACAGGCCCTTCTCTTTTCTTCCCATGCTTTAGAAGATGGCAGTGAACGTATACTCAACGTCAGTGACCAGTGATAACCTAAGTCGACATGACATGCTGGCCTGGATCAATGAGTCTCTGCAGTTGAATCTGACAAAGATCGAACAGTTGTGCTCAGGTAAGAGAAATCTGCTGGATCATTTTTCTAGGAAAGCCTGTAGGTTTTTCAGGAATGTGAAGGCCTGTATCTGACTGCAAAGCCACACACAGAGGTTCAGGGTCTTTGTTAGGGCCACCCTGTTTCTTCCTCTCAGCCCTGCCTTTGCTTCTGCTTCCAAAGGAACTTTTTTTTTTTTTTTTTTTTTTGACAGAGTCTCGCTCTGTTGCCCAGGCTGGAGTGCAGTGGCGCGATCTCGGCTCACTTCAAGCTCCGCTTCCCGGGTTCACACCATTCTCCTGCCTCAGTCTCCTGAGTAGCTGGGACTACAGGCGCCTGCCACCACGCCTGGCTAATTTTTTTGTATTTTTTTTAGTGGAGATGGGGTTTCACCGTGTTAGCCAGGATGGTCTTGATCTCCTGACCTCATGATCTGCCTGCCTCGGTCTCCCAACGTGCTGAGATTACAGGTGTGAGCCACCACGCCCGGCCTTTTTTTTTTTTTTTTTTTTTTTTTGAGATGGGGTCTGGCGCTATTGCCCAGGCTGGAGTGCAGTGGTGCAGTCTTGGCTCACTGCAACCTTCGCCTCCCGGGTTCAAGCGATTCTCCTACTTTAGCCTCCAAAGTACCTGGGACTACAGGCGTGCATCACCACACCTGGCTAATTTTTTTGTATTTTTAGTGGAGACGGGGTTTCACCATGAGGTCGAACTCGTGACCTCAAATGATCTGCCTGCCTCAGCCTCCCAAAGTGCTGGGATTACAGGCATGAGCCACCATGCCTGGTTGGAACTATACTTAAATAAAGAGTGTGCTCTGGCCTGCAGGTCCACCATCTTCTGCTCTAGAGACTGCATTCTGAGGCCTGAAGCTCAGCCCCGACTTCTTGGTGTCTATTATTGTGCATCCAGATTGCATGTTTTATTTGAGGACAGTAATTGTATTAACTACTGTCTGCTGTTCTAGTTTTATGTTCATCAGTGGCATTTCTTATTCCCAAGAAGTACAAGATCAAAGTCTAGCAAATATCATTTCAGCCACAATTTTATGGAACTACTGTTTAACAATAATTTGGCAAAGATGTAATGATTTAAAGTCTCGGTGTGGTGGCTCACGCCTATAATCCCAGCACTTTGGGAGGCTGAGGCAGGCAGATCACCTGAGGTCAGGAGTTCAAGACCAGCTTGGCCGACATGGTGAAACCCCGTCTCTACTAAAAGTACAAAAAAATTAGCCGGGGGTGGTGGCAGGCGCCTGTAATCCCAGCTGCTCTGGAGGCTGAGGCAGGAGAAACGCTTGAGCCCGGGAGGTGGAGGTTACAGTGAGCCAAGATCGCACCACTGCACTCCAGCCTGGGTGATAAGAGCGAGACTCCGTCTCAAAAAAATGAAAAATAAGTAGTGATTTAAAAGAAGAACAAAAACATGGTCTCTTTCTATGTATGCTAATCGTATGACGTGGGAAACTAGAAAGAAGAAAACAAAAAAATGCCTTATAATTCCACTATTCAAGCCGGCTACTGTTCACTCACTAATCATGAGCCACTGTGCCTGCCCTGGATCGATCTTAAATTACTGCCATTGCTTGGCCGGGTGTGGTGGCTCGTGCCTGTAATCTCAGCACTTTGGGAGGCCGAGGCGGGTGGATCATGAGGTCAGGAGTTTGAGACCAGCCTGGCCAACATAGTGAAGCCCCGTCTCTGCTAAAAATACAAAAAATTAGCCAGGCTTGGTGGCACGCACCTGTAGTCCAGCTACCCGGGAGGCTGAGGCAGGAGAATCGCTTGAACCTGGGAGGTGGAGGTTGCAGTGAGCCGAGATCATGCCACTGCACTCCAGCCTGGGTGACAGAGCGAGGCTCTGTCTCAAAAAAAAAAAAAATTTATTGCCGTTGCTTATAGGATTTTTTCTTTTTTTTTTTTGAGTTCAGCTTCTGCCCTTCCTTATTTTATAGCTGGGTCCTAGTCTCGGTCTTAGTTTCATTGACTTGTCTTGTTATTTCCTTGGTGAGGTGTATTTAATCTTGGTTTTACGGATGGTCAGATGGAGGCTACGTGTGAAGCTGTACAGTAACACAGTGGTGCCCAAGAGTTGTGTTTATTCAGCATTAATTACTTTGCTGATCATAGACAACAGGCTGTTAGCCTTAGATCTGTGCTGTGTCCCCCCCACCATTTTCTATTAGTTTCCTCATTATTCATTTCCCTATCCCCATTTGTGTGAGGCTTTTAAAGCACTTGTTTGACCTGTGTTCTGTGACTAATGTGAGGATGAGGTCATCCTAGTTTTCACTGGAGCCAGCTTTTTACCAGCAATTCCCTCTAAAATTTACCTTTTTCTGTAAATATATTCCAAAGTCTATTTCACTTAGTTAATTGGAAAATGTGATCTTTAATGTTTAGATAAGTTGTATATGTGCTGATCGGGCTCTAGGTTTATCTCATTCAGGCAGAGAGCTGTTGTAGACAGGACTGGGCATAAAGAGGCTTCAGTCTGCTCTGAGCCATGTGACTTTTGACAAGACCCTTAATGTCTTAGTTCTTCATCTGTGAACTGGGGCAGCGATACCTGGCCCACTTGTTGGCCAGTGTGAGAATCACCTATAATAACAGCTTTCAGATAACTGACTGTGTGCCAGACCCTGGAAATGAGTGCAGGTCATTTGATGGGGGCACATCCTCCTTTTACAGATGAGGAGACTAACCCTGGGGCACAGCTTATGTATTACAGAACCTGGTTTTGAACCAGATCTTTCTGAGCACACAGCCCACATGCATCCTGCTGCATACTTGTTATATCTTTTATAGAAACATTTGGAGGGGATTAAACAAATGTAAATTACAAATGTAAATTACATATAGTTAATTATAGTGATACTGTTTCACTATAAAGTCTGTGAGGTTTGTCAGTTGTTTTTTTTTTCTTTTTGAGACTGGAGGCTGGAGTGCAGTGGCGTGATCTCGGCTCACTGCAACCTCCGCCTCCCAGGTTCAAGCGATTCTCCTGCCTCAGACTCCTGAGGAGCTGGGATTACAGGTGCGTGCCACCTGTAATTTTTGTATTTTTACTAGAGACGGGGTTTCACCGTGGTGGTCAGGCTGGTCTTGAACTCCTGACCTTGTGATCCGCCCACCTCGGCCTCCCAAAGTGCTAGGATTACAGGTGTGAGCCACCGCGCCTGGGTGGTATGTCAGTTTTGTCTCATGTCTGCTACTTTTCCCAAATAAAGTGCTTTTTCTCCCTAGAAAAGGGTAAGTGCAGGACACTTAACTGTGATTTGTAAACAAACTTGTTCATTCATAACTAGTCTTCTTGAAAGCCGTATAAGATGTCTCTTGGAGTATGTAGATGGTTGCATTGTGTTTCACATTGGTGTTTAGAAAATGAGGTCTTGCTTCCAGTATGAGAGCAGACAGGATGAGACACAGACATTGTCTCTCTGAAGAAGGCCCGCTGCCAGGGGTTTGGAGTCAGAGAAAGTGAGGCTCCTCAACTCCTTGTGCTTACTGAGGCCCAAGGAGAATTCCAGGAGCTTTTGATGCTGGTGCCAGATCCTTCCTAACCTCATCTCTGATGAGCAGAGGATCTAGCAGACCAGAGTTCTCCACTAAACACAGCTTTACAAAGTAGGAATACATTTCTTCCTTGAGAGGGCAAAGTGCTGAGGTCCTTTGTTAATCTGCCTGCTGCCTGTGAAGTGGCCAAATTTTGTCAGCAGTGGGCTCTCCTACCCCCAACAGTGAGCTGAGCCTTTGCTTGGCTCTGGTAGAGGGAGATTAGGCAAGGATAACTTTCAGTGAAAGATTTGGCAGGTTGTTTCAAGATTCATTAATACATTCTGTAGTCTCCGTAGTTTGGAGAGCTAGTCATCAAGTATTTTGGAAAGATAGTCATCATGAGGAAAAACCTGGTCAAAGAGAATGATTTTTATGAGAGCTTTTTTTTGTCAGAAAGGGAGTACTGGTTGCTTTTGTGAATTGTTCCTGTGTTGCATTCCATATTCAGGCCCCTCTGCATTTTCTCAAGAGCACAGCTTGGTCCTCTGCACATGTAGAGGGGTCTCACTGAATGTATTCGGCTCTCCCCTTCTCCTCCTTGTCTTCTCCCTCCAGCCTGGCTTCCTTTATGGGTTCCTTCGCAGCAAAGGTGTTGATGTTCCCAGGCAAATGGTAGATTCCTTTCTCCTCAGCTTAATGTGGGGCCCCGACAGCCCTTGAGTTCATGTAAGACAGCTTGGCGATCTTGCTTCTGCTGCACTGCTAATGACATGGTCCTCCTGCTCTGGGAGTGTGTTATCACACCTGTAACCAGGCCTCTCCCAGCTCAGATCTGGTCTGATATTTCTGTTTATGGGATACTTTTGCCCTACCTGTCATTACTTAAAATCTCAGCTTTGTTTTCTCCTCAGGCTAGCTCCCTTTTCCAGGTACTCCATTTGGGGCCATGATTCCATCTTTCTTCCAGTGTCCCAGGCCTGAGAAGCATCTTTTGAGGCTAATTCACAGTTTTATTTGTCTTCTGAAAGAGCTTCTAGATCCAGCCCCTTCTCAGATTGCTCACTGCTGCTGCAGTGGCCTCCTGACTGAACACTAAGTTCCCTCTAAGTTCCCAGCCCCCACCTTCCCTTTTGTTATATTGCATAAGTCTGCAGCCTTTCTGAGGGACTGGTTTTATCAAGTCACATTTCTGATCAAGGAAGTATCTCTTCAAACTTTTTTTTTTTTTTTGAGGCGGAGTCTCGCTCTGTTGCCCAGGCTGGAGATCTCCGCTCACTGCAAGCTCCACCTCCCAGGTTCTCACCATTCTCTGCCTCAGCCTCCCAAGTAGCTGGGACTACAGGCGCCCGCCACCACACCCGGCTAATTTTTTTGTATTTTTAGTAGAGACGGGGTTTCACCGTGTTTGCCAGGATGGTCTCGATCTCCTGACCTCGTGATCCGCCTGCGTCGGCCTCCCAAAGTGCTGGGATTACAGGTGTGAGCCACCGCGCCCAGCCTCTTCAAACATTTTTGCCTAAGTCTTCAAGCACCTCCTTGATTTTTCCCTTGCTTTACATAAAGCAAACCAAAACAGAAGATAGGAAGCTCATTTTCTTCTGATTATGAATAGTTAGGTCTTCATTAAAAAAAATTAAAGGCCAGGTGTGGTAGTTCATGCCTGTAATCCAGCACTTTGGGAGGCCGAAGTGAGAGGATCACCTGAGCCCAGGAATTTGAGATCAGCCTGGGCAACATGACAAAACCTTGTCTCTAAAAAAGAAAAAGAAACATGAAGAGAATCATACTCGCATAAAAGTCTATCAGGAGGACTGGATGCCAATATTTATGTAATTGATTCTTTCTCTTTTTAGAAATAGGGAAATAAATAAGAATGTTTCTTTCTTTTTTTTTTATTCCTGTACAATTTTGGTAACCAGTTTCATGCATAAGTTGTTGACTTTTTTTTTTTTTAACTCCTGTGCAATTTTGGTAACCAGTTTCATTCATAAGTCATTGTCTCTTTTTTGTTGTTTTTTTTTTGAGACGGAGTCTTGCTCTGTCTCCCAGGCTGGAGTGCAATGAATGGTGCGATCTCAGCTCACTGCAACCATCGCCTCTCGGGTTAAAGCGATTCTCCTGCCTCGGGTTCCCAAGCAGCTGGGACTACAGGCATACGCCACCACGCCTGGCCAATTTTTTTGTATTTTTAATAGAGACGGGATTTCATCATGTTGGTCAGGCTGGTCTCGATCTCCTGACTTCAGGTGATCTGCCCGCCTTGGCCTTCCAAAGTGTTGGGATTACAGGTGTGAGCCACCGCGCTTGGCCAATTTTTCTTTTTTTTAATTGTGTAAAATAGTACTGGGTAAAATACCACTGTGGATATAGTTGCTGAATAGATTGTCTTCTATTTGGGTTTTTAAAAAAAGTTCGTCCGTTTCAAAAAAAAAAAAAAAAACAAAAGAATGCCCTCAGTGTACTTTTGTTGGATGAGTAAATAAATCAGTCACCTCAGAAATCAAGGCCTTAACCTTCTGAAGATCCTTTCTTAATTAAGAATGTCACCCTGGTCACTGAAGTGCCCCTGCTCTCGTTTATGTTGACTTTCCAAAAATAACGGTAACCGAACATGCTGGAACCAGCAGAGAACTGGTTCGGCCTGACCTCAAGTAAGTTGAATATGCATTTTATGGCAGTCTTGAATTCTGCAGATTACTTATTACTTAACCACTGGTTTAGCTTCCCAAGCTTGTTCCTTTGGCAAATTAGCCCTGGAAGGGCAGTAAAGTACACAGTGAAGCCTGCTGTGAATTAGGAGAGTTCAGTTTGTCGGCATTAGAGAAATAATCTTCCTGGAAAGTTTAAGCAGTAATAAAACACTTTTTGGAAAAAAAAAATGGGCAAGTGGGGGAAGGAATGAAATGGGATGAAATATTGCAATAATTTATTACAGTAGTCTCTTTTTTTTTTTTTTTTTTGAGACGAGGTCTCTCTCTGTCCCCCAGGCTGGAGTGCAGTGATGTGATCATGGCTCACTGCAGTCCTTGACCTCTTGGGCTCAAGTGATCCTCCTTCTTCAGCCTCCTGAGTAACTGGAACCACAAGGGCATGCCAACACGCCAAGCTAATTTTGGTATTTTTTGTAGAGACAGGGTTTCACCATGTTGCCCAGGCTGTTCTCGAACTGCTGGACTCAAGTGATCCACCTGCTTCCCTAAGTGTTGAGATTACAGGCGTGAGCTACGGTGCCTGGCCTTATCATAGTAGTCTTTATTTATTTATTTTTGAGCCAGAGTTTCGCTTTTTTTTTTTTTTTTTTTTTTTTGAGACAGTGCAGTGGCCTGAGAGAATCGCTTGAACTCAGGAAGTAGAGGTTGCGGTGAGCCGAGATCACGCCACTGCACTCCAGCTTGGCAACAGAGCGAGACTCTGTCTCAAAAAAAATAAATAAATAAAAAATTAATAGAGGAACACAAAAATGTCTTCTATTCAACTTTGTTAATTAAATGACGGGTTGGCTGGGTGCTCTACAAAAAGAATAAAAAACTAGTTGGGCGTTGGTGGCACGTGCCTATAGTCCCGCTACTCCAGAGGCTGAGGTGGGAGGATCACTTGAGCCTGGGAGGCAGAAGTTGCAGTGAGCTGAGATTGTGCCACTGCACTCCAGCCTGGGCGACAGTGAGACCCTGTTTCGAAAAGAAAAGAAAAGAAATGATAGGTTAAATGTATTTAGAGATGTAAAAAGCCCAGGGAGACAGACGTCTTAGGGAAAAAAATGTTTTTTAATCTAGATCAAGGATGGATCTTGGAAATTGCCTCCTGAAGAGGAGGGTATATCTTTGTGAAAAATCAGAAAATGTCACTTTTGTTATTTTCTTTTCTGTATTTTAGGCATTCATTTTTGTTTCTAGTGGTCATTTTATTGTCATGATGATTACCAATAAAGAACAGGAGTTTTAAAATTTTGTAGAAACACTCCTTTTCTCCTTGTTATAGGCTTCTGGGTTGCAAGTATGTTGTAGAATATATGGGGTGAAAACCACAGTCTTGTTACAGGTTTTAGAAATTGACTTCACATGAAGTTAGTGAAGCTTTTGGTTTTTGTAGGTCTACTTCACAATTTTAAAAATTGTATTTGGTTTAAGTGGGTCTGGGAAGAAGTTCACCCTGCTTCTTTAATTGTATTTTTCTGTTGCCGTTGTTCTTTCAGGGGCTGCGTATTGTCAGTTTATGGACATGCTGTTCCCTGGCTCCATTGCCTTGAAGAAAGTGAAATTCCAAGCTAAGCTAGAACACGAGTACATCCAGAACTTCAAAATACTACAAGCAGGTTTTAAGAGAATGGGTGTTGACAAAGTAAGTAAACGTTATCTTTTATTGTGGTTAATGTTCCTTAATGATCGTTACTAAGGAGGTAGATGCTAGCTTATGACTTTGGACATTTTCTTTTTTTTCTTAATTTATCTAGTTAACTTTTCTCAGTTAACACAGAATTTACTGGGAGCAGTTTGCCCCTACCTTCTTGCCCCTATTCCCCTTGCTTGTTTCTTTCTTCATCGTCTGTGAAGTTAGTAACTGTTTAGAGGAGTCAGCCTGTAAATTTGTACAGTGATTTTTATTTTTAAAAAATTCCTGTGTAATCTCTAGTAGTCTGGAATCTAACTCTCTTAATCTGGATTTACTTCTGTAAAAGCATACTGTATGTAGAATAGTTCCAGTAGAGAAGATTCTAGGCCAGGCGTGGTGGCTCACACCCGTAATCCCAGCACTTTGGAGGCTGAGGTGGAGAAGATTCTAGAAATACTTGCTTTTTATAGAAGGTTACAAGGAGGCTCCGTGGTGGGTGCTGGAAAACTCCTTTCTGCCCCCAAAGGTTTTTGAAGGTAACAGAAACATGGTCCACCAGGCATGGTTTAGCACAAACATTTAATGTTTAGCACAAATATTACCTCTGTTTTAGTAGATAATAGATTAAGTAGTTTATCCCTTCCCCCACCCTTGTGAAGGGTTTATCCTTTTAAGCCATTTTTGGGGGGATAACTTTTTTTTTTTATGGCAAAGGTAGTAACACCCCCAATTATCTTGCTGGTGTCTGGTTTTTATTTATTTTGAAATCAGGGTTTTTTTTTAATTTTAGTTTTGTCTCTACAATATATAAAATAGGCATTTATAGTATAAGAATATCACTTAACTTTCCAGGCATAGTTTAAATAGAGTTCATATACAGTAATTTTGCATTCATTATTATGGAATTTTATTTTTTGAATATGGAAAATGTCTAAAGTATATAAAAGTAATAATAGTGTATAAACAATAAATAGTAAATAGTGTAATGATCCCTCATGTAACTCAATGGTTAGCATGGCCAATTTTGTTTTATATCTAATTCTATCCTATCCTATGTATTCTGGGTTATTGAAGTGAGTACAGAGGTAATATTTGTGAATGTTTCAGTATCAAGCAAAGTAACTTTTAAAAATTATATTTGTCAGAGGGGTGGATATATTATTGGATATATTCTTTTTATAATACATTGCAACTGGAATCTTTGGAGATTAAAAGATAGTTAAAAGCCAGGCATGGTGGCTCATGCCTGTAGTCCTAGCTACTCTGGAGGTTGAGGCAGGAGCATCATTTGAACTCAGGAGTTTGAGGCAGCAGTGAGCTATGATTGCAGCATAAGACTCCAGCCTGGGCAACAGAGCAAGACCCCATCTCTAAAAAAGATTAAAAAGTTAAGTTGTGGCCAACACTTCAGTGATTTGAATACTTGAAAACACAGTATTCTTGTATAATAGAAATACTTACAGGGTCCTTATGTATATTTGTTATTTTTTGTGTGTGTGTTTTTATTGGTGTTTTTTTTTTTTTTTTGAGATGAGGTCTTGCTGTGTTGCCAGTGCTGGTCTAAATTCCTGGACTCAAGCAGTCCTCAAGATAGCTAGGATTGCAGGTGGGCAGCCCTGCCCCCAGCAAGCATGTTTTAATAGGATTTGGAATTACTTGGAAAACATGTCATTTTGTAAAAATTTATCCTGAGACTGATTCTGCATCTTGATCTATTTTCAGGTTAGAATTATTCTTTTTTCTTTTCTTTTCTTTTCTTTCTTTTTTTTTGAGACAGAGTCTCACTCTGTTGCCCAGGCTGGAGTGCAGTGGTGCAATCTCAGCTCACTGCAACCTCCACCTCCCGGGTTCAAGTGATTCTCGTGCCTCAGCCTCCTGAGTAGCTGGGATTACAGACGCCCGCCACCACACCCGGCTAATTTTTGTATTTTTAGTAGAGACAGGGTTTCACCATATTGGCCAGGCTGGTCTCGAACTCCTGACCTCAAGTGATCTACCTGCCTTGACCTCCCAAAGTGTTGGGATTACAGGTGTGAGCCACCACGCCCGGCCCAGAATTTTCTTGAACACAGTTCATTGTAGATGCCTTTGGTTGGTTTGTGCAATGGATTTTTCTTCCCTTTTCTTAAATGGGGTCTCTCTCTGTCACCCAGGCTGGAGTGCAGTGGCACAGTCTCGACTCACTGCAACCTCTGTCTCCTGGGCTCAAGCAGTCCAATCTCAGCCTCCCAAGGAGCTGGGACCATAGGCGCATGCCACCACACCTGCCTAATTTTTTTGTATTTTTGGTAGAGCCTAGGTGTCACCATGTTGCCCAGGCTGGTCTCAAACTCTTGCCCGCCTTGGCCTCCCAAAGTGCTGGGTTTACAGGCATGAGCCACTGTGCCTGGCCTGTGCAGTGGATTTCATGCTTTGTGATAGGCATTGTGGCCATGCAAGTTATATAGCGGACCTACTCTTTATAGCATAATGCACTTTTGTATCACGTCTTACGATGTGCTTGGATGGATGTGTGTATGTGACTTATATGGTACTTGTTCCTTTTTTGTTTCTGATTCCTTTTCATACATTTGAGAGAGTGGGGAGGGGTTGGGAAGTGTAGGTACTCTTGAAGGCAAACTGCATGAAACTTGCTTTATAAATTTAGGGGCTTAGCCCTAAGGTCTCTAAAATATTTTTTTCTCCTTTTGGCAGAGCTTTATAATGAATTGATGCATGGACTAGTTTGATGCTTGCCAAAAGCCTCTTTTTTGGGGCTAAACAGTTGTTTTTCTCTGCAGATAATTCCTGTGGACAAATTAGTAAAAGGAAAGTTTCAGGACAATTTTGAATTCGTTCAGTGGTTCAAGAAGTTTTTCGATGCAAACTATGATGGAAAAGACTATGACCCTGTGGCTGCCAGACAAGGTCAAGAAACTGCAGTGGCTCCTTCCCTTGTTGCTCCAGCTCTGAATAAACCGAAGAAACCTCTCACTTCTAGCAGTGCAGGTAAAAAAACAACCCCAAAACGTTTCCAAAAAATAGCGTTCCAGATATTCATTCAGCGTTCAACTAGAATTTTTTTCAGTAGCCATAGGCTTAGGGATCTTAAGAAATATAATCCCAGGCATGTGGCCAGAGTATGGATTTTGGCATCAGGCAGATAACGGTGTGTGTCCTTAGGTGTCTGTAGCCCTGTGTAAGCAACTTCAACTCTGCCCCACAGTTTCCTCCTCTATAAAATGGGAATTTTAATACTTGCCCCAGAGGGTTTTTGAAACTTGAACAAGTTACTGTATGCAGTTTTGCCAAAGCTCTAGAAATCCATCAGGCTAGCTCATGTAAGAGAGCATTAGTTTGTTCCAAAACAAGGGCATTTTTACAGAGCCCTAGGATGGGAAGTTATACCAGAGCTGAACTCCTTGAAGGAAGTGTGTAGGTCTCTCAGGGACTGCTCTTGGCTGTCTGTGTTATTCTCTCTGTAGACCAGCTTCCTGTGTATACTCACAGCTTCCCTACCTGCCCTAGAACTTTAGCTGCTAGGTGACTTTGGCTTGCCATGGTGCTAGCAGAGTCAGGGGCGGGGGTAGGGGAGAGGCTGATTTTACATACCTTCTCAAAAGGGTATGGGCTTGGTAGCTTTCCCAAGATGTGTTTACATTAGTATAGAATGTGTATATTTTGGGGCAGGGTAGATACTCTACAGATGCTAATTTCTTCTTTTCCAGAGGATGGCAAGAATATTAGTTAAGGTTTCATAATACCTAGAGAGAGGCTTGTTCATCTGATAGAGAGGGTAGGTTGAGTGCTTTCTAAATAGCTTAATGGAGAGACAATTCGCATGCCATATAATTATATTTTTATATTTAAAGTATAAAGTTAAACGGTTTTTAATATATCCAAAGAATTGTGTAACTATCACCACAATCAATTTTAGAACATTTTCATCACTCTGAAAAGAAACCCTGTGCTGGGCGCAGTGGCTCATGCCTGTAAATCCCAGCGCTTTGGGAGGCTGAGGCAGGCAGATCACTTGAGGTCAGGAGTTTGAGACCAGTCTGGCCAACATGGTGAAAACCCATCTCTACTGAAATACAAAAATTATCTGGGCATGGTGGTGCATGCCTGTAATCCCAGCTACTCAGGAGGCTGAGGCAGGAGAATCGCTTGAACCCAGGAGGTGGAGGTTGCAGTGAGCCAAGATCGCACCACTACACTGCAGCCTGGGTGAGAGAGACAGACGCTGTCTCAAGAAAAAAAATAGAAAGAAACCTTGTACATAGTTAATAGTTGTCACTTCCCACTTTCCCCAGCTTTACCCCCTCCCTCCAGCCCTAAGCAACCACTTATCTGCTTTCTGTCTCTGGATTTGCCAGTTCTAAACTTTTCCTATACATGGAGTCATAGAGTATGTGATCTTTTGTGTCTGGCTTCTTTTGCTCAGCCTGCTGTTTTCAAGGTTCATCCATGCCCTAGCATGTATCAGTCCTTCATTCTTTTTTATTGTGGAATAATATTCCATTGCATGCCTATACCTCATTTGATTCAGCAGTTCATGGTCTTTTGCGTTGTTTCCCACTTTATGGCAGATAGGAATAATGCTGCTGTGAACGTTCATATACGGCTTCTGTGTGGACCTACAAGTTTTGATTTCTCTCAGTTACAGACCCAAGAGTATATACTCTGGGAGCAGAATTGCTAATTGCTGTGCCATGTGTTAACTCTGTATTTAACCTTTTGCAGAACTACCTGTTTTCCAAAGTGCCTCAGCTCTTTACATTCCCATCAGCAGGGTTCCCGTTTCTCTAGATATTGAGTACTTTTTATTCTTTACCTGTTTAGAATGGGAAACTACATAGATAACCCCGTGCATTTCATATTTCAGATGCTGCTACCAGTTGAGTGGAGACGTGCATTAAGCATTTAGTCTTTGGGATAAACGTGCTAGAGAGAGTCATCCAGAGGAAATGCCTATTACTGTGGGTGACAGGCCTTGTGATTATAGTTTGGGGTGTTAGGAAGATGAGATATTTTCAAACCTGGCATGTAATATGCAAACTTTACAAAATAATTGCTAAGTAGGTGAATCATCAGTGATATATATACCTTGAGGTTTAGCCCATTCTTGATTAATTTTACTTGTAGATAGGTTGGCTCCTTTACTCCTTTTTTCTTGTCTTTGTCTGCTTTTGGCTGTAAATACTGAGAGACGTCTATAAATACTAGTCAGTGTGATGCTTTTCTCTCCTCACTCTTCTAAACTCCTTCTAAAAGGTAAGCAGAGATGAAGATTTTAAAGCAATTCATGGGAAGAGCAGGCTCTCCTGCTCTTATGGATTCCCTCCCTCTTCCACTCCAAGGAGTCTGAGGTGAGGAGTTAGGAGGGACCTAACTTTCCAGATGGGGAGCAGTGGGCACCTGGCAACAGCCGAGACTGTGTGCTCATGTCTAGCGTGAAGTTTGCCTTTGCTCTACGAAGCTGGATTTGGTTTGTAGATGTGTTAACTAAATCTTAGCTGTTGTAACCAACATGAAACAACCTGTTTGTGGATTTGGTCAGAGCTGGGTTAAGGTGGATCATCTCTGTGCACCAGAATGACTGTACCCCTTTCAGATGGTAGTCCTGTTCACCGCAGTGGAGAAAAGACCTCACTGAAGGACTTATTCCCAGCATGAAACATCATGACAGAAATTGGTACTTAACTCTGCTGCCAGGATAGAAACCACTCAGTAGGCAAATGTGGGAGCGTTGTCTTGCATGCGGGGGCTCTCTAGCATTGGTTCCCTTCACTGAACACCTGTGCAAGGCAGATGGTCACAGCTTCTCCATGTTGTCTTGTGGATTTTTTGTTTGTTTGGGCTGGAATTACTCCTTTTCAAAAACCTGTGCTCTCTTTTTCAGCTCCCCAGAGGCCCATCTCAACACAGAGAACCGCTGCGGCTCCTAAGGCTGGCCCTGGTGTGGTGCGAAAGAACCCTGGTGTGGGCAACGGAGACGACGAGGCAGCTGAGTTGATGCAGCAGGTGGGCACCCCTGTGTTTAGCACGTGAGTCACCTCGGGGGATAGGATCCTTGCGGTGGCCAGGGTGCCTTATCCGTGTTCTTAAATGAACACCTGCCTTGTTTGCTTGCCAGAGCATGTGACACGTGTGAGCCTCAGGTGCTGTGCGGGGAGCATGAACGTGGAGATGTAAGAGAGAGATCAGGTGTGCCTGGGCTCTCTTAGTGTGGCAGAAGCCTGTGCTCGGAAGCCAGTGCTTAGACTAGAATCCTGTTGAATGTTTCTGGAATGCTGCCAGGGACCTGGGATTTGGAGAATGAAAGATAAAGGAGGTCTCCTTTTTGAATAATTTAATAAAAAGGATTCCGCAGTCTCTCTGCTGAGTCCTAGACTGGGGTCACTGGAGATTGGAATTCAGAGTGGAACTGGTATGAAAAGCCTGTGGCTCTTCTAGTTCTGTTCTTAGTAATTGGGTGATTCGAAATGTCTTCTTCAGGAGTAAATGTCCTTAAGGCACCTGTCAGAGGTCTCTGTGGATCAAAACAAGTTTTAGACTTTTAGACATTTTCCCACTAATCCTTGTAATTGGTTGGTTTGCTTGCTTTCAGATGATTCTTTTTGTTAATTCTATTTTTTAAATTTTGTTTTATTAAAAAAGTTTTTTTAATAAAATAGAGATAGGGTCTCACTATGGTGCCAAGGCTGGTCTCTAACTCCTGAGCTCAAGTGATCCCCCTGCCTGAGCCTCCCAAAGTGCTGGAGTTACAGGTGTGAGTCACCACGCCTGGCTCCATTGAAAAAATCTGGGATGCTCTGTGATTCCAGTGAGTTTGGGATTGCATCCTTTTACTTTTCTAAAAGCCAAGTCCTGAAACTTGAGGGAATTGATTTCTAATGCAGAACCTCTCATGACCCACACTCAGACTTCTAAGAGATCAGGACAGTGAGAACCTGCCCAAAAATCACATTTCACTTTTTTATTTTTTATTTTCTTTTTTTGAGACGGAGTCTTGCTGTGTCGCCCAGGCTGGAGTGCAGTGGCGTGATCTCAGCTCACTGCAACCTCCGCCTCCCAGGTTCAAGGGATTCTTCCGCCTCAGCCTCCCGAGTAGCTGGGACTACAGTCGTGCGCCACCACGCCTGGCTGATTTTTGTATTTTTAGTAGAGACAGGGTTTCACCATATTGGCCAGGCTGGTCTCCAACTCCTGACCTCAGATGATCCACCTGCCTTGGCCTCCCAGTGCTGGGATTACAGGCATGAACCACTGCGCCTGGCCCACATTTCACTTTTTCGTTCTTTCATTTGTGTGTGCCCCGTGGTCTTAGGTGCCTTGGGAGTGTCCAGGTGACTGGGTCACCGTCCTCATCCTTGGAGTGGGTGTGGCTGACTTGAGCACCCGCTGGGGCTGTTACTTTGAAGTACAGAAGCCTCGGAGAACAAGGAGAGACTTCCTGTAACTATTTCAAGACATGGATTTCAAACACAGGAAGCAGTTTCAGAAAGAAATACGAGAGAGTAAAGAGTGGTTAATGTTGAGGCTGGGTAGCAGCGACTTGATCTGTGCTCTCCGAGAGAGCGTGCCAGGTTCTGCAGTGTGGCTGCTCTCTGCTCAGCTCTTTTTTTTTTTTAATTATTATTATTATTATACTTTAAGTTTTAGGGTACATGTGTACAACGTGCAGGTTAGTTACATATGTATACATGTGCCATGCTGGTGCACTGCACCCACTAACTCGTCATCTAGCATTAGGTATATCTCCCAATGCTATCCCTCCCCCCTCCCCCCACCGCACAACAGTCCCCAGAGTGTGATGTTCCCCTTCCTGTGTCCATGTGTTCTCATCCGCTCAGCTCTTATCCTGGGTGATGGAGCCCAGGCTTGGGGTTCCATAGATTGAGGGAGAAGTAGGAGTGTCTCTGTCAGTTAACTTCTATCTGGACAAGTCAGCCTCTCTGAACTTACTGCCTCACGTGTGAAGTGGGGCTGACACTTGCTCACAGCAGTTGAGCAGATTATATGAGCTGAATGTTAAGTGCCTGGAATGGTGTTTGTTGCCAATACCACTGGGATAAATGTCAGTGGATAAAAGACTGTGATGATTATGGTTCTTGTTCATGGTCTTGATAGAGTAGAATAATGTTCTTTAAAAGTTCACAGGAACCAGTTTTTTTTTTTGGCTTGTGTGAAATAATATGCGTAAATGGTCATAACAAAAGTAGCCAACATTTTATTTATTTATTTATTTATTTTTATTTTTATTTTTTTGACACGGAATCTCACTCTGTCGCCCAGGCTGGAGTGCAGTGGCGCGATCTTTGCTCACTGCAAGCTCCGCCTCCTGGGTTCACGCCATTCTCCTGCTTCGGCCTCCCCAGTAGCTGGGACTACAGGCACCCGCCACCACGCCTGGCTAAGTTTTTGTATTTTTAGTAGAGACGAGGTTTCACCGTGTTAGCCAGGATGGTCTCGATCTTCTGGCCTTGTGATCCATCTGCCTCAGCCTCCTAAAGTGCTAGCATTACAGGCGTGAGCCACAGTGCCCAGCCATAGCTAACATTTTAAAAGTGCTTATGTCATGCACAGTGTAAGCACTTAATTTCACTTTCGCAGCAACCCTGTGAGGTTTTACACATAAGGATAATAAGGCTTGGAGAGGTTAAATAACTTGAGCTAGGATTTGAACCCAGGTATACCTGTCTCCAGAACCTAGATCAGTCAGTCCCTGCTGAATGGGGAATTGAGGAAGAGGTTATTTGATTTATCTAAGGTATACAGATGTTTCTTTTCCTTGCACCCACCTTTGGAAACTGTAAGTACTCACCAGATAATGACTCTGGGCAAATTGCTGCTAAGCGTTGATGAGAGTACCAAGGCATGGGAGATCTGTCCTAGACCTAGACAGGTTTGATACACTTGGAGAAGATGGACTTGGTGCCTGCCTGTGTTCAAGTCCCAGATGAGGGTTACGGAAGGCAAGAACCACAACTCTTATGGGGGAGAGTGTGATTGGGGTCTGAGGAGGCTTCCTTCCCTGAGAGGGTGACCAGAATTAGCTGCTTTGGATGGTCGGTGTTGTAGAACTTCAACAGTCGAGGTTGGGAGGGATTGTGGTCTTGAAGAGGCTTATAACTCTGTTGCATGTCCATCGGTGCTGGGGAACATTGAGAGGCTAAGTTTGCAGAGGCTGAAGGTCACTAACCAGGTGCTTTGTTGATCCTGGAAGGCTGGGATCAAATGCTCATACCCAGCTGGTTCAACCCTGACATAGAAGTACTGTGTTTGGCCTGCACAGAGTTTTATTTATTTATTTATTTATTTATTAAATATAAAGGATTTGTCTCCAGGTTGTCAAAGTCCTTCCCTTACCTGTTACCACCTCTCTTGGCTCATTTACATTATCTGGCCCCTCCTGAAAGTTTTTGCATTTGCAGCCCTTTGTAAATATGGAAAATGGAGCCACGTGGGCTTGTCAGGCTGTGGGAAAAACAGTGTATCTGCACACACTACCTTGTGGTATTCGTATCCTTGGGAGATCTGCAAAGATTCTACATTCCTAAGTCGTCCTGGAGAAATTTACTTTTAGTTGATTTTAGTCCAAAGCAGTGCTGTCCAATGAAGGTAGAAGGTGAGTCAGAAGTGTGAGCTACCTGATTTACATGGTCTAGTAGCTACATTAAAAAGAATAAAAAGAAATAGGTAAAATTAATTTTAGCAACACATCATCTAATATGTAAAAAATAATACTCCAGCATATAATCAAATATAAATAATGATCAATGAGCTGTTTTACATTTGAAGACTCTGCTAGGTCTTTGAAATCAGGTGTGTATGTGATACTTGTAGCTCATCTCAGTGGCACTGGCCACGTTTAAGTGTTTATATAGACACATGTGGTTGATGGCTACTGTGGCCAGTGCAGGCCTGAAACACTGACTTGGGGCTTCTTAGGTTATAACTATTGCTTTACCTCAAGATAAGGTTCTAAGAGTGACCTTAATTACTAGCTACAGGTTTTTTTTTTTTTTTTCTTTTGGAGATGGAGTTTTGCTCTGTCACACAGGCTGGAGTGCAGTGGCGTGAGCTCAGCTCACTGCAACCTCTGTCTCTCAGGTTCAAATGATACTCCTGCCCCAGCCTCCCAAGTAGCTAGGATTATAGGTGCCTGCCTCCACGCCCAGCTAATTCTTGTATTTTTAGTAGAGACAGGGTTTCACCATGTTGGCCAGGCCGGTCTCGAACTCCTGACCTCAGGTGATCTGGCCGTCTTGGCCTCCCAAGGTGCTGGGATTACAGATGTGAGCCACTGCACCTGGCCAAGCCACAGATTTTTAATAACCTCATGAATACAGACTTGAAAGGAGTGCCACGTGAAAGCCAGTGTCTTAGTATATATTTTTTTAGTGATTTAGTGTTTGTTATGTGTGTATAGTTATGAGCAATATCATGGACAGATGCAACTTTTGGCCTTTATAGGTGGGACCCAGAAGGCTGGGTATCTGGTTTGGCCTTGATAATTTGTTGGACAGAGAAGGTTTTAAAGGGTTTGAGAGGGTAGCATTAGTGAAACTAGTGAAACTAGGTGGATACCAAGCTAGCATTCCTTTTTTTTTTTTTTTTTTTTTTTTTTTTTTTGTGGCGTGATCTCAGCTCACTGCAACTTCCGCCTCCCGGGTTCAAGTGATTCCCCTGCCTCAACCTCCTGAGTAGGTGGGACTACAGGTGCACACCACCATGCCCAGCTAATTTTTATATTTTTATAGAGACGGGGATTCACCATGTTGGCCAGGATGGTCTTGATCTCTTGACCTCGTGATCCGCCTGCCTTGGCCTCCCAAAGTGCTGGGATTACAGGCGTGAGCCACTGCGCCTGGCCAGCATTCCTTTTCATAAGCTCTTTCGACTTCCTTTCTTCCTTGGTCATTAATGCCACCAGGCATGTGATTAGAAGGCCCCTTCCCTGCCTTTTGGATTGTGGAGCTGTAGCTCTGAGTCTGCTTCCCGCTGGGGCTGGTCGGCTCTTGGCCTGTGTATCCCCTGCTCTTTGGGGCTGTTGGTTTCAGGAAAGGCAGCAAACTGCAGCAAAAGCAGAGGTGGGGACAGTGAGGGAAAATGGATGATTTAGCTTTGCCGGCCACCAGGCAGTAGCTGTACTGTATGTATGTATGTATGTATGTATGTATGTATGTATGTATGTATGAATGAATGAATGAATGATTGAATGAGACAGGGTCTTGCTGTGTCTCCCAGACTAGAGTGTAATGGTCCATTGATAGCTTACTGCAGCCTTGAACTCCTGGGCTCAGACAATGTTCCTGCTTCAGCCTCTTAAGTATCTGGTACTATAGGCATACACCACCCTACCTGGCTAATTTTTAGATTTTTTTGTAGAGACAGGTTTTGCCATGTTGCCCAGGCTGGTCTCAAGTTCCTGGCCTCAAGCGATCCTCTCACCTTGACCTCCCAAAGCTTTGGGATTGCAGATGTGAGCCACGGCAGCTGGCCCCTCTAGTACTTTATTGAAACTTTCAATTATTTTTTATTTCTGCGGCTGGTAAAGGAATAGTGAAAGGCTGTCTAGAACTGTGATTCTGGTTTGGTCTAACAAGACTTTGATGATGAACTTTGAAATTCGTTTTGATAAAATTGTCCTGGTGGTGTCACCTGATCCTCATCTCTGGATGCTTTTTGACTGCAGGTTATAAAGAGGGTCCTTTCTCCTGGGATGAGACTTGATCTCCTCTGTTGTGTTTGGTGTCTTCATCAGG
The DNA here is from genome assembly GCF_000001405.40 of Homo sapiens. Taxonomy (NCBI): domain Eukaryota; kingdom Metazoa; phylum Chordata; class Mammalia; order Primates; family Hominidae; genus Homo; species Homo sapiens. The sequence continues at coordinate 32,845,604 of NC_000020.11, forward strand.
CTGTGGGGAAGCTAGATAAGCTGTTTATTTCTGTTTTTAAATTTTTATTATTTATTTTTTAAAAAGATGGAGCCTTGCTATGTTGTCACAACTGGCTTTTAACTCTTGGGCTCAAGCAATTCTCCCGACTCAGCCTCTAGAGTAGCTGAGACGCGTGCGCCACTCCACCTGACATGCTTCAGTTTTTGTGGCTGTGAGTTCAGAAGGCTGGACTAGATGATTTCTCTGGTCCCTTCTGGCTTGTAGAATTCCCTTCTGCCGAGGTCGTTCTCAGTGGCTGTACCTTTGATTTTGTTGCTTTACTTTCCATGCTGCTCTGTGGCCCTGACCTGTAAATACAGGTTTTTGCAACTTGCATTCATTGACAGTTAAATGGAATTCACTTGTCATAGATGTGAATACAGTACACTGGAATGAAGATGCCCCATGGTTAAAGTACACACAGGACTATGAGTGTTATAACTTTTATTGGTCTTGGCTAGATAGAGTCCTGGCCTAAGGACTGAGACAGATTTCTTCATAGCCTCTTAATGGGAATCAGAGACCCTCAGTGGGGCTCATGGAGGGTCAGAGCACTTTCCATTGGGCTTCCAAAGAGTTCCATTGAGCCCTTTCCAGGGTCCTTTCTATTGACCCCCTCATGCAATCAGACCTGGACTTGATTGTCCAGTCCCTTGGTAAGGACTCAGTTTATGATTGTCAGCTACCTTGCTAGGCTGTAATTGTCTCAGGCTTCCCTAGTTTTTTCTCCTTAATCCTTTTTCAGTCCCTGAGAAGCTTCTACATGTTTCAAGGGGTAGTCTGCTCTTTCTGGGAGCTGTTACCGTCAAGGTTGCTATAAACAAATCCATGTTGTTTATCTGAGGCTGAAGAAAATTGACATTAAACTGATGTGGTTTTTGTCTGTGTTGGGGTTTGATCAAAGACCACATCTCCTTTTGGGTTAGAAGTCTGCCTGATATTTTATTGCCATACTAATGCCAAGCATCTCACCCTTTTTAATGTCTTGTGCAGGTCAACGTATTGAAACTTACTGTTGAAGACTTGGAGAAAGAGAGGGATTTCTACTTCGGAAAGCTACGGAACATTGAATTGATTTGCCAGGAGAACGAGGGGGAAAACGACCCTGTATTGCAGAGGATTGTAGACATTCTGTATGCCACAGATGTATGTGTTTGACATGAGGATATTTTCTTTCCATTTTACATAGAAGGGTTGGTGAACTCTGTGCTGATGCTTGTTGTATTCCAGTGTTGCATTCATCAAAAGACTTCATCTTTAACCCCTCAAAGTCAGCCAGAGGGCATCTCTGCCCAGCTTTAGCTTCTGCCTGAGGTCTGTGAGCTTTTGAAGAAGGAATAGGACAAGGAGGTGGCTGGCTTGCCCAGCATCTGTAGTATGTGGCCACTGATAGGTGATGAGTGCCACAAACTGCTCTTAGCCAGAAGCAACCCATGTCCTCACTCCACCCCACCTCCTATTGCTTGGATCCCTCAGCTTCAGTTGCTGCCTCCATTTTATCAGGGCCCGGGGCATGCCCGGAAAAGCAGGCACATGCTCCCTTTTTCACGGCGTGCCCACATATCACGTCATGTCTGGGTATGCCTTTCTCCTCCCTCCTAGGAGTTTGCCTGGTTCTCACTCCCTCAAAGTACTCTATGATCAAGTTTCTTTGGATCCATGTTTATTGCACAGTCAAATCTGTTGATATTAATCACGACATGTTAGTTGATCAGGGAAGACTCATTTTTTTCTAGATTTAGGATTGTTATCCGGCTGTGTCCACTGTTTAATGGTGATGTTTGTAATTCTGTGTGCCTAGCAAGGTCTGTAGGATCAAACTACAAACTTCTGGTAGTATGTGTAGCACTATGCAAATACAAGGTAGTAATAATGCTGTTACTGTCACTGTCCTTGAGACATATCTTGTGAATTTCAGGGGATTAAGACAGATGACTGAAAAGTTGATAATCTGTTGAATAAATCTTTAATTTAGAGCTTGCTCTGTGCTATGTAATGAAAAAAAGACAACGAAGATATAGGGGGTCCTTGGTTTAGTCTGAGTATTATTTTAGTGGAGCCACATCTTAAGTAAGTTCAGCTATAGAGATTTAGTTAATAGAAATAAGATGGTGGTTGAAAGAGAAGTCTGATTTTACAGCAGAATAGTATAGTAATTTCCTGCTCTGAGTCCATGCCAGAATGCCCTGTAGTGAGAATGAGGTGTGTGGGAGTCATGAATCTGCTTTTTCCTTGTGCACTCAATTTTTCTGCCACTGATGTTGGGTCAGTCTTGCTGTTGTGAATATTTTGGGTAAAGCATGGCTCCTAAGTATAACAAAAGGAAGGCATAAAAGGAAAGCTGGCTGCATAGACAGTTTATTGAGAGAAGATGTTAGAGTACTGAACTTTACAGGGGACTTCAGGAATTTTTGAGGGAAATTTTTTTTTTTTTTTAGTGACGGGGATCTCACTTTATTGCCCAGGCTGGAGTGCCTGGTGGTGCGATCATGGCTCACTGCAGCTTTGACCTCCTGGGTCAAGCAGTCCTGCCTCGACCCCGCTGGGGAGTAGCTGGGACTACAGGCATGTCCCACCAGGCTTGGCTAGTTTTTTTTTTTTTCGAGACATTGTCTCACTGTGTTACCCAGGCTGGTCTTGAACTTCTGGGCTCAAGCCTTGGCCTTCCAAAGTGCTAGGATTACAGGCATGAGCCATCACACCTGGCCTTCTTTCTTCTTTAAAAAACAGTTTTATTGAAGTATAACTGACATAATAAACTGCACATATTTAAAATGTACCTTTGATGACATGGGTGAAATTACCACCATAATGAAGACAATGTAAATATGCATCACTTTCAAAAGTTTGAGGGTAAATTTGACTGTGCTCAGTTTTTGTCTTTGGTGAGATGCAATTCTACTACCCAAGAAATAAAATAGCAGTCACCTGGCCTGTATAGAGCCAGGAAGAACCATTGTTTTTAAGAGGCTGTAAGTATGAGGAAAGTGAACTCACAGTAGAAATGGATCTTTCAGTGGCTTTCCCCTCTCATTTTCCTATTTCAGGAAGGCTTTGTGATACCTGATGAAGGGGGCCCACAGGAGGAGCAAGAAGAGTATTAACAGCCTGGACCAGCAGAGCAACATCGGAATTCTTCACTCCAAATCATGTGCTTAACTGTAAAATACTCCCTTTTGTTATCCTTAGAGGACTCACTGGTTTCTTTTCATAAGCAAAAAGTACCTCTTCTTAAAGTGCACTTTGCAGACGTTTCACTCCTTTTCCAATAAGTTTGAGTTAGGAGCTTTTACCTTGTAGCAGAGCAGTATTAACACCTAGTTGGTTCACCTGGAAAACAGAGAGGCTGACCGTGGGGCTCACCATGCGGATGCGGGTCACACTGAATGCTGGAGAGATGTTATGTAATATGCTGAGGTGGCGACCTCAGTGGAGAAATGTAAAGACTGAATTGAATTTTAAGCTAATGTGAAATCAGAGAATGTTGTAATAAGTAAATGCCTTAAGAGTATTTAAAATATGCTTCCACATTTCAAAATATAAAATGTAACATGACAAGAGATTTTGCGTTTGACATTGTGTCTGGGAAGGAAGGGCCAGACCTTGGAACCTTTGGAACCTGCTGTCAACAGGTCTTACAGGGCTGCTTGAACCCTCATAGGCCTAGGCTTTGGTCTAAAAGGAACATTTAAAAAGTTGCCCTGTAAAGTTATTTGGTGTCATTGACCAATTGCATCCCAGCTAAAAAGCAAGAGGCATCGTTGCCTGGATAATAGAGGATGTGTTTCAGCCCTGAGATGTTACAGTTGAAGAGCTTGGTTTTCATTGAGCATTTCTCTATTTTTCCAGTTATCCCCGAAATTTCTATGTATTATATTTTTTGGGGAAGTGAGGTGTGCCCAGTTTTTTAATCTAACAACTACTTTTGGGGACTTGCCCACATCTCTGGGATTTGAATGGGGATTGTATCCCATTTTACTGTCTTTTAGGTTTACATTTACCACGTTTCTCTTCTCTGCTCCCCTTGCCCACTGGGGACTCCTCTTTGGCTCCTTGAAGTTTGCTGCTTAGAGTTGGAAGTGCAGCAGGCAGGTGATCATGCTGCAAGTTCTTTCTGGACCTCTGGCAAAGGGAGTGGTCAGTGAAGGCCATCGTTACCTTGGGATCTGCCAGGCTGGGGTGTTTTCGGTATCTGCTGTTCACAGCTCTCCACTGTAATCCGAATACTTTGCCAGTGCACTAATCTCTTTGGAGATAAAATTCATTAGTGTGTTACTAAATGTTAATTTTCTTTTGCGGAAAATACAGTACCGTGTCTGAATTAATTATTAATATTTAAAATACTTCATTCCTTAACTCTCCCTCATTTGCTTTGCCCACAGCCTATTCAGTTCCTTTGTTTGGCAGGATTCTGCAAAATGTGTCTCACCCACTACTGAGATTGTTCAGCCCCTGATGTATTTGTATTGATTTGTTTCTGGTGGTAGCTTGTCCTGAAATGTGTGTAGAAAGCAAGTATTTTATGATAAAAATGTTGTGTAGTGCATGCTCTGTGTGGAATTCAGAGGAAAACCCAGATTCAGTGATTAACAATGCCAAAAAATGCAAGTAACTAGCCATTGTTCAAATGACAGTGGTGCTATTTCTCTTTTGTGGCCTTTTAGACTTTTGTTGCCCTAAAATTCCATTTTATTGGGAACCCATTTTCCACCTGGTCTTTCTTGACAGGGTTTTTTTCTACTTTAAACAGTTTCTAAATAAAATTCTGTATTTCAAGAGTATCATGTCTTCTGAAATTTGTCTTGCCCTGGGTATATGCTGTTAGGTTCAAGTGATGGGAAACCAGTGCTTCTTTCTTCAGTGAGGACTGATCTTTTCACATCCTTTACTGATTTTTCAGATGTGCTTATTTCTTCTTCTTCTTCTTTTTTTTTTTTTTTTTTTTGAGATGGAGTCTTGGTCTGTCGCCCAGGCTGGAGTGCAGTGGCATGATCTCGGCTCACTGCAACCTCTGCCTCCCAGGTTCAAACAGTTCTCTGCCTCAGCCTCCCAAGTAGCTGGGATTATAGGCACCCACCACCACGCCCGGCTAATTTTTGTGTATTTTTAGTAGAGATGGGGTTTCACCATCTTGGCCAGGCTGATCTTGAACTCCTGACCTCGTGGTCCACCCACCTCAGCCTCCCAAAGTGCTGGGATTACAGGCGTAAGCCACCGTGCTCGGTCAGATGTGCTTATTTCTAAGCTGACTTCTTTTTTCTTCATTCACATTATATTGTACAGCCTCCTGCTTTTTAAAATTCTCGTTGCTGTAAGAGGTTTTTCCTCTCGGAAGTCCAAGGCCTGGCCTATCTGCTGTGAAGCCTTTTCAGGGCATTTCCTTCTGAGAAATATAGCAGGACAGTGCTTGGCAGATGACTGTGGGGAGATTTTTTTTTTTTTTTTTTCTGAAGGTGTGATTCTTTCTTCCTTTCTTTTTTGAGACAGGGTCTCCCTCTGTTGCCCAGTCTGGAGTGCAGTGGCATGATCTTGGCTCACTGCAGCCTTGCCCTCTTGGGTTCAAGCGATCCTCCCACCTCAGCCTCGTGAGTAGTGGGGACTACAGGCATGCACCACCATGCCCAGCTAAACTTTGTATTTTTTGTAGAGATGGGGTCCCCTTATGTTGCCCAGGCTTGTCTTGAACTCCTGGGCTCAAGTGATCCTCCCACCTTGACCTCCTAAAGTGCTGGGATTACAGGTGTGAGCCACTGCACCCAGCCCTGAAAGTATGTTTCAAAGTCAGTTAACATGATCTTAATCTATAAAATAATCTAAAATTGTCACCATTTTTTTCTCCCTTATAAAATTATATGCTATTAGAAATGAGTTCAAAAGGAGACTTGCTGCCATTTTCTGTCAGAAATAAAGTTAAATGGGCAGAGATAGTGTGTTGTAGGATATGTAGAGTCATGGTTATGGATGCTCTATAAACCCAACCTGATGATCTTGACAAGGGTTGCACCCATAGTTAATGGTATGATACCTCCCTTAAAGTGTTAAATACCTTCAGAAGGAATTTGACACCATATGTATTGGTCATCTACAAGAAGATACCTTCCAGGAGTGCAAGGAGTTTGTGAAGATACTGTTGGCTACTGTCAATTGAGAAGTTACCTTGGTAAAGAGAGAAGCCAAAACTGTGGGTATCTGACCAAGTGCATTGACCTGGCTCTTGAATTTGAAGCACATACAGTCTTTGCTGCTTGGTTTGCTTGGCAGGTTCTGTGTTTCATGAAGGATAGGTAAACAAATGGGTTCTCTGGCTCAATTTGGATCATTGTTCATGCTGATGATTCTCAAACTGATGGGCTTCAGAATCACATGGGGAACTTGTTTGACATAATGTATTTATAAAAATTCATCACCAGAGATTCTGAGTTTGGAGGTTGAAAACCTGCATTTTAATTTGGGCCTTATCTACATGTCTGCAATTTTAAATAATAATTCTGGCAAGGGGAACATCAGACTTGAGTCCTCTTGCAGGTCTCTCCTGCTTTGTGAGTTTTGAGCTATTTGACCTCTCTTGTTCTTACATGCAAGACAGAGATGATGATTTTGGCTGACGTGCCTCCCTCACTGGGTACTTGTTGGGATTAGAAGGAGCTGATGGACCAAAAAAAAACAGCACCACAAAGCTAAAAAGCTCTGTACAGACAAGAGGCATTATTTATGGCACAAGTTCTTCAGATCTGGTCTGAAATTCTGTTTATAGATTAGAAAAAGCTTAGGACAGGGCTTTTGTATCCTCAGAATTCGGAAGGGCATTCCTTCAGACAGGCTTTGGGTGTTTTGTAAAATACACCCAAAGTATTTCCTTTTCAGCATGGTATATGGACAAGTAGAACTCCCTTATGTCTTCAGGCTCTTATGTTTATCCTGTTTTTGTTTTCTTTTAAATGAAGATTCAATGTCTCAGATTCATTGATTAAAAACCCATATTTTCTTCAAGATTTACTCTCTAGAATGTGAAGGGTTTTGAAAAGGAAGCATTTTTCTTTTGCCCTAGCCAAGGTGATCCTCTGTAGTTTTTCTTTTAAGGATTGTTTTAGAAGATTGAGTATAAAGGACTCCTTTTGTGATGTTGACCATAGTTCATTGCAAAGTCCACAAATAAAAATCCAAGCTTTAGGCCTGATCAGCCTAGTCAGATTAGCTTGCTAGCATGTGGGTGACCCAAATCTGATTGTTGACAACAGAGAACATTGCTTTGAAACAAGCTGAACCTCAGTCTGTGATCAGTGTTGTGAACCACCCGTCATTTTTCTGGTCTGGCACTGTTGTAATATGTCTTTTTTTTTTTTTTTTTTTTTTCCCCAGACAGTCTTGCTCTGTCACCCAGGCTGGAGTGCAGTGGCACGATCTTGGCTCACTGCAACCTCCACCTCCCAGGCTGAAGCAGTTCCCGTACCTCAGCCTCCTGAGTAGCTGGGATTACAGGCCTGTGCCACTATGCCTGGCTAATTTTTGTATTTTCAGTAGAGATGGAGTTTTGCCATGTTGCCCAAGGTAGTCTCGAACTCCTGGCCTCAAGTGATCCACCTGTCTTGGCCTCCCAAAGTGCTGGGATTACAGGTGTGAGCCACCACTCCCTGCTTGATATCATACTTTTGGATTCACACATTTAGTTTGTAAAATGTCAAAACCAGATGAGTTCATATTTATTTCTGTATCTTCATGACGCTTGCTGCTTTTTTTCTCTTCATTTTCACATGCGAGGGTATAACTGAGTGTTCAGGGTTTTCTCTGAAAGCCTGAAGGGATTGTGTACTTTTACATTGAACTTGACTGCAGTTAGAACCATTAACCTAGATGACTTCAGCCAAATTATGTATTGTTTTTGTTTTTGTTTTTTTGAGACAGGGTCTCCTGTCACCCAGGCTGGAGTGCAGTGGCACAGTCATGGCTCATGACAGCCTCAACTTCCTGGGCTTCAGCTGTCCTCCCACCTCAACCTCCATAGTAGCTGGGACTGTAGTGCACACCACCATGCCTGGCTGGCTAATTTTTTTTTTTTTTTTTTTTTTGAGACAGAGTTTCATTCTTGTTGCCCAGGTTGGAGTACAGTGGTGCCATCTTGGCTCACTGCAACCTCCGCCTCCTGGGTTCAAGCGAGTCTCCTGCCTCAACCTCGAGAGTAGCTGGGATTACAGGCGCCCACCACCACACCCAGCTAATTTTTGTGTTTTTAGTAGAGACGGGGTTTTGCCATGTTAGCCAGGCTGGTCTGGAACTCCTGACCTCAGGTGATCCACCTGCCTCGGCCTCCCAAAGTGCTGGGATTACAGGCGTGAGCCACCATGCCCGGCCAATTTTTTGGTATTTTTTGTAGAGACGGGGTTTGCTATATTGCAGGCTGGTCTTGAACCCCTGGGCTCAAACAATTTACCCATCTCTTCCTCCCCAAATGCTGGGAGGTGTGAGTCACTGTGCCTGGCCCAAATTGCTATATAGCCGTGACTTGTGAAGGTCTGTTCCCCCTTTGGTTTAATCTGATTTGGGAAGTAATGTTACCTTAGTCCTTGGAGTGCAGAAGCTTTCTCTGTACTCTATTGAGGTTGTATCCAGTAGCTTCATTAATTTGGTTATCTAGGTGAGCAGGTCAAGCCTTAGAGTCAAATTTCTAGGCTCCTCAATCTAGAACCTTAAATCTTGAGGTGCGTGTGTGTATCAAAATTGTAAATAACTCTCGTTTCCTTGTATTGGAGGCTCTCAGGTTCTGAAATGTGAAATGGAAATAGCCTTCATAGACACGTTTCTGAGTGTGAGGAGGCAGTTCTTTGTCCTGTGACCATTTGAAAGCAAACCAGGTTACCCACCAATGCCTAGAACTTTGTAAGTGGCATCAAGATATAAATTTATAATTGTAAAATAACCTATCAGCAGTTTGGGGCTGGGTGTCATGGCTCATGCCTGTAATCCCAGCACTTTGGGAGGCCAGTGCAGAAGGATTGCTTGAGCCCAGGAGTTTGAAACTAGCCTGGGCAACATAGCAAGAGACCCTGTCTCTATTTAAAAGATTTTATATATATATATGATCATATATAATATATATAAGATATATATGATCATATATATAATATATATATATATGATCATATATATCTTATATATATATATGCAGTTTGGAATTCTATTTGTCTTGCCTTATTTGCTTTTTAAAAATTTCTACCTTAGTTTTTTCCTGGTTTACTTTGAGTGTTTTTTTGTAGTCGGAGGAGATTGTTGGTGCGGCTGGGTGTAGGTATGAGGCAGAGGAGGAAGAGTAATTTATTCCATCTACTGAGCCTTTCATTTACTTTCTGTTTTAGCAGTAGAGTGGGATGTCGGAAGCTTTTGTTGGGTGAGAGTCAATCTGTCAGGGTAAATCTTAAAAAGCTGGATTTGTGGTTTAGTTACTAGTTACTGTGTCTCCAGTGGAGACAAAGATTAGTTTTTAAGATTTAGCCTTAATGGATGATTCACAAATTGCAATGCAGAGTATTGAAGTTAAGTCCAAGGTCAAGCACACAAGTGGGTAAAACTGAACATATGAAATGGGTGTGTGGCTGGCACCCACCTCTGACCTTTACTGAAATAAATGAGGAAGACGGTGCTGTAAGTGGAATGCCACGGACCAGGAGTTAAGACCAGAGTCCTCTGCTAGGCCCTGCATCTGAAGTCTGCAGAGCATGGCTTTTCATTGGCTCAGTGAGGAGTTGAGTCCTGGTTCAGAAAAAGTTACCGAGGTCTGTAAAAGTCAGTAGGATACCGGAACAAGAAAGAGTGGGAGAGTGTACAGTTCCCAGCGAACATTGCCAGTGGAGGCTAATTTTCACCAGTGAAGGGCGATTTTGATAGAAAAGCACAGTGTCTCAACTACTTGTGGTTTTTGATTCTGAAAGAGGAGGCTTTGGCAGGAGCAATAATACACGTGGCCTACCACCTGTTTGGCTTTTTCCCCACAGGTTGCAAGCTGCAGGGAGGGCCTTGCTAATTCTAGTACCTCCATCCCCGAATCGTCTAAATGTATTTTACCCAGGACCTGTCATGGTTTATCTGAGTGACCAGTTTCCTTTCCTCTCTTGCTTATTTATCATGTTCATATTTATATTTTTCATAATGGGGCCTATTTATATATTTTGAAGTAGTTCTAGTGATTTTAAGATCCAGCAAAACTTCAAGGTCATCTGGATTTTGGTGTTCTATTTAAGTTTTCTAACTTGATACAGTCTTTTTTTTTTTTTTTGTATTTTGTATGTTTTTCTACAAAATGTGAGAGAGTTAAGCATGTATAATTACATATGACTGCTGTTTTCACTTTGAAATTTTAAATCCTGCTTGGGAGAATGGAATAAGCTATTGTGTTTTTTGCAGGCAGCTATGGGATATCCCAATTTGTCCCTCCCTCCTCCTTAATTTTGAAGCCTGAGAGAGGAAGTAATAATTTTCTTTTTTTTTTTTTTTTTTGGTAGGGATGGGGTTTGACTATGCTGTGCAGGTTGGTCTGCAACTCCTAAGCTCAAGTGATCCGCCCTCCTCCGCCTCCCAAAGTGCTGGGATTACAGGCCTGAGCCACCGTGCCTGGTCTGAAGAAGTAATAATTTTAAGATTCAGTGTTGAGTGAAATAAATGTATTCTTAAAAATTTCTAAGAGTGTTTAACTCTCTGACCTAATATTTAATATTTTCCCCAATCATTAGGAAGTGCTTTTTTGTTGTTGTTGTTGTTTTTTTTCCAGGCAGGGTCTCGCTCTGTCACCCAGGCTGGAGTGCAGTGGCATGGTCACGGCTCACTGCAGCCTTGACTTCCCGGGCTCAAGTGATTCTCCCACCTCAGCCTCCCAAGGAGCTGGAACTGCTCAGCTAATTTTATTTTTGTAGAGACAGGGTCTGGCTATGTTCCCCAGGCTGGTCTCAAACTCCTGGGCTCAAGCAGTCCTCCACCACTCCTGGCCAAGAAGTGCCTTTTTTTTTTTTTTTTTTTTTAAAGTAGCTGCTGAACACAGGAGAATCTGCCTTTTTCTTGAATCGTGGTTTTTTTGTTTTTTTTTTTTTCAAGACGGAGTGTTGCTGTTGTCGCCCGGGCTGGAGTGCTGTGGTGCGATCTTGGCTAATTGCAACCTCCGCCTCCCAGATTCAAGCGATTGTCCTGCCTCAGCCTCCCGAGTAGCTGAGATTACAGGCACGCACCACCGTGCCTGGCTAATTTTTGTGTTTTTAGTAGAAACAGGATTTCACCATGTTGGCCAGGCTGGTCTCAAACTCCTGACCTTGTGATCCACCTGCCTCGGCCTCCCAAAGTGCTGGGTTTACAGGCGTGAACCACTGCACCCGGCCTGAATCATGGTTTTTTGAAACCATTGGCATCTGAACCTGTAGCTCTCTCTGGTAGTGTTGTGTGGTTTTAAATGTCATGTGAGCTGAGTTACTGACCTCAACCTACTGCCAGATGAAGGTGTGATCCTGTGATACCAATCTTGAGGGTCCCTTCTAGTTTTAGCAGTCAGTGACTTCTCTTGTTTATTTTTGTTTGAAAAAGTAAAAGGCTCTCTTTTTGGCTATAGAGTTGCATCTTGAAATTTTTGACAAATTACATAGAGCTGAAGAAGGATACAAGTTTTGATATCTTAAAATCACAGGGTTGAAGCTTGAAAGGACAGTATTGGCATTGCAGCTAAGTGGGAGTGTGAGGAAGCGCCTTCTCTAGGGCAGGTAATTGCATCTGTTAATGTGGTCCTTGGGCCCCTGAGTTGCTGCCTTCCAATCAGAATTCCCTTAGCATTAGCCAGTGACGCCTGAATTAATCTCAGGTAGGACTTCTAACTTTTTTCCAAAATTATTTTTGTGCAGAGGTTTATCTAGATTTTTCTTCTAAATGTCCTCCTCCCCACTTGTTTTATTATTACTGTTTTTTTCTCTCTTTAATTTTTTTTTTTTTTTAATAGAGACATGGTCTCACTATGTTGCCTGGGCTGATCTCAGACTCCTGGGCTCAAGTGATCCTCCTGCCTCAGCTTCCCAAAGTGCTGGGATTATAGGCGTGAGCCATTGCGCCTGGCTCTGTTACTGTTTTTCTAACCTGAGTTACTTAGGATCATATTTTCATTCTTTTTTAAAAAGATGGGAGTTTTCTGAACTTTTCCTTAACTAAAAAGTGGAATGCATCTTAATATTTTCCTTTTTTTACTTGTGTTTCTCCCCAGGGAGGGAAAAACATATTTATTGTGACAGAATTTAGCATATTTTAGGCCACATTAAAATACTGATAAATGTATTAATCAGTGAAAATAGGTTATAGTGAAAAATATATACCATTTGATTAATAAAAATGTTATTGGAAAAATGCAAGAACTGCTGTAAGAATTGCTAACATTGTGTTGGAAAATAAATATACTAAGCTAAGAAACAATGGGAAACTGTCATATGTAGGGCCAACAGCCTTTTTTTTTTTAAACCCTTCCAATTTATTAATATCTAGTCTAATAAACCCTGATTTATAGGACCTCTGCACCTTTTTTGACTTTTTATTCATCCATTCTTAATATTCTACACTATGACAAAATCCTTAAAACTCCATTATTGATGAAATGGGAACAGACTTTTGTTTTTGTATGTTGGTGTTCTCTGAGTGGTGAAGGCCCAGGGAGAATGTTTTGTTTGGTGGTCACTTAGCATTTGAAAACATCCACTTCCTTGTGACTTAGCTGGGTATCTTTTAACATCTGGAAGCCACGTCCCTGATTGAAATCTCTGGAGACAACTTACCTTTCACCAACTTGTCTGCCAAATTGCACCATGGACCAAGATTGCAGTGGCTGCATCAAGTCTAGGCCTGCCCTGAAGTCTGGATTTGTAAGTCCCCCATTTCAAATGGGGCAGAAGGCAGAGGAGCAGAGGAGCCACTGTGCCTTTCGCTGTCCTGGAGCCAGTTGGCCTTCTGGTTTTGGTGAACCCTGCTTTTATAAGAGGACTCCCTGGCATCTTCCAGTTTCCCGCTACTTGTTTTATGTATTATTTTATGTCTGTGTTTGTCCTGGAGTGCTGTAACTCCTTTCACTGTCTGCTGTAAGTTCAACTTCTTCAATAAAAGAAATGTTTCAAATTGGATGAAAAATGGTTCTGTGATTATGGTTTGTGGGACGGGTTCTGATGCTTCATTTATGTTCTTCATACGGAATTCTGTCTCATTTCCCTAGTTCTAAATATGACCAGCAGACCCAGAGTTCCATCTCGACTTCATAAAGGAGCTGTCTTGGACTGGGAACAGCTGCCAATGTCTTTGTTGAGATGGGAGTTGGAAAGTGTTAGCACTTTGCCAGACTTTGCCAGCAAGATTAACTGAGGAGATCAAATTGAGTCAGGGTGAGTGAGGGTTTTAGGTGAAAGTTGCTCTCCAAAAGATTGGATACCTCTGCTGAAGACCTCTGCCTGACCTCCAAGGCTGGAGAGCAGCTCTTATCTGTGTCCTGGCTGGCTTTCAATGCATGTATCCTTAAGTCATCTGCCTCTACAAATTCGTACAAACCACTCGTTCCCCTCTCATCCCTAGCATGTTCCCCTAGTGGCTGCTCTGAATTCTCACCCCTGTTCTGGATGGTACTCTCCCACCTGCCTTGCCCTGCCCCTCTTCCGTCAGCTCCGGACAGGTCAACTTTAGGGAATAGATTGAGGCAGATGGATGTGACTTCTGATCTGACCTGTTCTCCAATTCTAAATATCAACCGAGTTTTACATCTCAGCCTTCCCTTCCTTCCCTTCAGAGTTGGAGGAATGGTACTTGTCTTGGCCTCTCCCCTCTTGCTTTTGCCCTTTTCTTTTGGGTGGTCTCTGTTGGCAGCAACCAGCACTTTTTTTCCCATTTGGCGTTTTACCTCTGTTCATGAACATACATAGAACCACTTTCTCCTGGTGAAAGACATTTATCTTACAAAATATTTAGTTTTGAAATAATTAAAAATATATAAATAGTTGTAAGACTACTACAAAGAACTTCCCTTTGTCCAGATAGACTAATTGTGAACATTTTGCCACATTTGTGTTATTATACATGTTACTTGTTAAACCATTTGAGAATTACAGACATCATGCCCTTTTACCCCTAAATACTTTTCAGTGTACATTTCCTGAAACAAGGACATTCTCATAACCACAATACAGTTATCAAAAGCAGAAAACATTAATATGCTATCTAATAATATAGAGTCCATGTTCAAATTTTACATAATTTCACCAAATAACAGCCCTTGCAGCATTTTTGTTTTTTCCCAATCGGATTCAATTCAGAATCGTGCATTGCCTTTAGTTGTTGGGTCTCTTGAGTCACCTTTCATCTCTAACAGTTCCTTAGCCTTTCTTTGGTTTACATGGCATTTTATTTTGGCCAGGCGCGGTGACTCACGCCTGTAATCCCAGCACTTTGGGAAGCCAAGGCGGGCGGAAAGCACTTGAGGCCAAGGAGTTTGAGACCAGCCTGGCCAACATGGAGAAATCCTGTTTCTACTAAAAATACGAAAGTTAGCTGGGCATGGTGGCGTGCACCTATAATCCCAGCTACTGAGGAGGCTGAGGCATGAGAATCATCAGAATCTGGGAGGTGGAGGTTGCGGTGAGCTGAGATTGAGCCACTGCATTCCAGCCTGTGACAGAGTGAGACTCTCAAAAATAAAAGCAAAAAAAAACCCAGTTATTTTGTAGAATATCCTGTAATGTGGGTTTGTCTGTTTCCTTATGATTAGATTCAGATCATGTATTTTTTTGGCAATAATACTACTGAAGCATTGTGCCCTGCATGTATCGGATCAGGAGGTGTGTGATGGATGTCATTTTGTTCCATCGCTGATGGTGGTAACTTTTTTTTTTTTTTTTTTTTTTTTTTTTTTTGAGATGGAGTCTTACTCTTTTGCCTAGGCTGGAGTGCAATGGCACAGTCTTAGTTCACTGCAACCTCCACCTCCTGGGTTCAAGCGATTCTCGTGCCTCAGTCTCCCGAGTAGCTGGGATTACAGACGTCAGCCATTGTGCCCAGGCTATTTTTTCATTCTTTTATAAAAATTGGCATCATAGTGTGCACCCTTTTCTGCATCTTGGTTTTTTTATTTATTTATTTTTTTGAGACAAGGTCTCATTCTCTCACCCAGGCCCTGGAGTGCAGTGTTGTGATTACAGTTCACTACGGCCTCAAACTTCTGGATGCAGGTAATCCTCCCATCTCACCCTCTTGAGTAGCTGGGACTACAGGGGAGTGTCACCATACCCAGATAATTTTTTGTATGTTTTGTACAGATGGGGTTTCACCATGTTGCCCAGGCTGGTCTCAAATTCCTGGGCTCAAGCGATCTTCCCACCTTGGCCTCAAGTGTTGGCATTACAGGTATGAGCCACTGTGCCTGGCCTGCATCGTGCTTTTCTTATTAGTACTTCATGGAAATCTCTCTTAGCTGCTGGAAGTCAGATTCATCCTTCTGATGTTTGGGTGACGTCCTAGGTGCAGATGCACTGATTTGTTCATTTCTGTGTCTATAATGGTTCACTTTTGGTTTTTGCTCCTATGAATGATGCTGCAGCAATCACTCTTCAACAGTGGCCTTTCACAAAGGAGTCATTTAAATTACTACCCACCATCCTACCCACTCCACTGAAACACATTTTATTTTATTTTTTTGAGACGGAGTTGCGTTCTTGTTGCCCAGGCTGGAGTGCAATGGCACAATCTCGGCTCACCGCAACCTCCGCCTCCTGGATTCAAGCAGTTCTCCTGCCTCAGCCTCCTGAGTAGCTGGGATTACAGGCATCCACCACCACACCCAGCTAACGTTTGTATTTTTAGTGGAGATGGGATTTCTCCATGCTGGCCAGGCTGGTCTTGAACTCCTGACATCAGGTGATCCGTCTGCCTCGGCCTCCCAAAGTGCTAGAAGTACAGATGTGAGCCACCGCGCCTAGCCGTTGAAACACATGTTAAAGATTGCCATGAGCCTGGTGTGGTGGCATGTGCCTGTTGTCCCAGCTACTTGGGAGGCTGAGATGGGAGGATCACCTGAGCCCAGGAGTGCAAAACCAGCCTGGGCAACATTGCAAGACCCCATCTCAAAAGATCGCCATGAACCCTTTTTTAATTAAAATAAAAATCAGAGAATTGCATGATTTAGGCTATAAACATCTTCCATAATCTCACCTACCAGAGATGACTGCTATTAATTTTGGAGTATATGTTTCCAGGCTCTTTTTTATGCATGTGCCAATATGCACATGCATATATTCTTAACAGAAATGAACTTAACATTTTACATACACTTTAGTTTTTTCACTGGTAACCTCTTAATTGCCTTTTTCAGTGGCTGTTTCTTTCCCTTATCACCTTAGGTCACTTTGTAGCGTCCCATTCTCCTAGCTGTCTTGTGTGTTTCTCCCTCTTTCTGTCCTCTAAATGTAGCCACTCCTCAAGTTTCAGTCCCCAGATTTCCAGATACTTGTTTTTATTATTTCTTTTCTTTTTTTTTTTTTTGAGACAGGGTCTCACTCTGTCATCCAGGCTGGAGTGTAGTGGTATGATCTCAGCTCTCTGCAGCCTCAACCTCCTGGGCTCAAGTAATTCTCCCACCTCAGCCTCCTGAGTAGCTGGGTGTATAGGCATGTGCCACCACACCTGGCTAATTTTGGATTTTTTGTAGATGTGGGGTCTCAATGTTGCCCAGGCTGGTCTCAAACTCCTGGATGCAAGCGATCCTCCCGCCTCGGCCTATTTTTTATTCCTAATTGGACAGCCTAGTATCACATGCATTAAAACCACTTTCCCTCTTTGCTCCTTTTTCTGAAAGTGGTTCTGGCATTTCTGTTAGCTTGCTTCTTGGCTTCCAAATCTCCTTCCCTTAGGCTGTCCTCTCTCCTTTGGTCCTTAGGTGTGAGCTGTTGCCAAGACACTGCTAGATTAGAGCATTCTTGGGTACCGTTCAGTCTTCTCCCTCCAGCTTGTACTGATGAATTTTATTTTTTATTTTTTTGGGACAGAGTCTTGCTCTTGTTGCCCAGGCTAGAGTACAATGGCTCGATCTCGGCTCATGGCAACCTCTGCCTCCCAGGTTCAAGCAATCCTCCTGCCTCAGCCTCCCAAGTAGCTGGGATTACAGGAACCTGCCACCAAACCCGGCTAATTTTTTATATTTTTAGTAGAGACAGGGTTTCAATATGTTGGCCAGGCTGGTCTCATTTGAACTGTTGACCTCAGGCAATCCTTCCGCCTTGGCCTCCCAAAGTGCTGGGATTACAGGTATGAGCCACTGCACCTGGCCACTGATGACTTTCATAGTTGCCCTTCATTTTGTTCAGACTGTCTGGCCAGGTATTCAAGATTCTACTTTTTGCTGCCAATTTTTTTTTTTTTCCTTCTCTGCCATGATTCCTCCCTCCCCTCTGCCTCCAGGACCCTTCAGATCAAGCCAAGCTGGCTCAGTTGGTCTGCCCCCTGTGCGTGTCTTGGGCTTAACTATTTCTTGGCTGTCCCCCTGCCATCCTAGAGTGCCCTCTGGACTCTTGCCTGGTGGGACTTGCTGACGAGGTGGATTGGTGCTCCAAAGACCCTAACAAAACGCTGTCATCCATCTCATATGGAGGCCTTGCTGACCCAATAGAAACGTTCTCTTTATATTCCCAGAGCAGAGCTCTGTTCTGTCTGCTCTCCCGAAGTCCTGGCTTGCAAGGGCACTGGAAGGTGGGTGGGGAGGGTATATGCAGTGGAAATGAGGAGCCCTCATTTTTCTAATCTGTTTATTGTACTTGGACTACCACATGGCCTCCTAAGATTCTTCTACTTCTGTAGAAAGTGTGATCCCCTTTAGGAAGCCTCTGGCATTAAGTCAGGAGTAAAGAAACTTGTGAAACCCCATGGCTTCTGCAGGACAACTCCTCTCTATCAGGGGAAGAAAGGCTCAAGTGCAAGCTTGGCAAAAGCTTTTTGCTGGAGAAATCTCTGGGAAAAGGAATGCTCATCCACTGCTCGCTGGGAGTGTCCATGGGCAAGGGGAAGCCACCCTCTCCCTTGACCTTGACTTCTTTTCCACCTTTCTGTGACCTGGCTAAGTCAGCCTTCCACGTGGTCCTTACAACGACTGGAGTTAAGTTGACTATGATTCCCTATTCTAGGTCAAGGCTAATGTCTTCTGAAGACTTAGCAGAGATCCCTCAACTCCAAAAGGTAAGAAAGACAATTATCTGAACTAATAAAGGGTGGGGCATTCCAGAGTCACCCAAAACCTCACTTACCAGCATGGAAGTATAGGTGTTTCTGCATCGGGGAGGGGGTTGCATACTCAGATATTTACTGGGCAGGTAACTTAAGTGTATTTTTTTTTTTTGAGACAGAGTCTCGCTCTGTCGCCCAGGCTGGAGTGCAGTGGCATCATCTTGGCTCACTGAAACCTCTGCCTCCTGGGTTCAAGCAATTCTCTTGCCTCAGCCTCCTGAGTAGCTAGGATTACAGGCATGTGCCACCATGCCCAGCTAATTTTTATATTTTTAGTAGAGATGGGGTTTTACCATGTTGGCCAGGCTGGTCTCAAACTCCTGACCTCATGATCTGCCCGCCTCAGCCTCCCAAAGTGCTGGGACTACAGGCGTGAGCCACCACACCTGACCTAAGTGTACTTTTAAAGGGCTGCCTGAGACTGGGTATGGTGGCTCACACCTGTAGTCCCAGCACTTTGTGAGGTGAAGGCAGGAGGATCGCTGAGCCCAGGAGTTTGAGACCTGCCTGGGCAACATAGTGAAACCCCATCTCTACAAAAAGTAAAAAATAAATTAGGCATGGTGGCACATGCCTGTGGTCCCCGCTACTCCAGAGGCTGAGGTGGGGGGATTGCTTGAGCCTGGGATGTCGAGGCTACAGTCAGCCATGATCTCGCCATTGCACTTATCCTGGGCAACAGAGCGAGACCCTGTCTCTAAAAAAACAAAACAAAAAAGCTACATGAGTCAAATGCAACACACCCGAGCCCCCTGATGTACGGTCTGTACGTGGACTCCACTTCTCTACTTAATTTTGTCCAGCAGGTTGTGATAATAGTGGGATGGGCTGTAAGAGTTTTTATCAAGCCAGGTATGTATCAATTGTCTGTTATGTGCTTGGGGCTGGGGAGTATAGAGATAATTAATACAAATTAGATTAAGTTAAGTTAAACATGCCTTTGTCTTTGAAGAGCTCACTATGAGACAAGGAGTAATAACAAGAGCTGTCATTTATTGTGTAATTACAGTTTACTGGGGCTTCACATGTATTCAGGTGTCATTTAGGTCTCAACCACAGCCCTGCAGGGTAGGGACTGTGGCTCTCTGTTTTGCAGATGAGGAAACCTGTGGCTCAGGGAAGTGATGTGATATGCCTAAGTTAAAATAGCCTGTAAGTGAGGGAGCCAGACAGAATTCCAACCCAGAGCTCTGGGGCTCTGCAGCCGTGTGCTTCCCCTCATGCCTTGCTGCCCACATGTATGGACAGACAAGCACACTTACTATGCCTTGAGGGGCAGATATGAACAAAGACCTGGGAATATGGAGGTGGCAGTGATGACTGTCATCTGAAAGTTATGGAAGAGCTCCTTGGGGGAGGTTCCATTTGAGCGAGAGTCTGAAGAGTGGGTAGGGGTTCACCTCTAGGGGAGATGGGTTGGACTGTGTATGGGAGACACACGTGAGTAAGCACCGAATGCTTGCTGGGCTTGGGGATGGTGGGGAGCAGGTGGTGTGCCTGGAACATGGTGCATGCTTGAAACTAGAAAGATAGGTCAGAGCTGGTTAGGAAGTACTTTGAATGCTACACTCCGGAGTTGGGGTGAAGAGTGTCAGAAGCAGGGTAAAGTCATTGATCAGATTTGCTGCCTAGAAGCCAGGCGCAGTGGCCCATATCTGTAATCCCAGCACTTTGGGAGGCCAAGGCAGGAGGATCACCTGAGGTCAGGAGTTCGAGGCCAGCCTGGTCAACATGGTGAAACCCTGTCTCTACTAAAAATACAAAAAATTAGCCAGGCGTGGTGACTCATGCCTGTAGTCCCAGCTACTTGGGAAGCTGGTTCACGAGAATCACTTGAACCCAGGAGGCAGAGGTTGCAGTGAGCTGAGATCGCACCACGCTCCAGCTGGGTGACAGAGTGAGACTCTGTCTCAAAAAAAAAAAAAAAAATTTGCTGCCTAGAAAGATGACTGGTGCCAGTGTTGGGAGGTGGATGGGAAGAGAGGGTCAAACTCTGGTCTTAGTGGTGGTCATTGTACTTGTCCCAGCAAAAGACTACAGTTTGGGGCGAGCAGGGGTGTGGGAGAGGAGGCTTATATGTAGGAGATGGATCCCAGGAATAATTAACTGGAGGGACGGTAGAATGCATAGGAAGAAGAGGGAAGAGCTGAAGGCGGTGCTGAGATTTCTAATTTGGAGTCTGGGTGTGTAGTGAGAGCCTTCACGTGCTCCTCTGTTGGGCTCCGTGGAGGCAGGGACCCTCACTATGTTCACGGTGTATCCACAGTGCTGTATCCACAGTGCCTAGCACTCAGTCAATGTGTGTAGACGCTGGGCTAATGAATGAAAGGTCACAGGAGGATGAGCACATTTGCTCTTTAGTTGGGGCTAAGTGGGGGAGAGTGAGCAATTTAATCCCTTGTCTTTTGGCTTTTTGAACTAAAGTGTTTTCAACTTCCCAAGGCCCAAAGCAATGTGTCTCAGTGAGCAGGACTGCCTGCCTGCCACTCAGGTCATCTAATTATCCACGTTAGAGTCTTTTAGGGAAGGCAGCCTTTGATGGCCTGAGCTTTGGTGACCTGACACATTATGCTAAGTATCTGTATCAGTCTCATGGAGGGGTGAGGAGAGGAAGCATCATGAGGCCTGGAGGGGTGGGGAAGGCTTCTGGGGGGATTTGGGAAGGATGAGTAGAAGGGGGAAGTGAGGGAGAACCCCCAGTGGAGGGGTCTGTATGAGCATTGGTGTGTTGGCAGGGAGGCCAGGGGTGGGGCAGGTGAGCTCATCTGACCGAGATGGGACATCTGGGCTGGTCAGGACCAGGTCAAATTAGGGAAAATGGAGCTGGATTCCCTGGGGTTTTCTTCCTTCCTTCCTTCCTTCCTTCCCTCCCTCCCCCTTCTTCCCTTCCTCCCTTTCTTCCTTCCTTCCTTCCCTCCCTCCCTCCCTCTCTTCCTTCCTTCCTTCCCTCCTTCCTTCCTTCCTTTCTTTCTCTCTCTCTTTCTTTCTTTCCTTCCTTCCTTCCTTTCTTTCTCTCTCTCTCTTTCTTTCTTTCGTTTCTTTCGTTTCTTTTTTTTTTGAAGTCTTGCTCTGTTGCCCAGGCTGGAATGCAGCGGCACAATCTCAGCTCACTGCAACCTCCACCTCCTGGGTTCGAGTGATTCTCCTGCCTCAGCCTCCTGAGTAGCTGGGACTACAGGCACATGCCACCACACCCAGCTAATGTTTTTGTATTTTTAGTAGACGTGGGTTTCTACCATGTTGGTCAGGCTGGTCTCAAACTCCTGACCTCAAATGATCCGCCCTCCTCGGCCTCCCGAAGTGCTGGGATTATGGGCATGAGCCACCATGCCCAGCCCCCTGGGGTTCTGAATTCTGACCACTGAAGATTTGAAATGATATAGTTACTGAACTGAGGTCCCTTATAAATGAACACCCCATTATGAGTAAGGTAGGACTTGGCTGTATCCTCCCTGAGCCTCAGCTGTGGCATCTGTAAAAAGGGAACAATGGTTCCCTCTCCAAAGTCGGAAGAGTCTAGGTTTTTCTTTATCTTCTTAGGTGTAAAAATGGTTAAGAATTCTGTATTTCTGTCAGTGACATCATAACACTACTTACCTTGTTCTTTCTCAAAGAGTCTCTCTTTAAATCATGTGCTGAAAATGTTTGGCTCAGGAAATTGAAACGCTCAGTCCCTGGTTCTTGTTATATTCGTTCCAGCTGTCCATCCCACATGGCTTCCAGAACAAGGAGGCTGCTAGCTCCCCAACACCATCCATCACCCTTAGCCAGGTGCCTGACCTCCAGCCTGGGTCCCAGCTGTTTACTGAGATACACCTGGCCAAGATAGAGAAAATGTTTGAGGAGGACATCAACTCGACTGGAGGTAAGGCCGCTCTGTAGGCTCGGTTTTTGTGTGAGTTCTGCAACAGGGCAGGACCGAGTACCTGGGGTGTGTGGAGGGTTCAGACATAATAAGCATTTTTTTTTTGTTTTTGAGACAGGATATTGCTCTGTCACCCAGTCTGGAGTGCAGTGGTGTGATCACCACGGCAGCCTCAACCTCCCATGCTCAAGCGATCCTCCTGTCTCAGCCCCCAGAGTAGCTGGGACTACATGCACATACCACCACTCCTGGCTAATTAAAATTTTTCTTTTTTTTTTAGAAACAAGGGCTTGCTATTAGGTTGGTGCAAAAGTAATTGCAGTTTTGCTATTAAAAGTAATGGCAGAAATCACAATTGCTTTTGCACCAATGTGATATGTGGTCCAGGCTCGTCTGGGACTACTGGGCTCAAGTGATCCTCCTGCCTTGGCCCCCGGAGTAGCTGAAACTACAGGCACATGCCACCATGCCTGGCTAATTAAAAAAATAATAATTGTAGAGACGAGGTCTTGCTATGTTGCCCAGGCTGGTCTCAAACTCCTGGGCTCAAGCAGCGCCTTCTGCCTTGGCCTCCCAAAGTGCTGGGATTACAGGTGTGAGCCACTGTGCCCAACCCTGATCAGCATCTTTGCATCTAGTGTCTCCTGTAAAACTTTCAAGCATTATGTAGGTATTGCAAGCATATTGGAGGCTATTTGGGATCTAGAAAATTTTTAAAAATACCCCTAGTCCAAATACCCACATGTAACCACTGTTAGCATTTTGGTGTATGTATTTTCTTCCAGTTTCATATGTATGGTTTATTATCTGTTGCTGTGTGATAATACCACAGTCTTAGTGGCTTAAACCAATGCACGTTTATCACCTCACAGTTCTGGTGGGGCAGGAGTCTGGGCATGGCTTAGCTGGCTTCTCTGTTCAGGCTCTCACAAGGCTGCAATCAAGTTGTTGGCTGGGACCGGTGTGGTGGCTCACACCTCTAATCCCAACAGTTTGAGAGGCCAAGGCGGGCAGATCACTTAAGGTCAGGAGTTCAAGAGCAGCCTGGCCAACATGGTGAAACCCCGTCTCTACTAAAAATACAAAAATTAGCTGGGCGTGGTGGCACGGGCCTCTAATTCCAGCTACTTGGGAGGCTGAGGCAAGAGAATCGCTTGAATCTGGGAAGCAGAGGTTGCAGTGAGCCAAGGTCATGCCACTTTACTCCAGCCTAGACCACAGAGTGAGACTCCATCTCAAAAAAAAAAAAGTCGTCAGCTGGGGCTGTGGAATCATCTTGGGGTTGACTGGGGAAGAACCCACTTCCAAGCTCACTCAGGTTGTTGGCAGAATTCAGTTCCTTGCCCCTGTGTGACTGAGGGCTTCTGTTTCTTCCTGACTGTTGGTGGGAGGCTACCTACAGTTCCTGGCCACGCAGGATTCACCAACAGAGCTGTTTGCAAGGCTCAAGCCAACAACAGGGAGAAAAACTCCAGCAAGATGGGTGTTGCAATTTTTTTTTTTTTTTGAGACGGAGTTTCACTCTTGTTGCCCAGGCTGGAGTGCAATGGCACGATCTTGGCTCACTGCAACCTCCGCCTCTGGTTCAAGCGATTCTCCTGTCTCAGCCTCCCAAGTAGCTGGGATTACTGGTATGTGCCACCACGCCTGGCTGTATTTTGTATTTTTAGTAGAGACGGGGTTTCTCCATGTTGGGCAGGCTGGTCTCGAGCTCCCGACCTCAGGTGATCCGCCTGCCTTAGCCTCCCAAAGTGCTGGGATTACAGGCGTGAGCTGCTGTGCCTGGCCAGGTGTTGCAATCTTATATAACAAATCATGTAATCATGTGCACATAGTCCTGCACACCCTGTCACCTGTGCCATATTCTGTTGGTTAGAAGCAAGTCACAGGTCCCACCACACTCCAGGGGAGGGGATCGAAGGAGGGACTGAGCACCAGGAGGCACACAGTATGGGGGCTGCTTAAGTCTCTCTACTGCAGATGACTGTGTATGTTTTCATATGTCTTTAATCATACTATATATGTAATTTCAGACTACTTTTCACTTAATGCTAATATCCTAAGGAATTTTCCATATTGCTACATAATCTTCCAAGTCATCATTACTAACAGAGGCAGTTGTTTCACTGGCTAAGCTATTCCTCTGTTTTCAGACGTTTAGGTTTTATTGAGTTGAATGTTGTAAAGATATCCTTTGTGCCTCAAGCCTTTTCTCTGTTTAGAGCTTGATTTTTCCCCCTGAGATAATACTCCTGTAAGTCAAATAATAGGAATACTTAAAGGCATCTTTCTTTATATCCACTAGACCATGCTAGGGTCCTATTTACCTGCCCTGTGAATTTCTTTTGAGATTTACAACCACACTGTGATGTGGGCAGGAAAGGATAAGAAATCTCCAGTTTACGAACGAGTAAAGTGAGACCTAGGAGGGACAATTTGTGTCTGGTCTGAAGATAGGGTGATTCCTGGGTGGTGGTCTTCAATGTCATTGTTTGCAGCCAGGAAGTGCCACCACTGTGTCTGGGAGGACTCCATTGGTACTGACCTTGGCCATCGTTTTTATTGTGTTTGTGTATGTTTTGAATAGGTAATATACCCACACAGTTCAATATATCCAAACGGTTCAAAATCCAAAAGGTACTTTTTTCATGATACTTTTTTGATATACAGAGAAAATGTTTTTCTCCCCCACCACCCATGTGCCCAGGTATGTCCCTTTAAGTTATTACTGTTTTCTGTTTCCTGTGATCTTTATTTTTAATTTTTTTAGGGACAGGGTCTCGCTTGGTTGCCCAGGCTGGAGTGGAGTGGTGTGATCATAACTCACTGCAGCCTTGAACTCCTGGGCTCAAGTGATCCTCCTGTCTCAGCCTCTGGAGTAGCTAGAATTAGAGGCATGTGCCACAATACCTGGGTAATTTTTAAAAACTTTTTGGTAGAGATGGGGTCTTGCTATGTTGCCCAGGCTAGTCTCAAACTCCTGGCTTCAAGCAATCCTTCTGCCTCTGCCTCCCAAAGTGTTGGGATTACAAGCGTTAGCCACTGCACCCAGCCTCCTATGACCTTTGGAAATAAATACAGAAGTATCTTTAGTCATTTCTACTTCTTCTTCTTTTTTTTTTTTTTCCTGAAATGGAGTCTCACTCTGTCACCCAGGCTAGAGTGCAGTGGTGCGATCTCGGCTCACTGCAACCTCTGCCTCCCAGGTTCAAGTGATTCGCCTGTCTCAGCCTCCCGAGTAGCTGGGACTACAGGCACGCACCACTGGCTAATTTTGGTATTTTCAGTAGAGACAGGGTTTCACCATGTTGGTCAGGCTAGTCTTGAACTCCTGACCTCAGGTGATCCACCTGTCTCGCCTCCCAAAGTTCTGGGATTTCAGGTGTGAGCCACCGTGCCCGGCCCTCTCTACTTCTTCTTTTAAATTTTAGTGTCCAGTCATCAGTTTCCTCCCTTTTTTTATATGCAGTGGCAGCCTATTGTCCACACTGTTCTATTCTTTGCTTTTATTTTTTTTAATTTTTATTCTTTTAAATTTCTTTTAGAGATAGGGTTTTCCTGTGTAGCCCAGGGTGGAGTGCAGTGGTGTGATGATAGTTCACTGAAGCCTCGACCTCCTGGGCTCAAGCAATCCTCCTGACTCAGCCTCCAGAGTAGCTAGGACTACAGGTGCATGCTACCACATCCAGCTAATTTTTTCATTTTTATTTTCTGTAGAGATGGTGTCTTGCTATGCTGTATTCCTTGCTTTTTTAAAAAATTAATTTTAACAAGTTTACCTCTTGCTTTTTACTGAATGTATCTTGCAGATATTTTCATATCAATATTAAAAACCCTTTCTCATTTTAAAAAACCAACTTTGGCTTTAAATGGGAGAAAAGAAAATTCACCTTTTGTTGATGTAGGATAAAGGAAAATAGGATCATTTTTCTCTTTTGAAAGTCTTTTAAGGAGGTGGATTATGAGTGCGGGCTCCATACCGTGTCTTAGGCACCCCAACTGTCACTGCGTGCCTTGGAGGGAAGAGGGGACATGCCAGTGTCCTTCTTCCTGTTCTGTAAGTTCCCTTTTCCTAGCTTCAGTCCAGGTTGTGCCAGATCTTTGAGGGAAGTCAGTGGTTCTTAAAGAGGAAAGAGTGCCTTTCAGTCTCCCCAGGAGGTTTTGAAAGCACACAAAGGCAGTTTGACTCCCAGCTCTGTCTGGAAGGAGGCCGCAGGGCTCATGGCCTGCCCCCTGGCATCTATCTTCTACCTGGAAGGACCATTAAGTGCTTAAGCACCTTGGCTGTAACTCCAGATAAACAAGATGGGTCCCTCTTTTAGCAAGGCATGATTTCTTCAGGCTTTCCATTTATTCCTTGATCCAGCAACAAATATAATAATAATTACTGTTGTATCATTGTGCTGGGTGTTGTATAAGGAGAATAGAATGGGGTTAAGAGCATGAGTTCTGGAGCCAGATTGCTAGGGTTAGTATCTGGTGCTACCACTTACCAGCTGTGTGACCTTGGGCAAGCAACCACGCCTCTCTGTGCCACATTTTCTTCCTTATGTAGGTAGTCAGGGTGCATAAGGCACAGAGAACAATGCCTGGCATGAAGTGCCATCACCGGCACATCTCAGTGCCCACAGAAACCCTCAGGGGACCAATGTTTGTTGAAGCCAGGACCCAGCCCTGGGGCAACAGGCTCATGCCTGCCATCCCAGAGCTCTCAGGCTGGAGTGGGAGATAGAAGACAGACAGACAAGAGTGAAAGCGAGCTGGGCACGGTGGCTCATGCCTGTAATCCCTGCACTTTGGGATCCCAGCGAGCTGAGGTGGGTGGATCAAGAGGTCAAGGGTTCGAGACCAGCCTGGCCAACATGGTGAAACCCTGTCCCTACTAAAAATACAAAAATTAGCTGGGCATGGTGGTGGGTGCCTGTAGTTCCAGCTACTTGGGAGGCTGAGCCAGGAGAATTTCTTGAACCCAGGAGGTGGAGGTTGTAGTGAGCCAAGATCATGCCACCACACTCCAGCCTGGGCAACAGAGCGAGACTCCATCTCAAAAACAAAAACAAAAGGCCGGGTGCAGTGGCTCATGCCTGTAATCCCAGCATTTTGGGAGGCCGAGGTGGGCGGATCGCCTGTGGTCAGGAGTTCGAGACCAGCCTGGCCAACATGGCGAAACCCTGTCTCTACTAAAAATACAAAAATTAGCCGAGTGTGATGGTGGGCGCCTGTAATCCCAGCTACTTGGGAGGCCGAGGCAGGGAGAATTGCTTGAACCCAGGATGCGGAGGTTGCAGTGAGCCGAGATCGTGCCATTGCACTCCAGCCTGGGCAATAAGAGCAAAACTCCATCTCAAAGAGCAAAACAAAACAAAACAGAATACTAAAAACAAAAAACAAAAACAAAACACAAAACAGTGAAAGCCAGTGTGTCAGCTGATAATGTCAGCAAGAACCATGGAACTGGGCAATGGCGGGGGTGGCCTCCTTAGACAGACCCTAGGAAGGCTTCCCTATGGAAGGAGCCCCCTGAACTCTGAGGATGTTGGCCAGGATGGTCTCCATCTCTTGACCTCGTGATCCACCTGCCTCGGCCTCCCAAAGTGCTGGGATTACAGGTGTGAGCCACTGTGCCCAGCCCAGAAGCACTTTTTAAAGATTGTGATTATTAAAAAAAAAGTTGTAGACAGGGGTTATTGACCCATTTGCAGACAGATCCCCTTATAGACCCAGCCAGCACGTGGAGAATTTTCTATCCTTGCCTGTTCCTCCTTTCTTCTCCCCATCTTTTCCTTCAGCCAAAGTTTATATTTTGATAATTGCTTTTAGAAGATGCAGTTTGGCTGGGTGTGGTAGGCTCACACCTGTAATCCCAGCACTTTGGGAGGCTGGAGAGGGCGGATCACTTGAGGTCAGGAGTTTGAGAGCAGCCTGGCCAACATGATGAAACCCCATCTCTACTAAAAATACAAAAATTAGCAGGAAGTAGCTTGAACCCAGGAGGCAGAGGTTGCAGTGAGCTGAGATTGTGCCACTGTACTCCAGCCTGGGCAACAGAGCGAGACTCTGTCCAAAAAAAAAAAAAATGCAGTTCACCTCTCCTTCTAGATGTCTGAATTTATTAATGTCTATTTGTTGCCATTATATACTTTTGTTCTGCTGCTTCTTTTCTTCGTTTTTATTTTATTTATTTATTTATTGAGACAGGGTCTTACTCTGTTATCCAGGCTGGAGTGCAGTGGTGAAATCTCTGCTCACTGCAACCTCCGCCTCTCAGGCTCAAGCAATCCTCCCAGCTCAACCTCCCCAGTAGTTGGGACTACAGGCATGTGCCACCATGCCTGGCTAATTTTTGTATTTTCTGTGAAGATGCGGTTTCACCATGTTGCCCAGCCTGGTCTCAAACTCCTGGGCTCAAGCCTTCTGCCCACCTCAGCCTCCCAAAGTACTGGGATTATAGGTGTGAACACTTGCTTCCAGCCTTTATTTTATTTATTTTTTAGAGACAAGGTCTGTCTCCATCACCTAGGCTACAGTACAGTGGCAAGATCATGGCCAACTTCAGCCTCTGCCTCCCGGGTTCAAGCCATCCTCCCACCTCAGTCTCTCGACCAGCTGGGACTACAGGCTCACGCCACTACACCTGGCTAATTTAAAAAATTTTTTTTGTAGATTGGGTCTCCTTATGTTTCCCAGCCTGGTCTTGAACTCCTGATCTCAAGTGATCCTCATACCTCAGCCTCCCAAAGCACTGGAATTACAGACATGAGCCACTGTGCCTGGCCTTGCTTCTACTTTTATTTTCTTTCCTTTTTCTTTTTTTGAGACAGTCTCACTCGGTCGCTCAGGCTGGAGTGCAGTGGTGCAATCTCGGTTCACTGCAACCTCTGCCTCCTGGGTTCAAGTGATTCTTGTGCCTCAGCCTCCCAAGTAGCTGGGATTACAGGCACACGCCACCAAACATGGCTAATTTTTGTTTTTGTTTTTAAAAATATTTAAATATTTATTTTCTTTCTTCCTTTCTTTCTGACAGAGTCTGGCTCTGTTGCCCAGGCTGGAGTGCGTTGGTGTGATCTCGGCTCACTGCAACCTCTGCCTCCTGGATTCAAGCGATTCTCCTGCCTCAACCTCCCAAGTAGCTGGGATTACAGGCATGTGCCACCATGCCTGGCTAACTTTTTGTATTTTTTAGTAGAGGCAGGGTTTTGCCATGTTGGTCAGGCTGGTCTCGAACTCCTAGCCTCAGGTGATCTTCCCGCCTCTGCCTCCCAGAGTGCTGGGATTACAGGCGTGAGCCACCGTGCCTGGCCTGGTTCTCCTTTTCTTTGGAGAGTTTTCTTTGTCTCAATCCTTCCTCTTTGTTAATTGTATGGAAATGGGAGTTGGTCTTTTTTAGTGCCTCCCCTCCCCACACTGCTGTGGGACCAACACAGTGCTCCCATATGGCGGGTTTTCAGCCAGGACTTGTGGGGTGGTTGAATGTTGAGCAGATAAGATGCAAAAGATAACCATGTGAGGACAGAAGCGTCCGGAATTGGCCTAGCCTGGGGTGGCTGGGGTGGATGCTGAGATGTGAGGAGGGGAGACAGGGCCAAGAGGGGCTGGATTTGAGGTTTGAGGGGCTGGAGGAGGCAGCCTCCTAAGGGCCCCGTCTTTGGCTGGAGCCATCTCCCTTCTGTGCCCCCTGCAGTGGACCAGCTGAGGACCGTAGGGGAGGCAGCACCAAGACTGCCTTGAACTGAGCACACCTGGTAAACATGGTGGTTTTTTTTTTTTTTTTTTGAGACAGAGTTTTCTCTCTTGTTGCCCAGGCTGGAGTGCAGTGGTGCGATCTCAGCTCACTGCAACCTCTGCCTCCTGAGTTCAAGGGATTCTCCTGCCTCAGCCTCCCAAGTAGCTGGGATTGCAGGTACCCACCACTGTGCCCAGCCAATTTATTTTTGTATTTTTAGTAGAGACAGGGTTTCACCATGTGGATCAGGCTGGTCTTGAACTCCTGACCTCAAGTGATCCACCTGCCTCAGCCTCCCAAAGTGCTGGAATTACAAGCATGAGCCACCGCGCCTGGCCGTAGATGTGGTCTTCAGTGTGTCCCCCTCAGCACCCAGACACTTGAGAACTCCGTGGCAGTGATGGGCCGAGGGACTTGTGAGGAAGGGGATGATGCTCTCTGTTCTCTCTTTGAAGCCCTGGGCATGGACGCCTTCATCAAGGCCATGAAGAAGGTTCTGAGCAGTGTGTCGGACGAGATGCTAAAGGAGCTGTTTTTGAAGGTGGACTCGGACTGTGAAGGCTTTGTCACCTGGGTGAGGAGGGTGCCCCTGCTTCCTCAGGTGCTGGAGGGAGGCTGGAGGGTCCAGTCCTTGACCAGTTGGTGGGGCTGAAGATGGGAGGCCATCACGATGTGGGAAAGCCTCCCTGTGGATTCTGGCCCCAGTCGGGGGACTTGCCTGGTGGAGACGTCCCTCCTAAGACCTGTGTGAGCTGAGTTCCTGGCAGCTCATTCCCCAGGGACAAGTGTCGTTGGCCCCTGTGTGAGACCTACTGAGTGTGCAGCGGTGACCCCACCTGCCACGCGGCTGTGGTGCCCACCAACCTCCCATTTGGCTTGGGGGATTCAAGCTGGTACCACGACCATCTCATGACCCTTCACTGTCACTCAGGAATAGGCCAGCCTGTGGCTGTTACATCTAAAAGTGTCAGGCTTTTACAGCATCATAATAATAATGCTTTCATGTTTTTCTGGTTCTAAACGTTCGACAATGGGAATATACAGCTTTTTAAGCATACAGAAAAGTACCAAGGATAGTCTGACAAATTGATGTAGCAAAGATGACAATGATAACTAGCATTTACACCAAGCACTGTGCTAAGCTCTCTATGTATTATTTTACTTAAACCTCATAGGAATCCTATGGGGTAGGTGCTATTACTTACCTCTATTTCGGCCGGGCACAGTGGCTCATGCCTGTAATCCTAGCACTTTGGGAGGCCAAGGGGGGTGGATCGCTTGAGCTCAGGAGTTCAAGACCAGCCTGGGTAACGTGGTAAAACCCTGTCTCTACAAAAAATACCAAAAATTAAACGGGTGTGGTGGTGCACGCCTATAGTCCCAGCTATTTGTGGAGCTGAGCTGGGAGGATTGTTTGAGCCCAGGAGGTTGAGGCTGCAGTGAGCTGAGATTGCACCACTGTACTCCAGCCTGGGTGACAAAGTGAGACCATGTCTCAGGAAAAAAACAAAACAAAACAAAAAACTTACCTCCATTTGACAGATTGGGAAACTGAGGCATGGGGAAGTTAGGAGTTTGCCCAGGGCTTCAGACTCATCAGCACTGGAGCCAGTATTCAAACCAGGGAGGGTGCCTTGAGAGTCCCTGCGTTAACTGCCGTCTCATAGCTCTCCTCAGCATAGGTATACATTCTGGGTTTTCTTCTTCTCAATTTTCTTGTTTTTATTTATTTCTTTCTTTTTTTTTTTTTTTTTTTGAGATGGAGTCTTGCTCTGTCGCCCAGGCTGGAGTGCAATGGCACGATCTTGGCTCTTTGCAACCTCTGCCTCCCAGGTTCAAGTGATTCTCCTGCCTCAGCCTCCCGAGTAGCTGGGATTACAGGCACCCACCACCACACCTGGCTAATTTTTGTATTTTTAGTAGAAACGGGGTTTCACCATGTTGGCCAGGCTGGCCTGGAACTCCTGACCTCAGGTAATCCACCTGCCTCAGCCTCCCAAAGTGCTGGGATTACAGGTGTGAGCCATTGCACTTGGCGGTTTTTATTTCTCTTAATGTTCTATAATAAACATTTCCTTTAGAACAATGAGGCCAACTGAAAGAAAAAGAATAAAAAGCAATTTAACCCCCTCGCATTCCTAGCATTCTCAGGGCTTTACCCAGTGGTCCTTGTTTACAACCCCGTTTCTTGTTACAGCTTCATATGGTGGCTGCTTTGGGCCTTGGCCATGTTTTCCAGCAGCTGGGCAGTGGAATGGAGTCTGGAGTTGCGCCAGTGGCCCTGGTGTGGGTGCTCCCTGCTGTTAACTTGATGTTTGAGCATGGGCATCTCACATCCTTACAGGGGCCTGAGTTTTATTATCCATAGGGGAGAGTGAATAAAGAGCTCCCAGGGTGATGCCAGTTGTGGGGGTGATCTGAGGATGCACTTAGCGCCTCAGGACGGCGAGGGAGACGCTGCTGTGCTCTTTCAGTGAATGCTGCGAGTAGGCCCTTCCCATACTCAGGATTCAAGAACAGGTCTGCTGTCCAAGCGCAGTGGCTCACACCTTTAATCCTAGAACTTTGGCAGACCACTTGAGCCCAGGAGTTCGAGACCAGCCTGGGCAACATGGCGAAACCCCATCTCTACAAAAAATACAAAAATTAGCTGGGAATTGTGGCATGCATTTGTGGTCCCAGCTACTCAGGAGGCTGAGGTGGGAGGATCACTTGAGCCTGGGAGATTGAGGCTGCAGTAAGCTGTGATCACACCATTGCACTCCAGCCTGGGTGACAGAGCAAGGCCCTGTCCCAAAAGGAAAAAAAAAAGGCCGGGTGTGGTGGCTCATGGTTATAATCCCAGCACTTTGGGAGGCTGAGCAATAAACTGTGATCACACCACTGCACTCCAGCCTGAGTGACAAACAGAGAAAGAGCAGGTCTGTTGCTTGGCCACCTGCCCTGGCCAGTACTTGGGAAGCAGCCACCAGAGCCTATCGGAAGGGCCTGGGAGAGATGGGGTGGTGAGGGGGACCCTGGGAATCAGGCTTGAGTTCTTTTTTTTTTTTTTTTTTTTGAGACGGAGTCTCGCTCTGTCGCCCAGGTCGGACTGCGGACTGCAGTGGCGCAATCTCGGCTCACTGCAAGCTCCGCTTCCCGGGTTCACGCCATTCTCCTGCCGAGTTCTTGAAACTGAAGGCTGAGACCATTTTGCCAATACCCTGCCTCCCTTGTGCTTTCTTTCGAGGCAGCAAAAGTATGTGGATTACATGATGCGTGAGTTCCAGGGAAAAGAGGACATGCGAAAGAGCCAGTACCGCCTGCACTTCTACCTTCCCATGACGGTCGTCCCCCTGTAAGGAGCCTCTTCCTGGGCCTTGGTGGGTGGGGTGACTGGACAAGTGCTGGTGCCAGCCTGCAGTGAGCCCCTCCCTCAATCCGTGACCTTGCTGGTGCTGACCAGGGGCTGGCATCAGCCTGCTGCCTGATGTCCTTTGGCTCATTTCAACCTCACAGCCCTGTAAGTGTTAGGACTAAGGTACGTGATTTGTCCCCATTTTATAGATGAGGCCACTGAGGTCTGGAGAGGTCAAATGGCTGGCCCCAGGCCAATAGGTAGAAAGTGGCGGGCTGCTGTGTTTGGCCCTCTCAGCCCCCATTCCCCAGTATACAGCATTGCTTCACCTGCTTCCTGTGCTAGTTGGTGCAGAGTGGGTCTGGCAGTTTCATCATAGGGGCACAGGTGGCACAGGTGGCCAGCACAGGCAGGAATAGGAGTTTCCTCCCAGGCAACAGGAAGGGAATTGCTCCTCAAGCCCCCAGCCAGGCCCTGGAGGCCTCAGAGTGGCTGGCCCCGGGAGTAGGTCCCTCTGTTACTCCTGGAGCTGGTGGCACCACCCTGCCTTGGCTTCTGCCTGACCGCTCTGCTCACTCCTCCTCCTCGTGGCTCCTCCACCCGCTGTGCCCACTGAACCCTTGCTTTGCAGGGGAGGAAAACTGTCTTTTCCCTCTACCCATCTGAGGTTCATTGGCAGGGACCTCTCTAAGCGAAGACAGAGTCACAAGGACAAGCATACAAGTTTATTTAATATAAGTTTTACATGACACGGGAGCCTCTGTAGGAAATGAAGCCCCTAAGAAACAGATAACCTGAGGGTTTTCATGCTAGGTTCAATGGAGGGTGGAAAGCTGTGGAAAAATAAGATAGGACAGAGGGGCGATGAGCCAAGCGTAATACATGGCGGAAATAGCAAGGACGTTAGTTCAGATTCTTGTCCGTGTCCCTGTGTCTTTGGGCACCCCTCACATGAGTCTTATGACCGGCTTCAGGGGAAGGTCAGACAGTCCTTCCTGAACATACTGCTTCTCAAATTCCTTTAGTTTAACAGACTCAGTATGCTGCGGTGCCCTATTTGGGGGTAGCATCTCTCAGACCCCTCAACCTCTTCTGTCTGTGCCAGGGGTTGATCTGCCTCGCTGTGTGTTCCTCCCCCTGGACTCCCTAAGCATGAGGAGCATTGCAGGGGCTCTGACCTGCTGGGCCTGGGCTGCCCGGGTCACTGGATCCCTTCCTGCAGTCCACCCTGGAGCACTGCTGCCTGGGGCAGGTGGCCAGGCAGGGAGCTGGGTCCTGAGATACAAGGTGTGGCAGCCTACATTTGTGACCAGGTCAGGAGGGAGCTGTGGGTGGGTCTGTCCTAAGAGGACCAGACCCAGACCAGGCCACGGGGAAGTCAAAGAGCTGGAAGGCAGCCCCGGTCCTCAGGCAGCCTGGGGTTTAATAGAGAAGGCGGCTTGAATGAAAGTCACCCAAGGGTAACTTTTTTTTTTTTTTGAGACAGAGTCTCACTCAGTTGCCCAGGTTGGAGTGCAATGGCTTGATCTTGGCTCACTGCAACCTCCGCCCCCCGGGTTCAAGCGATTCTCCCGCCTCAGCGTCCCAAGTAGCTGGGATTACGAACGCCTGCCACCATGCCTGACTAATTTTTTTGTATTTTTAATAGAGATGGGGTTTCACTGTGTTGGCTGGGCTGTTTGTGAACTTGGGGCCTCAAGTAATCCGCTCACCTTGGCCTCCCAAACTGCTAGGATTATAGGTGTGAGCCACTGTACCCGGCAATAACTTAAAACAAAATTTTGGTTGGGATTTAATTGAGAAATAACCAATAAATATGAATGATAAGAGATTTCATAACTGTATTTTTTAAACATTTACTGGTTTATTATAAAGAATATTACAAAGGATACAGATGAACAGATGTGTAGGGCGAGGTATGGGGAGAGGGATGCACAAGCTTCAGGAACCTCCGTGTGTTCAGCCATAGGGAAGCTCTCAGAACCCAGTCCTCTGGGGTTTTTAGTGGAAGCTTCATGACATCAGCATTCCTGCCCCTAGGGCATAGGGCAGGACTCTGGGGCTGTGGGAGTTAGGAACTGTGGGCAAAACATATATATATATAAAACACCACAGGCCCCCACTCCTGGTTTTTGAACATAGAGAACACAGCTCCCTTATAGCAAAAGAATACACAACTCAAAAGATACTGGCACATTCCTAGAGTCCCATTTAGTCATTAATAATTCATCCCATCCATCATAGTATATGAATGTCTCCCAGGCTGAGGCCATTCAGGTTTGTAGGCTTCCTTTCAATCTTGTCAGGTTCCAAAAGCCGGAGTTGGCTTGGCAAATAAACCTCTCAGGCATCTGGAATCATTGAGCTAAGAGACAATGTCATCTCTCTTTTCTTTTTTTCTTTTTTGAGATGGAGTTTTGCTCTTGTTGCCCAGGATGGAATGCAGTGGTGCGGTCTTAGCTCACTGCAACCTCTGCCTCCCGGGTTCAAGTGATTCTTCTGCCTCAGCCTCCCAAGTAGCTGGGATTACAGGCACCTGCTACCATGCCTAGCTAATTTCTATGTTTTTAGTAGAGATGGAGTTTCACCATGTTGACCAGGCTGGTCTCGAACTCCTGACCTCAAGTGATCCATCCACTTCGGCCTCCCAAAGTGTTGGGATTACAGGCGTGAGCCACCGCATCCAGCCAGTCATCTCTTGCTCTGAGAACTCCTTCGAGTTGTTGGTGTAATACTGGATTTCTCTCCATTTAATCCATTTATTAATCTTTACCCTCAGCTAGTATTCCTCCTTTTCTCCATTTGTCATTTATTTTTACCCAAACTTTTCCTCCTTTGCAAGGGACATCGGGTTCAGCCACTGTGCCTATCTGGATCATTGGTAGCAAAGCTACTGTAGCGAGTGCCTCCCCTCAGTCCATTCTCATTCATAGAGAATAGGGTTACACGAGTTCCAAACTCGCGAGCCATTTTTACCATGAGACAATATAGCTGTATTTATTTTTAACCCCCATTTTGCCAGATGGGATGAAGGCGCAATCCACCCCCATCAGGCCCTTAGGGAATTCTGACAACGTTTTAAAACATGGTGACTGTTTCTTGCTTAGAAATTATCCCTGCCCAGGCATGGTGGCTCACACCTGTAATCCCAGCACTTTGGGAGGCCAAGGTGGGTGGCTTACCTGAGGTCAGGAGTCCTGGCCAACATGGTGAAACCCTGTCTCTACTAAAAATACAAAAATTAGCTGGATGTGGTGGCAGGCACCTGTAATCCCAGCTACTCGGGAGGCTGAGACAGGAGAATTGCTTGAACCCAGGAGGCAGAGGTTGCAGTGAGCCGAGATTGCGCCATTGCTGTCCAGCCTGGGCAACAAGAATGAAAACTCCGTCTCAAAAAGAAAAAAAAAAACAGCATGCAAATGCAATTCAGCCCACTGAGGCTGATCAGTTTCTACCTTCTTTGCTGCAAGTGGCAGCCCTCCAAACAGAATATCGTCCATTCACTTTGAAACTGTAAACCCAGCATTTCCTCGTTGGTCACTTGATAGCTGTTCACGGCACACTGTCCAAGTGTCGACAGAACCCAGCAGCACCTCACACAGTTCCGGAATCAGTCCTGGGGTAAAGAGGCTCATAGCCTGTGAGTATCTCTTGCTTGCATTCCCCAGGTAGCAAGATGCTGAGTAAACCATTTCCATTTTATTGTATTTATTTTTTGGGATTTTATTTTTGAGACAAGGTCTTGCTCTGTGGCCCAGGCTAGAATGCAGTGGCATCATCTCAGGTCACTGCAACCTCCACTTCCTGGGTTCAAGTGATTCTTTTGCCTCAGCCTCCCGAGTAACTGGGATTACAGGTGGCCGCCACCACGCCTGGCCGATTTTTTGTTGTTGTTGTTGTTGTTTTGAGACAGAGCCTTGCTCGGTCGCCCAGGCTGGAGTGCAGTGGTGCAATCTCGGCTCACTGCAAGCTCTGCCTCCCGGGTTCATGCCGTTCTCCTGCCTCAGCCTCCCGAGTAGCTGGGACTACAGGCGCCCACCACCATGCCCAGCGATTTTTTTGCATTTTTAGTAGAGACGGGGTTTCACCATGTTAGCCAGGATAGTCTCAATCTCCTGACCTCATGATCTGCCCGCCTCGGCCTCCCAAAGTGCTGGGATTACAAGCGTAAGCCACCGCGCCTGGCCTAGTTTTTGTATTTTTAATAGAGACGGGATTTCACCGTATTGGCCAGGCTGATCTTGAACTCCTGATCTCAGGTGATCCACCTGCCTTGGCCTCCCAAAGTGCTGGTATTACAGGTGTGAGTCATTGCGCCTGGCCAACCATTTCCATTTTATTATGGAATTTCTGGCCTCTGTAGGCCCCATTAGAGCATTTCTCTGATATCACCCAAGACATCTGGGTATTTCAGGTTTCAAGATAATTTTATATCCTTCAGTCGTAGGGGTAGCTTCAGTTAATGTCCCATAACAAGGTAGTAAATGCCCCTCAAGAGGACATTCCCTAGTCCAAAGTCCCAGTAGCTGTTGCCGGGAGGCGCTTACAGGCTTTTGTCGTAAGCCCCAGGAAATGCTCCACAGAGGGCTATCCAGTGGAGAATTTGTCCCTGCCAGCTCTCTAGCTTCTACTCTGCACTGTGTGGGCCTGGGCAATCTTACTGGTTCCCATGTAGCATGTCCAGTTCATATAGCTTGAATGGCGATTTACATACCTCTGTTTTATAGCAGTAGGAAGGGGAGACATTCCCTAATTAGATATAGTGTTCATTCCCATGATACAATCAGATAAAAGCAACCATTTGAACATGAAGTATGTTCA
Organism: Homo sapiens; assembly: GCF_000001405.40. Taxonomy (NCBI): domain Eukaryota; kingdom Metazoa; phylum Chordata; class Mammalia; order Primates; family Hominidae; genus Homo; species Homo sapiens. Next base: position 32,883,629 of record NC_000020.11, read on the forward strand.
AATACATAACTGTACATTTTGGCATGAACACATTGCTTAATAAGGTCAAGCCTTCACTGGTCTATTTCTTTTTTTTTTTGGAGACGGAGTCTCACTCTGTCACCCAGGCTGGAGTGCAGTGGCGCAATCTTGGCTCAGTGCAACCTCTGTCTCCCGGGTTCAAGCGATTCTCCTGCCTCAGCCTCCTGAGTAGCTGGGACTACAGGCGTGTGCTACCACACCTGGCTAATTTTTGTATTTTTAGTAGAGATGGGGTTTCACCACGTTGGCCGGGCTGGTCTTGAACTCCTGACCTCAAGTGGTCTGCCCGCCTCCTGACCTCAAGTAATCCTCCTGACCTCAAGTGATCCACTCACCTCAGCCTTCCAAAGTGCTGGGATTACAGGCGTGAGCCACTCTGCCCGGTCAGGTCTTTCTATTTCTTTGGGCCATTTAGATCTCAAGGGTGTTTAAAGGTCCTGAAACAGAATGTCAAGAGGCTTGTTCCTATATTCTCCTATTTATTTGTTCAACCTACAAACCCGGAGAGCATTTCCAACTTGGTGGGGAAAATAAATGAGTAATATTTAATTACCTTCATGAAAGAGTAACTTAAAACATTGGCTTACCTTTACTGAGCCTGGGCCGGGTGCACCAAATGCAGCCTCTCATCTGATCCCATCACAGCCCTAGGAGGTGCAGGTGCTGTCATCATGCAGGTGAGGAAACCAAGTCCTCCCTGAGATGGCCTGTCCTTAGGGCTGTCTTCCCTTTTCCTAGCTGTCACCTATCATCCCATTCTGCACAGTCTTTGGCCCTGACAGAAGTGGCAGGGTTGGAAGAGATGAGAGGGCAACTGAGAATATTCATCACAATCTACCCAGAGCCATGGGCTGAGGATAGGAGAGAGGAGAACCGTGTCCAGACACGTTTCCCTTGCTCTTCTGCAGAGATGGTAATGGCAGTTGAATTTTCACAGTGGCTTGGGTTATCCTTAAGCCCAGGGTCAGACCAGGCCTACCGGATTTGGAAAGGGCCCTGGAGGAGGGGTCACAGTGCCTAGGTTCTAGTTCCAGCCCTGCTAGTAAATAGGACATAACTCCAGGCAAATGATTATTCCCTGGGCCCCTGTAGGATGAGGTAATATCACCTGCTCTGCCAGGGCTCAAAGATTGGGCAGATCAAGTAGGAGAGTGTGTGCCATGCCATGCCATGTTGGGAAGCTGGAGTGGCAGGGACTCTCAATGGCCAGATAGCTGGCTTAGCCCACTTGGGTGCAGGGAAGCAACCCACAGAGGGGAGCATCAAAGCCTGTATGAATGCTCAAGGGCGGCCTCCTGCGAGGCCAGGCCTGCCCCCGGAGCTGTTGGCTGTAGGTTTGGTGTGTGGGACCCTAATTCCCCACTGCTCCTTGTCCACTTTGATTTCATCCTTCGGTTCTGTTCCCCCCTCTACCCCAGAGCACTAGAGCAGTTGCTAGAAAGTGCTGTTTCTCAGTTTTCAGCCTCAGGCTCCACTCTGCTCACCCTCTCCTGGGCAGTTTTTCCTATGATAGAAGCTTTGCGAACAACCTCCGTTCTGTCTCCTCTGTCCCATCACGTCGCGAGGAGGCTGGCTGGCTACTTCGCAGGATAAGCCTGCTGCTTCTCACTTCTGGAGCCCCGCCTCATATCAGCTTCTACGTGGGGCCCTTTTTCTTTTGGCCACTGTTGATGATCCAGTAGAAACCCGCTTGGAAGAGCCAGCTATGGGTTTATGGCGTGCGCATGTGCGTGCGTGTGCGTGACGCTCCGCCGGCTTTTGTCCCTCCTCCTCGGTGGCTCTCTGTTCTGCCGCAGGTGCCCCCTCCCTGAGCTGTTTTTGCTTGGGCTCTTCTCTCTTTCATCGCCTCCCACAGGAACCATGGCTGTGAGGTGGTGAAGGTGGTGTTTTTAATCCACCGGTTCAAGAAGATCGGGTGTTTCCTGACTGTCACCAAAGACGGGATCCTGCAGTTCTGGTCTGAGTCCTTCTCGCTGATGAGCTCCTTTAGGGTGAGTGGGGCCCCTACACATGGTGCACACATGGGTGATTGGAGAGCCTCTGCCTTAGCACCCCCATGGTGAAGGTGACCTGGAGCCAGGCAGATTCATGGTCTAAGCAGCCTGGACTTGCAGTCACAGCACCTGGGTCCTGACTTGGCTTCACTGTGGGAGCCACACATTTCCCTTCTGCTAAGCAGGATTCCACCTGGATGTCCATTCCCTGTGGGTGTCTCACAGGCCCCTCAAATCCATTAGCCCAAACAGGTGTCCCTTTAGCTGTCCCTGCCCACCAGGTTTCCTTCTCTTGCGTCCCCATCTCAGTGAATGGCATTGTCATCCCCAAGACTCCTGTGCTAGGGGTCAGCCACTCCCACGCTGTCCCCACGTCCTACCGATTCAGGCCTTTTGCCTAGTCCAGGCAGGAAATCATAGTGGTTATGAGCATGGGCTCTGGAGCCCAAATCCCAGGGTCAGAGTCCTAACTGTACCACCTGCAAGCTCTGTGACCTGGACAAGGTACTATATACTCCCTGTGCCTCAGTTTTCCCATCTGTCAAATGGGGCTAGTTACAGTGCTTCTTTACAGTCCTTTTGGGAACACATGATGACATAATACATGTGTAGTGCTTGGGGCAGGGCAGGGCACGCAGCAAGTCCCTGCTGGATATATTGTCTTTGTGCTGCCAGCTCTTGGCTGAGAGTAGTAAGTGAGAAGATGCTCAGGAGAACCCACTGTGTACTTGGTCGCCAGGGCCGTCCAGAATCCTCCAGCAGACGAGGAAAGCACTGCTCTCCAGGGCTCTACAGAAAGGTTGATTGAGAACACAGCCCCCAGATGAAGGGCTTTCTGAGCCTGTGTAACTGCAGAGTGATTCACAGTTGCATCAGGGCTCATCCTTTGGGGAAGAAGAGGCCTGGGTGGAACTAGGGTCTGTGGGGTCCCATGGCTCTCCTTGGTGCACCAAGGGGGAGTCACGATCACCATCCTGAGGCTGTGGCTTCCATAGCCATCCACCTTACCTTTCTGTGTGTGGACTGGGGCAGGGTGTGTTGCAGACAGAGCTCCTGCTTGTGGCTGCTACATGGTCACCAAAGCACCTCCAAAGGCTGAAGGGGACAGAGGAAGGCTCTCTGGGAAGGCGCAGCAGGCCTGGATTCTTCCTGGAGGGGCCGCTTTGGCAGGAGTAGGCCTCCCAGGACCACACACCCACTGTCATGCAGATGGAGACACCTCAAGTTTGAGGCGGGGCCTGAGTTCCACTCAAGAGCTATGTGATCTTGGGTGCAGGTCACTGAAACTCCCTAGGGCTCTTGGTTTCTCTGAATAGTGCAAGGGTTGGGAGTTACCAAGCTACTGGTGTGTGGGGGTTAGACTCCAGCCCTGGGCAGGAGAGAGGGGCTTAGGAGGGTTCTGGTCCATTGTCTTCACCGCCAGAACCACCTGGGGAGCCCGAGAGCGCAGTCCTCTGTGCTCTTGGTGCTCTCTGAGTTCTGATGGAACAGGCTCCTCTCTGCCCCTGCCTTCCCTATCCCTTCTGATTATCCATCTAGAGGAATTGGTTTACGCTCCTCCCTGCTCCTTCCTCCCAGCTTTTCAGATCGTACTTCTTTCTGCTTTCTTCAGTTCAGAGCCTGTGGTGTCATTCAAAGAGTAAAATACAGCGCCAGGCGCGGAGGCTCACGCCTGTAATCCCAGCACTTTGGGAGGCTGAGGCAGGCGGATCACTTGAGGTCAGGAGTTTGAGACCAGACTGGCCACCATGGTGAAACCCCGTCTCTACTGAAAATACAAAAATTAGCCAGGCGTAGTGGCGCACCCCTGTAATCCCAGCTACTTGGGAGGCTGAGGCACGAGAATCACTGGAACCCGGAGGCAGAGGTTCCAGTGAGCCGAGATCGCACCACTGTGCTCTAGCCTGGGCGACAGAGCGAGACTCCGTCTCAATAAAAAGAGAGTAAAATACAGATTCCTTAGGTGGCCACACCTACCTCATCTCTGGTTCCTCTCCAACTCTAAGCCGAGTGGGCTGGCCTCCCTCTTCCCCAGGACACAGCAGCTCATTTCTGCTGACCTGGCTCTGCTCGTGGCTTTCCCTGCCTGGAGTGCCAGCTCACATTCTGTCTGTGCACATGCTACACGAGTGCAGGATGCACCAGTGCTGAGCTCCTACTGAGTGCTGGGCACCACCCTCAATGCTTCAACTTTCATTATTCCATTCATTCCTCGCAACTTTGCAGAACAAATTATCGGTTAGTAAGCCAATTTGACCAGGTGACATCTGCAGATGGAAAATAGGATTCAGACCTATGGAGGGGCAGACAGGGGAAGTCAGTCTTCCTTCCCTGAGTTCCTACTTCCTCTCCCTGCAGGCAAATGCTATGACCAGTTTTGGGGTGCTCTTCCATGGCTATCCTCTCTACATATCCCCCTTTTCTTTCTTTTTTTTTTTGAGACTGGGTCTTGCTCTGTCACCCAGGCTGGAGTGGAGTGGTGCAATCACGGCTCACTGCAGCCTCAACCTCCTGGGGTCAAGGGATCTTTCCACCTCAGCCTCCCAAGTAGCTGGGACTACAGGCATGCACCACCGTGTCCAGCTAATTTTTTCTTTTTTGAGATGGAGTCTTGCTCTGTCACCCGGGCTGGAGTGCAGTGGTGTGATCTCAGCTCACTGCAGCCTCTGCCTCCCGGGTTCAGGTGATTCTTCTGCCTCAGCCTCCCGAGTAGCTGGAATTACAGGTGAGCACCACCACGCCCAGCTAACTTTTGTATTTTTAGTACAGACGGGGTTTCAACATTGGCCAGGCTGGTCTCGAACTCCTGACCTAGTGATCTGCCCACCTTGGCCTCCCAAAGTGCTGGGATTACAGGTGTGAGCCACTGCGCCCAGCCTTTTTTGTTAATTTTGTAGAGATGGGGTCTCCCTATGTTGCCCAGGCTGGTCTCGAACTCCTGGGCTCAAGTGATCCTCCCACCTTGGCCTCTGAAAGTGCTGAGATTACAGGCGTGAGCCACTGTGCCCTTTTCTTTTTAAATGCGATAATGGAAGCATATTATAATGTTGCTTTTTACCTTGGTTTGTCACTTAATCATGTCTCTTGGCAGCTCTTTATTGGCATGGGCACAGTTCCTTTGTTCTTAATGTCTGGGTGGTGTCCATGGTGTGGGTTGATAATCAGCTGTGCTTTCCAGGTGGCTTCTGGCCTGTTGCTCTAATAGCAGCTGCAGTGTCCCCTTTGAGTAGGTGCAAACACACCCATAGAAATGTCTTGGAAACAGATCCCTGGATCATGAGCTATGCATATTCAAGAGTTTGGTTGGTTTTTTTTGTGGGGGGCGGGGGGCGGACAGGGTCTCACTCTTGCCCAGGCTTGAGTGCAGTGGTGTGTTCACGGCTCACTGCGGCAAGACTTTGATAGAACTGTGAGACTGCTCCAGAAAGGGGTTTTAAAGAAGGTGTTCTTTAAGCCCATTTTACGAATGTGGAAACTGAGACCCAGGGAGGCTAGGGAGTTTATCCAAGGCCCCTATCACTAGACTTAGTGGTAGTGCTAGGCTCCATGCCAGGTCTGTGGTGGCTCCAGGCCTTGTGTGGCAGGAGAGGTTCATGGGGAGCTGCACTGGCCTGAGTATGCGTCCCAGCCCATCTCCTCTGCTCTTCCTCTGGCCAGCTTAACCAGACCCAGCAGCTCTACAACCAGCCGATGTGGGTCATTGACATGGTATGTCTGCACAATATGAACCTCGTTGCAGTTGCGTCTACCAGGCAAAAGATAGGTGAGTCCCTGGGGGCTTCCCAGCTCTGCTCTCAGCCACTGGGAGCCATGCATTTGTGCCTGGGAGAAGTCTGTTGGCTGAGCAACTGTGAACATGGATCAGAGCCCCCTGGGAGGATAGCCAGGTGGAGAGGCCTTAGTGCCAAGTAGGCAGGGGGTGGTCGGTGAATGCTCGAATGAATACAGTGATGTTGAACAGACCCAAATTTACAAGCCAGAGGCCATACTGGTCCATCTCTGGTCCTGATTCTACCTCCTGCCTCTTGCCACTCCTAGTCCAGGCCCCCTTCACTGTCACTTAAATAGCCTCTCCTGGCCGGGTGTGGTGGCTCACTCCTGTAATACCAGCACTTCAGGAGGCCGAGGCAGGCGGATCACCTGAGGTCAGGAGTTCAAGACCAGCCTGGCCAACATGGTGAAACCCCGCCTCTACTAAAAATACAAAAGTTACCTGGGAGTGGTGGCACACGCCTGTAATCCCAGCTACTCAGGAGGCTGAGGCAGGAGAATCGCTTGAACCTGGAGGTGGAGGTTGCAGTAAGCTGAGATCGCGCCATTGCACTCCAGCATGGGCGACAGAGAGAGACTCAGTCTTAAAAAAAAAAAAAAAAAAAGCCTCTCCTGCATGCCGCGCTTCCCTGATGCCCCCAAAGGCAGGATGTGCATTACAGTGCCCTCTGCAGAAAGCCTTCACCCTACCCCAGTGTTCTTAGGATGGAGGTGGGATCCTCAGTGTGGTCTGTGAGGCCTTCAGAGGTCTGAGCCCTGCCGCCTCCAGTAGTCTCCACCTGTCCCCTCCCTGTGGTGCTGAGGCCACTGTGGTCTCCTCTGGTAGGTGCTGTGGCCTGGGTCTCTGTGCTCTGCCATCCCTCCTGCCCCTCTCTCTGCCCCAACAGCCTCTGCTTTTCTTTTGGCTCTCATCTCAGAAGTTACTTCCTCCAGGAAGCCCTCCCTGACCCTCTAGTCCAAGATCCTCTGTTAAAAAGACCCCATGAGATTGTACCTCTTCCCTTCAAGGTCCCCTTTCAGTGTCATCTCACATGTATTAGTTTGCTTCTGTTTAGCACATGTCTCCTCCTCCAGACTGGAAGGTCAGGGACTGCATCTGTTCTGCTCAACTCAGTGTCTCAGTGCCTGGTACCTTCTGGATGCTCGATGACTATTGAATGGATGGATGATGAATGAGGCCTCTGACTGAGCAGACCTGTAAGGTGGTCAGGGAGAGGGAATTAGTACATGAAATGACAGCTGGTGATGTGAGGCTGAATGGGAGGAGAGAGAGTGGCTGTTCTGGAACAAGCAGGGACTGGAATAAAAAGGACCTGGGTTCAGGGCCTGGTCCCACTGCTCTGTAGATGTCTGCCTATGAGCAATTGCTTTACCTCCCAGTGCCTCGCTTTACCCAGAGGTAAAATGGGGCCTATGATACATGACTCCAGGGTGAGTGTGGCTTAGTAGTTAGGTGTGTGAAGCTGCTGGCATAGTGCCTGGCACATAGTGGGCAGTTAATCAACACTGACATCATTATGAGGCTAAATTGTGTGATACAGAGAAAGTGGTCAGCCGTCAGCAAGGGCTAGAGCAATCTATCTGTGACCCGCCTGGGCTTTCCACTGCAACATCTGTTTCCTGGGGACCCAGTGCTGTCCCAGGCTTCCTCACCCTTTATCCTCAGACAGCCCTGAGAATTTGGTGTTAAAACCCCATTTATTTTTTATTTTTTTGAGACAGTCTCACTCTGTCACCCAGGCTGGAGTGCAGTGGCACAATCTCGGCTCACTGCAACCTCTGCCTCCCGGGTTCAAGAGATTCTCCTGCCTCAGCCTCCTGAGTAGCTGAACTAGGGATTCATTTATTTTGGTTGAAAAAAAAATATTGAATTCTGGTTCGATGATGGGCTGGACCTGGTCTGCTGGGCCCGTGTTTGTTGGCTCATCAGGTGTCTGGGATTACAGGTGCGCGCTACCACACCCAGCAAATTTTTGTATTTTTAGTAGAGATGGGGTTTCACCATGTTGGCCAGGCTAGTCTCCATCTCCTGACCTCAGGTGATCCACCTGCCTCAGCCTCCCACAGTGCTGGGATTACAGGTGTGAGCCATTGCAGCCAGCCTAGAACCCCATTTTAGAGATAATTATGTCATCACTGCTGTCCTGATGGAGCAGCTGTCATCTGCTCGGAGGTACTCAGACAAGGCCAAAAGCAGAGGTGGAAGTGGCAACAGTGTGATCCCCGGCCTTTGTGGCCCCAGCCCAGTCCAGCCAGTGCTCCTTTTGTGACCTACAGCCCTCTGGGGTGGCCGGCCACGTAGAGAGGCAGAGGAGGGCGAGAGGCTGCCGTTCAGATGCGGGAGACAACATGACGGTGAGGCTGTTGCTCATCAGAGGCTGGAAGTGAGGCTGGATCTGTTGGAAGGAGTCAGTTTTTTTTTTTTTTTAATTGAGACAGGGTCTTGCTCTGTCACCCAGGCTGTAGTGCAGTGGTACAATCACTGCTCACTGCAGTCTCAAACTCCTAGGCTCAAGCAGTCCTCTTGCCTTAGCCTCCCTAAGTGCTGGGATCATGGGCATGAGCCACTGCACCTGGCCTGGGATTTTATTCCAGCTGCAGTTGGAAGCCTTTGGGGATTTTCAGTGGGGTTCCCGGTGGGTGGGTTTACTCTGTGAACAGCTGTCTGTGGTTGCCATGGGGGAAAAAGGGCTGAAGGGGCCAGAGATTCCTTGGGATAGCAATGAGGCTGCTCACTGTGACTGAAGACCTCCCAGGCATGGCTGTGGGCTCTATGTGGCCTTCTGTCTTTCCCCCAGATTTCTTTGATATTAGTGACCACAAATGTGTCCGGGCCTTCACCTTTGTTGATCTGGACAGCTGTGCTCTGGTCATGGACTACTGGTGAGTCTCCACTGGGTGTTCCTCACATGAACCAGGAGGCCCAGGCCTCCTGCAGCAGCCGCATCACTGACTAGGGTTGGGGCCCCCAGAAAGCCTCCTTGGAAAGATCTGGAAATATCTCCCCACTGGCTCCAAGGCCCCTGTGTCTTCCTCCCCACCAGGCTGCTTCTCTCTCAGGGTCACCTCTCATGGTCACTCAGAGCTTGGAGTCATTGTCACTCCCCCACCCAAGACAGCCACCAAATCCCAGCAGAGGCTTGTCTGGCTGTGGCTGAGGACTCTGGGGACATCACAGTCTATTGCGAGGGGTGACTTAACAAAGGGCAGCTGGAGGACTAGGGATTCATTTATTTTGATTGAGAAAAAAGTTGAATTCTGGTTCAGTGATGGGCTGGACCTGGTCTCCTGGGCCCGTGTTTGTTGGCTCCTCAGGTGTCTGGGCAAGGCCGGAAAGTGTTGTTGGAACTGCCCTTGCTTCCAAGGAGGAGGGAAGCTGTTGGGGGGCCAGGGAGGGAGTGGAGGCTCCACAGCCTCTTTTTTTTTTTTTTTTCTTTTTTTTATGACTCAGAGTCTCACTCTGTGTCCCAGGCTGGAGTGCAGTGGTGCCATCTTAGCTCACTGCAGCCTCCACCTGCCGGGTTCAAGTGATTCTCCTGCCTCAGCCTCCTGAGTAGCTGGGATTACTGGTGCCCGCCACCACGCTTGGCTAATTTTTGTATTTTTAGTAGAGATGAGGTTTCACCACGTTGGCCAGGCTGGTCTCGAACTCCTGACCTCAGGTGATTAACCTACCTTGGCCTCCCAGAGTGCTGGTCTTACAGGTGTGAGCCACCGCGCCCAGCCCACACAACCTCTTCCGTCTCCATCTTTCTGCAGGTCTGACTATCACAGAGGTGTGTTCTGCTATGGAGACGCCAAAGGCAACGTCATTGTCTTCACCTCCGAAAACATGACCAGTGGGCTGTTCAACCCCCGTATCCTCCCCAGGGCCTCCAAGTGGGGTAGCTAAGATGCTGGGGAAGGGGGCAGAGGCCTGGGCATGGCCTAGATGTGGGTGCTGAGGTCATCCTGGTCCCCGAGCCCCCCACTCCCTGCCTCTGCTCTGGAGTCTCTGGGAAGGCGTCTGCTTCCAAGCGCAGGGTGCATGCCGCTCAGCTCAGCACAGAGGGAGAGGCGATGGGGGGCAGCAGAAGACCACGAGGGCTGGGGAGAGGGGTGGCCTCTCTGAGGATGGGAGGCTGTGCGGGTGCGGTCTGGGGGTGCAGGACACTTCTCACCCCAGCATGATGCCAGTGGTGGGACCCTGGGGAAGTCCTTCATCCACTCTGATCCTGGGTGAGAGCACTGATGCTAACTAACTTCCTCGGATGGTGGCGAGGAGGCATGTGCTCTCCTTGGCTCTAGTGCTGCCTTTGGGTGGGCAGGGGCTGTCCTGGATGTGGGCTCTGTGGAGCCTGGGCATGGCCTGGCTGGCATGGGTGAGTGGGCACAGCTGAGTCTGGAGCACCCCTTGCTGAGCGCTTTGCATGCATCACCTCCCATAATCCGCCCCTACTGTCAGGAGGGAGGAGCCGCTGCTGCAGCCCATAATAAGAGGCAGAAAGGGTAAGGTCACCTGTACACGCCCCTGCCTGGTGAGTGGGGGCTAAGATCTGAAGTCCGGCTGCCTGCCCTGGAGTCTGTGCTTTTAGCCTTTTGCTGGGCTGCATCCCACACTGATTAATAGCAGGAGGAAGTCATTGGAGCTGTTCTGCCCAGGTCGCTAGATCCCCAGAGGATACGGCTCAGGGCCGCCTAGGGAACTCATCTGAACTGGAGCCTGTCTAGAATCCAGCCTTGCATGCACAGTGCTGGCTCTCCAGGTTGCCTCACATCCACCAGGAGGCCCAGGCCACCAGGGGCCCCATGCAGGGCCACCAACCCCCTCTTCCAGCCAGAGTTACTAAGCAGGACACTCCAGGGGTTCCCAGGCCTTGGTAACAGGCCCCTGGCAGGCTTGTTGGGGCAGCGTCCCCTGCTGGCAGAGCAGGGACAGATCCTGTCCTGGACACAGCAGTGGGCTGGCACCCTGCTTGCCTCATTGGCCTCGGGTGCCTGCCCTGCCCTGAGCTGCCCACTTAGCTGCTTGAGCCTAGTCACTCTGCGCCACCGTGGGAACTGGCACGGGAGGTTGTGGTGGTCTTTGAGCCACATGGTGAATGGGATATTGAGAGAGGCAGATGATACTGTTTGGGCAGGAGTCCTTCCATGCCAACAAGTGATTGAAGGCTAGGGACAAACATGACGATGAGGTGGGCCCAGTGTATGGACTTGGGAGGAGATGGACAGACCCAGGTATGTACCCCAGCTCTGTGTGACCTGGAGCCAGTTGCTTAACCTTTCTGTGCCTCAGTTCCCTTATTCAAATAGGGATGGCCCTACTTCCCTGATAGCTTTGGTATAAGAAACGTGGAACGTTAGGCACCTAGTAAGTGCACAGTGACTATGCTATGACTTCTTCCCTGCCCTCCCTCACAGCCTAGTAGGAGAGACAGGCAGGTAAACTGATGATTAAACCACAGCGCATCATAAAGCTGACTTCTGCCTGTGCCTGTGCACAACCAGCCCCACTCTGGCAGTCTTGGGCAACTTTCCACCCCTCCCTGGGACTTACTTTGCAAGCTTCCTCCTGCCCTTGCAAGATGGGGCTGGTGACTTTGCAGCAGTACAATGTTTGGCATGAGCCGCCAGATCCATCCTTGCTGTCTCTTCCCTCCTCCATCCCTGGGAGGGAACCTGAGCCTAGACTGCCCCAGCATTTGTGACCGCCTCCTTAAACTGCTCTGACGGAGGACCCATGTTTGTCCCTGACGGTGCTGGCTCTACTCGTCTGTGTCAGACTGGCTTTGCTTTCCCTGAAGATCCATCAACTGCTGGCCTTGAATGGTTTCAGCAGCCGGGAGATGCTAAGCCCCATGAGGGCTGCACCTGGCTTGCCTGAATTCCTCCAGACAGGCTTGTTTTATTTTATTTAAGATTTTTTTTTTTTTTTTTTTTTTACATTTTGAGACAAGGTCATACTCTGTTGCCCAGGCTGGAGTGTAGTGGTATGATCATGGCTCACTACAGCTTTAATCTCTTGGGCTCAAGTGATCCTCCCACCTTAGCCTCCCAAGTAGCTGGGACCACAGGCACGCCACCACCACTTCTGGCTAATTTTTTATTTTTTTGATTTTTTTTTGTAGAGATGGGTTCTCACTGTGTTGTCCAGACTGGTATCTTTTTTCTTTCTTTCTTTCTTTTTTTTTTTTTTAAGGCAGAGTCTTGCTCTATTGCCCAGGCTGGAGTGCAATGGTGCGATCTTGGCTCACTGCCACCTCTGCCTTTCGGGTTCAAGTGATTCTCCCGCCTCAGGCTCCTGAGTAGCTGTGATTACAGGCACACACCACCATGCCCGGCTAATTTTTGTATTTTTGTAAAGACAGGGTTTCACTATGCTGGCCAGGCTGGTCTTGAACTCCTGACCCCAGGTCATCTGCCCGTCTCGCCCTCCCAAAGTGCTGGGATTACAGGCGTGAGCCACCGTGCCTGGCCCAGGCTGGTCTCTTAACTCCTGGCCTCAAGTGACCTTCCCACCTGAGCCTCCTAAAGTGCTGGGATTACAGGTGTGAGCCACTGCGCCTGGCCCAGACATGCTTATTTTATGATGCATGCCTGGAACTTCTACTTTTTGGAACCTGTGCTTTCTGGACAAGGGGTGCATGTAGTTTGAGGCATGATGGCAAACTCCCAAGTGATTACTTTTCAGAACAAAAAGAGCCTAGAGTCTCAATTCCTTCTCCACTCCAGCAAAGATGGAGCTCCCTAATGAAGAATTAGCTTGTTTAGATTGCAGCACCTAGGAAGCGTGAGGTGCCCTGAAATCTGGTTCTAGTTCTGCCATGCACTGGCAGGGGCACTCTGGGAGGCAGCAGTGATCTGCCTGAGTCTTTTTCCTGGGGTGGGGGCACTCCGCTCAGCTCACCAGGACACAGTGAGGTGCCAGTGAGGGTTTGGGTGGAAAAGCCTTTTGAGAAGCACAGGAGTTGCAAGCCAACTCAAGACGTCTTCTGAGGCTTTGCTTGCCAAGCGAAGGGGGAAAGCTGCTGATGTGGACCTTGGTTTTTTCCCCTATCAGATCACTGGATCAAAGTTTCCTTGCAGAAACTCTTAAATGAGAAGTCTGCTTTGCATAGAAGCTACCGGCTGAAGGTGAGTTTTTTCTTTCCTTGGCCTGTTACAATGGTAATTATCTGTACACACACACCACTCAAAATAAATGCAAAAAGTGGATTTACTCCCTGGGTTCAGTCTTAGCCCTTGGGGTTTGGTCTCTGGAAACAGGTTGCGGCAGCTGTTGGATCCCGTCAGCTCTATCTGCAGACCACATCTCTGTGGCCATGCCCCTCTCACTACCGCCATTGCTAAGCCCTGGTCCTGGCCGACACCGCCTCGCTCCTGGATGGCTGCAGTGGCCTCTAGCTGGGTTCCCCACTTCCTTTCTTCATGCAGCACTGTCTCCATTCAGGGCCAGAGGAATGATGAGTTAGAAATACAGTTGAGTCACCCCGGTAGCTTCTCATCACATTTGGAACAAAATCTCAAGTCCTTACCATGGCCGTCAGGACGTGAGGTGATCTGGCTCCTGCTTGCAAGCTCTGGGCTTGTTTTCAACCTTCCTTCTCCCCATCTGCTCTCCTGCAGAGACGCAGGCTCCTCTGCTGTTCCCTGAATGGGCTCAGCCCCTTCCCGCCTCTGTGCCTCGGCATGTGCTGCGCCTTCAGGCCGCGGGGCTCTCCCCTAAGGTACCTGTATTCCCCCTATCTACTTCCTGTGGTCCCAAGCAGCCCTCCTAGGACAACCCTGTGCCCACCTCTGCTTTCATCCCTTCACCCGCAGTGTTTACCAGCTCCCAGCTTTGTGTGGTCCGACCATTGATTCCTCATGCTGTCACCTTCACGAGATCGACAGCTCCTCAACGGCAGCGGCTTCGTGCTCTCGGTTGTCTCCAGTGCCTAAAATAGTACCCTGCGCTTGGTGGGCTCCCAATACATTTGCTGCACAAATGAATGAATGAATGACGCACTCAGGGCGGTCTGGGTGATCCAACAGGCCTGCACTGACTTTTTTTTTTTTTTTTTGGTTGAGTCAGGGCCTTACTCTGCTGCCCTGGCTGGCATGCAGTGGTGCGATCATGGCTCACTGCAGCCTTGACCTCCCGGGCTTAGGTGATCCTCCCACCTCAGGCCCCCGAGTAGCTGGGAATACAAGCACCACACCCAGCTAATTTTTTAATTCTTTTTTTGAGACGGGGCCTCACTATGTTGCCCAGGCTGGTCTACCTACCTTGGCCTCCCAAAGTGCTGGGTTTACAGGTGTGAGCCACTGCACCCGCTCTTCTGTCTTCTGTGGGAAGCTCATCTTGGGCTTGGTTTTCCCTCCAGGTCTCACTCAGTGTCTTGGATTCGGTGCCTTCATTGCGACAGATGCTTGGTGACAGTGTGTGTAAAACCCAGCTCAGGGTCTTGCATGTAGAAAGCACCAAAGAAATATTTGATGAGCCAATCTCTCCAACCCGCCTTTTCCATTCTCGTCACAGAGAGGAAAATCTCTAGATTGGGAGGCCAAGCACTGGTCCAGGTCACAGAGTTGGCGCCGGAGAATTCAGAGCCCAGCCAGCCCCTTCGACTGCGCGTCATCTTTTGTGGTTCAAGTTGCCGTGAAATGCACATTCTCATGCCCTCCGCGCTTCCTTGAGCACTCCACGCTATGACAAACATGGAGGGTGGCAGTGGGCTGGGAGCACAGCCCATCTGTAGAGGGGGCTCCCTGTGGATAACTAGATTGTGGCCTGGACAGACTTGAATTCATCCTTTCTCTCCTCGTGGGAGATGATTAGTATGGGCCTGACCTTCCCCATCCTCTAACTCACAAGATTTCAAATGAAAGTAGGCTTGTGTGCTTTTAAAAATTTTCAGTGACGAGAGATGGCCAGTGCTGGTCATAGGACCTGGGCTAGGATTGCGGGGCCACATCACTTTGTGATCACTAGGAGAAGGGCATTAGACTCCGTGATCTCTGGGCACCTCCAGTCCCAGCACCTGGTCATGTTCTGGGGGCTGGGCCTAGAAAGTTGTCCTTGGGTGGAGTCTCCCACCATTGCTACTGTCTTCCCAGGCTCTCCATCCCAACTGGTGTGAGCAGGTCAAGTTCATCCCCCAGATGAATGTGGTAGTCTCCTGTTCAGCCATCGAGAAGTCCTCTCTGGTGCTGACAATATTGCCAGCCAAAGCCTCTAAGAAACCCAGGTAAGAAGTGCTTCTCTCCTGGCTAAGGCGGTGGGGCTGGAAGGGAGGGGGGTGGTGAGTGGACCATGGGGGCTGACAGTGGCAGATGGTGGTTGGTGTATGGACTCTGGGGTTTAGTTTTTCCAGCATTGCCAGCAGCAGCACGGTGAGAACACAGCAGCCTCTTTTATCTCCCAATCTATATGCAAAACTCAGCATAGAAGCCAGCACAGAGTGATTGGCAGTCAGTGAAATGTTTTCTGAATGAAGGGATGACTGTGAGTTACTTTCTCCTCTGTGACCCTCAGTTCCCTCATCTGTGAAAGGGTGTGAAAGCACGTACCTCACTTCCTGAAGGGTTGCATGAGGGAATCCTCTGTGGTATGTGTTCAGTAACTGGCAGCATTGGTTCTTTGCAGATGGTTCCAATCTGTTTCCTTCAGTCTAGATTCCTCTACCCTAGAGTGAAGTTTTTTCTTTTCTTTTGAAAAACTAGTTAGTCACCGGGCGCGGTGGCTCACGCCAGTAATCCCAGCACTTTGGGAAGCCGAGGTGGGTGGATCATGAGGTCAGGAGATCGAGACCATCCTGGCTAACATGGCGAAACCCCGTCTCTACTAAAAATACAATAATAATAATAATAATAATAATAATTAGCCGGGCGTGGTGGTAAGCACCTGTAGTCCCAGCTACTCGGGAGGCTGAGGCAGGAGAATGGTGTGAACCCAGGAGGTGGAGCTTGCAGTGAGCCGAGATTGCGCCACTGCACTCCAGCCTGGGGGACACAGTGAGACTCCGTCTCAAAAAAAAAAAAAAAAAGAAAAACCAATTAATCACACAAGTATGTATTAAATGCATTGTCCATGTAAAAAATGAAAACATTATAAAGAAGGTTGGAGTCCTGAGGGGCCCCCTCCTTATTCAATCGCCATTCCCTGACCCAGTTATCAAAAGCCACCACTTCTGGTTTTTTTTCTTTTTTTCTTTTTGTGACAGAGTTTCACTCTTGTTGCCCAGGCTGGAGTGTAATGGTGCGATCTCGGCTCGCCACAACCTCTGCCTCCCGGGTTCAAGTGATTCTCCTGCCTCAGCCTCCCGAGTACCTGGGATTACAGGCACGCACCACCATGCTCGGCTAATTTTGTATTTTTAGTAGAGACGGGGTTTCTCTGTGTTGGTCAGGCTGGTCTCGAACTCCTGATCTCAGGTTATCAGCCCGCCTCGGCCTCCCAAAGTGCTGGGATTGCAGGCACGAGCCACCGCGCCTGGCCCACTTCTGTTCTTTTACTGTGTGGCTTCTACTGTGCCGTTTACTGTGGATAAACTGGTAGGTATGTTCTCTCGCGGAGTCTTCCTGCTGGGTGGCTCTTGCCCCTGCAGTTTTCCTCCGGCCCCTAGTCTTTACCTTGAGCCTTTGGGGCTCTGACATTTTGCTTCTGCACAGGCTGAAGATTGAGCCCCAGGAGAGTCTTTTTGGGGGAACAGCAGGAGATTTAAGGCCTGTATTGGGGAGAGACTGGGTGAGGCCAGGGTGGGGTTGGGGCAGAAACAGAGGGCCATTTAGACCCATGTCTGTCCCTTTCTGTCCTGGTTGTTTTTCAGGGGAAATTTCAATCCTGAGATGATAAGGCTAATTTCGTCCAACTCCTCATTTTACAGATGGGAAACCCGAAGCTTAGGGAGGGGAAGTGACTGTCTTAGAGCAGACACTTGAGCTGGAGTTTTATCTTGGGCCTCATTATATGTCCAGTGCCTTTTTTTGTTTTGTTTTGTTTTTGAGACGGAATCTTGTTGTGTCACCAGGCTGGAGTGCAGTGGCGCAATCTCGGCTCACTGTAACCTCCGCCTTCCAGGTTCAAGTGACTCTCCTGCCTCAGCCTCCCTAGTAGCTGGGACTACAGGCACGTGCCCCCGTGCTCAGCTAATTTTTGTATTTTTATTTTTCATTTTTTAATTTTTATTATTTTTATTTTTTGTTTTTTTGTGACGGAGTCTCACTGTGTTGCCAAGCTGGAGTGCAGTGGCACAATCTCGGCTCACTGCAACCTCCGCCTCTCGGGTTCAAGCAGTTCCCCTGCCTCAGCCTCCCAGGTAGTTGGGACTACAGGTGTGCGCCACCATGCCCGGTTAATTTTTTTTCATATTTTAGTAGAGACGGGGTTTCACCATGTTGTCCAGGATGGTCTCGATCTCCCAACCTTGTGATCCACCCACCTTGGCCTCCCAAAGTACTGGGATTACAGGCGTGAGCCACCATGCCCGGCTTAATTTTTGTATTTTTAGTAGAGATGGGGTTTCACCATGTTGGCCAGGATGGTCTCGATCTCTTGACCTCGTGATCCGCCCACCTCGGCCTCCCAAAGTGCTGGGATTACAGGCATGAGCCACCGCGCCCGGCCGTCCAGTGCCTTTTTAACCAAACAGTGCACTGTGTACATTTCTAGACAAGTCCTGGAGCTCCCTGCAGGCCGGAAAAAGGGGCCTCCGGGAATGTCTGACGTGAAGGGGAAGTTTCAGTCTTGGGTTCAGTGCTTTGAATGGGGCCGTGTGGCAGAAGTTTGCTTGGAGCTGTTTGCTGAGGCTATCTGTCTGCATTGGTGGTGGTATCACTTAGTGTATATTGGGGTGTCCAATCTTTTGGCTTCCCTGGGCCACATAGGAAGAAGAAGAATTGTCTTGAGTCACACATAAAATACACTGACACTAACAATAGCTGATGAGCTAAATAAAAATCACAAAAAAGTCTCATAATGTTATAAGAAAGTTTATGAATTTGTGTTGGGCCACATTCAGAGCTGTCCTGGGTTGTATGAGGCCCATGGGCTGTGAGTTGGACAAGCTTGGTGTATAAGATATGTGTTTCATTCAGATCTTGTTTTATTGAGTCCTGATGGCAGGAGGATATCAGGGGGTCACCTCACCAGGGCCAGGAGGGCCTCTGTGGGCCGGGCCTGCTGCCTTCCTGACCTCATTGCCTCCACCTGCCCACTCAGCTCCACTGGCCTTCAGGCTCAGGCGTGCTCCTGCGCCAGGGCCTTTGCACAGCTCCGCTGTCTGTGGTATGCTCTTGTTATTGATTGACTGATTGATTGATTGATTGATTGAGACAGAGTCTTGCTGCAGTGCCCAGGCTGGAGTGCGGTGGTGTAATCTTAGCTCACTGCAACCTCCACCTCCCGGGTTCAAGCGATTCTCCTGCCTCAGCCTCCCAAGTAGCTGGGATTACAGGCACGCGCCATCATGCCCGGCTAATATTTGCATTTTTAGTAGAGACGGGGTTTCACCATGTTGGCCAGGATGGTCTTCATCTCTTGACCTCATGATTCGCCCGCCTCGGCCTCCCAAAGTGCTGGGATTACAGGCGTGAGCCACCGCTCCTGGCCTTGTTTTTTAAATTAATTAATTTTAAATTAATATTTTCATTATAAAATGTTTCAAACACACACAAAAATAGATAAAATGGTATAATTCTTCCATATCACCTAGTAGCTAGTCCACGTTAATATTTCTCTAAGTACCTCAGAGTATCTTCTTACAATATTTGGAACTAGATATAAGCACGGTTCTGGGATGGTTTTGAGCAGAGAACTGGTGTGGTCTGGCTTATATGTTGCAGGTGGAGTGTCCATGGGCAGGGGTGGTGGTGAACACACCAGTGAGGAGGCCATTGCAATAGTTGAGGCTGCATAGGATGGTGGCCTGGAGCTGGGCTGTGTTGTGGGATGGAGGGACTGGAGATGTATTTTTGGGGTAGGGTAGAGAATATATTTACACACACAAACACAGAGACACATGTTCCCTTCCTTCAGCCTGGGTGACAGAGCAAGACCCTGTCTTCAAAAAAAACAAAAGACTCCATTCAGGTCAGACACGGTGGCTCACTTCTGTAATCCTAGCACTTAGGGAGGCCAAGGCAGGAGGATCCCTTGAGGCCAGGAGTTCAAGACCGGCCTGGGCAATACAGCAAGATCCCATCTACACAAAATATTTAAAAATTAGCTGGGAGTGTTGGCACACCCCATGCATTCTTGTCTGCATGCAGTGCAATGTACAGGCCGGCAGGTGGCACAATTGACCACTTGCTGGTCTCCCGTTTTGGCGATGCCATCTTAGGGCATATCCTCTGCGGGTGGGGCCTGGCATTGGCACCCCAACCTCTGCCTCTGGAGTCAGCCTCAGCCTCCAAGGCAGTGTGGGCCTGAGGGTCTGGCTTCCTTGCAGCCAGCCTCACCTGAGTTCTCAGATGGTTCGAGCCAGGAGCAAATCTGACGGAGCGGGTGTGGTAGCAGGAGCCGGTGCTGAGTGTGTGGACTGACCCCCGGCGTCTCCCCGACTGTCCCCTCTTCCTTCACTTCTGCCACCACCACCTAGTTGAAGCCACCGTCATCTCCCACCTGAACTGCTTGCCCTGGCCCTCTTAGCAGCCTCACCGTGTCCCCTCAGGCCACATTTCCTGACCCACGGCCATCAACAAATCTGATCCAGCCAGGGCCCTGTATGGAGCCTTCAACGGCTCCTGGCCAGGGCTGTGGATTGGGCCCTGCCCATCTCGCCCATGTCCTCTCATGCCCTCTCCTCCTGGCCCACCTGGTGCCCACCACACCGGCCTTGCATAGGCTGCTCCCTCCGGCTGAAGCCTCACCCCTCCCCTGGGCTCCCCGGGGCTGACTCCTTCTCACCCTTCAGGTCTCCGCTGCCCTGGACCCTCCTCAGAGAGGCCGGCAGAAGTGAGCCTCCTTCTGTTGTCCTCCGTCAAAGCCATGTGCTTATGTCCCTTGCAGGACTCGCCATGATTTGTAAATGTCCATCTCCCTTCTGTGTGTCCACTTCCTCCTGTTGTTTCCCTCTAGAAGGAAAACCCCCTATGGCAGAAGCCTCGTGTCTGTGCCCCTGGTAATCCTGGCAGGAGTAGGAGCCAGGAAATCTTTGTTGATCAATACGTGAAATCGGCCTGAAATAATTTCTACTAACATTTTGGTGACCATTCTTCCAGAACATTTTTCGGCAGCACATATACGTGTGGAGGGAGGAATATCTGGTTTGGCAATAAATGAAATATGTGTACTGCCATCTGTTCTCTTTGAAGCTTTGATTTTTAGAGGAATCCTTGTGTCTCTGGACAGATGATTTAAAGGGGAGCAAGGCTGGAGATGAAGGAACTGGCTGGGAGGCTGATACGGCAAAGTCAGGGGCCTGGGCTAGCAGTGGCCATGGGAGTGGAGGGAAGTAGGCAAGGAGGACTTGGGGCCAGGCTGGATAATGGGAGCCACAGTGTTGTCCAGGTTGATGCCCAGGCACCTGGCTTAGGCCCCCCGGGAGTGGTGGAGGAGCCGGGTCAGGGGTGACTTCAGTGGAGGGCATACTGTGTCAGGGGGTCGGGTGCCCTACTACAGATGCCTTTGAATGGATTTTTTGGGTTTTTTTTTTCTGAGGCAGGGTGTCGTTCTGTTGCCCAGGCTGGAGCTCACTGTAACCTCAAACTCCCAGGCTCAAGTGATCCTCCTGCCTCACTTTCCTAAGTAGCTGGGACTGCAGGTGCACCACCATGCCCAGCTAATTTTTAATTTTTTTGTACAGATGGGATCTTGCTGTGTTGCCCAGGCTGGTCTTGAACTCCTGGCCTCAAGGGATCCTCCTGCCTCGACCTGCCAAAGTGCTGGGATTACAGGCGTGAGCCACTGTGTCTGGCCTGAATAGAGTCTTTTTGTTTTTTTCGTGGACAGGTTCTTGCTCTGTCCCCCAGGCTGGAGTGCAGTGGCATGATCACAGCTCACTGCAGCCTCAACCTCCTGGGTTCTAGCAATCCTCCCACCTCAGCCTTGCAAGTATTTGGGACTGCAGGTGCACCATCACGCCCAGCTAATTTTTGTTTTTTTTGTACAGATGGGATCTTGCTGTGTTGCCCAGGCTGGTCTTGAACTCCTGGCCTCAAGGGATCCTCCTGCCTGTGCCTGCCAAAGTGCTGGGATTGCAGGTGTGAGCCACCACACCTGAATGGAGCTTTTTTTTTTTTTTTTTTTTTAAGGCGGTGGCGGGGTGGGGGTACTGAGTCTTTCTCTGTCACCCAGGCTGGGAGTGCAGTGGTACAATCTTGGCTCACTGCAACCTCCACCTCCCAGGTCCAGGTGATTCTCCTGCGTCAGCCTCCTGAGTAGCTGGGATTACAGGCACATACCACTATGCCTGGCTAATTTTTGTATTTTTAGTAGAGGCGAGGTTTTACCCTGTTGGCCAGGCTGGTCTGGAACTCCTGACCTCAGGTGATCCGGCCGCCTTGGTCTCCCAAAGTGCTGGGATTACAGGCGTGAGCTACTGTGCCTGGCCAGAATGGAGTTTTGAAGAGTGTAGTAGAAGGAGCTGGCGGGGCAGGATGTTGTGGATGAGAGGCATGGGCATAGGCACAGAGCATCTGCGGTTCTTAGGCCTGTGAGGGCTGCAGGGCCCTGGCCTTCCTGGAACTCCTGTCTGGGCCTCTCCAGCCCTCTGAGCCTCACCCGGCCCTAATGAGCCTCTCCTCTCCTGGATCGCTGCTTACTGAGCTTCCTGCCACCTCCTGCCATATCCACCCTAGGTCTGAATCCTGACCCCTGTGCGGGAGGAGTAATATTTTTTCTTCACCCATTGTAAGGTTTATGGCTGAGACCCTGATAACAAAAGGCAGATGAACAAGAGAAAAGCATGCACATTTAAGTTTCATGTGACATGGGAGCCTTCAGAAAAAAACCCAAAGAGACAGGGACGCCTGTGTAGTTTCATGTGAAGTTTGATGAAGAATGGACGGTCATGCAGGACGACTGGACTAGTACCATCTGATGGCAGTAAACTGTTTGTCCAGATCCCCCTCTGTGTCCCTGTGTCTTCAGAAATAAGGACATTGGGGCTGGGTTTGGTGGCTCATGCCTGTAATCCCAGCACTTTGGGAGGCCATGGGTGGCTCACCTGAGGTCAGGAGTTCCAGACCAGCCTGGCCAACATGGTAAAAGCCCATCTCTTCTAAAAATACAAAAATTAGCCAGGCGTGGTGGTGTGTACCTGTAATCCCAGCTACTCTGGAGGCTGAAGCAGGAGAATCACTTGAACCTGGGAGGTGGAGGTTGCAGTGAGCCAAGATCGCACCACTGCACTCCAGCCTGGGCGACAGAGTGAGACTCCATCTCAAAAAAAAAAAAAAGGACATTCCTTTCCCCTAGGTATAGGTATAGAGTGGGCACCTATGGAATCAGTGTTCTATGACCTGCTTCAGGGAGAAGGCTAGGGGAAGGCAAGCGTGGCCCTCCTGCTGCTTCTGCTGTTGTCTCAAATGCCAAGATGCCATATTTTGGGGTAGCATGTCCTAAACCCCATAACCCCCATTGTTTGCAACCTGTGTGACCTTGGGGAAGCTCCTTGACTTTTCCTTTTGGTGTCTCTATCCCTAGCGCAGGGCAGTTCTATTCTTGGGCATTGTATGAGATGTCCAGATGATGCAGGAGACAGCACCCTGCATGGGGACCACACGTAGCCAGGGTGGGGCACCCGGGAGCTTCCTTTCTGTCCCTCCCTTGGAACCCCGCTTTTTTCTTGATTTGTATCATGGATGGGAAGATGCCTGTCCCAGTACAGTTGATGTGAAAATCAAATTTGCCCTTGGAATGAGGCCAAATGCTTTACAAATGTCAGGAGTCGCTCCTGCCTGGGAGCTGTCTCTACCTGGAAGGTGGCATCTGGCCTGTGGGCTGTTGGTTTGGGGCCAGGACTGGGCTGCTGCTTTGCCTGTGGTGCTGAGCCCTGACTTGGCTGCAGGGTGAACCCTGGGTGGTCTCTGGGGCTACTCCTCTCCTAGGATGGAGAGGTAGTGACTCCTCCCTAGGCCTCCTGGGAGGCTCTGCCTCTAGCTCCTCCCACCCCAGGCTCAGTCTCAGACGCTCTCTTGGGGCCACTGCTCCCGGCCCTGCAGCCCTCACTCCTTTGATATTGTAGGTTGTCAGTGCTGCGTTTAAGGAAAGGGATTCTTTGCTTTGATTACTGCCCAGACAGGAACTTCCTGGGTAAGTCACCTTCATGTCACCCAGAAGCTGCTGGGGGGAGGGCTGCTGGGGATGGGGGGACCACCAGAGCTCAGGAGAGGGCTGCACAGCATCTGGCCTCTGTCTGGCTTCCTCTCCTGCTGCTCTTGTCCCCACTTCTGGGCACCACCTTCACCAGTGGGTGAAGGTCCCCAGTGGAGGCCCCTGGGACTGACACCCACGTCTTGACCACAGTGACTGGTGGCTACGATGCCTTCATCCGCCTGTGGAACCCCTTTGTCTCAAAGAGGCCCGTGTGGCTGATGAAGGGACACCAGACCTCAGTGACGCACATCCTTGTGGATAGCAGGAACAACAGCATCCTCATCAGTGTCTCCAAGGACAAGGTCCGCCCCGACGGTCCGCCTGACTCCTTCTGTTCCTCAGGGAAACACACTGGCCAGAGAAATGGCATGACCTCCCTGCCCACGGCCCCACATCTGGCCAAAGGCCTAGCAGGAGGGGCCCCGGGTGGGAGGAAGGTGAGGGTGGCCATGGACCTCTGAGCATGTCCCCAGAGCTGGGTTCCCAGGTAGCCCAGCCTGGCTTCTAACTTTGTGACCCTGGCAAGTCCTTCCCTTTTCTGAGCCTCAGTCCTCAGTCTCCCTATCCATAGAATGGGCTGTTGAGTGGTTTAGAGAACCAGCAGCAAAACAGCAGTGCAGTGTCTGGCACAGGGGAGTTGTGCAATGCATGGCAGCCGTTCCCCTGCGCTGCCCCTGCCCTCGATCTGCACCTCTCAGTTGCTCTAGTGACCCCTCCTCGGCTGCCTGGCCATGAGGGCTGGGCTTGGCCTTTCCCACATGCCAGGGCTCCCACTTGGGACCCGCCACTGTGCTCCTCTGCAGCTGTAGGCTCAGGATACTGCCCCGTCTGCTGGGCTGTGGGCCCACAGTGCTGGGGGCCCTCCTTTAGGGGACAGGTTACGTTTTCTGGAACTCTGGAGATGGAGAATTGTCAGGGCCCTCAGGGTCACCTGGAGCACCCTCTCCAACATATCCACACACCCTCCTGTCTGGAATTTTCCCAGAAGCCCTGGGAGCTGGGATCATCGCCTCTGATGAAGGGTCTGAGTCTGGGGCATGGGGACAGGGACAGTCTCGCTGAGGTCCCCAGTCGGCCATGGGCAGAGGATGCCTCCAAGAAGTCAGGGTCTTGGAGGGACTTCTGTGGGGCCCTCTAGGGAAAGTTCCTCCACCTGGGAGGAATGGGAGGGGCCCCTCTGGGGACAGGCAGGCCACTGTGGCAACTATGTTGGTAGCCACTACCGGACTGTGTCCCAGGCTGGAGTGGCAGCAAGGGAGGGCCTGGGGCCAGCATGTGCTGCCTGGCTTGGCTTTTGTACCCAGCCAGTGAATTCAGCTGCTCCAACAGGGTGGAGGCCTGGGGGCAGGCTGGGGGTGGAGCTGTGCCCGGCCCTCACTCACTGTGTACCTGGGTTATCTGAGCACAAGAGTAGCCTCTCTGCTGCTGGGTGTGACGGTGCCAACACCATGTGTGTGTGTTAGAAGTGCTTGGACGGACGATGTGCCCTGGCCTTGTTCGCCGGAGGCACCCCCGAGGCTTCAGGAGCCGGCTACATCCCCGAGACCCATGCTCAGCGTCTTGCCTTTTTCCCATCCCCCAGAATATTCGCGTGTGGGACATGCTGGACTACATATGCCTCCAGTCCTTCTGTGGGAAGTTTTTTGCTCTGGGAAACTGCCCCATCACCAGTGCCTACTTCTTCGAGAAGGACAATACCCTCATCTGCAGCACCTACTCAGTGAGTGCTGTCCCAGGAGGGAGTGGGGTCAAGGCCGCAGGTGGAGGGCCAGGGTCTGAATCCCATGGGACACCCAAGGGGTGGCCACGTCCTGTCCCTCCTGGGACTGCTGAAGCGGCTAGACTCTGTGGCCTGGCCTGTGAGGGGCCGTGTCTTGGGATTTCCTGAAATCCTGTTTCTAGGCCCCCAGCCTGTCACCCTCTCTGCAGCTGCTGCTGCTGTCTGCACTGTCCCCACTCAGGCGTCCTCAGCCTCTCCCTCTGGGAGCCACCCTGAACGTCAGGCTTGTTAGGAGCCCTTCCTCCATGTTTTCTTGGCCCCGTTCCTTGTCTCAGTCATGAGCCTCATAACTCTGTCCTGTCGCTATTACATGACTGTTTTTCCTGCTAAGTCATGAACTTTGGGAAACAGGGGCCACGTCCGAGCAGCATCTCTGCAGGAGAGACCCTGTGGGAAACTGAGTCACAGATAGGAAGGCCATCTGTGACTCAGGACTCAGCTGGAACCCCTGTGAGGTCTGTCCTGACCCTGGAGGACAGGAAAGATTGGGACAAGCACGAGGGGCTTCCTGTGGAGGATGGGGGTAAGGGGGCCCACAAGAAGGTGGAGGCTTGGGGAGCTGCAAGGCTGAGCCACAACCCACAGATGGGAGCAGAAGCCCAGAAAAGAGATGCGGGGGCCGCTCGTGCTTGAGCTCCACCAAGGCCTCCCACGCTCCGTGGGCTGGGCCACCCTGGTCGGTGACATGTGTGTCATCCTTACGCACTTGGCTGGCCCTCCCCTAGACAGCAGTTTTCTTGAGAAGGTAGTGGGTTCCTTTATCTCCTTGCTGAGTGCCAGACAGGTGGTCAGCATTTGCTGAATTAAATAGGCCTTTGAAGTTCATTTCAGAGCACCAAACCTTATCAACCCCCTGCCTTTTGTCATGAACAGAGAATATATGACAAAGACACTGTCCCATCTCTCTAGGAACCTACAGGGTAGAAGAAAAACAGATAATTTCGGTAGAAAGTGCTATGTGTTATGGTAGAGTTGTGCTTTTTGGAGCACAGAGGAATCCTTAGCCTCGCCTGGGGCAAGGGGGAGGCAGGGAGGGCTTCCCGGAGGGAACACCTGATTGAGGCTTCAGCTTCTCAGAAGTTATAAGGTGAAAGGGACCTTGGACTTGGAATTTGGGGTTCTAGGAACACTAGGGTTTGGAAGGCTCAGTCTCGGGGAGCGGGGGCCATGGAGTAGGGTGGGGGTATCTGCAGGCCTGCTGAGGAACCTGGAGTCTTGCTGGAATCAGGCCTGCGTGTGGTCAGGACGTCTTGATGTCGTGATTTATTGGAAGTTTTTCCCGGCAGCCCATCACTGTGAGCAGAGCCCTTCTGACAGACAAGCTCTCTGCCCCTTTCCTCACCTACAGATCGGGATCCTAAAAGGGTACTTAGAGGCCCAGGGGCTTATCAAAGCAAGGAAGAGGACCACTCATTGCTCACCCCTGTGTGCTGTCCTCTACAGCAAGATCTTTAAGCAGGTGAGTGGCCCAGGGCTCGCCTCTGAGGCTGGCGGGAACACCAGGTGACACGGGGCAGAACCAGACCTCCCTGTGTGCCTGGGTCTGTAGTCAGCTCCCATGGCACATTGGGAACTCTTACAGCCTTGATGGTGGTGCTGGGGCAGCGGGATAGACACAGAAAGCAGCTCTACAGATGGGCTGGCGTGGGATCAGCTCAGAGCTCCATCCGTTAGCCATGGGATCGCCTAACTCCTCTGAGCCTCATGCCCTTGGCTGAGCGCCTTGGGTCAGCTCTGGACTGGGCCTTCTTGATGTGGAGTATGAGACAGAGTGCTAGTTGTGGGGCGCTTTCCTAGGTTCCCAGAGTGGGTGCTGTTCTTGGGCATCTCTTTGCAGGGAAGCCATAACTTGGCTTTTTTCATTGTAGGAAGGGACGGAGGCCCAGGCAGCAGGCAGCACCTTGGTCCTGCGTGGAGTCTCTGGGTTGGGCAGGGCAGCTGGGCATGAGGAGTTGCTTCTGAGGTGTGAGGATAGGAGGGGCTGCTGCCTGAGGCCCTCTGCTCACTCCCACCCACTGGGACCTCTTGTCTGGCCCAGGCTCTGGACAGGTGCGCCGCATCGGCTGCAGAGGTGGCCTTGGGCTGCACAAGGCTGGAGCTCACCATTCTGGGCTTCTCTCCCATCCTGGCTCCTGCCACCACCCTCTCTCACTGCCTCAGGGCTCTTCAGTACCTTAAAAAAGTTTGTTTAAAATTTAAAAAAATTATCAACTTTTCTAGATCTTCTCAGTAGGGAGGGTTGGTCTGAAACCACCTCACTTGCTACTTTTTTTTTTTTTTTTTTTTTTGCCAGGGTCTCGCTCTGTCGCCCAGGCTGGAGTGCAATGGGACCTTGGCTCACTGCAGTCTCTGCCTTCCGGGTTCAAGCGATTCTCCTGCCTCAGCCTCCCGAGTAGCTGGGACTACAGGCATGCACCACCACCCCCAGCTAATTTTTGTATTTTTAGTAGAGACAGGGTTTCAGCATTTTGGCCAGGCTGGTCTCAAACTTCTGACCTCAAGTGATCCACCCTCCTCAGCCTCCCAAAGTTTTAGGATTACAGGCGTGAGCCACTGTGCCCAGCCTTACCTGCTACTCTTGCATTATAACAATGGTCATGGTGGCAAAATGTTTCATTGAGTGGCATGGCTGTCCTTATTCTCAACAGTTCCCTACTTAGGGGGCAGTTAGTTTATTTCTTATTTTTTTGACGGGGTGGTCATGATTAATGTTGTTTCAGTAATGTCTTTTCCATATAGGGATTATTTTCTTTGGCTAGATCCTGATAAGTGCCATTTCTGAGTTAACAGGTCTTCACCAAACGTTCCAGTGCGTTCCAGTTTGCACTGCCCTGTGATACAGGGCAGAGGAGGTCCTGTTTTCAAAAGTGGCTTATGCTGTAGCAGGGGGCCCTGAACGTCTGTTTTCTCAGTGGATGGAGGGGAGGGGCCAAGGCAGGCTGGAGACCACCCTTGGGAGTGGAGGCCCCGGCCTCTCCAGCAGCCCCCAGCTGTGTGCTCCCTACAGGTGGTGAGTGGCTGCCTGCGCGGCACAGTGAGTGTGTGGGAGGTCGTGACGGGCAGGAAGACGATGGAGTTTGCTGTGTCTGGGGGCCAGCACGTGGAGATGACCGCCATGGCCCTGGATGAGTCAGAGCGGTGCCTGCTCACAGGTTTGCGGGATGGCACAATGAAGATGTGGAACTACAACATTGGCAAATGCCTGTTGACCTTTCCCAGTCCGGAACAGCTGGAGGTCAGTCTTGCTTGTCAATTACAGCCAGGGACGGCCTCTTGGGAAGCAAAGCACAGCTCCTTTGACCCTGGGATGCACTATTTTTTGTACCTCTCTGAAAGGGTGTTCATCATAGTCAGGTGGCCTGGCTTCAAACCTCCCTGAGCCTCTGTGTCCTCATGCATGAAATGAAGACAGGTAACAGTGCCTGGACTAATGGGTTTCCACTAAGGTTAGCTACTGTTGCTCTTTAAATTTGCTAGCACTTCTCATTCCACATACTGGAGCTTTGGATTGCATTTCTAGCAGTGGGATCAGTTAATTCACAGCCACCCATGGTCACCCCTATTTGGGAAATGCCTGATGGTATTATAGGGCCAGTCCATGGGAGTGGCATAGGGCAAAGCCAGCAGTTCCACCCTAACTTCTGTGACACAGTCCTTTAACCAACTCAGAAAGTGTACTTAGCTGGCCAGGCAGTGGCTCACGCCTGTAATCTCAGCACTTTGGGAGGTCGAGGCAGGGGGATCACCTGAGGCCAGGAGTTCGAGACCAGCCTGGCTAATATGGTGAAACTCCCGTCTCTGCCAAAAATACAAAAAAAATTAGCCAGGCGTGGTGGTGGCTGCCTGTAATCCCAGCTACTCGGGAAGCTGAGGCAGGACAAGCCGGGAGGTGGAGGCTGCAGTGAGCCGAGATCCCGCCATCGCACTCCAGCCTGGGCAGCAAGAGTGAAACTCTGTCAAAAAAAAAAAAAAAGAAGAAGAAGAAAGAAAGTGTACTTAGCCAAGATGCCAGGGGTTGAGTACTGCTCCAGATCCTATCACTCAGTAGTGACTTGACCTTAGCCAGGTCACTTGCCCATTTCCCAGCTATCCTCTCTGTAAAATGGACATGGATGCCTACCCTATCTCACTCCCCTAAGTCCATCAAATGAGGGAATAGGATGTGAGAACATGATGACAAATACATGGTGGTATCACCTGTAGGTGATTTTCGTCATCCAGAGATTTGACTTCTTGCTTGGCACCTTTAGGAAGACATTTAGGGCCCAGAGCCATTTTCTCTGATAAGTTTTCTAGTTCTGTTTTCTTTCATCTTCAACAGATTAGTGGGATTATCCATATGAACAAAGTGTTCTATGTGACAGGATGGAGTAAGAGAATCACTCATTTCCTGTGAGTAGAAAGCATGTATGGTGAGTAGGTTCCAGTAGCTGCGTGTTCTCTCTCCAGATGGGTTCCTCCATTCCTGGCTTTCCTGGTGGTTGGAACACCATGCAGGAAGTTAGTGGTGGTTAATGACTATTGCTTCATCTGCTCATCCATCCATTTATTCATTATTCATTGAGGCTAATATATTCTTGGCCTTTTGCTAGGTGCCTGGGATGGGTATAAACAAGAATATTGGAGTCTTCATCCTCCTGGAGTATCTATTTCAGTGGGGGAATGTCTTAGTCCATTCGGGCTGCTGTAACAGAATATCATAGACTGAGTTGCTTATAAACAACATAAATTTATTTATCAGAGTTCTGGAGATGGGGGAAGTTCCAGACAAGGTGCCAGCAGATTTGGTGCCTGGTGAGGGCCTACTTCCTGATTCATAGACAGCTGTCTTCTTACTGTAAACTTACATGGTGGAAGGGTTAAGAAATCTCTCTGGGGCCTCCTTTATAAGGGCACTAATCCCATTCATGAGGGCTCCATTTTTGTGACCTCATCGCCTCCCAAGGCCCCACCTCCAAATTTCCTCGCCTTAGGGATTACGTTTCAATATATGAATTTTGGGAGCAAAATTCAGTCTATGGCATTCCGTCCCTGACTTCCCAAAATTCATGTCCTTCTCTCATGCAAAATATATTCATTTCATCCCAATAGCCCAAAAGTCTTAACTTGTTCCAGTATCAACTTTAATGTCTAAGTCCAAAATATCATCTAAATATCACCTAAATAAAATATGGGTGAGTCTCAAGCTACAATTCATTCTGAAGCAAATGCCCCTCTAGCTGTGAACCTGTGATGCTAACACGTTATGTACTTCCAAAATAGAATGGTGGGGCAGGCATAGGATAGACACAAGGGAGAGATAGGAAAGAAGAAAGGAGGGACAGGTCCTGAGCAAGTCAAAAATCCATCAGGGCAAATGCTAGTAGACCTTAAATCTCAAAGATAATCCTCTTTGGCTTGCTGCCCTGCCCTTCAGGCCTGCTGGGGTGGCAATTCTGCCCCTGCAGCTTTGCCTGGCAAGTGACTGGAACCCTAAGACTCTGGGCAGCCCTACACCTACAGATTTGGGGAGCCTTGCCCCCATGGTGGCTCTATGCCTGGGCCCTGCCCCTGTGGCACTTCCCTGCATGAGCCCCCTGGCCCTGTGGGGCTGCAATTCCAAGGCTGTGGCTCTGCTGGGAGACCCTGTCCTTTGAAATCTAGGTGGTGGAGGCAGCCATGTCCTCCCAGCTCTGCTGAGTGCAGTCCATGCTGTACCATGGTCCACAGGAGCCACACCTAGAGTGGTCAAGGAGCATGAAGAATGGTGCCTGTGAAGTTAAGCGATGATGGTAGAGTGCTGTGGTCCCATGGGCACTGGTGGCCATTCCCTTGAAACCATTCTGCCCCCAGAGCCCTTGTACTCTGGGCTGGTGATGGGAGGGACAGTCCTGATGATCTCTGAGTTGCCTTCAGGGTCATTCTTTCATTGTCTTGGAGAACAGCACTGGCTTCTGTTGGGTTGGCTGATCCATACTAATCTCATCAAACAGTGCTTGGCTATGTCTTTAATGATTGTATTAGTTTGTTTTCACACTGCTATAAAGAATGCCTGAGACTGGATAATTTATGACAAAAAAGGGTTTAATTGACTCACAGTTGTGCATGGCTAGGAGGGGGCCTCAGGAAACTTACAATCATAGTTAAAGGTGAAGGGGAAGCAAGGCACATCTTACATGGTGGCAGGAGAGAGAGTGCAAGGGAAACTGCCACTTTTAAATCATCAGGTCTTGTGAGAACTCACTCACTATCACGAGAACAGCATGAGGGAAACTGCCCCCATGATCCACTCACCTCCTACCAGGTCCCTCCCTCAACATATGGGGATTACAATTCAAGATGAGGTTTGGGTGGGGACACAGAGCCAAACCATATCAATGTTCTTTCCTGAACAGCCTTTCTCATTCCTTTCTATATGGATAGGATGAATCTTTTAAGTTCTGCTTCCATTTTTTTTTTCTTTAAGACATGGGATCTCACTCTGTCACCCAGGCTGGACTGTAGTCATGCGATTATCGCTCACTGCAGCCTCAGCTCCTAGGCTCAAGAGATCCTCCCACCCCAGCCTCCAGAGTAGCTAGAACTACAGGCACATGCCACCATGCCTTGCTAATTAAAAAAAAAATTTTTTTATAGAGATGGGGTCTTGCTATGTTGCCCAGGCTGGTCTTAAACTCTTGGTTTCAAGCAATCCTCCTGTCTTGGCCTCCCAAAGTACTGGGTTACAGGCATGTACCACTGCTCCTGGATTCTGCTTCCTTTTTGATTAACAGTTTGGTCTTTAAACCATTTGTCTCTTGTTGCATTTTATTATAAGTTGTCAGGAGAAACCAGGAACTCCTTCAATATGTTACATAGAAATTTGCTCAGTCAAATATCCAATTTCTTATCTTGCAAGTTCTACCTGTCTCAAAACACTAGAACACAAATATAATTCAGCAAGTTCTTTGCCATTTTGTAACAAGTATGACCTTTCCTCTAGTTTCCGATAACATGTTTCTCATTTCTTCACCAGAGACTTCACCAGAATGGTCTTTAACATCCATATTTCTACCAAAATTCTGTTCAGGATTACTTAGGTATTCTCTAAGAATATTGAGGCTTTCTCTGCATCTGTCCTCTTTTCTTTCTAGGCCCTCACTGGAATCACCCTTAATGGTCTATGCATAGCAATGCAAGCTTTTTCTAGCATGGACCATCCATCCTCTACCTATTACCTACTTTTTTTTTTTTTTTTTAAGACAGAGTCTTGTTTTATGGCCCAGGCTGGAGTGCAGTGGTGCAGTCTTGGCTCACTGCAGCCTCCGCGTCCCGGGTTCAAGTGATTCTCATGCTTCTGCTTCCCGGGTAGCTGGGATTATAAGTGTGTGCCACCACACCTGGCTAATTTTTTGTATTTTTAGTAGAGACAGGGTTTCATCATGTTGGCCAGGCTGGTCTTGAACTCCTGGCCTCAAGTGATCCACCTGTCTCAGTTCCCAAAGTGCTGGGATTACAGGCATGAGCCACCCTGCCCAGCTGCTGTTACCTAGTTCTAAAGCCACTTCCCACATTTTTAGGTATTTGTTACAATAACACCCCACTCCTGGTACCAGTTTCTGTCTTTGTTCACTCAGGCTGTTATAACAGAATACCATAGAGTAGGTGGCTTATAACAACAGAAAATTATTTCTTATAGTTCTGGAGGAAGTTCTTAGATTAAAGCACTGGCAAATTCAGTGACTGGTGAGGGCCACTTCCTGGTTCATAGATGGCCATTTTCTCACATGGTAGAGAGGACAAGGGATCTCTCTGGGCCTCTTATTTTTGTTTTAGTTTTTTTAAGAGACAGGATCTTGCTCTATTGCCTAGGCTGGAGTGCAGTGGCATAATTACAGCTCACTGCAGCCTTGAACTCCTGGGCTCAAGTGATCCTCCTGCCTCAGCCTCCTGAATAGCTAGGACTACAAGTGTGTGTCACTATGCCTGGCTAATTAAAATTTTTTTTTGTAGAGATGTGGTCTTGCTCTGTTGCCCAAGCTGGTCTTGAACTCCTGGCCTCAAACGATTTTCCTTCCTTGGCCCCTCAAAGTGCTGGGATTATAGGCATGAGCCACCATGCCTAGCCTAGGACCTCTTTTATAAAGGCACTGATTCCATTTATGAGGGTTTTGCCCTTCTGTCCTAATAACCTTCCAAAGGCCACACCTTCAGATACTCTCACATTGAGGATTAGGTTTTAACATAAATTTTTGGAGAATATGAATATTCAGTTTGTATCAAGAAGGCAGGTACTAATCAAATATTAATACTTTCATTTATAATTATAAAGTATATTCAGTGCTGTGAAAAAAAAGTAGGAGTTTCTATGGGGGTTGAATGGGTGGAAACCTGATTTCTTCTTGGGGGCGGTGGTCAGGAAAGGCTCAGTGAGGGTGTTGTGGGTGGAGTGCAATCTGAAGCGTGAGAAGGAAGGGTCTCTGTGAAGTCTTTAGGGTAGGATGAGCATTCCAGGCAGAAGGCACACTATGTTCAAGGTCCCTTTCTTTTTAGGGACCTCTGTAAGGCCACAATGTCCCCCCCCCTTTAAACCTTAATCCTTACCTAGGTGTCTGACTGGGGGTGTATTACACATTGACTATCTGTAAGATTAGTTTATGTAAAGCCCCTACAACAGGGCCTTTGTAGAAAGCATGTAGTAAGCGCTTAGTAAATGAGGTCAATGGGACATGGCTTCAGCCCAGCTCCGACACCTGAGAGTATCCTCCTCTGAGTCGGCTCCCAGAATCCTCAAGGCTCCAGTGCTTCCCCAATGGATGGAGCATTACAGGCTGAGCTCTCAGCCCTCCTGCCTCTGGCCATATGCACAGGTTCCACAAGACCAAGCCAGTGCTCTTGTGCTACCACTGGCAGACCTACCACACGGAGGACATCCTGAGCATGGCCAAGTACCGGAACCAGTTCCTTGGGACCTCCTCCTACAGTGGGGACATCCTCTTCTGGAACACCGGCACACTCAAGCCCATCTTCAACTTCAATGCCTCTAGGAGCCCCTCGCCCTTGCAGCCCAAGAGGGTATGTTAACAGGAGCACACTCTCCTCCCACCCTTCTCTCAGCTGTGAACCAGAATCCTGTGGGGCAGGGAGGGTGGGGAGCACCCTGGGAAGCAGGAGGGATGATGGCGACTTGTTCTGGATGGGGTGGGGAGCTTGGTTAGGTAGGTGGTAGTTTCTGTAATTATCCTCATTGGACAGATGAGAAAATGGAGGCACACGGAGATGAAGCACCTTGCCTAAGGTCACACAGCCAAGAAGGAGTAGACCCAAACCCAGGCAGTCTGACTTCAGAGGCTGGCAGTGCTGGTCCTCCATCTTTAGTAGATTACTCGCTCCTTTCCCATTGCTACTACACATTACCACTGTGGGCTCCCCAGCAGGGACTTAGGAAACCCATACAGTCTCCAAATTCCCATATCTCAGCAGATCAAAGCAGGAAGGGACCTTAGGGGCCGCCTCATCCAGGGGTTTTCCAAATGTACTGGAGAGAGATGCTTGGAAGCTACTGCAGGGGGGCTCTGGTAGGTGGGGTTTCCCCCAGAATAGCTCAGCTTTTTATCTGTTTTATGCTTTGGAGCTTCCATTGAGATTAAAGGTAGCCTCAAAAATATTTGGAAACCACTGTCCATTTTACAGATGAGAAGACTTGAGTTCCTCATGGGAGCAGTGTCCTGCCTGTGGGTACTCAGGGCATTGCAGCTGGCCAGGAATGGGGTTAGAAGCTCTGGTCTGATGCCTTTAAGGGGGCTAGGTTTCTGGGAAGCAAGCCCTGGGGGGCTGGAGGGCCCTGTGGTGTTGGCATTGATCTGGGGCAGTCCTGAATTTACCTCTACGACATTGCAGTGCCTTAGGGGCTGCTTTCTTCTTGGTACAGGTGCAAGATGTGAACAACTGCCTGGCTGAGAGCCACAGGCCCAGCAGACCCTATGTGGAGCGGGAGAAGTGGACATACAAGACCTCCAGGAAGCTCTCCAGTCTCAGCCCCGAGTCTGTGGCCAATACCAACCTGAGGCGGAGCCTGGTGTCGGCTCCCCCAGTGATGCGGTGCCCGAGAGACAAGGAGCCAGACAGGCCTGTGCCCCAGCAGGTGGGAGCGAGAGCCCAACCAGAAGGCTACCCTCACTCTCTAGCCGCCGGCGTTCACACACCGTCTGTGTGTGTGTTTTCTTATTGGGATGTACTTTTTCCAAAGTGCCTTTAGGTCCCTCAACTCACTTGTTTTGAGCATTGTGGGCCTGGGCAGGGCACCCTCTGGTTTTAGTCCCAATGTATCTATCCTGGAGCTGGGGCTAGGTCCCTTTCCAGGGCATGGCTAATACCAGCCCTAAAAGTCTGAAAGCTGAAAGGCAGGACCCAAAGAGAACACAACCCTGAAAACCTAAAATTGGATGTTAGATCCTGGGCTGCATTCTCAGTCCTCAAGGGCAAGTCACCTGACCTTGGCCCAGGTGCAGAGGGAGCCATGGGGTCTCACCTGCTTGGAGACCAGGCTGTAAGAGTCTGAGACCCAGACACAGACAAACCACTTTCCTCCTCCTCTGAGCCTCATCTCTGCCCCAGGACTAGCCCTTCCAAGAATGGCTGACAGTTCTATTTTGCGGGGAGTAGGGAGAAAGAGCAGGAGGAGTTACTGTTTCCCTACTTGCAGGGGATGGCTTGCCTTTGAACTTTCAGCAGTGAGTACAGTATTCCAACAATCAGTGCAATAATCTCTTGTATGGGGCAGGAGGAACCAGTGAGATTGTTCTCGTAGTCAAAATCTGATTTCCATTCCTGGGAGCTGAGGCTTGAGTGAGAAACACCACCGTCCCCAAACACACAATAATTGCTAGGCATAGGGCAGTCTAGACCTAAATCCAACATGGTCTGCTAGGATATAATTTTGCTGTAAGACGTGTACACTTGACCATAAGACATTCATACCATCTTTGAGTTATCAGAGGTTACACCACTGTTTTCAAATCTTCTAGGGAAATGGGTGCATAGGTATATTTGCCCCTCTATCCTTATTTTTATTTTTATTTTTTGAGATGGAGTCTCACTCTGTCACCCAGGCTAGAGTGCAGTGGCGTGGTCTTCGCTCAGTGCAACCTCTGTCTCCTGGGTTCAAGCAATTCTCCTGCCTCAGCTTCCCTAGTAGCTGGGATTACAGGTGTGCACAACTATGCCTGGCTAAATTTTTTGTATTTTTATTGGAGACGGGGTTTCACCATGTTGGCCAGGCTGGTCTCAGACTCCTGGCCTGAAATTATCTGCCCGCCTCAGCCTCCCAAAGTGCTGGAATTACAGGTGTGAACCACCACGACCGACCTTTATCCTCATTTTTAACCAGGATGGTCTCTTCCAGGACAAAGGAAGCATCTTCCCCAGAGGCAAACTCAAGTCTCTGCCCCAATTTTGCTCTAGCAAAATTGCTGGGAGCTTAAAGTGGAGGTTTCCGGGATCCACTGAGCGCTGCTTTTCCCAGGCCAGTGTACCTACTGCGGGGGCTTGGGAGTGCCGCTCTTTTATCATCTTCCTCTGGTCTCTGGTCCCCTATGGGGAAGGGAAACACCCTCATGGTGACTTGGGTGCCCATCTTTCTTTCCAGAAACCTTCCAGTGCTTCTGGCACATCCAGGCAGTCAAGCAAGATCCACAGCAAACAGTCCATTTACAAAGAGGATGAAACGAGAAAAGGAGAATGGCAGAAGAATATGTTGGTTCAATCCAGTGCCTCGGTGGAGAAGGTTGGCCGTGATCAGCCAGGGAGAGGGATATGAGCTGGGGAGTGGGCGGTCAGGATTGGGTGGTCAGGATGGGGCTCGGGGGCCTGGGCTCGGGGCCCGGCCTGATTCTCCCCAGTGCCCGGAAGGCATCTTGGAGAGGATGGAGACGCTCAGGATACTGGAGTCAGGGCTGCGGTGTCTGGGGAGAGCTCCTGTATTAATTCGTTTTCATGCAGCTGATAAAGGCATATCCGAGACTGAGAAGAAAAAGAGGTTTAACTGGACTTATAGTTCCATATGGCTGGGGAAGACCTCACAATCATGGCGGGAGGCTAAAGGTGCTTCTTACATGGCAGCAGCAAGAGAAAATGAGAAGCAGCAAAAGCGGAAACCCCTGATAAACCCATCAGATCTCGCTGAGACTTGTTCACTATCATGAGAATGGCATGGGAAGGACCAGCCCCCATGATTCAGTTACCTCCCTCTTGGTCCCTCCCACAACACGGGGGAATTCTGGGAGATACCATTCAAGTTGAGATTTGAGTGGGGACACAGCCAAACCATATCAGCTCCCAAGGAGGTGGAGTTGGGGTGCCTAGGGAAGTGAGCAGTGTCCCCTCTGGATTGGGGGTAACAGTGTCCCCTCTGGGAGGGGAGGTAGGGAGGTAGGAGAAGGGGCATCTCCAGACTCTAGTTAGAATGCCCTCCTGTTAACTGGAAGGGTGTTTTATACCGAACACGAGTTGGGTATGGGTTCATCTTTGTTCTTCCTACTGTACCTTCCCCTTTCTGACCCTGGACACCCCTCACTGTGATACTGACTCCCCGTCCTGAAAATACAAATCATAGTTGAGTTAGGGTGTGGCTGGCCTGCCCCATCACCCAGGTCCAGGGACCAGGACTTGAGAACAAGAGGGCAGTGCCCTGAGAGCTGGGTTTTGCAGTGTTGGGAGGGAGAGCAGGAGTGGCTGCACACTCTCCTCCAGGTTCTGATTATTTCTCTCTCCTTTTTTTTTCTTGAGACAGGGTCTCACTGTCACCCAGGCTAGAGTACAGTGGTGTGATCACAGCTCATTACAGCCTCAACTCCTGGGCTGAAGGGACCCTCCCACCTCAGCCTTGTGAGTAGCTGGGGCTATAGGCATGCTCCATTATGCCCAGCTATTTTGTGTGTGTGTGTGTGTGTGTGTGTGTGTGTTTTTGTAGAGATGGGGTCTCACTATGCTGCCCATGCTGGTCTCGAACTCCTGGGCTCAAGTGATCCTCCTGGCTCAGCCTCCCAAAGTGTTGGGATTACAGATGTGAACCATTATACCCAGCCTCTTCCTTCTCTTTAAAAAAATACCTTAGATAACTTTTAAAAGTAATAATACTAGTTTATAATAAAAAAGGAAGTGTATGTAAATGAAAAAATAAAAATAAAAGTCCCCTATATCTCACTCACCCTATCCCATCCCACTCTCAACAGCAGCATTCGCTGCTAACAGGTTGGTTTTAGCCTTGTACTTTTTTTTTTTTGACTAGTAATATAAAATGATAGCTATGTCCTGCCATATGCTTTTTTCTGTAAGTCTATAGCATGGATATACTTTCATGAGAGGGATTTAGATTCATCTTATTCTTTTGTTACCTTATTCTTTTTTTTTTTTTTTTTGAGACGGAGTCTTGCTCTGTCACCCAGGCTGGCGTGCAGTGTTGCGATATCAGCTCACTGCACCTCTGCGTCCTGAGTTCAAGTGATTCTCCTGCCTCAGCCTCCAGAGTAGCTGGGACCATAAGCATGTGCCACCATGCCCAGCTGCTTTTTTATTTCTAGTAGAGTCGGGGTTTCACCATGTTGGCCAGGCTGGTCTTGAACTCCTGACCTCAGGTGATCCACTGGCCTCGGCTTCCCAAAGTGCTGGGATTACAGGCATTAGCCACCACACCTGGCCATCTTATTCTTTTTAACAACTGCCCACTGCTGCATAACTTGGATGCATCAGGAACTGTGAAGCTGGTCCTCTATGAATAGGTCTGTGGGTTAGTTCCAGTTTTTAGCTTTTAGGAGCAGCACTGCATTGAACATTCTTGCACGTACATTTCTGGGCACTAGTGTGAGTATATTGAGAGGACGGATTCTTGGAAACAGAATTGCCAACAGATCCCATCTCTTTAAATCTGTGAAGTCAAGGTAGATGGCTCAAAGCTTGATCTTTTGGGCTAGTGACCTAGTGCTGTCAGGACACAGGCATTCGCTACATGCCAGCCGCTGGGGAAGGAGCAGTGAATGAAAGATATCAAGCCCCTGACCTCTGGAGCTGTCATTCTAGTTGGGGCAAGATAGACAATTAACCAGCAAATAAAATAAAGGGCATGTCACAGAGTGAGTGAGGACAATGGAGGACAAGAAAGCCGGGAAGATGGCAGGGAGAACAGACATGGGAGGAGATGGCATTGCTGTTTTATGAATAGGCTGGTCAGGGAGGGCTTCACAGAGGAGGTGGCATCTGCATAGAGCCTGAAGGAAGCGAGGAAACATGGCCTGCAGTTATTTGGAAGGAGGGTGATGCAGGCAGAGAAGGTAGGTGCAAGGGCCCACATGGGAGAGCTGGCATGGAATGTTCGAGAATGAGTACTTCTCTCTCTCTCTCTGTATCTCT
Source organism: Homo sapiens (assembly GCF_000001405.40). NCBI lineage: Eukaryota > Metazoa > Chordata > Mammalia > Primates > Hominidae > Homo > Homo sapiens. The sequence goes on from NC_000020.11 coordinate 32,922,837, forward strand.
CTCTGATACTTTCTTCCTCTAATTAGAAAGTGATACATGTCCTTAATTAAAACTAAAAAAATTCAGGCCAAGAGCAGTGGCTCACATCTGTAATCCCAGTCCTTTAGGAGGCCAAAGTGGGAGGACTGCTTGAGCCCAGGAGTTCTAGACCAGCTTGGGCAACATGATGAGACCTCATCTCTACAAAAAATTAAAAAAATTAGCCAGGTTTGATAGTGTGCACGGTGCACCCAGCTCCTTGGGAGGCTGAGTTGGGAGAATCACTTGAGTCTGGGAGGTCAAGGATGCAGTGAGCTGTGATTGTGCCACTGCACTCCAGCCTGGGCAACACAGCTAGACCTTGTCTCTTAAACAAACAAACAAACCTGGCCCAGTGCGATGGCTCACACCTGTAATCCTAGCACTTTGGGAGGCTGAGGTGGGCAGATTGCCTGAGCTCAGGAGTTCGAAACCAGCCTGGGCAACACGGTGAAACCCCGTCTCTACTAAAATACAAAAAATTAGCCAGGGGTGGCAGCATACTCCTGTAGTCCCAGCTAGTCGGGAGGCAGAGGCAGGAGAATTGATTGAACCCGGGAGGCGGAGGTTGCAGTGAGCTGAGATCGTGCCACTGCACTCCAGCCTGGGTGACACAGTGAGATTCGCCTCCAAAACAACACCACCACCACCACCTATGAAAAAAAATGAAACTTTATACGAGTGTATAAAGTAAAAGAATGGCTGTCTCCCTCCTCAGCCTCCAGAGGTAATTACGTTAAGACATGTGTTGTAGCCTTCTAGAATTTTTTTGTGCATATACAAGTACATACATGTATGAATGTATATATATAAATCTAGATATTTTTCACTGGATAATATCATATTGCATGTATTATTCCGGGACTTGCTGTTTTTCACTTGACTCCTCACGGGCATCTCTTCATGACGGTGTTTACGGAGCCATGGCATTCCTTTTACTAGTCACATCATGTCCTGGGTACACTGCACAGAGTCTGTATAGCTATCTGCTGCCGCTGGGTTTTGCCTCTATAGAAAGCATTGCAATGAATACCCTTGTACATAAATTTTGGATCTCTTGTCTATTTCCAGATATAAAACTCTAGGATTAGAAACATACTCCTGGAAAGCTTTTGCTATCTTGCATTATGTTTCAGTGGTAGCTAGTAATTATTGAGCTCTCAATATCTGCCAGACAATGAACTTAATGGTTTACATGTGTTATTTTTTGTTTTTTGAGACAGAATCTCAGCTCTCTTGTCCAGGCTGGAGTGCAGTGGCACAATCACAGCTCATTGTAGCCTCCACTTCCCAGGCTCAAGCGATTCTCCCACCTCAGCCTTCTGAGTATTAATAGCTGGGACCACAGGTGTGTGCTACTGTGCCTGGCTCATTAAAAAAATATATATTTATAGAGATGGAGTCTCCTTATGTTGCCCAGGCTAGTCTTGACCTTCTGGGCTCAAGCGATCCTCCTGCCTTGGCCTCCCAAAGTGCTGGGATTACAGGCATAAGCCACCATGCCCAGCTACATGTGTTGTTTTTATTTTGTCCATCAAACAGCCCTGGGAAGTATGTACTATTATTATTTATTTATGAGGGATTTTTATTTATTTAATACATCTGAAAAGAATGTATGTGAAAAGAATGTTTAATACATCTGAAAAGAATGTACTATTATTATTATTCCCATTTTATGGCTGAAGAAACAGGCCCAATGAGGTGAAGTGACTTGCCCAAGATTCTTATGGCCAGAAAATGGCAGAGCCAGGGCCTGATTCTAGGTCTATTTGTTTTCAAAGTTCAAGTTCTTTTAAGTTTTTGTGCTGCCACTGTTGGGAATTCCTTGGGCTTTTTACGTGGCCTGGTGATCTGTGTGTAATAAGGATTTGTATCATGAATCTTGATTGAATTTTTGGCCACAGAATTGCATGCAAAAGATTGAATGTCTATTGGTGAGATTTGAGGCACTGTGGCTGGCAGGGCTGTGTGTGTGTGTGTGTCCCCTCTGGATGCTGACCCTCACCCCTGGCTTCAAGATGTACTGTCTCCCACCCGCACCACTCCTTGAGGAGCAGGGTCCCTTCTCTCTGGGGCACTTGTGGGCACAGTGAAGCATTTTAGGGTGGTGCCCTGGAGAGGGTCCAGAGTGCTTGGGTCATCTCTGATCTCAGCCTTTCCTTAGTGGAAGAGAGGCTTGGGTGGGCTGGGGTAAGGACACCAGACAGGGAGTGGGTGGGGGTCTTACCTGTTGGGTCTTCCTTCCCATTATTTCTGTCTGGCCATCCCAGAAGACTGTGAGGCATGGCAGAAAGAGCACTAGGAAGGAGTCCAGGATGCAGATCCAGGCCCAGCTGTGTCCCTGACAGTCTTTATTTTTAATTTTACTTATTTATTTATTTTTGAGATGGAGTCTCACTCTGTTGTCCAGGCTGGAGTGCAGTGGCGTGATCTCAGCTCACTGCCACCTCTGTCTCCTGGGTTCAAGTGATTCTCGTGCCTCAACCTCCTGAGTAGCTGGGATTACAGGTGTGTGCCACCACACCTGGCTAATTTTGTGTTTTTAATGGAGACAGGGTTTCACCATGTTGTCCAGGCTGGTCTTGAACTCCTGACCTTAAGTGATCCTCTTGCCTCAGCTTTCCAAAGTGCTGGCATTACAGGCGTAAGCCACCACGCCTAGCTAATTTTGGGTTTTTAGTGGAGACGGGGTTTTGCCATGTTGTCCAGGCTTGTCTCGAACTCCTGGCCTCAAGTGATCCTCCTGCCTCAGCCTCCCAAAGTGTTGGGATTACAGGCGTGAGCCACGGCGCCCAGCCCCTGACAGTCTTTAGATGAAGCACTTGCCCCTGGCCATCTCCCCAGTAGGGAAGGACCAGATGGCACGCAGTAGAAAATTGCTCCAAGTTACATGAAGTTTAGCCCGTGAGTAGCTTGCCATGGCTCCTTCTGAAGGGACCCACAGGGAGGCCATTAACCCGCTGTGGTTGAGATACTATCTGGGATTCCTGGGCTGAGTGAGACTGAAATGCTCACCTTCAGTCCAGCAGCTCTTTCCAAAATGAGCAGGGCAATGTATTGGATGGGGCTGGATGCAGAGTGCAAAAGGAATAGTGTTGGTTACCTGTCCCTCGCAGCCACACGGCTCTGTCCTGCCTAGGGCCACCATTCTGACTGTGCTTTTCTCACTGTGAGCACCGGATGCTGGCTACGCAGTTGACCCTGTGCTCTCAGCAGGCCGCCCCTCTCCAGTCCTGCTGAAGTCCTGGGCGCTCATTCACCTTCACCCTACCTGCTCTCACCGTCCCAGGGCTGGCAAAGGAATGGCTGGGAAGGATGCCTCAGCTTTTCCCCAGTTCAGACATGGGAGAACTTTGTGGTGCATCACTTTGGTGAATCCTGTGCAGTTATGAGGAACCACATTTTAGAAAAATACTTAATCATTGGAATGTGCTTATGACAAAATTTAAAGCACATCCTTTAAAATGACAGTTAATGACTACTGTGAAAGTTGTGTGCACGTTAAATTTTTTTTTATGGTTTTGATTTTTCAAACAAAACTGAGAACGTTTGAAACTATTGTTTATTTAGCTGTTTGCTTTTTTTTTTTTTTCAAACCTTGCAATTTGTGGTGGACAGTTTTTCCTCTCAGCACATAATAATCTATCCACTTCATTCTTTTTTTTTTTATTATACTTTAAGTTTTAGGGTACATGTGCACAATGTGCAGGTTAGTTACATATGTATACATGTGCCATGCTGGTGCGCTGCACCCACTAACTCGTCATTTAGCATTAGGTATATCTCCCAATGCTATCCCTCCCCCCTCCCCCGACCCCACAACAGTCCCCAGAGTGTGATGTTCCCCTTCCTGTGTCCATGTGTTCTCATTGTTCAATTCCCACCTATGAGTGAGAATATGCGGTGTTTGGTTTTTTGTTCTTGCGATAGTTTACTGAGAATGATGATTTCCAATTTCATCCATGTCCCTACAAAGGACATGAACTCATCATTTTTTATGGCTGCATAGTATTCCATGGTGTATATGTGCCACATTTTCTTAATCCAGTCTATCATTGTTGGACATTTGGGTTGGTTCCAAGTCTTTGCTATTGTGAATAATGCCGCAATAAACATACGTGTGCATGTGTCTTTATAGCAGCATGATTTATAGTCCTTTGGGTATACCACTTCATTCTTTTTAATAGCTTTATATAGGGACCTATCTAGGTTTTTTGGAGCCTAAAACTTTTGCAAGAAAAATGCACAAAATTATAAAAAATTAGGTACAAAAGTGAATATTTATTTAGAATGAGAAAAAAGTGTCAACAAATTTCAAAACTTATAAATCTGACAATTACAAAAGTCACCAGAACTTACCAGTTCTTTCCTAGAACCTTGAACTTAAACTTGAACTTAGCCTTGAGCTTCATGAACTTCACGAGTAAATCTGCCACTGGCTGCAGTGTATTTCTTTGGATTCACCATGATTTGTTTATTTATTTATTTATTTAATTTAAAATTTTTTTGAGACAGAGTCTCACTCTGTCTCCCAGGCTGGAGTGCAGTGACGTGATCTTGGTTCACTGCAACCTCCGCCTCCCAAGTACCAGCAATTCTTCTGCCTCAGCCTCCCGAGTAGCTGGGATTAAAGGTGCCCGCCACCATGCCCAGCTGATTTTTGTATTTTTAGTGGAGACAGGGTTTCACCATGTTGGTCAGGCTGGTCTTGAACTCCTGACCTCAGGTGATCCACCCGCCTTGGCTTCCCAAAATGCTGGGATTAGAGGCGAGAGCCACCATGCCTGGCCAAAATACATTAAAGTCTTAATGGTGATTATTTCTGGGTACTGGGATTTTGTAGGTGATTTTAATTTCCTTTCATATGTCTATGCTGCCCACATTTTGTACAGTGAGCACTTGCATAAAGTGGGGGAAATGCTTGCCCTTTGTCTTTGGTTCAGGGATTCCTGTTTTTTCTTTTTTTCAAAAAATTTTTCTTGTAGTGAAATACACATAACATAAAATTTACCATTGAAACCATTTTTAAGTGTATGGTTCAGTGGTAGTAAATATATTCATAATGTGCAGCCATCACCACTATCCATTCATCTTGTTAAATTGAAACTATACCCATTAAAAAATAACTCCCACTCCCCTCTCCCTCCAAACCCTGGAAACCCCCATTCTACTTTCTGTCTTTATGATTTTGACTATTCTACCTCATGCAAGTGGAATCATATGTTTGTCTTTTGGTAACTGGCTTATGTCACTTAGCATAATGTCCTCTTTGATTAATTCCCAAGTATTTTACTCTTTTTTTGACACTATTGTCAATGGAATTATTTTTGTAATTTCCTTTTCAGATTGTTCAACGTTAGTGTATAGAAATGCAACTGATTTTTTATTTTTTTTTTTTTGAGACAGAGTCTTGCTCTGTCGCCCAGGCTGGAGTACAATGGCACGATCTCGGCTCACTGCACCCTCTGCCTCCCAGGTTCAAGTGATTTTCCTGCCTCAGCCTCATGGGTAGCTGGGATTACAGGTGCATGCCACCACACCTGGCTAATATTTGTATTTTTTAGTAGAGACGGGCTTTCACCATGTTGACCAGGCTGGTCTCGAACTCTTGACCTCATGATCCACCTGCCTCAGCCTCCCAAAGTGCTGGGATTACAGGCATGAGCCACCGCACCCAGCCAATGCGACTGATTTTTATGTGTTGACTTTGTATCCTGCCATTTTGCTGAATTCATTTGTTAGCCCCTTTTTTTTGGTGTGGGAGCTTTAGCGTTTTCTACATATAAGATAATATCATCTGCAAACTTATAATTTTACTTCTTTCTTTCCAGTTTGGATACCTTTTATTTCTTTTTTTGCCTAATCCCTCTGGCAGAACTTCCAGTACTCTGTTGAATAAAAGTGGCAAAAGTGGACATTCTTGCCTTGTTCCTAATTCCAGAGGAAAAGCTTTCAGTCTTTTACTATTGAGTGTGATATTCATTGTGGGTTTTTCATATATGGCTTTTATTATGTTTAGGTAATGTCCTTCTATTCCTATTTTTTTTTTTTAATTTTGTCAAATCGTTTTCTGCATCAATTAAGATGATCGTGTGGGTTTTTTTCTTTTTTTGTGAAGGTGGTATATTTATTGATTTTTATATGTTGAATCATCCTTGCATTCCAGGAATAAAAGTCACTTGGTCATGGTATATAATCCTTTTAATATGCTACTGAATGCAGTTTGCTAATTTTTTTGATAATTTTTAAATATCAGTGTTCATAAGGGATATTTCTCTGTAGTCTTTTTTTTTTTCTTATAATGTCTTTGTCTGACTTTGATATCAGGGTAATGCTGGCCTCATAGAATGAGTTAGGAAGTGTTATCTCCTCTTCAGTATTCTGGAAAAGTTTGGGAAGGATTGGCATTCATTCTTCCTTAAATGTTTGGTAGAATTCACTGGTGAAGCCATCAAGCTTTGGGCACAAGGGACTTCTGGTTTTTGACCCTGGCACCGGGGCCAGTGGGAAGCAGGTTGAACAACTAATTTCGGATTTCTACAACAATAAGGATAATTGAGATTTTTTTCTTTCTTTTCTTTTCTTTCTTTTCTTTTTTCTCCCTTCCCTCCCCTCCCCTCCCCTCCCCTCCGCTTCTCTTCCCTTCTGTTTTTTTTTTTTTTTCTTTAAATAGAGATAGGGTCTCACTATGTTGCACAGGCTGTCTCGATCTCCTGGGCTCAAGTGATTCACCCGCCTCGGCCTCCCAAAGTGCTAGGATTACAGGTATGAGCCACCATGAGATTTTTGATAATCGAGATTTTTGTTGTTGGTGACATGTTTTGGGGACACATAAGCTATTACACTGTAAAGTTCTGAGCAGGAGTGAGGAAGCTTCCAATTTCCCCCTTCTGGCCTGATTTGCTCTACCACCCTCACTATGCTCTCAGCCTCCTGCTGGGTGCCAGGCAAGAAACTTTCTTCTCATGCTTGCCATGCAGAGTAACTTCCCACTGTGGCCCCCACATGGGCCACAGGTGTGACATGTAAGGGAAAAGTGAGCAGAGTGAGGAATTAGCAAAGGGCATGATCAAAACAAGTCTTGAACAAGAATTTGTTTAAAATGCTTTCTTGATGATTGGCTGGAAAATATGGATATTTCACTATAGATATACATGAAGGGGAATGAGTTCCTTCCCCACATCACTTTGGGTTGAGTTACAGGTTGTGAAAATCTTGTCTGAGCCTATGTCGAATCAAACTTGTAAGCCTTCATTTGATAAACATTTATTGATCATGTATTATGTGTCAGGCACCATTGTGGTTACTAAGGACAAAGTAGTGAACAAAAAAGACGCAAAATCCCTGCCCTCTAGTAGTTCATAGTCGAGTATGACGTTCCTTGTCACCAGCTGGGGAGGAAGGGTGGGACCACCATCACCACTTTCACTGGGCATCTAGGAAACTGGGGGACCAGGTGGGTGTGGTGACTTGCTGAGGTCCCTCAGCACCATGTGACAGTGGCTCACAGCCCTGCTGAGCCGGGCCCTCCTCTCTTCCTCAGATAATCTTCCTGCAGACCAGGCCTCGCCTGCCGCACACGGCTGCCCTGCTGAGCAGCTGCATGGACGGCTACATCTACGCCTGGTCCCTCCATGAGAATGGAGGCCTGCTGGGGAAGTTCCCTGTGGACCTAGACAATGGGGATGTTGTCGTGGGTGCCATGGCCACTGATAAAAATGACTGGATCCTCATCACGGGGGATTGTAAAGGATACATCAAGGTGAGGAAGAACTGGCAGGAAGATTGAGGGGCTGGTGCCAGCTAAGTGTTCGGCCATCTCTTTGCTCACATGGCCCTTGCCTAGTTCCTACTCTGTCTGGGTACTGGTTCCATTTGTGAAACAATGCAGCGAGGAGTCCTCTCCTGCTCTGCTAAGCCCAGTGACAGGAGCGGGTCTTGGTTCAAAAAGCCCCTCTGAGAAGCCTTCCCTGGAGAATTCCGTGCTCCATCACTGTCTTCTCCAACTCCCTCATCCCGAAGTCATGTGGCTAATCTAGGATCAGCTGTCTCAGGAGCTGATTGTGTGCCTTGTGGCAAGACATGAGGCAGGGGTGTGCTGTCCTTGAGCCGGTCACACCCTTCCTGCCTGCTAATCCAGGAGTATGGCCTAGAAGATCCCTAAGGCCCTTTCTGGCCCTAGTGGTGAGGTATCTCAGAGATGTAAGTAAGAACTGCCCCCCACCCCCACCAAATGAAGAGGAATGGTCTGGGAGGAGCCCGCAGAGTGAGTTGGGGTCTGGGTCAAGGGGTGTGAGGCCACTAACCCACACTTTATGTCTAGATCTGGGACATCAAGGATTACTGCGCATTGATTGATAAACAGCCATTCCAATCCAGTGGGGCCAAGGTTGTCTCTGAAGCACACAACAAGTTCCGGTTGTTAATTCCTCAGCAACTTGGGACCAACTTCCCACACTACATTCCCTTGGAGGATAAAGAGGTAGGAGGATTACTGGAGAGTTGCTCAGGAAAGTGCCTTTGAGCCCCACAAATGAGCTAGGACCATAAACTAACTCATACCCAAGAGAAATACACTTACTAAAAGATAAGAGCAAAAATATTGATAGAATTAGTATTCGTGGCCAGTCGTGGTGGCCCACGCCTGTAATCCCAGCACTTTGGGAGGCTGAGGCGGGTGGATCACGAGGTCAGGAGTTTGAGACCAGCCTGACCAACATGGTGAAACCCTGTCTCTACTAAAAATACAAAAATTAGCCGAGTGTGGTGGTGCACTCCTTGTAATCCCAGCTACTCAGGAGGCTGAGGCAGGAGAATCGCTTGAACCTAGAAGGCAGAGGTTGTAGTGAGCTGAGATCGCGCCATTGCATTCCAGCCTGGGCGACAGAGCAAGACTTCGTTTCAAAAAAGAAAAAGAGTTAGTATTCGTAATAATGCCACATTAGAAACAACTCAAATGCCCATCACCGTAGACTGGAAAATAAATTACAAATAAATTACAGTGTAATATCTGGCACCAGAAGTGAATTTACTCACTACAAAATGGAGAACTCTTCAAACAATTTAGGCAAAAGAAGTCAGACCCAGAAGAACATATATTAGAAATGATTGTTTTTGTTGGGGGAGTGGAGAGGCTGGAAGGAATCATGAAGGGGACTTCTGGAGAGGTTGGCAGTGCTCTGCTTCATTAACGGGCCTGATCATGCAGTTGTATTCAGTTTCTAAAAATTTATTCAGTGGTGGGCCGGGCACGGTGGCTCATGCCTGTAATCCCAGCACTTTGGGAGGCCAAGGCTGGTGGATCATCTGAGGTCAGGAGTTTGAGACCAGCCTGGCCAACCTGGTGAAACCCTGTCTACTAAAAATACAAAAATCAGCTGGGTGTGGCGGTGCACGCCTGTAATCCCAGCTACTTGGGAGGCTGAGGCACAAGAATCACTTGAACCCGGGAGGTGGAGGTTGCAGTGAGCCTAGATTGCTCCGTTGCCCTCCAGCCTGGGCGACAGCGTGTGACTCTGTCTCAAAAAAAAAAATTATTCAGTACTACACTTATATACGATTTTCTATGTGTATATCATACATCAATGAAAGTTTTAAAAAGTCAGGTAACGTAAAAAGGCTTACAGCGAAGAGTCTAAGTCCCATTCCTGTTCCCCCAAACAGTTCATGCTCCCTGAAGTAACCACGTGTGTTGATTTTTGGTTATTCCTCTGGTGTTTACTTATGCAAACACGATGTGTAAAGTTATTTTCTACTGAAGGTATCATTTCACTTATACTGGTACTCATCTTGCTTTTCTTGCTGTATGATATATCTTGGAGACCTTTGCATAGCAGCACTATCCCATTTTAAGGTAAATTTGTCTTTAAAAAAATCTTACACAAAAGTGAATAGTGAATGTTATTTCACATATGTGAAGGCATTTCTGTAGGAGATGTTCTTGGAAGTGGGATTGCTAGGTAAAAGGGTTACATGCATTTGCAATTTTGATAGCCTTCTTGCAGTCTTATGTGCCTTTTGAATCTCTACATGAGTATGTTATGGCTAGTTCGTTTTAGTATGAAGAGAATGTCATTATATTAAAATGTCTTGGGAACTGATTACCCACAGTGTCAGTATGTGAAGAATTTATAATGTTGATACAATCATCATCATAATAATATTTATTTACTGCTTGCAATGTTCCAGGGATGGTGATAGTATATTATATATGCATTCATTAATCTCCATAATGACTTGTGAGGGAGATGATGTTTTTCAGATGAGGAAGTAATGAAACTGAAGAGCTGAGAGACTCGTCTAAGCTCCAGTAGCAACCAGTGTAGACCTGAGACTAAACCTAAGTCTGTCTGACTCCAGAATCTGTGTTCCTGACCATCTGCTCTTAGTTTTATAATGATATATTTTAAACAATTGGGATTATATTGTATGTAACTGGAATTTCCTATACCATCAAGTATTCTTTTTTCTTTAAAAATTTTATTGTTTCAAATAGATAAATCATAATTGTAGACATTTCTGAGGCACAGTGTGCTGTTTTGATCTATGTACACATGTGGAATGATTAAATCAAGCCAATTAACATATCTACCACCTCACTTACAATTTTTATGGTGAGACATTTAAAATTTACTCTTAGTTATGTTGAAGTATGCAATATATTACTGACTATAGTCACTCTGCTGTGCAGAAGATCTCAAAACTTTTTCCTCCTGTCTGACCAAAACTTGGTACCCCTTTGACCAATAACTTCCCATTCTCTCTCCCTTATTCCCCACCCCACCCTCTAAGCCTCTGGTAACCATCATTCTCCTTTCTACTTCTTTTTAAAAACCTCTTTTTGGCCGGGCTCAGTGGCTCAAGCCTGTAATCCCAGTACTTTGGGAGGCCGAGGCGGGCAGATCACCTGAGGTCAGGAGTTCAAGACCAGCCTGGCCCACATGGTGAAACCTTGTCCCTACTAAAAATACAAAATTAGCCAGGCATGGTGATGCGTGCCTGTAATCCCAGCTACTCTGGAGGCTGAGGCAAGAAATCACTTGAACCTGGGAGGCAGAGGTTGCAGTGAGCCGAGGTTGCGCCACTGCACTTCAGCCTGGGCAACAAAGTGAGACTCCGTCTCAAAAAATCAATCAATCAAATCAAAGCAAATCAAAAACTTTTTTTTTTTTTTTGTAGAGATGAGGTCTATGTTGCCCAGGCTGGTCTTGAACTCCTGGGCTCAAGGAATCCTCCTGCCTTGACCTCCCAAAGTGCTGGGATTACAGGTGTGAGCCACCGTGCCCAGCCCTTTCTACTTCTATGAGTTTGACTTTTTATAATTCCATATATAAATACAATCATGCAGTATTTTTCTTTCATGACTGGCTTATTTCACTTACCATAATGTCTTCCAGATTAATCTATGTTGTCCCAAATGACAGGATTTTTTTTCTCTTTTAAGGCTGAATAGTATTCCATTATGTATATACACCACATTTGCATTATCCATTCATCCACTGATGGCCCCTTAGGTTGATTCTATATCTTGGCTATTGTGAAAAGTGCTGCAATGAACATGGGAGTGCAGGTATTTCTTTGACATATTGATATGACATATTGATCTCTTTTGGATATATACCCAGAAGTGGAATTGCTAGATCATATAGTAGTTCTAATTTTAGTTTTTTGAGGAAACCCCATACTATTTCTCGTAGTGGTTGATATGGTTTGGTTGTGTCCCCACACAAATCTCATCTTGAATTGTAGCTCTCATAATCCCCAGCTGTCGTGGGAGGGACCTGGTGGGAGGTAATTGAATCGTGGGGGTGGGTTTTTCCCACCATTCTAATGATAGTGAATAAGTCTCAAGAGATATGATGGCTTTATAAAGGGCAGTTCCCCTGCTCATGCTCTCTTGCCTGCTCCCATGTAAGACGTGCCTTTGCTCCTCTTTCACCTCTGCCATGATTGTGAGGCCTCCCCAGCCATGTGGAACTGTGAGTCCATTAAACCTTTACTTTATAAATTACCCAGTCTCGGATATGTCTTTATTAGCAGCATGAGAACAGACCAATACAGTGGTTGTACTGATTTACATTCCCTCCAACATTGTACAAGGGTTTTCTTTTTTCTGCCTCCTCACCAACACTTGTTTCTTGTCTTTTTGATAACATCTAATCTAACAGATGTAAGATGATATCTCATTGTGGTTTAATTTGTTTTTCCTAATGATTAGTGGTGCTCAGCATTTTTTTTCTTGAACCTGTTGGCCATTTGAATGTCTTCTTTTGAGAAATGTCTCTTTGGATGCTTTCTCCATTTTCTCTTCTCTTCTCTTTTCTTTCTTTCTTTCTTTCTTTTTTTTTTTTTTTTTTTTTTTTTGAGATGGCGTTTTGCTCTTGTTGCCCGGGCTGGAGTGCATTGATCCAATCTTGGCTCACTGCAACCCCCGCCTCCCGGGTTCAAGCAATTCTCCCGCCTCAGCCTCCTGAGTAGCTGTGATTACAGGCACAGGCTACCACACCCGGCTAATTTTGTATTTTCAGTAGAGACGAGGTGTCACCTTGTTGGTCAGGCTGGTCCCGAACTCCTGACCTCAAGTGATCTGCCCGCCTTGGCCTCCCAAAGTGCTGGGATTACAGGCATGAGCCACTGCACCTGGCCACTTTGCCTATTTTATTTTATTTTGAGATGGAGTTTTGCTCTTATTGCCCAGACTGGAGTGCAATGGCGCAATTGCAGCTCACCACAACCTCCGCCTCCCAGGTTCAAGCAATTCTCCTGCCTCAGCCTCCCAAGTAGGTGGGATTACAGGCATGCGCCACCACGCCCAACTAATTTTGTAGTTTTAGTAGAGATGGGGTTTCTCCATGTTGGTCAGGCTGGTCTTGAACTCCTGACCTCAGGTGATCTGCCCACCTTGCCTCCCAAAGTGCTGGGATTACAAGAGTGAGTGCACCTGGCCCACTTTGCTCATTTTCTAATTGGGTTATTCGTTTTCTGGCTATTGAGTTGTTTGAGTTTCTTATTTATTGTGGATGTTACTCCCTTATCAGATGTATGATTTACATATATTTTCTGTCACTCTGTGGGTTATCTCTTTACTTTGTTCATTGTTTCCTTTCTGTCCAAAAGCTTTGTATCTTGTCTAAAATCCCATTTGTCTATTTTTGCTTTTATTTATTTTTATTTTTATTTTTATTTTTTATTTTTTTGAAACGGAGTCTTGCTCTGTCACCCAGGTTGGAGTGCAGTGGTGCAATCTCAGCTCACTGCAACCTCTGCCTCCCAGGTTCAAGGAAGTCTCCTACTCCAACTTCCTGAGTAGCTGGGATTATAGGCGTGTGCCACCATGCCTAGCTAATTTTTGTATTTTTTGGTAGAGACAGGATTTCACCATGTTGGCCAGGCTGGTGTTGAACTCTTGACCTCAGGCAATCCGCCTGACTCAGCCTCCCAAAGTGCTGGGATTACACGTGTGAGCCACCGCGCCTGGCCTATTTTTGCTTTTATTACCTGTGCTTTTGGGGTCATAGCTAAATAACCATTGCTCAGATCAATGTCATGGAGCCTTTCCTCTAGGTATTCTTCTAGTTGTTTTACAGTCTCAGATCTTATATTTAAGACTTTAATCCATTTTGAGTTGATTTTTTATACTGTGTGAGATAAGGATCCAATTTTATTCTTCTGTATGTGGATCCAATTTTCCTAGTACAGTTTATTGAAAAGACTGTCTTTTCCCCATTATGTATTAGTAACACCTTTGTCAAAAATCAATTGACTATTAGTGCATGGGTTTATTTCTGGGTTTTCTATCTTGTTACATTAGTCGATGTGTCTATTTTTATGCCAGCACCATACTGTTTTGATTATATTAGCTTTATAATATATTTTGAAATCAGGGACTGTGATGTCTTTAGCTTTGTTCTTTTTGCTCAAGATTGTTTTGGCTAGCCAGGGTCTTTTATGATTGCATATGAATTTAAGGATTGTTTTATTTCTATAAGAAATGACATTGGAATTTTGATAGGGACTGCATTGAATCTGTAGATTGCTTTGGGTAGTATGAATATTTTAATAATATTAATTCTTCTAATTTATCAACACAAGATAGCTTTCCATTTATTTGTGTTTTCTTAAACAATGTTTTAGTTTCCAGTGTACAGATCTTTTAACTTCTTGGTTAAATTTACCCCTAAGTATTTTATTTTATTTTAAAATACCTGGCTAATTTTGTATTTAATTTTATATTGTATTTATTTTATTTGTAATAAAATTAAGCATTTTATTTTATTTTAAAATACCTGGCTAATTTTGTATTTTTAGTAGAGACAGGGTTTCTCCATGTTGGTCAGGCTGGTCTCGAACTCCAGACCTCAGGTGATCCGACTGCCTCGGCCTCCCAAAGTGCTGGTATTAGAAGCATGAGCCACTGCCCACTGCACCTAGCTGAAAACCACACTTTCTGTTGATTAAATAATATTTCACCTTATGGAGTTACAAATTTTCATTTTATGGGGTTATAATCACTTACTTAGCTTGTTATCTTTTGTTGGACATTAATGTGGTTTCTAACTTTTCATTATCAAAAAATAAAAGAAAATGGACAAAACCTCAGAAAGACACAAACTACTAAAGCTGACTTAATAAGAAATAGAAAATCTGAATATATAGAAAATCTGAATGTAACAAGTAAGGAGATTGGATTAGTAATAAAATTTCCCACAAAGAGAAGTACACATTCAGATGGTTTCACTGGTAAATTCTACCAAATATTTAAAGATTTTTCTTTTTTTTTGTTGAGACAGAGTCTCACTCTATTGCCCAGGCTGGAGTACAATGGTGTGATCTTGACTCACTGCAACCTCTGCCTCCGGGGTTCAAGTGATTCTCCTGCCTCAGCCTCCCGAGTAGCTGGGATTACAGGCATGCACCACCATGCCTGGCTAATTTTTGTATTTTTAGTAGAGACAGGGTTTCACCACATTGGCTAGGCTGGTCTCGAACTCCCAACCTCGTGATCCGCCCACCATGGCCTCCCAAAGTGCTGGGATTACAGGCGTGAGCCACCACACCTGGCTAAAGAATTAATGTCAATTGCTCACAAACTCTTCCAAAAGAGTTCTCTATGAGGCCAGTATTACCTTGATACCAAAACCAGATAAAGATATCACAGGAAAATAAAACTGTAGACCAAATATTTTTATGAATATAGATACAAAAATCTTCAAAATACTAGCAAATTGAAACCAACAACATATGAAAATGATTATACACCATGACCAAGTAAGATTTATCCCAGGAATGCAAAGTTGGCTAAATATCCAAAATCAATTAATGTAATACACCATATTAACTGAATAAAAAACAAAAGCCATATGATTATGCCAATAGATGCAAAAAGAGCATTTAACAAAATTGAACACCGTTTTCTGATTGAAACACCCAATAAACTAGAAATAGAAACTCCTTCAACCTGATAAAAGCCATTTATGAAAACTCACAGGTAGCATAAAACTTCATGTTGAAATATTAAATACTTTCCTGTAAAATCAGAAATAAAACAAGAATGGTTACTCTTGCCACCCCAATTTAACATTTTATTGGGAGGTCAGTTAGGCAAGAAAATGAAATAAAAAGTATCTATATTGGGGAGGAAGAAGTTAACTATCTCTATCTGCAGATGACATAATCTTATATCTAGAAAATCCTAAATAATTTATTAAAAACTATTAAAACTAATAAATTCAATAGGGTTGCTTGATATAAATATACAAAACCAATATATTTATATACACTAGCAATAAACAATCTGAAAATGAAAATTTAAAAATTTCACTTATAATCGCATCAAAAAAATACTTAGGAATAAATTTGGAAAAGTAGTGCAAAACTTGATTCCTGAAAATTGCATAACATTATGGGAAGAGATGAAAGAATACCCAAATAAATGGAAATACATCTCATGTTCATTGATTGGAAGACTGGATGTTGTTAATATAGCATATTCCCCAAATTGATTTAATGCAATTTATATCAAAATCCCAGCTGCTTTCTCTTCTCTTTTCTCTTCCCTTTTCTTTTTCTTTTCTTTTCTTCCTTCCCTCCCTCCCTTCCTTCCTTCCTTTCTTTTTCTTTCTTTTCCTTCCCTTCCTTCCTTCCTTCCCTCCTTCCCTCCTTCCCTCCCTCCCTCCCTCCTTCCTTCCTTCGTTTCTCTCTTTCTTTCTTTCTCTCTCCCCAACTTCTTTCTTTTTTCTTTTCCTTCCTTCCTTTCTTTCTCTCTTTCTTTCTCTTTCTTTCTTTCTTTCTTTCTTTCTTTCTTTCTTTCTTTCTTTCTTTCTTTCTTTCTTTCTTTCTTTCTTTCTTTCCTCTCTCTCTCTCTCTCTCTCTCTTTCCCTCCCTCCCTGCCTTCCTTCCTTCCATATTCTCTCTCTCTCTCTCCTTTTTTTTTTTGTTTTTTGTTTTTTGACAGAGTCTTGCTCTGTCGCCCAGGCTGGAGTGCAGTGGTGCAATCTCAGCTCACTGCAACCTCCGCCTCCCAGGTTCAAACGATTTTCCTGCCTCAGCCTCCCAAGTAGCTGGGACTACAGGCATGTGCCACCATGCCTGACTAATTTTTTTGTATTTTTAGTAGAGACGGGGTTTCACTGTATTGGTCACGCTGGTCTCAAACTCCTGACTTTGTGGTCCGCCTGCCTTGGCCTCTCAAAGTGCTTGGATTGCAGGCATGAGCCACCTCGCCTGGCGGGCTGGCTTTCTTTTCTTCCTTCCTTCCCTCCTTTTCTCCCTCCCTTCCTCCCTCCTTTCTCTCTCTGTCTCTCTTTTTCTTTTTTTCTCCCTTCCTTCCTTCTCTCTCTCTCTTTTTTTTTTCTTCTATTTGACAGAGTCTTGCTCTGGTACCCAGGCTGGAGTGCAGTGGCGCCACCTCGGTTCACTGCAACCTCCGCCTCCCAGATTCAAGCGATTCTCCTGCCTCAGCCTCCCGAGTAGCTGGGATTACAGGTGCCCGCCACCATGCCTGGCTAATTTTTGTATTTTCAGTAGAGATGGGGTTTTGCCATGTTGGCCAAGCTGGTCTCGAACTCCTGACCTCAGGTGATCCACTCGCCTCAGCCTCCCAAAGTGCTACGATTACAGGCATGAGCCACTGTGCCTGCCTGCCTGCCTGCCTCCCTCCCTCCCTCCCTCCCTTCCTTCCTTCCTTCCTTCCTTCCTTCCTTCCTTCCTTCCTTCCTTCCTTCCTTCCTTGCTTTTTGGAGATACAAGGGATATAGATAGTAAGAAAAAAATCTTGAGAAAGAACAGAGTTGAAGGACTCACAATTCCCAAGTTCAAAACTGAATATGAAGTTAAGTAATCAAGACAATGTGATACTGGCATAAAGAAAGACATGTAAATCAATGGAATAGAATTTAGAGTTAAAAAATAAATTCTCACATTATGATCAATTGATTTTTGACAAGAATGCTGAGACAATCAAATGGGGAGAAATAATATATTTTTTAAAACATGTCCTGCTGGGACAATAGGGATAACTTTATCTGTATTAGAAGAATGAAGTTAGACTCCTACCTCATAACACATACAAAAATTAACTCCAAATGGATCATAGACCTAAATGTAAGAGCCAAAATTATAAGACTTTTAGAAGAAAATAAATGGAAAATACTTGTGACCTTAGACAGTGTGTCTTAGATATGACACCAAAAACAAGCTACAAAAGAAAAAAACAGATAAATTGGACTTTGTCAAAATTAAAAACTTTTGGGCTGCAAAGGATACCGTCAAGAAAGTGAAAGGGTAACCTGAAAGAAAATACTTGCAAATCATATATCTGATAAGGGACTAGTATCCAGAATATATAAAGCACTCTTGCAACTTGATAAAAATGATAAATAACCAAATTAAGATACGGGTAAAGGATCTAAATAAACATTTCTTCAAAGAAGATGTACAAATGGCTAATAAGTATATTAAATGATGGTGAACATCATTAGCTATCAGGGAAATGCATATTAAAACTATAATGAGATCCCACTTTACACTTGCCAGGATAACTATAGATAATAGCAATGGTTGGCTGGGATGTGGACAAACTGGGACTCTTACACATTGCTGGATAGAATGTAGAAAGCTGGCCAGGTACGGTGGCTCAGGCCTGTAATCCCAGCACTTTGGGAGGCTGAGGTGGGCGGATTATGAGGTCAGGAGTTTGAGACCAGCCTGGCCAGCATGGTGTAACCCCGTCTCTACTAAACATACAAAAATTAGCAGGGCATGATGGCGGGTGCCTGTAATCCCAGCTACTCGGGAGGCTGAGGCAGGAGAATCGCTTGAACCTGGGAGGCGGAGGTTGCAGTGAGCAGAGATCATGCCATTGCGTTCCAGTCTGGGCAACAAGAGCAAAACTCCAAACTCTGTTTAAAAAAAAAAAAAGAAAAAGAACATAGAAAGCTGCAGTCACTTTGGAAAACAGTCTGGCAGTTCCTCAAAAATTAAGTGTAGACTTACCATATTACCCAACAGTTCCACTCCCAAGTGTATACCCAAGAGAAATGAAAACATATGTTCACATAAAATCTTGTACATGAATGTTTATAGTAGCATTATTTATAATACAAAAGTGGAAACAACCCAAATGTCAACTTCCAAATGGATAAAGTGTGGTATGGTGATACAATGGAATGTTATTTAATAATAAAAAGGAATAAAGTACTGATGCATGCAACAACATGGATGAACCTTGAAAATACTGTGCTAAGTGAAAGAAGCCAACCACAAAATACCATATATTGTGTGATTCTGCTTAAATGACATGTCCAGAATGTCCATATTAAAGTAGATTAGTGGTTTCCTGAGGCTGGGGGAGGGAGTTGGGGAAATTGCGTAGTGACTACTGGGTAAAGAGTTTCTTTCTGGGGTGATGAAATGGTCTAAAATAGAATGTGGTGGTGGTTGCACAGCTCTGAAAATACTAAAAACCATTGAATGAGCACTTTAAATTGGTAAATTTTTATGTGAATTATGATTCAATAAAGTTGTGTTTAGATATTACTAAAAATGATGGTACAAATATTCTTTTTCACAAATGTTTTTTGTTGTTGTTTATAGTTGTTTATTTGTACATCTAGTAATTTGTCCCAAGGAAAGAGTATGTAAAAGAACATAAGTCACTTTAAGGCCTTTAATGTATACTACAAAATTGCACTCTAGAAGGTTTATACAGTTTTGCATTTCATTAGCCTGTTTTTTTTATCTTTGACAACCTAAAGAATTTATTAGTGGTATTCATCTGAGGATCCTCTAGGTCTATCAGAGTGTCTTTCTTATAGAAGGCATTCAATAAATAAATGTCCTAAGTGAGCAAAACATTTTTGGTTGATTTTTAGGTGCAAATGGTTTCTTTTGATTTTAATTAAGATGCCTTTGTTTATTAGTGATGTTGACATATTTTCTTAATCTATTGGCTTTGTATAACTTTATGAATTGTCTCTTCATGTCCTTTGCCTACTTTTCTATTGTGGTAACTATCTTTTATAAATGTTGTATAATTATTTAAAAATACATTAGGTTGGGCATGGTAGATCATGCCTGTAATCCCAGCTCTCTGGGAGGCCAAGGTGGGCAGATTGCTTGAGCCTAACAGTTCGAGACCAGCCTGGGCAACATAGTGAGACCCCATCTCTAAAAAAAAAAACCAATAAAAATATATTAAAAGATTAACTGATTGTCTATCATATGGATTACAAATATCCCCCCCAATTTGTCATTTGCTTGTTAATTTTATTTATGATGACTTAAAAATTACAATATATTTTTTGGTGTTCAAGTCAGTTTTTGTCCCCATTGTGATATTTTCCTTTGCCTGTTTATCACTTTCTTAGAGAAAAGATAAATACTGATTCGTTCTTTTGTAGGTGTTTTATGATTTCATTGAAAATAAAATCTTCAACGCATCTAGTATTCATTTGGGTGTAAGATAAAAGATAACAACGTAGGTTTCTCTTATAGTTCATCAGGTATCCTACTACTGTTTATTGAGTCATGTTTTCTGTTACCACTCTTACTATATACCAGTTTTACATACATTTGGGTTGGTTTCTGAGCTTTCTATTGTCTTCCATTGCTTTGTTTAAAATTTAAAGTTTATTATTCTGACTTTCCATACTTGAATATGGTCGAATAAGTCCTCCTTTATTAATCTTGTTTTATTTAAAAATGGTCATTTTCACTCATTTTCCAGTTCAGTAGTTTTATTCTCTCAGTGTAATGTGATTTATCACCCCATTGCTCACCCTATTCATCTCCCAATACCCAGCTGAAAAACTTTAGAAGACTGAGGCTCTTGCCCTGGCCCCATCACTTTCTAGCTATGTGGGCTTAGGCTAGTTATTGAACATGTCTGACTCTCACTTTTCTCCTCTGTAAGTCAGTGAGAATTATATACTTCTTATAAGGTTGTGAGGTTCAAATGGAATAATGTGTACAGAGGCACTTGGTAAACAATGTAGTCATATGCAAGTCATATGCAAGTCATATGTAGTCAGCTTGGTGAATTTTGAGAAAGTAAATGCAAGTTCTTTTTATGGTTTTACCTAAGGGGCCAGTGAGGGCCAGAGAAGTGCCGGGACCTATGTAAGGTCGCAAGCAAGTTCATGTGGAATGCATCTAGAACTAGAACGCTAGCCTGTGTCCCAGGGCCCTTCCAACTGGGCTCTGCTGCCTGCAGTCCTGGGTGCCTTCTAATTAGCCTGTGTAGTGGTCTTGGTAAAAGTGTTTCTCCTGTACTGTCCCCTATAGGTTGTGGCTGGCCATACCATTTCCCTGGTTCCCCCCACGCTCCTGATGACCTGGAAAGGCCATTTGAATAGTGTGGCAGACATCCTGTATGTGGACAACTTCCAGCTGGTTATCAGCGCTGGCCAGGACCGGGACGTCAAGGCTTGGAAACTCTCCGGTGATGCCATTGGTATGGGTCCTGCTGAAGCTCAGCCATGCCCATGGCCCTTCTTGTCTCTGTCCCTGTCTGAACATAAGCTGGTATGAACTTTGTACTCTGTGGGGAGGGACTCTCAGGCCACAGCAACTGCCTTCACTTAAATAATATTACAGTCTGTCCAATTATCCATTCAGCAAACGGTCCATCCATTCACCCATCCACCCAATATTATTCACCTATGTATATTTTTGCAAATCATATATCTGATAAAGCATATTCCTTTCTCTTTTAAAAAATAAACTTAATTGTTGCATTGTATATAAAGAAAAACATACAAACCAGAAGGGTTCAGCTTGGTGAATTTTGAGAAAGTAAATACATACCCATATAGCCACCGTTCATGTCAAGAAATAATTAGGGCCAGGCGCGGTGGCTCACTACTGTAATCCCAACACTTTTTTGTCCCCTTTTCCTCCTGTGCTGTCTTCCTATGTGTTTGTTTGTTTGTTTTAGTGACCTGTCTCTACTAAAAATACAAAAATTAGCCAGGCATGGTGGTGCATGCCTGTAATCCCAGCTACTTGAGAGGCTGAGGCAGGAGAATCGTTTGAACCTGGGAGGCAGAGGTTGCAGTGAGCTGAGATCATGTCACTGCACTCCAGCCTGGGCAACAGAGTGAGACTCTGTCTAAAAAAAAAATAATAATAAAAATAAAGTGACTTATGTGCCACTATTACAGTATTACAGCATTCTGTATTTTTCTATGTGTTTACATTTATCAGAAAGCTTTGTATTTTCATATGCTTTCATGTTCCTGCCTAGCATCCTTTTGTTTCAACTTGAAGGGGTCCCTTTAGCATTTCTTTAAAGGCAGGTCTAATGGTGATGAACTCCTCTTGTTTTTATTTATCTGGGAAAATTTTTATTTTTCCTTCATTTTTAAAGGACAGCTTTCCTGGATATAGTATTTTTGGATGAGAGTTTTTGTTCTTTTTATAATGTGTCTCCTTGTGGATTTCTTTGACTTTATCCTAGTTGGAATCCCTTGAGCTTCTTGAATATAGGTTTCTTTTCCTTTTTAAGATTTGAAACATTTTCAGCCATTATTTATTCAGATAAGCTTTTTGTCCCTTTCTCTCTCTCTGTCTCTCTCTCCTCCTTCTAGTACTACCATAATGCATATATTGTCCATTTGACGATGTCTCATAAATCCCTTAAGTTTTCTTTACTCTTTAAAATTCTTTTTTCTTTTTTGCTTCTCTGACTGGATATCTTCAAGTCTGCTGATTTTTCCTTCTGCTTGATCAAGCCTGCTGTAGATGACTTTTGAATTCAATTATTTTACTCTTCATCTTCAGCTCTAGAATTTCTGTTATTTTTATTATTATTATTATTATTTTTTGAGACAGGGTCTTGCTCTGCCACCCAGGGTTGAGTGCAGTGGCACGAATTCAGCTCACTGAAGCCTTGACCTCCCAGCCTCAAGTGATCTTCCCACAGCCTCCTGAGTAGCTGGGACTACAGGTGCATGCCATCATGCCTGGCTAATTTTTTGTATTTTTTGTAGAGACAGAGTTTCACCATGTTGCCCAGGCTGGCCTTGAATTCTTGAGCTCAAGTGATCGCCCACCTAAGCTTCCCAAAGTGTTGGGATTATAGGTGTGGGCCACCATGGCTGGCCTCTGTTTGGTTCTTTTCTATATTTTCTGTGTCTTCACTAATATTCTCAGTTTGTTCATGTATTGTTTCCCTGAGCTTGTTGAGCATTTTTATTACGGTTACTTAGAATTCTTTGTCAAATAATTAATATACCTCAATTTCTTTAGCGGCAGTTTCTGGAGATTTATTTTGTTCCTTTGGGCCATGCTTTCCTATTTTTTTTGTGTGCCTTATAACTTTATATTGGGATCCATGCATTTGTAAAATCAGCCACCTCTCCCAGTCTTTATATACTGGCTTCATTCAGGGAAAATTCTGCACCAATCAGCTTGGCTAAAGATTCTGGGTGCCTCCCCAATCTTTTTTGTGGATACTTTCACCAGACTTACGCATGTAAATTCGCAATTACAGGAATCTACAGGTTTATTTTTTTCAGGAGTCCATTATCTCTTGCTCTCTCTGGTGTCTATTTGCAGTACTGCAAGTTCTCTAGAGCGGCTACAAGCTTCCCCCAGGCCTCTAGAATATGCTGGGTCCTTCAATAGTCTGAGAGAGGCAAGACAGAAACCAGTTTCTTGGGTACCCCTCAAAGGCTAACATTGGATATGTATGCTCCAAATCTGCCTCCTCAAGGAGAAGCTGGAAGTTGGGTTGTTTTCTCTACTCATTCCACAGAGCGGCAGGAGGGACTCTGATAGTGTGTGCTAGTCTAAATTGTCACCTTTGTTCTTAGTAGCCCAGTCTGGTGCCTCTTCCTGTCAGTGCTTAGATTCAGGCAAGACAGAAACTGGTTAATCATGCAGCCCTCTGAAAAGTCTGCATGTTGGATGTACATCTCAGTCTTTCCCTCCCAGGGAGAAGCTGGAAGCTGGTGGTTCCTTCCCAATCTGCTTCACTGAGCCAGGAGGAGGGATTACAAGTGAGCACTATGAATTTTCCTACTGGCTTCAGTGCAGCTGGTTTTTTGTTTTTTGTTTTTTTGGTTTTTGTTTGTTTGTTTTTTCATTCATCTGGGATGAATGGTCCTGGTTTCTGGTCCATGTACTGTTGTTCAGTCAGTGTCTCCATAGGGAGAAGGAAGTTCTGGATCTTCCTATTCTACCATCTTGCTGATGTCACCCATTTTTTTGTATCTTTCAAAGACGTCTTTGACTATCCCCTAAATATAATATCTAGTGTTATCTTTTAGAAGCTTGTTTTAAAAATCAGATTTCTGAAGTATAATTTACATCCAATAAAAGCACCTTTTAAAAGTATATAGTTCTGTGAGGTTTCATGAATGCATACAATTGTGTAATTGGTATCACAATCAAGACATAGACATTACCCCAAAAAGTGACCTCATGTCTCCTCATAGTAAACTCTATTTCCTTCTCCTAACCCCTGGCAGCCATTGATCTGTTTGTCTCTATAGTTTTGCCTTTTCCAGATTATCATAAATGGAAACATACACATGTAGCTGAGTGAAAGTCTAACTTTCACTTAGCATAATCAATTTGAGATTCATCTTTGTTGTTGAACGTATCAGTAGTTTGTTCTTTTTATTGCTGAGTATTATTCCACTGTATGGCTCTGTCATAGTTTGTTAATCCATTCACCAATTATAGGACATTTGAGTCATTGTCAGTTTTGGATGATTATGAATGAAGCCGCTTTAAACATTGTTTTCATTTCTGTTGGGTAAGTATTTAGAAGCAGAATGGCTGGGTTGTATGGTAAGTGTATTGAAACTTTATGAAAAATGACCAAACTGTTTTGCATTTCTACCTTTGTGTCTTCATCAACATTTGGTGTTTGATCTGTTATTATTTTAAATTTTAATAATCTATGATTGTAGCATGAGATTTCAATATTCTCTCAATTTATAAAACAACTATACAGAAAATCATTAATGATATAGAATACTTGAATAACACTATCAAACAATTTTACTTAATTAACATTTATAGATCATTCATAAACAAACATTATTTTTAAGTGCACACAGAACATTAATTAAACCGACCATATTCTGGTAACAAAACACATCTCACTAATCTCAAAAGGATTTATGCCATACAAAGTATGTTCTCTGATCCCAATGAAACTGAATTATAAATCAAAAACAGAAATATCTTTGAAATATCCCTAAATATTTGGAAGCTAAATGACACATTTCTAAATAACCCATGGGCCAAAAAAAGAAATCCAGAGGGAAATTAGAAAATATTTTGAACTGAATGAAAATGAAAATGTAACATTTCAAAATTTATGAGATGCCACAAAAAACAGTAGTAACGGGGAAATTTGTAGCACTAAATGCCTATATTAGAAGGAAAAAAGTTCAAATCTCCAGCCTCAACTTCCACATTAAGAAACTAGAAAGAGGTCTGGTGCGGTGGCTCACGCCTTTGGGAGGCAGGTGGGAGGATCATTTGAACCCAGGGGTTCAAGACCAGCCTAGGCAACATAACAAGACCCCATCTCAATTAAAAAAAAAAAAAAAGAAAAAAGAAACTAGAAAGAAAGAGCAAATTGAGCCCAAAGTAAATAGAAGAGAAATAATAAAGATTAGAATGGAAATCGATGAAACAGGGAAGTAAAAAATAATAAGGAAAATCAATGAACCCAAAAGCTGGTTCTTTGAAAAGATAGTTAAATCGATAAACCTCCAGCTAGACTGGGCAGGAAAAAGAGAGAGAATACACCAATTACCAATATCAGGAATGAGTGAGATGACATCATTTCTGATTCTACAGATATTAAAAGGATAACAATGAAATACTATAAACAACTTTATACAATAAATTTGGCAACTTATATGAAATAAACTCCTTGAAAGAAACAAACTACTAAATCTTACACAAGAAGAAACAGATAACCCGAATATCCTTATATCAAAGAAATTAAATTTGTAGTTTAAAACTCTCCTTACAAAGATACCTCCAGGCCTAAATGGCTTCCATGGTGAATTTTACCCAAATATTTGAAGGGGAAATAATATAAATTCTACAGAAACTCTTCCAGAAAGTTGAAAAGGGTACAATACTTCCCAACTCATGAGGCAACTTGGTACCAAAATCTGACAAAGACGTTATAAGAAGAAAGTGAAAAAGAAAGAAAGAAAGAAAGAAAGAAAGAAAGAAAGAAAGAAAGAAAGAAAGAAAGAAAAGAAAGGAAAAGAAAGCAAACTATCAATTAATATCCCTCATAAGCATAAATACAAAATATCTTAACAAAATTTTGCAAATAAAATCCAGCAATGATCACATAGGGTTTACCCCAGATATACAAGGTTGGTTTAATATTTGAAAATCAGTGTAATTTATTATATTAATAAAGTGAAAAACTATGTGATTATCTTGATACAATAAAATCATTTGACAAAATTCAACATCCATTTCTGATAAAAAACATTTAGCAAAATAGAAAAAACTTTCTCAACCTGAGGAAGTGCATCTGTGAAAAAACCTAAAACTAGCTTCACACCTAATGGTGAAAGGCTGAGTACTTTCCCCTGACCAGGAATAAGACATGTCACTTCGATTCAAAATTATACTAGAAGAGTAGAGGGCAATTACAGAAGGAAAAAAAAAGGCATTCAGATTGGAAAGGAAGAAATAAAACTGTTTTTATTTGTAGTTGACTAATTGTCTATGTAGAAAATCCAGTGGATTTTACTAAAAAGAGTTAGTAAGGAGTTTAACAAGGTTGCAGGATACAAGATCAATACAAAAAATCAATTGTATTTCTATATACTAGCAATGAACAGCCAGAAATTGAAGTAAAAGATACATTTACGAAAACATAAAACATAAATACCAAGATATGTAAGTACACAGAAAAATACTACAAAACATTGCTGAGACAAAGTATAGAAGATTTACTGTTAATGGGTAGAAGACTCTCTGATTAAGAATAAAATTATCTCCAAATTGATTTATAGGTTAACTGAAATACCAATCAATATCCCAGAAGAATTTTTGTAGAAATTGACACACTGATTCTAAAATTTATTTAGGCCAGTCAAAATAGCTTTGGCAAAGGAAACTAAGATGAAGGGCTAACATTGCCTGATTTCAAGACTTATTGTGAAGCCATGGTAATCAAGACAGTGTGGTAATGGCATAGAGACAGACAGACAGATCAATGGAATGGCACAGAAAGTCCAGAGATATATCCATACATATATGGACATCTGTTTCTGACAAAAGTGCAAAGGCAATTCAGTGGAGAAAAGACAGTCTTAAAGCAATGAACTTGGATCCACACCTCACACCACATACAAAAAGCAATTCAAAATGGGCCATGCATGATGGTTCACACCCGTAATCCAAGCACTTTGGGAGGATGAGGTGGGAAGATCACTTGAGGCCAGAAGTTCGAGACCAGCCTGGCCAACATGGCAAAACCCCATCTCTGCTAAACATACAAAAAATTAGCCAGGCATGGCGGTGCCTGCCTGCAATCCCAGCTACTCGGGAGGCTGAGGCACAAGAATCGCTTGAACCTGGGAGGCGGAGGCTGCAGTGAGCCAAGATCGCACCACTGCACTGCAGCCTGGGCAACAGAGCAAGACTCTGTCTCAAAAACAAACAAAACAACAAAACAACAACAACAACAACAAAAATGGAACATAGAACTAAAGGCAAAAGTTAAAACTAAAACTTCCAGAAGAAATCGTAGGAGAAAACCTTTGTGACCTTGGTTTAGGCAAAGATTGTTTGCATGCAACACCGATAGAGCATGATTCATAAAATATCAAGTTAATAACAGTTTATCAAACTTAAAAACTTCTGCTCTTCAAAAGACACTGTTAAGAGAACAAAGATAAACCACAGACTGGGAGAAGATATTTGCAAATCCTATATCTGATAAAGCTCCTATTTAGAATATATAAACTCTCAGAACTCAACAAGGAAACAAGTAATACAATAAAAACATTAGAAAGAGGTTTGAATAGACACTTCACCAAATTTGAAGAGACTTCACTGTAAGAATTAAAGAGGAAACACGAAGGACAGCTCAACAGTCAACAGGGACAGGTTTATTTTAAATAAACCTGAGAGGGGCGGCTGGCTGAGTTAGGTTAGAGCCACACTCTCTTACAGACTAAGAGTTTTTAAGGATTCAGGGTGGGAGAATTTATCAGAGGCTTGGACTGCTTCTGTGTCTCTTTGTTGTGCTTATCTGGGAGGGAGAGTTGTGTGTCTGTTCCCATACATCTTTCTGCAGCTGCAGGCAAATCCCCCGGGTTGCTTTTAGCTTCCCTATCTTAGTGCACCTGAAGGGAAAGGAATGTGCTTCTTAAGACCCACTGTTTTACTGGAGCCCATTGTATGAGGGTGAAGTTTAGCAGTTACCCAAGAGACCTCCCCCTCCCTCTGTGCCCAAGCTGTCCTATTGTATTTTACTGTCTGCTCTTTTTGGCTGCTTGTAGTTAGAAGAGACGTGATTTCCTTGAAATGCATGAGGCTAGAAAGGGAGCTGGAACTTAAAGTGGCAGTGTTTGTCCGAGATGACGGTGCTCCTGCTCTGTCATTCACCAAAGGAAATATATAGAAGCATGGAAAACAATGCGCAATATTTATTCATTAGAAGAGAAATACTAATTAAAACCGCTGTAAGATACCATTTATCTTATTAGAATGGCTAAAGGAGCTGAAACTCTCCTGCACGGCTAATGGGAATATAAAATGGTTCAACCACTTTGGAAAGCATTTTGGCAGTTTCTTAAAAAGTTAAATGTGCCCCTATGATATGAATCAGCTGTTCCACTTCTATGAAAGCATATGCCCGGGTAAAGACTACATACATAAATGTTCACAGCAGTATTTTTTTGTGACAGCCTCAAACTAGAAACGATTCAAATGTCCATCAATAGTTGAGTTGATAAACTATGGTTTATGGAATATCACTCAGCAATAAAACAGAATGAAGAATTGATACGTTATACAACGTGGTTGGATCTCAAAATAATTATGCTTAGTGAGAGAAGCCAGACGAAAACCTGTACATATTGTATGATTCTATTTATTTTTTCCCAACCATTTACACCTGCATCTATTTATATAAAATTTTAGGAAATGCAAACAAATGTGTAGTGTGACAGCAGATAACTGGTTGTTTGAGGATAGGGGGCTGATGAGGGTTGGAAGGGTGGGAGCTCAAAGAAGCAGGAAGAAACTTTTGCAGGTGATGGATATGTACACATTAAATAGAAACTGGTTATTGCATGTCAATTATACTTCAATAAAACTGTTAAAAATAGTCATCCTACTAGGTTTATAGTGGTATCTTACTGTGATTTTAATTTGCATTCCTCTAGTGACTAATGATGTTGAAATATTTTCTTGCACTTATTAGTTATCCATATATCTTCTTTGATGCAATGCCTGTTCAGATCTTTTGCCATTAAAAAAAACTGTGTTGTTTTCTTATTGAGTTTTGAGAATGCTTTATTCTGGATACAAGTTCTTGATCAGATATGAGGTTTTGAAAATATTTTTCTCCACTACTGTGGCTTGTGTTTACATTCTCTTCATAGTGCATTTTGAAGATCAGTGGCCAGGCATGGTGGCTCACGCCTGTAATACCAGCACTTTGGGGGGCCAAAGTGGGTGGATTGCTTGAGCTCAGGAGTTTGAGACCAGCCTGGGCAACATAGTGAGACTCTTGTTTCTACAAAAAAAAATATTAAAAATTAGCCAGTTGTGGTGGTGCATGTCTATAGTCCCAGCTATTCAGGAGGCTGAGGCAGGAGGATTGCTTGAGCCCGGGAGGTTGAAGATGCAGTAATCTGTGATTGAGCCACTGCACTACAGCCTGGGCAACAGAATAAGACCCTGTCTCAAAAAAAGAAAAAAAAAATCAGAAGTTTTAAATTTTGGCATTGTATGCAAGAAATTTTTGCCTAACCCAAGGTCACAAATGTTTCCACTATATTTTCTTCTATAAGTTTTATAGTTTTCACTCTTACTTTTTGGTCTATAATCATTTTGAGTTAATTTTTGTAATGTTGTGAAATATGAGACAAAATTTAAATTTTGCATGGAGATAGCCACTTGTTCCAGCACTATTTTTATCCTTTCTCCTTTGAGTTCCTTTTGTACTTTTGTCAAAAATCAATTTGTTATTGGCCACTCATACATCTACTCCTGTGAAGTGTCTCTTTGAGTATTTTGTTGTTTTTAAGAAATTTGGTTGCTTGTCTTTGTATTCTTGATTTGTAGAAATTCTTTGTGTCCTGGATATGAGACCTTTAACAGGTATCCACATTGTGAGTACTTTTATCAGTGTATCACTTGCCCGTTCATTTTCCTGATGGCATCTTTTGATGAGCAGAAATTTTTAATTTTGCTGAAGTCCAACTTACCAAGTTAAAGAACATGTTGGGTACTTTAAAATTGTGGTAAAATATATAGCATAAAACTTACCATCTTAACCATTTTTAAGTCTACAGTTCAGTAGTGTTAAGTATATTCACATTGTTGTGCCATAGATCTCTGGAACTTTTTCATTTTGCAAATCTGAAGCTTTATAGTCATTGAACATACTCCTCCATTTCCCGTTACCTCCAGCCCCTGGTAACCATCATTCAACTTTCTGTTTCTACGAATTTAACTACTTTAGTTACTCACCTAAGTAGAATAATACAATAGTCATCTTTTTGTGACTGGCATCTTTCACTTAGCATAATGCCCTCAATATTTATTAATATTGTAACATGTGACAAGATATCCTTTCTTTTTTAACATTGAATAATATTTCATTGTATATATATGCCACATTTTCTTTATCCATTCATCTGTTAATGGACACTTTAGTTGACTCCACCTCTTGGCTGTTGTGAATTGTGCTTCTGTGAACATGGGTGTGCAAGTATCTATCTCTTTGAGACCCTGCTTTCAATTCTTTTGGATAAATACCCAGTAGTGGGATTGCTGGATCATATGGTAGTTCTACTTTTCATTTTTTGAGGAACCTCCATACTGTTTTCCATAGCACATGTACCATTTTATAATCCCACCAAACATGCACAAGGGTTCCAATTTCTCTGCAACCTTGCCAGCACTTGTTATTTTGTTTTTGTTTTTTTTGTTTGAAACAGCCATTCTAATGGGATGATGTTGTGGTTTTGATCTGCAGTTCTCTAATGATTCATGAGGTTGGCAATCATCTTTTCATGTGCTTGTTGGCCATTGTATATCATCTTTGGAGAAATAAATATCTATTCAAGTCTTTTGCCCATTTTCAAATTGGGTGTTGTTGTTTTTAAGTTGTAGGAGTTCTTTATATATTATGGATATTAACCTCTTATCAGGGATATGATTTTCAGATACTTTCTCCCATTCTGTAGGCTTCGTTTTCATTGGGTTGATTGTTGATTGTGGTTTTTGTTTGTTTGTTTGTTTTGAAATGGAGGTTTGCTCTTGTTACCCAGGCTGGAGTGCAATGGTGCCATCTCAGCTCACTGCAACCTTCACCTCCTGGGTTCAAGCGATCCTCCTGCCTCAGCCTCCCGAGTAGCTGGGCTTACAGGCCCACCACACCTCTCTAATTTTTGTATTTTTAGTAGAGACAGAGTTTCATCACTTTGGCCAGGCTGGTCTCGAACTGCAGGCCTCAGGTGATACACCTGCCTCAGCCTCCCAAAGTGCTGGGATCTTAGATGTGAGCCACCACACCCAGCATGATTACGTTTTTTGATACACAGAGGTTTTCAAGTTTAATGTCTATTTTTGCTTTCATTGCCTGTTTTTTTAGTGTCATATCCAAGAAATAATGGCCTAATCCAATGTTATGAAGCTTTTCCTCCATATTTTTTCTAGGAGTTTTTACAGTTTTGGGTATTATCTTTAGGTATTTAATTCATTTTGAGTTCATTTTTGTATATGGCATAAAATAACAGTCCAGTTTTACTCTTTTGCATGTGGCAATTCGGTTTTCCCAAAACCATTTGTTGTAGAGACTATCTTTCCCAATTGAGTGGTCTTGGCACTTTTGTTGAATATCATTTGGCTATATATGTGAGGCTTTATTTTTGGATACTCTCTTCTATTCCATTGGTTTATATGTCTGTTTTTATGCCTGTACCACACTGTCTTGATTCCTGTAGCTTTGTAATATGTTTTGAAATCAGCAAGTAGATGTTTTTGTTCTCTAATAAATTTTTGCTTACATTAAAATTACAAAGATATTCTCTTAGATTTCCCTCTAGAAACTAGAGATTTTGGCTTTTAATTTAGCTCTATGATCCATCTTCAATTAATTGTTGTGTAGAGAGGATGTTTTCTCTATTTCTAATTAGCCAAGAGAGTTAAAAAAAATCATAAATAGGTGTTGAATTCTGTCAAACGCTTTTTCTGCTTCTACTGTGATAATCATATAGCTTTTGTCCTTTATCCTGTTGATGTGGTAAATTACATTTTTTGAATTTTGAAAATTCAACCTTGCATTCCTGGAGTAAACCCCACTTAGTCAAGATGTATTATTCTTTTAATATATTGTTGAATTCTATTTTACTCTTAATGGAACTTTATTGTATTATGGCCAGGAACCATTGAGTGCCCAAAACCTTCTTGGTCCTGGACATCTATCCTCCCCATGAGTAGAGTGGCCAATGGGAATTCAAAATACCATTTTACTTTGGTTCTCTTGGTTTTACCTAAAAAAATGCAGCATTTTTCTGGTAAGTGGAGATAGAGCTGTATGATTTTGCTTAAGGCAGGCCCCTCCCTCCCCCTAAAGCCAAACCCAGATCTTATCCTAGCTGGCCATTAGAGACAAGAACACAAGTGAAAAACAGAATGGCTCCTCCAAGTGCATTTGTAACAAGTGATCCCTGCTGGGCTCAGTGGCTCATGCCTGTAATCACAGCACTTTGACAGACCAAGGTGGGAGGATTACTTGAACCCAGGAGTTTGAGGCCAGCATGGGCAACAATGTGAGACCCTGTCTCTACAAAAAATTAAAAACTTAGCTGGGCATGGAAGTGTGCACCTGTAGTCCCAGTGACTCAGGAGGCTGAGGCAGGAGGATCGCTAGAGCCCAGGTGTTTGAGGTTGCAGTGAGTTAAGACTGCGCTGCTGTACTCCAGCTTGGGGAACAGAACAATACCCTGTCTCAAAAAATAAAAATAAAATAAAATAAAACAAATTATCTAAAAAACATGCCCTCTCAGTATTCGAGAGTCCTGTTTGGATTAGTAAATGTTCTATTCTTGAAGAAACCCCAAGAAGGGCTTGAGAAGGGGGCTGGGAGCCTTCCCCACCTCCAAACAGCAAGCATATATCTTCTGTTCCACGTCCTGAGCGAGGGTATAGGTGGCCTCCAACCCAGTTGGAATAAAGGTCCTGCCTCACATGTGCAAATGCTGCCTGCCCATGTAAGGGAGGGAAAAAGCTGTTTCTCTATTTTTTGTTAAAAACGACCCTTTCAGCCCATCTCTGTTCTTATATTTGTGTGCCTCTTTTAAACAATGTATAATTGAGTCTTATTTTTTTCATCCTGTCTGACAATCTTTACCTTTTAATTGGGTATTTAGTCCATTTAAATATCAACAATTATGTAGTTGGGTTGAAGTCAATCATCTTGCTATTTATTTTTTCTGTTTATCCTATCCTTGGTTTCTTTTTTCTTCCTTTTCTTATTTCTTTTGGATTAATCAAATATTTAAAAAATTGTTGTTTTATGTCCTCTGCTCTTTAAATGGTATCTTTTGTATTATTCTTTTAGTGATTACCTTAGAGATTATATGTATTCTTGACCTAGTGCTGCTTCCTGTACAAGAATCTTACATCCCTCCCATGTTTATGTTATTATTATATATTTTATTTCTACATATGTTATGTCTTCCTATAAGACATTGTCATTATTATTTCTTTCAGCAGTCAATTTCCTTTTATGGTTACTCACATATTTACCATTTCTGGTGCTCTTCATTCTTGAGTTCTAGGATTCTGTCTGCAGTTGTTTTCCTTTATTCTGAAGAAATTCCTATTTCTTATAGTGTTATCTGCCACTAATAAATTCTCAGATTAATAATTTTCAGATCAAATTTTCTGATCAAATTTTCAGATCAATAGTTTATTGATCTGAAAATATCTTTATTTTGCCGTAAAATTTAAGACTATTTTACTGGGTATAGAATTCTCAGCTGGCAGTTTCTTTTCTTTCAGCATTTAAAAAAATCATTCAGTGGTCTTCTGGTGTTGATATTTTCTGTTGAAAAGTCAGTTGCAAGTTGCTTCTTTGAAGGTAATTTGTCTTTTTTTCCCCTGGCTGCTTTTGGTTTTCAGCAGTTTGACTATGATGTGCGTAAGTGTGGTTTTGTTTGTATTTATTCTGCTTGGAGTTCACTGATCTTTTAAATCTAGAGGTTGATGTCTTTCATCAGTTTTGAAAAGCATTCAGATATTATCTCTTCACTATTACTTCTGCATTATTCTCTCTCTCCTCTCATTGTGGGGGTACTAACTATATGTATACTAGACTATTTGACTTTGTCTCATAGGTCTCATGCCCTATTCTTTTTTTTTTTTTTCATTTTTTTTCAATCTCTGAATTCCAGATTATTTTTTTGCTGACCTGCCTTCCAGTTCACGAATCCTATCCTCTTCTGTATGCAGCTTGCTATTAAATCTATTGAATTAGTTCTTAATTTTAGATGTATTTTTTTAGTTTTAGAATGTCCATTTGATTCTTTTCTATAGATTGCAATTCTTTTCCACCATTTTATTCAATTTTCCTTAATTTTATTTAACATTATTTGTAACAGTTATTTAAAGTTTTAATCTGCTAACTCCAATGTGAATCTTCTGGAGGGCCCACTTCTAATGCCTATTTCTTCTCTTGATTATTGGTTATATTGGCCTTTTCACATGTCATATATACAAAATAAAATTAAAAAAAAAAAACCCAAAACTTTTCTGGGCTTGTATAAATGGATTGTAAAGACTTTAGTTGATATTATTTCCCCCAGAGCATTTGCTCTTTCCTCTGTATAGGGCTGAGCATCTCCATCCAGTTGGGGATTGAACTGGGTTGGGGCTGGATAGCAGCTTTAGGAGGACTCAGTTTGCCTCTGTGTTCAGTTGTCTCAAGGTTGAAATCTGTGTCTGTTTCAGGCTCCTCCTTCAGTGGGACTCTGTCTCCCAATGATCTCATTCGGCTTTTCTATACCAGCACCTACAACCCCAGCCTCCCTGGTGCTCGGCAAATGTCCTAACAAGAAAAACAGCTGTGCATTCAGGCGAGACTTAATTAATCATGCCAGCCACAGTGGATGTCAGAAGCTCTGCTGGTTTCTCTCTCTCTAAGCCAAGTCTGATTCTCATTCAGCCCGTGTGTAGACTCAGGAGTGCCCCCGAGACAAGAAAGCAGCTCCCACTCCCAGCTCTTCTTGGAAAGACTTGTCCCTTTCTGTCATCTTAGTTCACCTGGCCCTCTTTGCTTCTACTGCTTTCCAGTGATTTTTTTTTTTCTTAAATGATTTTTTACCTGTTTTATTTTTCTTAACTTTAAAAATCCTGCAGCAGGAGAATGGCCTACTACTCACTATTCTCTGCCCAGGAGCAGGACTTAATTCTGTTTTCAGTACCTACTTTTTACTCCAGCCCCATTCCTTCCCCCACCACCCCAAATCTCATATCTGATGGGTGTCTGACCGTTTTATGCCATTGCCATTTTACACACAAGCTACCTGAAGCCCAACTGAGGATCATTCAGTCACTGCCATAGTACTCTCCCCATCTCAGTTCACATGTGGGGCAGGATGCTTTAGGCCTGAGCTCCGAGTGTGTCCTAGGGCTTCTGTCTGGCTCATCCACACGTTTGTTGAGTACTCAGTGTCGTGCCTGGTGTATGGTGGGCACTCAACATTTGAGTGAGTGTGGGGGCTGAGGATAGGGGCTGCTAGCTGACCCTTGAAGGGAGAGGATAAGGGGCAGAGGGCATGGAGGAGGGGGTATGCCAGTTGTGGTTCTGAGCAGTCTGGTCAAATCACAGGAACGTTTGGCCTGAGTGTGTGGAAAAGACTACAGGATGCCTGTGATGGTCCTCGTGAAAACAGAGCAAGCTTAGAGGAAGATGGTGACTCCACTGGCACCACCCAGAAGGTCTTACATCTGGAGCTGCAGTGAGTGAGCACAGCCTGCTTGATCTTCTCTGGCCTGAGGAGGGAGAGGCTGTGAGTCTTCCCAGGTCCTGGGAAGCCTCTACCTGGGTTGGGTAGAGCTAGGCATGGGTGGGGAGGACCCTCAGAAGGCCAGAGGCTTGAGGGTTGCAGGCAGCTCTACTCCACAGTGGCAGCTATGGCTGGAGAGCCCAGGCCCTATTTTAGCCCAGCTCAGCTGAAAGGTTGAGCAGTGAAAGGGGAAAATACAAAAACCCAAGTGCTTGGATGGGGCCCTGTCCCCCAGCCAGGCCCAGATTTGCTAGAGCTGGCTTCCCTGCAGAGATCATTGCTGCATGGCCAGAGGTCCCTGGCAGAGGAGTGCTCAGGCCCAGGCCCAAGTCCCTGATCCTGAGAGGACATTTGTGTTATTTCCCTGATTTGCAGGGAGGAGCAGGCTGCTGGCTACTTGGTCCTCCCCCTGCAGGTTCATCTCCTACCCACTCCATCCACTGCATCTTTATTCCTGACCAAGTCTCCAGTAATTCTGGTTCATTCAAGAAAATGTGTATTGAGATCCTACTGACTGCCAGACCTTGTGCTAGGTTCTAGAAATACAAGACATCCAGACACAGTCCTGCCTCAGAGAACTCACAGTTTACTCAGGGAGGTGGACATGCAAACTCATGGCTGCAATTTTATGTGATAAGTAATGAGAGTATTAGGAACAGGGATGGCTCAGAGGACAATCTACATGATTGAGTGGATCAAGTAAGGAAGGCTTCGTAGGAGAGGTGATTTTGGAGTTGGGTTTTGACATTTAAGTAGGAGTCTGTCAGGCATCCACAGAATCTTTGTGACTCCTATGCTTCCATCAAGGCATACATCTTGACAGTACAGTGGAGGGACATCAAACAAGGCAAAGGCAGGGTTTCCCTGGGGCAGGGGGCAGACATGTTTAAATAGTCCACAAGGGGAGGTCCAGATAAAGCCAGATCGGGTGTCAGGTCTGCATGGTGGAGAGGACAGAGTGGTGGGAGAGTGGCAGGACTGCTGGGCCAGCTGGATCCAGGCTTTGCAAATGTTAATTCCATACTTACTCAGTGATGGACTCTGGGGAGTCTGGCCTGAGGGAGGGATGGAAGATTGGAAAGGATCAGGCCAGGAAGGGGAGAGGCTTTCAGGGTTTCTGGGAGGGTCACCCTGCTTTGCAGTGGGGGGACATCTTGTGAAGGAAAGCCCCCACACTAGGGAGCAGCGGGATCTGGCTGAG
Organism: Homo sapiens; assembly: GCF_000001405.40. NCBI lineage: Eukaryota > Metazoa > Chordata > Mammalia > Primates > Hominidae > Homo > Homo sapiens. The sequence continues at coordinate 32,959,800 of NC_000020.11, forward strand.
GCCCTGATATACCAGCGGCGAGAGCAGGCGGCGCTGATGGCTCTCCTGCATGGGAAGGCAGATAAGGAGGCAGACACTTGGGCCAAGCTGCAGAAGATGGCCCTGATGTCCCCGTGGGCCGGAGAGCGCCCCCTGGAAGACATTGAGGACAGCTGGAACAAGTGGGAGTCCAGGGACAAGCAGGTGAGGCTGGGAGGGGAGCACAGGGAGGAGTGCAGGGACCCCCAACTCGCAGCCTTCATTCTTGGGCGTGGCTCCTGCAGGTGAGCAAAGTCTTGGGAGCGGCGTATAAGCCCAAGGAACGCTTGCAGAATACCAGGTTCCTGTCCACCAGGGTGCCATATGGCTGGATGAAGCATCAGGTAAGGTGGGATGGGGCAGCTCCCCAAGAGGCTGGGTCAGGGGCCAGGGGATCCCATGTCCACCAGCAGCCACCCTTGTGCCCACACAGCCCTTCAGTGAGGGTGGACAGGAGCCTTTGTCCTTTAACAGGATTCTGGGCCATGGACAGGTCTGGGATGAGACTAATGTGGCCAGTTTGTTTGCCAAGGCCCTGGCTGAGGTCAGTGGTGCAGCTTTTGTCCTTGAGGACAAGCCTCAAGGGCCTGTGGGACAAGGTCTCCTTGGGCAGGACTCCTGTCTATAGCCTCCAAGCATTTCCTATGGTCTGTGGCTGTCTATTTGCTGGTTAGCATATTTCCCACCTGTGTCCCCACTACTTTGGTGCTCAAACAGCAGACTAGGGCATCATGCCAGGCCCATAGTAAGAGACAGGGTAAACGGAGTGGCTCTCCATCAGGGACAGAAAGGAGCAGGGGATGTTCGAAAGAGCAGATTTGAGCTCCAGATTTGAGATCCCAGCCTCCCCGTCCTTGTCTGCCAGGGGAATATTGTGGGAGCTCCCTCCTCCCTGTGGTCCCCTTAAGAATAAATGAGATAACACCGAAGGCCATGCCCCTGCAGGGCCCCCCTGTCTCGGGCTGGGGAGAGGCTGGTGTGAGATGGATTGCTCCAAGGAGCTCTTTGCACCTGGGCCTCACCCAGGGTCCAGCTCGAGGCCTCATTCTCAGAAGCGGGCAGTCTGCTCGCCAGCTCACAGAGTTGCCACAAGCGCCGTAACTGGGTGGAGAGCAGGGCTGGGCACCTGGCCTGGTGCAGGGTGGATGCATGGGCCCGCAGGCCACGGTGGTTAGTGGTAGCCACAGTCCTCTGGACACACGCCTTCTTGGCATGGGAAGACCTCAGGGCGCCTCCTTCCTGTGAGTCTACTCTTGATCCTGGGTGTCCCCGGCTCCAACTGGTGCCCCATTCCCGCTCCCCACTCTGTTCCCTGCAGATCTCGCCTCAGGTCTACCAAAGCCTGCACTTCAGTGATCTGATGCCGACTCAGCAGCCTGACTTCCTGACCAGCAGGGGCCCAGACCAGCAAGACCAGCACATCCGCCTGGTGGCCCACCATGTCCAGAAGGACCTGGTGCCCAGCAGGGAGCAGGCTGTGCTGGATACCACGGACAGCACGCCTGCGGCCGCCTCCTCCCCATCTTCCTTGTTATCTGTCACTGCCTCAGCCTCCAGGCTGCTGGACTCCAGCTTGCCCACCTTCCTGACGCCCCAGTTCTCCTTCTTGCTGCGGCCCCAGTCAGCCTCCACAGCCCATTCCACCCCCTCGGTCCCATCCCCGGTGTCCAAGTCCACCCTGCAGGGGTCAGTGACCCCCAAGCACATTGTCTCCTCCTTCGAGCGGCCCCCAAGGCCTCTGAAGGCCACCTTCATGTCCTCTGTGAAGGGGAGCTCCCATGTCAGGTTCTGAGGTGCTCCGCTGTCTTCTCTAGTCCTCCAGCAGGGCAACCAGGCCCATGGCGGTCCTGCATGTTCTCGGCTTATTCCCTACCAGACCCAGAGGATGTGGCTCTTCCCCCGGCCACCCCACTGGGCCTCTCTGGGGAAGTTCACCTGTCTCCTAATCTTGTCTTCTCTCTGGCCCCGCACAGAGCCCTGGGGCAGAAAATAAATGTTCTCAGCTGTGGGCATCCACAGGTGATGAGGTTGGGCTGTGTGTTCCTTGCCCCCTTAGGTCCTTCCTTTTCTGAGACCAGTCACATCCCCTGGCCCTGGCAGAGGCAGAGAGGAGAGTCCAAGGACACCTGGGCATGGCTGGTTGGCTTGGAAACTTGGTTCAGCCTCATGGCAAGAGTGAGGACCGGCAGCCATCTGGTGAGGGTCATGGCTGTTTGTCTTCTGCCCCTGCTGTCTGTCAGTCTTCCCTCATCATCAAACACTCCACCCCAAGCACCTTGTTCTGTCCCGTGTGCAGAGAGGGCTGGAAGCATGGTGGGCAGCACCCCTCCTGGCTCTGCCGCTGTCAGGCTATGGAGTCCCATGTGTCCTTCCCCTCTGGCCCAGAGGCACCTTTCCAGACCTCTGCTGGGCCATCAGCCCTCTTGGCAGCTGGAGATCCCATTCTGGGGCATGTGGGGCCCTCTGGACATATCACCTGCAGCCTGAAGGGAGCTGGGGCAGCCCACTGCTACTGAGCAAGGAGGAGGTGGGCTATAGGCTGGGGGTTCTTGGGGGATCTCTCTGTCTCAGTGTCCTCACTGACCCTCCTGTGCAGTCCGAGGCTCAGCCCTGAGGGGCGTATGTGTCGTTTCTCATCTCTGTGTTTCTCCTTCCATTTCCCTTTACACTTCACAGGGGTGGAAGCACGGGCTCCCCACCACCACTCTGCTGGGAGGTTGGGAGGTTTTTTTTTTTTGAGACAGAGTCTTGCTCTGTCACCCAGGCTGGAGTGCAGTGGCACGATCTCGGCTCACTGCAACCTCCGCCTCCCAGGTTCAGGTGATTCTCCTGTCTCAGCCTCTCGAGTAGCTGGGATTACAGGCATGTGCCGCCATGCCCGGCTAATTTTTGTATTTTTAGTAGAGACAGAGTTTTGTCATGTTGGCCAGGCTGGGCTCGAACTCCTGACCCAAAATGTTCCACCCGCCTCAGACCCCCAAAGTGCTGGGATTACAGGCGTGAGCCACTGCGCCCGGTCTGCTGGGAGTTTCTGCGTCACCTGTGCCTCCTTCCTGGGGTCACTGCATCCTCTCCTGTATGAAGAAATTATGATCTAAGCCCTCCCAGCTTGGTTCTTGCATTAAGGAGTCAGGGGCACGCAGGAGCCAGGCATTATTGAGGCCAAAGTCCATCTGCAGTCTGTATCCCAATACCATCTCTGTATCCGTTTCCTAGTGCTGCTGGAAAAAAAGTACCACACTTGATGTCTTAAAACAACAGAAACTAATTGTCTCAGCTCTGGAGGCTGGAGGTCAAGGTGTCAGCTTGGAAGAGGCTGCAGCTTACGTGTCAGTAGCTTCCCAGTAAACCCACCCAGCAGCCCTTGTTGATTTTCACTTTCACAACAAACACCTATTAAGTGCCTTCTAATCTAGAAAACTCTTCCTTATGGTGGAGCTGAAAAAGGCGTCCGTCTGGGGCTGAGGAGAGGCTGCTGTCTGGGCCACAGAGGATCATGGGATGTGTCCCCAGGAGGAGGTGCTGGGGATCAGACACCTTTGTGGTCGGGGTTGGGGGCACAGGTGATGGGGCCCTGCCCAGGCCACGCGGACCCCAAGCAGTGCCTCCCCTGACCTTCCCCTCATACCACCTCCCCTGGGAAGTGGCTTCTCATTTTAGAACCCTGCCTTTGTGTCCCAGGGCTTCTGGATGCCCCTGGAAGTTGGTAACAGAGCACCCCACACAGGGGCCTTCAAACAATAGACATTAATTTTTTCACAGTTCTGGAGGCCAGAAGCCCAAAATCAAGGTGTCAACAGGGCACCTTGAACCTGGTAGGGGAGGACCCTTCCTTGCCTCTTCCAGCTTCTGGTGTTTGCTGGTAATCCTTGCTTGGTGTTCCTTGGCTTAGAGATGCATTTCCCGCCCCGCTCCTCACTCTGCCTCCATTGTCACACGGGCATCTTCTTCATGGGTCTCCATGATGCCTCTTTTTTTTCTTTTCCTTTCTTTTCTTTTCTTTTCTTTCTTCCTTCCTTCCTTCCTTCTTTTCTCCTCCTTCTTCCATCTCCTCCTCCTCCTTTTTTCTACTTCTATCTTCTTTCTTCTTCTATCTTCTTTCGTCTTCTCCTTCTCCTTCTTTTCCTCCTCCTCCTCCTCTTCTTCTCCTTCCTCCTTCCTCCTTCCTCCTTTCTCCTTCTCCTTCTCCTTCTCCTTCTTCTTCTCCTTCTTCTTCTCCTTCTTCTCATTCCTCCTCTTCTTCTCCTTCTCCTTAGAGACAGGATCTCACTCTGTCACCAAGGCTGGAGTGCAGTGGTGTGATGATCATAGCTCACTGCAGCCTCAACTCCCCAGGCTCCAGCGAACCTCCCCGCCTCAGCTTCCCAGGTAGCTGAGACCACAGGTGCACACCACTACGCCTGGCTACTTTTCAGAATTTTTTGTAGAGGCCGAGTGCAGTGGCTCATGCCTGTAATCCCAGCACTTTGGGAGGCCGACACGGGAGGATTGCTTGAGGTCAGGAGCTTGAGACCAGCCTGGCCAACGTGGCGAAACCCCGTCTCTACTAAAAATACAAAAATTAGCCAGGCATGGTAGTGCATGCCTGTAATCCCAGCCACTTGGGAGGCTGAGACAGGAGAATTGCTTGAATCTGGGAGGTGGAGGTTGCAGTGAGCTGAAATTGTGCCACTGCACTCCAGCCTGGGCAACAGAGCAAGGCTGTGTCTCAGAAAAATAAAAAAATAAAAAATAAAACTTTTGTAGATACAAGATCTTGCTGTGTTGCCCAGGCTGGTCTCAAACTCCTGGGCTCAAGGGATCCTCCTGCCTCAGACTCCCAAAGTGCTGGGATTATAGGCATGAGCCACTGCACCCGACCACAGTGTCTTCTCATAAGGACACCAGGCATACAGGATTAAGGGCCCGCCCTACTCCAGTATAACTTCATCTTAACTGATGACTTCTGCAACAACCCTATTTCCAAATCAGGCCACATTCTGGGGTACTGGGCCTGAGGGCTTCAACGTATCCTTTGGAGGACACAGGTCAACCCATAACAGCCCCCGAGGTCGGGGAGCAGAAGAGAGTGTGGCTGCACTGAAGATTTTTCCCAGTTTCTTTTTCTTTTTTTTCTTTTTTTGAGATAGAGCCTCACTCTGTCGCCCAGGCTGGAGTGCAGTGGCGTGATCTTGGCTCACAGCAACCTCCGCCTCCTGGGTTCAAGCGATTCTGCTTCAGCCTCCCAAGTAACTGGGATTACAGGCATGCGGCACCATGCCCGGCTAATTTTGTATTTTTAGTAGATATGGGGTTTCACCATGTTGGCCAGGCTGGTCTTGAACCCCTGACCTCTGGTGATCCACCCACCTCATCCTCCCAAAGCGCTGGGATTACAGGTATGAGCCACCAGGCCCTGCCGATTTTCCCAGTTTCTAGAGCTTTCAGCTTTGTAGCTGACGCCCTCTTCTTAAATCCCAGCTGTTCTCCCAGCAAATTTCAGCTAGAGTCCCTCAAACCAATGATGAACTCTAAGTTACCTGCCACCTCCCCACTGACCCAGGGACCGGTGTTTCTGAGCCAGGCACGGAACAGGGGTGGCTGTGCTCGATTCCTCTCTTCCACCCTCACTGGATTTCCCTCGTTGACTTATCCGAGAAGGAGTGGGCTTGAACTCTCTTTCCCTTCTGCAAAAGGATGGAATTTCCAGCATTCCCTGTTTCTCAAAGTTGAAGGAAGTGAGAGACAACCTTTATTAGACACGTTCCAAGCATCAGGTCCTGAACCAGGTACTGAAACTGTATTTAATCCTCACATCATTCCACGAGGTGGGTGCTGATATGACCTCATTTTGCAGAGAAAGAGAGGTTCAGAGAGGTGAAATTGCTTGCCCACGATCACGCCAGGAAGTGGGGGAGTCAGCGTTTGAACGCTGCCAGGCTCAGCTGCTCTGAGTGCAACTGCTGGGCTGTCCCAGATAACTCAACCCCCACAAAGCTATGTCCATTGGCTTTGGGGCCTGTCCTGGGCTCTGGCCTTGCTCCCTTGGGAGGAAGGACCCCTGGTCCCTCCTGACTGTGCTGTCCTGGTGTCTGTCCAGTTTAGCCCAGCCTGCGAAGGGCTTGGTGACTTTGGCCACCACTTGAGGTGGGAGGGGAGTGTCCCTGCCAAAGGCTCATTGGCTGATGCCAGAAATCAGCTTCATTTACCCAAGGTACCCAGCTGATGCACCCAGTCCTGGTTGTCAGCACCTCAGGGTCCTGCCTCTCCAGCGCTGAGCCCTGGTGTAGTCTGTACAGGTTTGGAAAGTGAGTTGTGGGCCCGGGCAGGGGCGCAGCTGGGATTGGAAAGGAAAGGCAGGACAGGCAAGGCCTGGGGCAGCTGTGGGCTCTCTTGAGCGGGATAAGCGAGATGCTCCTCACCAGTCCAGACTCTATTTCCAAAACCCTCTCCTGCCCATCAGCTCACTTGAGCTGGACAACAGTTTTCTTAGGCATTTGCCCCATTTTACAGCAGGGCAAACTGAGGCTCAGCGAGGAGTAAGGTTTCACAGCTAGAAACTGGTAGAGCTAGGATTCGAACCCAGGGTTTTCTGAGCTAAAGCCCTCGATCCTTCCATTACATCCTGCTCTGCGCAGCATCTCAGGTGGAGAACTCAGGAAGTGGGGAGGTGTGTGGATAAGCTGGTGAAAAAGCCCAAGGCCAGGCCTAGGGCTGGTCCCTCCTCTGCCCAGAGGAAGGACACGGGGGAAGGACACTGGGGCTGGGGAGCAGGGAAGATGGGGGTGGTAGCAACCAGGCTTCGGGGGATTTTCTTAGAGGCTTCTGCATAACCCTGACCTGGAGGGTGGTTCAGGGTTTCCTTTAGAGACCCAAGATCCTGACATGGGGACACCTGGCTGGACACCATGGACCAGGACAGGCCAACCTGTCCCCAATCCCCTGACTCTGGGACTCTTCAAACCTCCCCTCAATGCACCCAGCCCCATTACAATAACATTCTGTGACCCACCCTTGAAGGGGTCAGTTGACCCTAATGTGTCTTTTCCCTGCCCGGTGCTGTTTGTGCCACGAGGACAAAACCAGGTTGGGCAAAGCAGAGTCAAACTTTATTCGTTGATCAAGGAATGGGGAAGGGGAGCTCATGTTCAAACCACCTTCTCCCTAAGGCATAGGGCAAAGGGGGATTTTAAGGGCTTTTAGGGCAGGTAGGTGGAGACTGGGCCAGGGATTCCTGGAGAAAGGTGGGTTCTTCCAGGAGGGGCTGGACCCTGCACAGTCTTGTCTTTTGCACCCAGCACTTTTTGTGCCTAGCAAGGTGCATTGCTCCCCCTGGGTGGAGATTTTCTCAGGGTAATGAGGCAAGAGTTCAGTCAAGGCCGCACTGCTCGGTTCAGCTCATCCTGTGGCTGGTTCGTGGTTATTGGCTTCCAGCCTTCACTTCTGCAAGCACAGCAGCAAGCACAGGTTAATTTCGCAGGTTGCGGGGCTTTTCTGAAAAAACTAAGATCATGCTGCAGTGACGCTTTCACTATGTTTCTCACACGATGTAGATCTGGTGAATTGTAGGCACTTAAAGAATTGTAAGGTCTGAGTCTCATCTCCTACTCTGACTTCAGCCAACCCTGGAGATTTGCCTCAGGTGCCACAGCCCACAGGCCATCCCTCCAGGCAGCAGGTGCCCAAGATGCAGCCGTCACAGGCCCCAGCATGACAGGCAGGGTTGAGCTCCACCAATAGCGAGTGAGCAGCCATGTCTGTCCCACTGCCCACACCCAGCCTCTCCCACCCAGGCCCTACCTGGGATGCCGGGTAGATCATTCCAGAACACCAGAGTCAGAAGGAGCTTAGAACCCAGATGGGGAAATGGAAGCCAACGTCCCCCAGGAGCCGGCATGAGGAAGCTGGATTGAGGCCCTGCTTCCTGGTCACCAGTCATCCTGGTGCGTCCTCGAGTGCCCATGCCCCTTCGCACCTGCTCTCTGCTTTTTGCACCAATGGCGTAAACCCCACTTGGATTTAGCTCTTTTCTGATTCTAAAAGTAGCACAGACTGAGTGTAGAAAATTAGAAAGACATAGAAAAGCATCAAAGTCAATAAAAACCACCTGAACTCCATCACCCAGCGATCATTTTGGTGCATTTTTCTTCTAGATTTCTTACCCCCGCCAAAAAAAAACCAGGGTTCATTTGCCTGGTGAGCCACAAACCACTCACTGTGAGAACTCGGGTTTTGATCAATAGGAGCTTCATTACTTGGCACAAGTAAGGAGGGTGCTGGGTGTATTCTCCAAAGCACGGTCTCCCTGAGGGAAAGTGACGGGGGGCTTTCTGGGTGATGGAGAGGGGAAGGGGTGCATCACAGCATACAGAGGAGGGGTCCCAGTTGCACAGATGCAGTGAGTCATCATGCGGCACATAGGTCTCATGTGCTGGTGATGAGGCTACAGCTCCTTCTGGGCGGGAGACTTCAGCATGGTTGTGAGAAAGTTCACTGGAGTTCATCCGTAAGTTGCCGGTGTCTGTGGGGTGCCCGTTTTAACCAACTAGGCGACTGCATCCCACATAGGGGTTTTTTTTGAGACGGAGTCTTGCTCTCGTCACCCAGGCTGGAGTGTGATGGCGTGATCTCGGCTCACCGCAACGTCTGCCTCCTGGGTTCAAGCGATTCTCCTGCCTCAGCCTCCTGAGTAGCTGGGACTACAGGTGTATGTCACCACGCCCGGCTAATTTTTGTATTTTTGGTAGAGATGGGGTTTCACCATGGTGGCCAGGCTGGTCTTGAACTCCTGACCTCAACAGATCCACCCGCCTCGGTCTCCCAAAGTGCTGGGATTATAGGCGTGAGCCACCGCACCCGGCCCCACATAGGGTTCAGGAGGAAATGGGCTGCAGAGTGGGAGGCTGTCCAACAGGCTGACTGCCAAGTTGATCATGAAATTTCTATCGTCCCTGGAACCCTCCCTGTCTGTGTACAGAGACTTTTCTGTTTTTATGTGAATGTGTGCACACACCCACATACACACCCAAGCATACCCTTACACTCACACATGCACACTCAGACTCACACTCATTCACTCACTTATATACTCACACACATGCACAACTCATAATCTCAAAATCGACGCTTCATACACATCATTCTTCATGTGATGAGTAAACGCCTCAATGCTGCAGTTCTTGGAGGCCTCGCCCACGATGGCTGCTCCTTGGGGGCTGAACCTTCTCCAGGATCTAGAGCTGCCACCCAGCTACTCTTTAAAGGAGCAGGAAGACACGCATGAGGGCATCCTGCCTGCCCCTAACAATGTACTGCTGCCACCAGACAAAGGAATGGACAGCCATCCCTCTGCGGTGGAGCAGAACTGTCTCCTCGGGCCCGGCTGGGCTGAGGGGTCGTGGCCACAGGCTGGCAGCCCAAGGACGGGGACATGGGACATGAGGGCACTGAGGAGAGTGTGGGGACAGCTTTGTCCTCAGAAAGAAGCCACCCTTGACCTCATTTTCTGGTGCCACTTCCAAATTTCACATGTGCTCTACTCTTGTTAAGCATCTACTGTGTGGGGGGCACTGGGGACACTAGAGTGAGGAAGACCCCCCCCTTTCCTGTTGGGACACGGATTATTCCTCTACAGCATGGATGCAGCTTCTTGTTAGCTTATCCAGCAGATTAGCTGTCCTGAATGCATACCCACTTCTCTGTGCCAGCCAGGCAAATCTCACGGGAGAGTGGGCAGACGTGGGAGAAGCAATCCAAGACGGCTTCCTGGAGGAGGGGGTCTATGAGCCCAGGGCCAATCAGGACCTTTGTGTTTGGAGAACAGGACCCTGTTCTCTGCCTGAGAAGGCCTTCCCCCAGATGGAATGCCTCTCCCTCAGGCTCTGCTTAGATATCCCCTCAAATACCCGGTCACCCCTGGCCTACTTTATCCTCTGATAAGCCCTGACTTTAGATAGGATCGGGCTAGGGGAGGGAAGGTGGCTCATGAAGGTGCCTGGGCACACAGAAAGTTCTCACCAGTTGCAGACAGTCCATGGGGTAGGTCGGCTAGAAGCCTGGCATTGCCTATCACCCACAGAAGGCAGTGGGAAGGCAGGGGGCGGCCGGCTGACTCAGCCTATGCCCTGTCTCACGGCAGCCTCCTGGCCACGCATGTCCAAATCCTGGTCTCCAAAAGCATCTGGGAGCCGCTGTCCTGCCTGGTGAGCCAGGGGGCCTTTGCAATTCCACTCATTCCTGTTGAGCCCAGAGAGGCTGAGCCATGGCCAGGGGTCATAGAGCACACTGGAGAGTGCCCGGCAGGCCACCATGACCAGGGACACACTCCTACTTTGCCACGGCTGGTGGTGCTGCCTGTGGGAAGAGAAATATCCCAGGACCCAGAAACTGCTCGAGGCACCCAGAGGCTGTGCTCAGTACCCCAGAATACTGCAAGGAAGGAGAAGAATACTGCAATGGGCTGAGCAGTGCCCATTATTCAGATGAGGAAACTGAGGCGCAGGAGGTGATGAGGATCAGGTGGTCTGGGGGCATGGATATTTTGGAAAGTAGGGAAACTGAGCAGACCCAGGGGCCCAGGGATGTAGGCAAAACTCTTGCTCACTCGCTCGGTTCTCAGGTGGGAAGAGAGCTGTGCTTTGTGTTGGTGGCCTGGCCTAGCACCCTACCCCCGTTTCCACAGAGTTCACAGCAACACTGCAGGTCAGGGCAATGGCCCAGAGATGGAATGGGACCAGGCAGGGGCCACACAACAAATCAATGGCAGGGCCGGGTCCAGGTCTCAGCCCCATCCTGGCTCCGCCATTCAGACCCCAGCCCTGTCTCCGGCCTCCTGAGCCCCTGGCTTGAGGCTGGGTTGGGGAGGCTTGGGCGTGGGATCCCTCTTCCACGGTGGGCTTGTCCTGGTCTGGGTGGGGCTAAAGTGCTGAGCTGCAGGGTCCAGGGGACACCAAGCCCCCTTTCCACCCTCTGGTTTTCTTGTCAGTCTTAGGGAAAGAGCTTAGGATCTGGGGCCAGCAAGCCTGGGTTCGAGTCCTGGTTGTGTGACCTCAGGTCAGAGACAGCTCCTTGCTAGCCTCATCTGCAAAACTGGGGTGACAGTACTGCCTGTCTCATGCCCGTTATGCCTGGGCATGCCGCCTGGCACACAGCAGCTGCTGGGGAAGGGCCGTGAGGTGGTTTCCCTTCCTCCCAGTGCCATGGGCAGCATGGGGTGGGTCAGGCTGCAGGCTCCAGCTACCCCTTTGAGGTGCTGTGGGAGCCCTATGAGGCCCTTCCCTCCCTGAACCTCTGTCTCCCTAGATGGGGTACCAGCAGGTGGGGGCCTCTGTGCTCAACCGTGAACCAACGTGGGCATGGGATGGGGGTGGGAGACAAGGTGGGAGGCCCAGAGCAGGAGGTGAGGGGCTGAGGGCTCAGCTGGGACAGGGAGGCAGCCACAGGGTCTTTGGAGTGCCCCCAGTGAGGCAGGAAAATAGGGTCTGAAGGCAGGGAACATAAGGCCAATTCCCACTTCAGCTAGGACAGGAAATATCCTCTCCGTGGGGTGTAGGCCAAGTAAATAACTTTGTAATTTTACTTCATCCTCTCTATTTACATAGGGTGTACCCCAAGTAACCAGTGGAATCCTCTGGAGGGTATTTAAACTCCCAAAAATTCTATAACGGGGCACTTGAGCCGCTACGCTCGGGCCTGCTCCCTCACTGTGGAGTGTACTTTGATTTTCAGTAAATCCCTTCACTCCTTCCTTGCTTTGTTTGTGTATTTTGTCCAATTCTTTGTTCAAGATTCCAAGAACCAGGACGCTCTCCACCATTAACGCCATCTCCCTGTCCTGTTCCACTTCCTGCCTCTCTTTCCCCCATCTCTGTGTCTCTAGCTGTGACTCTGTCTTCCTGTTTCTCCATCCATTCTCTTTCTGCTTCAGTCTCATTGCCTCCTGTCTTTGGCCTTGTGTTTTCTCCGTCTCCACTTCTCTGCTCTCTCAGGCACTGCTTCTCATCCTGATTCTCTCTCCTCTCAGGCATCCCAGAGTTCTAGTGTTATCGGCGCCCTGGGTCCTTGTAATCTGCCAGGATAGAAATCAAGAGCGATCACCAGACATAGCAGCAAAGAGAAAGAGCTTTATTTAGCTTGTGCACGAGGGAAGTCAGCAACATGAAAGGAAGAGGGCAGGCTGCTCCCCAGGGGAGTGTGTGGGTTAGATTTCTAGGGCCTTTCTATGGAGAGGGGTTTCAGGGTTCCTCCAGGGGAGTGTGTGGGTTAGATTTCCAGGGCCTTTCTATAGGGAAGGGTTTCCCCAGGGGAGCGTGGGGGTCAGATTTCCAGGGACTTTCTGTAGGGAAGGATTTTGCCAGGGCATGTATAGGAGGAGGGGTTTCTCTAGCACTTGCACAGTGGCTCAACACACTTTTTCAAACATTGCATGTAACATCAGCATTTTAAATCTCCGTGCTTGGGCACGATTTGCAGCATTAAAATGAGGAAGAGGGTAAGTTGAAGTTTAAGTCTAACTGCACATGCGGGGCCCCAGGGAAGTCCCTAGCCCCCTAGAGCAGGAACTCGTGGTGAATAGTTTCCTGGGTCTTTGGCTGCTGATTGGCTGGAAGTCAGGTGAGCTACAGTCTGATAAGGGGTTTTTGTACTTTTTCTCTAAACCACATCAAAACCAGGAAACCAGTCAGCCTGCCTGTCTCACGAGCCCCTATTTCCTGTTGTAGATGGTGACCAGCTTGTCCTGGTTTGCTTGGAACTGTCCTGGTTTTCAAATGTAAGGTTCCACATCCTGGGCACCCCCCAGTCCTGGGCAAACCAGAATGGCTGGCCAGACTGTTGCTGTGACTGGAGTGGGGCATACCCTGCCTGCTTTTTTCTGGGCCTTACCTGCTAAGTGGTGTCCAAGGAGAGGCCCTGGGGGTCTGGGTGTGGGATGGGCTGGTGACTCGTCCCTCTGTGCCCTTCCCACCCACTCTTGCCCTCAGTGCTGGTGCCCACCTGGCATCCCGGACACCATCCAGGGCACCCTGGCTGGATGGCCTGTCTTCATGGGCCATGGTGCAGGGCTCAGGCTAGAGATGAGTGGGGGATGGGGGCCCGAAGCCCCTGCTGTGCCTGATGTGCCTTCGGTATGTCCCGTCCCCAGGTGGCTCTGCACTTGATGTCAAGGAACACAGCCATTGCACCACAGCTTGGTCCTCTGACAGTGGCCCAGCCACGGCTCCGAGGATATGCGCCCTCCCTGGGCATTTCCAGGCCTTCCTGTTGGCTGTGTTCTTTGTCCTGATCAACGTCCCCCCGCAGATCCCTCCCTGCACGCAGGAGTTGGTGGTGAGGGACTGGCCCTGCGCTTCGGCTCCTAGATTCTCCATGCAGCAATCACAGCCCAACCACCAACTCCTCACTCATCAGGAGCTCACACTTGCTGCAACCTCAGGCTTCTAGACTTCGGCTGGGGCCATGGATCGTGGCCTCTGAGCTCCACAGGTCCTCATGCATGATGTAGGTGAGATGTGTTTTAAGTCCTCTCTTGGTGCCAATTTACTCAATATGTTCACAAGTTCTAACCACCTTGGATACGGGTTTTTCAAAGCTCAGAGCATATTAGGCCGGTGATGTAATATAACTGTTAAGGGCATGGACCCAGATGGCCTGAATCTGAATTCAAATTCTGTCCTGTATTAGACCCTTTTTTCTAAGCCTCAGTTTTCTCATCTATAAAATGGGTTCAATGATATTACCTACCCCATGAGATGTTGTGAGTATTCAATGAGATCATCACAGTGCCTGGCATGGAAAAATAGCAACTTTTTATTGAGTAGTTGTTTTATGCAAGGCAAGACTACATTTAACCCCCACACCCATGGGATTCAGAGAGGTCGGGTAATTGGTCTAAGGTCACACAGTTAGGAGGAAGCTACATCCCTAACCAGCAGGCTATCCTGCCTCTGCAGTAGTAATGACTAACATTTACGGAGCACTTGTTATGTACCAAGCACTATTCAAAAGGCTTGATATGTTCTAAAGATTTTACTTTTAATCCTCACAATTCTGAGAGGTAGGTACTAATATTATTCCAATCAGTTAGATAAGGAAACCGAGGCACGGGGAGGTAAAGTCTCTTGTCAAAGGGTCACATAGCTGGTTAGTGGTGAAACTGGGATTTGAACCCAGGAAGAAGCCTAGCTGCAGAGACAGTTTTTCTTTTTTCGTTTTTTTTAGGTGATGTTTTTAACCACACTGTTTTTTCTTTTAAAACAGCCTGTGTCTTTATCTTGATCCTCTGAGGGTACCTAATGCCCAAGAATTATGAGCTGTTATTATCATTATTATAGACAAGAAGCTGGAAGAAGGTGCAGGAGGCTTTGAGGGTAGGGGCATGCTGACAGCAGAGCATGGAAAACTAAGAGCAGAGCTCAGGTGCGTAGGCTGGACATGGTCCCACGGCTCAGCAGGTGAAGGGGTTAACAGCTCTTCTTCATGGCTGAAGGAGCTACGTCCTTTCTGGAAAGACTTCCATCAAGTTAGGGAGAACAAACAGAGCTGTGACACCATCAGAGTGGGCCCCTGAGGACAAGAAATTGACATGGGGGATGTAGCCATGAAGTGGTGACTGCCAACGTGCCTCTGATGTTTGCTGAGAACTTTGTGCCTCTTTCCATAGCCTCATGGCTGCAGTCCCATTTGAGCCTCAGAATGGTCCCTGTCAGGCAAAATGACTGCTCTGCTTTATAGATTAGAAAACTGAGGCTCAGATGGGAGCTGTGACTTGCTCAATGGCACACTGGCTCCTGTGCTGAGCTCCAACCCCAGGCTGGAATGCTCACACACCCAAAGGTGGGCACTGTGTGTCAGGCCTCTGAGCCCAAGCTAAGCCATCATATCCCCTGTGACTTGCACGTATACATCCAGATGGCCTGAAGTAACTGAGGAATCACAAAAGAAGTGAAAATGGCCTGTTCCTGCCTTAACTGATGACATTACCTTGTGAAATTCCTTCTCCTGGCTCATCCTGGCTCAAAAGCTCCCCCACTGAGTACCTTGTGACCTCACCCCTGCCAGCCAGAGAACAACCCCCTTTGACTGTAATTTTCCACTACCTACCCAAATCTTATAAACAGCTCCATCCCTATCTCCCTTCGCTGACTCTCTTTTCAGACTCAGCCCGCCTGCACCCAGGTGAAATAAACCGCCTTGTTGCTCACACAAAGCCTGTTTGGTGGTCTCTTCACATAGATGCGAGTGAAACTGTGATCCTGGTGTCACAGGCCTGGGGTGTATAGAGAAGTCAAACATGGCTTCCCGTGTAAACTGTTAGTGTAATGCGCAACCTTGTTTTTACTAACCCTATTTTTAGACTCTCCCTTTTCCTTTAATCACCCAGCCTTGTTTCCACCTGAATTGGCTCTCCCTTAGCTAAGAGAGCCAGACAGACTCCATCTTGGCTCTTTCACTGGCAGCGCCTTCCTCAAGGACTTAACTTGTGCAGGCTGACTCCCAGCACATTCAAGAATGCAATTAACTGATAAAATACTGTGGCAAGCAATATCCGCAGTTCCCAGGAATTCATCTGATTGATAACGCCCAAAAAGCCCTGCGTCTATCACCTTGTAATAATCTTAAAGCCTCTGCACCTGGAACTGTTTACTTTCCTGTAACCATTTATCCTTTTAACTTTTTTGCCTACTTTATTTCTGTAAAATTGTTTTAACTAGACCCCCCTCCCCTTTCTAAACCAAAGTATAAAAGAAAATCTAGCCCCTTCTTCGGGGCCGAGAGAATTTTGAGCATTAGCCGTCTCTTGGCCGCCGGCTAAATAAACGGACTCTTAATTCGTCTCAAAGTGTGGCATTTTCTCTAACTCTCTCAGGTACAATTCAGTATTGACGCCGAGACAGGGTTTGACTATCAGGGCCTGGCATGTTCAGTTTTCAGAGCTGCTGAATCTTTATCCCAGTGGTAGAATCACAGGAAGAAAAGGCCCATGGAGGCTTGCACTTATGCCCATTTCTACCATAGAGACGCTGGGTACCCTTAGGCAAGACCTTGCTCCTCTCTGGGCCTCTGTTTGCCACGTGGGCCTTGAATTAGATTAGCGTTTCTTAACATGAGGACTCATTTTCTCAACATGAGATGTCAGGATGGGGAGGACCCTAGAACGGGTAGTGTCTCAGGGTTGAGCTGATGCTCCACAGAACGTGGGCTCCAGACTTGAACTGACTGACTTGGGTTCAAATCCCAGCTTCTCTACTCACTCCTGGTGTGACCCTGAGGAAGCGTCTAAACCTCTTAGAGCCTCAGTTTCCACATTCATAAAATGGGATGAATGATTGGCAGCTTAATTCCCTGGTGGGGAGAAGACATGGGCTGGTGGCGGGGCCTCTGGGCTCTCACAGGGCTGAGGACAGCCACAGGTACCCCACAGTGCTTATCAAACTTGCCAGCAGTGACCTTGGGGCTAAAGCTGACTTGGGCACCCCCATGGTGCTGTTGGAGGAGGGCCCGTGGATGGTGGAGATGTGCACCCTTGTGGAGCTGCTGCTGTGTGGACCCAATGGTTCGCTGCCTCCTGCTGCTCGGACTCAAAGAGGTGAGTGCTGCATGAGGCACCCTCACCCTCCAGCTCCTCCCCTCACTGTCCCTGTGCCATAGGCCCTGCCGGACTCCTCCCCACTGAGGGGTGAGTGACTGAGAGCAGCACAGACAGGGACAGAGCTTCAGGCCAAAGGCACGTGATGGGAATGGAATGATCTCAGCAGCAGGCCCACAGGAGCTGCACTTCCAGGCAGAGATCACAGTTGTGGGGTGGAGGTGGAGGCCTGGGAGGGCCCTGAGGGGTGGGGCGACTCCTGGATGTCATCTGCACGGACCTTGGGGGACCGAACAAAGGATGACAAACGTGGGAATAAAGATAAAGACAAAAGAGTGTATTTGGAAGAAGGGGTCAGGGGGCTCCTTGCTTCTAGTGAACAAGGGCTCTTAGCTTTACAGCCCTTCGCATTTGATTGGGTAAAGGAGATAGGGAGAAGTGGGGGTGGTTGTCGATCAGGGGCTTAATTTACAGCAGGCTTGCAAGACTGCATTCTTCAAACAATAGGTTCTAGATGTCCCAGTAGATAACCTCAATGAGCACGGTGCCAGGGCCCTCAGCAAACCTTCTGGCAGTAGGCGCAGTCGTGAGTTTGCCCACATCCTGCATTCATGATAAACAGTTTGCTGTTTGATCATATAGCCAGTGGAATGCTGAGTTGGTCACGATTCCTTTGGCCTTTTCAGCTCCAAACACCTGGGAGCTCCTCTTTGCCTCACCCCCAATCCCCCTTGCAGGATCTCATCCTCAGAGCCATGTTTGTGGTTGATGGATGCAAACTCACTGTCTCTGTGGACATGAAGAGATGAGCAGAATGGCTGCAGGCACAACCCAGACTTCCTGGGGAGCAGAGGTTAGGCAGCTGGCAGGCTCCACAGTCACAGTTGCTCAGGAAGTCCTTTCTTATTGCTGTTGTTCCCAGGAGGCTGCCTCTCTTTCTGTCCCTCTTTCCCTGTGGATCCAGGGACTGGCTCCAAACCTAGCAGGGCCAGAGCTCACTCCCTCCTTGCTCCCATGGCGTCTGGTCACATTGATGGAAACGGAGGCTCAGAGAAGTTGAGACTTGCCCTCAGCCACACAGCAAGCGACCAGGGCTGAGTGCTGGATTCCTGTCCCAGGCTGTTCCAAGGCAGTCCCTCTTGGGGAGAGCCTCAGAGATGCCCTTTCTCTCTGCTGTGCCTCCCTCACCGGGTCCTCACCTTCCATGAGGAACGTTCCTGTAAGTGAGGCCAGGGCTTGGGGATTCGGGCACATTCTCTCTGAAGGATGAAGGGTTGCTGGTGGAGGGAGATCTGCTCTGATGCTTCCTCCCTCACCAGCCCAGGTGTCAGACCTCAGCCTATGAGCTCCCAAGCTCCAGTGTGACCTCCTGGTGCCCAGCACTGATGGTCAGCTCTGACCTGGACTTCCTGGTGGGGTTGTGGTCGATAGCACTGCCCTGCCTGCCTGAGCCCCACGGCCGACCTCTGAGCTAGCTCCACCGGCTTCAGGACCCCACACAGTGCCCAGCAGGCCACTCAGGCATCCACACCTGAATGGAAGGCGAGGCGTTGGTCTAGTCCTTCCTGCATGAACCAAGGCCCTGCGAGGGATAGGGACTGGTGAGTGGTCACATAGCTGGGAGGTGGTCGAGCTGAGGTGTCACTTACCCAGCTTCCCCCTGGCAGTGCCGGAGTGCTCATGTCCTGCAGCCCAGCAGCCTGCATGTGGCAGGGCTCTTGTGATCACCAGATCCTGTAGCGACCTCTGGTCTCGGGAAAGGGGGAATGAGCTAGCTTTGCCTGGTGTGGACACCGAAGGCAGAACCTGGACTCGGTGCCTCAGATACTGGCTGAGGGCCCCCAGCTCATGAGGGCGAGGGAGAGGTATTTGGAGGGTGATGAGAAGGGTGGTCAGTGTGGGTCTGATCTCAGTCTCTCTGAAGGCAGCTAGCTGGGAGTCCACTGGAGACATAGCCCAAAAGAGTGCAGCAGAAGGCTCTGATTCTTTTACGTAGATTAGCCTGATTTTGGCCTTCTACCCCATAATATAATTTAATATGGAAACACTCCTTAACAGCTGGGAGCAGTGGCTCACGCCTGTAATCCCAGCACTTTGGGAGGCTGAGGCAGGCAGATCACTTGAGGTCAGGAATTCCAGACCAGCCTGGCTAACATGGTGAAACCCTGTCTCCACTAAAAAATACAAAAATTAGCCAGGCGTGTTGGTGCATGCTTGTAATCCCAGCTACTTGGGAGGCTGAGGTGGGAGGATTGCTGGAACCCAGGAGGCAGAGGTTGCAGTGAGAAGAGATCACACCACTGCATCCAGCCTGGGCGACAGATTGAGGCTCCATCTAAAAAAAAGAAAGAAAGGAAACACTGCTTAAGTACTTACAGGTAAATTTCTTTACCTTGCTCTGCATGAGATTGCCACCCTGTGTCACTTCCCAACTTGCTGGCTTGGCCAGGGCATTCCTAGAATGTTTTGGGGGCCAGTGGGTATCATGGCTTGCCTGGACATGGTGGTGGGGATAGGTTCTAAGTCTTGATGACTTTATACTTTTTTTTTTTTCGAGATGGAGTCTCGCTCTGATACTCGGGCAGGAGTACCATGGCGTGATCTCAGCTCACTGCAACCTCTGCTTCTCGGGTTCAAGCGATTCTTCTGCCATAGCCTTTCGAGTAGCTGGGATTACAGGTGTGCACCAGCATGCCCAGCTAATTTTTTGTGTTTTTAGCAGAGACAGGGTTTTGCCATGTTGGCCAGGCTGGTCTCAAACTCTTGGCCTCAAGTGATCTGCCGGCCTCTGTCTCCCAAAGTGCTGGGATTACAGATACAAACCACTGTGCTGGCCGACTTTACACTTTCTAACTCTGGCCAAGATTAATAGGGTTGGTGTTTATTTATTTCTTTCTTTATTTCCCCCTCTCTCTCTGCCCAATGTCCTGGGTATCAGCTGGTGGGCACCATTGTGAGGCCGATAGAGTAGGAGGTGGTGTGCCCATTGTGTAGATGGGGAAACTGAGGCCCAGAGAGGGCCTTGGCTGGACTCCAGGGCTCCCACTTCTCAGCCCTTGCTTTTCTCCCTGTCCATTTATGGACGAGCCACCATGAGATTGTCACCCTGAGATTGTCTTGTCCAGGGAATGCTGCTGGTGTGCTTGTGACCCTGACCCTAGCCTCTGTGAGGACCCTCAAGGAGTGTCCCCTGGGGACTTGGGTGAGGGCAGGCTGTGTCAGCCCCCTGCCCATCCACAGCGGGCCTTATGCTGCAAATAAACGTCACTGTTTGCTCCAATTCCTAGAACCTGAACCTGTGCCGTCTCCTGTGCCGTCAAGAGCCCTCCTGTTCACTCACCCGACTTCTATTTATGGGGCAGCTCTTGCATGACAGGCTCTGTGCTAGGCTCTGGGGACCCCACTTATCACACAGCCGGCAAGAGCCTTTCACACTGGCATCCTGGGGGCCTTAGGCCACTTCTGGCAGGGAGAAGGTGAGGACAGGCATCTCCTGGTGCAGATGAGGAAAGTGAGGCTCAAAGACTGACTCCCTTGGGCACTCAGTGAAGGGGCACAGGCCAGGGGAAGGGCCTAGGCTCTGTCTCATCACTGGGCCCTTGCCACTGTCTGTCCAGGGGTCTCGTGCAGGGGTCTCTGAGTCTCATCACTGGGCCCTTGCCACTGTCTGTCCAGGGGTCTCTGAGTCTCATCACTGGGCCCTTGCCACTGTCTGTCCAGGGGTCTCTGAGTCTCATCACTGGGCCCTTGCCACCATCTGTATGGGGTCTCATCACTGAGGCTCTCGCCACCGTCTGCCCAGGGGTTTCTGAGTCTCAGAGAAGCAGCCTGCCCCAGCCATGCCTGGTCTGGCCTCCAGGGATTAGCGGATTAGCTAAAACCTCAGGGCTTGAACTGGGCGTAACGGAGGCGCCACTCTGGCGGCCCTGTGGGTGGTTGGCACTCTGCACCTCTGGTTCTTGTCTTGGTCGCCTTGGATCCCACCCTGGCTGGCAGCCGACTCCTCTGCTGCAGTCCAGTGGGTGGGCTGAGTGGCGGGCAGGCGGCCAGCCTTGTGCATTGTGGACCTGGACTGGGGGTGGGTGGGAGGGAGACTTTTGTTCTCCTGCTGCCCCAGAAACGAGCCCCTCCCCCTGCTGGGCTGAATCAAAGTCCTATTGTGGGACTTGGGTGAGACTGGGTCCCTCGCAGGGCCTCAGCCTCCTTGTCTACGCAGAGGGGCTATTCAACTGCACTGTGAACTGTAATGCTCCATCCAGGGACTGCTGACCTTGGAGGACAGGAGGGAGTGTGGGGAAGGGGTGGGTGGATAAAGGGTACCTGATCATCTGGTCAGGGGGCTGAGCTGCATGCAGTGGGGCTCCTCGGATGTAATGACAGAACTCCCATTCATTGAGCGCCTGTCCATTGTTTGTGCGACAGTCTCAGCCATCTGGGTTGGGGGAGGGGGTGGGCCACCATCTGCTCCCTTGGGCATCACTGTAAGAACCAGGGTTCAACCCTCTACTCACGGCTCCACGGAGTTGGCTCAGCCAAACTTACTGGGACCTGAATGGCTGTGGGAAGAGTTGAGGGGGGGAACCAAGCATTTTGGGGCCTGGCAGGTCTGGATTGGGGGTCAGAGCATCACTGTGACTCACTGTGTGACCTTGGGAAGCTGCCACATCTTTCTGTGCCTCGGTTTCCTCATGTCTAGGGGAATGTTCAGTCCCCATAGTCGGGTGGAGATGTGGTGACAGGTGTGACACACCGTGGATTATGTAGTGTTTGTGGACCGGGTGTCCCCCTGGGAGAATTACATGAACCCTCAGGAGGGTGGCATGGGGTTGGGGGCAAGTGCCACATGAGTGTCAGGCAGCAGGAGCTACCTCCACCACAGCCCTGACCACAGAGAATGTCACCAAGGGTAAGGATCCCATTCATCATAGTCCTAAAACTGGTAAAGTATCCAGGATTAAATCTCGCAAGAAAAGTGCAGAATTCATATGAAAAAAGCGAGGATACCTGACTGAAGGACGTTGAAGGAAAACCATAAGAAATGGGAGAAGAATCTATGTTTTGAGAAGAGCTGACATGGCCAAGAGATTTGTTCGTCATGCATAAAACCAGTGCCAATTCAGCAGCATTTTAAAAATGCAAGTTGACAAGCTGATTCTCAAGTTTGCCTGGAAAAGAAAGTGGATGAGAATGGCCAAGGAGGTTTTGAAACAGGAAGAAAGAGGGGGTGCTGGTACGTACCAAATATATTCCAAAGCTGGAGTCACAGAGCATGGTGGTCATGCAGGACGAGACAGGGCTCAGTGAAACAAAAAAGAGGCCAGGCACTGCATGGAGAGTGTTTCCAAGCTCTGGGAAAAGACGAACCATTCAATGATGATCCCATATTGTGGTCTTTGGGTAGTAATACACAAAAATTAAATTAGATTCCCTACCTCACACCATGCACAAAAATAAATTCCAGATGCATTAGGAGCTTTTATACATTTATATATTGTGTGGGTTTATGCACCAACAAGTGTATATATATTCATATATATGTATGTATAAAATGTGTGTATAATAAAATTAACAGAGGACCAGCCTGGCCAACATTGTGAAACCCCGTCTCTACCAAAAAGTACAAAAATTAGCTGAGTGTGGTGGTGGGCGCCTGTAGTCTCTGCTACTCAGGAGGCTGAGGCAGGAGAATTGCTTGAACCTGGGAGGTGGAGGTTGCAGTGAGCCGAGATCACACCACTGCACTCCAGCCTGGACGACAGAGTGAGACACTGTTTCCAAAAAAAAAAAAAAGATTAGCAGGAGAAAGTACAGGAGTATATGTCTATAAACTTGGAACTGGGGATGTCCTTCCCAACAATGCACACAACTTAGATGCCATAAAGAAAAACATTGAGGTGATAATATTTTCAAGAAAATCTGTTGAACAAAAGACACTTAAAGACAAATGATTGGGAAAAAACACAGAACAGCTGGAGGAGTGAGCCTGGGAGGGGCATGTGGGGGTGGGGGAAGTGGGGTTTTTCAATGGATTCGCTTTTTAGCAAACCTCAGTTTGATTTGGCTTTTTAATAACAAGAATGGTTTACAGAAAAACTACCCTAATGATGCCAGGCTGGACGTGTATGGCTTCCAGGTGCCCTGATTGCTTGGAGGAGCAGGGAGCAGCAGGGATGTGAGGCGACCCCTTGAAGCCCATTCCACTGTGAGGCCCATCAGAGATGGGCCTGGGTCAGGTGCTGGAGGAACCCTGGGTGCTGGCGTGGAGGCCTGGCAAATGGCCAGAATGGCGGATTCTGCAGCAGGGATATGAGGCGACCCCTTGAAGCCCATTCCACTGTGAGGCCCATCAGAGATGGGCCTGGGCCAGGTGCTGGAGGAACCCCGGGTGCTGGCGTGGAGGCCTGGCAGATGGCCAGAATGGCGGATTCTGCAGCAGGACGGGCTGGTACAGGGTGCCCTCCCTGGAGACAAGCATATTTCCGATCTGTCCACCCTTCTAATGCCCAGCTGGCCCTGTGCCAGAGTCTTCACTTCCCTGCCCTTGCCTGCTAGGAATTCCCTCCCTCGAAGGCTCCAGTTCCTGCTGCCATTCCAGCTGGGCCAGCCTGCCCTATTCTGGAGCTCAGCCCCTCCCAGAGGACTAGGCCTCCTATCACTTGCCTGGGGCCAGAGGTTGACAATAACCTTGAGGGTCATTTACCCAGCACCTATCATGTGTCATGCTCTGTGCTGAGAGCTTTGTGCACACAGCTCCTGTAGGTTCCAGGAATAGGCACTGTTTTTAGCACCTCTATAAGCTCTCAAGACAATGCTAGAGCAGGATGGACCTCAGCTATGGCAAAGATTACACAGACAAAATATGAGTGACTGAAGTTTGGGAAACAATACTTACATACCTGGAAAAACTGAAGTCCAGAGAGGGTGTCTGACATGCCCAATGTCACACAGTAAATTGTCAGTATGACGTTGAAACACTCCATAGTGGGTAGGGTTGGGACCTCTCATCTATCACCTTGTCTGACACAATAGTCATAATCCTGTCCCTATTTTATGGCTGGGAAGACCAAGGCTCCTAGAGGGTAGGGTCTTGACCGATGTCACACGTAGTTTGGGGACAGAGCTTAACTTGAAGCAAGAAAGGCTTCTCATGTGCAACAGTCAGACTGCTTGGGTTTGAATCCTGGAGCTGCCATTTGTTGTCTGTCATCTGCAGCAAGTCAGTTTGCTGCTTGGAGCCTTCACTGTCCCCATCCGTGAATGGGGTCTCCTGGGGCTGCTGAGAAGGTGCCTGGGCACCCGGAATGGGATCAACCATTGCTAACCATCAAATGCTCAGATGTGAAAGGCTAGCCTACTCCCTCTCTTTGGGGCCAAAAGACACTCAGACTTGGTCTGGGGGTAAAGAATAAATTTTAATCTCTCTTAGGGTAGGGGTTCTGGTGAGGCTGCTCTCTGGGCGGGGCCACAGAGCCATGCACTCGCACGCGGTACAGGCAAGTGAAGCCTGGGTTCCCCCAGTTGCTTGAGATCTTCACCTTGACCGCACTGAAAGCCCGGGCCGGCTGGTTCTGGAAGAGAATCAGTCACAGAGGCAGCTCACCCATAGACTCCCACCCTGCCTTTCCAAAGGTGGGGAGTGGAAGGGAAGTTTCCCATTTCATAGGTGGGAAAACTAAGGCCCAGACAGGAGGATGGACTGTCCCAAGGCCTCACAGCAAGTCGATATTCAGGAGCTCTTACTGAAGATGCTGAGGCCAGAAGGACAGACATGCTGTGGGTAAGGAAATGTCCTGGCCTTAATGCTGTGGGATCTTGGGCAAACCTCCACCCTTTCTGGGCCTCAGTCTCCCACTCCTGCCCTGCCCCGCCCGTAAGATGGGAATGGTAATATCTGCTTCCCAGGATTGCGGTGGGCATGAAATGAGATTTTGGGAACAGGCGGCCTCTAGAAGAGAATCATTCACAGAGGCAGCTCATCCACAGACTCCCGGCACATAGTAAGTTCTCTGTAAGTGAGGCCCCTCCCCGTTTTTGCCAAGCAAGAGGGGGTGGAGCCTGTGTTTATTACTCTCCCTATCTAGTGTAAAAAGTGGGGCGGGCTTGGCCTTCACTGAATGTTTTCAACCTCCCAGGGAATGACAGAAGGGGAAAACTGAGGCTCCAGAGAAGCAGGGCTTGGCCCAAGCTCACACATAATTTGTGGTTGGGCAGAAATTCGGGCCAGTATGGGTTTGATTCCCAAGCCTGAACCTTCACCCTGTCAAGCCCCAGGGCCATTCCAGTGGTCACTCCTCCGGACCTGCTTCTGTCTCCAAACCCCTCTCCTTCAGGCCTCAGTTTCCCCACCTGTGGTTGGATCCAGTGATAATTATGGGGCCACCCACTACGGAGACTCTACCTTTGGAGCCAGCAGCCCCTGCCCAATGGGAACCTCTTGCTCAGCGTCTGCTGTCCCCGGGAAGAAACACAGCAAGAGGGCTCCTGGGCTCATCAGGAAAAAGGGGACATGGCCACAGGCGGTGGGATCTCCCTGGAGTCCCATTTGGCCCTGGGTAGCGGCTCCTACTCTCTGAGCCTCAGTTTCCTTGCCTGTCAAACAGGTTAGTCATGACTGGGCACCTCCTGGGGATACTGGGGGATGAAGAGGGGGTCCCTGGGTACAGACTGCACACTGTGCATTCAGCAGGTGCTCAGCACAGGCAGCTCTTCGCAGGTACCTGGAGTGGGAACATCTGGATGATGTTTTCTGGCTGAAACTGAAATGCCCCCAGGAACACCTCCTCCTTGGGGGAGCCCTCCATGCCCTGTGGAACCAGAACCAAGGTGAAGGCGTCAGATACAAGCAGGGCCCTCAGAGGGTGTCTCCCCTCTCCAGTGGAGACTTGCACACTCCCCAGGATGGGAGCTCACTACCTCTTTGGGCACCGTTTCACTGTGGCACAGTGTAATGAATAGGAAAGAGCACTGGCCTGGGAGTCAGAGCCTGGGGGTCTATGACTAGCTCTGCCATTGACTTGTAGGATTAGGGTGTTTCCCTGATCCTTCTCTGGACCTTATTTCACCGAGACAGTTCAGATAACGCTTCGGACCTTCTTAGCAAAATGGGGGCTCCATGGTCTCTGAAGATTATCTCGGCTCTGAAAAGCTTGGTTTAAAATAGAGTAGCTGTTTATCCCCTACCCTTGAAGGCTGAAATTGGACCCCAGCGCTGGCCACTTCCAGCCTTAACCAAGCTGCATTCAGCCCCTCCAGCCTGCAAGTGTTGTGCAGACACTGTTTACCCCAGGCCTGGAATATCACCATTGGAAGGTTGTCCCTTTAGCTAAGCATAGCTCCCTGCAGGGGAGTGCTCACATAGATGACGAAGTCCTTGGGGGCGGTGTCCAGGCTGCCTGACAATGAGATGGTCTTGGGGATGTGCTGCAGCGTGAGGTTGGACAGGTAAACCTTCTGAGCCAATTGGATGGTCACCTGGCCGCGGTCACCCTCAAAGGCCCAGCAATTGCCAGGTGTCACGTTGGGCTAGAAGAGGCAAGTACAATAAGGGATATGCTGGGTGGGTAGGGGGATCATCCCACCTTTGATCCCCTGTACTTCCTGGGACCTCCTGGGTGAGCCAGTCCTTTCTTGTCTCCAAAGCTTGGCTCAAGTGCCACCCCCTCCAGGAAGCTCTCCTGACTACCCATGCAGGGGGTAAGCCTTACTTCAGTTCAATGCAGTAAGGGAGGGGCCTGCTTGGGACCTCCCAGCCTCCACCCGCTCCCCACTGGCACCCATTCATTCATTCATTTACTCACTCACTCATTCATTCATTCACTCATTCATCCCTCCCATTATTCTTTACATGGTCTTACAATCACCCCATGACTTAGGCATCATCACTATCCCCGTTTTGAAGGTGAGGAAACTGAGTTGGGGGAGCAGGACAATGACTGGTCCAGGGCCATGCAGAGCTGGAAGTGCAGCCCAGGGAATCTGACCTTGGAACTTGCCATTAAGCACCACGATCTCCTGCCCCACAGACGGGGAAACAGGCCCAGGGAGAGAAAGAGGTTTGATGGAAATCACCCAGGAAAGGCGATTACTCGGTCGGTTCTGAGCTTCTGGAGCCATGGCATGGACAGTCCTTATTTGAACAGTGGATGCTAGCCCAGGGGTGCAGGGGGCTGTGGGTGTCAGGGAAGGCCTCCTGAGGAGCTGGGGCCAGGGGAGATGAGGAGCCAGCTGGGAAAGGGAGCTAAGGGAACAGCACGGGAAAGGACCAGGGGCGAGCCAGGCTTGATGATGTGAGGACCTGGAGAGCTCAGTCAGGCTGGAGCTGGGAGAGGGCCCAGGAGGGGCAGAGTCTTGGCTGGGCTGCTTTTCACTACTGCTCCAAACCTGACTGCAGCCAGCGCTTTGCAACCCAGCCACTGCCCGCCGCGTCCCCCGCCCCAGCCTGGATGTGTGCACCACCCCCCACTCCCGGGCCCTGTGCTTGGCCTGTGCCCCTGCGTTCTATCTGCCTGCGGATCTGCTAGTCCTCGGCTGCGGCCACCAGGAAGCCCCTTGCCCCGTCCAAGCTGAGCAAGGCCAATGCCCCAGCTTGACCTCGAGTGCCAAGATCTTGGAGCTCCTTAAGGTAGAACCCACGGATGAGTGGCCTGTGACCTTTTGGCATCACCCAGGGTGTGCCACTGGGATGACACTCTCAGCCAGTGTTCACTGAATGAAGGCACCTGCTTTGTGACCAGGACAAGCCCTTTCCTTCTCTGGGCCTCATTTTCCTCATCTGTGAGGCAGGATCCTGGAGGGCTGAAGAGCTCAGGTTTGAACTCTGGCTCTGCTACATACTAGTGACCAGCTCTGTGGCCACAGTCAAGTGACCTGGCTCTTTGAGCCTCAGTTTCCTTTTCTGCAAAATGGGTCTATGATGGGCCCATGCCCAGTGTAGTCCTGAGGTTTCTCTGACCCTCAAATCTTAAGGGCTGAGTGGTGGGGTCCCTCCCAATGCCAAAGCAAGCTGTCCCTCTGTTTCGCTCCTACCCTAGCCCCAGCAGCCCCTGCTGTCTGTTCTCACCTCCTGCCCCCGCCTTCTCCCCAGCCCCCGCCTTGTCAGTAGCCCCCTCCTTCTGCTCCCTGCCTTTGCCCCTGCATCTGTCTCCTGCTCCTACCTCTAACCCCGCCCCTGCCCCCACTCCCTTTGCTCCCACCCCCTACCTCTTCTGCCAGCTCCTGTCCCCAAACCCTGCCCGGACCACTCCCCTGCCGCTGTCCCATCTCCCGCCATCCCCCCTGCCTCAAGGATCACGTCTGGGGGCTGTGCGTAGTTCCACAGCTGGATCCAGTTCCAGTAGGAGTGGGCCTTCTCATGGTTATAGGTGACTGACGTGTGCTCAAAGTCAATGCTGGCCCCTGTATAGGAGAAGGGGGTCTCAGCCAAGCAGCCGGGCTTCTGCCTGGTGGAGGGGACGCCACTGATGGGCCCTGACTATGTGCCGGGCGAGCATTTTGGATGAGTCACTGGCCCTGTTCTCCTCTAGGAAATGTGATTACAGCCATGTTAATAATGGTAATCATGGTGGCTATTATTTTTTATTTTATCTTATATTTTTTGAGATGGAGTCTTGCTCAGTCCCCAGGCTGGATTGCAGTGGCGCGATCTTGGCTCACGGCAACCTCTGCCTCCCAGGTTAAAGCAATTCTCATGGTGGCTATTATTAGCAGAGCCATGGTGGTGGCAACGGCCCCCACGTCATAGGGCTGCTGTGGCGCTGAGATGAATCATCAGAGCACGTTTCCCAAAGTGCCTGGCACAGGGTAAGCGCTCCCCACGTAACAGTCTTGTGATGACGACCGACACCCATTGTGCAGAGGAGGAAATTCCAGCTCTGAGAGGCTAAGTGAGGCCCAGTGTCACTCAGGGGCTGGGCTGACACTATCTGACCCCGCGTCTCACTGATCCTGGGGGTGCCCGAGTTGGAGGTGCTGCCTGGTAGGGGTTTGCGTTGGGGGC
Organism: Homo sapiens; assembly: GCF_000001405.40. Classification (NCBI taxonomy): domain Eukaryota; kingdom Metazoa; phylum Chordata; class Mammalia; order Primates; family Hominidae; genus Homo; species Homo sapiens. The sequence continues at coordinate 32,988,377 of NC_000020.11, forward strand.
AGCCTGCGGCCCATACTTTGCCTCCTCCCAGCTGTCCCTGAATGGCTCTCACCGGCCTCCTCACAGCCTCCCTTTGTCTGGAGTACTTTCTCTCCTCACCAAGTCTCAGCCCAAACGTTCTCCTGAGAGGGAGGCCTCTCTGCCCAGGTCCCCTCCCTCCTCGCCACCTGCCTTATTCTTCCGGAAGCACTGATTATTATTTTATTTATTTATTTATTTATTTATTTATTGAGACAGAGTCTGGCTCTGTTGCCCAGGCTGGAGTGCAGTGGCGCGATCCTGGCTCACCGCAACCTCCGTCCCCCAGGTTCAAACGATTCTCCTGCCTCAGCCTCCCGAGTAGCTGGGATTATAGGTGCCCACAACCACGCCCAGCTAACTTTTGTATTTTTAGTAGAGATGGGGTTTTACCATGTTGGCCAGGCTGGTTTTGAACTTCTGACCTCAGGTGATCCGCCTTCCTCGGCCTCCCAAAGTGCTGGGATTATAGGTGTGAGCCACCAAGCCCAGCCCTGAAGCACTGATTCTTTTTTTTATTATTATTATTTTACTTTTTTTATTTTTTGTGAGAAGCAGTCTCTCTCTGTCGCCCAGGCTGGAGTGCTGTGGCGCGATCTAGGCTCACTGCAAGCTCTGCCTCCCGGGTTTACCCCATTCTCCTACCTCAGCCTCCCGAGTAGCTGGGACTACAGGCGCCCACCACCACGCTCAGCTAATTTTTTGTATTTTTAGTAGAGACGGGGTTTCACCGTGTTAGCCAGGATGGTCTCGATCTCCTGACCTCGTGATCTGCCCGCCTTGGCCTCCCAAAGTGCTGGGATTACAGGCGTGAGCCACCACACCTGGCCGAAGCACTGATTCTTGACTGCGGGTTGGAGATGGCTCTGTCTTGCTGACCTGTGTGCCCAGCATCGGGTTTGGAGAAGAGTGGTGGGTGGGGGTGGTGGAGAGGTAAAGCCAAGAACAGCCTAAGCACATAGTAGGGTCTTTATAGATCTTCTATAATGTTGAGGGCCTGTGGATTCCCGTGTTCCCTCCCACCCCACCCCACCCCTACCCCCATACCCCACCCCGTCCCAGAACCCCTTGAGAGAAAACAAAATTGTAGCAAGAAAACCAGCTTGGAACAGAGGATGAACTTCCCAGCGGCAGAGGGAGTACCACACCAGAACTGAAACCCACCCTGTGTACAGCTTCCCAGGACACTTGAGGCAGTCAGATGGTGGGGAAGGGGGTCACCTACCTATAGACTTCAGGGCAAAGTCTGGCTTTTCGATGTAATCTCCGTGTATCATCTTCATTATTTTCTGGGCCATTTTTTGCTGAAAAGGCAGAAAACACAAGTTGTGCCCTGGTGTGTTGTCACGGACTGTGATCCCCACGTGTCCACGGGAGGTAACAGGGGGCTGCAGGACGCTGTCCTCTCCCTAACAGCCCACCCCTGCCTGTGGAAGCCTGTGGCTCTGTGAAAGCCCAGGTGACACAAAGCCATCCTGACCCCACCCTGGGTTCACTGGGTGCTTTCAAGTCCACTGTGACCAGATGTCATATGGAGGTCCCGGAGTCTCAGTGAGGTTCAGGCAGGGGCTCTGACGTCAGGCCAACTTTTACTGTTGTGGGGCCTTGGGCAACTTACTGCCCCTCTGAGTCTCGATATTCTCACCTGTAAGACGGGGACAATAATCGTGTCTACCTCCCACTGTGGATCTGTAAAGCCCCTACTATGTGCCAGGGCTATCCTCGGCTTCACATATGCTCACCCTATCCCCTCCCAGCACCCCTAAGAAGTATGCACTATTATCATCCTTGTATTAAAGATGAGAATACTGAGGCACAAAGGTGTAGCTTGTTCAAGATCACCCAGCTGGTATGAGGCAGAGCGATCACTGTGGTTCCAGAGTTCAGGCCCTTAACCGCTCCACTCTGCTGCCAGATGCGGATGGCAAAGCACTTAGCACAGTAGGTGCACAATAAATACCAGCTGTTCTTTTTATTAGACTCTTCACAGTGGTGGAAGATTCTGTTTTCCAAAAATGGCTGCAACAAGGTCTCCCATTCCAGGCTCTTCTTTCAGTGTGACCTCCCACTGAGAGTTGGGGTCTAAGCTCCCTTCCCACCAGTCTGGGCTAATGACTTGGCAGAAGTGATGCTGTGTGACATCTAGGGCTAAGTCCTAAAAAATGATACAGCACTGCCTGGTTCTCTGGGGACAGCCACTCCTGGAGGCCAGCTGCCATGTTGAGAGGAAGCCCAGGCCACACGGAGAGGCCACAGATGGGTGCTTTGATCAACAGCCGTAACTGAGTCCCAGTTGATAGCCAGCATCAATCTCCAGTCACGTGAGTGAATCCAGATGATTCCAGCCCCAGATGTAGAGTCACCTCCAGCCTTCAAGTCTTCCCAGCTGAGGCCCCAGATACCATGGAACACAGACAAGCCATCTCCACTGTGTCCTGTCTGAATTCCTAACCCACAGAATCTCTGAGCACAAGTGGTTGTTTCACACCCCTAAGTTTTGGGATGGTTTGCTATGTGGCAATGGTAACTAGAACAATAGCCAGGGTGTTACAAGGCAGTGATTATGATTCTGTCTTGTTGATGTGCAAACTGGAGGCTCAGAGAGGTTGATGACCTGCCTGAGGTTACACAGCTCCAAAAGGCAAAAAAATCCCCAACTCCTCCCCTCGTTTACTGGGGACAATAATCTCACCTATTACTTTTCAAAACTGGGTCGCCAACCCTAAGGAATTTCCCTGATGGCCCCCACCCTTTCTCTGCCCCAAGGCTGAGTGCAGTCTTCTTCTCTGGGATCCACAGGTGCTGGGACTGGCTTGAGGGCAAGGACGAGCTCTAGTTGATCCCCGATCCTGGATCCCCAGCACGCAGTAGGCACTTAATGATTGCACATTGATGAGTGCATGCCTTTGGATTCTGCCTTTGTTTAAATGCAACACACATTTAGGGAGCACTCACCATAGGACAGACATTAGTCTAAGTTTACATGAATTACCATGTTTAATCCTTACAACTCATCTTCTAGATGAAGAAACTGAGGCACAAAGACGGTAAGTAAATTGACCAGAGTCACACAGCTTATAGGTGGTGGGGATGAAATTCAAAGCCTAGCAGCCTGACTCTAGAGCCAGTCCTTATAATCACTATACCTTACTGCCTTTGTAAGTCATAGCGGGGCTTCCCTCCCCACTGCAGAGGAAACACCTGCCAAGAGCCTCACTTGACAGTGAGTGACTGACACGGTCTCTCCTCCTGGGTCTGTCTGAACAGAGCTTAGAGGGGAGATTCAGGGGCACTGGAGACCTAGGACTTTGGGACAATAAAAGATAAAGATGAGTTTTAGCAAATTTTGCTGAATCTTGCACAATGGAATTTATCTTTGTGAACTCTTTTAAAAATTCAACTTCTAGGTAAAGTTGATGGATCGAAGACATCACGTAATTTTAGTTTCTCCCAACACTCCATTACAGCTTCAGTAAAGGGATTTGAAAAGACCCAAACCCATATGAACAGGAAGCACAGGAGAGGAGAAAACCAGGCTGCTGCGTATGGTTGTGCACGTTGCGCACAGCAGAAAGGTTCCCAGTTGAGGGGCCCTGTGTGGGTGCTGAAACCCAGCTCTTCCCCTGTTCTTTGATTTGGAGGAAGGTGCATTTTGCGAATTCATCTGCCCAGCACAGATAGTTTTTTCCAGTCTGCAAAAAGGCACAATGTGTCCCAGCAGTGGCCCTGGAGACAGCAGCAATATTCTGGAAGTTGTCCTACACCTTGTAGGATGTTTAGCAGCATCCTTGGCTACCCACTAGATGCCAGTAGCGTCTCCTCCTCACATTGTAACAACCAAATATATCTCCAGACATTGCTGGATGTTCCCCAGGGGGCAAAATAATCCCCAATTGAGAACCACTGATTTAGCAGAAATGAGAAATCTGAATCCGAAACTGGCCATCCTCAAAAAGCTCAGGATTGGTGGCCTTAGGTGCCCCTGAAATTGGGGTAGAGAATTGGGTGTTAAGACAGTTAAGAGGAATCTGCATATTCCCTGGGGACTCCCTCTCACTCTGAGAAGCTGAGTGGACTTCTCTGTTCCCCAGTAGAAGACTAGAAGTTATTCTCTGGAGAGGGTAAAACAGAAGGGCTCTGTTGGGACAGGTGAAGGTTTCTTAAATAGGATACCCAAAGCACTGCACAAAAAAACATAGATACACTGGACTTAATTAAAATTAGACATTTTTGTTCATCACCATTGAGAGTGAAAAGCCACGCTATAGCCTGGGAGGAGATATTTGCAATATGTACATCCAATAAAATATGTTTACCCAGAACACAGAAGAACTCCGACATATCAATAAGAAATGGCACTCTCCCCCAAAAGGCAACAGACAAAATCCAAATGGCCGCTGGATACAAGAAAAGACACTCCACATTATTAACAACCAGAAATGCAAATTAAAGCCATAGTGAGATACCACTTCTCACCCTGCAGAATAAAGTAAAAAAGACATATGACACCAATTGCTGGTGAGAATGTGGGACAACTGGAATTTGCATATATTTTTCATGGGAGCGTAAATTGAAAAACTATTTGGCAGCATCTAATAACATGAACACACTCATACCTCATGATCCAGCAATTCCACTCCTAGTTATATCTACCGCCAAGATCAATAAGTATATATGTTCACCCAATGATATGAAAAAAATTATAATTGTTCAGGAGCAGACATTCAAACAACAGGAGCTTCAAAAATAAGAATAGAGCAAATGCTGCTGTGGGAAATCACCAATTTAGTCACATGAATAAATAACATTTCTTAGGCCCAAAGGCCAGGAGTTTCCAGATTGACGGATTCCAAAGGGTGGCCAGCCCATAGGCACATCTGTGGAAGCAACAAGGACCAGATGAACTAAAATTCTGCAGAGCAGAAAACCATTCTGAGATGTGCTGGCATTTTTTGTCCGTTTGTTTTAAATCTCTGGGGGTATTTGACGATTCTAGGCATAGGCTAAGGATCTGGGCTTAGGCCAGACAATGGGCTGCTGCTACTGGTGAAAGAGAAGGAAGCAAAGTTCTTAATGGTGACAAAGAGCTAAAGTAACAAAACTGGGGACTTGAGGAGCCTCAAATATGGCCACTTTTCTTCACAAGGTATTAACTGAATTTCAAGACTATAGGAGGCTATAGGCCACTTCAAACATTTCTGAAAAGCAGAATAAAACTTCATATCTTCACAGTGCTTAGGAAACGAAGTCCCTTTGAGGGAGGGCACCGCAAAACACAACAAGCAAGAGATCAAGGCCTTAGAACAGTGATTCTCTCTGGTATATGTCAGAACCACCTGGAAGGCTTGCTGGAACACAGATGATTGGTTTGCATCTTCAGAGCCTCTGATTCAGAAGGTCTGAGTGAGGCCTATTAATTCGAATTGTTAACATTTTCCCAGGTGATACTGATGATGCAGGCACGTGGGCCGTGGGCCGTACTTTGAGATCCATTACCCTAGAAGGGGTGGTGATGAGTCAATACTGTGCTTCAGCTGCACTTCACCTGGGGGCACTAAATCAATCCTGGGCACAATTAGAACCCAGGAATCCAAGTTTGCTCCTGGCGGAGAAGGCTGCCACCAGGCCCAGAGATTTTTGCGTTCATGCAGGGGTGAGAGACACATTTGGAGACTTGTGAGGCCTCAAACATACAGTAAGTCTGCCACTAAGACAGTTGTCAAATTTTTGAAGCTGCATGGGAAGGAGTCTAAAGAGTTAAGCTTAAAACCTCTGGATAAATTTTTTTAAAATTGTGATCCAGGTCTGTCTGAACTAGCTTAGTGCATGTCTAGATAGAAGTGACCAGTCTATTTCATCCTCCTTATAAAGAAAAGGGGAACTTTCTCTAGTGGAATTATAATTATTTGGAACAGCTACAGTTCTTTTGTATACAATGTTGAGAAACCACTAAAAGTTACTAGACTTGAAGAGGCAAGACCATATCATTGATACCCAAGATAAAAAGCAGAAAACAGAGGGAGGCCACAGATGATCCAGACATTGGAGTTAGCAGACAAGGATTTTTAAAATAACTGTTGCTAATGTGTTAATTAAAATAAAGGAAAAGATGGACAACATAGGTGAAATGTTGGGGAATTTCACCACAGAATTAAAGTCTGTGAAAAAAATCAAATGTATATCCTAGAACTAAACAATGCAGTATCTGAAATTAAGAACTAAGGCTGGATGCAGTGGCTCACGTCTGTAATCTTAGCACTTTAGGAGGCTGAGGCAGGTGGATCACTTGAGGTCAGGAGTTCAAGACCAGCCAAGTCGACATGGTGAAACCCTGTCTCCACTAAAAATATAAAAATTAGCTGAGCGTGGTAATGTGCACCTGCAATCCCAGCTACTCAGGTGTAGGATGCACTTGAACCCAGGAGGCAGAGGTTGCAGTGAGCTGCCTGGGCGACAGAGGGAGACTCCATTAAAAAAACAAAAAGAACTAAATGCATGGATTTAATAATAAATTGGAGAGACAGAATGATGCAAGATTATTAGTAAACCTGAAGAAAGGTTAATAGGAAAATATCAAAACATAAGCACATAACAGAAAAAGAATGAAAAAACAAACCAGGTAATAGCGTAGGAATCACATAAAGCACTCTAAAGGCTTTCAAAGCATAGGCCTAGCATAGGTGTAATTAGAATCCAAGGAAAGGAGACAGATAATGGAAAGAAGAAATATTTTAAGAGATAAAAGGTAAAAGTTTCCCAAAACTATTGAAAAATATCAACCCACAGATTTAATAAGCTCGGCAAACCACAAACCAGGTTATATGAGGAACATTAGAGACAAAAAGATTTTTCTACAAGCTCCCAGGGATAAAAAATAGATCATACTCAAAGGATCAATAATAAGAGTGCCATTAGACTTCTCATTAGCAACAGTATAAACTATAATAGAGTGGTGGGCTTCCTTCAACATTCTCAGGAGAAACTATTTCATATTTAGAATTCTGTACCCAGCCAAACTATCAACCAAGTACAAGGATAGAAAAAGATGCTTTTAAACATACAAGCACTAAAAATATACTTCTTTCACTGTATTCCTGAAAGTCACTGGGGGATGTGCTCCCTCAAAATGAGAGATAAAACCAAGAAAGAACACTTGAGGTATAGGAAACAGGACATCAAACAAAGAGAAATTAGATGTTTGGGGCAGAATGGCCAGCGTCTCACCTCATCGGACATGGCTTCCATCTCCTGGAGCTTGGCAATGAGCTGGTTCATGCTACCTCGGAGGTCCTGGATTTCCCCACTGTGATGTCGCACCTTCTCCTGGTACAACCTTATCAGGAAGGAGTGATAACAAGAACAGGTTGATTTGTGATGCGTTGTTGTTACCCTCAGATTTTCCCTTTGCTAGTTGGCTCTCAAAGAATGAGTTTCAGATTTTCCTAATCTCTTGGGCCCATCCCTGGACCCATTCATCAGGTTATTATCTCTAAAACATTACTCATTCTCTTCTTTCTGCTTGGAATATCTTTATACCCAGCTCATTCCTTCCAAATATTCCTGAGTATTTTGTCTGCAATTAAGGATGCTGCCATCAGGTGGTGTCTTGGTTAAAATTTCTTCTCAGCTACCATTTGCTGAGCACTGACTATGGGTCAGGAGCTATTCAAGACACTTTGCATCTTCTTTAGCACCCATAATTGCCAAGAGCAAGATGGGTGTTATGCTTCATCTCATAAATGAGGAGTCAAAGGCCCAGAGAGAATAGGTGACTTGCCTAAGGTCAGCCATGTAGAAGGCATGGGAGTTAGGATTTAAACCCAGGTTGATCTGACTGCAGAGCCTATATTTGTAGCCAATACACCCCAGATTCTGGCTATAGCTCTGCTTTTTAGGTAATAATATGGTTACCCAGAAGATTCCTCTTACCTCAAGCTCTGCAGTGGACCATTTATGCTGTCATCCTGGTGGAGTATTGAGAAAGTAAGGGGTCTCCTTCAGATGGCTTAATCTGGCCCCAGGAGAACTTCATCCATCTATTCTCCCACAATTATAAACCCATACATTCATCCACTTTCCTGTTGACTCTTCCACCCGTCTACCCACCTATCATTTCTCCAAACTCTAATTTACTGCCCTTTTTATTCATCCTTCCAGACTTTTATCCATCCATCCACACCTTCATCCATCCACCCTTATACCCACCCACCCTCCCTTATCCATCTGTTCTTCCAACTCCCCAACTTCCCCCATCTATTTACACTCCAATCCATATACCCTAACCCATCTACCCACTCTTTCATTCATCCATCTATCCACCAACCCACCCACCCACTCATCTATCCCATCTGCTCTTGCATCCACCCATCATTTCATCCACCCATTCACCTATTCATGTATTCACCTAGCCTCCTATCTCTTTCCCCTAGTCCTACATCCATCAAATCCAACCTTCCATCTGTCCATCCTCCCATCCATTCTCTCTCCATGCACACTCCCATCTGGCCATCCAGTCATCCAACATGGATAGTGGCAACCCTGTTGCTGGCACCAAACTAAACATTGCTGGGGTGAATAGGACCTGGCTCCTTCCTTCAAGAAGCTGCCAGTACAGTTGGAGAGACAGTCATGACCACAGAAAATTATCGGAGGAAAGAGGAATGTGACAACTTCTGCCTGGGTGTTTCTAGAGGAGGTGATATTTTAGCCGGACCTTGATGGACCTTGATGGATATGAAGGGGTTCATAAGGAGGAAAAGAGGAGAGGGAGGGACAGGCCTTTCAGATTCCCTTTCTGAGGTCCTCTGAGACTTTTTGCAGACCTCATGTAGGGAGTTTCGCTACTTATTTCCTCCTCCTTCCTCCTCAGAAACCTGAAAGCAAATGAGTATCATTGCTGTTAAGCAGAAGGACAAGCTGCCTTAAGTACAGAAATGTGTTCCCTGTTATCACCACCCCACTTTAAGTGGGGCCTTGAGAAAGGAGAGATGGGTCATCTCTGAGAGTCAATACAGGAGAGCCATCTTGGAGGAGGGACTATTGCATCCAATCTTTGAAAGTCACCTCTGGCAGAGAGATGGGTTCTAGGTGGATGGTACGATGAAGGGTGAGATTTGGATCTGGGTCAAGTCAGGAACTGATGAGGGGCCCCATTTGGTGAGAATGAATGGAGCTGTGGAGGTGATATTGACTGGTTAGGGTGAGACCTGTCAGCTGTGGGGCCTGAGGAGGGTGCACACTCACCTGCCAGACTTTCATTTTCGATGGTAAGTGAATAGAAAACATCCAGAATCCTGTGAGGCCATGAGAATAAGAATGAGCCATTTAACATGCAAGATGAAGAGCCTAGGTGCTGGAGTTAGGACATCTGGGTTCAAATCCCAGCTATGCCACTTGCCAGCATTGTGCAACACTGGGGGAATTACTTAATGCTCTATGCCTCTGTTCCCTCCTCTGTAAAATAAGAATAACAATAATATCCACTTCATGATCAGATGATATCAAATGTGTAATACATGGCACATAAACCAAGTCATCTGTGGCTCCCCCTTCCCTGTTCCAACTCTACTGGGGATAACTGGCAAAGAGAAGAAGGCGCTCTGCATTTTATGATCTCCATGCTGGCTGAAAAGCCACCATTCAAGCCATTATTTAAAAGTCTTGGCCAGGTGTGGTGGCTCACGCCCATAATCCCAGCACTTTGGAAGGCTGAGGCAGGCAGATCACTTAAGCCCAGGAGTTCAAGACCAGTCTGGCCAATGTGGTGAAACCCCATCTCTACAAAAAAAAAAAAAAAAAAAAAAAATACAAAAATTAGCCCGGTGTGGTGCACGTCTATAGTCCCAGCTACCCGGAGGCCGAAGTGGGAGGATCACTTGTGCCAGGAAGTCGAGGCTGCAGTGAGCTGTGATCCACTGCACTCCAGCCTGGGCAACAGAGTTGAGACCCTGTCTAAAAAACAAACAGCTTTTACTGAGGCAGCAGAATCGCTTGAACCCGGGAGGCAGAGGTTGCAGTGAGCCGAGATCATGCTGCTGCATTCCAGCCTGGGTGACAGAGACTCTGTCTCAAAAAACCCCAAAAACCAAAAAACAAAAACAGCCTTTAAAATTTATTTATTCTTCTTGATAAAACCCTCAACGAACTAGGAATAGAAGGGAAACTCCTCACCATGATAAAGACCATCCATGAAGAGCTCACAGCTCACATCCTATTTAATGGTGAAAGACTGGGCGCTTTTCCCCTAAGATCAGGGATGAGACAGGGATGCTTCCTCTTGCTAGTTCTATTTAACATGGTACTGGAGGTTCTAGCCAGGCCAGTTAGTCAAGAAAAAGAAGTAGGCCAGGCGTGGTGTCTCACACCTGTAATCCTAGCACTTTGGGAGGCTGAGATACGATGGTTTGAGGCTGGGAGTTCTAGACCAAACCGGGCAACACAACAAGACTCAATCTCTCCAAAAAAAAAAAAATTTAAACAAAAATTAAAAAATTAGCTGGGGGTGATGGTGCACGCTTATAGTCCTAGCTACTCAGGAGGCTGATGTGGGAGGATCACTTGAACTCAGGAGTTTGAGGCTGCAGTGAGCTATGATTGCACCACTGCACTCCAGCCTAAGTGACAGAGACAGACCCTGTCTTAAAAAACAAAAAAGAAGTAAAGGTCGTCCAGATTATCATGCAGAAAAGAGTTAAACTACCACTATTTGCAAATGACATGATCTTGCATTAGAATTCTAAGGGATCCAAGGTTAGGTGTCTTGCCTTGTGTTATAACTAAAAATCGGGTTCAGCAAGGTTGCAGGATACAAGATCAAGGTACAAAAAGTCAGCTGTATTTCTATATACTAGCAATAGATAACCTGAAAACAAAATTAAGAAACCCATTTCTAATAGCGTCACAATAAAGGTGTTATTTAGGCTGGGCACGATGGCTCACGTCTGTAATCCCAGCACTTTGGGAGGCCAAGGTGGGTGGATCATGAGGTCAGGAGTTCAAGACCAGCCTGGCCAAGATGATGAAACCCCATCCCTACTAAAAATACAAAAATTAGCAGGGTGTGGTGGCGCGCGCCTGTAGTCCCAGCTACTCGGGAGACTGAGGCAGAGAATTGCTTGAACCCGGGAGGCGGAGGTTGCAGTGAGCCGAGGTTGCGCCACTGCACTCCAGCTTGGCAACAGAGTGAGACTCTGTCTCAACAACAACAAAGGTGTTATTTATCGAAGTCCTAGTTGTTGGATTTTAAAGTGGGACGGTTCTCTAGGATTCACTGTCTATTTTCCCATGGGGAGCTGATTCTCCCTCCCTACCCCACCCCCAGCCTCCACTCCAAAGCCAGTATATGTCAGTGGAGGGAGGAGATTCCTTTGCTTGGGAAAGCTAAGCTGTGTTGTGCGAGGTGGGGGTGGTGGCTGGAAAGAAGCCATGGAAACCCAGAAAGCGGAAGTAACAATGTTCATAACACGGTTTGGGGAGAGCTTTATAACTTCTGAAGCATTTCTTGGCTTCTACAATATTTTCATGGTCATCATTTCATTTCATAATTCTCACAGCAACACCCATCAGGCAGATGGGGAAACTGAGTCACGTGGCAGTGCAGTGTCTTGCCCAGTGTCCTATAATCAGTGCCAGGGCCCAGGGATACCTCCACCTGGGACTGGGCAGGGCCCTGGGACACACCGAAAGCACAGAGGAGCAGAATGCCTGTCTTCTCCATGAGCTTCTGGCACAGCAGCTTGCATCTGGAAGGCAGGGAGTGGTGGTCAAGATCAGGTGGGCAAGGCCCTGCCAAGTGTTCACCCTCCTCCTCGTCACTCTCTTTCTCCGTAGGCATGCTGTTTGCCCTATCCCTTCTTCTCTCCCTGGTAAACGTGTCCTTCAGGATTCAGCTCAAATGTCCCCTCCTCCAAAGACCTCCACAGGCAATGCTCCCAACCCTGTGAACTTGGCAATGTTTTGGTGCCTGCCTTTCCCACCTGACTGGGAGCTCATGAGTGGCAGGGCTGAGCTAGGCTCAGAATAGATGTTAAGAAAACATTTAAAATTTAAACTTCAAATGAATGAATGAATGAGGTGGATATATCTGCTGGAGTTTGGAAGAATTTCCAAGGACAGCAAAGGAAAAGGGAAGGAAAGAATGGGGCAGGCCCTCCAGGCAGGAAGAACAGCATGTGCTGGGCTGGGTGCGGTGGCTCATGCCTGTAATCCCAGCACTTCGGAAGGCTGAGGTGGGAGGATCACTGGAGTTTGAGACCAGCCTGGGCAACATGGTGAAACTCTGTCTCTACAAAAAATACAAAAATTAGCCAGACGTGGTGGTGTGTGCCTGTAGTCCCAGCTACTTGGGAGGCTGAGGTGGGACGATTGCTTGAATTCGAAAAGTAGAGGCTGCAGTGAGCCGTGATGGCACCACCGCACTCCAGCCCTGGCGGTAGAGTGAAACCCTGTCTAAAAAAAAAAAAAAAAAAAGTTAACAGCACGTGCAAATGTGTGGAGGTGGGAATAGGAATAGGAATGGTGTGCCCAGGGAGTGAGAACCCTGGCCTTGCTGGCCCAATGGGTCCCTGGCAGGAAGCCAAGTGAGAGCAGCTTGGAAAGGAAGGGTGGGACAGGATTCCAGGACACTGCAGGCTGAGGGGCTGGAGCAATGGGGGGCCACAGTGGGTTCTGGGGTGGGAGTGTTTGATAAAAGCCAGGTTTGGGATAGCTTTTCTGGTCTGGCTACCAAGGGGAGATCCAAACTGATGGAGGGGCTGTTATGGTCCCCAGCTGCCATTTCCCACTCCCCATCCACCCTCCCCCTGCCTTCCCTGCTCACCTGCACGTGTTAAACAGAACCTGCTGGGCCTGAGTTCTCAGGGAGCAGGCAAAACAGGTGAACCAGGCTGCACGGGAGACAGAAAAGCAGTGACTCACTACGCCCTCATCTTTGTCCCACTACAAGGACCTGCTGACCTTTCTGGGGCTGGGGGAGGCCCTGGAGCTGGGAGACCCTCTCGACTTGTTGGCCGAGCCTGGGACAGAACCAGGCTCTGCTTATGGGTACGCACTAGCCTGGAGTGAGTACAGGTCACTACAGGTGGGCACTGGTTGCCACTGGCAGTTAACAGACATTTTCTTTCTTTCTTCTTTCTTTCTTTCTTTCTTTCTTTCTTTCTTTCTTTCTTTCTTTTCTTCCTTCCTTCCTTTCTTTCTTTTTTCTTCTTTCTCTCCTTTCTTTCTTTCTTTTTCTTTTCTTTCTTTCTTTTCCTCCCTCCCTCCCTCCCTCCCTCCCTTCCTTCCTTCTTTCCTTTTTGACAGAGTCTCACTCTGTCACCCAGGCTGGAGTGCAGTGGCATGACCTCGGCTCACTGCAACCTCCACCTCCCAAGTTCAAGCGATTCTCTTGCCTCAGCCTCCTGAGTAGCTGGGACTACAAGTGCGTGCCACCACGCCCGGCTAATTTTTGTGGGGTTTCACTGTATTGGCCAGGTTGGTCTCAAACTCCTGACCTCGTGATCTGCCCGCCTTGGCCTCCCAAAGTGCTGGGATTACAGGCATGAGCCACTGCGCTTGGCCAATAAACACTTAATCGTGACTCAGGAGCACAAAAGGCCTGGAATGTAACAATGCCCATTTCTAGACACTGGGAGCTTGGCAAGAGCTGGGGCCTTGTCTGGTTCATCCCAGAATGCCCACTATGGAGCTAGGCAAAAAGTAGGGGACTCAGAATTGACAGGAAGGTGAGAGGACACAGGGGTGGATGGAAGAAGGAAGAAGGGAATGGCTGTCTGGCTTGGAGGTGGATGAATCAGGAGATAGATGAGAGAATGGGAGACTGAAAGGATGGGTGGATGAACAGAAAGAGGGATGACTGGGTGGATGTACCTATGAAATAAGGTCTGGGAGAACTGATGAACTCAACAGGTGGATGGATGGGTGAAACCAGCAGCCAGACTGGTGGTAGAGGAGGGTTGGCAGTTAACTCCTCCTCCAGACAGCAAGCCTCCCTCCCAGTTCCCCTCTCCAGCCACCAAAGACTTTGGCAGGAATGATACCTCCGATGGGTAGAACTCCAGAGTTCAACCTGCAGCTCCCCACCACCCCTGCAGTCCAGGGCAGGCATTGCCACCCCCAGGTCAGCCTGGGCCGAGGCTGGACCCTCTCCCCAGACCCATATTGATGACGAAGGTGATTATTCAGTATATACGTACACACACATCCCAGCATGCACTGAGTCAGGCCTAGGGCTTGGTCATTGTTGCGGACAGGCAACAGGATGTTGTCATCTGCAGAGAGCACAGGACTGTCATGTCACTGCCAGCCTCTTGATTTGGTGCTTGCAGAGACCTAGGGAGCACCCAGAGCTTGGTGCGAACATCCCTGCCCCTGCCCCTTGCTGGGTAGCCCCAGGTTGCCCGTTTGACATCCCTGAGCCTCAGCCCCTCAGCTGCCCATGAAAATACCAGGGCACCTGTCCTTGCTCACTCATGTTTGGGGAGGTGTCCTCTGCCATCCTGCTGGTGTTCCGGCCTCGCTGGGCAATCCTGGGGATGATAAGATTCATAGTCGCATTTTACAATTATGAGGAACATAGTGTCCTTGGAATGTGCATACCACGTTCCAGATTGGGAAACTGAGGTACAGAGAAGGTTTCCCAACACCACCAGCCTGTGATTCAGGGACAGACCCAGGTCTGGCTGACCCCAAATCCAGGTATCCATCAAGGAAAAGACCCAGGTTGCTGTGGCAGTCACAGGCGGTTGTCGCCATGTCCCCGAGGTTGGCAGAAGCTTGGTTTTGTTCCTTTGTCTGCTCCTACCCAATGTGATTTTAGGCCATTTTGATTGGTCGAAGCCTGCTGTCGTGCTCCCATTCCCTGTGCTGTGATTGGTTCAAGGGTGAGGAAGTCTGCAGGGGTGAGGTAGGGTGAGGTAGGGGGGTGGTTACGAGGTAAGGGACTTGGGGGAAAAGTTAGGTTTAGGATTAGCTAAATGAGACCCACAGAAAACGATGCTTATTCTCCTTCCCCTAGACGCCACATTTCTGCGTGACACCTGAAACTGTGGTGGCCATCTTGTGACCATGAGAGGGGGCTAAAAGAGCAGAATGATGACAGGAACCTGGGTCTTGGGTGGCAGAACTGAGGAATTAACACACTCCGGAGCCCCCTGCACCTTGGGACCTCTTGATATGTGAGATTTAAAATTTTCCCTTATTTCTTAAGTCAAAGGTCTTTAAACATTTTTGTTTATACCACCTCAGAGTATTTATATTGGTTTATTAATAAATTATATATACACCCAATTGTACTAATACATTGTTTACCCTTCCCAAATGTACAGATTTATGGTAACATTCCTGAATAATATAAATTAAAAGAGGATGAAAGACATACATTCTAGCCTGGTTATTTCTTTTCTCACCCTTGGGGATTGTTTGGTATACTCTCTTGGGATATACACCCAGATTTGGGTGCCCAGAGATAGGCATCATTTTAAGTTGGAATTTCTGTCACCTGCATTCAGAGGCTTTCTGACAGATAAAGATGGCGAAATACTTGTTTCCTTCTTTCATACCAGTCTCCTGCACTAGACCGTGAGCTCCATGAGGGAACGGAGCACATCAGACTGGTGCCACACCGTGTTCCCCGTCCTCTGTGCATTTCCCGGCACACAGTAGATGCTCAATAAATGCGTGCTGGAAGGATGGCTGCTTCACCACTTCCTGGCTGGGAGACTTTGGGAATACCACTGCCAAACCTCTCTGGTCTTGGTGGCTGTCTCTGTACAGTACAGTTGACAATGCCACTCATCTCCAAGGACAGGGTGGAGGGGCAGCATTTTGTAAACTGTAAAGGGCTGGGCAAAGGGAGGGGCTGCCATCCTCACCTCCGGGGTCTGGGATTGTGGGCCACATCTTCGAGTAGGGCGCCTGGGTCCCCAGGGCTCCTTGAGGACCGTGGCATCGATTTCCTTCTTTAGGATTGGGGATGGAGATGGGAACTCTGGGAGCTGGTGAGGAGGAAGGGGCTGATGCCTCTGAATGTCCCCTGAAAAGTGCCAAGTGGAATCTGCCAGGATCAGTGGAGCAGTTGGCATTGTGACCTCACAGAGCAGGTGGGTGGAGGGGCAGGGGATGGGGCTAGTCTCCAGCTTGGCCCTAGAACCTCCCCCAGAGGAAGCCATTGTGACCCACTTTCCTTTCTTAAGATGGGGAAATTGAGGCATCAAGACAGGAAGGGCCATGCTGGGGTCTCAGAAGCTGGACAGGGGCGAGAGCTGAAGCTCCAGTAACCCAACCATGCTTTTCCTTGTTTCCTAGATCCCTTCCTGCCCCAAGCTTCCCAGGCTTTTCACCTTCTTAGGTTGCACCTGAATGCATTTTGTAATGCTGAGCTTCTCACTGGTGGACATTGTGCATAACACAAAATAACATTGCATGTGTTGTTGCTTTAATAAAGTTCTACTTTTTGTTGGGCCCGGTGGTTGATGCCTGTAATCCTAGTACTTTGAGAGGCAGAAGCGGGTGGATTGCCTGAGCTCAGGAGTTTGAGACCTGTCTGGGCAACATGGCAAAACCCCTTCTCTACTAAAAATACAAAAAATTGGCTGGGTGTGGTGGTGTGTGCCTGTAATCCCAGCTACTCGGGAGGCCGAGGCTTGAGAATTGCTTGACTCGGGAGGCGGCAGAGGTTGCCGTGAGCAGAAATCGCGCCATTGCACCCAGCCTGGGCAACAGAGTGAGACTCTATGTCCAAAAATAAAGTTCTACTTTTTTACTGGGGAAAATAAAAGCATAACCGAGTGGAAATGTCGGGCTAAGTTTTTTCTGTTCACCCTGCCTGTAGGGAGCTTGACTATTTGGATAGCAAAGCTAAAATGAATTCACTTTTGCCCCCTGGTGGCAGTTGCTTAAAATTGCAGGCTAATTACCAATGGGAAGTGGTACGATGGTCCCTCAAAGAGGCCCACACACTAAAACCTGAACATGTAAATATGTTAAGTCACAAGGCAAAAGGGAGTTAAAACTAGAAGAGCAATTTAAGTTGCTAATCAGTCGATCTTGAGATGGGAAGAATACCCTAGATTACCCATGTGGGTGCAATGTAATGACAAGGGTCCTTAAAAATGGAAGAGGGAGGCAGGGAGATGGCAGCACAAGAAGCACTCAGCCCAACATGCTGGCTTTGAAGATGGAGGAAGGGACCAGGAGCCAAGGAATAAGGGCAGCTTCTAGAAGCTGGAAAAGGCAGGTGGACAATTCCTCTCCTACAGCCTCCAGCAAGGAACACAGCCCTGCCAATACTTCCTTGATTTTAGCCCAGGGAGACCCATCTGGGACTTCAGACCTCCAGAATGGTAACATGATAAATTGTGTCTTAAGTCACTAAGTTTGTGATAATACATTATTGCAGCAACAGGACACCAATGCAAAACCCCTGAGAATATTCAGTGAAGGGGAAACTCTGAAATGCCACCACTACAATTGTTACAAGGGTCTTTCAAATGTATACTCATTCATTTATTCATTCAACAAATATTTATGCACCTAGTATGGTCCAGGTGCTGGAAACAGGGCTGAGCAGAACCAGCTCCCATCCCTGCGGATGCAGGCAAAGTGGCTGGCAGAACATTCTGCATATAGCAGGTGCTCACCAAACGGTGCTTGCCATTGCTGTCAGGAGCCGGTTGAGATCTGGGATGGGCTGGTGAGAATCTCCCTCTTTTATGTCTACTGGCTGTCACCCAAATGGCTCTTGTGCTGGAAATATTTAAGAAAAGGAAGTGTCCAGGCCAACAGCAAACACCAAGAGTGGGTTTGGTCAATATTTGCGCCTCTGTCCACTGAGTCTGCTGTTTGCATCAGCTATGGTGAGGGCGCAGGAGGGGCCGGTCTTGGGCATTGGTGGACAGACCAAGGCCAGGAGCAGGGTGTCAGGGAGCTCACAGCAGGCTCTTCTCATTCCTCTTTGCGTCTAGAATAGGGGCAAGGGAGCACTGGTTGGGAGGCAGGGCTGGTTCAAGTGAGCTCCAGCTGCTCAGGGGAGGGCTTGATGGTGTCTGTGGTCAGCTTTGTAGACACTGGTGGAGGCCTAGCACAGGGTGGGCCTGGGAGCTGGGCCTGATATTTGGGCTGGTGTGGGGTCAGTGGGAGTCAAAGAGTGCCCTGGAGTTGGGGAAAGGCCCCAAGTCATCCTGTGCCAATGAAGAAAAATGGAAAGGCCATCGCCTGCTGTGCACACATATATGCACACACACAAGAACATATATACATGTACCTCCCCATCCCAGGAAACAGTCCACTTGCATACACACATGCACCTAACACCACACACTCACAGACCCACAAACACTCAGTAGGCCAAGCCCACACATGCATACATGTACACAAAACTCCCCACCTCTGTGGTCCTGTTGGATTGTGTGAATAGACACACAACACCATAAACCAAGATGCCAACGTGCCCATTTCATGTCCACACTCACACATAAGAGCACACATTTTCCCCGTACATGTGACTATGCACACACACTCACATGCATGTATCAACACAACCCTCATCCACACATGTGCATATGCAAATTCCTTCATGCGCACACACAGTTCCTTGGGTCCCATCCAGCCAAGGCGGAGGCTGACGTTTGTAATGTGGAAAGAGACCGTGGACTAATCCATTGTGAGTGGAATGTGCATTTGGAGAGAGGCTGGGATGTTAAGCTGTGGGGACAGGTCACGCACACTTTCTCTTCTGTTCCCTTCTGAGTTAGGGCTCAGTTTGTGACTGGGATCAGGGCTCAGCATGTGATCAGGGTCAGAGCTCAGTAACTGGGGTCAGGACTCAGTGTGTGAATATGTGACAGGGTCAGGGCTCAGTCAATGACTGAGGATGGTGCTCAGGTAGCCTTCTGCCCCTCCTAAAAGGGTCATGTTTCCGAGAGAGCTTGGAGGTACCAGGCTTGAGGGGTCATTGCAGCCATCCCCTTGCCTATGGGAGGGGGGATGGGGTCCTCATGGGCCCCATCCTCCCAGGCCTTGGCTGGGCATGATAAGATACCCTCCTAGAAGCAGCTTTCCTTCCAGAGATCTCCTGGCCCTCACTAAGGCCATAGCTGCCTAGCCCCAGGGGCTTGTAGTGGTTGGGAGCTGGGCCTGGCTACTGGCTACGTGGCAGCCCCAGCGCACATGTGGGATGAGACACTTTGGCAAAGGCCATGTTTGCAGGGAAAACACTTGCAACCACAAGCAAACTCGCCGCTCCCTGGGTCCCTTCCCAGTGGACTCTGCACATTGGGAGCCTTATAAAGTAGCCTCTGCATCTGCCTGCCTCGGGCAGAGGAGGGCTACCCTGGGGCTGAGAGTTCACCTGTCTCAGGAACCACCTGAGGTAGGCATGGGGCTGGGCTGGTACACCACTTCCAAGGAGGCTTGGCTTCTCTATCTGTTCAGTGGGGATGCTACCTCCAGCCACCCTCTGCAGAAGGGTCCTTCCACCCCTGGCCTTGCTGTAGGACCTGGGCAAGTGCCGCCATCCTGGGTCTCAGCAGACCCACCTGAGCCGCAGTCCCTCACTCCTGCCTGGCTCCCTCTCCCTGAGTCAGACACAGATCTGCCTATTTGGCCAGACTGAGTCAGGAGAGGATGGGGGCCATGTGAGAGGCCTACTCTTAGGCCATTTACCACCTGGCCAGGAGGGGATGAGGACAGGAGCCACCCTGGGTCCTCCCCTGGCTGAATTTGGTGGACAGCTGGACACCAAGCTGGCTGTCACACGGGGCTGGACTCCGGCATCAGGTGATACAGTCCTGGGCATCTTCTTGGGACAGGAAACTACCCTCAGTCTCCCCGTTTGGGAGTCTCACCATCCTTCTATGCCATGGCTTGGGTCCTGCACCTGGTCCCAGTCCACTGTGTGGCCCTAGGCAAGACCATTTCTTCTCTGGGCATTGCGGGTCATTTCCAGAAGGGACTCCCCCATGATTCCTGATGAAGCAAGCAAGGCAAGGTGATGGTTCCCAATGCAGAGATGCAAAAACTGATGTCTGTGGGCCTGGGGCAGGGCTGGGATCACCAGTCAGGGCTTGTTCCCTCCAGGCTGGAGTGGGGTTCGGGTGGCTCAGGGGTGGGCTGTTTTGGCTGAGCTCCCTGATGCTCATTTCTACCCCAGCCCACAGATCCTGTGGGCAGCGGCCAGGGCAGCCATGGCTTGGGCAAGTAGGCTGGGCCTGCTGCTGGCACTGCTGCTGCCCGTGGTCGGTGCCTCCACGCCAGGCACCGTGGTCCGACTCAACAAGGCAGCATTGAGCTACGGTAAGCGGTGTGTTACCCAGTGAGTGTCTGTGAGCCTGTACATGCGTGTGCAATCCTAAGTGTGTGTGCGTAGCTGTGAACTCAAAAGGCCCATGAGGACCCAGATTTTAATTGGAAGTTGTGTCCCTGGCACCCAGACAGTGCCTGACACATGGCGCTGCTCAACAAATGCTTATTACATAAATGCGTGAGGGGGGAGTACGTCATGTGGCCAGTGTGCAAGTGTGCACATGTGACTTGCTCACATGCTTTGGTGATGTGGGCATAGGTCGGTTTGAGGGGCTATTTTTACCTGTGTGTGTCTACTTATGAGTTTGAAATTTCATAGAGCTGTGCCCACGTGTGTACTTAAGTGTCGGGGAGGGTGCAAGCCCATGATGCTGCCTGGATGTGTGTGCACAGGTACGGCTGTTCACCCTGGGTGTACACGTTTGCGTATGTGGTGTGTGCACGCACGTGTGTTCTTGGGAGAGGTCTGTCTAGCACCGTGATGCAAGGAGTGTTCTAAAGTTATATCCCTTCTGAGCTCAGCGTGAGAGAACCATCCGCTCTCTGGGTCCCACTTGTGCGAGGGCTCTGTCTTACGGCTGTGCTGCTAGATCCTTCCAAGTCTTGCCCCAATCCCCTAAGGAGGGCACAATGAAGAAACTTAGCCCCAGGGAGGGACAGACATTGCCAAGGTCCAGGACGCCAGCACAAACATGTTTATTCACCTCGAGTTGCCTCCCGGTGAGAATTTGGTTTCCCACCAAAGCCAGGAGATCAGAAGCGGTTTCCCCCAAGGCCAAACTCAGATTACAGTGTGAGAAAGTCAGGTCAGACAGTAGATGGGACCTTCAGTGGCCCAGGACATGAAGCAGTGGCTCAGGGAAGTAGCAGGTTTCCCCCACCCCTGGGTAAACACAGCCTTCCGGGACCTCATATCCGGGCTGATGGGCAGGCAATGAAAGGGGTCAGTGATCCGTGCCAGAGCATGACATGGAGCCATTCATGGATGCCTGCAGGTAGGGCCATGAGGCCCGCGCCCTCCGCCGCCTTCCTGCCCTCTGCCCATCCTGTGCAAGCCTCCTTTGTCCCCAGGGAGCCCTCCCCAGCTTGCCTGCCTGTGTTTGTTTTTGGCAGAAATCTGGCTGGAGGCCCACGCTGGACGCATTGCTCCCCAGGCTGGGCTGAGTGGCTACTTCCAGTGTCCTCCCCACCCCATCCTGCAAGCCCCAGAGTTCAAACCCTGCGTCAAGGGAGCACTGTAGATGGAGTCTGAGGTCTGGGTGTGAGTTCCAGCTCAGCTGCAGATGGTTAGGTGGGAGAGGGGTGCTGGGAAACATGGAAACCACCGCCTTTATGCTTCTTGTTGGGGGAGACTAAGAACCAGAGAGGTGCAGGGACTCCTCAAGTTCCCACAGTGAGTCTGAGCAGTGGGCAGGCCTCTTGACTCCTCATTTGAAGCTCCCTTCCAGCACCATCACCTCTTATTCTAATTCAACTCCTGCTTAATTAGCACCTCTCTGGGGCTCAGCAGCACAGGTGAGTGAGGATGCCCAGAGGCTCGGGAGCCAGGTCCCTCGGTCCAAAGCCAGCTTTCCCTGGCCAGGTGCCCTCACCTCTCTGTAAACTGGGCACGATAACAGGAAAAGTAAAGCACTCAGAACAGGGCCTGGCACTACAGGATCACAACATAAACGATTGCCGCTATTATTACAAAAATAAATAGCAATGGTAGAAGCTAGCATTTGCTGTGCACTGAGTGTTTACAATGATCCTATGTGACAGATACCATTAGAATCATTGCAGATGTATAGATGGGGAAACTGAGGCACAGAGTAGCCACACAGGCAGTGAGTAGCAGTGAGCACTGCGGTTTGAAACCAGGATCTGAGAGACTCTTGAGTCCTCAGCCCCCAGGTGAGGCTGTCCCCTCCCCTCCCAAGGGACGTCCCCTCTGCTCCCATGGGCGCCTCCACAGCAGGCCAGGGATGACTGGGAGATGCCCCTTCTGCTTGGGAACTTAGGGAAGGCTCCCAGAGGAGATGGGATCTGGTTGGAACCTTGCAAGAGGGCAAAGGATTTTGTTGCTTTTGAAGGACGGGGTAAATCAGCAGGATTTTGAGAGGCAGAGTGGGAGAAGGAGGTCATGCCCAGGTGGAGAGAGCCTGATGCGAGTGGTGCACCCAAGGTGGGCTCATGGGGAGTCAGCTGCCCTCCCCATATGCTTGGAGTAAGCCTACCCCTTCCAGTCTGAGTACCCTCTGCCCAAGGTGCAGGGTAGATGGCAGGCAGTGTGTTCTTGCTACTTGGTGGTTCCCGAGGGCACCCTGACCTCACTCTACCCTGGCCCCACAGTGTCTGAAATTGGGAAAGCCCCTCTCCAGCGGGCCCTGCAGGTCACTGTCCCTCATTTCCTGGACTGGAGTGGAGAGGCGCTTCAGCCCACCAGGTGAGTGCTCCCCTCCTCCAGAGAAGGTGCTCCTGCCACCAAGTGGAGTGTTCCTGCTTGCCAGGTGGGTGCTTCAGTCCACCGGGCATGTGCTCCTGCCTGCTGGGCAGATGCTCCTATCCACGGGGCAAAGTGTTCCAGTCCACCAGATGAGCACTCTCCACTGAAGGTGAGTGCTCCCTCCCACAAGGTGAGTGGTCACAAGATGATTTAAGAGAGGGACCCAAGATGGAGAAGCCGGGCCTGGTGCCTCTGAATTAGTGAATTTCTGCCCTCAAGGGCTAAGAGTGGCTCCTGGGTCCCCAGGGCTGGCAGGACCCTCTGTTTCTAGAAACTGGATACTGAATTTAGACACGAATCTGAGCCTCCTTTACCTCCACCCTACTCTGCTTAATGCAGAAACTAAAGGCATAGGGATGTGGAGCATCCCAAACTTAGACACCCCTGGGCTGGTCAACAGTCACCTTCCACATAGGAACTAGGGCTCACTACTGTCAGATCTTTGGGTTTCCAAGAGAAGATATACATCTAGAATCCATCAAATTTGGAATGATAGCAACTAATGAAAAAACATTTAAAGCCCAGGCGCAGTGGTCCACGCCTGTAATCCCAGCACTTTGGGAGGCCGAGGTGGGTGGATCACCTGAGATCAGGAGTTCAAGACCAGCCTGGCTAACATGGTGAAACCCCATCTCAACTAAAAATACAAAAATTAGCTGGGAGTGGTGGCGTGTGCCTGTAATCCCAGCTACTCAGGAGGCTGAGGTGGGAGAATCTCTTGAACCTGGGAGGCAGAGGTTGCAGTGAGCCAAGATTGTGCCATTGTACTCCAGCCTGGACGACAAGAATGAAACTCTGTCTCAAAACAAAAAAACAAAAACAAAAACAAACAAACAAACAAAAAATATTTAAGACTTTAAGACCCTGGAACAATGGGTGGATGGTGAAAAAAACATCTGGCTTGGGGGCCACCAGTTTGAGATCCCTTAGGAAGAGCTGAAATGCAGTTCATGGCATGGTTAATAAAGGTGGAGAACTGGACATAAATACCCAGCGACCAAAGATGCCTAAATCACTTGTGGTCTGGCCACACAATGGACACCATGGGGCTGTTTGAAAACAGTGCCCGGGGCTCTTGTTTGTAGACACAGGATTGAACCCAGGATTGTTGAGTGCACAGACGCAGCTTCTGTACGGGGACCTGAACTGTACAGTGCAGAAATGACTTTCATTTAGGAAATAAAATAAATCACAGGTTAGCTGGAGAGTGCTTGGAGCTTTGAAGTGGGGGAGCTTCTGTTGCTGTAGGCTACGAGCTGCAGACATTGACTAGGATACCAGAGAGAGGATTTCTGCCTTCTGTGGTTCCTGAAGTTTTTCTTTTCCAACCTTCCCAACTTTCCAGGCAGGGGTCGGAAACTGTCAAAAACCTGAGCAATCATCTCACCCAAGTCCTGCCCGAAGCGGGGGCCCCTCTGCATGTTCTCCCTACCAGCTGGTGTCCAACCTTGGTTTGCATGCCCCGTGGTGATGGAGAACTCACCATCTTCCCCTTACCTCATGGTTCCAATTGTCAGAAAGCCCTTCTTTATAACATCGTGTGGGTATGGCTCAGAGCACCCACCCCAGAGTTGATCCCATGGTTTAATGGGGGCCACTCTGTCACCTTGATTACTACCCTGCAGGATCCGGATTCTGAATGTCCATGTGCCCCGCCTCCACCTGAAATTCATTGCTGGTTTCGGAGTGCGCCTGCTGGCAGCAGCTAATTTTACTTTCAAGGTCTTTCGGTGAGCGGATCTCCTTGTTAGGGGGTGAGAAGGGTTTTGGGGATGCTCCGAGGGATACAGTGAGGGGACGGGGGGTAGCAACTCCTCCAGGGCCCTCATCCAGGCCTCTTGACTCTCTGTCCAGTTGCTCTCTCTCCCCTCACGCTTGGAGGGGAGCAAGATAGTGAGAACATTTCTGAGAACCCTGCTCAACAGCTCTGCAACTGGGCAGAGTCACTTGGCTTGTTTACCCCCTCAGCTTCCTCATCTGTAAAATGGGATGAACTTCTGTAAAGTGCCAATGACGGTTTGGTGAATGGGTTCATTGCTGTGATTATAATGACTGTCCTCTCTTTCCCAGGGCAAGGCACATGAGAGACGCTCAATAAGCATAACGATCAGAGTTATTTTTGTGTGCCTGGCATCTTGTATGTTACTGCATTTAATTTTCACACCATGAGCTGTGCAGTCAGAGGGGTCTCTTATCTAGCTTCTCTACCCTGACACTATGATTTTATGATTGCTTCCTGTGGGCCAGGCTCTGTGCTGGGTGTTTTCACATGATTATCTCACAGGAAACTCAGCACAGCCCTGCGAAATAGGTCCCACCAACCTTATGTCCATTTTACAGAAGAGGAAACTGAGGCTCAGCATGGTAAATGACTGGCCCAGGGTCTCACAGTGAGAGGCTCCGGACAGCCAGTGCTCACACCCACTGCTGCAACGTCTATGACCCCAAGTGGAGTCTTGAGGCTGGGGGCTGTGGGCCTGCCCCAGGTAGGGCCATCTCACTCTGGGAGTGGGGGGCCTGCCTGGGCCAAGTGGAGGGCAGGCAGGGGCTGGGGAATTTGTAAGATCTATCATCAGTCATGGTGGGCTCTGCTGGGCGGTGCTGCTCGGGCTCAGGACTGGCATCCCTACAGCGCCCCAGAGCCCCTGGAGCTGACGCTGCCTGTGGAACTGCTGGCTGACACCCGCGTGACCCAGAGCTCCATCAGGACCCCTGTGGTCAGCATCTCTGCCTGCTCTTTATTCTCGGGCCACGCCAACGAGTTTGATGGCAGTAACAGGTGGGTGCCTGGTGAGGGCAGGGTCACAGGAATCCCAGATGCCAAAGCTGTGCTGCTGTTTCCTGAGCTGCCCACTCAGGACTTTAACCAATGGCCACAAGGGCCTCAGGGGCCCCCATTATTGTGCTTGTTTTATGTCGGAGGACACTGAGGCTCAGAGAGGGGGAGAGGCATGCCTGAGGTCACACAGCAAGTGAGCGGCCAGAGCCTGGGACCTTTCCATCCCCTGCACCACTTGACAATACACACTAGCTATTAGCACACTCTTTGGGGAGGGATTTTGGGTGGATCAGACTGGCTGTGAGGACCTCGGAGACCCACCCCTCCTAGCAGAGATGAGGGAAAGGAAGCCAGGGAGGGCCTGGGACCCACCAATAGCCAGCTCTCGCAGGCCAGGCCGCTCCCTTCTGCATAAAGGCTGATGGCAGCTCCCGCCTCCAGAGCACTTATGTGTGCTGAGCATTGTTCAGGCCCTTTCCATAGATCATTTCGTTTGATCCTCACAGTATCCTACCAGGTAGGTGTTAAGTATTTCCTGCATTTTACAGGAGCGCAAATGGAGGCCCAGAGCAGTTAAGTGACTTGCCTAAGGCCACCGGCTGACAAATGGTGTAACCACATTCAGGCCCAGGCAGCCCGACTAATCCCATGGCTTGCAAATCCCCCTAGACGATGTCTGCACCTTCCCAATGTGAGCGGGGCTTGCTGAGGTGTTGAGCATCTTGGAGGCTTAGAAGAATGCAACGTATGCATCAAGACTGAGCTTTCTCCCCAGAGAGGGATGTGGCTGCGTAAACCCATTCACACTTGTGTCGCATGATCACCACGTGTGACTCACGACCCCTCACTGTCCTTACAGGCAGGGGATGCTCACAGCTTATTGAAGGGGAAATGGAAGCCCAGAGGCTTTGGGAACACAGAGGCCACCCTCCCACCTCCCCCCCAGGGAGCTGGTTCAGCAAGGTTGGGCTGTGGCTTGGATCGACATTTTTGCAAATCAAGGAACTATAGGTGCCTATGGAGCACTGTTGAGTTGTTTAGAGGGGAAACGGAGGCCCAGAGTCAGGAAGGGATTTTATTAGGTGTGTCACAGAAAATTGGACCCAAAGCATGAAGCAGACCCAGGATCCCAGCTCTACCCCCTAACCCAACCTTTACTGGGCTTAGAGTGGCCACGAAGCCAGCTGGCCAAGGTCATGGCCAAGTCTGGCTTTTGCAACGCCCTCTCTGTCTCACGCGCCACATTCTTGGCCATTTCCAAACCTTGAGATAAATGACCCTCTCTTTTGAGACTCAATTTCCTCATCTATGGGGCCAGTTATGCCAGCACTGTGTCTGGCAGATGGCAGGGCATCGAATGGAATTGATTGGCCTCCTGGCTGAGGATAGAGACTTCTCTTCCCAGACGTGCGACTGTGCTGAGTGACGGGACTTAATATGTTTGGGAGCCCAGGAACTCTTTCTGTGTTTCTCCCTCAGCACCTCCCACGCGCTGCTGGTCCTGGTGCAGAAGCACATTAAAGCTGTCTTGAGTAACAAGGTAAAGGGCTTGCAGATTTCTCAGAAAGGAGGGCATGGCTTCACCGAGAAGGCACAGTGAAGAAAGAGTGGGATTTCAGGCAGGGGGTACTTTGCTTGGGATTAAAAAAAAAAAAAAGACGCCCCTTCATGGTCCCCATGAAGGCAGGGAAAAGGCTGGTGCCAGGTCCAGGGGAGTGATGGGGAGGCACAAATGAGGGCAGAGTTTATGGGGTTGGAGGGGAGGGGGAGGTTCATCCTCTTAGGGCAGCCCCAATTTCATGCTAGAGGGTGGATGGAGTGGGGTTCATGGGCCTGTGGTTTGTGAAAAGAAGACAGAACGAGAGTGAACGAGGGTGTGGGCATGGGGCCACCTGTGGCCTGGACGGGTCCTGGTCCTTTCCAGATGTGCAGTCTCTGCTCCTGGTTCCACATCTGTACTGAAAGAGACAAAGCCCCTCCTCCGTGGGGTGGTTGCAGGCATGAAATGCATTAACATTTCAGAAGAGTTCGGGACAGTGGTTGGCAGAGTGGGTGCTGCTATTATTATTACTATTTTAGCTCTTGTCATTGTCTGCGTGGAGCTGACTTGGTGAGAGAGGGTAGCCCAGGGGCTAGGGTCCCACTGCCCAGGGGGAGCTCATTTTCTCTCTGCCCTATCCCATCCCAACCCCACTACTGCTTTAAGGGGCAGTAGTAGAGACGAAGTCAACCTCCTGCATGCCACCCCACACCCCCCAGAGGGCGACTGCAACATGCCCACCTTACAGATGAGAAAACCGAGGCTCGAGGGGTGAAGGTGGGGCAGCTCCTCTTGAGAGTCCTGCGGGATGCCCAAGTGGACAGCTTAACTTTGTCTGTTGGTCCAGCCTCTTCCTCTCCCTGTAGTCCCCCTGCTGCCCTCATAGCCAGCCTCTTCTGGGCAAGGGGCTTCAGGCAGCACTGCAGGAAGGAAGACCCACCCTCTCCTCTTCCTCTCGACCTCGCCCTGCCCAGTCTCGCCAGCTCTTGCCTGGTTAAGGCTGCGAGTGCCCCTGGCCTTGCAGTTCCTCCTCTGCCCCCATCTTCTATCACACTGATCCCAACATAATGTACTTCTCTGGCTGCCCATGGTGCCCAGGGAAAACCTCTGTAGCTCCCTGGCCTGGCATCTGAAGCTTGGCCTGGTCTGGCTTGCTGATCACTGCCTGCCTCTGCATGGGCACCACCCTCTCACCAGCTGAGCTTCAAGACTGAGCTCTCAGCCCCGTTGCAGCAGATTCCCTGCCTCCGTTGCTCAGGCCCAGCTACGACCACCTGGGCTGGGCTCCACGGCCTCTGTTCTTTCTTCCGTGCCTGGGGACCTATGCTCACACTGCCATCAGCCTTTGGGTTGCTTCTCCTCTGTTTCTTCGGTGCCTGGAAGGGGTCCCAGGAGATGCCCACTGGCGGGTGGAGGAAGGGATTCCAGGCATGGTGTATGGGTTGGGGAGGCTTCTAGACAGGGACTCTAGACCCCTCTCAGCCTTGTGCCCTCCAGCCCCAGGGCTGCCCTAACCCCAGCCTCCTTCTCTCTGTCTTACCACAGCTGTGCCTGAGCATCTCCAACCTGGTGCAGGGTGTCAATGTCCACCTGGGCACCTTAATTGGTAAGATCTGGGAGCCAGGGGAGGGGGCTGGGGCCTCTGGGACCCCCTGGAGCCCCTAGAACCCTCCAAAGGCTCCACTCTGGATCACGGTCGACCTCTAGGAGAGTCAGTTGTAGGGTGACTGAATTGTGAGCTCCCAAAACAGTGTAATTATTCATGAAATCTGGGAATCTCCAAATTCTAGAACCAAAACCAAGTCTTTGATTCTAGAATCTGTGTATCTTAGATCAAAAAATCTGAAAAACAAAATACAATTTTGAAATCATGAGTCTTAACATTGGAGAATCCAAGGACCATTGACACTTAGAATCTGGAATCATTCTAGAATCTAGACTCATCATTCCAAAGACCAGCTCTTGCCTCGGCCTCCCAAAGTGCTGGGATCACAGGCATGAGCCACCACCCCTGGCCTCGCCCTTTGAAACTTCCCTGCAAGAGTATTCTGAGGCTCAGAGGAGTTGGGCTCTGAGCCATGCCTCCCTGAAGGCTGCTCGGAGGGTCTGTTAGGGAAGCTGGACTTCTGTGATCTTGCATAACTGGCCCCAGTGGTGTGTGCTCTTGGAGTTCTCATAGGAGACAGTGTGATGAGGTGGGAAGAGCATAGCTTTGGGGTCAGACTGACCAGGTATTACAATCCTGGGCAAGACTGAACCTCACCAGACTGCGTGTGCGTGTGTGCGTACGTGTGAGTGTGCATGTGTGCATACGTGTGTATAAAATAACCCTACAGGATTGTAACGAGGATTGAATGAGATGCTGTAAGTCAAGCATCTGGACCTTGATAAGTGAGAGTTCTCTTCTTTTTCTGTGGTTGCTTCTCACCTTTGTCAGGGGATATTTGTGCCTGGACTGGGCCCTTCTCCTTCCTTCTAACTTGGGGTCACTAGTCTCCCACCAAGGGGGAAAGCAGAAAGCATACCTGTTAGAATTGTGCCTAAACTAAGAGTCAGCAGGCTGTGAGTAGCTCAATCCTGGCCATGTGCACTTTGCCACTTAAATTTGCTTATTCAGAGGCTTGCTCTGCCTCTTTTGTTTCGTGGCCTGGCTCTGGCTAATCAGGGTAATCAGACAATAAATAAACTTTTCTGGATAGATGAAACGTTGGTGAGCAGTGCTAAATATGCCATCTTTTCTTCTCTACCCTGGTTTCATGAAGGCCTCAACCCCGTGGGTCCTGAGTCCCAGATCCGCTATTCCATGGTCAGTGTGCCCACTGTCACCAGTGACTACATTTCCCTGGAAGTCAATGTAAGTGCCTCCTGGCCAGCCCAGAGCTGGGGGCTTGCTGCCTCTGGAGTCCTTGGTGTTCCAGAAGATTCCTAAAGGAGCGGGGGAGTGGGAAAGGAGAGGAGGAGCTGGAATAGTGTCCCAGCCGGGAGCATGCCACACAGGCGAAAGTGTGAACTACACATGTGGCATCTTGCAGGGGCTGGGGGGCAGGGAGTGGCATCTAGGAGTCCAGGTTCTGCCATGGAGCCACCTCCGTGCTGAGGCCCTGCTGCTTTTCTCCCACTTCCCCCTCCCACCCCTACAGGCTGTTCTCTTCCTGCTGGGCAAGCCCATCATCCTGCCCACGGATGCCACCCCTTTTGTGTTGCCAAGGCATGTGGGTACCGAGGGCTCCATGGCCACCGTGGGCCTCTCCCAGCAGCTGTTTGACTCTGCGCTCCTGCTGCTGCAGAAGGCCGGTGCCCTCAACCTGGACATCACAGGGCAGCTGGTGAGGGCCCGACCTGCAGCCCAGGGCCTGTGGGGCAAGAGCTCCCTGTGGCCCAGCCTAGGGAGACCTCCCAGAGGCCAAATCATGGGTGGGTGGGGCCGCTGAAGCTGGCGCCACAGGGTGGCTGTTGGAAGGGTTAAACGGGGGCTATGGGGAGCGATTGCTCAGGGGGAAAGTGGTGATCTGTCTTGGGGAGCAGCTGTCCTAAAACCTGTTGTGGCCTGGGGTGCTGATTTCAGAGGTCGGATGACAACCTGCTGAACACCTCTGCTCTGGGCCGGCTCATCCCGGAGGTCGGTGATGTTTCTGATCATTCCAGGGACTGAGACAAGGGACTGGGGTGGGGGTTCTCTGGGTCATGGGATCTCTGCTGGCTCTTATCTGTCCCAAGTGAAGTTCAGCATCTGTCCTTAAACCTACTCCTCCATCTTGGGGAGGCTCTAACTTCTGCCCAGACATCACACTCTGTCTCTCTGTGCCTTTGCTTGAGCAGTGTCTGCTGTTTGGAATGTCTTTCTCCTCCCTTTCCCTTATCCTTCTTCAAGACCAAGCTCAAGGTCACCTCCTCGGGGAGATCCAACCCCCTCGTCTTGTCCAGCGGCCTGTAAGACCCACTGGCTTACACAGAGGGGGGACCCACCTCTGTGCCCAGTCACATACAGCGCCATGGTGGCCCAATCAGCATTTGAGGAGTGACTGACCAGAGAGCCCGCCAGCCGCTGCCTCAGCAGGGCCTCCTCCGCCTCTGCCTCCCCAGGTGGCCCGCCAGTTTCCCGAGCCCATGCCTGTGGTGCTCAAGGTGCGGCTGGGTGCCACACCTGTGGCCATGCTCCACACAAACAACGCCACCCTGCGGCTGCAGCCCTTCGTGGAGGTCCTGGCCACAGCCTCCAACTCGGCTTTCCAGTCCCTCTTCTCCCTGGATGTGGTGAGTGCGGTGGGGCTGGTCGGAAGGCAGGCAACTGTCACAGAGACCTCCCTCCCTGCTTCACTGTCCCCTCATCTTTGCTCTACTCACACTATTGTCTTCGCTGTTCCTTGAATGTGTCAGGACACTCCCGCCCCAGGACCTTTGCATGTGCTGAGCCCTCGGCCTAGGACTCTCCCACCCTGGCTCTTGGCATGGCCAGCTCCCCCTCCTCTTCCAGGCCTCAGCTTAAATGTTGCAGCCTTCCTGGTCTACCCTGAGTAAGAAGGTCCCCATCAGCCTTCTCGGCACCTCCTCTCTGCATTTGTGGCCCCTGCCACTCTCTGAAAGGATGGCGCCTGGTTACTGTGGTTACGGTCCCCCTCTCCCACAGCTGGCGGCTCGTTCCCAGGGCAGGGAGCTGGTCTGCCTTGTTCACACTGTGTTGTTGCCAACATTCAGCGTGGGGCCTGGCACATAGCAGGGGCTCCACAGACACCTGCTGCCTGAATGAGTCGGGGGATGGGTGGGAGGCTGGGTGGCTGGTGCCCCCCTCATGGCTCTGTGCCCTCTGACCCTGCTCTCCCCATGTGCCCAGGTAGTGAACTTGAGACTCCAGCTCTCTGTGTCCAAGGTGAAGCTTCAGGGGACCACGTCTGTGCTGGGGTAAACGAGCCCACCTGGACCCAGCAGCCTCAGTGTGTTCTTCTGTGCCATGGGTCCATCACCACCCTGGGTCACGGTGTTAGCCAGGGAGCCTGGGCGTAGGGAGGTGCCAGACCCTGTCCTGAATTCTCCTGCTTCTCTTTCAGGGATGTCCAGCTCACGGTGGCCTCCTCCAACGTGGGCTTCATTGATGTGAGTGTGGGGCTGGGGCCTCTAGAAACCCCCGTCCTGGGTAGGGCACACCTTGAGCCTGGGGAAGAGATGGCTGTGTACATGTGCTGACCCGTGTGCCTGTGTGTGCCACTATAGTCAGGCTTCCCCGGGCTGCTTGGGGACAGTGGCCAGTCAGTCCATCTGCCTGATACTCTGCCTGGCAGTCGATGACTTGTCACCCAGCCCTCACCCCAAAAGTCCATTGGTCAGTTGGACAAAGAATGTCAGCTGTCCCTTCAGCCAGGTGATGTGATTGGGTCATCGGCCACCATACATCCACTTGTCAGCCGGCATGCCATCAACATGCCCCCCTTCTACCCAGCCGTCAGTCTGTCTGTCTGTCGGTCATCTGCGTCAGGCAGTCTGCTGGCCAGTCCACCTGTTGGTCACACAGTGCGTGAGTGTCCACAGTCAGTGCCTGTCCCTCAGCCTCCACTCCGGTGAGCACTGCTGCTGGGTGTGATCCTGCGAAGGCTGAGCCAACCATGGGGGTATTTCTGGGCCCCACTTGAACCCAGGACATGGGTGATCTGCCTTCCTCCCTGTGCCTCAGCCTCTGCCATCCATCTGTTGTCTGTCTGTCTCTGTGTATATTTATGTATGTGCCTGACTGTCCATCTCTCCTGGCCCCTCGGCTGGGACGGGCCCATCTCCCTGGCTCCGTGGCCACAGACAGATCAGGTGCGCACACTGATGGGCACCGTTTTTGAGAAGCCCCTGCTGGACCATCTCAATGGTAAGCCCTGCCCTCCACCCCAGCAGGGCCCCTCTGGCCCCCTCCATATCCCACATCTGCTCGGTGCTCAATCCCAGCCCCCTTCCCACCTCCCAGGCTCACAGGGTGAGAGGGGGCCTCTGGAGTCTAGCAGCCCATGTGTGCATGCCCCTTGGCACATATCTGTGTAGCAGCTGTGTGATCTTCACCAAGCAGCTGTGTGATCTTCACCAAGTTCCTTTTTCTCTCTGAGCCCCAGCTTCCCCTTCTGTAAAAGGGGTATAACAATAATGGCATCCATCTTCCAGATGCCTGCGAGGACTCAGTGCTGTGATGCACATGAGGGCTTCAGCACAGGCTGGCTCCAGGGGACGATCCTTTCTTCTTTCTCGCCTGCAGCTCTCTTGGCCATGGGAATTGCCCTCCCTGGTGTGGTCAACCTCCACTATGTCGCCCCTGAGATCTTTGTCTATGAGGTGAGAGCCTTTGGGTGTGACCAGAGGGGCCTCCTTCACTCAGAGGGACTGATTGAGGTGGGGGTCACCTCTCTCCCTCCCCCTCTGTGGCTGCCAAAACCATGCCATGAATCCTTAACTGCAATGAAATGAAAAGTCCAGGATGCCAAGAGATGCTGGGTCAAAGGTTTCACCCTTCCTTTAGTCCTCATAAAATATCACACCAGACCACACTCGGACAATTGGGGCCTTCACTTGTCCCGTGATCCTGTGCCCTGGAATGGGCACAACCCCTTTGATATCTGGAGCAGATGACAGTGGGACTCCTTCCACTTTGTAGACAAACTGTGCAGGCTGGATGGGAGTAGGGAACTTCCTGAACTTTCTAAAATTGCTTTCCCTGGACCTGAAATTGTGGGCCCAGGGTGAGCTTCAGTCACAACACTGCCCAGGGTGAGATGCGACAGCTGCTTTCTTCTGTACCTGGGATATAAAAGGAAATTCAGTCAGCAAGACATGCCTAGGACAGAAAGCTGAACCCAGGTCTCTCAAGCCCAATGTCTCACGTGCTGTTCATACCCGATGAGTGTGACCTGCTGATGTAATTCCAGGGAGGATGCCCTTGTTCCTTAAGAACTACTCTCTCAAGGCACTTGGGTGATTATCCGCCCCCATGAGAAGGAACGATTGGTACACAGAGGAGCAGGGCTCTGTGGGGATTTCCCTAGGACTTCCCAAAACAGGCAGTTAGTGGCTGACCCACCTTGGCACTTGACCCAGCCACTGGGTCAGAGGTGAAAAGTCCCTAGTCCAGTACTGTTACCAATGGAACTTTCTGCAAGGATGGAAATTTATACTGTCCAAAGCAGCAGCCATGATAAGCCACAGGTACATGTGGCTACTGAGCACTGAAATGTGGCTAGTGCAACTGTGGACCTGAATTTTTTATTTTGTTTCATTTTAATGAATTTCCATGTAATTAGCCATAGGACTAATTAATTAGCCATAGCCACTAATTGTGGCTGCCTTATTGGACCACAGAGCCCTAGGCTACGAGCTACACTGGGGCAGGAACTGGGTCTGGCTTGTTCTCTGCTGGCTCCCCAGCACCTGCCACAGGGCTTGGCTTATAGTAGAGGCTTGATGAAGATTTACTGAATGAATGAATGAATGATCGGCAGCCCTCCAGAATGCTCCTGCAGTGGAGTGTAGCATAGGGGAGCTATGGGGGGTGCCTGAGTCTGCTGGAGAGAGTTGGACTTGGAGAAGATGCTCCATGGTTCTGGGCTCCCATTCATAAAGCATCAGTGGTATCCACCATCGGAGCAGCAACCAGTGCCTTCCATGGGGGTCTCACTGCATCCTCACAGTGACCTTGTGAGGTGGAGGCTGTTACTACCCCCAAAGTGACAGACTGGTAAACTGAGGCCCAGAGAGGCAAAGGACTCTCCTCACAACCCACAGCAAGAATGGCAGAGCAGAACTCAGAGCCAGGCTGAGGGGGCGGCTGGGGTCCTGCCTGTGCCTCCTCTGACCTGGTCCATGGTTTCCTTTGCCCTTCAGGGCTACGTGGTGATATCCAGTGGACTCTTCTACCAGAGCTGAGGCAAGACCACTGGGAGGCCTGAGAGTGGGCCAGCTCGCTGCTCAGGCGAATTTCTCATTTCAAGCCACTGGGGAAACTGAGGCAAAACCATACTTAGTCATCACCAACAAGCTGGACTGCTTAGCTGGGCTGTTTTATCTTCCCTGAGTGCCTGGGTCTCCCTCCCTCACTTCTGCCCTTTCCCTTCCTCCTCCTCTTCTCCTCCCTCTTCCCTCATCTCCCCCCTCCTTCCTCTGCCCCACCCCAGCGGGGAGCAGACTGCTCCTCCAGGCTGTATAGACCTGCCCTCTTGCATTAAACAACTTCTCTTGAGCTGCAACTTTCAGCCAAGCCCAGCAACCTCTTTGCATACCTAAGGCCAGTTCCCTACATGCAGTCTCCAGGTTCTGTCTGTCCCTGGAGCCACCAACGCTGCCTGGGAGAAGAAGAAGACATAACCACATCTCTGTTGATGACATCTCTGTTGATGACATCCATTGACTGTGTCACCTCTTTGCCTGGGGGAGCTCCTGTTTTGAAAGAGGACCCTGGAGAGCCGCATGGATGAGCCTGAAGTTAGAGCACCATGGTGGCACTTTGGGCACAGTGCCCCTTGCCTGGCAGCTTGCCCCGTCTTGTAACTAGAACCTCATAGGAGCCCCATGAATCAGGCAGGCAGAGACTGGAGTTCCATTTTATGGATGTGGGGACTAAGGTCCACTGAGGAGGGGAATGCACGGTGCCTCAGAGCTGGATGGTGACATGACCTTCCTTCAATCCAGACATGAGATGTCTGGTTCCCTCTGCCATTCTCCGGCTCCCAGAGCTGGACCTTGTCCCTGAGTCATGAACTTCAGGTGATGGGGAGTTCATTGCTCTTCTAGGCAGCTTCTCCATCTTTGGTTTCTCTGCCTTTGGTTTTACGAGCAAGTTTTTTGTTCTAAGGAGGCAGCATCTGCTTCCTGGGCCTCTGCCCTTCTGGTCACACTGAACATGTCTAACCCCTTTAGCCTCTGAATGCCCTTCACACCCAGTGAATCACACAGAACAAGATGACCTAGGGAACACCAAGGGATGTAAATGCTGGCAAGTCAAAGCCATGTGATTTTCTACCCCTGATAAGCTAATCTCTTAGCCAGAGATAGGATTCCTTCCTGCCTAGATATATGGTGTTTATGTTCTGTTTATGTTTCCTTTGGGGAGTAAAAGGTGCCTCAATTTTTACCACCAGTAAGCAAAGCCTTTGGCACGGTGTGACCCTAGCCACTCTTCCTGTGAGGGTTCAGGTTCATTCCTAAAGTTTCCAGCATGAGAGATCGAAGGTACTGGACCAAGCCCAGAGTCTTGGTGGTGGAGAACAGGTTGGGGGTGGTACTGAGAGAGTGGCAAGGGGCAGGTTGGAAAATCCACCCCCATGATTTTGCTCAGGACAATGTGACTCGTATTTCATTTGGTTATTTGGTTAATTAATTCACTCATCCTACTTTTATTGAGGGTTAAAATAGGCTGAGCTCTAGAAGTGAGGGAGGGAGACCCAGGCACTCAGAGTGGTCTGCAGTATGAGAGAGACAAAAAACTTAAGACAGAGCCATAGTCCATAAAGGAAGTTAATAACCTAGGAAAAGATTATGAGCTCAATATGTCAGTCCAGTGATCCATCTATCTATCCATCCATCCATCTATCCATCCATCCATCCATCCACCCACCCACCAATCAATCTATGTAACCATCCATCCATTTATCGATCATCCATCCATCCACCCATGCATCCACCTACTCACTACCCATCAATCCATATAACCATCCATACATTTGTTCATCCATCCATCCATCCACCCACCCATCAATCCGTATAACCATCCATCCATTTGTCCATCATCCATTCATCCATCCATCTACTCACTACCCATCAATCCATATAACCATTCATCCATTTGTTCATCATCCATCCATTCACCCATGCATCCACCTACGCACTACCGATCAATCCATATAACCATCCATCCATTCGTTCATCCATCCATCCATCCACCCACCCATCAATCCATATAACCATCCATCCATTTGTCGTCCATCATCCATTCATTCATCCATCCATCTACTCACTATCCATCAATCCATATA
Organism: Homo sapiens; assembly: GCF_000001405.40. Lineage (NCBI taxonomy): Eukaryota > Metazoa > Chordata > Mammalia > Primates > Hominidae > Homo > Homo sapiens. Next base: position 33,025,489 of record NC_000020.11, read on the forward strand.
ACTATTCATCCATTTGTTCATCATCCATCCATCCATCCATGCATCCACCTACTCACTACTGATCAATCCATATAACCATCCATCCATTTGTTCATCTATCCATTCATCCACCCACCCATCAATCCATATAACCATCCATCCATTTGTCCATCATCCATCCATCCATCTACTCACTACCCATCAATTCATATAACCATTCATCCATTTGTTCATCATCCATCCATCCATCCATCCATCCGTCCGTCCGTCCGTCCATCCATCCATCCGTCTGCCCATTTATTCAGTCATTTTTTCCAACCAGCCAGGCTTTGTTTGTACCCATGATGTACCTATTTCAATAATATATGTTCTTTTAGGTGAAGGGGGGATGAAAATGCCTCAGTCAAGCTCCTTGCCCAGAAGGAAGATGGTGGTCTGTCCAAAGAGAGTTGCCCTCATCCTAAGGGACACCCTTTGGTCATTCAGTTAGGTGCCTGCTGGGCTCTGGCTGCTGAGAGGGACAGATGGGTGTAGCAGTTTGAGTCCAGTTAGAAGATAGAAACCACACAGGAGCTCAAACAGGGGAAGTTTAATATGAAGAGTTATTAACTATGATAAAAGAGTCACTGCAAGACATAAGGAAACTCTATATGGTCCTCTAGGGCTGAGGGAGAGTACCCAAGGAAAGACAAACTCGGAAGGGCTTCAGGCGTTATTGGAGAAGGCATTGCTCAGCCTAGTGGATAGCACAGATGTTGGCTGGTGTGGCCAGGTTGGAGATGGCCTCAGCTGGCCTAGAGTTGCTAGAGTTGCTGGGCAAACAACAGGAAACTAAGACCTTGGGATCCAGTGTGCAAGCAGCATGGGGTGACGAAAGAGGGGAGCTCTGGGGTGTGGCTTGCACATGGAGCAGCTCAGGGTGTGGCTTTCTGGACTACAGGCGACTGGATAGAGGTAACGTGGGGCTACTTATGGAGGAGTCTGGGCACTGGCATGGGCAAGAGGCCTTCAGAGGGGTTGGGCCAGATGGGTGGGGGCATGGAGAGTAGTTCTGATTTCTGTTTGGAAGGGCTGGCCCCAGGCTGAGGTTGCAAGTTTGCAGAGGGATTGAGTTCTGGACCCATGGCTGGGATAGGCTTCACCTGCACACACTCACACAGCCAACTCCAACCCACATTGGAAACTGCAGGAAGCCTCTTCCTCTTGTACTGCCCTCTCCTAAGAAAGGTTGACATCATGCTCACTTTAAAGGAGAAATACTTAAGTGAGTCCCATTGCTTATCATGGAACATACACTGAAGGGTGCTTTTGGAGCTGAGAGGCAGTAATAAATTGCTAACTGACACAGTGGGGCAGAGGAGAAAAGGACCGTGTTTTCCCAGGTCAGGTGCCTTTGCAAATCTCTCACTTGTCCACTTGCATGGCCACTCTTTGCCCTGAATGTCTACCCTGCATATTTCCTCGCTAGGCTCTTTGCCCAACATGGGATGTCTTTACCGGAGCCTGTCTACCCCAACGCAGCAGCTCAGATGCAGTCTCCCCTGGCCACAGCATGGGGTGACCTACCTGCCTGGTTTCAGTCTCCAAACCCCTCCTCCTCAATCACTGTGTTGCCCTTTGATTGCACACCATGGTTATTGGTGTCCATGACTTCCTTCCCCACCGCACCTCCCTGACCCTTCCCAGAGCCCAGAGTACAACAAATGCATAATAAATGTGTGGTGAGCGAGCTGTTTGCACACATACATGGTGGAGCTCTGGCCCAGGCTTGCCTCAACCCTAAGCCCTGGGCAGGCCATGTGGAAAGCCCCATCCTCATAGGCAGGTGGGGGCTGCTAGACTTGGAGTCCCCTGTGTTGGGTCCCCAGAGGGTCAGTGGGGAAGGGAAAAGATGACACTGAGCTTCAGGACTGGCCCAGTCTCTAGCGTCTGAGAGTTAGAGAGGAAAGGAGGCTAGGGAAGGCTCCCTGGAGGAAGGAGCCTCAGCTCGTCCTGGAAGCATGGCTGAATTTAGAGCTGGGGTAGGGAGGGCATCATAAGGAGCCAGGCAGGGCGATTCTGGGGCCCGGAGGAAGAGAGGAGCCCTGTTGAGTATGCCTTGGCAGGTGTTGGCCTGGGCTCTGGAGCCCTTGGATCCACATTCAACCCCTAGCTGTGCCATTCACTTGCTGTATGACCTTGGGCAAATGACTCAACCTCTCTGAGCCTTAGTTTCTCTAGCTATAAAATGGGGAAAATTGCTGAAGTGCCTGCCTCATAGGGTAGTTCTGAGGATTAAATGGGTAAGTGTAAATAAACACTTAGCGTGATGCCTGGTACAGGGGGAATGCACAGTAAATGGGTCCTACTGTTATTGTCAGCAGCATAGAGTTCTACCCTCTCATCCATCATAAAGAGGATTAAACAGAAGTGGCCCAGAGAGGTTGAGGGAGCTGCCCAAGGCCACACAGCTTGTGAGGGAAGTGGCTGGGACTGGTGTTCAGGTCCCTAAACCCATTCAAGGGGCTTCTCCTCTTTCACCCACCCCATGTCCTTTCTGCTCTCCACCCCAAATATGCTCTGCCCTGGTGGGAGGCAGGGAGAGCCAGGCAACTGCAGTCAAGGTGCACTGGGGTGGATTTGTGGGTGGTGAGAGAGGATGCAAGGCCTGCCTCTCTGTTGGGGGCAGGTCAGCAGGGATAAGACGATGCTATCTGTGGATCTGGCTCCTGCACCTCAGGGCCTGGATCAGAGTAGAGACTATCTGGCCACCCTGGGTCCTGCTCTTGCTCTTTCCAGCCTGGCTTCAGCCGCGGCATGTGACCTCGGGCAGGCCCTCACTCCCCTCTGGCCTCAGTGGCCCCAGATGCACACGAGCACAGTGGCTTCCTCCATCTTCCTGGACGTGTGGAGTCCGTGTGGGGTGGGAAAGGAAAACCCCAGGCCCCCAGCAGCCTCCCGGGGACTGTTCCTCAAGCACAAAATCCCTCAAGGGGCCTCTGAGCCAAGCCTCCCCAAGAAGCTCATGATGGGCAGAACAGAGGCTGGAAACCCCAAGGCCCGGTCCCAGGTCTGTGGCCGGCTCCCTCTGTGCCTCTGAAGTCACCTCCGCCTTCATTTCTCCCAGATTTGGACCTTGAGAGAAAGCACCCCTCCACCTGGTACTGCATGGTAGCATCTTCAGGGGGTCCCTTTGAAGACACCTTACTTGGCCATTAGCTCCTTGTGTCCCCTGTGAATGAACCTTGGGGGACACAAGCCCCAGTGGGCTTAGCCAGCATCTCCTAAGCCTTGTGCACTTGCTGGCCCCTGCCTGAAACACCTTGCCCCTGTATTGCAGAGCTGGTTTTGCTCACCCCCTGGCATCAGCTCCAACAACCCTTGCTCACAGGTCTCCAGGTTCTGATGATCACCCTGTTCTTTCATCTCTGTCCCATCTCTCTGGTTTAGTGGCTCTCATCACCCTTGCCTCCCTCGAGAACGATAGGCTTTGTGGTTGTTGACCTGCACAGTGCCCGTCTCCCCCTTTGGCCTCCAAGATCTCTCTCAGGGCAGGAATCCCAACTGCCTGTTCACTGCACAGGCGTGGCACACAGTAGGTGCTCAATAAATGTTTCTTGAAGAAACAAATGCATGTCCTCTGTGTGCCCAGACTTGTGGGAGGTGCTGGGTCTAGGAAAAGGGACAGTGTGAGCACTGATGGTCCCTTGGGCAGCCACATCCTGCCCCTGGTACCCGCCCTCATGTGGCCACCAGGATTCCCAGCCACTCTTGTCTTCCATACTATTTACATTGGAACAGACTGAAACGTCACGTGAGCAATAGGGCTCCTGTTCTTCAAGCCTCTAGATAATTATCTGGGCCTTATTAAGCCCTTAATTATTCCAAGCCACTAATCAGGCTCCCGAATATAAGGGCTTCTTCAGCTCAGGGTCACGAGGCAGGGGTCAGTCATCTGCAGAACTTCCCTAAGCTCAGCAAGGTAAGGACAGTCCCCCAACTGTGGAATTCTCCCCAGAGAGTGTCTTTTCCAGCTTTGTCATTTTACAGATGAGAAAACTGAGGCCCAGAGAGGGGAAGAGACTTGCCTGAGGTCACACAGTAAATGGGTGGCAGGGCCAGGGCTTGGATCTATGTCCTGACCCCCATCCAGTGCTTCCCACCTCACAGGTGATCACTAGGCATTGCAATTTTCCGATGCTGTAGGAGTAAGGAAAGATCAAGGAGACAGCAGATCCAATGGGTCTCCTTGGTCTCCATCTGAGGTTGAAGGGAGACTAGGGAGGGAAACCCCAGGCTCTGCTTTGTAAGAGCTCAGAGCCAAGCTGGGGCACCCAGGAGTGGGAGTATGTGCCAGGCAGAAAGAGGGAGGAAGGGACTTCTGGTGGGGGAAACCATGAGCAAAGGATGGGGGTGGTTGGGGGTAGCAGGAAACACTCATCACAGGTAGGGTGGATTATTTGCACGGTCAGGTTCAATTTGTGATTTTTGAGGCTCAGGGCAGTCGGGGGTTGAGGAAGGCTTCCTGGTAGATGAGGCAAGTGCTGAAATTAGGACTTGAGGGTTGAGTCAGTGATAGATGGATGGAGGGAAGGCATTCTAAAAGGGAGGGGCAGCTTAGGACAAGCACATTCAGAAACAAAACCCTAGCATTAGCCATTTGTCCCAGAGACACCCGCATGACCACGTTACCTGAAGCCACTTATTATTCTGAAAGGGCAAAAAAAGACCCTGCCCTGAGTGACCCTAACACCTGGCATCAGTTCTGGCCTGGGGACGGGAGACTGGGGTGAGGCTCAGTCACCCCGTCTGTGAGATGGGGCTGGGGCTGGAGGAGACCTTCACCAAGCCCCTCCCAGCTCTGTTGCCTGGCTCAGAATTTCACAGCCCCTTTGGGGATGATTTTTAAAGAGATTTGACATGGGGTGTGCCGGGACATGAGCACACGTCATGGCACGCACCTGTGCATTCACAGTGGTCGAGAAGCGCTACTGTGGATTATTTTAAGCCCAGATATATCTTCCATTTAGTGAATATTGACTATTGGCTTGAACACTTCTCGATACTTAAGCTCCTTTTCATCCCTCAGGTCTCAGCCTAAATGTTTCCTCCATAAGGAGTCCGTCCCTGACCCCTTTATCCCATATCCCACCCTATTGCTTCTCGTTCCCTGCCAGACTTTAGGATTTAGGAGGAGCAGGGCTGTCTCTGCCACCGAGATAAAAGAGACAAGCCCGGTCTGCTTGGCACAGAGAAGACACCCAATAGATGTGAGCCGAATGAATGAATGAGTGAATGAGTGAATGAATGCAGGCATTGGCTTGGACTGGGAAGGCAGGCCCATGGTAAGGGCCCATCTTAGTTTGTGCATTAGGTGAGCCCTCAGTGACTTAGCCCGCTGAGAGCAAGAGAGAGTCTGGTGGGAACCTCCTCTCTCTGGGTGGACATAGGCCCTGCTCCCATGGGCCCTGCCTTCATTCTTTTCAGCCAAAGCTCAAAACTGAAATATACACTTGGCCCTTGGTTGGAAGAGTTTCAGATCTTGGTAAGTAAGAGGGAAGGATTTCTATGGGCCCGGGGTGGGGTAGGGCTTTCCTGGGAACCTGAAAAGGTCTGGGGTGGGAGGTCCTTATGCTAGGAGACCTAATGTCTGTGCCTCAGTTTCTCTATCGGAGAGGCGATGTCTCAAGAGGCCTTTCAGGGCTCAGAGTTGAGCTTTCTGAGTTCCACATGGAAGTGAGCTGAGCTGGAAGAGGTGGGGAGGGACCCTGGCTGTAGGGTCAAGGTGGGGACACAGGGCTCCCCACTCCCACAATGCCGTGTGGGGCTCAAGGAAAGTCTGGAACTCTCTCTGTGGCTCCAGCATTCAGCCGTCCTTGAACCCATGAAAAACTGCAGTTGAACCTTCCTCCAACCCCATCTTGCAGGCTGGTCAGAACACACCATGTCCATGGGGAAACTGAGGCTTACAGAGGGAAATGAGCTAGCTGGGGGTGGCTGGAGGCCCTGTGTTTAATCTGGGGGTTCCTCAATCCCTTGGAAGAGGGCAGTGCTCATGTTTGCTGAACTGGCTGGAGTCTAAAGGCTCTTGGACCCCAGAAACACCCAGGGGGCTCAATCTGCTCTGAGACAGAAGGTCCCCAAGGGGACCAGGGTCTGGTGGGCTGCGCCCAATTCAGGCCCCTTGGCACAGGTGGTGCCATGCTGCGGATCCTGTGCCTGGCACTCTGCAGCCTGCTGACTGGCACGCGAGCTGACCCTGGGGCACTGCTGCGGTTGGGCATGGACATCATGAACCGTGGTGAGCTTGTGGGCCCGGGCGTGCAGCTGGGAGGCGGTGCTTGGGGTAGGTGGTAGGTAGTCACTGCTCTTGGTTGCACATCCTGGAGCATCCCGTGAGCTCCAAGTAAACTTATAAGCAAGTGTTATTATTATTCTCCCACTTTACAGAGGGGAGAAACCAAGGACCAGAGAAAATGGGATGATTTTCCCATGCTCCCCCTGCAAGTTAGAGGCAGAGCTGAAAATCCTGCTCCTTTGGAGTCTCTCCTTGGCCCTGATGGCAGGGGTTTTAGCCACAAGTGGGCTGTGGGAGTGACAGACAAGGGTCAAATCCCAGCAACAACTTGCTGTGTGACCTCAGGCAAGTTACTTGGCCTCCCTGTGTTGCTGTTTGCTCATCTGTAAAGGTGAAATGTAAAGAAATGTAAAATAGGGTGACCAGTCTGTCCCTAGCAGGATAGAATAATCTCTTGGAGGAGACCTTAGTAAAATGTGTTTTCCACCTCCATCCCCCACTCCACTAGCACAAGGGAAACCGAGTCACATCCAGGTACAAAAGGCTAATGACTGTTCTACCAGCTCAGTGTTTGTGCCCTCTCTGGAATTAGCTTGTGACCATAATGGAGGTGTTTCTGGCGGGGTGTTACTTGGGGTTGGGTCCTCCAGGTTTGGGGAATCAGAATTTCTCTGCTTCAGGCCCAAAGTCTGCATTCAAGTCCCCAGAGGAGTCCCCTAATCACCTAGGCTTGGGAGTGGCTGGTCCACAGGATAAAGTCAGTACCCTAGGGTTCAAGAGCTTCACTACATGCCCCCTGCAAACTGCTCCAGTTTCTCTGTCGTGTCTGTCCTCACCCTCCAGCCATGCTGAATCTATCCTCTTCCCCCAACTGTGCCACCTTCTCTCCCACCCACCTTTGCACTTGCTGTGCCCTCTGTCCAGACTGATATCTTTTATCCCTTTGCTTCCTGCTGAAAATTACTATTCCCCTTTCAAGTACCAACTGATCTGTCACCTCCTCCTGGAAGCCTTCCCCAGCTCTTCTCTTCCTACCTAAACCCTCGTGCGGCTCCTACAGCTTGTTACTGTCATTGCTGGTGACTCCATCTTCCCCCATTAGGCTGGGGCGCTGTGGGACTCATCTCTGGGTCTCTGCCATCGTCCAGCCCAGGGTGGGGCACAGTGACGGTGAGTGGCCTGGGATACCTGAGTGATTGGCCCAGGGAAAATCTCTCCAACTAAGTGTCTCCACTCCAGAGGTCCAGAGCGCCATGGATGAGAGTCATATCCTGGAGAAGATGGCAGCCGAGGCAGGCAAGAAACAGCCAGGGATGAAACCTATCAAGGGCATCACCAAGTGAGTAGGGGAGGGGAGCTGGAGGGTGGTGGTTAGGGCAGAGGGTGGTGGGGATTGCTGTGCCCAAGATCTTAGCAGGCCAGGTAATGGAGCTGGTGAGGGATGTGGGGTCTCTTCCCTGCCTTGTGCTGTCTTGCTGTGTGGCCTTGGGTAGGTCACTGCTCCTGCCTGTGCCTGGACCTCCTCAGCCATTCACTGGGGACAATTTCTGCTTTGTAGTGAGCAGGGTCATTTTGAGGAGGAAATGAGGTTGGAAAGTCAAATTTCAACTCTGCATGCAACATGAACTCATTGAATGTACGTGAAATTAAATGAAAACATCCTCAAATGGTAGAGCTGGAAAGGCATCAACAATCATCTAATGACAAGAGGAAACTGGTTCCTCTGCCAGTGCCACATGAGATTGATCAGTAGGGGCTGCCTGAAACGATGCACTTGGGAGGGCTCTGAGGCACTGTCTGCACTCGGCAGGAACTAGGACTGTGATCAACTAGCAATGTCTGCCAAGAGCTCAGGATGGGCAAGTGGGGGTATGTGTGCCACATCTTTTGTTACCCTGGATCTCAACTGGTGATTCTCAAACAGGGGTGATTTTGCCTCCAAGAAGACATTTGGCAATGTCCAGGGACATTTTTCATTGTCACAAGTTGCGGGGACTGGGGGAATGCTACTGGCATCTACTGGGCTGAGGTCGGAGATGCTATTAGACATCCAATAATGCACAAATCAGCCTCATGACAAAGAATTATCCTGCCCAAAATGTGGATAGTGCCACTTTTGAGAAACCCTGATCTAAGCAAGCCTCCCATTTTGTTGATGGGGAAATTGTGGCCCACATAAGGAAATGACACAGCCCAAGGTCACACAGAGTCAGCCATGTGTCCCACCTCCCATATAATGAGTGCTTTCTATATACAAATTGATTCATGTCCAGCCTTTTGTTTTGCATTTCATAATGGCCCCATGAATCATGCTTACCCCCATGACATGGGATAGGAGGCCGGGGTTATCGAAAGTCTTCCCAGTAAAGTGGTGAAGTGGGTGGAGGTCCTGGGTCTTGCCTGCTCAGATCTTATTGGTGTGGCTGCCTGTCCCTTCCCAGTTTGAAGGTGAAGGATGTCCAGCTGCCCGTCATCACACTGAACTTTGTACCTGGAGTGGGCATCTTCCAATGTGTGTCCACAGGCATGACCGTCACTGGCAAGAGGTGAGTGTGGCAGGGGAGGGGCAGCGGGGAGGAGAACGGCCTTCCTGTCTCATCCTTACATGCACATATATTGAGTGCCTACTGTGTACCATCTGAGTGTTGTAATCTGGGATGATGTAGACTTGGTCCCTACCTTTGTCAGGAACCAGACCTAAGCACAATCACAGACTGAGTGACTGGTCTAGGACAGAGGAAGCATTGAACAGTGGTGGCGGATGGTCAGAAAAGGTTATGGGGAGGCAATGACAGCAAAGCAGATTTTAAAGGGTGTGTAGGGGTTCACCAAAACAAGGAGGGAGGGAGAAAAGCTGGTTGTGTCACCTGGGGCAGGTCCCATCCCCTTTTCTGTCTTGTAGGGGTGGTCTCCTACCCTTTCTCCCTCTCAGCTGCTCAGATTGTGAGCAAAGAGAAGGCAGGGAGAGCGGACACCATGGCAGAGATGCCCATGGTGCCCTCCTGCTCTGTCCTCCAGCTTCATGGGAGGGAACATGGAGATCATCGTGGCCCTGAACATCACAGCCACCAACCGGCTTCTGCGGGATGAGGAGACAGGCCTCCCCGTGTTCAAGAGTGAGGGCTGTGAGGTCATCCTGGTCAATGTGAAGACTAACCTGCCTAGCAAGTGAGGGGCTCTGTGGCTGGGGAGGAAGGCCGGTCCATATTGCTATACCCCCCAGCATATCACTTCCTGAGCCATGGAACCCCCTTAACCATGCCCCTTCATGTCCTGTGCCTAAATTCCTGCACTGGTGCACCTGCCCACCTATCCTCGGTGCCTGTGTCCATCTAGCATGCTCCCCAAGATGGTCAACAAGTTCCTGGACAGCACCCTGCACAAAGTCCTCCCTGGGCTGGTGAGTGACCCAGAGAAAGCCTCCACCCCTCGTTGCTGGGACTGCTTAGGCCAGGGCTGGCAAATGCATTTCATGTTGGGTGCTGACCCTGATTGACTGATAGTGGCTGGGAAGGGTTCTGAGACTGTGGCTGGCTCAGTGGAAGAAAGTGCCACAATCATCTAGTGATGTCTGCCATGAACAGAGGAGGAGAAAATGACAGCCTGCATGCACAGCTTGCCAACCGTGCTTTGATGTCCAGTCCCAGGGAAAGAGTCCCGGCTAATTTTTGCAGACTTTGATTTGGTCAACAGATCTGGACTCTAGTCCGAGCTCTGCCATTTACTTTCTGTGGGACTTGGGACCTCAGTTTTCTCCCCAGTCCCTGTCCCACCAGGGCTCTTGGGATGGCCCGTGGTGTACCATTCAGCTGTGTGGAGGCTCTCCATGCAGGGACCCTCTCAGCCCAGTGCCTTCTCTGCTTCCAGATGTGTCCCGCCATCGATGCAGTCCTGGTGTATGTGAACAGGAAGTGGACCAACCTCAGTGGTGAGTGTAGCCCTACCCACACCTTGCCCCTACCTAGGGATATCAGGATAGATAGACTTTGATGTCCCATTCCCCATCCTAGTGCCTGCTTCCAGCCCAGCCTTGGGACTAGAGGAGGCTTGAGGTCATGATGTTCATCCCCCCACTGTCCCGATGGGAGGCCTGAAGTCCCCAGGGAATCTGGGTTCCTTTTCTCTCATCTCCCTATTCAATACTGCATCCTGAACCCCACAAGACTCCAAAGACAGCAGCCCTTCTTTGCTCGTCCACAAGCCTCGTGCCTATGTAGTAATCCCGATGGTAGTAATGCCTGAATCGCCTTTGCTGAGGGGATATACTGCCTCCATCATTTTGGGGTCCCATTTTGGGTCCCAAAGCAGGAGAGAGGAAACCTCAGTGACTGGAACTGAAGAAAACTCATTCATGTCCCCAGCAGTGTGGAATGGGAAAAGTCACTTCACTCTTCTCAGCCTCGGTTTGCTTAGCTGTGAAATAGAGCTGATAATCCTGACCATGCCAGTCTGTTGCAAGGTCCAAGCAGTGATGGCCTTTGGTGAACTCTCAAGCTCTGTGCTGGCTGAGTGATGTGATTTTCCAGGCCAGGAACCATGGCCTCTATTCTACAGATGAAGTTACAGAGGCCCAGAAGTGCTAAGGAATTTGCCTTGAGTCACGTGGAGGGCCAGGTGCAGGTAGCAGCTGGCTGGTGCCAGCTTCTCTGGGCTGTTCCTGGGGTTGGTGCCTCTTTGAGTGGAACCTCCTTTTCACACAGACCCCATGCCTGTGGGCCAGATGGGCACCGTCAAATATGTTCTGATGTCCGCACCAGCCACCACAGCCAGCTACATCCAACTGGACTTCAGTGTAAGCGCCTAGGGCCACCTGGGAGCTGGGGTCTCAGGCTCACTGGTCTGGGTAGTGGGTGATGCTTCTGCCAGGACAGGTGGCTGGACTAGGGCTGTGGAGGGAGGGAGGCCCCTCAAGCCGTGGAGGCCAATGCCATGTGGGTGTTTGTGGACCCTGGGCCTCTCCCTCTTTCTGCTCTAAACGCGAACCTTCAGTGCCCCAGCTGGCTTCTGGGGCTGCTGACTTCACACTCATGATCCCCGCTAGGCTGTTTGCTTCTCCTAGTGAGTGAAGCAAATATTGTCCCCAGTGAATGGCTGAGGAGGTCCAGGCACAGGCAGGAGCAGTGACCTACCCAAGGCCACACAGCAAGACAGCACAAGGCAGGGAAGAGACCCCACATCCCTCACCAGCTCCATTACCTGGCCTCCTGAGATCTTTGGCACAGCATTCCCCACCACTCTCACCTCACCCTCACCCAGTTGTATCCTGCCATTTTGCGGATGGGAACATTGAGACCTTGGGGGAGGGTAGGGCTGGGCTAGGGTCCTGCAGTGAGTTGGTGTCAGAGTTGGGCCCTCACCCAGATCTCCAGAGCTCCAGGCGAAGAGGTGAGATGCATCTTTCAGGAACGTGAAGTAAAATGGCAAGATGTCACCCCGCTGTGAAGTCTTCCTCCAGCAGGATTCTTACACGCCCCGTGTCGATTTCCGCCTGTCTCTTTCTCTTGAGAACAAGGCAGAAATCATGTTCCGAATAAATGAAGCCTCCAACCACTCAGAGCAACTGAGGCTACTAAAGCAGTGCTAGGAGAAAGTGCCCGTGGTTTAGTGACTGACTCCCTTATCCTCCCAGGCCTCAGTCTACCCACCTGTACACTGGGAGGTTTGGCCCACTGTAGCCCATTGTGGTTCTCTTAATAAGATTTAATGATTTGCTGACTTTGGGTTTGGCTGGAGCCCCATTTGCTTGGAGGACTGAGACACTCCTGGCCAACATCCCTCTCGGCCAAGGCTGAGTGTCTCCCTCCTGCTGCCCCATAGCCTGTGGTGCAGCAGCAAAAGGGCAAAACCATCAAGCTTGCTGATGCCGGGGAGGCCCTCACGTTCCCTGAGGGTTATGCCAAAGGCTCGTCGCAGCTGCTGCTCCCAGCCACCTTCCTCTCTGCAGAGCTTGCCCTTCTGCAGAAGTCCTTTCATGTGAATATCCAGGATACAATGGTGAGCTGTCCAGTTCCCCATTTCCATCTGCCTCTGTCCATTACAATGCAGTCCCTGCCTAGTTTTTCTATCATGAAAATTATCCTGGCCTTGTGGGCAACACTAGGACTGGAAGATGCAGGACCGATTTGAGTTTCTCTCAGCAGTTCATCTCACTATCCACCATCCCTCTGTCCATGTAACTACCATCTACTCATCTGTACATCCATCAGTCCGTACAACCAACAATTTATCAACCTACATCTCTAATGTCTTGGTCATCCATCCACCTTCCTTTTGTCCAAGCAACACCCACCCACTCATCTTTCTAGCTGTCATGTATTCATCATACCCTAGGTTCTATCCTTCCAACTAGCATCCATCCATCCCTTCATATCATCCACATAACACCTACTACAAAGTCTGATACTGTTGAATGAATGAATGTATGCACCTGCCATGTACCACCCAAACACCACTACATCCACCCAACTTTCCTTTATCCATCCTCCTACTCGTCCACTCATTCAGCCATCCATCCATCCAACCATCCACCCACATGTCCGTTCATTCCCCGCTGATCTATCCATTCATCTTCCCAACCATCTGTTTACCATTCATCCATGTACCTTTCCATCCATCCTCCCATCCATCAGTCCATTCATCTATTTTCCCATCCATTTATCATTCTACTCCACCATATTCCCATCCACTCATCCTCCTATCCACCATTCCTGTCATTCATCCACCCACCCATCTTTCCGTCCACACATCATCCATCCATGTATTCTTCCTAGATTTCCACCTACCCATCCATCCATTCATCATCCTCCCACCCATTTACCCACTCCTCTGTTTATCCGTTTCCCCATCCATCTGTCTATTCATCTCCAAATATGTCTACCCATCCCCTTTACCCATCACATCTACCCATTCTCCCATCTATCTTCCTGCTTTTTCATCCAACAACATTTTCTTAGCATTTGACCTTGTGCTAAGAGTTATGAGCATTGAAATGTGTAAGTCATCACCTGGGCTGCCCAGAAGGCACAATATTTAGTTAAACTCAGAGCGTTAAGTATTGTGATGAAGGGAGCCTCAAAGGGTACACCTTGTTAAGTCAGTGGAGATGTTTGTTAGGATGGGCCAGGGAGGACTCCAGCAACCCTAACCTTGACTTTTATTCTGTAGATTGGTGAGCTGCCCCCACAAACCACCAAGACCCTGGCTCGCTTCATTCCTGAAGTGAGTGCCCCACCTCCCCATCACCACTGCACCCTGTCCTGCCCTATTGTCCTCCAGTCTGTCCTGCAGTGGGACTTGGGAGACAGCTTTTCATGCCACATATTCCTTGTCCAATGCTGAAACATCTTTTCTTCTTTATAAAGTACTTTTTGGGTCCAACATAGAAAACAGCTCTACTTTTGTGCATTGTACTTTCTGTCCAATAGAGAATAGCCAAATTGTGTATTTTGTTTCTTTTATTTCCTGATAGACACATCCTGGCCTTTGCATGTTGTACTTCCTGTGTCCAACGTAGAAATCACCTATGTCTTGAGGGACCCCTTATTTCAACTGAAGCCACCAGTCTAAGGACTGGCCCTGAGTGAAGTGTTCTGGTTTCTGTAGGTGGCTGTAGCTTATCCCAAGTCAAAGCCCTTGACGACCCAGATCAAGATAAAGAAGCCTCCCAAGGTCACTATGAAGACAGGCAAGAGCCTGCTGCACCTCCACAGCACCCTGGAGATGTTCGCAGCTCGGTGGCGGAGCAAGGCTCCAATGTCCCTCTTTCTCCTAGAAGTGGTGAGGGAAATCGTTCCCTTCCCCATTTATTCCCAATCTCTTGGATATTCAGGGCTGGAGGATGGGATTTTTAGTTGACAGCCAAGTCATGGATCAGAGGGATCAGTTAATCTTGATTATGTCTGATCCTTGGCTCTGCCACTGAACCTTTGAATGGCTGGAAAGCCCAGAAAATGGAGGGTCAGTGGCTTAGTCCTTCCTTTCTCTTTCCTCCCTCCAACATTCTTCAGCAACTACAAAGGCAGTGAAGGGTGCACTGAAGGGACTGTGGGTGCCTAGGGAGATTCCCAAATCCAATTTGGGGAAATCACAAAGGGCTTCCAAGAGGAGGTGATAGCTGAGCTATGTTTTGAAGGTTGAGCAGGAGCTTGCCAGAGAAGGGTTGGGGACAGAGAGTCTTACCAGGGAGACTGGGGACAGAGGACACCCCAGGCAGAGGTTCCAGCATGTGCAAAGGCCTGGATCAATAGTATGATGTGTGCAGGGACCTACTGACAGTGCCAGGTATTTTGGGGGATGCTGCCCTGACTCAGGACAAGGAGGGATGAGAAGCCTGGGCTGGCGCTACAGGGAGATGGCTGGGTTCAGTTCCTGAGGATGGGCAGAGAGAAGATCCCCTGCTTTGTCTTGGCAATGGTGGTAGTGCTGGGAGGGTGGTGGTCTCTGGCTTTGCCAGCCCTGATGGTGGGGAACCCACTGCCTTCTCCCTGCTTCCTCCCCACCATGCCAGCACTTCAATCTGAAGGTCCAGTACTCAGTGCATGAGAACCAGCTGCAGATGGCCACTTCTTTGGACAGGTACGACCCTGCTGCCCAATGCTGGCATCCCTGTTACCTTCACATTTGGCCTTCTGATCTAGCACACCCCACACTACCGAGCTGATCCACCCAGCACACCCCCAACTACCAGGCTGCTCTAGCTACTTTTCCTGCTCTAGAACCCTCAATGGCTCCTCATTGTCTGCATAATCTTTTCTCAAATCTTAGCCTGGTACTCAAGGCCCTTCTCAAGTTCTTCCACCTCTACCCTCACTCTTCCCCTAGGCTCTTTTACAGTGAATCTGGTCATGGGCCCATGCCCCCTTTTCCATTAATAAGCCTTTACCCATGCCATTCACCTGAGAGTCAGGGTCCAGCTCAAATGCCACCTCCTCCACGAAGCCTTTCCTTATACTAATAGCAGCTAACATTTATTTATGGAGCTCTCTCTATATGTGAGGCACTGGCTGCATACATTATATTCATCATCCTATTTCATTCTTACACTTTGGGAGGAGGGTACTACAAACAACTTAGCTTAACATTCGGTCCCTATTAATTCTTGTACTTGCCTTAATAATGAATCACATCAGGATTAATTATGTCAGGATTCTTTCCGTTGCAAGAGAGAAAATTCCAACTTTAACTGGCTTAAGCCCCAAAGGGAATCCTTGGCTCATATAACTGAAAACTTTAGGAGTAGTTCTTTTTTTTTTTTTTTTTTTTTTGAGACAGAGTCTCGCTCTGTTGCCCAGGCTGGAGTGCAGTGGCGCAATCTCGGCTCACTGCAAGCTCCGCCTCCCGGGTTCATGCCATTCTCCTGCCTCAACCTCCAGAGTAGCTGAGACTACAGGCGCCCGCCACCACGCCTGGCTAATTTTTTGTATTTTTAGTAGAGATGGGATTTCACCCTGTTAGCCAGGATGGTCTGGATTTTCTGACCTCATGATCCACCCGCCTCGGCCTCCCAAAGTGCTGGGATTACAGGCATGAGCCACCACACCCGGCCTAACTTTAGGGGTAGCTCTGCCTTCAGGTGTGGTTGGATCCAGGCACACAAATGAACTCCTTGAGAATCTATCTCCTTCTTCCTCTTGACTTTGCTACCCACTTTGTTGACTAAATTCTCAGGCAGCTTCTGGGTCATAGACTCACCCGAGGGACTTTGGGTTTAGCCCATCTGAATGACTTGGAATCAGAGTGGAAAATGGAGGATGTGTTACTGGAATAGAGAATAGATGAGCAGAGCCACCAGATGGCCATCACATGGCCTGTTCTGGTGGCAACATATGTTAGTGCCTCCTGGAGGCTGTACAGGGACGGGGCTGGGGGAAGGGCTCCTGTTCTGTGTCCTGCAAGGATCTGAGACTGCCCAGTTGGGCTGTAAACCTCTGCATAGCTGGCCTTGGGCAGGAGCAATAGACACAAATGGGGGTCCCAGAGGGAAGAGTCAGGACCAGTCTAGTGGTTTGAGCTTTGAGAAATCATGTGCTGTAACGAAAGGTAGTGAGTGTCCCATCACAGGTAGCAGGCAAGCAGACTCAGGAGCACCTGGTCTGAAGGCTGTAGAGGGGACTCCTGCATCAGGGAGGCGTTGGGGTGCTTGGGACCCCCTTCTCCAGCGCCAGGGCCACTGGCTCTGACCGTTCTTTCCCCTCCCCGCCTGGCTTGCTTCCCCACTCCCCCACAGATTACTGAGCTTGTCCCGGAAGTCCTCATCGATTGGCAACTTCAATGTAAGTGTCCCAAGTGCTCTTGCCTGTCCGGCGTGAGGACAAGACTGGGCCTATTCTCCCTCGGAACTACAGGGCCGAGGCCCTGAAATGGAGGCAGATGAACAGAGCAAGGCCACTGTGAGGCGTGGCGCACCTGACTTGCCGTGTGAGCTTAGGAAAGTCCCTTAGCCTCTCTGAATCCCTGTTTCCTTTTCTGGATAGAATCTGGACATCTCCCTGGATTGGTTTTAAAAACATTGTCATGAACAGTGGCAGCCTGGGTTGGCCTTGGTTGGCCAAGCTGTTATTTTTATTAGTCTCTGTAGCCTCAGGGCCCAACACAGAACCTGACCCCAGGAGGTGCCAACACCACCACCACTTACTCTGCGATCATGTGCTTTATCCAAACTCTTTTAATCCTCATGGAAACCCTGGGAGCAGGTGCGATTATAGTTCACTTTCAAAGGTGGGGAAACTCAGCTATAGAGCGGTGGTAAGTGAGGGACTCATCAAAGCTACTGAGTTTCTGTAGGACCAGGACTGGGGTCCACAGAGCCACTTCTTGTCTCATGAGTTTTCCTGTTCCTGCACCATGGCCCAAAGCCCCACATGTCATAGGTACTAAGCAGAGGTGAAGGACACGGGTCTACAGTCCAAACAGAGCCAAGGCCAGGCCCAGTTTTGATGCCAGCTGGACAAACCATTTGATGTCTAATATTCACTTCTGTGGTCCCCAGGCCTAGCCAGAGAGGGCTGAAAAGATCTGTTGAATGGTATTGGACTGAATGGAATGTGGATGCTTTCTCTTTCTTCTTTCCAGGAGAGGGAATTAACTGGCTTCATCACCAGCTATCTCGAAGAAGCCTACATCCCAGTTGTCAATGGTGAGGGTTCCAAAAGGCTTTGGACCATGGTGCCAAGAAGCACTTTAAGCAATAAGGGATGCCACCTGGGTGGTCTCAAAGCCCTATCACTGGGCCCAGATGGGGGAAGCTAAAAGGGAGTGGAAGATAATTGCTGAATCTTTGAAGTGAATATAGTCTTAATGTCACCTGTCTGAAGACAAATGCCTCTCCCACAATTTGGGCTCTGACTTTTGACCCCATATCATAACCCCACATCTTGACCTGGGATGTAAATACATTGCAAATCAGGCTTATTAGCTCTTTGCTTGTACAGCTGGCAGGCATCATGAATCAATCACTGCACTATTTCCCACTATCCCTACCCCAGGCTGCCACTCCTTAATCAACTGCACAGCAGTCAGGCTGATATGACTCTTACTGTATTTCTCAGATGTGCTTCAAGTGGGGCTCCCACTCCCGGACTTTCTGGCCATGAATTACAACCTGGCTGAGCTGGACATAGTAGAGGTGAGAGGAGGGGCTAGGGGAGGTCATGTCAATCAACACTGTCAGCCAGTGAGTGATGAGCAAGAGCCTACCTCTCTCAAACTGGAAAGGGTAGAGCCTGGGAGGGCAGGTGGCCATCAATATAATCCTGCCCCTCAGAATCTAGAACACTCCTTGACCAGGGATTCCATAGAAGGATACTTGGACTCTGCTACTCTCTTCTCCTGCCATCTTGGGCCAATTACTTCACCTCTGTCTGTGTCTCCATTTTCCGGTGCATAAAATGGAGATGATAATACATTATTGTCCTCATAGAGCTGTTATTATGCTTCACTAAGATCATTTACCTAAAGGCACATAGTAAGTGCTGAATAAATATTACCTTTGTATTGCATGCCAACCTTTGAGCTTCGAGTGGTAAATGTACATTTTTCTTATCTGATCTCTCTGCTCTGGGAGGTGGGGGTGCTTGTCCTCACTTAACAGTTGAGAAAATTGAGGGTAAGAGAGGTGAAGTGACCTCTCCAGGGTCACAAGGCAAGTCTACTTCAACCTTTGCTTAACCACCACACTGGTTTCCATTTCCTGACAAGGGGCCCAGTTCCATTCCATCCCTGGGCCTAGGTGGTCCCTGGTCATTGCTCTCCTACCCCTTTGCCTTTTGCCAGAATGCCCTGATGCTGGACTTGAAGCTGGGCTGACCATGGCAGGACTCCCCTGCCAGCTGCCTGCTTACCACCAACCACCTGCACCCCATGGAGGAGACCCCCTGATTGGAGCCAGGTGGGCCTGGCCCCCTACCACTGGTGGCTGCCTCCTTTGACAAGGAGTGAATGGGTCAGGCCTGGGCTGGAGCCTTGCCAATAAACAGGAGAAAGGCTCTTATAAATATCTGATACTTCGGTCTCTTTATTTTTTTAAGTGACAAATCTGTGTGTGGCGATTCTTTCCTTTTGGTGGGTTTTGGGGTCTAAGACCAGCTTGGGATCTGGAGGGAAGCTGGTCACAGCTTGGGGGAGTTCTTGGGCACATATTGAGTACCTGCTCAATGCCATGCCCAGGGCTTTACTTGTACCATCTCGTTTAATCTACACAATAACTCTATTGGTGGAGGGCAAGTGTCATCCCCACCTTACAGATGAGGAAATTGAGGCACAGGGAGGCCAACTCCCTTGTCCAAGGTCACATAGTTTAGCAAGTGGCAAAGCTCTTCCCACCTTAGCTGTGTGCAAAATCTTGGCAACTTGAAGATGGCTGTATTCCCTTGGAACCTGTTACACCAGGAGCCTTCCCTGTGTCACCTTCTTTAATCCTCACAGCAGTTGACGGGGGTGAGAAAGGTCCTCATTTCACTGATGAGATTGAGGCTCAGAGAGGTGGCATGACTGGCTTAAGCCACCTGGCAAGTCAGGAGGCAGAGCTAGGATTGGAATTTGGGCTGTGAAGCCAGCTTGCCTGGGTTCAAATCCTTCCTCTGCCTCCTCTTTGCTGTGTGTCCTGGGCAAGTCACATCACCAATCTGAGCCTTAGTTTCCTCACCTGTAAAATGAGAATGATGGCAGTACCAACCTCTGTTGCGGGAAGTCAGGGAACCCGAACGGAGGGACCAGCTGAAGCCATGGCAGAAGAATATAATATAAATTGTGAAGATTTCATGGACATTTGTCAGTTCCCCAAGTTAATACTTTTATAATTTCTTATGCCTGTCTTTACTGCAATCTCTGAACATAAGTTGTGAAGATTTCATGGACATTTATCACTTCCTCAATCAATACTTTTATAATTTCCTACGCCTGTCCTTACTTTAATCTCTTAATCCCGTCATCTTCGTAAGCTGAGGATGTATGTCGCCTCAGAACCCTGTGATGATTGTGTTATCTGCACAAATTGTTTGTAAAGCGTGTGTATCTGAACAATATGAAATCTGGGAACCTTGAAAAGAACAGGATAACAGTGATTTTCAGGGAACAAGGGAGATAACCATAAAGTCTGACTGCCTGCTAGGCCGGGCAAAACAGAGTCATATTTCTTTTCTTTCAGAAAGCGAATAGGAGAAATATCGCTGAATTCTTTTCTCAGCAAGGAATAACCCTGGGAAAACGAATGCATTCTCAGGGGGAGGTCTCTAAAATGGCCGCTCTGGGAGTGTCTGTCTTATGCAGTTGTACATAAGGGACGAAATACGCCCTGGTCTCCTGCAGCGCCCCCAGGCTTGTTAGGATTGGGAAATTCCAGCCTGGAGAAATTCTAGTCAGACCGATTGTCTGCTCTCGAACCCTGTTTCCTGTTAAGATGTTTATCAATGACAATGTGTGCCCAGTGGAACATGGAACCTCATTAGCAATTCTAATTTTACCCTGGCCTTGTGATCTTGCTCTGCCCCCATTTGTCTTGTGATATTTTATTGCCTTTGAAGCACGTGATCTCTGTGACCCACACCCTATTCATACACTCCCTCCCCTTTGAAAATCACTAATAAAAACTTGTTGGTTTTGCAGCTTGGGGGCATCATGGAACCTGCCGACATATGATGTCACCTCCGGAGACCCAGCTGTAAAATTTCTTTCTTTTGTACTCTTTCTCTTTTACTTAGGGAAAATAGTAAAGAACCTACATTGAAATATTGGGGGCTGGTTCCCTCGATAAACCTCAGTACCAACCTCAGCAGAGTCATTGTGAGGATCACATGAGTGAAATCTTAAAAGGTACTTAGTACAGTGCCTGGCACAGAGTAAGTGCTCAACAAATGTTAGCCACAGGTGGGTTTTTGAGTCAGAGAGATGTGCACAAGTGTTTTTGTGTTGGTGTGTGGGCAAGTAACTATGTGGCCCTGAACCAGCGCACGTATCAGTGTATAAATAGCCTGTGGATGAGTGACCTGGTGGGAGGGTCTGTGCAGAGGCAGGGCCAAGAGTGGAGGTTTGTGTGTGAAAGGCCCCTGGTGTCCATCCGTGCCTGTGTGTGTCTGTGTTCCCATGTTAACTTGCACATAGTCTGTGCCAAGGGTGTTTCTATGTCTTTCATTCATGTGAGGATCAGCTCCCTGACATTTGCCGTATCTGTCCCCAGTGCCTCTCCTGGGATTCACACTGATGCTATTCTTTAAACTGACTCCTTTTTTACATAAATTATGTTTACATGTAATCAAGTTAAAATACATCTTAAATGTATTCTTTAAAAAAATCTGTCAAACGATTAAACTAAATCAATTTGTGAAGGAAACAGTAAGATGTTGCATCTAGCTTGAAGGAGAATTCAAAGTGCAGACACATACACAAGCCATCAGGGATGTGGAAACGAATTTGCCAGAGGCTTGTTCTGTCCTTCACATGCATTCCTGTGGTTCATCTACAGCTTCCAGAGTTGAAGAGTAGCTGAAAAATACACTATTGATGATACAGCTCAGAGGCAGGCAATGAGTAAAGATCCAGAGATATTTTGAGGTAACAAAAATAATTTTAACGCTAGTTAATGAGGAAAATTATTTCTTAGTGCTCATCAAAAACATGACTTTCCCATTCAGGTTTATTTGTAAATCAGATAGAACTACCATCTCACTTTATCAGTTCTATCCAATGTTAACATTAACACCAAGAAGAGGAAGCAGTATATGACAGAAATATATGTGTATGTGTGTATATATATATATATATACACACACACATACACACATAAATTGTATACATATATGGATAGTTTACATTTCCCAGGCAGTGTTCAGAAAAACTAAAATAAAAAAAGAAACAAACACAAATATAATTTTATTTTGTCTTAGGACAAATATAATTATTTTGTCTTAAGAAAATCATATATTTTACATATATATATATACACATACATATATATAATGCCTACATGCATATTAATATATATGTATGTATGTACATTCACTTTATCATATGCTACATCCGATTGATTTTTTAGATGGTAATTCAAGTTTGATCTTTGTTCTGGGCTACTGTGTTTTCTCTCAACTGTCAAGTTACGTCTTATCAATACTTTAGAGAGTGGGTCAAGGCAACACGGGATGAAAAGGCAGACTTCAGGAGGCTAAAATCACTAGTGATGTAGGGGGCAATGTGGGAGTTATCGACTTCCTCTGTCTTTCCCCCAGTAGTGTTGACCATGAGAGTGGCCTAGGAGGACCACCATGTAGACTCCGACTCCCTCTCACTCGTAGTGGGGCAAACCAAACAGCTGGGGCTGGAAGTCCTGCAGGGAACTCAGCAACGGGGAGGCCTTTCTGGTCAGGTCTTGGCTCAAGTTTCCATCTGGAACCATGACCACCTGCATCCTGGCGTCCAGGGCTGCCTCCACCTTGTTGGGCACATCTTCAAAGACAGGGCACTCCTCCACAGGAGGAGGAAGAGAGAACCTCCTGGCACAAGTCAGGAATATGGCAGGGTCGGGCTTGCTGCTCTTCACTTCGGGTCGTCTCCCAGCATGATGTGATGGAAGACTGAAGAGTTCTTGTGCCTGCTTGTCTTCACCTCGAAGGATGCAGACTTTGAGCTGGTGGCCACGGCAAAGGGGATGTTGTGTTTCCGAAGGTGGAGGATGAGTTTCTCAGCCCCCTGGCATGAGCGCTGCAGTGGGGAACACATCCCTTGGCCTGGCTTGGCTTTCTTCCAACAGCTCTTCCACCAGGAGCTGCAGGACATCCACGACCACCTGCGCCACCTCCAACGCCTTCTTACCCATGACCAGGGACTTCACATCCCCGGTGTATTCCTTTTCATAGCGATCACATATGTCTTGAAACACCACTGAACAGAGCCTTTCAGTGTCCAGAAGCAGGCCATCCACGTCGAAGAGGAGGTGGGTGGTGGGCCGCAGGGGTACAGCCATAATGCCTCTGCTTGGGCTGCATTGGGGCAACCAGGAGGTGTGCACATACCCACCAGCCCCGCACACGCACTGCAGGTTCCAGAAAAGGACTTCTAAGTGGAGCCTGCAAATCAGTGTCACTTGCTTAATGTCTTTTTTAAAAATCTAGACTGGGTGCAATGGCTCACGCCTGTAATCCCAGCACTTTGGGAGGCCGAGGCAGGCGGATCACGAGGAGATGGAGACCATCCTGGCCAACATGGTGAAACCCCGTCTCTATTAAAAATACAAAAATTGGTTGGGTGTGGTGGTGCGCGCCTGTCGTCCCAGCTACTCTGGAGGCTGAGGCAGGAGAATCACTTGAACCTGGGAGGTGGAGGCTGCAGTGAACTGAGATCGCACCACCACTCCAGCCTGGGTGACAGAGCAAGACTCCATCAAAAAAAAAAACAAAAAAAAAACCTTTAACTATGGGGAAAAAAATGTATCGGGGCCTCCTATGATCAGCTGGTGCCCCAGCCCTGGAAATTATGGGGGTGGCGGCTATGTGTGTCCATATGTCTGTTGGGGTGTGTGTGTGTGTGTGTGTGTGTGTGTGTGTGTGTGTGTCAGAATGTCTGTCTCCCTGGGGTGAGGCTCTGGATGTGGGAGATTGGGGGCGTCTTTGTGAGTGGGTCTGTGTCTGGGCACATTCATGTGTGTGTGGGTGGTGTCGTGTAGCCAGAGGCCTGATTAGGTCACTGCTCCCCTAGCCATGGGGCCCTGGCAGGTAAGCCCTCTCCCAGCCTAGCCCAGGCCCATGCCACAGAGGAAGGAGGGCCCATCTTGCCTCATCCCAGATGCCAGGGCTATTCCCCTGTCCCTCAACATGAGCTCTAATCCCGTCACTAATCGTCTCCCCAGCTCTGGGACAATGGCAGCCTTGAGGGAGGCCTGGCAGGTTCAGATGCCAGGGTAATCCATGGGCTGCTGATGCCTGGCCCTGGGCGTGCCAGAGACGCCCCTCTGCCCCCAACCCACCCTTGGATGTTCCCACAGCACACTTATGGCTACCTAAAGCCTTGCTGCCACCCTCTCCAGGCTCAGTGTGCTGATGGGGAAACCAAGGCACAAGCTGTTAGGGTTTGAAGGCCTGGCTTCTTGCCAGGCCTTGGGTACTGTGTGGCCTTGAACAAGCCACAACTCCTCTCTCAACCTCAGTTTACTCATCTTTACAGTAAGGAAGGGGTTGGATGCTCTGACCTCTAATCTGATGTCAACAGTCTTTGAGTGGTCAGTTCCTCCAGATTCACCCTGAGCAGAAAATGTGGGCTGGACTGGCAAGGGATCCCTACTCCATGACCCCACTTCCTGGGGAGGCAGTGATAGGAGGTCTGCTGGGCACTGCTCACCTCCCAGAATCCTCCAATCCCAGATAAGGAAGTAGAGGCCCAGAAAGATGAAGTGGCCCGCCCAAGGGCACGTGGCACATGTGGAGCTGGACTTGAACCCTATCTTCCTGAGTTCAAGTCTCTTCCTCACTCCTTCACACCACACTCAGCAGTGGAATGCAGTGTTCTCCTTTCAAGAAAGTGAGGCTCAAGGCTACAGAGTCAGAAAAGAGCAGAGGGAGGTCTTCGATTCTGGGCCCACAGCTATTGACCCCCCGGGACCTGTCAGACAGCCTCACCCTGGGAAAATGAAGCCACACGATGTTCCCCACACCTGTGTTCATACCAGTACCCACTTACCTTGCCTTCTCCCTTCTCAGCCCACTCTCAGCTCGAGTAGCATGGGGAGGCCTCCCAGGGATCTCACCACCATCTGCACCCTTGGCCCCCCTCCCTTGATGCCTTAAATTTCATTTCTAGGATACCTGTCCTCACAGCCATACCAATTAGGTGAGGAGGGCCACCTTTAATATGAGCCCATTTTGCAGATGGGAGAACTGTGGCTCTGTGAGTTAAGTCACTCAATTGTGAGTGACAGAGCCAGAATGTGGACCCAGAAATTTTGGCTCCAGAGCCTTTACTCTAGGAACTAATGCCCAGGGGTATTTCTCCTCATCAAGTCCCTCCCCTGCTCTAATCCCTTCCTTGGCTTCCCATCACCCTCACCAGGGATATCAAAAGGGCTGCACATCATATTGCCTTGGGGGCTTGTTAAACGTCCCCCTAGGTGCTTGTCAGTGGAATCAGTGTTGCCAAAGGTGAGGCCAAGAGATATGTATTTTAATGAATCCCTTCCCGTGGGCAGGCCCAATCCCTGACCTGGCTTTGGTGCATGAGGGGATATGGGGACGCCTGGGGAGCTTATGGGTGTGTCAGAGTCCCCTGTTGGGTGGGGATCGGGAAGGAGGAGGAGAGACGAAGCAGGCCAGAAACAACTAGGTAGCATTTTCCTCTCTTCCAAGAGGCTAGGCTGGGCAGTGGTTAAGACAATGAGTGTTAGACGGTCTGGCTGGACTCCTGTGTGACATCCGGCAAGCTGCTTACCCTTGCTGAGCCTTGGCTTCTTGAGTGTAAGAAGAGGAAATAATAACAGCACTGATCTCACTGGGTCTTTGTGGTGACTAGATGTGCTCACATACAGCAGGTGCCTTGTACACGGTATGTGCCGAATAAATACTAGTGTTAGTTTTCTTTCCTCTTCCTTCAAACAAATGCCTTAAAAACACTGGGGATACCCAGCACAGATGAGGCTGTGGAGTAGCAGCATTGACCACGTGCAATGGCATAATGCTCAGGGGAACCATAGCCATAGAGAGTATGGCTAAACATGCGCATGCATGCTGTGCTCCAGCAATTCAGCTCCTTGTTATTTACCCAAAAGAAATGAAGAATAAAAACATAGGCCCAAGCTGGGTGGTGGCTCATGCCTGTATTCCCAGCACTTTGGGAGGCTGAGGTGGGAGGATCACTTGAGGTCACGAGTTCGAGACCAGCCTGGCCAACATAGTGAAACTCCGTCTCTATGAAAAATACAAAAATTAGCCAGGTGTGGTGGCAGGTGCCTGTAATCCCAGCTACTCAGGAGGCTCAGTCAGGACAATTGCTTGAGCCCAGGAGGCAGAGGTTGCAGTGAGCTGAGATCACACCACTGCACTCCAGCCTGGGTGACAGAGCAAGACTCTGTCTCAAAGAAAAAAAAATGTCCACAAACAAGAGTGTTCATAGTAGCTTCATTCATAATAGCCAACACCTGGAAAGCCCAGGCACCACTGGACAGGAAAATGGATAAGCAAACTGTAGGGATTCGCATAATTGAGTAGTACACAGCAAAGAAGACCCAGTCACTGCCTCACACAATGGGAGCAGGGAAGCCACGCACATAAAGCACACAGCGGTTGCACTTAGTGACCCCCAGGAGCATGCTGGACTCAGCACTGAGTTAGCGGTCAGGACAGTGGTCACCACCAGGAGGGCAGTGACTTGGAGGGGACACAAAGAGGGCTTTGAGAGGGCTCCATTTGTAAAAATTCATCACACTGTATACTTGTGATCTGTGCCCCTTTTTGTGTACATGGTTTAGATTTTAGTAAAAAGTTTATCTTTTAAAAAAGTGTGGTGTGGTTGAGTAACCTGGTCCAGGGCCTAAAGTCATCAGAATGAACATTGTAGGGTGAGGGCTTTAGAGATGATTGAGGTAAACAAGGCAAATGCCATCCTTCTTCCCCATCTTAGCAGGCAGAGGTTCAGGGCCCCACGCAGGAGACAGACCCACAGACTCACAGAGCCACAGACACAGTGACAGCTTGGCATGTCACAGATTCTGAGAGAGGAAATCCCAGGGGACTGTGGGAGCTCAGAGGTGATACCTCATGCAGCTTGGGGCTCATGAAGGCTTCCTGGAGGAAGGGATGCCTGAGCTGGTGCCTTCAGAGGAATTGCCAATGAAAGCCAAAGTCTGTAAATCCATACAGTAGCTTCCAGGGCTTCATCACACATTGTTTACCACCTATCTCTCACTCCCCTCCAATCACATGGCCCCCCTGCTGTTCCTGGAACACCACCCTAGGCCTTTGTGTGGGGGTCCCTCTGGTCAGCAGGCTCTTCCCAGACAGCCATCTGACTCCTTCCCTCTTCTCCTTCTGGTCAAAAGTCACCCCTGCTTCAATATGAGGCCTTCCCTGACCACGCTATTGAAAATGGCACCCACTCCCCACACTCCTGAGCCCCTTCCCTGCTTTATTTTTGTTGTTAGCTTCCGACTTACTGTATTTTTTTTGAGATGGAGTCTCACTCTGTCGCCCAGGCTGGAGTGCAGTGAGGCAATTTTGGCTCGTTGCAACCTTCATCTCCCAGGTTCAAGTGATTTTCCTGCCTCAGCTTCCCAAGTAGCTGGGATTACAAGCATGCGCCACCAAGCCTGGCTAATTTGTGTGTGTGTGTGTGTGTATATATATATATATATATATATATATATATATATATAATTTTTTTTTTATTTTTTTTGAGGCAGAGTCCCTCACTGTCACCCAGGCTGGAGTGTGATCTCAGCTCACTGCAAGCTCCGCCTCCTGGGTTCACGCCATTCTCCTCTCTCAGCCTCCCAAATAGCTGGGACTACAGGCTCCTGCCACCACACCCAGCTAATTTTTGTATTTTTAGTAGAGACGGAGTTTCACCATGTTGGTCAGGTTGGTCTTGAACTCCTGACCTTGTGATCTGCCTGCCTCGGCCTCCCAAAGTGCTGGGTTTACAGGCGTGAGCCACCGCGCCCAGCCCCAACTTACTGTATTATGTGCTTATTTGTCCCTTTCAGAGCTGTGCTTTCCAATATGACAGCCAATAGCCATACAAGGCGATTGCCTGAAGTGCGACAAGTCCAAATCTTGGTGTGCTGTAAGCAGATTTTGAAAACTTAGTATGAGAAAAAGAAAGTAAAGTACCCCATTCATAATTTTCTGTTGGTTATATGTTAAATGAGAATATTTTGGATTTGGTGGGGGTAAATAAACTAGACTATTATAATTAATTTCACCTGTTTCTTTTTGCCTTTCAAAAAATGTGGCTACTAGAAAGTTTTAAATTGCATTGCATTTCCACTAGTCGGCTCCTTCAGGGCAGGGGAGATTGTCTCTTTTATTTACAGCGATTTCCCCAGCATCTAGCAGACAGTGGGTGCCTCACAAATGCCTGCAGTGGAGTGAATGAATGGACGCATTTCTCGTCGCTGTCATCTGCACCAGCCTCGGAAAGGGGACAAAGCTCTGGAACTCTGGGGATACTGAGCCTTGGGAGGTGGGGGTGGAGTTGATGCCCCTCCCCCAAGTGTGCCCAGAGTCCCTGTCTCCAGGCCCATAGCCCTCTCCATGTGAGGCCTGGTGCGGGGGGAGGGTGGCGGAAGGTAGAAGACCCAGCAGCTTTAAGTCCCTTCTTTCCCTCCGTAGGCCTTCGCTGGGGAAGGGGTGGGGTAGGCAGGGTAGATTCTGTGCCATTGGAATGGCTCTTGGGGAGCCTTGGAGGGAGCCCAATAGGTGGCTGAATGGGTAGGTGGCAGGGCCCCACACCTCACCCCTGGCTCTGAGGGAGGTGGCTGCCTGTGCAGCCCCCACGCCTTCACTCCCACTCCTGGGCACCGACCCCAGTCCCCTTACTCGCCTCCAAGGAGGAAGGCTTAGCCCAGGCCCTCGGGGAAAACCGCAATTTGCTTCTGACATGACATATTGACGGGATTCTGGCGGCCGTGGCCCCTTTGTGTCCTCAGAGCCGCGTGGGCATATAAGGGCCACCCCTCAGCTCGCGTGGGTGGAGGAACCGACAGGAGGCCGGGAGCCCCCACCTACCCCTTGTGGAGCTGCAGGAGCAAGGGTAAGACAGCCTGAGGCAGCCCTGCTCTTGTCCTGACGCCCAGCCGTTGACCCCACTGCCTTCTGCCCTCCCATATGAATGATGGGCACGGAAAGAACTCACCCTAGGAGGAGACTGGGGGTACCAAGAGGGTGGATGAAGAGAAAAACCATGTTACAGATCTGGGGCCCAGAGAGAGGCAAAGACTTGTATATATTCACAGCCGGAGGGGTGGGCAGGGGATCCCTGTCCATAGGATGATCCTATGGAGAGAGTTCCAGGAGTGCCCATTTTTCTCCTGGCCAGTGACATGCTGCTGAATTTCTATCCCCTGCCCCCTCAGCAGGGACCCCTTCTGACACACAACCACGCACAGAGGCCTTAGACATGGTCCCTGCCTTCATGGAGTTTACAGGGAAGAGAAATAAGGACACAAACAGATGCATAATTGCAAATGGAGATCAGCACCTTAAAGTAAATATTCTGCGTGATGTTTAGTGACAGACGGATTTCTTTAGACAAAGTGAAGGACGGAGGCCTCTCCAGGGAGGCAATGTTTATCCGGAATCTCAATGATAAGGAGTCAGCCATGCAAAGAAGCAGGGAGGAGCCTTCCTAACAAGGAACCGCATGTGCAAAGGCCCTGGGGTGGGAAGGGGCCTGGCATGTTTAAGCTCAAGGAGGTCAAAAAGGCAGGCAGGGATTTTGTGGGTAATGGCAAGAAGCCTGGGTTTCAACCCAGGGCAGCGGGGAGCCACTGAAGGGTTTAAGCAGGAGTGATGGGTGGGCATAGATGGATATGTGATTGGGTGGGCAAATACGGAACTGCTTAAAGAAAAATCCCACTCTGTGAACTTAGCAGATTAGCCATGCCCCCACCTGCCACCCCATTCCCTTTTTCAACAAGATTTGGGGTGGAGGTGGGGGAAGGAGAAAGATAAGACATGTTAAGTCTAAGTGTTGGGTGTCCCCAGTCAGCTAGACCTTCTGAAACAGCCTCATGAGCCAGTGGGAAGCAGCTGCTGGAAACAAAGCTCTCATCCTGCTGTCCTGGAGGGGGAAGCCCCTCTGTCTGCAGCTGTCACTCCAGACACCCGGCCAGGCTCACTGGGCCTCTGAGGATGAAGATTTTTATGTCAGATGGACTCAGGCTTGAATTCTGACTGTCTCTGATTAGTTCTGTGGCCTTGGTCTAGTCCCCTACCCCTTTCGGTCTCAGTTTTCCCAGCTGAGAAATGGAACCCAATGAGGGAGAGGCTTGGAAAGTGCCTTGGAGACTTGAGTGCATTGGCAGCTGCACCGTGCCACCTGCGTGTTAGCTCTGCTTACATTTGGGAGGAGAAGGCTTTCCTGGGAGTGAAGCTCAATTTGGGCTGTGCCAGGTGGGCAGGAAGGGGGAAGGCTGATAATGGGAACAGAGAGGGGAAAGGCTTGAGCAGGAGAAGGGTCTCAGAGTTCCTCCTTCTGCTCCTTATAGGCATGCAGCCAGTCATGCTGGCCCTGTGGTCCCTGCTTCTGCTCTGGGGCCTGGCGACTCCATGCCAGGAGCTGCTAGAGACGGTGGGCACGCTCGCTCGGATTGACAAGGATGAACTCGGCAAAGGTGAGCCCCAGGTGGGCAGTCTGTGAGGGGGCTGCTGCAATGTCAACGACTCAATCTATATGCTTAGAGCATCTGCTTTAAGAGCAGATAAGAGCAGGTTGTGATTCTCAGCTGCTTAGAGAGCACATTCTCCTGGGAGTAGCTGTGCAGGAGTGAAAGTTTCCCTTGCAGGCTTGAATGGGCGATGAATTCCCTCTTACGGGAGGTGGACTGGGTGATATGGGCTGAGGCTGTTTGGGGACTGTGTGTGGCTCAGGGACAGGGACAGAGTGAGGTTGAAGAGGTCGAGGGGAGGGTGCTAGCTGGGCCAGTGTCTCTGCCTCACATCACTAGGGTAAGGGAACTGTACTTGGCATTTGGTACTACAGAGCCCGGTGGCCTGTGGTGACAGTCTCAGGGATAGAGTAGATTGGTCATGAGCAGGAAATGCTTCAGAGAGGCCCCCTGGCCTGCCTCTACTCTACAGGGCCATTCCTCCATCCTGCCCTTCCCACAGTCTGCACAGAGTCAGGCCTGGAGTGCCCAGGAGAGAAGCAGAGACCATCTCCTCCAACTTGATTGAGCCCTGGTGGCTACAAGCTCCCCCTTCTTTGCCCTCCCTTTCAGTGCTGTAGGGCAGTCCAGGATCAGGAGCCAAGTTACACTACTGACCCCAACCCAATTTGCTGTGTGACTTTGGACACGTCTCTGCCCCTCTCTGAGCCTCAGTTTTCCCACTGGTAAAATGAAGGGATTGTTATGAGATTTGCTCATTCATTCTCCAAACACTTACTGGGTACCTCCCACATGCCAGGCAGGGAGGGTGGCCACAGGCCCTGCGGTGGGAGTAAGAGGCTGTTATGGCTTAGTGGGTTCCACCATTTGAGTGTAACCTCTGGGTTAATTCCATTTTTAAAAAGAAGCCTACTCAATCTCAGAGGAAGGAGGCAGCTGCCATGGTCCTGGGGGTGAGGTTGGAGTTTCTAGTACCTTCCTACTTCCACTCTCTCTGCAGCCATCCAGAACTCACTGGTTGGGGAGCCCATTCTGCAGAATGTGCTGGGATCGGTCACAGCTGTGAACCGGGGCCTCTTGGGCTCAGGAGGGCTGCTTGGAGGAGGCGGCTTGCTGGGCCACGGAGGGGTTTTTGGCGTTGTCGAGGAGCTCTCTGGGTGAGTCCCACCTGCTGCATGCCCTACAGGAAGACTTGGCTTTGCTTCCAGGAATTGAGGAGAGATTGTCTCTTTGTAATTTGTCCAATAGGCAGTGAAGGTTGTGTGGGAGGGTTGTGATCCGGGTCTAAAAATGATGACTCTACTGCATGCCTGGCAGGACAAGAACAGCAGAATGCCACTGTGGTTGAGGGTTCCAGCTCTGGGGTCAACACTAGTTACTCACTGTTTGACCTTGGGGAAGTTGCTTAGTCTCTCTGGGCTAATCTAGCTATCAGCATGGTTCCCTTTTTCACCTCCTCCAGGTGTCCGCTCAAAAGAGGTGTGGGCTGATTAGCCCTTTCTTATCCCCACCATACATTTTACAGGTTTATTTTATGTCTCCTTTGCTAGATTATAAACCCCAGGAGGGGTAGGATTTTTGTCTGGCTTATTCACTGTTGTGTCCCCGGGATCATAAATAGGGACACAGTGTATGCTCAAAAAGCTTTTTTTTCCCTTTTTTTTTGAGACACAGTCTTGCTTTGTTGCCCAGGCTGGAGTGCAGTGGCATGATCTCGGCTCACTGCAACCTCCGCTTCCCGGGTTCAAGCGATTCTCCTGCCTCAGCCTCCCGAGTAGCTGGGATTACAGGCGCCCACCACCACGACGGGCTAATTTTTGTAGTTTTAGTAGAGAAGAAGTTACATCATGTTGGTCAGGGTGGTCTTGAACTCCTGATCTCAGGAGATCTGCCTGCCTCGGCCTCCCGAAGTGCTGGGATTACAGGCGTGAGCTGGGGTCTGAATGTTTGTCCCTCACATAGGATTCCAGAAGACTGCTACGATTGTCTGAATGTTGGCCCCTCACACAGGATTCCAGAACACTGTTACCAGGTTCTGAATGTTTGTCCCTCAAATAGGATTCCAGAACACTCCTGCTGTGGTCTGAATGTTTGTCCCTCACATAGGATTCCAGAACACCGCTACTAGGGTATGAGTGTTTGTCCCTCACACAGGACCAAAGAACACTGCAGTTAGGGTCTGAAAGTTTGTTGCTCATATAGGATTCCAGAACACTCCTGCTGTGGTCTCAATGTTTTCCTAAACATAGGATTGCAGAACACAGCTTTTTTTTTTTCATTCAAAAAAAAAAAGTATTTTTGAATGAATGAATGAAGAGCATCACATTATAGCTAATATGCACTAACTCAATGAGCACCTATTCAGGGTTTTCTGTGTGTCTAGCACTGTGCATTGTAAATGAATTATCTCACTGAGCCCAGAGGTAGGACTATTATGAACTGCATTTAACAGGTGAGGAGATAGAGGCTCCTGGCAGTGAAGTGACCTGCCCAAGCTCACCCAGCTAGGGGAGGAGATGGGAATGTGTCTGTGTGTTTCATCACAGCCCATACTGCCTGGTCAAGTCCAGTGGAAACCAGTCTATGGCTGGTGGGTGAATTAGGGGAAGGTCAAACAACAGGGCCCAGGCAAGGCTGAAGCCCAGTGTATGGAGAAGAGTCACTGGACAGGAGGCAATGGGGTACTGGGAGCGGAAAGAAGGGCTGATGGGTGTTCACTTCCCTAAACGGAACATAATGTCCGGAAAGCAGGCTGGTAAATGCTGATGTTGCTCGAGGTTCGCTGTGTGTCATTCTGTGGTAGGTGTGGTCAATGTCCCTATTTTACAGATGGGGAAACCGAGGCACAGCAGCACTGTGACTAGCCCAAGCCCATCCAGTCAGTTAGTGGCAGAGCTGGAGTTTGAACCATCTGCCTTTTACTGGCTGCAGTATTAGCAGCTACTCATGGGGTTGTTGCCAGGACAGTGAGTTAATCTGTGCCAAGCAGCTGAAATAGAGCCGGGCAGAGAGTAAGTGTTGGATAGATATTATTATTATTATTAATGCAATATTTACTCTCCCTCCCCTGTGAAATCCGCTTTCTTGGTGAGGCTGGAGTCTCAGACATGAGCTTGGCATTGTTCGTGCCTTGAAGAGCTCCTCATAGGTGGTGGAGTCTGACAGCGAAGATCCCATGGGCTCAGGGCAGTGATGGAGGCAGCCCAGGCAGGGTGGGATAGGCGCTCAGAGGGCATCTGCCCGAGGCAGAAAACCAGGATGGAAGGCTTCCTGGAGGAGTGCACGTGAACTGGGAGGAGTCAGCAAGCTGAAGAGGGATGCAGAATGGAAGAAGGGTCAAGGGAAGTGTGTTCCAGACAGAGGAAATGGCCTGGGCAAAGACCCAGAGGACAGAGAGTAATGACTTGTGAGGAGTCGTGTTTGAGAACCCACTCGGGTTGCATTTGTGTGAGTGTGCAGGGGTATAGCAGGGCGCAATGTCAAGGCCAGAAACCAAACCAGGGCTGAGACTGTGGGGATGGAGTGAGGAAAAACTTTAATTCCTTGAGCCTCTAGCGGTGATGATGATAGGACATTTGTTGAGCACACACCGTACCAGGTTCTGCACTCGAATTATCTCACTTGTCTTTGCAACACTCCTGTGAGGTAGGAACTAGTATCGCCCCACTTTACAGATAAGGAAACTAGGCCCAGAGAGATGAAGTGATGGGCCAAGGGCTCGCAGCTGGCTCTGTGGGTTTGAGGTGAGATAGGGGACACCACCAAGAGCCACTCTGGGCGCCGCCTGGGCTGGGATGTCTGGGAGTGAGCAACCCTCTCCCTGACTCCCATCCTAGTCTGAAGATTGAGGAGCTCACGCTGCCAAAGGTGTTGCTGAAGCTGCTGCCGGGATTTGGGGTGCAGCTGAGCCTGCACACCAAAGTGGGCATGCATTGCTCTGGGTGAGTGTGTCCTGGGGACCTCTACCCTCCTGCTTCCTATCCCACCCCCTGACCTGTTGGAGACTCCTACTCTGCTGTCCCCCCACTCCCACCCCTCTGTATCCCCCATTTCCTTTCACCCTATTTCCTCCCCAAGGGACTCCCAATCCTACTGTTTCCCCCCTGGATCCTATGCCATTGCCCTTCCCCAGGGACTTCCATTTCGCTCTTCCTCCAGACCCGGACCCCACCGCTCAGGCTCACCTGAGAGGGTCAGGGAAGAGGGTGCAGGGAAGTGCAAAATGGGGCAGGGAGGCAGAGGCTGAGAAGGGGGCACAGAGCCTAGGCCACTGGCAGGGCCACCCTGGTGGGCGGGGCCAAGGGTGGGAGCTGGCTGCCTGGCCACACCCCCAGTGTCCTTTCTTGCAGCCCCCTTGGTGGCCTTCTGCAGCTGGCTGCGGAGGTGAACGTGACATCGCGGGTGGCGCTGGCCGTGAGCTCAAGGGGCACACCCATCCTTATCCTCAAGCGCTGCAGCACGCTCCTGGGCCACATCAGCCTGTTCTCAGGGTGAGTCTGCAGGTTCCAGCCTGCAACCCTGACCCGCTCAGGATCATCTCGCACCCATCTGGGCATCTCCCAGGTCTCCCTGGAGCTGCCAGCTGCGGGGGCCTGAACTCGTCCTACCCCTGCTTGTCCCGCCGGTTTCAACCCACTTCACAGACCGACAGATTGAGTCCCACCACTGACAGGGACTCCGGCTTAATCCATAGCTTGTGCCACCCACTCCTGGGCAATTCCTCTAGTCTGGTTCACGGGATCCTGCCGTCCCCTCTCCGCCAGAGCGGGCCCAGGGTCAGCTGGGATCCCTCCATTTGCGGGATTTCAGCCCCTGCTCTCAGCACATGAGACCCAACTCTGCCTCTGACTTGCTGTGTAACCTCAGGGAGACCCACTCCCTATCTCCCCATTCTGGGCCCCCATGTCCCCATCTGTATATGTGGAGCTGGATTTGATGATTCGGAAGGGGCTGTGACTTCAGTCTCTTCCCAGGATCTGTCCAGGTGGCCCTCCCTACACCTTGTTGAATCATCACTTTTTTCTTTTTCTTTTTCTTTTTTTTCCTGAGGCAGAGTCTCACTCTTTCACCCGGGCTGGAGTGCAGTGGTGCCATCTCGGCTCACTGCAACCTCTGCCTCCCGGCTTCATGCAATTCTTCTGCCTCAGCCTCCCAAGTAGCTGGGATTACGGGCGCCCACCACCATGCTAATTTTTGTATTTTTAATAGAGACGGGGTTTCACCATGTTGGCCAGGCTGGTCTCGAACTCCTGACCTCAAGTGATCTGCCCTCCTTGGCCTCACAAAGTGCTGGGATTACAGGTGTGAGCCACCGTGCCTGACCTCTCAATCATCACTTTCATGGGACCATGGAGGCCCAGAGGTCTCCTTGCCTAGGATCACACGCACAGATCCGGCAGGGATGGAGAGGGGCTGCGCTCTGGCTGGGTCCAAGGCCTCTGCCAGCACTCTGAGCCAGCCCACAGCTGCCTCCCACTTGTGTCTCCCCGTTCTGTGTCCACCTTCCAGGCCCAATCCCAATCCCGGCCCCTGCTCCATCTTTGTTGGGTAACTCTGAGCAGTGGGGGATCATCAGGCAGTTCTGTGTTAGCTCCCAGGAACAGGGTAACTGGGTTGCTCCTGTCTCCACGAGGGCCCTAAGAAAGGGATTCCAGGCAAGGGCTTTGGGCTCCTTAAATTCCAGTGGTTCCCAGGATGGTGTTGGTGTCCTGTGTTTGGGGCTCTGTGGTTGCCATCCTGCACCCCATGGTCTCCAAACAGACCTGAGCCTGTCTACATGCACTTATCCTCAGGCCATCATTCATTCATTCATTCATTCATTCATTCATTCATCTAACAAATACTTGTTGAACCCCCACTCTGGGGGCTCAATAACAACCATTGTCCTAGGCCTAAATGTCTCTTGTCTACAACTGTTAGAGGGACAAAGGAGACAGACATTTGTCAAGCACAGATTTTACACCAGCCACATACACACTCCCATGTAACCCGGGCAGCAGCAGCTCTCTAAGGTGGGCATTGTACAGTTGGGGAAAATGAAGCCATCCCCTGGGTCCCCTCGGGAGGAGGAGCCAGGATTTAACTCAGGTCTCCAAAGCCGCAGTCAACACCACCCCCAAGAGAAGGGAGAGGAGAAATCCAGAGCCCCTAGTGTCCGCCCGACCCTGTCATCTGGGTTGAACCGTCCACCTGGCAGCCGCACCCACATGTGTCTCCCTCTGCTCAGGCTGCTGCCCACACCACTCTTTGGGGTCGTGGAACAGATGCTCTTCAAGGTGCTTCCGGGACTGGTGAGTGTGCGGGCCGTGTGCCAGCATGCCCTCTCCCAGGACTGGGCCTCTTTCCCCCTCTGGTTTTGGGTGAAGTTTGGCGCCAGGCAGGATTAGGCTGTACTTCCCTTCCACACCCACCTGGTAATCCCATCCGGGCCTGCTGACCGGCCTTCCTGGCGCGCCTGCTAGTCTGGGGGTGGATGACACGATCCTTTCGGCCTGGGTCCCCTGCTCCCAAATCGTAGGCTCCTAAGAAGGGTAAGAACCCCTGCTCTGTTTCTGCCATTTGTATTAGTACCAACTTTATGTTTTTCTTTAAATTAGCGTGAAATGAAAATTGGATCACTTGGTGATTTTAAACTGAGCCCTGTGCTTGGCAATCATGTCTAGAAAAACACATGTACCTTTATTCATACATCACAATTAAACATATTAAGATTAAAGGATGCCTGTCCATGGCCTGCCCCAGAACATCCTGGCTTCTGCACTCGAGAGAGCTGGTCTGGCCCAAACCCCATATCACCGAGGAAGAGGGGAGGGCCACATAGACAGCAAAGGGCAGTCAGGCCTCCTGACCCCACGGCCTAGCTGGCTCTCCCTGTGCATTCTTGCGAACGCTGCTGGGGGCAGCAGAAGAATGGGAGCCTAGGGTTGGCAAAACTGCCCTGGGCTTGAGGAAGCCAGTTTGGAAAAGAAGCTTAGCAGGAGGAGGGGCCCCTAAGCAAGACCATGTCAGGCAGGTTTCCACCAGGGCATGAAGGTGCATTTCAACGGCAGCCCCTAACTTAGTCTCTGGGGCAATTGGCCAGCAGCTAGGTTTTGTGTGATACAAAGAGGTTTTGAAAACGAGCATTCATTGCCAACATTCAGCATTGAAGATTTCTCGTAACAGTCCAGATTTCTGGCTTCTGTTTTGCAATCAGCCATCCTGGCTGCCTGATACCTCCCTCCTGTAAGTGGGAAGTACCTCTGGTACCTCCCATCTGGTGCTCAGAGGGTTTGCTTTCTCCATCCCCAGCAGAGCCCCTCTGGTCTCCTCTCATTTCTGTGACTTGCCTGACCCCAGAAATCCTGGAGTTTGGGGCCCCCACTTGACATGTGACAGCCCTCTTTTGTCTCTCTGAATACAGCTGTGACCTTGGACAGGCCACCTTCTTCTCTGGCCTCAGCTGGAGGATGAAGGGGCTGGACTGCATCCTCTCTGAGGCTCCCACTCCAGTGGGCTATGGGACTCAGGTTCTGTGATTCCCAGACTTGGATTCTGAAAGTTGAACCACTTGCTCCCTATTCTCCTAGCACAGGGGTTAGGAATGAACACGTGGTGATATGCAGAATGGACACTCCAGATCCAGGCCTGACTCTCTGGGTGGAGGAGAGGAGGTGCCCCTCTGTGGGGTCTTGATCCTAGGCTTCCCAGTGCCCACGTAGAATGG
This sequence comes from Homo sapiens, assembly GCF_000001405.40. Taxonomy (NCBI): domain Eukaryota; kingdom Metazoa; phylum Chordata; class Mammalia; order Primates; family Hominidae; genus Homo; species Homo sapiens. Next base: position 33,063,247 of record NC_000020.11, read on the forward strand.
CAGGGGATGGCCTGTGACTTTATGGGGAACCAAAGCCGCTTTTGCCTCCTCAGGTGAAGGCCTTGTCCGCATGCCCAAACCAGCCCCTGAAATGTGTCTCCCGTGGTCCCCCAGCCACCTTTAGGGGTTTTCTAATGGGGCTCTTGTAACCAAGGGAAGACAGCTTGGGGGCCACCCAACCCTCTGACACCTCAAGCCCCCAGCCCCTTCCCTGCCTCCCACCTGTGTGTCTTCTGTCTGTCTCTGCCTTCCGCCTTGCCTTGGTCCCCAGCACCACATAGCAGCAGATAGCAAAGCATTTAAAGAACATGCAGCTGTCCTCGCAGTGAGCTCTTCTTTGCCCTGTAACATGTGTCTCCCTGACACAGCTGTGCCCCGTGGTGGACAGTGTGCTGGGTGTGGTGAATGAGCTCCTGGGGGCTGTGCTGGGTAAGTCAGGGCTCAATGCCCTCCTCTTTGCCCCTTCTACCCGTCTCTGTATGACCCCAATGGGGTAGGGTACGAAGGGGAGCCAGAAGCGGCAGGATCTCAGGGTCCTTTAGTTCCTCCTCACACTGACAGGCTGCCCCTTTGAGGAGCCTCATGGAGGAGGCCTGGGCTGAGGCCGCCTAGCAGGGCATGCAGACCCAGAACCATCAGTTCTCTCTATGTTGGGTGCTGCAGACCAACACTTACTGAGCACCTAGTGTGCGCTTGGCACTGTCAGAAACAGGGGGAAGATATAATGATTACCTGGTCAGACTAGATGACCGAGGCCCAGAGAGCTCAAGTAAGGAACCCAAGGCCCCGCAGCCACAGCAGACCCCAGTCTCTCTGTGCCTTATGGAGACACAAGTGCCTTCTGTGTTCACAAAATGGGTTTGGGAAAATATAAAAAGGCACAACCAGGAAAAGAATAGAAAACTTGGGGCCGGTATGTCTCTATGGGTGGTGTTATGTAAGAGAGGCAGGGTAGCAGTGTGTTAGTGGCATCAACTCTGGAAAACAGGAATCCTGGTTTTGAACACCGTGACTGTGTGGCCTTGGCCTGGTGACTTCCCCTGTCTAAGCCTCAATTTCCACATCTGTAAAATGGGGATGACAGTAGCAGCCAAGTGAATGCTTAGTAGAGTGCTAGGCATTCAGCAGACACTCAATAAATGGAAATAGGGGCTATTATGATTGGGAACTGGGCTTATAGGGTCGTTCTCGCCCCCACTTTCCCACGCAGGCCTGGTGTCCCTTGGGGCTCTTGGGTCCGTGGAATTCTCTCTGGCCACATTGCCTCTCATCTCCAACCAGTACATAGAACTGGACATCAACGTGAGTAACCAGAGGGGCCTCTCCTCCTGCTGGGGGTGGCTAGATAGGGGATGCCGGATCAAGGCAGGTGGGTGAGCACCTTAAGACCCTCCTCGGCCCTGTTTCCTGCCCCTGCAGCCTATCGTGAAGAGTGTAGCTGGTGATATCATTGACTTCCCCAAGTCCCGTGCCCCAGCCAAGGTGCCCCCCAAGAAGGACCACACATCCCAGGTGATGGTGCCACTGTACCTCTTCAACACCACGTTTGGACTCCTGCAGACCAACGGCGCCCTCGACATGGACATCACCCCTGAGCTGGTGAGTGTGGTGCCCGGGGGATGGGGATGGGGGCTCCTTGCCCTGCTGTGCCTTGGCATTACTAGTGTTGACCTAGGCCCTGATCAGCCTTGCTGAGCCCTCCTCTCTATAATAAAAGGGAGTTGAACAAGTTTAGAGTGTGTACACTGCTGTTCTCCACTCCTATACTTAGGGGAGACATTGCTAATCGATCGTGGTCCTCTACCTGGTTAAACCTGACTGGGACTTCTGAATCCTTCTCAACTTGGCACTCCAGGAGGTCACTTTCAATTGGTCAGGACTGGCATGTGGAATGAAGCCCACTTTCCATACCTGTATCAGATGAGCCTTTCTAGAGTCTAAGCACTAAAGTGTGAACCACTAAAATTTCCACTGCTTTCTCAAGAGCAGATTTGAGTGGGAGAAAAGAAAACTAGGCAGGGTGGCTCATGCCTGTAATCCCAGCACTTTGGGAGGCTGATGTGGGAGGATCTCTTGAGCCCAGGAGACACCCCATCTCTACAAAAAATACAAATATTAGCCAGGCATGGTGGTGCATGCCTGTGGTCCCAGTTACTTGGGAGGCTGAGGTGGAAGGATCATGTGAGCCTGGGAGGTCAAGGCTGAAGTGAGCTGTGATTACGCCACTGCACTCCAGTGTGGGCCACAGAATGAGACCTTGTCTCAGAAAAAGAGAAAGAAGGAAGGAAGGAAGGAAGGAGAGAAAGAAAAGAAAAAGAAAGAAAGAGAGAGAAAAGAAGGAAGGAAGGAAGGAAAGAAGGAAGGAAGGAAGGAAGGAAGAAAACTAGGGTTGGATTGTACCAAGAGTTACCCAAACATTTGTTCTGCAGCTTCTAGTACCTCCCAACTTCCATTCTGTCCATTCTGGCCCCTCTGACATCCTGGAAAGCCCAGACCCCAGAAGCCCCACCCAGAGACATTTATTTTGGTCTCAGCCTGGGCTCCCCACCTGTAGCTCAGGCCCAAGGAAACAGGGGTTGGTCACTCACTTCTTGCAAGTGGGGTCCAGACAGCACTCTGAAGGCCTCTGGGAGGCTGGAACAGGACCCTGAGCTGGGGAGAGGGTGTCTTCCAGCTGGGGGATGGGGGTAGTCATAGCCAGGCAGAGACTCTGCGTGTAAGAACGTGCATGTCTGAGCGGCCTGCGGATGTGGGTGTGTGTATAGGAGCATTGGGTGTTTGCATATGAGCATCGTGGCAAGAGAGAGGAATGTCAGAGGCCTCGTCCTGGTGCTGCATGTATGCTTATCCTGTGTGAACAGGGCTGTTCTGAGAAGTGGGCATATGTAGTTCGGTGGGCGGGGGGTGTCTCAAACATCAGGGCCCCCGGAGGCTGGGCCATCAGTTAGCAGCCTGATGGGACTATAGTGAACTGGAGACCCTGTGCCCCATTTCTCAGGCAGTTGCCACTCAGCTGCCACAAGGGGAGGGGGTGCAGGCTCAGTGTGACCAGATTTTCCAACTCTTTAGCCAGAAACTGAAAAATTTACATGTGACTTCCTGATTTATAAATACTAGAAATAAATTCATAGTTTTTGAAAATACTATTTGGGTAAAAGGCAAAAAGATCTGGGGTCAGATCCCTGGGCCTTTAGATCGTGAGCCTTGGCAGAGTAAAAGGTTTTGAAGTTAGCCTGCCCAGGTTCAAATCCTGGTGTCACCACTTACCAATTGTGTGACCCTTGGCAACAGCCTCAGTGTCTCCATCTGTTAAATGAGGGCAATGGTAGCACCCACCTCTTTGAGCTGTTGTAAAGGTGAAATGAGCAAAGGCGTGCAGAGCCCCTAGCATCTGTCTGGCATGCAGTAAGTGCTCAGTAATTGCTAGCTGATAGAACAAACTTGAGTGTTTGTAGTGATATATGTATGAAATTGGCAGGGTAGGGGGAAGAGTGGTGAACGAAACTGCTCTGAGTGTGCTGAGGGATTCCTGTTCTGTCTCTGTGCTCACCAACCCTCTCTCCCATTGGGGGTCCAGGTTCCCAGCGATGTCCCACTGACAACTACAGACCTGGCAGCTTTGCTCCCTGAGGTGAGTGACGCTCTCATGGGTTTTGATCATTGTAGCTCTTTCCTGATGACCATGAATGGAGTCCAGAATCTTTCTCAATACAGCTCTCCAGGCAACTGCAATTGAACAGTTGAGTCCAAATTCACACTAAAGTGTGAATGACTAACACGACATCCTTTCCTGATAGCAGATTTTGCTTAGAGAGTAAAGGATTAGGGCTTGACTGCCCCAGAAATCAACTGGGCATTTATCCTATGGAAATTGTTTCTGTAGCACACAAGGACAAAAGTCTTTTCAGGTTACTGAGCTCCCTTCTACCAACTGGCTTACTTCATCCTGACCTTAGTCTTCAATGTCCCCAGAGAAAAGACTAGGGCACTTGTCTTGGAGAGGAAAGAAAAGGGAGAGTGTCAGGTAGGTCTCACTAGTGGACATAAGTACATGACTTCCAGGCCAGGCCTCAGCTTTCCCATCCTTCAACTGGGGCTGGACCAGCTGCTTTCCAGCTGTGAGAACTGGAATTCGTACTGAAGTTAAAATGTCTACTACAAGGTCCTTATGTAACAGCAGGTTCTGAAAGAGGTTGGAAAGAGGCCTAGGGGCCTGGGCTCTCACCAGAGAGGATGGAAATGAAAGCTGGGTTTGGGGGCACAGAGGACAAACTCTGTGAGTTCTTGAAGTTGGTGATTCAAAGCAGTCTGGATGAATGAGGTCGGGGCCTCAGCTTTCCAGAGTCCCTTGGCTAAAGGGCATAGGAGCCTCATGGAAGGGATGCGATTGGAGTCAGACATTCAGAAGAACCTCCAGAGAGTAGGAGTGGAGAGGGACATGGGGCAAGTGGAGTTGGCTGGGGCAGGGGTATCCAGAAGCAGCAAGCTGGGCCTGCCCCTCCAGCATGGGGAAGCTGGGCTTGTCTCTGGAGGCTGAATCCTTTGGTCTCCATTTGCTGGCCTCGCAGCTTTAGAGCCCCATGTGGCTTCAGATTCTGTGGCATGTGAGGGTGGAATCAGGTGATTCCTGGTCCTGATGATCCTGCCCCTTAGGGATTCTGGGCTTGAGGAAACCTAGACTCAAATTCCAGCAGGCAAGGGACATACTTATGTGTTCCAAGCTTCTGTGGTTCTGTAATTTCCTTAGTCTCATGACGTTGCAATTATGAGACTCAGAATTTCCTGATTGTGTGCCTCATTTAGGCAGTCAGCGTATATCCACTGAGCACCTACTGTGTAACAGGCCCTGCAATGGAACAAGGGCATACCTGCAGCTGGGGCTGCACAAAGGGCAAAAGGTGAAAGGAGAGAAAAGCTTCTGCACTCAAGGGGTTGCCATTCTGCTGGAGGTGACAGACATTGCACAAATAAACAGAAACAGAGACAGTGTCAGAAGGTGGAAGAGCATGGAGTGGCGAAGCTGGCTTAGGAGTGCTGGCTGGTGCTTTTAGACATGGTGCTTTGCAAGGCCTCAGTGAGGAGGTAACATTTGAGTGAAGGAGGTGAGTGAGGGAACTTTGCAGTTCTCTGGGAAGATATTTCCAGGCAGAGGGAGCAGCAAGTGCAAAGGCCCTGGCGCCTGCTGGGAGCATCCCTGGCAGCTGGAGGAGCAGCCACGTGGCCAGTGAGTCTGGAGGGAGAACGCAGGGCAGCAGCGGGAGGAGAGCAGGTGAAGTGGAGAGGCGGGCAGGGGATGGAGGACACAGAGCCTATGGCCTCGGGGAGGATTCTGACTCTGCTTGAGACAGGAAGTCTGATTTGGCAGTCCTGCAGGTCGGTGTCTCCACACCTGAGTGTCAGCCTCATGGGGGCTGAGCCCAGGCCTGTGTCTTTCAGGCTGTAACCTCGTTGCCCAGCACGTTGCCCAGTGCCTGGTAGGTGCTTAGTGAGTGTTTGCTGACTGACTGACTGATTGTAGTCCTGGGGCATCTAAGTTATGCCCCTGCATTTCTCCAGGCCCTGGGGAAGCTGCCCCTGCACCAGCAACTCCTACTGTTCCTGCGGGTGAGGGAAGCTCCCACGGTCACACTCCACAACAAGAAGGCCTTGGTCTCCCTCCCAGCCAACATCCATGTGCTGTTCTATGTCCCTAAGGGGACCCCTGAATCCCTCTTTGAGCTGAACTCCGTGAGTGGTCAAGGGGTGGCTGGGGGCCCGGCATTGGGGTTCCAAATGGGGGTGACTGTCTCCAGGACTGTGGAGGTACCGTCCCCCTGATTTCAGGGTGGGAGCCCCACATAGTCCAGCACAGGAAGCCCCCCGCCCCACAACCACTGTCATCATCTGGGCTGAGACCCAAGCCCCTGCTTCAGTTCCTGCCTGCTCCCTCCTGTCATGTCTGCCTGGGCCTGTTTGGGCTGCCCACACTGCTTCTTGGGGATCTCAGACGTTGCTCCCCATCTCCCCAGCCTCTCTGCCCAGCTATCTCCCTGACGACCCTCCAGCTTCCTCTGACCCTCCCGCTCCAGTCAGCTTCCTCCATCGCACCTCTGCACACATCTGGACCGAGGCAGGCCCCTCCCCCTATCCTCCACCTTGGCTCCCCATGGCCAAACACCTGAGCCTGACATTCATTGTCCTTCTGCCCCATCCTTGCCTTGCCCGTCCTTGTCCCCTAAGCCTCAGCTACTCAGGTCTACCAGGTCCTCCCTCCCTGGCTTGTCTGTGCTAGGTCCACCACCTGGAGTACCATTTTCCCCTTCCTTCCACTAACTCCTCATCTTTCAAGATTCAACTGTTACCTCACTGGAAAGGCCTTCCCTCACCGTACAGCAGGCATGCTTGAGGGGCTCTCCAAGCTCCTGCAGCCCCAGAGCTTCCTCTCCTACATTACCAATTGCCCTCAATTTTAATACTGTGGTTCTCTGCTGTTCAAGAAAACAGCAAAACCTTCAAATTACCTTCTCAGGGCTCAGCACAGACCCTGACACACAGTAGGGCCTCAGTAAGGGTTAGTGGACGGAACAGATGGATGGAGGCAGACCCGTCCTCAAGCTCCTTCTGCCGATTGGGGGTGACTTCTGCCTGCTTTGCCCATGCAGGTCATGACTGTGCGTGCCCAGCTGGCTCCCTCGGCTACCAAGCTGCACATCTCCCTGTCCCTGGAACGGTAACTTGGGATCCTGGGGACAGGATCTTGTTCTTGTCTTTAGGAACAAGAATTAGGGGCTGACAGGATCCGCCTCCCGTTTCTTGAGCATCAGCGCAATTCCAGGTGTTTTTCCAGCATCCTCCTTGCCTTCAGGACCCGCCAGGGAGGAGACAGTGTTAGTCCATGTTATAGACAAGGAATCGGGGGCTCAGAGCAGCAGGCTCAAGAGTGGGCTTCTTCCACGGCACCCTTTTGCTGCTGAAAACCTGCCTCTGAAAGATAAACCTGCCGCCAGGATGTGGAGTCCAAACTCCTGAGTTATCAGCCCCAGAGGCTAACCAAGAGACAACCGGCCTTGAGTGTCAGGAAATGTGTTGTTATTTATGTGGACTTGTTACTTGTTACTTCTCTATTCTCCTCACCCCTGTGGTAACTAGGCGTCCATCAAGATAATCATAATGACCAGAATGATGGTGTTGGTGACAGTCCTTCATCTACACGCACAGTACTTTACAGTTTGCAAAGCACCATCTACATGCACAGTACTTTACAGTTTGCAAAACGCCGTGCTGGCCCAGGCTCACACGGCAGGCCGTCCCTAGAGCAGGTCTGCAGTCTGGGCCTCAGTGCTGTCACCATGGCAGGGCCCCGGCCTGTCTGTCCCTCCCCTGGCAGTAGGGACTTTCCTGGAGATTGCTGAGACCTGACGTCCTACGCCACAGGCACCCAGTGCTCCTCTGACTCCGTCTTAGCACCCCCACAGGCTCCTCAGGCCACTGCTGGCCTCTGCCTTCCATTGTTGCCCCATTGCCGACTTTGATGGAGGGCCTCGCCTGCTGCCTGGGTGCACCTCCACTTCCTGATGGCAGTTCACGCCTCAGTCTTTTAGGAGGTAGAGATGCGTGCCCAGGCTCTGGCCCTGAATCTGCACTTGGGCCAGATATGATCCATCAGTGAGTTGCTGCCTTGAGTGAGCACCTGCTGTATGCAAGGCACTCTGTGTCCAGTGCTCAGTCTGGGGGAGGTCACTCCTCTGAATGGTTCAGCCACCTGCCCAGGGTCAAATAGCTGGGAGTCAGACAAAGGCGCCAAGGCCAGAGGTGGTGGTCATGATGCCTCAGAAGGGAGGTTAGGTCCCTTTGGGTCCATTTTACAGGTAGGAAAACTGAGTCTCTGAGTCAAGGCTGGATAGAGGCAGAGTGTTGGGCTGGTAATCCTGTTTCCTGATGATGAGAGCTATGGTGGGGCAGGCTGGGGGTGGGACAGGGGTGGTTGGGGGTAGCGGGGGCCCCAGCATCTCTCTTCTCTCCACCAGGCTCAGTGTCAAGGTGGCCTCCTCCTTTACCCATGCCTTTGACGTAAGTTCCTGGGAGGGTGAGGGGCTTGGCAGTGATGAGAGTCTTCAGGTGTGGCATGGAAAGGGGGTGGCCATGAGTCATGGGCCATATGACTGAGCTGACCTCAGGACTGGGATCCTCCCCAATTAAGCCAGAGTGGGCAAATATCAGGGCGGGTGTGCGTGAGAGAGAGCAGGGGGTGTGGGCAGTGGGGAGAGAGAGAGAGAAACAGTGATCATCTTAGGAAAGTGAATCTCATGATCTTCCACGGTCTTGGAACCTCACAAAGTTGTGGACATCTAGAACCTCACAAGGGTCCATCATTCTGGAACTTCTCCCAAGTAATAAATTTCCCGAACTCAGCAAGTTCCATTTCAGAGCTCACAGAGCCCCGAGGTTCCTGCTTCTTACAGAGTTCTGAGGTTCTGGAATCTCACCATGGGCTCAGGTTCTAGAACATTCTCAGAGTCCCTAAACTGACAGGAATCTAAGGTCAGACCCCATAGACTGGAGCTGGGCACATTTCCTTCCCTCTTTCTTAGGCACTGCCCACCTCCAGCCCCAACAGAGTCTTATAGGAAGGCACTTCTTCCAAGCTCATGGGGCCTGGGGTAAAGCCAGCCTAAATCACAGAATCTCTTTCGAGGTCACTGGTGGACAGCCCAGGCCACCCCCAAGTGCCCAGTGCCTGCCAGGAGCTGTGTCCTCAGGCTTGGGGGAGGCTGAGGCAGCTGGGCCCCTGGGTTTCTCTCCCTGGGAACGGGATGCTGCTGCCTGTAAAGCCACACCCCAGAGCACCACCCCCACCACCCTGTGTGTTCTGTTGCAGGGATCGCGTTTAGAAGAATGGCTCAGCCATGTGGTCGGGGCAGTGTATGCACCAAAGCTTAACGGTATGGCAGGTTTTGCTCTCTTGGACACATGGAGTGTCTGAATTTGGTATTGTCTAGTCTGTTGCCTCTCTTTATGGTTCTGATGGGGACACTGAGGCCAGAGAGAGAGGTCGATCCTCATTTGCAAGATGCAGAAACTGAGGCACCAATTTTTCCATTTAAATGACATTGATTAGCACCTACATCTTGCCAGCCTATGGACTTCAAGCGCTGATCTGACCTCAGTCCTGCCTTAAGCTCCCACAGTCTAGTAGGAAATAATCATATAAACAAATGATTAGAATATAGATGACCCAGAGTGTGTAAGGGATTGATGAAGCCTTTAGGAGGCTTGACACGGGGGCACCACTGACACAATACAGAATAGGGACATTTTTGTTTGGGTGTAGGAGGATGAGTAGGAGTTTGCCAATAAGAAGCTGATTCTGTGAGAAGAGAACTGGCTGGCTAGTGAAAGTGATGGAATAGGGTCAGCAGGGTCCGAGGGTTCCTAGGGTCCAAGAGCTCCCCACCAATGTACCTTTGTTTTCAACGATTCTCTTTTCACAGTGGCCCTGGATGTTGGAATTCCCCTGCCTAAGGTTCTTAATATCAATTTTTCCAATTCAGTTCTGGAGATCGTAGAGGTGAGCCTTCTCTGCAGATACGGCCCAGGTGGGCCTTAAGCTTGTCTCTGGAAAGCTCTGCTTGAAACTAATGAGGGGAATGCTTTGCTTCATCCTCTTGTCTGTCCCTGATCCATTTTCTAAATTTCTCAGTGAGTTACAAATTGCCTAACTTAGGAATGGCAAATATATGACATGTGTGCTACTACTCCTCCATTTCTTGCCCATGGCAGACATCATCAATCAATCACGGAGTTCTTTCCCATTGGATTCAGAGACATGTCTGGCCTCTAGAATGGAACCTAAGATTCACTCACAGAATCACAGTTCCCCTGGTCCAACAGCAACAAATACATATGCCATCTCTCCCTTATCTTGTGTCTGCAGCAGATATGACCAATGGATCATGACCCTTTTTCTTGTGGAATATTGATATGGCCTCACAATCCTTTTCAAACCAGCCCAACTTTGGGTGGTGGAATAGCTCTAGGAGGTGGGCAGAGCAGAGAGTTCTGTACCCATTTCTCAGATGAGGACCAAGGCTGAAGTAGGTCAGATTTCTGGCCCAAGTTCACCAGTAAATTAATAGCAGAAATGGCAGTTGAACTTGAGTCTATTAAGTCCTCAAGTCAGAGCCTGTCCCACACTGGATGTCATTTTTTCATCATTCATTTATTCATTTAATGAGTGCCTGCTGTGTTCCAGGTACAGGGCCAATCCCAGGGCAGGGGAGTAAAGATGGCTGCAGGGATGGGGCATTGCAGAGACTCAGGGGTGTAACCAAGAGCGGTTGTTCCTTACAGAATGCTGTTGTGCTGACCGTGGCATCCTGAGGCTGAGACATGGCCACCAGCCTTCCCTGTTGACTACTAGAGACCACCTGTCTACTCTGCCTCAATTTCCCTCCCAGTCTCTAGCTGATGTTGGTGACAGTAAAAATGCCCTCTGGCCCTGAAGCACTACTCCAAGTTTGGGGTGGGAACTGCCTGGCTAATCATAGAACTGCCTCAGAGAGAGCTCTGGGGCCTCAGTAGCAAACCCTGAGCTTTCAATAAATGACTCCTGTATCTCGGTATCTCCTGGCTGGTTTATTCCCCAGTCACGTAGGACTTGACTTGGCCTTTGCCTCCAGTGCCCTCCTTAGCTCCAGGTAGGAGCTTCTGGGAGGTGAGGGGACTCAGGGCCTTGTCATTGTAGCTTTGAGTCCCAAACTGACCTTGTTGGCCTGGGCAGCCTCTGTGTCCTGTTCTGCCTTCCTCTCTGTCCCTGCCCCCCTTGCCTCCAGCTCTCTCTCTCTCTCTTTCTCTAAATACTTCTACTTTTCACTCTCTCTCTCTCTGAGTCTGCATTTTTCTCTGTTTCTGACTTTGGGATGCTTATCAGAAGTGACATCTGAGCTGAATTTTGAAGGGAGAATAGGAGCTTTCCAGGAAACAAAGGCACTAGCACCCCAGGAAGCAAGGATGAGTGAGACTTGTTCTTGCCCTGTGGTGTGGGGGGGTCCCTATTGGCTGCACATCAGACATGGACACAGCTCAGAACAGAGCTGTGCCAAACGCTCTTGGTGCAGATGGGGAGACTGAAGCCAGAGCAGGGCTTGGCTGGCCCTGGTCCACACAGCGGCAGAGTTGGGATGAGAGACTAGGGGTCCTGCCTCTAGGTCCTGGGCTTCTCCCCACTGCTTACGATGGGCACCTTTGGTGAAAAATATCCCCAAGTTGGCACTTACAGATGGCCTGAGTGAAGAAGTGCCAACCAAGTTTTGATAACTGGCTCAGAGGATTTGAGGCTAGGCAATAGGTAGGGGAGACTTGGAGCTCATCTGAAGATTTATCCACAACTCATTCATTCAGCCGACCAGCCAGCCAGCCAGCCTCCCATCCATCCATCCATCCATCCATCCATCCATCCATCCATCCATCCCCCCTCCCATCCAGCCTCCCATCCATCCATCCACTCACCCTCCCATTTAGCCTCCTATTCAACCATTCATCCACCCTCCCATCCAACTTTCTACCCATCCATTATTCTATCCACCCACCCACCCATTCTCCCATCCATCCATCCATCCATCTATCCATCCATCCATCTATCCATCTATCCATCTATCCATCCGTCCATCCACTCATGCATGCATCCATCCATTCATGCATCCATCCATCCATCCATCCATGCATCCATCCATCTTCCCCCCTTCTTCCTTGCTTCCCTTCCTCCTTCCCTTCCTCTGTCCCACCCTCCCTTCCCTTTTCTCGTCCTTTCTTTTCATTCATCCACCCTACATTTATTGGTGCCTGCTACATGCCAGTGCCGGGTGACATGCTCGGGTTTATCTTCCTGTGTCTGATTTCCAGACACTTCCAGTGCTACTGATTCCCATCATGGTTAAATGAGTGGCTTGAGTTAGCTGTCCGTGTTCAAATCCCTTCCTGGCTTCTGGTTAGCCATGTGGCCTCAGGCAAGTCATTTCCTCTCCCTGAGCCTCAGTTTCTTCATCAGTAACTTGAGGATGTTCTATTATGGCTTTGAGGATTAAACCAGCACTCAGGATGGTGACCCATCTGTAAGAAGCCCCCAGTTCCAGTTAGCTCTTGTTACGGTTGCATTATTCTATCTCCTCTCCATTCACAGCCCCAGCTGTCCCTCCTCATCTCTCACAGGGAACACCCTTCCCTGACTCCCACCCTTCTCTCTTTCATCCCATCCCCCTCCTGCCCATCCTTGACCTCCTTTGACCGTCTCTCACTGTCACAGACAGCCCTGCAGTGGCTGGATTCCTGGCGCCAACAGGAAAGCCTCCAAGCTCCGAGGTTTGGCATTTAAGGCTGCCTGTGACCTGGCCTCAGCTGATTCCTCCTGGAGCATGCAGAGGGAGCAGAGCTGTCTCTGTGCCTCGGGCTCCTCGTCTGCGAAGTGGGAATATTATAGTATTTACTCACGGGTCATCTAGGGATGAAACCAGACAATTCTTGTAAAGTTCTGAGAAGAGTGCCTGGCACCTGGAAAACGAGTAACAATGTGCAGCCAGGCCTTTGCACGGCTCTTCCCTCTTCCTGGAACATTCCCTCTCCTCTCCTCCAAGTGTGCCTGGCAAACCCGTGCCATCCTTCATACACAGGACAGCGCCTCCCCGTGTGGCAGCAGGGCCCAGTATTGTATGGGCCACACTGGTCACTGCCTCAGTTTCACTCTCCCACTTGCCCAAGAGCTCCTCAAGGTCAGGGACAGTGTCTGCTTCATCATGGTGAGTCCTGCAGCTGCAGAGAGTAGAGGTGAGAGCAGTTAACCTCTGATGAGTGCTTACTGTGTGCTGGATGCTACGTCAGATGCTTAGCATCCCTTAGTGCACTTAATTTCACAGCCCCCAGGATGGGTGGATATTATCATCCTGTTCTACATATAAGGAAACTGAAGCTCAGAGAAATGGAATCAGCCAGCTTCTAAGTGGCAGAAGCAGGATTTGAACCAGATCCCTCTGACTCGAATTCCAAAGTCTGGGCTTTCACTGCTATGCCAGAAAGTTCTTGCTGCATTTATTGCATGCTTACTAAGTGCCAGACACTGTTCTAAGTGCTTTAGGTACGTCATGTCATCAGCTTCTTGAATCAGGCCTGCTTTCTAGGAACTGTCTTCACCTTCATTATACAGTTGAGGAAACCGAGGCATAGAGAAGTTAAGTGGTATGCTCAAGGCCACACAGCTAGGTAGTGACAAGATTGAGATTTGAACCTAGTACCCAGTCTCTGACCCCCTGCCTCTGGACCCCAGTCTCTGAACTCCGCCCTTAGGGTGAGGAATCAAACAAGACTGAAGGGAGCCCCTTGCAGCCCTGGAGGGCTGACAGTTCATGGCAGGGGGGCAAGGGCTGAGTGGAGTTTTGGTGGTGGGTCTGATCTGTTTTCTAATCTCAGCAGCCCCAGTGTGACCCCCTGGCTCCTGTGTGGCTGAGTCACCTTGGAGGTGAGTCACCTCCCAGGGAATCTGGATGTCCTTCCAGCCGTCCCCCACTAGGTCCTTCCAGCTCCAGACAAAGGTACCTTTTGGAAGCTAAGCCCAGGTGATCTCCCCGGCGCCAGGGCTGCCCTAATCCTCTCAGGGTGGCCAGGAAGGACCCAGGGGACAGGCTGGCCTGAGGACTGAGAATGGGCACAGAACCTTGGGTGACTGGCACCACCTTCATGTGTGCACCTCCCTCTACAGTTTATAGTGTGCATTGGTTCCTGCCCTCTTAGGAGTGGGGAAAGGCACAGTTGCCCTCTTTGCATTGTATTCCATTTAAAACTGTCATATATTTGTATCACAAACATTTTTATCACACTTACTAAGTGCCAGGCAATGGGGAACCACAACGACTTTAAACAGGGAAGACCCAGGAGCTGAGTTACTCAGATGAGTAGCATCATTTTGAAATGTCCTTTCTAGTTTCCCCATTTTACAGGGGTGCAGACTGAGGCACTGAGAAAGAGTCATTGTCACAAGTTTATGCTGCTAGCAGGCTGGGCAGAACTTACCCCTACTCAGTGTCTGCTTTCATCAAGGGAAACTAAAGGGGGCTGCTGTTTACGGAGCTCCGAGGCTCCAGGGACATTCCACACATTTCCTATGTAACTCTCAAAACCCTCCTGGGAAAGTGTAATTATGCCCATTTTGCAGGTGGCCAGACGGTGGCCAGGGAGAAGTGATTGTTGAGGCTAAAAGGGCAGATGAATGTGGGAACGCAGGAGTGTGTGACTCTTGGAGTCCCTATTTCCCATTCCAGGAACCCCTCCAGCCCGCACAGGAGGCAATGAGGTGGTCTGGGCTGAAGCTACTTCCTCATGCCCCTCATCGCCCTCCAGACTTGCTGCCGTGTGGGACCCAGGATGATAAGGACGTAAATGCCACTCGCTGAGCCCAGCTGTGTGCAAGGCCCTGTTCCCAGAGCTTTGCAGGTCAGGACAGTTCCAATCACAATCTTACAACCAAGGAAACAGGGAGAACTGGCAGCAGAAGTCAAGCCCAGCAGCCAGCTCTGGAGCCTGTGCTCTTAACGGTTCCATCAATGCACCCACTGCAGATGGGGAAACTGAGTTCCAAGGTGGGACTGGCCCAGTGGCACAGAAGTGAGGGGTGACATCGGTTGAGCTTGGCAGGACTTATATCAATGACGCCTGCCTTAGAGTCCCCACTGCCTCCAGGGAGGAAGGAGGAGGCATCTCCTTGGGGAGTCAGGGGCAAAACACGTTTATTCCCAGTTTGACTTGAAAGCAGGCCTTGGTGGAGACAGAAATGTCTCCTGCCTCTCAGAATTCACAGACGGGCAGGGTTGGAGCAGGGAGGAGGTGGCATTGATTAAACATGGAGGTAGGACCTGGGTTGGGGCTATGGGGTGGGAAGATAGGGAGCACTTTGTCCAGTGGAGAGCGAAAGATGAGTTAATTAATTCATTCACTTGTTCATTTGTTACACTGGCATCTATGCCTGTGCTGGCCTAGGAGTGGGGCACATAGCTGGTTCGCCTGGAGAAACAACACTTCACTATGGGCCCCAGGGATCTCTGGATGGGCCAGAGGAACTGTAGGGGCTGGGGGAAGCTTCCTGCAGCTGCTTACCTTTCACCCTTAGAATCTGGAGAGGGCTTTGTAGACAGCAGGGACTGCACATGCAAAGGCCCAGAGGCAGGGAGCACAGGGGGTGATGAGGAGGGGATGGAAGGAATGAGTAGCTCTGTGTGAAGAGAGGACTGGGATGTGTGTACGGAAGGCCTTGGATGCCAAGTGAAGTGGTCTGGGCTGTGTCCCAGCAGGTTTTGGAGGGTGCAACTGGGAAAAGGCAGACGGAACATTCTGGGGTGGTGGAAATGTTCTATATTGTGATAGGAGTGTGGGCTGCATGACCGTAAAAAATGGTCAAAACTCAGCAAATGAACATTTAAGATTTGTGCATGTCACTGTATTTAAAGATATAAAGAAAAGAATCTGAATGCCATGCAGGGTGAAGTGTTTAGTGGTAGTATACTGATGTCTGCAACTTTCAAATGCATAAAAAATAAAAGATGGACTAACAGATGGATGCAAATATGACAAGAATGTAAATGGTGGGTATAGTTGGTGGGAACAACGTGACAACCATGTGTGTCCGCTGTACATTTCCTTCACCTTTGCTATAGGTATGAAAATTTCATGAGGAAATAGTTGGGAAAAACCTTGTTGTATCTCATACATAGTAAACACTCAATAAACAGCAGCTATTGTTATTACTTTGGGACTATTATTTCAGACCCCTAAGAAATGAGTGAGGAATATTTTTCAGATAAAAAAAATGCACATTCGTGCACCAGTCCCAAGTTTGAGGAGCTGGATTCATATTCGTCTCCTTTAGTCCTAAAATCAGCCCTGTGAGGCAGGTATTATACTCATTTGCCAGATGGAAAGAATGTGAGGCTCAGAGGAGGGAAGTGGCTGGCCCAAGGTCATACGGTGAGTTGGGGGTTGAGCAGGGTTTGAACCTGGGTCATCCTGATGCTGAGTCCAGCCTGGGCACCTCCTGTCTACCCAGATCATCTGGAATGGCTAGTGCCTGCCTTAGAGTTAGAAACTAGATGCATCTGGGGGTGATTCCAGTTCCCCAAGCTTGAGGCCTAGCTGGGGTCTCTGGGAATGTGCCCAGCCCAAGGGCTGATAAAACCCAGCTCATGTGACACCATCTGGGGCTGAGTGCAAGTCTTGGAATTAGCCACAAACCGCAAACCTTTATGGTTTTGGGGCTCAATGCCCAATTTGCAGAGCAAATCTGAATTCCGGTCTCTTGTAATTACACAGTGTTTCCCTCTCTGGGGTCTGGGCTCAGCCTCAGGCTGCTATATAAGACTGATCTGTGACCAGACTCAGCCAAAAGCAGAGGGGCTGGGGAACAGGACTTCTCAAGACTCAGCGGCAGGGACCTCCTAGGGGTAAGGAGGCGCACCTTGTCTACTCAGTGTCCGGCAGGGGAGGCACAGGCCTGGGAAGGTAATAAGGAGAGAGAGTCCCAGCCTGGAGATCCATCAGGATGGCCCCTCTCCAAGTTCAGGGGTCTTGTCTGTAGCATGGGCCTAGTCAGGAGAGCCTCTTGGGAATCAGCAAAAAGGCCTGGGTTATGCCAATTACATGCATGCGCAGAGCTGCACTCATCTTTCCCAGGGACGTTGGGTACCGAGGGCCTTTGCTACCTCCTGGAGACTCCTCAGCTGTTTGCTGATGCCAGAAATCTTCCATCGGTGCCCATCTTTTTAACTGAAAGGGGTGATTCCTTTTTGAACACAGCTCTCTGGAAAGTGAGGTTAGGATGAGGTGAGGAAGCCAGAAAAAAATTATTGCATATAGTAGTCCTTTATATTCTAGTGTAAATGAATGCCTCTAATATTCTTCTGGGAGCAGATAGGAGTAGGGAAAGAATTTGGGGGCGCTGTGAAGTCCAAGAGAAATGGGGACAGAAAAAAGAGGAGAGTGTGCCTAAACAAAGGTGGCTGAAACCAACAATTTCTTGGCTCAGATGAGAGGCCATGCCCTGTGCTGACTCTCTGAGGTTGGTGGATGTGTAGCCGGGGCTGATGGAGTGAGAGAAGTGGATGAGGGCACAAAAGGAGCAAAAGAAAGTTTCCCAGAGGCTATGCAGCTCGTTCCAAAATGCATGTTTCACCTCCCCAATCTCATAACATTCCTCACCCACTTCTTAGGGGTCTGAAATAACAGTCCCAAAGTAATAACAATAGCTGCTCTTTATTGAGTGTCTACTATGTATGAGATACAACTTGTTTGTGATTTGGGAGCAGAAGTTCAAAAAGGTAAAGTCCCTTTCCTAAGCATTAAGACCCAGATATCTCTGACCTAGAGCCATTAATATTAACCACGTGGTGTAGAACTGACTCCTCCAAAGAGATGGGAAGAGTGTTTGCTGGTGAGCTGGATGTGTGGAAGGGTGGCTAGATGAATGCATTGATGAGTAGATAAACTGATGGAAAGATGAATGGATGGATGGATGGATAGCTGGGTGGATGGATGGTTGGTTGGATAGATGGATGGGCAGGAGGATATATGGCTTGCCAGCTGTTTGGATGACAGATGGATGATAGATATATGGGAAGATGGATGGATGGTGGGATGGGTGGACAGATTAATAAATAGAGGGAGGAGAATGAGTTGATGAGTGGATGGATGGTTGGTTGGATGGATGGTTGGTTGGATGGATAGATATATGGCTTGCTGGGTGTTTCCATGACAGATGGGTAATAGATAGATGGAAAGATAGTAGGTTGAATGTATGGGTGAATAGGAGAATAAATACGAAGGGGAGAATGAGTAGATGAGTAGATGGGTGAGTGATGTAGAGGAATGAGTAGATGAGTAGATGGGTAGATGCTGGAGAGAGTTCCTTAGAACCTGCGAGCTCCCAGTTTGGTGTTTTTGTTGGAATCCCTATTACCCATCTCCCTGATGCTCAATTTGTCAATTCCATCTTGGGAGATAATTAGACATCCATTCTCTGAAACAGTGTGTTTAATGGGTCTGCTTTGTGTCACCAGATTCATTTCAATTTGAAAAACTCAAAAGGTAGTATCTGGAATTCTGGACCCTGCCTTAGTATGTGACCTTGGCTGGTTTCCCCTCTCTCTGGGTCCCAGGGTCCTGAGATGACTCTTGGCTGGGGCTGCCTAGTGCTACCTGCTGGCCAGGGTGGTGGCGCCCAGCCACATCTGCATCTGCACTTTCTCCTCCACAGGGAAGCAGTGCCAGCATGTGGATGGCCTGGTGTGTGGCTGCGCTGTCTGTGGTGGCTGTGTGTGGCACCAGCCACGAGACAAACACGGTCCTCAGGGTGACGAAAGATGTGTTGAGCAATGGTGAGTCCAGCCCCAAAGGGGTGAGGGTTGGCATGGGGTGAGCAGGGCAGCTCTGCCAACTCTGAAGTACCCAGGAACCTCCTCCTGCTAGCAGAGTTCACATCGGGAGGCTGGGTGAATTCTACTCTCTGGGCCTTAGTTTCTCCTTTTTCTTTTGACTACCATTTCCTGAGCACCTACTATGTGCCAAGCACCATACTGGTGACTTTATGCTCATTCTTTAGAGGCAATAGAGAACAATGATTAAGAGCCCTGGATCAGCCTTCGTGGGGTTCAAATCCTGACTGTGTGACCTTAAGTTCATGACTTGAGTTCCCTGAGCCTCAGTTTCTTTATCTGTAAAATGGGTGTAATTATAGTCTCTATCTCAGAGAACTGATATGAGAATGAAATGAAATGACCTTTTGAAAACTTAGCACAGCTCCTGGGACTTAGAAGGCCCTCAAAAGTGGGAGCTATAATTATTCTTGCCTCCAATTCTTAGGACCTTGCTTTTGTCATCTAGCATGTGAGGACATACTTTCTCCCTCAACACCCATCCCAGGCTATCATGAGCATAAAAAAATGAGATTATTTCCTATTTAAGTGATCTCTGAGTACCTCACAGGCCTCAATCTTTCTATCCATCAGACGGGTACACTTCTGGCCTTGACTATTTCCCAAGAATCAGTTGCGATAATACATAAGAAAGTTTATTTTATTTTATTTTATTTTATTTGAGACGGAGTTTCGCTCTTGTTGCCCAGGCTGGAGTGCAATGGTGCGATCTCGGCTTACTGCAACCTCCTCCTCCCCGTTTCAAGCGATTCTCCTGCCTCAGCCTCCTGAGTAGCTGGGATTACAGGTGCCCACCACCACACCTGGCTAATTTTTGTATTTTTAGTAGAGACGGGGTTTCACCATCTTGGCCAGGCTGGTCTCTAACTCCTGACCTCATAATCCACCCTCCTCAGCCTCTCAAAGTGCTGGGATTACAGGCATGAGCCACCACGCCCGTCCTGAAGTCAATTTTTTAAAGCTGTAAAGTGCAGAGCACTTAGAAGGGAGGGCGATGAAGAAAATCCATGAAGGGCTGGCTGATGTCCAAATCTAGTTAAAGTAAGACCAGACAAAACCCAGCAGAAAATGAGCTGGCCAGGATGCCAGGGCTAGATCAGCCTGGAGAAGTCATCCCGTTCAGCCTCTGCTCTTCGCTGGTGGGAAAAGTGAGGCCCAGGGAGCTGAGCAACACTGCGAGGTGCTGCCTGGGGGCTGGAGGTGGAAAAAAGGGAGGAACCCTGGACTGATGCCCTTGCCTCTCTGCAGCCATTTCAGGCATGCTGCAGCAAAGTGATGCTCTCCACTCGGCCCTGAGAGAGGTGCCCTTGGGTAAAGCCCGTGGTGATGGTGGTGGGCCTCTCCTGGGCGGTCTGCTTGGTGGAAGTGGAAGTGGAGGTGGTGGGGGAGGTGGTCTCCTGGGGGGCCTGCTTGGTGGTGGGGGTGGAGGGGGTGGCAGTGATCTGTTGGGTGGAGGCTTACTGGGTGGCAGTGGCAGCAGTGGTGGGGAGTTGCTGGGTGGAGGAGGTGGCAGTGGTGGGGGGTTGCTGGGTGGCAGTGGTGGGGGGCTGCTGGGTGGCAGTGGTGGGGGGTTGCTGGGTGGCAGTAGAGGGGGGCTGCTGGGTGGCAGTGGTGGTGGTCTTTTGGGTGGTGGCCGACACCATTACAATGACTACAGACGCATTGAATTCCCCCGAGGTGTTGGTGATATTCCCTACAATGACTTCCATGTCCGAGGACCCCCCCCAGTATATACCAACGGCAAAAAACTTGATGGTATTTACCAGTATGGTCACATTGAGACCAACGACAACACTGCTCAGCTGGGGGGCAAATACCGATATGGTGAGATCCTTGAGTCCGAGGGAAGCATCAGGGACCTCCGAAACAGTGGCTATCGCAGTGCCGAGAATGCATATGGAGGCCACAGGGGCCTCGGGCGATACAGGGCAGCACCTGTGGGCAGGCTTCACCGGCGAGAGCTGCAGCCTGGAGAAATCCCACCTGGAGTTGCCACTGGGGCGGTGGGCCCAGGTGGTTTGCTGGGCACTGGAGGCATGCTGGCAGCTGATGGCATCCTCGCAGGCCAAGGTGGCCTGCTCGGCGGAGGTGGTCTCCTTGGTGATGGAGGACTTCTTGGAGGAGGGGGTGTCCTGGGCGTGCTCGGCGAGGGTGGCATCCTCAGCACTGTGCAAGGCATCACGGGGTAAGGAGGGGACGGGTTCTCCCCAGAAAGCCCCCATACACCTCCAAATGGGGGTGATCACTCCCTGAAGCTGGGGTTGCCGGAGGGAAGGTCTTCAGAGCCCCACACACTTCAGGGTTTGGCCTCAGGATTGGAAGTTTTAAGACCCCCAAGTTACATGGTTTGGGTCTTGGCATGAAACAGTCCTAAGTTTGAGACCCAGTTCAGCTTTTCATGTTTGCGTGTGACTTTGGGCCATTGATATCATCTCTCGAGTCTCAGTTTCCTCATCTGTAGAATGGTCATAGTAATACAGTGTAGTGGAAAAGACCCCAAGGATTTAAAAACTATACATATATATCATAAGTTCTATGCTCAGCCTGTTCCTCATAGTCGATGTTTAATTTAACAAATATTTAAAGCTCCTGCTATGTGCAGAGTACTGTGTTGGCACTGGGGACATGACCCAATGGTAAGCCAAGAAAAGACACATTCTCTGTCTCCACGGAGCTTGCAGGTTGATAGGGTACATGGGCATTGATAAGAAGCCTAAACATAACCATGCAGTTTCAACAGTGGCAAGAAGTTCATGGAGAAGTAAGAATCTCTATAACGGGGCAGCTCACCTACCTAGGGAGGTCAAGGGAGGCTTCCTGGAGGAAGAGGACCTTAAGTTGAAATCTGAAGAATGTATAGGAGGGAATTAAGCAGGAGGAACCTATATGTATAGGAGGGAACCAGGCAAGAGGGGCAGGGATGAGCAGAGAGAGGGAATGGCATCTTGACATGCAGAAAAGATTCAAAGGAAATATACGGAATGCACACAGTGGGCCTCTGGGCATTGGGATTACAGGTCATGGCATTTTTGCCTTAATTTCTCTGTTTTCCACATTCTGTCCTTGAACTGCAGGTGTCTAGTGTCTTTAGAGTCAGAAGGAACAGACGGGGAGCAGAGAAAGGGGGTGTAGGGGAGGGCGCTCGGGTGAGTGGGTGGTAGTTGGGGTGGCCGGCCTTCTCACCACTCTGTGTCCCGAGCAGGCTGCGTATCGTGGAGCTGACCCTCCCTCGGGTGTCCGTGCGGCTCCTGCCCGGCGTGGGTGTCTACCTGAGCTTGTACACCCGTGTGGCCATCAACGGGAAGAGGTGCGTGCCCTTGGCCCTGGAGGGGTCCCCACCACCCTATGGCCCAACCTCTGTATCCATAACACAGAGGCTAGGAAGACCTAAACTTCTGCCAGTGCATGCCCACAGACTTGCACCAGAGGCCATCTGTCAGCGGTGAAAACAGCCTAGCACAGTGGTTAAGATCTGGGAGGCTGGGCTGGGAGTGGTGGCTCATGCCTGTCATCCCAGCACTTTGGGAAGCCGAGGCAGGCAGATCATCTGAGGTCAGGAGTTCGAGACCAGCCTGGCCAACATGGTGAAACCCCGTCTCTACTAAAAATACAAAAATGGGCTGGGCGTGGTGGCAGGTGCCTGTAGTCCCAGCTACTTGGGAGGCTGAGGCAGGAGAATCGCTTGAACCCAGGAGGCGGAGGTTGCAGTGAGCTGAGATCGTGCCACTGCACTCCAGCCTGGGCAACAAGAGCAAAACTCCATCTCAAAATAAATACATAAATAAATCTGGGAGGCTGGAGTCAGGTGACAGCTTGGGTTCAAATCCTGATTCTCTCATAAGCTGTGTGACCTTGGGCCAGTCCCCCAGTGTCACTAAATCTTAGTGTCTTCACTGGCAATGGGATAATGAGGTCACCCCCTTTTCCAGGTGACTGTGGCCGTAAGTGGGGAAAGGCAAGCAAAATGCTTCCTGGAATAGGGCCTTCCATGCACTAGGTGCTGACTAGAGGACCTCAGAGGGTGGGCTTCTGTGTGGACTTATCCCCGTGGGATGAGGTCGTGTCCACCAAGCTAGGCAATTGGGAGTCACCTTGGAAACCAGAATGTGTGCTGAGCCCTGTTCCCAGCCTTTGAAGCTCATGGGCTGAGGGGGAGATAGACTTGTTCACGTGTGACTTGAGGGACCAGGGAAGAGTTCTGGGTTGGGTTCCTTAGAGATGAGCAAGGAGCGTAGCAGATGGCAGGGACAGCAAGGACAGGCCTGGGTAAGGGTGAGCTCCTGGCGGCTGGGGGTGACTCATGGTCTCCCTGGCCCCTTGGCCTCCTCCAGTCTTATTGGCTTCCTGGACATCGCAGTAGAAGTGAACATCACAGCCAAGGTCCGGCTGACCATGGACCGCACGGGTTATCCTCGGCTGGTCATTGAGCGATGTGACACCCTCCTAGGGGGCATCAAAGTCAAGCTGCTGCGAGGGTGAGTGCTAGCCGGCAGTGGAGTGCCTTGGGGGTTGCTGGAATGGTCTGTCTTTGGCAAACAACATGACGTCACCCACCTGCCCATAGGCTCTGGGGTGGGCAGGACGATGATGCTGTGGGGTGGTGAGTACTCATGCTGAGCCAGCTGTACTCTCACCTCTGTCCCTGACCTGGCACATGCCTGATGGGAATTCATGGCCTGCACCTTCAAACCCAGGATGGGGCCTTCGACCAGCCTGGAAAATATGTCATTTGCGACACACATTCTTTCCAGCTTTGAAAAGGTTTTGATCTGAATGGTCAGGAGCATGCCTGAGACTCACATCTCAGTTCCATGGTTCATTGCTGTGTGATTTTGGGTAGCTCTCTTGCCCTCTCTGAGCTCCAGTTTCCTCCTCTGTGAAATGGGTAATTCTTTTTCCTTCAGGAATTGAGATAAGGAATGGAAAACACTTAGTGATCAGCTGGGATATCTTGAGAGCTGATGAACGTACGTCCAACAGGGGTTGTGTGCGTTGGTGCCCCAGATCACAGGGGCATTCCCCACTTGGTTCTGCCCAGTTCAAACCTGGTGAGGGGATGAGAGTTTTCCTATGACGTGCTCCTTACAAAATGTCCAAGTCTCCATCCTCTGGCGAAGTGGTGTCAAGTGTTCATATACTGGCCAGCACGCTGTCCCCAGGTGGTGCTCTTGGATGAGTACACACTCAGAGCGGAGTCTCTTTCTGTTCACTCCCTGCCCTCTTCTTTGGCTTCTCTCTTGGAGGCCTCTGTCCCCACTTCTTCCTCTCCATTATTATCCATCTTTTGGCCCAGTCCCCCCAGCCCTTGAAACTCATTGTGCAACTTGAACCCCAAACTTTCTGATTCCCGTGGGCTTCTTGGAGACTTTACTTCTGCTTCAGAGACGATGGAGGCAAAGAAAATCAGCTCCCAGGGTCCAGGCAAGGAGAGGAGGGTGAGGAAAACCATGGAAACCTCACAGATTTTTAAATTCACATTTTCACTAGGAAATAGATATTTGGTATTGCATGGTTCACAAACATAAAATAACAAAAAGGCACAGAGCACAGGGCCTCCTCCTATCCCACCTCCCTCTGCCTCCCTCCCACCAAGCTCACCAGTTATTCATCTCTCAATTCTCCTTCCAGTTTCTTTGTACACATGAAACAAATATGAACATAGATTCTCATCTTCCACCCTCCTTTTATGCAAAGGGGCACATACTATAAATACTGTTTTGCACTTTGCTTTTTTTCATTTACCCTATTGGGAGAATTTTCTGCATCCAAACATCGAGAGCTTCCTTGTTTAACTTTTTACAGCTACGTAATATTCCATTGCCTGGATGAGCCATCTCTTATTTCGCTGGTCCTCTATTGTTGGATATAATTTGCCTGATCTTGTGTCCTGACAAGTAAGGTCACAATGAATAACCTTTTACATATGTCATTTCACAGGAGGGTCGATGAACCTGTTGGATAATTTCCCAGAAGAGAAAAAGAGTTTATGCCCTGAATGTACATAAAGGAAAGTCCAACTATCCCCTCAACACACACACACACACACACACACACACACACACACAAGCATGCATGCATACACACACATATATATTCTCAAGGCCCTTATCATCTGAGGAGAGGTGGAACCAGGATAAGCCCGTCAAGGTGAATCCACTTAAAAGGGGGACCGAAATGCATAGTTAGCTTTGGGAGAAATGTTCTAATTAGGGCTTTATTTCAAGAAATTCTTTGCTTTGCTGAATTGGCGCAGCTCTGAACAGTCAGCCACAACCTCAGAAGCGGGAACCCAGGCAGGGTTCGGTGGCGAGGGACGGAGTGAAGTTCTCAAGAGGTCCGGCGGTCAGAGACATTTTGGTGTAGGATGATCATGTTTCCTTCGTCTTCTTATCACTGCAGGCCCCTGGAAACAAATTCTTAGACCAAAAATCTGTCTGCCCATCTATACATCTTGTTTATCGTCGATTTTCCTCCTTAACTAACAGCTTGGGAGGGTTAGTTAAGAGCTGGGTACAGTTATGTGCACCTGTAGTCCCAGATACTCAGGAGGCTGAGGCAGGAGGATTTCTTGAGCCCGGGAGTTCAAGGCTGCAGTGAGCGGAGATTTTACCACTACACTCCAGCCTGGGCAACAAACTGAGACTCTGTCTCAAAAAAAAAAAAAAAAGAAAAGAAAAAGAAAAAGAGCTGCATGGCTTACTTCTGTGGACCTCAGCCTCCTTGTCTGTAAAATGGATCACCTCTCCCAATTGTTTGAGCACCAACTATCCATCCTTTCTTGTGGATCACATGAGCACATTTTATTGGCCAGTATTTCTCCTTCCCTCCCTTCCACAAACATTTACTGAGTACCTACTATGTACTAGATCTTGAGTCAGATGCTTAGATAAATAAACACGTTCGTTTTCCCTTTGGAAACACAACATAAGGCTGCAGCAAATGACCCATTTGAGGGTCAGATCAGCAGATGGGAATGACTTTTGCAGTTGAAAATCAGCAACATTACAGCCTGGGCCTGACCCATTATAAAGCTCCAGACACTTTGTTTATTGAATGAATGAATGCATGAATTCATGAAAAGCCAAACAATTTGCCTGGGTGGCCTGTCTAGTCAGTCCAAGGTGAAGGTACTCTGTCCTCCCAGCTTTCGAACAGTTTTCCAGCACTCAGAGGTTCTCACTGTTCAGAGCCTGGACTAGTGACCCACAGGGTGGACAGCCTTGGTGAGCCCCACATGGCTGCGAGCCTTGACCTCATCCTGCTCCTGTCTCCTTAGGCTTCTCCCCAATCTCGTGGACAATTTAGTGAACCGAGTCCTGGCCGACGTCCTCCCTGACTTGGTAAGAAGCTGTCCCAGTATGGGAGCAAGGGGCACAGGCTTCCCCCAGACTGAGGGGCCATAGTCCAGCCTCCATCCCTGGGGGCCTGCAGGTAACCCAGAGGGACAGAGAGAGCCAAGGCCTGGGGCATGTATTTGGAGGGTCTGGGGAGGACCCTGAGGAACACGAAAGGACAGATTAGTGAAGGGCTAAGGAGAGGGACCTTGAGAATTGCACAGTTCCGGGTTTGAATCCCGGCTTGGGCACTTCCTAGCTGGGTGCCAAGTTGCATCATCTTTCTGAACCTCGATTTTCCCATCTGTAAGTGGGAATTAGAGACAGCCTTCCCCACAGGGCTGTGGTGAGGAGAGTGCCTGGCACAGAGCAAGCAGTCAGTAAATTTTAGCTATCGTTACTCTTGCGTCCCCGACTCCCTTGCTCCTACTCCCTGCAGCGTCAACAAGGCTTTGTGCCATTTCTCCCCTGCAGCTCTGCCCCATCGTGGATGTGGTGCTGGGTCTTGTCAATGACCAGCTGGGCCTCGTGGATTGTAAGTCCAATACACTTTCTCCAGCCTGGGGAAGGCACTGAGGACCGGGCCCTTTCTGGGAGGAGGGCTCAATGTGGTGGGGGCCACAGACCTGCCCTTAGGCCCTTGAAGTGAGGAGTGGCTAATGCCACAAGGGAGGTGCCACCTGGCTTTCCCTCTTGCTCCCAAACACCCCCCCCGAGTACCAGAGGGAGGAGCTTCCACCAGGGTCTGGGAGTCAGGGGTCTGGGAAGTGATGGCTCTGTCCTGGGAGTCAGGGGTCTGGGAGGTAATGGCTCGTCCTGGGAGCCAGGAAGCTGGGTTTGAGCCCCGGTTCTGCCCTGGCAGCTGTGTGGACTTGGAGAGACTCTTCCCAGTTTTCTCATCTCTCAAATCTCTCAATTCACAGAGGGGTTGGAGAGTGACTAGCAGGAGACACACTGTGGAGACTGACCACGGCCTCAGAACCAGGCTCTACCACCATCTCGGACCCTGATTTCTGAGTGAACATTCCTGAAAGCAAGCCCGCCCTGTATGGCTGTGCCATTTGTGCACTGCACCATTCCAGGGACCTCCTTTCACATGGATTACAGTGCAATGGCAGTGCCTCGAGTTGTGCAGTGCACAGCCTCCACAGCCACACAGGGCAGCCGTCTCTGATAGTGTTCCCATTTCTCTGGGACTCTAGGCAGTTTGAGAATGGCTTTCCAAGACAGGGAAATCTCCTTCCCTTTGTGGCCAGAGATGAGGAAGGAAGAGCCCAAAAGCTGGGGCTGTTCATTACACAGTCAAGGAAATGACAGATTCAACTAAGCACCACATTGTGGAACCCTAAATTCCTTCCCTGGTGCACAGCACTTCACAGTTTACAAAGCTCATCAACATCCAGGATATTGCACCCCCCTGCCCCCACCAACGTAGTCCCAGAGGTTACAGTAAACCCATTTTACAGAGGAGGCAACTGAGGTTCAAAGAAGTGCAATGACTTGCTTGGGTTCACACAGCAAGGAAGAGGCAGAGCTGGGATTCAAACCCAGAACTTTTGCTCTTTTCATGGTGTCTGGAGCTGGAGCCTGGGCCTACCTTGTCCATCCCCAGCCCCAGTGTATGAGGAGGGAAGGCATCTGGATGGTGAGGGGACCTCCCTGTGACCCTCTCCTTTGCCTGCAGCTCTGATTCCTCTGGGGATATTGGGAAGTGTCCAGTACACCTTCTCCAGCCTCCCGCTTGTGACCGGGGAATTCCTGGAGCTGGACCTCAACGTGAGTGCCTGGGGTTCAGGGCAAAGGGTGGTGGCCCTCCTCCCAAAGGCAGGAGTATCAGTGAGGCCCTCCCAGGGCTTCTGCTGAATGCCTGGGAAGTAACACTTGACAGGACCCTCTCGATTAGAAGAAGGCCTTCTAAGAGCTGTGTTAGAAAACATAATCATGGCCAGCATTCCAAATGCTTACTGTGTGCCAGGCACATTCTGTGTGCTTTGTGTCGATTAACTCAGCCTATCTTCACAGCAACCATATGAGGGAGGCACTTCTTATTGAGGAAACTGAGCCACAGAAAGGTTAAATCACTTGCCCAAGGTCACACAGCTAATAAATGTGGACCTGGGGTCTGAACCCAGGCAATCGAGCTACTAGGTGCTAAAAGAGCTGCTGCTGTGGGATTGGGTGTACTGGAGGAATAAATGTGGCCAGAGGTATGCTGGTAAGCATTTAACCATCATCTCTCCATGATTAAAAAAAAGTCCTGATTTGTAGCATTGGCCAATATCCATGGTATCAAAACTCCCATCATGGACAGCTTCAAGTTACCAACATGACGTCAGTGGATGCAGAGTTGGGAAGAGATGTGTGAAATCTGACCATGTGAGGTGGTATGAGCTGGCTCCTCCAGCACTGGCCTGCATCTGGCCCCTAATTTTGTATGGGGCACGCACACATATGTACTTTCCCTAGGCTTCATGAACACAGATGACTCCACACTTGCTCCAGCAGATACAGAGATGCAGGAGTGCATCCGTGCTCCCGTGTATACAGGCGCCCCTGCGCATGCATATATATTTCCAGCACCTGTGCATGCACACCTAATATATTCATAAACATACATCTGTTGAAGAGATATTCATTGGTCACCCGCTGTATGCCTGAGCTGAGGCTGAGTGAGGCTCTGGGCTGAGTGCTGGAAGTACAGTGATGAACAAGACAAAGTCTCTGCCCTGATGGAGATTAGAATGTTTTGGAGGGGACAGGCCATAAAGAATCACTCAAACAAATATGCAATTCTAAGTCATGAGCACGGTGATCAAGGATCCGAGGCTATCAGAGCCTAAAGCAGGGGGTGTATGATCCACCCAGGGAAGTCAAGGAGGGCTTCCTGGAGGAGGTAACACTTGAGCTGAGAGCTGCCAGATGAGTGGAACTTAACAAAAGAAGAATGTGGGGAAGGGAATATCCTGTGGGAAGGCTCCATGGTGGGGGTAGTGGTGTTGTGGGGAGACTGCAAAGGCCCTGGTGGCTGTGTAGCGGGAAGGTGAGAGACAGAGTGGCTTGGAGGCTGGAGAGGTCTCCTGGAGCAGATCACCTAGCACCTTGTAGACCGTGGAGAGGAGTCTGGTCTTTAGAGGGTAGATATGCATTGTACAGATGCATACATATGCTAGTTCATCACTGCAGGGCTGAGTTTGGAGAGGATCTGTCATACCATGGCTGTAATTGTAAGTGACCATGAAGCAGGAACTGCGAAAGGTTCCACTGCATCATAAACTGGAGGAGAGTGGGGACCATGCATCAAAGAGCCACTCAGACTCAGTGGGTTTAACCAAAAATGGCTGCCTGGAGGCAGATTCAGGGCCTCACTCCAGCCTTCAGTCCCCTTCTTTCCATCTTCTCCCTCCCTGTGACCCCTTTCTTCTCTTCTCCCCCAGACGCTGGTTGGGGAGGCTGGAGGAGGACTCATCGACTACCCATTGGGGTGGCCAGCTGTGTCTCCCAAGCCGATGCCAGAGCTGCCTCCCATGGGTGACAACACCAAGTCCCAGCTGGCCATGTCTGCCAACTTCCTGGGCTCAGTGCTGACTCTACTGCAGAAGCAGCATGCTCTAGACCTGGATATCACCAATGGCATGGTGAGTCACAGCCCCACCAGGGGGAGGTGGCTGGGCAGCAGACAGCTGCCAGTGACCCTTCTCAGTCTCCACAGACTTGGGGAATTTGCTGTGAAGTGAGAACTGCAGATGGTCCACCCCTTGACTCACCTCCAGCTCATGGGTGTGCGTCAATTACGTCAGTACTTGCCAAAGTGGTGCTTGGGAGGATTTCAGGTGGTCCACAGACCAAATCTCACGATGAGAAAGTTGCTCCCTATTCAATTTTATTTAACTTTATTTCAATTGTTTTTTAAAAGCATAACATATATTCACATATATGAACCTCAATATAAATGTTTAGAATGTTTTCATTTGGTAAACACTAATACATAAGTAACAAAATGACACATAACAAAATATCACCCTTAGGCATGCTCCAGTCATTTTCTTTCCAAACTTTTTCTTTTGAAAACTTTCAAGGCTTCAGAAAAGTTGCAAAATGCTACAACTGATGGACATATATCCTTCACTTAGATCCACTAGTTAAAATTTTGCCACAGTTGCTTCATATCTACCTATGCGTCCATTCACCCTCCTACCCACCCACTCCTCCACCCATCAACCCACCTATCCACCCACCCATTCATCCACCCATACATCCATCTATTTATTTATCCATCCACCCATCCACCCACCCT
Source organism: Homo sapiens (assembly GCF_000001405.40). NCBI lineage: Eukaryota > Metazoa > Chordata > Mammalia > Primates > Hominidae > Homo > Homo sapiens. The sequence continues at coordinate 33,093,318 of NC_000020.11, forward strand.
CCCATTCATTTGTATATCCATCTATTTATCCACCAGTCCTTCCATCTATCTATCCAGCCATCCAGCCATCCATCCACCCACCCACCCATCCACCAATCAAACCATCCACCCATTCATCCACCAATTCATCCATCTATCCATCCATCTGTTTATCTATCCATCCACCTATCCACCCACTCACCCACCCATCCACCGTCAACTCATTCATCCATCCACTCATCAACCCACCCATCCTTCCATCAACCCATCCATCTATCCAGCCATCCACCTATCCACTCACCCACCCACCCATCCACCATCAACCCATCCATCCATCTACTCATCAACCCGACCATCCATCCATCAACCCATCCATCTATCCATCCATCCACCTATCCACTCACTCACCCACCCATTTACCCATCAACCCACTCATCCATATCCACTAATCCATCCACCTATCCATCTATCCATTTATCTATCCATCCACCCACCCATCCACCCATCTATCCACCCATTTATGCATTCCTTCACAATTCATCCATCCATCCATCCATCCATCCATCCACCAATCCATCCATCCATTTATATATCCATCCACCCACTCACCCATTATCAATCTATCTGTCTGATCTGTCTGTCTGTCTCTCTGTCTGTCTCCCTGTCTGTCTATCCATCTATCTTATCTGTTTTTGAGCAATTTGAGCTTTCGCAGACATCATGACAATTCATTCCATAAACTTCACTGTATATCTCCTAAGAACAAGACATTCTGCACAAAACCATCATACAAATGATGCCAACACTTGCTTCCATTAAGAGAAAAGTCTCCACTTGGTGTCCGTATATAGTTAGCCCTCTCTTGCACTTGTCGTTGTCCCCTTTTAAACTAAGAGAGAACAGAGCTCATGCCCAAAGCTCTCCACAGACAATGATATCCATGCAGAAGGTAATGGCATTATTTTGTTTTTATTGTATTTGGTTTTACAGTTGCCATCTCTTTGTGTCAAGTGGTACTGGCTTTCCATTTTGAGTATTTGAGGTCTTAAGAAGCAAGCCAATTTAAAAATGCTAAGTAAATAATAGTACAGGTGGTTCAAGGATATGACAGAGGTCATGAATTTAGTGGACACTGAGTTATGCAAATGGACTTGATGCTGGTCTCCTTGTTTTAATAAGGAATGACATTTGTTTCTTTTCTTTTTCTTTCTTTCTTTTTTTTTTTTTTGAGACAGAATCTTGCTCTGTCACCCAGGCTGTAGTGCAGTGTTGTGATGTTGGCTCACTGCAACCTCCATCTCCTGGGTTCAAGCAATTCTCCTGCCTCAGCCTCCCAAGTAGCTGGGATTACAGGCATGTGCCATCATGCCCGGCTAATTTTTGTATTTTTAGTAGAGGCGGGATTTTCACCATGTTGGCCAGGCTGGTCTCAAACTCCTGATCTGAAGTGATCCACCTGCCTCGGCCTCCCAAAGTGCTGGGATTACAGGCATGAGCCACCGTTCTCGCCCAAGAATAACATTTTTAGAGGAGAAATATTCAGGTTTTGCCTGCTGTTCTTTGAAACACTCCTTGGTCAGCTTAAGTCAGCCCAGGTCACTTAACCACAAACTGGCTACGGTGATCTGCGTATGGTGATGATGGCTGGGTAGGCAGGACTTCCCCAGGGGTCTTTCAGGGAGAGAAGACGAAGACGCCCTGCTGGGTGTTGTAAAGCATGTAGGAGTTTAATCACTGTATTAGCAACTCCTGTCTGTACCGATAGCCTCCAGGATTCACGTGGCCCTTCTTCTTGTCCTATAGTTTGAAGAGCTTCCTCCACTTACCACAGCCACACTGGGAGCCCTGATCCCCAAGGTATGTAAGGTGGGCAGGTCCCATTGCCTTCAGCCTCATTCTCTATCTTGTTTGAGAAACTGGATTGGAAGGGAAGATGCTCAGCGCTGGGGTGGGGTGCTCTCCCCCGAACCCCTGCTTGGGAGTGCAGTGACAGTGACAAGGGCTTGCAGGCTAGACCCCCATGGGTGGGGGCGGGGGAAGACACAGAGGGTTGAGGTGGAAAGACCCTGAATTCTATAGGTGGTCCAGCCTGCATAGGCCTAATCCTAGCCTGGCCACTTCCCTTGCTGTGTGACTTTGGAGAAGAGTCTTAACATCTCTGAGCCTTAGCTTCCTCATCTGTCAAAAAAGGCTGCTGATACCTATTCCATAGGTTATCATAGGAAGGTAAATGAGATGATGCATGTAAAGGTGTCAACGCGGGCCAGGCACACTCGGGTGCACAGCTGCTTAGAGGGAAAAGCCAGGCCTTTGGAACAGACAGACATGAGTCAGCACATCCCAGTCATATGACCTTAGATGCACAATTCCTCTCTCTGAGCCTCAGTTTTCTCATCTGGAAAACGGGGTAACCATGCTCACTTCAGAGGGTGGCTGTGGACCTGGAGTCTGCACCAAGGCAAGGAGCAGGCATTTGATCAACATGAACTATTATTGCTGTTGTTAATAATTACACATTACTTCTTTTTTTAAAAAAAAGCAAGTGTGCTTTTGTCCAATTAGTGACCATATAGAGTTGGAACAAAGGCCTTTCCCACCCCAGTTCTGGTCCCATGTCTGGTTCTGGGCCTATTACCTTGCACCTGGAAGCAAAGGGCTCTGTACCTAGTAAGTGTTATGCAGGTGTGAATGATGGCTGCAATCTATAGCCATTTTAGACATTTTTCACCTCTTTTCTGCCTGCCCTGTTTAGTCCTGGGTGGAATTCAAAGGCTCTAGGGGGAGAACAAACTCAACACGTGGTCACTATTGCCCTCATGTGGCTGCAAATTGAACATCGGAAGGATCATTCTCTAGGGTGGTAACAGTGGCAGCTCCAGCCAGCAGGTGGACCCCTCAATCAACTGGACCTTTTATTTACTGGGTCACTTCCTATGTGCACTGCACTTTACAGCTTATGAAATTGTTTTTTAGAGTATACTTTTTCTTTCTTTTTTTGAGACAGAGTCTTGCTGCGTTGCCTAGGCTGGAGTGCAGTGGCACAATCTCAGCTCACTGCAAACTCTGCCTCCCTGGTTCAAGCAATTCCCCTGACTCAGCCTCCTGAGTAGCTGGGACTACAGGCATGCACCACCATGCCTGGCTAATTTTATATTTTGAGTAGAGACAGTATTTCGCCATGTTGACCAGGCTGGTCTCGAACTCCTGACCTCAAGTGATCTGCCCACCTCGGCCTCCCAAAGTGCTGGGAGTACAGGCATGAGCCACAGTGCCCAGTCAGAATATACTTTTTCAATTGGTTCTGATCATTCCCTCTATCCACAGGACCAAAGAGGAGAAGCACACCATTTACAGATGGGGAAACAGAGGCTCAGAGAGGTCACATGATGAGGCAGTAGCAGAGCTGGGGTAGAATAGGGACTGAGTCCTCAGTGGCGCTGGGACTGCAGCAGGGGGGATTCAGGCTGGACCCAGCAATGTGTCCTGGAGACCTGGGCTGCACGGAGTCACCAGGGGAGGGGACTTCTTTCTGTTTCTTTTGAAAGTAATATTGTGGTTTTGCCCATTTCTCTATGGTCAGTTAACATATTTAAGAAGTATATTCCTTAAAGTATGTATTTTTGGTAAGTCAATCATTTGATAAATATGGCAAACTGCCATTTTATGAATTGTCCCTTTAGTAAATTAGCTTTCAGGGAATCAAACTGCAGCAAACAAGCTCAAGTCCCTCCAGCAATCCGGGCTCGGGGGCAGCCTGTGCCTTGCCTGGGACCTCCCTGTGGGATTCCCCAGGCGTGGACTTCTCATTTCAGGAACAGTGTTCAGAGGCATTGGGAGGCTCTGGGCTCTGAGCCCACAGACATGCACTGGAATCTTAACTTTCCTCCTGGCCTTGGACAATTTCCTTGGCATTCCCCTCTGAGGCCCTGTTTTCTCATCTGTAATGTGGAGAAAAAAAAATACCCCATGGGTTGTTGTAATGACTGAATGAAATTAAGACTGTCCATTCAGCACCTGGCCAGCATCTCTGGGAGACCCCATTTCACTCAGTACCAAGTTTTAAGCATTTCCAGGTGTCAGGCATTGAGCCTGAATTTTGCCGGCATGATCACAGTTATTTCTCATAGTAACCCCATGTGCAAGGCTTGGAGAGGGCAGCTCCTTGCCCAGTTCTCACAGTGGGTCATTGGCTTTGCCTGTGGTTTGTTGGACTCAAGCAACATGAGACCCCGGTGCTCTGTGTTTAGAGGTTGGCTGATAACCCCCTGGGTACCTCCTATGCTAAGGGCCCTGTCCATCTGGCCTGGTGCCTGCCCACAGGTGTTCCAGCAGTACCCCGAGTCCTGCCCACTTATCATCAGGATCCAGGTGCTGAACCCACCATCTGTGATGCTGCAGAAGGACAAAGCGCTGGTGAAGGTGTTGGCCACTGCCGAGGTCATGGTCTCCCAGCCCAAAGACCTGGAGACTACCATCTGCCTCATTGACGTGGTGAGTGTCTGGAGGTACTGGTGGCCTCCAGCTGGGCCTCAAGACAGAGCCACATGGTCTCCTGGAGCCCAAAGACCCCTTCAAATCCCCTCAATCTCCACCATCATGACTATGGGCCCAACTTTGGGGCCAGAGGCTCTAACCCAAATCTAGCCTTTACCACTTCCAGCTACATGACTTTGGACAAGTCACTCCCTATCTCTAGACTAGAATCTTAACTCTCTTGCTGGCCTTGCACAATTTGCTTGGCATTTCCTTCTGAGCCCCAGTTTTCTCATCTGTAACATGGAGAAAAAATACCACATGGGGTTGTCGTGATGACTGAATGAAATTAAGACTGATTTTCTCCTCTGCCACAGGGGGATGGCAGTAGGGCATTAGTAAGATGCTCAGAGCAGTGCCTGACATACCCTAAAGGCTGCCAAAGTGTTAGCTGATATTATTCTCACAGGTTGCCTATACCCAGTGTGTGGCCAAGCCAGTCTTGATCATTCATTCAGCAATATTTATTGAGCACCTACTATGTGTTATGCTTTCTACTTGACACTGGGGAAAGGGGAAACGAGACAGATGGTGCCTGCTCTCTTGTACCTGGTACCTAGCAGGGGACAGATACAAATACAACAATTTTCACAATTATTTCATAGAAAGGAATCCTCTTAAAATGTGAACCATGGCCAGGCATGGTGGCTCACACTTGAGAACCCAGCTCTTTGAGAGGCTGAGGTGGGTGGATCACTTGAGGCCAGGATTTCGAGACCAGCCTTGTCAACATGGTGAAACTCTGCCTCTACTAAAAATACAAAAATCAGCTGGATGTGGTGGCACACACCTGTAGTCCCAGCTACTCGGGAGGCTGAGGCACGAGAATCGCTTGAACCTGGGAGGCGGAGGCTGCAGTGAGCCGAGATCGCACCACTGCACTCCAGCCCGGGTGACAGAGCAAGACTCCATCTCAAAAAAAAAAAAAAAAAAATGAACCATGTTTCTCCTCTGCATTCCTTCAATTCTGAAATAAAAGCCCATCTCCTGACAATGGCCCACAAAGTCCTCATGACCATCCCCTCATCACCTCTGAGCTCCTCAGTGTTCCTCCAACATGTCAGGCACTGTCTGACCTCAGGGCCTTTGCAGATGCTGTTCCCTCTGCCTGGGATGCTCTTCCCCCAGGTATCTGCACAGTTACTCCCTTACTTCCTTTTTTTTTTTTTTTCTTTGAGATGGAGTCTCACTCTGTGGTGAGACCCTAGGCTACGGTCTAGCTTAGGGCCCAGCACACAGTAGATGCTCAGTAAACATTGGTCACAGGAATGTGTTAAGCTGTGTTAAATGCCATTTCTCCCTCCATGATTAAGGCTTCAGGCTTTGGAACTCAGACACTTGGGACTCTGGTCCCATCTGCTGTCTTCCTGCTAGTCCCTCCTACTCCCAAAGCTTGAGACCAAATAAGCCACTTCTAGTTGGGAATTAGGTGCTCTAGGCTGGAGCATGCCAAGCCACAGAGTGTGGGGGTTCTTGTGTGGGCCTTATAAGATGGTCGATTAAAGGGTCGATTCTAGCCCACGAGTGGGAATGGCTGTCCCAATCTGTCCTCCATCAATCAGCCTCTACTGTGTGGAGATTTTCCATCAGCAGCTCAGAGGTTTGTGTGAGCCAGCCCAGCACCCTGCAGTGACTCCTGCTGTCCCAGGGATGCAGCCCTGACTCCTCCCCAGCGCACAGCTCTGCCTGGCTTGGTCCCTTTTCACTGCAGCCTCACGAACCCTTTTACCTCCTTGCTCTCTGGCCTCCTCTCTACCTCTCTAATGCCAACCTCTTCCCTGCCTCCTGGCCTTTGCCCATGCCCTCCCCACTGCCTGGATTACTCTCCCACCCTCTTTTCATCTGGCCAAGTCCTACATACCCTTCAGTCCTCAGTCCAAACACCATTTCCCACACCAGCTTACACCCCTGGCACGTGCACCCAGAGCCCCCAGTTCTTCATCAGGCCAGTCATCGTGGTCATTGTTATCTACTAACATCACCTGAATTTCTCAGGAGCTTACTGTTTTTTCATAAAGCCAACTTTTAAATTCAATTTATTTTGGGTGGGAGGCAGGGAAGGAAAAAGGGATTTTCCTACAAAAAGGCCTCTACTTGGAGAGAGAGAGAGAGATGAGCCTGGGCCTTTTATATCCTCTCCTGGGGATGGGACAGTTATGATTGGCAGCGGTGATGCCCAATCTCGTCATCTAAAGTGAGTTTCATAGGCTACGAGCCACTCCCCACCCACTCCGAGGCATTGCAGAGACACCTGGTAAACACCCTCTATAAATCATGGGGATCCTGTGACTGTTGCCTTACTGAGAAGTGTTCACTCAGCCCTTACTGTGACTCACTTGCAAACGATAGTTAATGTTGGCAACTTATTATTCCGAACTCCTTCCCTCCAGAGGTGGTGCAAATCCAGTACATGGTGAGTGTTAACCAGGAGTCTCATGCTTATAAAAGGAGGTCTGACCCAGGCCTCGGGGAACAACCTGCCATCATGCTCAGGGTTAACGAAGCCCTAGCTAGCACTGGGCACACAATGAGCCTTTGGCAAGCACTGGCCAAGACATGAAGGCAGTGACGTCTTTCTCCTTTCCTTTCCCTCCAGGACACAGAATTCTTGGCCTCATTTTCCACAGAAGGAGATAAGCTCATGATTGATGCCAAGCTGGAGAAGTAAGGGGCTATGCTGCCTTGGGGTCCTGACGGTGCTGGTGCTGCTCATGGAGGAGCCACCAGGGAGCGGGTAGAGGTCTCCTGTGTGGCCATCAGGGCTGGGTAAACCCAAGGGGCTGCAAAGGTGACGATGGCTCATGCCTACCATTACCACTGTCACAAGCCAGGCAAGGTGGGTGAAGCCGTGAACTTAGAAAGAAACTACTGCCAAAATCAACAGTCAGTAATAATGATGCTGGGGTGTGGGCACAGTAGCCCATGCCTGTAGTCTCAGTGCTTTGGGAGGCCGAGGCTGGAGGACTGATTGAGGCCAGGAGTTTGAGACCAGACTGAGAAACATAGCAAGACACCATCTCTACAAAAATAGAAAAATTAGCTGGGCATAGGTACACACGTGTAGTCCTAGAAAAAATTAGCCGGGCTTGGTATCCATGTGCCTGTAATCCCAGCTACTCAGGAGGCTGAGGCAGGAGCCCAGGAGCTTGAGGTTGTGGTGAGCTATGATTGTGCCACTGCACTCCAGCCTGGGCAACAGAGCAAGACCCTGTCTCTAAGTAACAGTGATGATGATGAGGAGGAGGACGAGGAGGAGGAGGAGGATGCTGGTGATGATGACATACCAGGCTCTGCTCTATGTACTTGAAGTGTACGTATTATCTTGTTTCTCCCCTCTGATGGTCCCAGTGGAAGTCAGGGCTATTATTCTCCCTTTGTAGGGAGAAAACTAGGGCTGGAAACAGTGGATTTACTTACCCAGGGCCACCCAGCAAGTACATAGAGGGGCTGTGAGCCAACCCAGGTTCATGTGACCTGCTGCATTGGATGGGTACAATCATGCGCTTTGGAGCCAAGCAATATGGGTTCAAATCCTGATGTGACCACTGACTGACTGTGTGATATTGGCCAACCAACTTCACTCTGAGCCTCAGTTTTCTCATCTGAAAATGGGGATAATAGTCACTACCTCGTAAGATTCATAAAAAGAATAATTATTATTCATTGGATGCTTTCCGTGTGCCAGGTATTTGGCTAAGTCCTAGGTGTGTCTTCATTTAATTCTTTCTTTTTCTTTTCTTTTGAGCCAGGAGCTCGCTCTGTTGCCCAGGCTAGAGTACAGTCACGGCTCACTGCAGCCTTGACCTCCCCAGCTCAAGCGATCCTCCTACCTCAGCCTCCCAAGTAGCTGAGATTACAGGCATGCACCACCACGCCAGACTAATTTTTATATTTCTAGTAGAGACGGGGTTTCGCCATGTTGGCCAGCCTGGTCTTGAACTCCTGGGCTCAAGTGATCTGCCTGCCTCGGCCTCCCAAAGTTCTGGGATTATGGGCATGAGCCACTGCACCCGGCCTTCCTTTAATTCTTGATATAAGCCTATGGAAATAAGTACTATCATTATTTCCATTTCAAGATTAAATGAGGTCATATGTAAAATTTTTAGCATGTGACTAGATCATTGTAAGCTTTTCTTTTACAACCAATATTTCTTAAGCCCACCAATGGCAGTTACTCGTGATTAATATAGTGCACATCAGAGACATCCAGGAGTTCCCAAGGAGGCAAGATTCAGCCTGCAGCCTGGATAAGGAGTAGGGGCCAGCTGGGCAAGAGCTGGGTATTTCCTGCAGGGAGAGCAGCATGGGCAAGCTTCGCAGAGAGGAAAAGGGCACGGATACTGTGGGGTGCGGTGCCTGAGAGGGAGAGAGGCTGGGTAAGGAAGTCAGGAAGGAAGAAAACATGTCCCAAGCGGAGAGTCTTGTTTCCTTAGAAGGTACCTTTATTTCCCTCCTGCTGGACACCGAGCTGATGCTTCTGAACAGCCCCGAACGATTTCCGCCCCACGGGCAAGCCCGGTCTGGCCTCTCTCGGGTAGGACTGTCAGCTGTATTGAGATTCAGGTGCAGCAAGACGGAGGCCCTTATAGAGCAGAGCGAGACCTCAAACCCCGGCCTCAGCCTCCCATCTCAGAACAGCACAACAGTGAGAGTGCAGGTTCAGGGTGCGAGGCCTAGGCTATCCCTCCCTGGCTCTGTGGCTGCAGTAAATTACCCTGGAGCCTGCTCCACTGGAGGGCTGGAAGGATTACACGAGGTGATGGTGATCACTCATGCACCTATGGCAGGGCTCTGGAGCAGCGCTTTATGGGAATATCCCCTTTAGTCCTAGCAGCCACCCACTTTGCAGATGAAGAAACTGAGGCATAGAAAGGTAAAGTACCTTGACTAAGGTCACAAAGCTAGTAGGTGGCAAAGCTATGATTTGAGCCTTCTCCGTGTGGTGCATGAAGCCCTTAGCATGGTGTCCGACGTGTAGTTAGCGCTCAGCATGTGAGAGCCAGCATTGTTCTTATTAAATCCCTGCAGGTGGAGAGTGATCGTGAGGATAGTGGAGGGGCTTCTCACAATTTGTTGCAATGCAAGAGCCTTATGATTTTCAGGCAATCCCTGCTTCTCACAGGCTGTTTTCTTCGTCTACAGGACCAGCCTCAACCTCAGAACCTCAAACGTGGGCAACTTTGATGTAAGTACCATGTTTAGTTCCCAGGGCAAGATCTTCTGGGAAGGAGCCCAGGACGTGTCTTCCGGGAATGGTGTTCCTGTGAGGCTGGCTGGGCATGGGGAGTTTGTGAATTCCAAAGTGCTCCCGTCAACACTATCAGCCCTCATTTTGCAGATGGACAGATGTAGAAACTGAGGCCCACAAGGCAAGTGAGGGGCAGAGGACAGACTCACAGCTCCTTCTACTCTGCCTCGGGTGCTGTCCCATGTTAACTGGCTGCCCCATGGGGGGCCACTTGGCCCAAATCGCTCCATTTCAGGGTGGGGAGGCACAGTGGGCAGCCTTGTCCTACAGGACCACTTTCCTTCTGGAGTTAGGAGCCCACTGACTCCTGTGTGACCTTGAGCGATATCAACCCACTCTGAGCCTCAGTTTCCCCATCTGTAAAATGAATACAATTTGAGTTCATTTCTAACCTCCCTTCTTGCCCCTGGGTTGTGGAATTCTGCTTTTCCAAGGGTCCAGAAATCTGAGATGCTCACATTCTAGCGTTGGGTCCTGTTTTATCTCTTTGTTCACTCTTGGGTGCCCCACCCCCACCTAAGGCTTCAGAAACACTCCTTCCTCCCCACCCCCCCACCTCCGCTTTTTATAAATTGACAACTAAGCATCTGCTAGCTTTCTGGGACAAGCTTGGATGAGATCTCCACATGTGCAGAAAAAGTCAAACCCATTCATTGTGTTGCTAATTTTATAGCTTTTCTAACCCAAAAAGCTACAGCCTGTGAAGCCGATCTTGCCAGCTTCATTTTATAAGGATAAACTGCCCAAGGCTTCCCAGCTGGTTGGGGCAGAGTTGGGATTAGAACTGAAATCTCTGGACTCCAAGTGAAGAAAGGGGCTGACAGTGTAAAATTAATGAATTAATGAAGCTATCGAGATGGGCCCTAGGCACTGAATTATGCTTTTTTTTCTCTTTTAATGAGGTTTTCTCATTTAATCCTTACCACCGTGTTATGATTTGGGTATTATTATTACACCCATTCTTCCAAATAAGGAAGGTAAGCTCAAGTGACTTGCCCAAGGCAACAGAGCTAGGAAGAGGCACTGCCGGAAAGTGAGTCCATGCCCTCACCCTCTGCAGACTGGAACATCAGGCATGTTACATATAGGGGCTTATGTCTGATTTTTATAACCACCCTATGAGGCAAGGGTTACTCACTCCTGTTTTCAGATGTGGAAACCAAGGCTTAGAGAAGTTAAGGGAGGTAACATATGAAAAGGCTCAAGGCCAGGAGTTTTACGTGATCTACCCACCATCCTCACCGCATCCTTGCAAACTCAGCTCACTGACCCATTTTACAGCTGAGGAAGCTGAGGGTTAGAGAGGTGAAGGAGCCTGCCCAGAGGCCCACGGAGACTGAGCTGGGATGGGAACCTGGGGTGTTGGCTCCAGGGCCATTGGGACTTCTGTGATGCCATGACAGTGCCATCGGGGCCAGGCCACCCTGAAACCTGTGCTCTGTGCCTCCCAGGGGAGGAACTAGGCCTCCCTCAATCCCTGCTTCATAGGGGCCTTGGGCCACCACCCATGCTGGGCCTCAGTCTGCCCATCTGCACAATGTGCAAGTTGATGGGGGGCACCTTAAGGCTGCCGGTGAGAAATTCTGGGGTCTCAGGGGTTCTGACTGCCAGAACCTAGACTCTCCCAGAGCAGGTCTGTGTCTCCACCTTGAGCCAGGGGAGCAGACCCAAGGGGCCCTCTGGAGCTGAGCAAACCCCCTGCCCAGGCTCTGTCCTCCTTCTTCCTCTGCAGATTGGCCTCATGGAGGTGCTGGTGGAGAAGATTTTTGACCTGGCATTCATGCCCGCAATGAACGGTGAGAGCGGGTGCCTGTGCCTCTCTGGGAGCTTGTGGCTTGGGTACTGGGGGATACTGGCTTGTTGGGCATGCTGGATGTGCATCTATCCTACCTCAATAGTATTTCTGAGCACTTCCTTTGAAGCGTGTCGATGAAAGCCTCCAAATCCAAACGTGGCCCCCAAAGTTCCAGCACCTTCCTTATTTGCTTCTTTCTTGTTTGGCTGATTGTTTTATTTTTCTGATTATCTATGAAAATTCCGATTATGTATTAACATTGTGTGTGTGCAAGTTTTAGAAAATATAAAACAATTTAAAAAAAACTCACCTCGCAGAGGCAATGAATCTCAACATCTGAGCATATTTCCTTCTAAACTCTTTTTCTCCATTGTTTTCCCATATGATTGAGATCTTTCCTGACTCATATTTAAACATGTATTTATTTTTAATGATACAGGAACTACAGGAATACATTCTTATTGTGAAAAGTTCCATTGGCGCAGATACAGCTAAAGTTGCTCTTATCGACATCCCCAGCCTCCTTCCTAGCCCAGAATCTGCCCCCCTAGGGAACCACATCAAGTTAGGAGGTTTTCTTGCCCAACTTTATAAACAGAGTAGACTGAGCTTGCTTTGCTCTCTGGGGCGTCTCAGGAATGTTACTGGGAAGGCTGCTTGTTGAACTATGGGGGTCATTGGCTACTCACATACTGGGACTGGGAAACTGCCCAAGCCCTGGGGTCACTGGGCCCCAGACTCTCTCCCACTCCTGCTTCCTGGATGAGAAGACAAGGAGGGCTGGCACATCCCAGCCAATGTCATCAGCTACACCAGCGGGGGTTCTGTTGGAGCCATCTTGATGTCAAACAAACCCTTGTTCTGGGCCCTGTGGTCAGAGGAAGCCGAGTCTCACTGGTGGGGAAAGTGGTGGTTTCTCTGTGAGAGGATGGGGTCAGGGGCTGGGCTGGGCTGACCTGGGAGGGAAGAGACGGAGCGTCTTGCCTGGCTTAATCACTAAGAGTGGTGTGAACTTGGGGGCGAGTCTTTTAATCATACTGAAGTGCAATTCACCATTTTCAAAATGAGAGCTTGGACAAGGTCCATAGTCCCCAAAGTGAGCTCCGTAAAGCAGTCCCACAAAATACCCTGCAAAAAGCGTTCCATGGCCGAGCAAGTTTGGGAAGTGCTGAAGATACTCCTGCAGGGTAGATTCACAATGTCCTTAGCTTTTTGAAAAGTCCTGCTGGAATAGAGAAGTCTGTTAAATTTCACTTAATTTACTTCCCCCATCCACTCTTTCCTACCCCACTTCTTTTTCTCTCTTCCTGCTCTCTTTCTAGAACAGTAATTAGCAGGTTTACTTAGGCTCTGACAATCTGAAAACAAACAGCACATCCCACGGCAGAGTCAATGGCTAGGGCTCCACGTGCACTTTCCATTACTTCACTCGGCAAACATTTGCCATCTCCTCTATGACTGGGCGAAGGGCTGGGTGATGCTGGGGACACAGCTCTTTTCTTTCTTTTTTTTTTTTTTGAGATGGAGTCTCACTCTGTGGCCCAGGCTAGAGTACAGTGGCACGATCTCGGCTCACTGCAACCTCTGCCTCCCAGGTTCAAGAGACTCCCCTGCCTCAGCCTCCCGAGTACCTGGGATTACAGCTGTGCACCACCACACCCAGCTAATTTTTGTATTTTTAGTAGAGATGGGTTTTTGCCATGTTGGCCAGGCTGGTCTCAAACTCCTGACCTCAAGTGATCCACCCACCTTGGCCTCCCAAGGGGACATAGTTCTTGCCTTCAGGGAACTCACAATGTGGTGGGCGTGACAGATACAGAAACAGATAATTAATATTTTATGGTTTCTCTAATAGAGCAGTTCGGAGGTGGGATGGGGGTGCTGCAGGAGCCTTGAGTCGTTTGGGGTCCAGAAAACCTTGCAGAGGAGGTAACATCTGAACAGTCTCAGAGAGGGCTCAGAACTCACCAGGGATGCTAGGGTGAGAGAATGTGCACCAGGCAGGAGGAACTGCAAGGACAAAGGCCTAGAGGCATAAAAGAAATTGCCAGGGCCGGGCACAGTAGCTCAAGCCTGTAATCCCAACACTTTGGGAGGCCAAGGCGGGTGGAGCACGAGGTCAGGAGTTCAAGACCAGCCTGACCAATATGGTGAAACCCCATCTCTACTAAAAACACAAAAATTAGCTGGGCGTGGTGGCGCACGCCTGTAGTCCCAGTTACTCAGGAGGCTGAGGCAAGAAAATCATTTGAACCCAGGAGGTGGATGTTGCAGTGAGCTGAGATCGTGCCTCTGCGCTCCAGCTGGGGCAACAGAGCAAGACTCAGTTAAAAAAAAAAATGAAAGAAAGAAGGAAGGAAGGAAGGAAAGAAAAGAAAAGAAAAGAAGAGAAAAGAGAAAAGGGAAAAGAAAAGAAAAAGAAAAAGAAATTGCCAGGTGTGGGCACCATGGCTCACACCTGTAATCTCAGTACTTTGGGAGGCCGAGGTGGGGGCAGATCATCTGAGGTCAGGAGTTCAAAATCAGCCTGGCCAACATAGTGAAACCCTGTCTTTACTAAAACAAACAAAACAAACAAACAAAAAACAAAACAAACAAACAAACAAAAAAAGCAAAAATTAGGCATGTTGGCATGTGCCTATAATCCCAGCTACTTGGGAGGCTGAGGCAGGAGAATCACTTGAACCTGGGAGGTGGAGGTTGCAATGAGCCGAGATTGTGCCACTGCACTCCAGCCTGGGCAACAGAGCGAGACTCTGTCTCAAAAAAAGAAAAAAGAAATTGCCAATCTTCTTACAAATACTGGCGGCTTCTGGTGAGACCAACACCTCTTGGACCACTGACCATGTCTGACTGTTTTTTATTTTACAGCTGTGCTGGGTTCTGGCGTCCCTCTCCCCAAAATCCTCAACATCGACTTTAGCAATGCAGACATTGACGTGTTGGAGGTAAGAGGAGATCGAGCTCCATTCTGCTTTTCCTCCCTGCCCTTTGCTCATCACCTTTGACCACTGCATTCAGGCCAGGAACTTGGAAGAGGAAGAGAAGAGGAGGGAAGGGGAGGAAACAGGGTCCTCTTCCTTCCAAGCATGGGGCTGAGGGAACAAGGAGCAGAGCTGTTAAGGATCCTTGAAGACACTCTCCCATTCAGTCTCATTTAGCCCTCACCACAGGTGTCATTGTTGCCATCTTACAGATGTGAGAACTGAGGCTCACAGCAGTAAGGGGCTTGCCCAAAATGGAATGTGGTATAGTTCATTGGAGCAACTTTTATTGAGCACCTACTGTGTGCCAGGCACTATGCAGGGGCCTGGGGATCCAGCAGTGAACAAGGACAACCCTGGCCCTTGCAAAGCTCTCTTAGCCCAATGGGGAGATGGCCTTTTGGTAAATATTCCCGAAGTAATTGGCTAATTATAATCATGGCAGGTGCTTTGAAGTTCACATGCAGGGGTTCTTGTTTCCACTATAAAAACCACCCGTGCTCAATATCTGAAATTTGGAAAATATGGAAAAGATTAAAAAAAAGTATGCATCCATATATATATGTCTATATATATATATAGACATATATACAATCCAGCAATTCCCCCTGAGAACATTTTGCTGCTTTTCATTCCAGTCTTTCTGAAGTTTTATTTTTAAACATGGCTTTGCTCAGGGAATCAGTAGAGCATTGGGGTTAAAGAACGAGGGCTTGGAGCCCAGTGACCCCAGTTCAAATCCTAACTCTGCCAGTTTCCAGCTGGGTAACCTCTCCAAGCCTCCATTTATTTCCTCTATAAAAAGGGGCTAATCATACTACCTACCCATAGGGCTGCTTTTAGGAGAAAATGGGATTCTGTGTGTAACGTGCCTTGCACAGGCCTGGCACATAATAAGCACTTCTGGAAGTGTCCACCATTATAAATACCATCACTGTAATAAAGGATGCTGCAGTGAACATCTCAATGCATAAACTGTTTCTTGATTCTAGATTTAGTTCCTTGGAACAAATTCCCAGAAATGGAATGAATGGGGCCTTTGTGCCAGATTGACAATTTCCTTGCCGAAGGAAATTGCCCCCTCACATTTGCCCCTCACATTCATGACAGGCTCAGACCCAGGGAACAGCCCCCTTCCCACATTAGGGAGTCAGTCAAGGGAGGTGGACAATGACCTTGGATGGGCAGTGTGGGCAGGGGTCAGATGCTGGCTCTGGGACAGTCCCCTGCCTTGGCCCAGTCTCTTGAGATCCTGTAGGACCTCGGCACTGCTTTGAGCCTCAGTTTTCTCATCTGAAAATGGGGAACGATAATGGCCACCTCATACAGTTTGTGGTGAGAAATTAAACGAGATACAGCATTTTATTATAAAATGTTATTATTCACTTCAACAAAGGGGTTAGGAAACACGAACAGGATTGGCACAGGTTTATCTTCATCATCATCATCATCATCATCTCTACTATTTACTGAGATGTTCAGTGCCCCATACATAGTCTTTCATGGACTTGGCCTTACCACATGACCTTTCATGGACTTGGCCATCAACAGCCCTGGTTGATGTTTGCCCTCACTTAGTAGATGAAGGACTTGAGTATCAGAGAGGGTAGGCCACTTGCTCGAGGTCACCCAGCTGGTGAGAATTAGAGTTTCCACCAAAACAGTGTGAAGCAGCTCAAACCAATGGCTCTCAGTGGGGCTGTACTACACCCTCCCTGGCCCCCAGGGCCTTTTTGAAATTGGTGGAGATGAATTTTTCTTTCCTGAATGTGTGCATATTTTCATATCAAAATACATATTATTTTATTATAAATGACTTACCTTTTCTTTCTCCTTCATATTCTGGTAAGGGAATTATACTGGTTTTTGAAATATAGGTATACACAGGTTATAGAATCTGTGAACCTTATTCCAGAATAATAAGGGAGATAACACAAATGCCTGTAATCAAATGTGTAATGGGTATTGGGTTTGAAAGGTTTAAAGAAAACCTCAGTCCCAGGCTTGACCCTGTAGGCCCCCTGTAAATGGCAGCTGCTATTATTATTATTATATAGGTCTAGCCATTTATTTTAACTTTTTATTTTGAAATAATTTTAGGCACACAGAAAAGTTGCAAACATAGTACAGACAGTTCCAGAATACCCTTCTCCCAGCTCCCCCTAATGTTAGCATCTTACATAAACAGAGTACCATGATCAAAACCCAGAAATTAACATTGGTACAAAACCGTGAAGAATCTGCAGACGTATTCACCAGTTTCCCCTCTATTGCCTTTGGTCTGGTTCAGGGTCCAGTCAAGGATCCCCTCTTGCATTCAGTTGTCATGTCTCTTTAGAGTCCTCCAAGGTGGGACAATTCCTCACCTTTTCCTTGTGTTTCATAACCTTGACATTTCTGATGAGTCTGGCCTATTTTGTGCGATATGCCCTGGATTTGATGGACACTTTTTTCACAATTGGATTGAAGTTTTGTGGTTTTGGCAAGAACACCACAGAAGTGACGCAGTCCCCAGTGCATCCTTTCAGGGGATACCGATGTCCATGTGACTTATTCCTGGAGGTGTTCACTTTGAGTGCTTGCTTAAGTGCTTCTTCACTGTAAAATTACTATTTTTCCCTTAGTAGCTAATCAATCTCTTGTGAGGAGGTACCAGGAGACCATGCAAATATCCTGTTTCTCGTTAGACTTTCTCCCACTAATTTTTGCCATTCAGTGTTCACGGTTTTGTCTGCAACTGTTATGACTGTGGTGTGTGCCTAATGGTGATATTCTGCTTCTCCAATTCCTTTGACATGTGTCAGCTGGAATTCTACCGAGGAAGAGCTGTCCCTTCTCTTCCATTTATTTATTTATCCATTTAATTATTTATTTCTGTCGATAGAGACTCACGAATTTTTTTTTTTTTTTGGTCTATGGGTTATCATCTCTTACTTTTATTATTTATTTTGTTGAAGTTTTTTTTTTTTTTTTTTTGAGAGGGAGTTTTGCTCTTGTCACCCAAGCTGGAGTGCAATGGCGCGATCTCGGCTCACTGTAACCTCCACCTCCCGGGTTTAAGTGATTCTTGTGCCTCAGCCTCCCAAGTAGCTGGAATTACAGGCACGTGCCACCATGCCCAGATAATTTTTGTATTTTTAGTAGAGATATGGTTTCACCATGTTGCCCAGGCTGGTCTCGAACTCCTGACCTCAGGTGATCCACCTGCCTCAGCCTCCCAAAGTGTTGGGATTACAGGCGTAAGCCACCACGCCTGGCCAAAAAATTTTTTTTAATTATGAAAACTGGATTTTGGAAGACTGTGAAGAGGGACTCAGGCCTACTTCTCTTATTTTGGGGAATAAGGGGATGGGAAGTGTCTTGCCCAAGGTCCTCTGCACAGGGCCAGATAATGACCTGGCCAGGTGCTCCTCGGGCCTGCATGACCCCTTTATCTCCGCTGTTCAGAGTTACTGCTTCCTAGAAACATGACCGGCCAGATCCGTAGGCAGGTGAGTAGCAAGGCTCTAGCCAGAGCCACCCCACCCATCACCGGCTACTCTGTTCTGCCATCCAAGGACCTTTTGGTGCTGAGCGCATGAGTGACAGAGGCAGAGATGCTGCTGCAACTGGAAGAAGCTGGAACCAGTCCCAGAGAGGCTCGGCCTGGAAACAGTCCCCTGCCCAGAGTCCCCTCAGCCTCCATGACAGGTCCCTCCCTGGCCCCCCAACCCTCTTCCTCCCTTGCCCCAACCCTGAGAAAGGGTCCAGCCACTACCCTGTTGGCAAACATTCCCTTCCATGGTCAGCCTGCCAGGAGGAGGGGAGTCACCTTGGGGCTGGAGGCCTCTCAGACCCCATCCTGACAGCAGGTTGAGTATTCCCACTTTCAATAAAAGACTCCACTTTCCCGGCACTTGTGACGAGTTTCCATGAAGGACCCTCCCTCAGGGTCTGGATGGTTTGGGTTTTTTTCCCTCTTTGGCTGCGCCCGGGCACTTGGCAGTTGTAGCTACAACTGCGGGAATGATGGTCCCTCTGGGGACAGCGGGGGAAGCAACCTGTCTCTTCATATTAAAACAACCACACAGCATTCTATGGAGAGGGTCCCCTGCCACCAGGACATTTTCGTACTTCACTACTCTCAACTCTGGCATCAGGAGGTCATTAAAGTGCAGGAGTTTTGGAGTAGGGAGGATGAGGTTCAAATCCCAACTCTGTCACTTGGTTGTGTGACTTGATGAGGTCCTTAGCCTTTCTGAATCTCAATTTTCCCATCTGTAAAATGGATAATAGTAATAATTATTATACTCCAAAATGAGTGTGAGGATATTAAATAAGATCAGGTATTTCTGAGGCACTTAACACTGAGGCTGACATGCAGTAGGTGCTCAATATGTGCTCACTGTGGTTAGTAACAAAGTCCACTAATTCCTAAAGTGTGAGCTTGTGGAACCCCTTGCCTCTAGTCAGAGGTAAACTGAGGACAAGGAGGGGTCCTTGGCATGTCTCTTGGCCGAGACAGTGCCCAGGGGACCCCTCCTAGGGACAGTGCCACATCTCCCTGTAGAGCCATAGGGCACATTCAGAGCAGTTTAGGAGAGTTATTTGATCCCAGCCTTGAAGGCGTGCAGAAATACTGAAGTCCCTTTTACATAATTAAGGATTTTTTTTTCCTCCTAGTGATTTTTAAAAAGACTTTTTTTTATGTCTCTGTTGTTTTCTTTTACTTAAATATCAGGAATCTAAGCTACTGGGTTGTCGGGTTCAATAGTAGATTTCTGGCTTCACCATCCATCCATTCTTGCATTCACTGACTGTCTAGCAATGATTTAGGGACTGGGATTTCTACACTTGACAAGGGATACAGGGCTTCCTCATGAAGGTTAGGTTCTAGTCCATGAGACAGACTTTAAGTAATTACGGCCTAAGTAAACAATAACGAGTAAATCAATAAACAGAGGTCATTTGAGATTGTCATGGGGGCTATAAAGGGAATAAACAGGGACTCCTCTTGGGGAGGGAAGGGGAAAGGAGGTGGCACCATTGGGTGGTCAGGGAAGGCGTCTCTGAGGAGGAAACACATCATCAGAGACCCCTCTGGGGGCCTTCACAGCCCACCACCCTTCCCTCCGCAGCTTCCTGGGTCTAGGTGCCTCCTGGTCTCCTTGGTAACGGCCAAACCCTAACCCCTTGGAGGAGGAAGGGGCTCAGAAAGAAGCAGGGTGGGACTTCCTGTCCAGCCTGCCCAGGGAAGGGCTAAAGGGGAGGAAGTCCTTACTTAGAGGGTGGTGCTTGGGGAGGAGGCTGCTCCTTTCCTGTCATGGCTGCCCTCTCTTTCCTTCCACTGTGTTAGAACCACCTGCTATAAATCCTCATGAATTCATCCATTTGTTTCCATCCCTGCACCACCCTGGTTCCACTCCCATCATCTCTCCCCTGGGCCACTGCTCCAGCCTCCCCAGTGCTCCCCCACCTTCCACTCCTGCTCTGACTGATGGAGGGCAGGTGAGCCCCAGAATTGGGGCTTATCCCAGGCGGGTTCTTGGCTTCTCCCAGGAAAGAATTCAAGGGCGAGCTGGTGGTGTCAGACAGCAACTTTTACTGAAGCAGCAATGCATGGCAGCAGAGGGACTGCTCCTTGCAGAGCAAGGCTACCCCACAGGCAGTGTGTGCAGAGGAGCAGCGGATAGGCTTTTGGCAGCTGTATGTCAACCCACTTTTAATTACATGCTAGTTAAGAGGTGAGTTATTTGGAACTTTCTGGGAAAAGAGCTGGAAGTTTCTGGAACCATTTAAGTAACTTCTGAGTTGTTGCCATGGCCCATTGCCATGGCATTTGTAAACTGTCGTGGCCCAGTGGGAGTGTCCTTATGCAGTGAGGGCAACTAGAGTCGCCTTCGTGGCCATCTGCTGGTTTTCCCTGGCTTCCTCACTGCACCCTCTTTTGAACAAATCCTGCTCTGATTAGGAGGGTAATGATCAAAGTTATGACCAGTGCTCGGAAAACAAGTCCTGGTGATCTCCTACCTCTGTACCATCTATTCTCCAGTCAGCTGTAACAGGTCTGGATTTTTAAAACTGCAGATCCAATCACTTCCCTCCCCAGGTTTTCCTTCCGTGAGCTTTTCATGGGTGCAGAGCAAAATCCAGACCCTCACCACTGCCCACAAGGTCCTGCAGGGTCTTCTCCCATCCCCATTCCCCAGCCCACCTCTCCCTAGTCCTCTGCTGAAGAAGGGAAAGTGAAGCCCTCCACGGGGCCCTCCCACCCTTTCCTCAGGAGGCTTCACACCAACTTATGTCGGACATCTTAAAACATACCCACATCCTTTAACAAGTTTGATTTATTCTGCTATTCAGTTTTTGAGAGGATTTTTGAAACTTAAAAAAAAGTTTTGGCATTATAAATAACTCATTTCAGCCAGGCATGGTGGCTCATGCCTGTAATCCCAGCACTTTGGGAGACCAAGCCAGGCGGATCACCTGAGGTCAGGAGTTCAAGACCAGCCTGCCCAACATGGTGAAACCCCGTCTCTATTAAAAATACAAAAATTAGGGCAACCCACTTGGGACCCCTTCCACACCATGGAAGCTTTGTTCTTTTGCTCTTTGCAATAAATCTTGCTACTGCTCGCTCTTTGGGTCCACACTGCCTTTATGAGCTGTAACACTCACCGCCAAGGTCTGCAGCTTCACTTTTGAAGCCAGTGAGACCACGAACCCACTGGGAGGAACGAAGAACTCCAGATGCGCCGCCTTAAGAGCTGTAACACTCACCGTGAAGGTCTGCAGCTTCACTCCTGCAGCCAGCGAGACGAGACCATGAACCCACCAGAAGGAAGAAACTCCGAACACATCCGACCATCAGAAAGAACAAACTCTGGACACGCCGCCTTTAAGAAGTGTAACACTCACTGTGAGGGTCCGCGGCTTCATTCTTGAAGTCAGTGAGACCAAGAACCCACCAATTCCAGACACAAGATCACGACATTGCACTCTAGCCTGGGTGACAGAGTGAGACTCCATCTCAAAAAAAAAAGAACAAGGCTAATCTTTCCTGAACATTAAAACTTTGCACCCGGTGCTCTCCCTCTCCCTCTCCCTCCCCCTCCCCCTCCCCCTCTCCCCACGGTCTCCCTCTCCCTCTCTTTCCAGGGTCTCCCTCTGATGCCGAGCCGAAGCTGGACTGTACTGCTGCCATCTCGGCTCACTGCAGCCTCCCTGCCTGATTCTCCTGCCTCAGCCCGCCCAGTGCCTGCTGTTGCAGGCGCGCGCCGCCACGCCTGACTGGTTTTCGTACTTTTTTGGTGCAGACGGGGTTTCGCTGTGTTGGCCGGGCTGGTCTCCAGCTCCTAACCGCGAGTGATCCGCCAGCCTCGGCCTCCCGAGGTGCCGGGATTGCAGACGGAGTCTGGTTCACTCAGTGCTCAATGGTGCCCAGGCTGGAGTGCAGTGGCGTGATCTCGGCTTGCTACAACCTCCACCTCCCAGCCGCCTGCCTTGGCCTCCCAAAGTGCCGAGATTGCAGCCTCTGCCCAGCCGCCACCCCATCTGGGAAGTGAGGAGCGTCTCTGCCTGGCCGCCCATCGTCTGGGACGTGAGGAGCCCCTCTGCCTGGCTGCCCAGTCTGGAAAGTGAGGAGCGTCTCTGCCCGGCCGCCATCCCATCTGGGAAGTGAAGAGCACCTCTTCCCGGCCGCCATCACATCTAGGAAGTGAGGAGCGTCTCTGCCCGGCGCCCATCGTCTGAGATGTGGGGAGCGCCTCTGCCCCGCCGCCCCGTCTGGGATGTGAGGAGCGCCTCTGCCCGGCCGAGACCCCGTCTGGGA
The DNA here is from genome assembly GCF_000001405.40 of Homo sapiens. Taxonomy (NCBI): domain Eukaryota; kingdom Metazoa; phylum Chordata; class Mammalia; order Primates; family Hominidae; genus Homo; species Homo sapiens. The sequence continues at coordinate 33,115,667 of NC_000020.11, forward strand.
GGTGAGGAGCGTCTCTGCCCGGCCGCCCCGTCTGAGAAGTGAGGAGACCCTCCGCGCGGCAGCCACCCCGTCTGGGAAGTGAGGAGCGTCTCCGCCCGGCAGCCACCCTGTCCGGGAGGGAGATGGGGGTCAGCCCCCGCCAGGCCAGCTGCCCCGTCCGGGAGGGAGGTGGGGGGGTCAGCCCCCTGCCCGGCCAGCCGCCCCGTCCGGGAGGTGAGGGGCGCCTCTGCCCAGCCGCCCCTACTGGGAGGTGAGGAGCCCCTCTGCCCGGCCACCACCCCGTCTGGGAGGTGTACCCAACAGCTCATTGAGAACGGGCCAGGATGACAATGGCGGTTTTGTGGAATAGAGAGGGGGGGAAAGGTGGGAAAAAGATTGAGAAATCGGATGGTTGCCGTGTCTGTGTAGAAAGAAGTAGACATGGGAGACTTTTCATTTAGTTCTGTACTAGGAAAAATTCTTCTGCCTTGGGAAACTGTTGATCTGTGACCTTACCCCCAACCCTGTGCTCTCTGAAACATGTGCTGTGTCCACTCAGGGTTAAATGGATTAAGGGCGGTGCAAGATGTGCTTTGTTAAACAGATGCTTGAAGGCAGCATGCTCGTTAAGAGTCATCACCACTCCCTAATCTCAAGTACCCAGGGACACAAACACTGCGGAAGGCCGCAGGGTCCTCTGCCTAGGAAAACCAGAGACCTTTGTTCACTTGTTTATCTGCTGACCTTCCCTCCACTATTGTCCTGTGACCCTGCCAAATCCCCCTCTGCGAGAAACACCCAAGAATGATCAATAAAAAAACAAAACAAAACAAAAAAAAACTTTGCACCCATATCAGTTTCTCTTCATGACCTAAAGGAAAAGATCTGAAATCAATTCAAATTATTAAGTGAATTGAATTTCTTTGGAAACAAACACCACTTAGAAAATCTTATTCTCATCTACTTTTCCAAATAACAAGATATATAATGTACTATTTCTGCTTAGAACTTATAAAAGTCTTTTATGTAATTTTTTTCACCAGGAACCCTAAAGCTCTCATAGCTCTCGGGAGCATCAGAAGTAGCAAAACCAATCAAATTTCAAATACCTGGTATCCTCTATCAATTTTTAGAGGCTTGATAATGGTAGCTTAGGAATTTTTGGATAAATAGAGCAGATAGTGAATTCTTGGAAATCCATAGGAAACAAAATGACTATTTATAGAACCAAATAAAAGCCTTCCGTTAGAAACTAAAAAAAATCAATGGTGTTTTATGTGTTTATATAAGCAAAATGCAAAGGAGAAAAAACAGCAAATAAATGAAAATTAGAAGAAAAAAAAACAAACAGGAAACCACTCCCCAATTTTTCTCTTACTTGGTTTACCCAGGAGGCTATAGTATTGCCCAGAGCCTACAAAAACAAATGATGAATATTTTGTTCCTGGTACACAATTTAATGTCTTTAAGTCCACCAATACCATTATGTATTTTTTGCAATTGAGAAATTCACTTTAGGTACATGACCAGTAAGTACTTTAGTGCTGAAACTGTCTATGCAGAATAGCAAAAATAGTGTGAAGCAATGCAAGCATATATGTGAAATTTGGCTCCATGCTAACTAAATCTGGCTTCATGCTTAACTTTATTAAAAAAGAATGGCCAAACTGCCAATGTATTTCTTTACAATATTTTTTATTTTACTTTCTTCAAGATTAAGAACTTTATGAACAGTGTTAATTCGCTGAATTTCTCCAATTTTCTATCAGCTTTTAAAGAATATTTTACTATCTAAGCTTTTTCAACTTTTTTTTTTTTTTTTAAATAACCAGTCATTTTACTTTAGGACAAAAATTTACCTTACAATTTACCATCCTTTCTCATATGAAAGTATTCTCTTTTCTTTATACCCTTCCTTACCAAAAACACATCTTCATATCTGTAACTTTCTTTTTTTTCTTTTTTTTTTTGAGAGGGAGTCTCACTCTGTAGCCCAGGCTGGAGTGCAGTGGCGCCATCTCGGCTCACTGCAAGCTCCGCCTCCCGGGTTCACGCTGTTCTCCTGCCTCAGCCTCCCGAGTAGCTGAGACTCCAGGCACCCGCCACCATGCCTGGCTAATTTTTTGTATGTTTAGTACAGACGGGGTTTCACCGTGTTAACCAGGATGGTCTTGATCTCCTGACCTTGTGATCCGCCCCCCTCGGCCTCCCAAAGTGCTGGGATTACAGGCGTGAGCCACCACGCCCAGCCCATATCTGTAACTTTCTTCACATCACTCTCCCCTACTTACTGATTCCTTACTACTTTGTTTCATGAATAACCTTTTCAAGTCCATATTTTGAATTAAACTTTAGATAACTTCTGAATTAAATAAAAATTATTATTTTTCTCACTAAAAAAAAAAAAATACAAAAATTAGCCAGGTATGGTGGCATGCCCCTGTAATCCCAGCTACTTGGGAGGCTGAGGCAGGAGAATTGCTTAAACCCAGGAGGCAAAGGTTGCAGTGAGCCAAGATCATGCCACTCTACTCCAGCCTGGGTGACAGTATGAGACACCATCTCAAAATAAATAAATAAAAAATAAAATAACCCATTTCATTTTCCACTGGGTCTGATTTCTCAAAAGTCAAATGACATGCTCATGTGTTCTTGTAAAGTGAAAAAATGGAAGGATTTGGGAGACCAGGGAAGGAGGAAGAGACTGGATTGGGCCAGATGAGAATTTGGGCAGAGCAGCATGGGGCTGAGTGCCCAGATGACGGTGGATGGTCAGGAAGGCTTGGAATTCTGGAGAAGAGGAGTGAAGCAGGATGTGATTAGTGCTGCTGACTCAGGAGAGGGGCCTCAACACCCAGCCTGATGGTCCAGGGCTCAGACCACACTGATCCATTCTTGCTCATGACAGTGGATCAAGCCATCACTGCACCCTGCATTGACAATGACAAAACCAAGTGAACGGTTGTTTTAAATTTAAACACAAGGAAAGCCTCACTGAGCATCTCCACCAGTTTGGGATGATACAGAGGTTTCACTGATGATCATAGATGCTCCTTAAAATGTCAGGATTCCAGCTGTCTGTGTGTAAGTGCTGTGGGCTCCTGGAAGCCCTGTGTGGCAGCAGATTTCATGGCAGAATATGCCATGTATCTCCGCTAATGTCTTAATTCAGTTGTAGATGACAAATAACAAACTCGAGCAGCCTCCTAAAGACTTCACTTAGTAGATGTTTCTGCTATTAATCCTGAGTAACAAACCATCTCAAAACTTAATAGCACAAAACACAATTTTAGCTTCCTCACAGATTCTGTGGGTCAGAACAGCTTATCTCTGCTCCAAGATGTCCGGGGTCCTCAGCTGGGAAGACTCAAACAACTCGGGGTGATTTGAGAGCAGGGGGTTGGAATCATTTGGAGTCTTCTTCACTCACCTGCCGGCTGGTTGATGTTGGCTGTCAGCTGTGACACCTACACATGGCCCCTCTGGGTACTGGGTACTGGTATCCCAAGGGAGCAAAATGGAAGCTGCATGGTACTTTTGTGATCTGGTTTTGGAAGTCACGTAGTGTCACTTCTGCTTATACACAGTTAGTCAAGGTGGTCACGAGAGCCTTTCTAGGTTCAACAAAGTGGCCACTTCATCAGTCTTATCACAATGGCATACAACCCTGATGTTACCGGTGGGCTGGGGGAGGTCCCCAAATGCCAATGGGACCTTGACTCCAGCCAGCATCCAGGCTCTTGACACCATTGCAAGAAGGAATTCAAGGATGAGTCAGAAAATAGTGAAAGTATGGAGATTTATTGCAAAGTGAAAAGTACTCACTCAAAAAAAGGGGAGTGCAGGTGCACTTAAGAGAGTCATGCGAGGGGCTTTGAGGCTGCTACCTTTGTGGATTTCTTTAATCAAGGGGTGGAATGTTCATAAAGATTCCTGAAAAAAAGTGGACATTTCAGAACTGTGGTGCCATTCATTTTTACACCAAATATGGATGTTCCTGGAACTGTCATGGTGCTGGTGGGTGTGTAATTTAGTATGTTAATGATCATATAATGAGGGCCTAGGTGAAACCTAGGTCAAATCCAGTGCCATGTTTGGTCCAGTTGGTCTTAGCCAGTTTGGTGCACACCATTTTTCACCATCTTATCAGCTATTTCAACAGTTTCATTTTACTAGTCATGTGAAACTGCTGCCTGGGATTTTCTGTTCTCTTGCAACCACCCTGTATTATTCATATCTCATTTTCAGTGACCCTAGCATCTCTGAAGTGGTTCACTTTGTTTCTTCTTAGCTTCACCACCCTGACCTTCAATCCCACACTGATAATCTTATTTGCAGGTTGACTACTAAAAAGAGTACTATGCTACTCCAGTCCTCCTATTTTTCAGATGAGGCAAGTGAGGTTCAGAAAGACAAAGAGCATCCCCCAGAAGCAGCAGGCTGGTGATTCCCAGGAAATACTTGGTTTCTTATTTCAACTGCATCAGAAGCCACCTCGATATTCAGTAGCTTAATAAACCCAACACTTTATTATTTTTCATGCTTCTGTGGATTAACTAGGTAGTTCTAAGTGTGGCGTTGGCTGGGGCACTGGGATAGCTGAACAGTCCAAATGACCTCACTCACACAGCTGGTAGTTTTGTCAGCCACTGTTTAGGAGCTCAGCTGGGACTCTTGGCTAGGGAGCCTCTGTTCTCCTCCACATAACTGCTTGAGTTTCCTCCTATTATGGTGGCTGGGTTCAAAACAAAGACATTCCAGAATGGCGAAGGTGAAAGCTACAGATTTCTTAAGGCCTAGCCTTGGAAGTTATACAGTGTCAATTCTACTATTATTTTTGTCAAAATAGCCCATGAGTCAGCCCAGATTCAAGGAGACAGGAAGTGGACTCCACCCAGCAATGGAATGAGTGGCAAAGAATATGTGATCATCTTTAATTCACCACAGGTTCTCCAGTTGGTAGTGAAGCAGGTGAGCAAAGTTGAAGGCCCAGGTGTCAATCCCAGAGTGGTTTGTAAACATGAGGAACAACTAATGACCAACAGGAGGAGGATAGTTAAAATAATTATGTTCAATATATGCGGTGGAGTACTCTATCACTGTTAACAAAAGACACAGAAACGTATTTGTAATACATTGCTACATGAAAAAAGAGCTTATAAAAACACTGTGCAGGGCATAATCCCATTTTTATTTAGGGAAAATTTTACCCAACTTTACCTGTATGTGCACAGAAAAGCTTCTGAAAGAAGATACACCATCATTCTTGTGGTGGTTATCTCAGAGGGTGACATTGATTTCTTTTTTTCTTCTAGCGAATTTGTACCTTCTTTAAAAAATTACCACAGAAATTGATTTTTTTAAATAAAAAAGAAATTCCCAAAGGGCACCAAAACAACCCAGTTATTCTCTCTGGGAATTGCAGCCAGGCACTGCGCCTGAGGCCTTCCCTTCAGTGTAGCCCTCACTAGTGTCAGTGCGGCCCCAGCTCAAGAGAGCCTCTTTGAGTAAAGACTTCCCAAGGCCTCTTCTCCTGCCCTGTGCTCCCAGCCAGGATCCTCTCCCAGTGACTTGGGAGTCTTGGACAAGGCAGCACCCACAGCTCAACCTAGGGGCTCTTTGGGTGAGAAAATCCTTGTGCCTTTTGGTGTTAGTGGGTTAGTTTTTGGATTAGGTGAAGTGACCTCTTGAGTGTAAATTCACGGACACAGGTCAGGTGTGACAGAGAGGAGGGTAAATGGGAAGGAGCTAGTGTTTATTAAATGCCTAGCAAGTGCAAGAGCAGTGCCAGGCATTGCCCATTGATACGGTTTCGCTGTGTCCCCACCACAATTTCAACTTGAATTGTATCTCCCAGAATTCTCACATGTTGTGGAAGGAACCCAAAGGGAGGTAATTGAATCATGGGGGCTGGTCTTTCCTGTGCTATTCTCGTAATAGTGAATAAGTCCCACGAGATCTGATGGGTGTATCAGGGGTTTCCACTTTTGCTTCTTCCTCATTCTCTCTTGCCACCGCCATGTAAGCAGTACCTTTCACCTTCTGCCATGATTCTGAGGCCTCCCTAACCATGTGGACCTGTAAGTTCAATTAAACTTCTTTTTCTTCCCAGTCTCAAGTATGTCTGTATCAGCAGTGTGAAAACAGACTAATACAGTAAATTGGTACCTGTAGAGTGGTGTGTTGCTGAAAAGGTATCCGAAAATGTGGAAGCGACTTTGCAACTGGGTCATAGGCAGAGCCTGCAACAGTTTGGAGGGCTCAGAAGAAGACAGGAAAATGTGGGAAAGTGGAAATTCCTAGAGACTTGTTGAATGGCTTTGCCCAAAATGCTGATAGTAATGTGGACAATAAGGTCCAGGCTAAGGTGGTCTCAGATGGAGCTGAGGAACTTGTTGGGAATTGAAGTAAAGGTAACTGTTGTTATGTTTTAGCAGAGACTGGCAGTATTTTGCCCCTGCCCTCAGAGATTTGTGGAACTTTGAACTTGAGAAAGATGGTTTAGGGTTATCTGGAGGAAGAAATTTCTAAGAAGCAAAGCATTCAAGAGGTGACTTGGGTACTGTTAAAGGCATTCAGATTTATAAGGGAAGCAGAGCATAAAAGTTTGGAAAATTTGCAGCCTGATTATGTGATAGAAAAGAAAAATCCATTTTCTGGGGAGAAATTCAAGCTGGTTGCAGAAATTTGTATAAGTAGCAAGGAGCCTAATGTTAATCCCCAAGGCCATGGGGAAAATGTCTCCAGGCCATGTCAGAGACCTTCATGGCAGCCCCTCCCATCACAGGCCCAGGGTCTCAGGAGGAAAAAATGGTTTTGTGGGCTGGGCCCAGGGTCCCTGTGCTGTGTGCAGCCTGGGGACTTGGGGCCTTGCATCCCAGCCACTCCAGCTGTGGCTGAAAGGGGCCAACATACAGCTTGGGCTGTGGCTTCAGAGGGTGGAAGCCCAAGCCTTGGCAGCTTCCACATGGTGTTGAGCCTGCAGGTGCACAGAAGTCAAGAATTAAGGTTTGGGAACCTCCACCTAGATTTCAGAAGATGTATGGAAACGCCTGGATGCTCAGACAAAAGTTTGCTGTAGGGGTGGTGCCCTCATAGAGAACCTCACTAGGGCAGTGCAGAAGGGAAATGTGGGGTCAGAGCCCCCACACAGAGTCCCTACTGTGGCACTGCCTAGTGATGCTGTGAGAAGAGGGCCACCGTCCTTCAGACCCCAGAATGGTAGTTCCACTGACAGCTTGCATCATGCACCTGGAAAAGCCACAGACACTCAATGCCAGCTCATGAAAGCAGCTTGGAGGGAGGCTGTACCCTGCAAAGCCACAGAGGTGGAGCTGCCCAAGACCGTGGGAACCCACTTCTTCCATCAGTGTGACCTGGATGTGAGACATGGAGTCAAAGGAGATCATTTTGGAGCTTTGAAATTTGACTTCCCCACTAGATTTCAGACCTGCATGGACCATGTAACCCCTTTGTTTTGGCCAACTTCTCCCATTTGGAATGGCTGTATTCACCCAATGCCTGTACCCCTATTGTATCTAGGAAGTAACTAGCTTGCTTTTGATTTTACAGGCTCATAGGCAGAAGGGACTTGCCTTGTCTCAGATGAAACTTTGGACTGTGAACTTTTGGGTTAATGCTGAAAAGAGTTAAGATTTTGGGAGATTGTTGGGATGGCATGGTTGGTTTTGAAATGTGAGGACATGAGATTTGGAGAGGCCAGGGGCTGAATGATATGGTTTGGCTGTGTCCCCACCATAATCTCAACGTGAATTGTATCTTCCAGAATTCCTACATGTTGTGGGAGGGACCCAGGGAGAGGTAATTGAATCATGGAGGCTGGTCTTTCCCGTGTTGTTCTCATGATAGTGAATAAGTCTCATGAGGTCTGATAGGTTTATCAAGGGTTTCCGCTTTTGCTTCTTCCGCATTCTTTCTTGCCACCACCATGTAAGAAGTGCCTTTCCCCTTCTACCATGATTCTGAGGTCTCTCCAAGCATGTGGAACTGTAAGTCCAATTAAACCTCTTTTTCTTGCCAGTCTCGGGTATGTCTTTATCAGCAGCATGAAAATAAACTAATACACCCATTGATTATTTTGTGAAACTCTCACAGCCATCCTGGGTAATAAGGGGTCTTATCCTCATTTCAGATGAGGATGTGAGGCTCAGAAAGCTTAAGCGACCAGCTCAGGTCCATCCAGCAAGCAAGTGGAGCAGCTGGGACATGGCCCCAAGTATGACCCTAGAACCTGCTCTTTTTCACTGCTCCATAGCGAGTAGAGGCACAGAAAAACAAGAAGGAAAAACAAGAGGGTTTGGAGAAAAGAAAAAGGACTAGTCTCATGAGAACATGTGAGCAGCAGGAGATGGGTATAGTAAATTGGTACCAGATCATGAATGCATTGATGCCTGGAAGGCTGGCTGAAGAGTTTGGGTTTTCTCTTGCAGGCAGTGGGGAGCTACGGAAGTTTCTTGGGGAGGAGAGGTACCTGACATTGGTATTGGATATGCTGAGATGGACAAAGTAGACTGGAGTGAGAAAGGCTGGAGTCAGGGCCTTGGAGGAAGACAGGAGACCCCTGGGGGCAGGGGAGGGGATCTGATCAAGTGGACATTGGCATTTCATTTCATGAGACCTCCTTGAGTGAAGTGAGTGCTACCGCCTGGATCCCTGAGGTGTCCCCACTTCCAAGCCCCAAGGTCTGAGCTCAGGCATGAAGCCCCATCCCATGCCCCAGCTACCACCTTCTTTCTGCCATGCCTGAGGTTCTCCAACTGGATGCAGGCACCCTGCCAATGTCACCAATGCTTGCTCTCAAATGATTAAACTTTCTGTTTTGCACATGATTCTGGAGCAGAGTGAGTGTCTGTGGTTCACTGACACCATCAGCCTAAAAGTCCCCAGCATGGAGCTCAAGAAATGCAAGTCCTCTCCTGCTTCCCCCCATAAGACCTTTAATTTTTCGTGGAAACTGAGGCCCAGGACATCAAAGGGCCACTTACCAGGAGTAGTACGGCAGGGTCAGGACCCAGCCTCTGAGCCCTCATCAAAGTTTCTCTCACTTCATCATAGAAGCCCCAGGGCAGCAGGTAAAAAAATTGCAGATCCCCAGGCCCACACTCCCCAGAGCTTCTGTCTCAGTAGTTCCAGGATGGAGAACTGGAATCCAAATTTAATAAGCTGCATGGGTGGGTCTGATGCAGCTGGATTGGGGGACACTTGGAGAAACATTGCTTTAGTCGACTCTTGCCTTTAGGCAGTCAGGGAAACTAAGGCTTGGAGAGGGCAAGGGGCACACAGCAAGCAGGTGATGGAGTTGATTGTAGAACCAGGTATTTGATGCCCACCTCTAAGTCCAGGTGACCGTGACTTACATGTGATGGTGTTCCACGGGATCCCTCAAGCCCCAAGAGTGTCTCCCTCCCCTGCTCAAGGTATGAGCCAAGTGTGACAGCTCAGCTGTCAACTCCCAGCCCAGCCACTTTCCAGGCAAAAGGTGACTCGGAAAAGGACGAATACAGAAGCTGGCATGGCCCAGGTTTGATAAAAACAAGCCGGGCATTTGCCCAAAGGGAGCCACAGGGGCTCAGCTCTAAGGAACACTTGTTCTGAGCCCTGAGCTGACTCCAGACCTGCCTCCCTCCCCGCCCCACCTGAATGCTGACATCTCACCTGTTGGCCTCACCAGATGCCATATATCTGCCCCCTGGGGGATTCCACACCTCCCTCCCAGTCTCTCAGGCCACACTGCCATGGCCCTATCAGTCCTCCTCCACCTGCTCTTGTCCTCACCCAGTCTTGCCACAGCCCTCTCCACTTCAAGTTGCTGGGACCCTTTTGTCGTCACTGTTCTGGTTCTGGACCTTCTTTCCTAGTTTCTGGACCCGAAAAGACTCCCAGGTCCTGTCTTTGCCCAGATCTGCCCTGTCATGAGTCACAGATCTGAGCATCTGATCCTTCATCCAGTGAGCATTAATTGAGCAACTACTATATGCCAGGTTATGTGGTTATGTGGACAGCCTCCCTTCCCTATTGTCATCCAAATTTAGGCAGCTCTACTATTTTGTGGGCCAAGTGTGGACCTGGAAATCTTTGCCAAGTCTGTGATTCCCCCGCCAACCTCCATCCACTAACCCCTGGGGGTCTATTATTTCTCCAGTGTACTGCCAGGGGTCCAGGAGCAGGTTCCCATGCTCCTCCGCACACTTGGGCAGTGCCCTACCCCACAGGAGGGTTATAAAGCATGTTGTGGTTGCAATCTCACTTGACCCTCATCTGGGAACTGAGAGAGAAAGCAGAGATTCGAATTCCCATTTCACAAGTGGGGGAACTGAAGCATGGGAAGGTGATCTGGTGAGGAAAGGCAGTGTTGGGATGGTGATTCAGGCCTCCTGATCTCGCCTGCAGGGCTCTTTCCTCTGATCATTACAGCAACAATGGATCGAGTCTACTCGGTGCCCAGCTTAGTGATAAGCTCCTGGCATGCACTCATTCAGCCATCACAACGGCTCCTCAAAGCAGGAACAACCATTATCTCTACTTTACATGTGAGGGAATTGAGGCCCAGAGAGGGGAATTGAGGCCAGAGAGGGCACTTGAGGTCACCTGGTGCATGATGAGCAAAGTTCGGTTTCAAATGCAGGTTGTCCTGACATCAGAGCGCCAGATCCTAACCTAAGCCACAGAGATTATGGGGGGAAATTTAAATCCAGCCATAGGTGTGGTCCTGGAAAGTGGCCAGAGGAGGTGGGGGTGAGGTTAGGAGTCAGTCCACATTGCACTATCAGCATTGAAACTGACACTTGAATAATCCTATACTCAAACCTATGGAGAGTTTTCTTGTATCCCTGCTGCAATTTACCTGATATAAGACACAGCATGGCCGTGGCTTCAGATGGGGGTTTCTGGGCTCCCTGATAGAAAAACAGGTGGAGCTGCTGTGGGGCTTGGAAGCCCTGCCCTGCAGACCCTTTCACCTCCAAGACTGCCCCTACTTAATGAGGATAACACGGCAACCATGGTGATAGCTCTCTACTAAAGGAAGATGGACAGGATGGTCACAGTCACAGCTCGGATGGTCACAGTCGCAGCTCAGATGTTCCGAGCACTTGCCATGTGCCAGGTGCCACGTGGCCAAGCCCTATATTTCCCTATTTCTTTACTTTTTCTTGTCCTCATTTTACAGATGAGAAATTGAGGTTTAGTCAAGTTAGCTGACCACTTCAAGAGCATACTGCTCATAAATGGAAGACTCAGGATTTAAACCCAGTGCCCACAGATGCCTCGACCATCTTTAATCCAGTGGATTGGAGCAGGGATACAAGAAAACTGTCCACAGATTTGAATGTAGGATTATTTAAATGAATCCATTTCTGCAGTGTCATCATTCCTGTGTTCTCTTTTCCAAGAATCTTCCTTTTAAGGGTGGCTTCTCCTTTCCCATCTTTTTTTCCACATTCTTTCTCCTGTTTTTTTCTTTTAAGTACAGGGATAATCGAACATTTTGGGAGGCCAAGGTGGGCAGATCACTTGAGCTCAGGAGTTCGAGACCAGCCTGGGCAACATGGCGAAACCCCATCTCTACCAAAAATACAAAAATTAGCTGGGCATTGGTGGTGCGCACCTGTGGTACCAGCTACTCAAGAGGCTGAGGTGGGAGGATCGCTGGAGACCGGGAAGTCAAGGCCACAGTGAGCTGAGATCACGCCACTGGACACCAGCCTGGGTGACAGAGTGAGACCTTGTCTCAAAAATAAATAAATAAATTAATTAATTTAAATACAGGAACTCGCTCTGACACTTGGGCTGGAGTGCAGTGGTGTGATCATAATTCACTGCAGACTTGAACTCCTGGGCTCCAGCAATCCTCCCACCTCAGCCTCCTGAATAGCTGTGATTACAGGCATGAGCCACTACATCCAGCTAACATATTTTTTGTAGAGATGGGGTCTCACTGTGTTGTCCAGGCAGCCTGCCCACCCCTGGCCTTAAGCGATCCTCCCACCTAGTGCTGGGATTACAGATAGGAGCTGCCACTGAATCTTTCTGCTTCTTAGCATTTCTCTCTTTGTCCCCAACCCCTACTCAAGTGCATTGCCTGGGGGGCTCAACCTCCAGGGCTCTGAACAAAGGGACAGAGTGATGCTCCAGTGGCCAGGAAGCAAGCCAGGTGGTTTTCAATTAGCTTTCAACAAAAGAGGAGTGTTGCTGCTGGTGGTGGTATTAATCTGCTGGAATTGTTGCAAAACCATTTTTGATAAAACATCATCACATGATTTTTGGCATTTACATTGAAAGCAGTTCAAAGAATTGAGCAACACTGTTTTACCAAAACTCTGTTCATTCTTATCTGCTGACCTGTATTTGCTAAACAAATAAGCGGATGTTTTTTAAGAGCGCTTAGGTCTCTAAAAATGAAAATTAGGTCTCTGATGAGTGCTAAACACTGCCTCCTTCTAGCAATAAGCAAATTATAAATCTGTTAAAAGAACTAATTGGAAAAAAGCCCAATCCATGTCATTAACACATCCATTTCCAAATCAATATTACTTTGTGTTTAATTATTATCAAAATTTGTTTTGATAAATTGTATATCACTATTAATAGTAACAATCTAAAAGATTATTTTAAATACATAGTGTCCACTGGTCAAAGGAGATTTGAAAAAAATTTAATCAAGATACATATTTTTTTAATGTTTACTTTTTAACAAATTTTTATATTTCCATAGGTTTTGGGGGAATGGTATTTAGTTACAAGAGTAAGTTCTTTAGTGGTGATTTGTGAGATTTTGGTGCACCCATCACCCAAGCAGTATACATTGGATCCGATTTGTAGTCTTTTATCCCTCACCCCCTTCCCACCCTTTCCCCCTGAATTGCCAAAGTCATTCTTTTTTTTTTGCTCTGTTGCCCAGGGTGGAGTGCAGTGGCACAATCTTGGCTCACTGCAGCCTCCGCCTCCCAGGTTCAAGCAATTCTCCTGCTACAGCCTCCCGAGTAGCTGGGACTACAGGCAAGCGCCTCTAACACCTGGCTAATTTTTGTATTTTTAGTAGAGATGGGGTTTCACGATGTTGGCCAGGATGGTCTCGATCTCCTGACCTCATGATCCACCCGCCTCGGCCTCCCAAAGTGCTGGGATTACAGGCATGAGCCACTGCACCTGGCCGCCAAAGTCATTCTTATGCCTTTGCATCCTCATAGTTTAGCTCCCACTTATAAGTGAGAACATACAATGTTTGGTTTTTCCATTCCTGAGTAACTTTACTTAGAATAATAATCTCCAATCCCATCTAGGTTGCTTCGAATGCTATTAATTCATTCCTTTCTGAAGGAATGAATATGCCCGGCCAGTTCACATGTTTTTAAATGGATGAAGGTGCTGAGTAGTATTCCATCGTATATATATACACACCACAGTTTCTTTATTCACTCATTGATTGATGGGCATTTGGGTTGGTTCCACATTTTTTGCAATTGTGAATTGTGCTGCTATAAACGTGCATGTGCAAGTATCTTTACACATAATGACTTCTCTTCCTCTGGGTAGAAACCCAGTAGTGGGATTGCTGGATCAAATGGTAGTTCAACTGTTAGTTCTTTAAGGAATCTCTATGCTGTTTTCCATAGTGGTTGTACTAGTTTACATTCCCACCAGCAGTGTAGAAGTGTTTCCTGTTCACCGCATCCACACCAACAAAGATAGATATTTCTGATGCAGAAGAGTCTACCTCTCTCCTTCCCTGTCCAACTTCATTCTCTGTTTTTTCCATTTGCGAGCTTCACACCAGCTTTGCTGGCCTCCTAACTATTCCTGTAATGCACCAGCACCTTCCCCACCCCAGGGCCTCTGCATGTACTGTCCCTCTGCCTGGACTGGTCAACCTTCAATAGTATTATGGCTGCCTCTCTCACCCTCTGCAGTCTTCACTCTAAGTCACCTTCTCAGGGAAGGTTTCTCTGACCTCTGTATCTAAAATTTCTCCTCCTTCCCCTCAACTCTTTTCTCCTTCTGCCCTGCCTGCCTCCCCCTCACTCCACCAATCACTGTTATACTTATTTGCTTTGTTTATATATCAACTAAAATGTCAGTTATATGAGAACAGGAGCTTTTGTCTGTTTTGCTCACCTGGTGACCCCAGTACAGAGCCTGGCTTGTAGCAGACGTTCAATACACTGTATTTAGATGAATGGAGGAATGAGCAAATGAAGGAATGGATGAATGAGTTTAATCAACATCGGACTTTCAAGCATAAATATCTATTACATTAGACTAAAACTCTGTGGGGACAGTGCTTTTTGTGCAATGCAAATACAAATTCAAGGAGAAAAAAGAATGCCACAAAATTTCTGACTGTTAAAGAATTTGTTCACGTTTTTGTTGTTGTTTTTTCTTTTTTGTGGTTTTTTTCTTTTTTGAGATGGAGTCTCAATCTGTCACCCAGACTGGAGTGCAGTGGCATGATCTTGGCTCACTGCAACCTCTGCCTCCCAGGTTCAAGTGATTCTGCTGCCTCAGCCTCACAAGTAGCTGGGACTACAGGCATGCACCACCACACCCGGCTAATTTTTTTGTATTTTTAGTAGAGATGGGGTTTCACCATGTTGGCCAGGCTGGTCTAGAACTCCTGACCTTGGGTGATCTGCCCACCTCAGCCTCCCAAAGTGCTGGGATTACAGGCATGAGCTGCCGCGCCCGGCCAGTTCACATGTTTGTAAATGGACGAAGGTGGAAATCAAACCACTGTGGAATTTGTAGTCCATTGGATACATGTATAAATGCACATAAAGAAATATAAATGTATTCCTTTTAAATGTCAGTATTTGCAATCCCCTGAAAATAAAATTGACAACTACTTCAACTCATGCTGAAAATTTGAGACGTCAACTTGCAAACGGGTGAGGGTCATGTGATACCACCAGAATGGCTAAAGTGTAAAATGGGAAATGCCAAGTGCTGGCGATCAGAACTTGCCTTCATTGCTGGTGAGAGTATCAGATGGTGTATGTGGAAATCTGCTTGGCAGTGTCTACTGGAACTGAATACTCACAAACCGCAGGATCCAGCCATTCCACTCCTGGGTACACACCCAACAGCAATAAGCACACATGTTCACCAAAAGGCACCAGAAGCTTTGCAGCAGCATTGTACGTAAGCCCCAAACTGGAAACTGCCCAAACACCCATCAACAGTAGACGGAAAAACGACATTGCGGTAACTTACACAATGGAGCACACTCAGGCATTTAAAATGAACAAACAAGGCCTGCACACAACCACATGGATTAATCACACAACTGTGATGTTGAGTGAAAGAACCAGGCACAAAAAGGCACGTTCTGCACGATTCCATTTACGTAACATTCAAAACCCAGCCAAATGAATCTGCAGTGTGAGACATGAGAATGGTACTGGAGTTCCCTTTGGGGGCAAGTTAGAGACTGGGAGGGGCCTAAGTGGGGCTCTGGGGATGTGGACGATGCCATATGTTTTGCTTGGATGCTGGTTGGGTGGCATGTTAGCCTGCTCAGGCTGCGATAACAAAGTACCCCAGACTGGGTGGCTTAAACAACAGGTGTTTATTTTTCTCATCGTCTGGAAGGCTCAAAATCCAGGCTCAAGGTATTGGCAGGGTCCGTTTCATTCCAAGGCCTCTCTCACTGGCTTGCAGATGGCCGTCTCCTTGCTCCATCTTCCCATGGCCTTGCCTCTGTGTGTGTCTGTGTCCTCATCTCTTCTTATAAAGACACCAGTCATACTGGACTAGGCCCCACCTCATGAGCTCATTTTAAATGGATTAATTACCTCGTTAAAGACACTATCTCTGAATACAGTCACATTCTGAGATACGGGGGGTTAGGACTTCAACATATAAATTTGGGGTGCTGGTTGGGGACACAGATTAGTCCCTAACCCCTGGGAAGTTTCACTTTGTACAAATCCCTACAGCCCTCTGCCTATGGTATGGGCCCTTTATGTATGTCTGTCCTGCTTCAATAAAGATGGTGTGAGGGGCACATGGTTTTAAGGAATTCTGAACAAAACATAGAGGTTGCTCTGACCATCAAGTATGGTGTTTCCTCCAAAGGCTGTAGAAATATGCCTGGCATAAATCACAGAAGGCTATGAACAGCCAGAGAAATGGAGCATCCACCAGGACTCTGCATCAAACTCCAGGGAAGAGCTCCCTGGAGGTGGAGGCGCTGGCCAGGCTGGTCTGCCCCATCCCCAGCAGACCACCCTCTGGCCAGGCCTCCCACAGGGAGCTCTCCAGCCCCCAGATGCCTGCTTTTCTGATGGTGCAAACCAAGCTTCAAGCATGGGAGGCCCTGGCTCCTTGGCCGTGAGCACTCTCTCCCCGACTCAGCCTGGCCCTGCTGTCCTGTCCCTCAAGCCTGCCATCACCCCACCCTGGTGGGGCCGTTTTTCTTTCTCCTGCTGAGTAAAGTGTGAAACAGGTGAAAAGGCTGCAGACAGACAGGAGGCCAGCCAGCCAGCCCCAGGCAGTGCCCCAGCCACCTTGTGGCTGACTCCCATTCCCATACCAGTGACACTCAGAGGGCACTGGGTAGAGCCAGGGTACCTGAGAGGGATGGCAGGAGGGATCAGGAGAGGCCCACTGGGGTCAGTGCTGTGTGACATGGCTCGGCCTCTCTGGGCTGCAGCCTCCTCCTGCTCTGACGTTCCTCAAACCCCCAAGAGGGTTTCAGGAAGAGTCACACTGAGGTTGTGAATGGTGACAGAAAGACCAACAGCCCCTTCAATGGGTACCACCCTTCACAGGTTGCAAGTTGCTCTCCTTGTCCCTCAGGGAGCAGGTGCTAAGGCCAGCACCAAGGGGGAACCTGAGACAGAGAAGAGTCAGTCCCACGACTGGCCAATGGCAGAGCTGAGACCTGCCCTGAAGCCCCGGTGCAGATTCCAGATCTGGCCTGGGATGTTCCGAGGGCCCTGGGTGCCCCTGGTGGGGAGGGAGAATTCCAGTGCAATGACTGGCATTTCCAGAGAAATGGTGACACTTCTGTCAGCCAGCACCAGGATTCCCTCAGGAAAACCGGGATCCCTTGGGAACATTGCCAATTCCCTAGAATTCCTGCAGGATTTGTACAGTATCTTCAGAGACATTGACATTCTTATGGACAATGATAGCTCTGAGGAAACACTGAAGCGTCATTAGAATTCCTTCAGAAACAAGTAAAAGGTCTTTTGGAAATAGGGACATTTCATAAAGAAAGGCTGGCATTCCTCAGGAATTTGGGCTGTCCTCTCAGGAATGTGTGCATTCTCATGGGAATTTTGAGATTTCTCTGAGGAACGATGAGACCCTCACAGGAGGGCAGCGGGCTCCCCCAGACAGTGATTCTCTCCAAGAACACGGAGAGACTCCCCAGGGAGCTGCCTTGGAGTCCGGAGCTGGCTTCCCCGGGCTTAGGACAGCTTGAGCAATCAGCGGAAAGGGGTGGGCTCTTCCCCATGCATTGTGGATATTCACTCAGAACAGAGACCCGCCCCCCAAGAGACATACAGACAAGTGCACACACGTACACACACACAAAGCCACATACAGTTACATGCACAGATGCAGTCCACACAGACACACACAGGCACCTGCACAAAAGCACACACAGACACAGACACACACCAGAACATACATGGACTCGCAGTGGCTTCAGGAAGTCACACTCCTCCCAAAGTTGCCAGCCCAGATGACTTATGGCCTCATTCCCCTCAGGGTTCCAGGGCAGGGCCCTGGATGCCCTCCCCACCTCCGTCCTGGTGTCAGCCAGAGTGACTGGTGCTCCAGGAGCCCTGCTCAGGCCTCTCAAGCCTCTGCCCACCCCTGGCCCCGGCCCCCACTTGGCCTGCCTACCTGCAACTTAAGCTTCCCTCTGCTCCTGGATCTTACTCCGGAGGCAGATGCAGGAGTCCCACCGGTCTTGGGTGGCCGGAACCACATCCTAGGTAAGGACCCTGCCCTCCCTGCTCTCAGAGCCCTGGGGAATGCGCAGGTGATGAGGAGGAAAGAGTTGGAGCCCTGGGTCCCAGTCCTGGCTTTGTCACTGACCTGCCAGGGAACCCAAGGGCCTCAATTTCCAGATCTGCAAAATGGGCACCCTCGGTCTTTTGTATATTATGTCTGTCAAACAGCCGATGCCCGACCTGAGGGAGAACCAAAGCCCACTCAGCCAGGGACCCAAACCATGTCAGCTCATGGATGTTTTGTGTTTATTTTGCTCGTCTGTGGTCCTTTTTAAGACAATGCCGTTAATTTTGGGGACAAAATTTCTTGCTCTGATAATCAAAAATAATTATTCCAGCTAGGCACAGTGACTCACGCCTGTAATCCCAGCGCTCTGGGAGGCTGAGGCAGACAGATCACCTGAGGTCAGGAGTTCGAGACCGGCCTGGACAACATGGTGAAACTCTGTGTCTACTAAAAACATAGATTGGACGGGTGTGGTGGTGGGCGACTGTAGTCCTAGATACTCCGGAGGCTGAGGCAGGAGAATTGCTTGAATCTGGGAGGTGGAGATTGCAGTGAACTGAGATTGTTCCACTGCACTCCAGCCCAGAAAACAGTGTGAGACTCCATCTCCAAAATAATAATAATAATAATTTCATCAGCGGCAGAAAATTGTAATCTGTCTAACATGACTAAGAAAAGCTCCTACCTGGGGGCAGGGACATAAGGACTCAAAGAGATGGTGCAGGAGTGCTGTGTACAGGGCCTGGCGCTTAGAAAATGTTGTCGTCATCACTCTATGGGCTCCCCCATTAGCCCCGAAGAGAACAGGGTCCCTGCTTTGCACAACTGCTTTGTGTGCACAGGTCCCAGGTGAGAAGGGAGCACCCTCACTTCCAGAAACGAGTTCATGCCCATACTCTGCAGGGGGGAAGCCGCGTGAGGAGCCATTCACGGGGGTGATGGGTAAGTTGAGTGTTTGCAAACAATAGTTGTTGTCGTTCCATTTCTCTGTCCAATTTCTGAGAAGAGAGAATTTCCGCCTACTTTGTCTGTAGGGTTCTAGAGCAGACATGGAAAGAATGCCATTGGCTGTAAAACACGCCACTCTTTTCTATGTACTAGCAAGAAAAAAAACACACTGTTACCTAAACACGTTGATGGTAAGATGCATTCTGATTTCCAAGAGAGTAAAATGAGAAAAAGATATGTCTTCAAGCCAATGAAACATGGTGTAAAAACCATGACGGGGTCATCAAGGTAATTGATACGACCTCCCAGCCCTTAAGGGGCAAGGAGTGTCCTCCTTCCCACTGTAGTCTTTCTTTTTTTCTTTATTCCATGTTTTTGTTTGTTTGTTTGTTTGTTTGTTTGAGAGACAGAGTCTTGCTCTGTCACCCAGGCTGGAGTGCAGTGTTGCCATCTCGGCTCACGGCAACCTCCGCCTCCTGGGTTCAAGCCATTCTCCTGCCTCAGCTTCCCAAGTAGCTGGGACTACAGATGTGTGCCACCACACCCAGCTAATTTTTGCATTTTTAGTAGAAACGAGGTTTCACCATATGTTGGCCAGCCTGGTCTCGAACTCCTAACCTCAGGTGATCTGCCCACCTCGGCCTCCCAAAGTGCTGGGATTAGAGGCGTGAGCCACCCTGCCCAGCCTATTCCACGTGTTTTAAATGGAGGTTTCAGTTGTATACAGTAAAAGATGCAGTAAGAAAGACAGGTTTTTGCTTATGTGTGCACCCTTGCAACCACCACCCAGATCAAGGGACAGGACTTTCCCAATACCCAGAAAGAGCCCCTTTTTGCCCCACTGCAGTCAGTACCTGCCCCCAGAGGTGACCCCTCTTCTGACCTCTATCTCTGTGGGCAAGTACTGTCTGCTCCTGAAATTCACAGAAAGAGCCATACAGTGTGAGCGATTCTGTAGCTGGCTTCTTTTGTTCAATGTCATGTCTGTGAGATCCCCCTATGTTGTTGCCTGTGTCAGCTTTCTAGCAAATTTATCTGTTTTTCTACATCACACTAAACCCGGTTCAGAATGGGTACAAAAGGGCATAGAGAGGGAAATAATAGACACTGAGGACTCCAAAAGGGGGGAATGGGGAAGGGGAGTGAGGGGGGAAAATTACCTATTGGGTACAATGTTCACTATTAGGGTGATGGGTACATTGGAAGCCTAAACTGCACCATTGCACCATTTGTCTCGAACTCTTGTCCTCAGGTGATCCACCTGCCTCGGCATCCCAAAGTGCTGGGATTACAGGCGTGAGCCACCACACCTGGTCCATTGCACCATTTGTTATGTGCAATATATCCATATAATAAACTGCACAGATAACTCCTACATCTATTTTTAATGAAAAATTAGAAAAAAAATGGAAAAATCTGGTTCAGGAACCCAGGCTTCTCCTCTCTCTTGCCCTCCCTGCTGGGGTGCACTCTGGCAGCAAACAATTCCCCCTGGCCTGTGCGTTGGCTGTGCCCAAGGCTCCCCACTCCGTCTGCAGGGTGGCCTGAGGGGATCCTGCTGGAGCCTCCATCCCTCAGCAACCTGAGGCCTGGACCCTTTCTTTCTAGCATGTGTCACCGCCCTGCATGAGGGCCACACATTCAGAGCTTCATCAGCATCCTTCAAGCGAGAGCTCAGATTTTCCCGTTCCATGTCTGCCCTCCTTATGCCCCACATGGGCAAGATCTGCCCTAGCTTGCTGTTCTCCAATCCCAAGCATGCTGGGCCCACCTTCCTCCTCCACCCATCTCACTCAGTCCTAGGCCTGGGTTTGCTTGAGCTCTCAAACTGGCAGTCCCAGGGATGTGTGCGGGTGTGTGTGTGCACACGAGAGAGACAAAGTGTATTTAAACAATTTTACAATTTTGAATTAGTTTATAGTGTTTTAAAACCAAGAGCTTTAATGCCTCCTCTTGACAAGTTGTTGTTGACTGTGTGCTATGATTCAGGCCCCTTTTCAGAGGCTGGGAATACAGAAGTCAACAAAACAAGGACATGGCCAAAAAGAAACTGACATTTTACAGGTGTTTGCATTAGAATAATAAAAAAAATTCCTGCTTCTCCTAATAATGGAACATTTCATCCAGAATGGGTACACATATCCTACCTGGCAACAGTAAGAATGGATCCCAGATCAGTGGTGACCTGTTGACCAACTGTTGTCTCCGCAGGCACCTGCTCTGAACATGGGGATGTTTTTGTGGACTTTCCTCCTCCCTTGGTACCTGCTTAGCATAAGCCATGCTCAGTTGGGAGGTTCCAGGTCCCAAACAGGTAAGCCATCCCATCTTTCCTGGAAGCTCCTTCCAAGGAGATTCCAAAAGAAGCAAGTTTACCTCCATTGGACAAACAGTCATCTGTCATCAAATCTGATTCATTAGAAGAGCTTAGATTTGCAAGTGTCACAAGAGGCAACTGGAGGCAACTCAGAGGTTCCTAATCTCCTTTAGATCACCTCTTGGTGTCTAGATTATGTATTATATTAACACAAACCACATGCACTCTCTGCTGTCTTAATCATAGTATTCCATTCTTACACTTAGTTCCCAGGTAAATCTTTCTAGCCTTAATCACTGATGATCTGAGTCCCATGAGATTGCAGAAAGGAGCTTGACCAGTTGCTTTGGGACCACATATCACAGATTTATAGCTTCCAATTTTACAATAAAGAGCTCGTAAAAAAAATCACCCATATGCTTCGAGTCCACAGCCTGACCCATGTTTTCTCTGAAAATTTCTTATCTGTAACCCAACTCCTGGTACCAGTTTCTGTCTTAGTTATTGGTTTGGTTGCAAGGAGCAGAAACTTTTCTGACAAAAAAGAAAACAGTAAAAAAAAAATTGTGAAAAGGGAAGTAGGGTTATCTCTCTGATATCAAAGTTTATACATCCCCTGGACCTCCCAGGGCATTAAAAACAAGATCTGGGAAACTAACAACAACTAAAGCAGCCACGATGCTTCTTTTTGATTCTCTGAGCATAACTATATCATTGTTTTCTCTTTATTGTTTATCCATTCCACCATAGATGGCCCAAGTGTGGTCACCACCATGTATCTGACTTTTCATTGCCTCCTGGGTCAAGTGCTCAAGAAAATCTAGTGCAAGATTGAGACTCAGTTCTAAATTTGCAAGGGTAATTCTTTTTTTTTTGATAGTGCTGATTTTCTTTTTTTTTCTTTTTTTTTATTATGCTTTAAGTTTTAGGGTACATGTGCACATTGTGCAGGTTAGTTACATATGTATACATGTGCCATGCTGGTGCGCTGCACCCACTAACTCGTCATCTAGCATTAGGTATATCTCCCGATGCTATGCCTCCCCCCTCCCCCCACCCCACAACAGAATTCTTATCCTGATTCCTGAATGTGGTCACAGAGCTGGTTCTGGGTTGAGCTCCTTACTCCTATGTTCCTAATGGGAGTGTGTAGCCTTGAGTTCACCTATGTGTCTCTGTCCCAACAGGTAGTAGAAATGGAGGTCTCCTGGGCAGCAGTGGTCTCTTGGGTACAGGACTTCTCAAGAATGGCCAGGTGCTCGGCAATGGTGGTGTTCTTGGCACAGGCCTTCTCAGTGGGAATAACCATCAGGCTGGGGCCAACAGTGGTTCCCCAACTACAAGAGTTGCTGCTCACCTCTCTGAGCCAAACCACCTTGAGAATGACCAGGAATACATTTATCTGAGTTCCCCTCATGCCGAAGATGCCACTGAGTACAGCATCAAGCCTGGGAAATCCAGTATGTTCCAGATGCCCACTCTGCTGCCCACACCCCCAGTGAGAATGGCTGCTTCTGCCCCTACTCCATCTGTGAGAATCCATGTGACCAATCAAGACACTATGGGTAAACTTGGTCAGAGTGAGATGGGCGGTCCAGGCTCTACTGACAAAAGTGCTGTGATCAGTCAAGGATCCTTAGGTCACAAAGGAATGACTACCCCTGGACAATTAAGTCAGAAGGTTATAAAGAGCCTTGGCTACTCTGACCACAAGTGGATGACCCAATCTGGCCATACAGGTGTGGGTGATATGAGCTTCTCAGGCAGTGGTCAACCTTCAGATGCTTCTTCAGGAAATGCTGTTGTGTCTGGGGTGGCTTCACCTGGCAGTTACGGTCAGTATGGGGCTGAGTCATCTGATGGTTTGGGTCAATCTAGGGCAGGACTAATAACTGATCATCCTGGGACTGGGAAAAATGATGATTTTGGTCAGTCTGAGGCAGGGTTAATGAGTTATCAGACTGGTGGTAGGTCATCTGGTTACGGTCAAACTGGGGATAGGTCATATGAGTATGGTCAGCAAGGAAACAAGTCATTTGGAGGGTATGGTCAGTCTGGGGTGGAGTCAATAAACAGCCTGAGCCTGGGTCATCTGGTGGCTTGGGTCAATCTGGAGCAGAGCCAATGAATGGTAAGTAAGGGGCTGGATCATTTAGGGGTTTGGGTCAATCTGGGGTAGGTTCAATGAATTCTCAGACCGGCAATAGGTTTCCTAGTGGTTATGGTCAAACTGAGGCTGGGCAATCTGGTGGCTACGATCAGTTTGGGACAGGGTCATTTGGAAGGTATGGTCAGTCTGAGGCAGGGTCAATAAATGTTCAATCTGGGTCTAGACCATCTAATGGTATGGGTCAACTTGGAGCAGAGTCAATGAACAGTCAGCCTGGGGCTAAACCATCTGGTAGCCATGGTCAGTTTGGGACAGGGTCATTAGGAGCGTATAGTCAGTCTGGGTCTGGATCATCTGGTTCTTTGGGTCGATCTGGAGCAGGGTGAGTGAATGATCCAACTGGATATAGGTTATCTAGTGCTTATGGTCAAACTGGGGCAGGGTCACTAAATGGTCAGTCTGGGGTTGGGTTATCTGGTAGTCTTGGTCAATCTGGGGCAGGGTCAATGAGTGGTCAGACTGGGGATAGGTTATCTAGTGATAATGGTCAAACTGGGGCTGGATTATCTGGTTGTCTTGGTCAGTCTGGGACAGGGTCAATGAGTGGTCAGATTGGAGACAGGTCATCTAGTGGTTATGGTCAAACTGGGCCAGGGCCACTAAATGATCAGTCTGGGGCTGGGTTATCTGGTGGTCTTGGTCAGTCTGGGGCAGGGTCAATGAGTGGTCAGACTGGGGATAGGTCATCTAGTGGTTATGGACATCTTGGGACAAAGACATCTGTAAGCTATGGTCAGTCTGGGGCAAGGTTAATGAATGTTCATCCTGGAGATGGGACAACTGGTAGTATTGATCAATCTGGGGTAGGGTCAATGAATGGTCAGCCTGGGCCAGGAACATATGCTGGTGACAGTCAGTTTGCACTAGGAGCATCTGGAGGATATGGCCAACCTAGGTATGGGTCACCTAGTCATTTTAGTCAATCTGAGACTGTATCATTGAATGGTCAGCCCAGAGTTAGGTCATCTGGTGTGCTGGGTCAGTCTAGGGTTGAATCAATGAATGGTCAGCTTGGGGTGGGACTGTCTGATGGCTCTGTTCAACCTGGGGCAAGATCATCAGGAGGAAATGTTCAACTTGGAGAAGGGACATCTGATCGTGATATGCATTCTGGGGCTGGATCATCTATAAATTCTGGTCAGTTTGGGGCTGGGATATCTGTTGGCTATGGTCAGTCTGGAGCTAAGTCACATGACAGTCATGGTCAGTCTGAAGCTCGGTCAGTCTAGAGGTTATGGTCAATTTGGGGCTGGAGTATCTTTTAGCTGTGGCCACTCAGGAGCTAGGCCACCTAATGATTATGACAAGTCTGGGGCTGGGTTCTACTTAGGTCACGGCCAGCCTGGGCGTGGCACCCCTGGCCCCTCTGGTCCACCTGGGGAAACACCATCTGGAGATCTTGGCCACATGGGATCCCCAGTGGATGATAAGGCTCCCCAACACAGGAGTCCAGTCAATGGCAACACACTGCCTCCCCCGGTTCATGATGGTCAAGGAGGGGGGTATAGGAGCAGGAGCTGGAAACACACTCAGTCAGCAATTGCCAACAACTGCCCTCAACAAAGACCTCCTGGCTCAGGAAGGGCTGCTTGGAGCCATCATTCTCAACAACCAGAATCTGGTTAGGGAGAGAGAGATGCTACTTAAGATCCTCCTGGGCAGCAGGACCTTACCTACTGGAAAAGATCATCTGCTGGAGGCAGCAGGGTCTCTGGCTCTGGAAGGACTGCTCTGCAAGGGTTCTCTGGGGGGCCTCTGTGGCCACGGGAGTCTTGTTGGCATCAACAATGTTCTGAAGAGCACTTCTTTCGGGAAACTCAACAGCTGGTAAGTTTAAGTCCTTCATCAATAAAACAGTTTCCCAATGCACTGATCAACAAGGGTTCTAGGTGCTCACTATATGTTAAGTGTTGGAGTCTGACTCACCTAATTGGAAGGCAGACAGTAAGAAGGCAGCCTCAGACGCCGCCTCCTCCTGCAAACTCTCAGCCCACTGCCCAGCATCCCATCATTATGGCTTCACCCCTTGGATTTATGAAGGTTTGTCTAAGCCTCCACTAAATTACAAATAGCATTGAAAAGGGGTACAGCAGAAGCTCTTCCCAGCTAGTACTTTAGTTATTATTTAATACCCCAGTGGTTAAAAACAGCATCTTTGTATGCTAACACTGTAATTTCCAACTGATGCTTTGAATTTGACATCTTAATTTTCCTTTAACATCTTAATTAACTACAAAAGTGTTAGTTATCAGCTAATGCTTTTCTTGTCTAGGATTTGGAAATGGGATTTAGAATGGAAATCTAGGTCAAGGATACGAAGGCCCAGGATAGAAGAAAAGCCATGTTGAAGTTTGAGTAATAAGTCGAGAAGACTGGGAAGTTCTGCTTTTCCACTTCACCTTGCTCTTCCCATTCTTCAGGCTCAAAATCATCAACTTTGATATCATCCAGGTGGCGTGGAAGAAGGTCTATCCTTTATCCAACCTCCAACTAGAATTTCAGACCAGGTTGACTATCAAACTCCCAGGGTGAGTAACTTATTCATGGCAAGAGAAGCCAGGTGGAAGAGAATTCTTGGAGATAGTAGGCAGTTTTTTTAAATGTTTAATTTTTGTGGAAACATAGTAGGCATATATACTTATGGGTTACATGAGATACTTTGATATGGGCATGCAATATGTAATAATCATATCATGGTAAATGGGGTATCTATCCCCTCACACACTTATCCTTGGTGTTATGAACAATCCAATTATGCTCTTTTAGTTATTTTTAAAGTACAATTAAATTATTATTGACTATAATCACCCTGTTGTGCTATCAAATACTGGGTCATATTTATTCTTTCTAATGATTTTTGTACCCATTAATCATCCCTTCCCCACTCCTATCACCTCACTACCCTTTCCAGCCTCTGGTAACCATCCTTCTATCACTATGAGTTCAACTGGTTTAATTTTTAGCTGCACAAATAAGTGAGAACATGCAAAGTGTCTTTCTGTGCCTGGCTTATTATACTTAACATAATGATCTCCAGTTCCATCCAGGTTGTTGCAAATAACAGGATCTCATTATTTTTATGGCTGAATACTACTTCATTGTATATATGTACCACGTTTTCTTTATCCATTCATCTTTTGATGGACACTTAAGTTGCTTTCAAATCTTGGCTATTGTGAATAGTGCTGCAACAAACATGGGCGTGCAGATATCCCTTCAATATACTGATTTCCTTTTTAGGAGTGTATATACTCAGAAGTGGGATTATTGGATCATAAGGTGGCTCTATCTTTAGTTTTTTGAGGACCCTCCAAACTGTTCTACATAGTGGTTGTACTAATTTATATTCCCACCAACAGTGTACGAGGGTTCCCTTTTCTCCACATCCTCGCCAGTATTTATTATTTCCTGTCTTGGATAAAAGCCATTCTAACTGGGGTGAGATGATATCTCATCGCAGTTTTGATCTGCATGTCTCCAATGATCCATGTTATCAAGCACCTTTTCATATGCCTGTTTGGCATTTGTATGTCTTCTTTACAGAAATGTGTATTCAGATCTTTTGCTCATTTTCAAATTAGATTATTAGATGTTTTCCTATAGAGTTGTTTGAGCTCCTTATATATTCTGGTTATTACTCCCTTGTCAGATGGGTAGTTTGCAAATATTTTCTCCCATTCTGTGGGTTGTCTCTTCACTTCGTTGATTGTTTCCTTTGTTGTGCAGAAGCTTTTAAACTTGATGTTATCTCATTTGTTCACTTTTGCTTTGGTTGCCTGTGCTTGTGGGGTATTACTCAAGAAAGTTTTGCCCAGACCAATGTCCTGGAGTTTCCCCAATGTTTCCTTTTAGTACTTTTATAGTTTGAAGTTTTATATTTAAGTCTTTAATCCATTTTTATTTGAGTTTTGTATATGGTGAGAGATAGGTGTCTAGTTTCATTCTTCTGCATATGGATATCCAATTTTCCCAGCACCATTTATTGAAGAGACTGTCTTTTCCCCAGTATATGTTCTTGGTACCTTTGTTAAAAATTAGTTCAGTGTATGGATTTGTCTCTGAGTTCTCGATTCTATTCCATAGATCTGTGTATCTGTTTCTATGCCGGTACCATGCTGTTTTGGTTATTGTAGCTCTGCAGCATAATTTGAAGTCAGATAATGGGATTCTTCCAGTTTTGTTCCTTTTACTCTGGATAGCTTTGGCTATGCTGGGTCTTTTGTGGTTCCAGATGAATTTTATAATTATTTTTCTATTTCTTTGAGCCATGTTATTTGTATTTTGATAGGGATTGCATACAATCTGTAGATTGCTTTGGGTAGTATGGACATTTTAACAATATTGAGTCTTCCAATCCATGAACATGAAATATCTTTCAATTTTTTGGTGCCTTTTTAAATTTCTTTTGTCAGTGTTTTATAGTTTTCATTGTAGAAATCTTTCACTTATTTGGTTAATTCCTAGGTATTTAATTTTATCTGCAGCTATTGTAAGTGGGATTACTTTACTTTAATTTCTTTTTCATATTGTTAACTGTTGGCATAAAGAAATATTACGGATTATTGCAAGTTGATTTTGCATCCTTCAACTTTACTGAATTTGTTTATCAGTTCTAATAGTTTTGTGGTGGAGTCTTTAGGTTTTTCCAAATACAAGATCATATCATCTGCAAGAAAGGACAATTTGACTTTTTCTTTCCAACTTGGATGCCCTTTATTTCTTTCTCTTGTCTGATATCTCTAGCTAGGACCTCAGTACTACGCTGAATAACAGTGGTGAAAGTGGGCATCTGTGGCTTATTGCAGATCTTAAAGGAAAAGCTTTCAGTTTTTCCCCGTTCAGTATTATACTAACTGAGGATCTGTACATATGGCTTTTATCTTGCTGAGGTATGTTCCTTTTATACCCAGTTTTTTTTGTGGGGGGGGGGGGTTTATCGTGAAGGAATGTTGAATTCTATCAAATGTTTTTTCAGCATCATTTGAAATTATCATATAGTTTTTATCCTTCATTCTATTGATATGATGTATAATACTGATTGATTTGCATATGTTAAACTATCCTTGCATCCCTGGGATAAATCCCACTTGGTCATGATGAATGATCTTTTTGGTTTGCTAGTATTTTGTTGAGGATTTTACATCAATATTTATCAGAGATATAGAGATAATGGCCTGTAGTTTTCTTTTTTTTGATGTGTCTTTGTCTGGGTTTGGTATCAGAATAATACTGACCTCATAAGAATGACTTTGAAGTATTCTCTCCTGCTCTATTTTTTGAAATAGTTTCAGTAAAATTGGTATTAGTTCTTCTTTAAATGTTTGGTAGCATACAGCAGTGACACCACTGGGTCTCAGCCTTTCTTTTACTGGGCGATATTTTATTATAGCTTCAATCTCGTTACTTGTTATTGGTCTGTTTAGGTTTTGGATTTCTCCATGGTTCAATCTTGGTAGATTGTGTGTATCCAGGAATGTATCCATTTCCTCTAGGTTTTCCAATGTATCAGTGTATAGTTGCTCATAGTAGCCAGTGATGATCCTTTGAATTTCTGAAGTATCCGTTGTAATATCTCATTTTTCATCTCTGATTTTATTTATTTGAGTCTTCTCTCTTTTTTCTTAGTTAGTCTGGTTAAAATTTTGTTCATTTTATTTATCTTTTCAGAAAATCAACTTTTGTTTCATTGAACTTTTGTATTGTTTTCTTCATTTCAGTTTCATTTATTTCTGCTCTAATCTTTACTATTTCTTTTTTTCTATTAACTTTTGGTTTGGTTTGCTCTTGCTTTGCTAGTTCTTTAAGATCCATCATTAGGTTATTTATTTGAGATTTTCTTCTTTTTCTGATATAGGCACTTAGAGCTATAAATTTTCCTCTTAGTACAACTTTCACTGTATCCCATAGGTTTTAGTATGCGGTGTTTCTATTATCATTTGTTTCAGTAAATTTCTCAGTTTCCTTCTTAATATAGTCATTGACCCACTGGTCATTCAGGAGCATATTGTTTAATTTCCGTGTGTTTTTACCATTTCCAAAATTCCTCATTATTGATTTCTCATTTATTTCATTGTAGTCAGAGAAGATGCTTGATATTATTTCAATTTTTAAAAATGTTTTAAGACTTGTTTTGTGACCTAACATATGGTCTATCCTTGAGAATGATCTGTGTGTTGAGTAGAAGAATGTGTATTATTCAGCTGTTGGATGAAATGTTCTATAAATATCAATTAAGTCCATTTGTTCTATAGTGCAGATTAAGTTCCATGTTTCTTTGTTGAGTTTCTATCTGAAAGATTCGTCCAATGCCAAAAGAGGAGTGTTAAAGTCGATCTCTCAGCTTTATATACCTGGGTGCACAAGTGCTCAGCAACCTTAGGACTCTACCAGGAAAGCACACGCCTTCCCTGACAGTGCCCTGCCTATAGCGAGTGTGGTGTGCTCCCTTTTCTGTGCTCACGTCAAGAGATCCTGGACAGGATCTCTGTCAAATCACTTCCCATGCCATGTTGTAATTGCCTGTATATTGCCTGTGTGAGCTCTACAGGAGCAGAGACTGCCTTAGACTTATGCCTTAGCCCACGGGAGCTCTGCCAGGCCACCATCCATGTTCACTTAAAGCCCAAGGGCGCCTCAGTCAGCTTGTGGTGAATGCTGCCCATGCCTGGGACTCATCCTTCAGGGCAGTGGCCTCCCGTCTGGCCCAGTGCAGGTCCACAAATGTCTAAGAGCCCAGGTCTGGATTTGGGGACCCCAAGAGCCTACGTGGTACTCTACCCCTCTGTAGCCAGGCTGGTACCTAAGGTGCAAGATGGAGTTCCCTTTATGTTTCCCTCTTCTTTTTTCAAGCAGAAAGAGTCTTTCACCATTGCCACCATAGCTGAGAGTGTACTGGGTCTCACCTGAAGCCAACACATCTCAGAGTCTCACCCAAGGCTCTGACATAGCACCTGGATATCACTGCTGGTTATTCAGGGCCTAAGGGCTGTTTATTCAGCAGGTGATGGATCCTCCCAGGACTGGCTCCTTCCCTTCAAAGTAGTAAGTTCCCTTCTGGCCCAAGGTGTGTCTAGAAACATGGTCCAGGAGCTAGGGCCTGAAACGCCAGCCTCACGACTCTGCCTGGTGCCCTATCCTATTGTGGCTGAGCTGGTATCCAAGATGCAAGACAAAGTCTTCTTTACTTTTCAGAAGGCAGTTTTTTAACAACTGACAAAATGGCCTTTGGTTATTCTTAGCATTTGCTGACAATTCTTGGCAATATCTGCCTAAACAGCTTCTTAGAGATGGCTGTTAACAGGAAGTTAGGTGTGAGATTAATTTTTTTCTTTTTCTGCTATTTCTTTATGTCTTATTGTAACAAACTTGGGGAGAAAAATAAAATGCGGCAGAAAAAAAAAATCTCTAATCTGGATGGGCACGGTGGCTTACGCCTGTAATCCCAGCACTTTGGGAGGCCAAGGCACGTGAATCACCTGAGGTCAGGAGTTTGAGACCAGTCTGGCCAATATGGTGAAACCCCCTCTCTACTAAAAATACAAAAAATTAGCCAGGCATGGTCGTGGGCACCTGTAATCCCAGCTACATGGGAGGCTGAGGCAGGAGAATTGCTTGAACCCAGGAGGCGATGGTTGCAGTGAGCCAAGATCGCACCATTGCCCTCCAGCCTGAGCGACAGAGCGAGACTCCGTCTCAAATAAACAAACAAAAAAAATCACTAATCTTGCAGCTTGGAGACAATGACTATTAACAGTTTTGTTTGCTTCTTTCCAGACCTTTTCCAGCACTATTTTGAATGTCAATAAATATTCCATACATAGATGCACCATGATACATTTTTAACCATTCTACTGTTAGATACTTGGGTTGTTTTCAATTTTCACGCTTATAAATAACTTTGTGATTAATATCTTGAGGAATAAACCTTTGTTCATATCTCTGTTTACTTACTAATTCTCAGAAGGGTAATTTATAGCTTTTGATAAGTATTGCCAAATTATCCTCCAAAGAGATGACGGTGGTGATAAAACATGACCAATGTTACTGAGTGCTTAAAATATTCTAGGCCCCTTGTTAAGGGCTTTTATGAATTGTCTCATATGATCTTCACCAGAACCTTAGAAACGAGGTACTGCTATTCTGCTCATTTTACGGAACAGGAAAAAAAAAAAAACTCAGAGAGGTTAAAGTCAATTGTGCTTGGGGATGTGGATGTGCACATATCTCCAGAAGGAGGCATGAAAAACATCGGTTGGGTAAGCATAGACACAGAATACACAAAGAAAGACAGAATGGAAGGAGGGGAGAAAGGGAGGAAGGGAGGAAGGGAGGAGGGAGGGAAAGAAGGAGGGAAGGAAGGGAAAAGGAAGGAAGGAAGGAAGGAAAACATTGGTGAGGTGTGTGATCTCAACAGGGTTACTGGGTAGCGAGGGGACATTGGTGGGGGCCAGGCTCTTCACTGTACGTTTTTCCATCTTTTGAATTTTAAACCACAGCAATGTATTCCGTATTCAAAAATAAACTAAAACATTTACTTAACTCACTTCCTATATACATTCAAAAACAAATCAAGACGGGATGTGGTGGCTCACACCTATAATTCCAGGACTTTGGGAGGCCAAGGTGGGAGGATCCCTTGAACCCAGGAGTTTGAGACCAGTCTAGGCAACATAGTGAAACCCCATTTCTACATAAAATTTAAAAATTAGCCAGGTGTGGTGGTGCGCACCTGTAGTCCCAACTACTCAGGAGGCTGAGGTGAGAGGATTGCTTGAGCCCAGAAGGTCAAGGCTGCAGTGAGTTGTGATCACACTGCTGTACTCCAGCCTGGGCAACAGAGCAAGACTCTGTCAATAAATAAATAAATAAATTTAAAAATATATACTGAACAGCAGGCATCATTTAAAAAATTTTGTATATGGGCCACCTCTCTCACACACAAATGCCAGTACTTGTTTCTGAGTTTGAGAAAAGCCTTTAGAACATCTCCAGACACCTGCTCTGGGAGGAGAGTGTTGCTTACATCACTGAGGTGGAGAAGAAGAGACCAGCGATTTGTCCTGGACCTTTCCTGGAACTCTGGGTGCACCCTGGCAGGTGACATCCCAGGCCATTCTTGCTGAGCCCTCCCTCTGGTGGGTCCCTGGGCTCAGCTCAGCCAGCCCTCCTGCTGTGTGCACAGGTTGCTTGGCTTCCTCAGTGGCTCCACAGTGGACGTGAACATCATGGCTACCTTTGTGCTCTCCCAGACCAAGCTGGGTCAAATCTCTCTTGACTTGCAGAACTGCCAGCCAGTCTTCACTAGGATCCACATGCGAGCAAGGTAGGTACTGTGCAGAGCGGGCTGAGTGCCCTGCAGGGTGCAGTGCGGGGACAGTGCCATGCTGCAGTGATCACCAGGCTTACTGGGGCCAGAGCTCCAGCAAACTATGCCACCAGAATACCTTTCTTCTTATTTCAGAGTCCCCTCTTCTGCCCAGGTTTCTCTACCAGGGAGGTTAGATTTCTAAGCAGGAGGAATGCCTTCTTTCTGAAAGCACATGCCTTCCTTGATAGTGCCCCTGCCTATAAGGAGTTTGGCATGCTCCCCTTTTTGCACTTACATAGAGAGATCCTGGACAGGATCACTGTCAAATCACTTCCCATGCTGTGTTGTAATTGTCTGCATATGCCTGCATGAGCACTATAGGAGCAGAGGCTGCCTTAGATTTATCATTTGTTTATTCAACAAATATGGAGCCAGGTAGGCACTGTGTTGTTCCTGGAGAACAAGACGGAGAAAGATGGATGGATGGTTAAATGAATAAATGAATGAAAGTGAGGATGGGAGGAGGGGTGGCTGGGAGGATGGATGGATGGATGGATGGATGATGGTTGGATGGATGAATGAAGGATGGATGAGTAGGTAGATGGATGGAGGCAAGGATGGATAGAGGGATGAACTGAAGTATAAATAGAGCAAATGATGGACTATAGTAGACTTTAGTAGACTCCCCTGAAAACTTCAGTAGACTACCCTGAAAAGACTTTAGTAGACTACCCTGAAAACCTAAGCTTGGCTCACGAGATGAGGTCTAAAAATACATGCTTACTTAATTTAAGAGCCATGAGCTCAGGGTTAACCAAGTTCTATAGCACTATATTTCAAACAGATCATTCTCTAAAAAAGCATCCAGAGGCTGGGCTGTGTACCCAATCACCATGATGATCTCTAAGGTCATTATTTCATGGTTGAGAAGGATGCTGTAAGCCTCAGGGAGGTGCTATAAATCAGGAGTGCTACAGTTCAATTTCATCATGGGTTTAACAAGGTAGGCAGGCTAACCTGAGAGTTCAACCACATGTTCTCTGAGATCCTTTCTAACTCCCAGATTCTGAATTCAATGCCTTAGAACATGGGTCACATGCTCAAATGCCTATTAGGGGTAGGAAAGTGGCATAAATTAGTAAGCGGGGTCCAGTTTAAGGAAATACAACATTCAAGTTCAATTTCAATTTTTGGGATGCAATAGAGAGTGGTGGGCACTGTGGCGAATTGGACAGCACATGTCTCATCTGAAGTGGGCAGCCTCTCCTTGGCTCCAGTTGACTATGGCCATATGGGAAGATGGGCCCAGTCTTGCCAGTTTTCTGTATTTTGAAGAAACTGGAACGTAAATTTTGAAACTTCACTGTAAAAATTTAAAAGACTATTTTTGCAAAAGAAAACACACCTGTGGGCCTCGTGTGGCCTGCAGCCTGCCATTCTACAGTCTCTATTTTAGAACATGATTTCTAAGGAGAAATGCCCTCTAAGTGCCTTAGCTCAAGTCACAAAGAATGTAAAACACACCCCTTGTTTAAGAGAAGGCAGGTACCCTGTGGTAATGGGTTGAATGCACTCCAGCCAATTTCTTTTCTTTCACTCATTTAGTCTTCACAACAACCCTATTTTACATTTTATAGATAAGAGGCACAGAGAGGTTATATAAATTGGACAAGGTCATATAGCCAGGAAATAGTGATGCTGGGATTCAAGCAATCTGTGTTTTTAACTATTCTGGTAGTTTGAGTTAATATATGCCATGAATTGAGCCGGGCGCGGTGGCTCATGCCTGTAATCCCAGCACTTTGGGAGGCCGAGGCGGGTGGATCACGAGGTCAAGAGATGGAGACCATCCTGGCCAACATGCTGAAACCCTGTCTCTACTAAAAATACAAAAAATTAGCTGGGCGTGGTGGCGCACGCCGTAGTCCCAGCTACTTGGGAGGCTGAGGCAGGAAAATCGCTTGAACCTGGGAGGTGGAGGTTGCAGTGAGCCAAGATCGCACCACTGCACTCCAGCCTCGCGACAGAGCAAGACTCTGTCTAAAAACAAACAAACAAACAACAAACAACAACAAAAAAAAATATGCCGTGAACTTAGACTAGTCCCCGGAGCAAAGGAAACATTTTGTAACCTTTAGCTATAATTGTTATTGTTTCTAATGCTCCTACTCCCCAGCCTGCTCTCTGCAGTGATGGAGACCATGTTGAAATGGATCCTGGATACCTCCCTACCCAACATGGTAAGTTTGAAAAGGGAAACTAGGCAGACCCTTTGCAGCTGAAGTATGGAGGGGTAGCCAAGATGGGAGAGGCAGCCATGCCAGTTTTATTCCTGGGCTCTCTAATCTCTCAGAGTTTTCTTTCCTGTCCTTTTTATGAGTCCCTGATACTGGGCAAGGCGGAGAGAAAGGGACATTTCATGAGGGACAACTATATACCAGGTAGTTTACACCTGTGGAAGATGAAGATTTGCATTGTGTTACAAATTCTGATAGAATCATTTAATCTCATCTGATAAATTTATTCTTCAAAGAGAAAGGCATACAGATTTTTTCTTATCAAGAGAATTCAGCATCTGTTTACTGGTTACAATTTGATCAATGAGCTTTCCACCAGCAAGTTCATTATTACAAGGTTGGTAAACAATCAGCTTCTTCTGGCAAACATGGGTTTACAACTTAAACAAACAATCGCAATTCCCTACAACAGCCTAATAAACGCAGTGCCTCCATCACAAATATGTTTGGATTAAGGGTATAGGTTGCAATGCTTGCAAAATAACAAGAATTTTTTTTTTGAAAAAGAGCACTGTGTCCTGCTGACCAGGTTTGGATTCCTCCAGGAGCAGACACTGAAACAAGGGTTTGAATGCAAGCAGTTTATTTGGGAGGTAGTCCCAGGAAGTACAAGTAGGAGAGTGAGGATTAGAGACAGGGAAGAGGAGGCAGTTCATATGGTGTGATATCAAGCCAGTTACCATTATGAGCGCTGGAGCTTAGTCTCCTTGGGGAAACCTGGTTCAGTGCATGGAACATGCCTTAGAATTACCCCACCCAAGGGTGAGGAAGCTGGGGTATTTATATACCAACTCCCATCAGTCTTTGGTTGAGGGCTGCTCCTGGGAGCATTGATTCCATGGTACTTCCAGCCTATGCACAGGCAGGAAAAGCAGGTTTTGGAGGCTCCAATAGACAGATGCAAGTGGGAGCTGGACTCAAGTGGCAAAGGAAGGGAGTATGGGGAGGTATGAACAATGTTTTCCTGACCTTCTTAGCAACCCAGCCAGAAATCCAATTTTATGATGACAAGCTAGAGAATAAATATAAATTTCACCTAAAGCATTTACCCCACCTGAATAAAGCTATTTATCCTTGGTTCTCTTACACTGTTATGTGAATCTCCAACTTACTCCCTTATCTTTTAACTAAAGGTAATAATTAGCTCTTAGGATGCACTCACAAAAGCATCTTGTCAAGTCTTTTTCTTAAAAGTTTCTCATTAAAATGCCATCACATCTACTGATTTGTGCTTCTGTTCTTTAAATTTGTCAAACATTGAATTAATGCATTTGAGGCTTATCAGAATATCCTATAATTGGCTGGGCACCATGGCTCACGGCTTTAATCCCAACACTTTGGGAGGCTAAAAAGGGCAGATCACTTGAGGTCAGGAGTTCAAGACCAGCCTGGCCAACATGGTCAAACCCTGTCTCTACTAAAAATATAAAAATGAGCCTGTCGTTGTGACAGGTGCCTGTAATTCCAGCTACTTAGGAGGGTGAGGCAGGAGAATCACTTGAACTCGGGAGGCGGAGATTGCAGCGAGCTGAGATCGCGCCACTGCACTCCAGCCTGGGCAATAGAACGAGACCCCATCTCAAAAAAAAAAAAAGAAAAGAAAAGAGAATGCTATAATAATTAAATATTTGAGGCTTATAATTTTGTCGCCCACATGGCCATGCTATGAGGTGTAGACTATAATTCCTTCCATTTTTGAGATGAGAAAAAAGGCTCAGAGAGGTGGGGTGACTTGCCCAAGGACACTATATAAGTGTTAGCTGTTATCATTGCTAAATAGTTCATTGCTGAGTGGAGCTCAAACTGATTAAAACATTGGTTCTCAACTCAAGGCAAGTTTGCATGCCAAGGGGTGTTGGCAGCATCTGGAGACATTTTTGGTTGTCACAACTAGGGGAGTGCTCCTGGCATCTAGTGGGTAGAAGCCAGGGATGCTGGTAAAAATCCTACAGGGCACAGGACAGCCACGCATGACAGAGAATGATCTGGTCCAAAATGTCAATAGTGCCAACACTGAGAAGCCCTGAATGAAATGGTTGATGTTGATGGTGGTAATGTGATGATATTTCTATCATGCAGAAAATGGCAGAGCTCAGACTGGATTAGATTGATTTAGTCCCTTGATGGGGACCTGGAGGCCCATGGAGAGATAGGATCTATCTAGGGTCACACAGCCAGGTGGAGACAGCTGGGCTGCAAGGGTAGCCCAAGGCTCCTCTCACCGAGATCTCTGTTCCTCTGTATTTCAGCTGTGCCCAGTGGTCCAGTTCTGGTTCTACATTATCTATCAACAGTTGAACGTTCTGAAAAGTGAGTTGTGCCGATGGCTTGAGACCAAATCTGTTTAGACCGTTGCATACCCCCTTCCCCCACTCCTGCTTTCTCCCCTTCATGGCTGCCAGAGAGATTTTTCTGGATCACATCTCTGATCAAAATCTTCTGCAGATGACCAGGAGGATCAAGGGCACACCCCCAAGGCTGGCAGTTGAGATCTCTCCTGCAACTGCTCCATCCAGCCTTAGTCTTGTCTTTCTTCTTGCTGCTCCAGCTGGTTGGCCTCAGCCACCCCCATACATGCCAGCCCCTTTTGAGACACAATGGCTTTGCTCTTGGAGACTTCCTACACCCTCTTTCTGTGCCTGGAAAACTCTTTTACCCCTTCAAGGTGTGACTCCCATGATTTGTCCTTCCAAAACCTTTGCAGATCTCTCCAGGCAGAAGGACTCCCTCCTGAGGACTTCTGCAGGACTGTGCACACCCATCTGGTATTCATCATATAGCTTAGTAACTCTCTGTTTCTTGGCTGTGTCTTTAATCTAGACCAGAAGCTTGTTAAGGGTTGAGACTTTGTTGTACTCTCTCTTGTATTTGTCTCATAGTCCTTGCTGGGCACAGAGTAGACCCACCATGTCAACTTTGTTGGCATAGGAACTGGAGATGAAAGGAAGAAATGTGGATGGACAGAAGTATGAATGAATGATAAAATAGAAAAATGAAAAGATGAATGGAAGAATGTATGGATAGAAGGGTGGATGAGTGATATTTAAATAGAAGGAAGTATGGATGTGAAATGATGGATGGAGAACAAAGGAAGGGAGGGAGAGAAGGAGGGAGGGAGGGAGAGAGGAAGAAAGGGAGGGAGAGAGGGAGGGAGGGAGGAAGGGAGGGAGGGAGGAAGGAAAGAAGGAAGGAAGGAAGGCAGGCAACTTGGATAAAAGGTGAAGAATATGTGGATGGATGGATGGGAGAAGCAAAGGGAGAAAGTTGGAGAAAAGTATGGAAAGAGAAGGAAAGAAGGAAGGTTGAATAGGAGGATGAATGGATTAAAGTGTACATAAATGGTGGTTGGAGAGGTGAGTGAATGAATGAAGGAAAGATTTATTACTGGATGTGTGGGAAGATGAATGGTGGCTAGGTGGATGGATAAATAATAGATGGATTAATGAATGGGTGAAGGAAGAAAAAAGCTATAGAGATGGATGAATGAAAAAGAAGGAAGAAAAAAAGGAAAACTTGGTGGCTGGGTGGATGGATGGGAAGATGTGTAGAAAGATGCTGGTTAGGCAGGCAGTAAGGAGAGCTTCATGGCTGGACAAGGAAGAGAGATGGATTACAACATGCCAAGTTGAGAACGCTCCACTGTCTGAGCCAGAAGACAGTGGGCTTTATAGCTGCAATGTAACAGTTTGGGAATAATCTCCGTCTCCTGCATAAATCTATGGATGACAAGGGAAAATGAATGAGCTTCATAAGTCTCCACCTCAGTTGACTTATCTCTTATGTTTCTCTTGTCCGCCCTTCCCGTCGCCCCCTGTCTCCCTCTGTCTCCATCAGATGTCCACTTACTCAGATTATTTAGGGACCACCTCTCACCTCTCTCCCAAATACCCCTGTTGTCTCAGCAGTATCACTGCCTGGAGTTTCAGGTAGGAGCAGCTGCTTCTCTCCTAAGGAATGTTCTGGGATTCGCCTCTGAGATTTTCTTCACATCTGAAACTAGCTCAATGGTGCCCCATCACTCACTTGAGTCTCCCAAGCAAATGTGCCCACAGCTGTCCCCTTAAAAGAGGGAGTATGTGCCATGGCTTCAGAGCCAGGCAGGCTCTGCTTCTGCTTGACTGTGCAACCCTGGGCAAATCCCTTTACCTTTCTAAGCCTCGGTTTCTTCCTCTATCAGGTGAGGATGATTAGCATTCCCCATATAAAGCTAATTCATCACTTGCAAGACGTGCATTTTCCTTACATTGTAAATATCTTAAATTGGAATGCATTGTATATTCAATGGCATTTCATAATTTAATTGGCAATTTAAAAATTTCTTAGTGGCACATTAAATAATGCATATCTTAATCAATGGTATTCTAGTGTGTGTGGAATATAATATGATGATTAGATGAGAACATGCTTGGTTATTTACCTAGCACAGCCTAGGAGCTCAAACACTAGTGGTTTATTCCTCTTTACCTTTATTATTATTATTTTTTGTATTTATTTATTTTTGAGACTGAGTCTCGCTCTGTCACCCAGGCTGGAGTGATGCAATCATGGCTCACTGCAACCTCCACCTCCCAGGTTCAAGTGATTCTCCTGCCTGAGCCTCCCGAGTAGCTGGGATTACAGGCACGCGCCACCACACCCGGCTAATTTTTGTATTTTTAGTAGAGACAGTGTTTCACCATGTTGGCCAGGCTGGTCTCGAACTCCTGACGTCAGGTGATCTGCCTGCCTCGGCCTCCCAAAGTGCTGGGATTACAGGCGTAAGCCACCATGCCCAACCTGCCCTTAGTTTAAAATATTAAATTAAGTGAGTTACTTGGCATCACAATATTCGGGGGTTTTAAGTCCATGATGGGCCTGCATCCCTTTCCTCTCAGCTTCTCCCAAGCCTTAGCATAATCCTGCCGGCCCCTCTAACTCACAGAAATTCTTGAATTACAGAGAATGTGTTTTGTTCCACAAAGTAGAACCTTCAGGGATCTTGGGGCAGAGCCATCTCTGAGTCTCCTTTCCTTGTCCATAATTCTTATATTGCAAGGTTGTTGTGAGGATTAAATGAGAGGCACATAGTCTAGCATACAATAGGTGCTCAACTAATGTGGGCTATCTGGTTTTTTCCCCAGGACAAATACTTCCCAGGCTCTTTCATTAACTGGCTGCTTGAAAGTAAGTTTTGTTTTCTCATATCCACCCCACTGTCTCCCAGTCCTGCCTCCCTCTTCAGGGCAGGACAGTCCTTCCTCAAACATTGGTGTAAAACCGTAGGACCTCAGAGCACCTACCTGACACAGAATTTGTGCCCTGATCAATAGCACCAAAGCAGGGTTTCTGAATAGTCAATTTCATGGTGACCAGTGTTGCAGTGTGGTTCCTGAGATAGCCCACTCCACTATGATTACTGTTACAATGCATTCTAGGGCCATCCTATTCCGTAGTGATTCTTGTTATTGAGGGATCTCTGGAGTGTCCATCCCATAGTGGCCAGTGTTAGGTTCGTGGGATAGCCCACTCTACAGTGATCAGTGTTAGGGTGGGTCTCCTGAACTGACCTACTGCGCAGTGAAGGGTTTTATCATGAGCTTCCTGTGATCACGCACTCCAGGATGACTAGTCTTCTGGTGAAATTGCTGAAATTTCCCATTCCATAATGATCAGTGCTGTGGGATTCCTGGGATAGCCTGCCCCACAGGGAAGACTATTATAGTGAAATTCCTAAAATATTTCACTACTGTGGTCTGTTATTGAAATAACTGACTCCGTAAAGAAGGCATTACCATCGGACTCAGGACTAGCCCCTTCCCTTGGTGTTAAAGTGAAACGTTATGGTTATTACGGTTTTGGTGTTATAGCTACGTTCCTGGGCTATGCCACTTTTTGGTGAAGAATGCAGGGCTGGAATTCCTGGGATAGCCCACTGCTCTATTGTGAGAAGCTTTCCAGAACTGATTTCTGAGTCTGGAGGAATTTTTAAAAAATCACTGTGCTTTCATTACATTTCCCAAATCTCCTATGCTTACTGCTGAGGCAAGAGCGGAGGGAGGTAGGCAAAGAAGGAGAGTTGTCCTGGACCAAACTTCTGGACTAACTGCCGTTATAGGGTGCCTTGTGCCACTTCTCAGTTTCTCACCGAGGCTGGGCACCAGGCAGGAGGCAGGAGAAAAGATGGGACACTCCTCTCCCCCAAGCAGGCGGGGAAGCCTATTGTTCCCCTGGGGAGACAGGGAAGCTTTTAAGCCCTCTTGCTGTTTCTCTGGGACTTCTCCAACAT
This sequence comes from Homo sapiens, assembly GCF_000001405.40. Taxonomy (NCBI): domain Eukaryota; kingdom Metazoa; phylum Chordata; class Mammalia; order Primates; family Hominidae; genus Homo; species Homo sapiens. The sequence goes on from NC_000020.11 coordinate 33,156,941, forward strand.
TATGGTGAAAGCCAGAAAAGGTGAGCAGAAACAGCCCTAAGCCAGGCATCCTGAGACCTAGGTTTTAAGACCCAGTTCAGACACTAACTCTCTGGGAGAACTTATGCCAGCCCCACCCTCTCTCTGGGCCTCTCTCCTCTCATCTGTAAAGTGTGCCGAGTCTCCAAAGGCCTTTCTTTCAATAAGAATGTTGGGAAGGTGAAAAGCAGGGCAAAACCTTGGCCGCAACAAGTCTTTCTCATGGTGGCGTCTTCTAATGTCTTCTGTGCTGTCGGTTGCAGTGACCCCTCAGTCTTCCTATTTCTAGGATGAGCATGGGACCCCGCCAAGACTATGGTAAGGATGTTCAAACGCTGGAGCATCACTGTGGGACTCCCCTCTAAGTGGCTGTGACCTTGATCTACCCACCAATGATTTCCCGCAGCCAAACCACAAATAGTTCCTTCATTAGAGCTTATGTTTGGATATGCCCAAAGCTGATAAGCTGGGAAATTTCCCAAGGGAAGGTAATTCAGCATGGAGCTGATGGAGGTAGAAGAGCCTCTAAGAAGCAGACTAAAGGAATGGTGCCTGACAGGGGAAGGGAAGTGAATGCCCCTTCCACTTCAGACAGATGGTCGGATTTATAGCTTAGGATTTGAGTATTCTTGAGGACCATCTGAAGCTGATGAGATGTTCCATCCAGCAGGTCAATGGCCTTGCAGTAAGATGTATGAAGCCAGGTTACAAGCCTGACTTTAAGTCTGTTAGAACTAAAGGAAGTAGAGGCCAGGCATAGTGGCTCCTGCCTATAATCACAGCACTCCAGGAGCCTGAGGCAGGAGGATCGCTTGAGCCCAAGAGTTTGAGGCCAGCCTGGGCAACATGGTGACATCCTATCTCTACAGAAAATACAAAAATTAGCTGGGTGTGGTGGTGTGTGCCTGAAGTCCCAGCTACTTGGGAGGCTGAGGTGGGAGGATGGCCTGAGCCTGGGGAGGTCAAGGCTGCAGTGAGCCATGATTGCACCACTGCACTGCAGCTTGGGTGACAAAGCAAGACCCTGTCTCAAAAAAAAAAAAAAAAAAAAAAGACCTGAAGGAAATTGGTGCTAAATGTAAAGTTACCTGGAACCCTTGGACTGTCTGCATTTCCAATTAACCACATCTCTGCACTCTGCTTTCCTCTCCTGCATAAGCAAGGTGCTCCCAAGCCACTTTCTCAATGAGTAAGGTTCACTTTAGGATCTGCCAAGGGAAATAAAGTAAAGAATGCCAAGATTATATACATTTAGAATTCCAGAAGGTCAGAATCTTGGCCTTAGAGATCCTGGGAACTCCAAGACCTTGGCAATGGGTGGGAATGAGCAGAGGTGCTGGACCTGCTGGGTCCACAGGATTGAAGCCCTGCATCCTTTAATTGCATGAAACTCTCATGATGCAGTAGTGTGTTGGGAACTGGGTGGCCCCTGTCATGGCTTTTTGGTGTGGCAGTGAAAGGGACAGGCTTTAGGGTCAGGTAGACCTAAGTTCAAATTCCACCCTTCCAATGACTCGGAATCTCAGGTTCCTCTTCCACAAAATGAGAGTGAGAATGGCACCTATTTTATAGGAAAATTGTGAGAAAATGCATGAAGAAAGCCTATGCTCAGAGCCTGGGTGACAGCGTGAGATGCTGTCTCAAAAACAGAAAAGAAAAAGAAAAAGAATGAAAGGAAATGAGCGCTAAATGTAAAGTTACCTGGAACCATTGCATTTCCAGTTAACCACATCTCTGCACTCTACCTTTCCTCCAGAGAACCAGAGGGTGGTAAAGCAGCTCTACCTCAAACACCCCAATCCCTGTGGTACTAATGGGGGAAACAGACCAGAAGGGCATGGAAGACTCAGCGAAGACACTGTAGGGTGCCCCCTGCCTGAGGCTCCGGTCACCTCTCCCCTCCTGCAGCTCCTGCCTGCTGTCAAGAGGACCTGGGTGTGAAGCCCAGCTCTGCATCCTTCCAGCTGTGCAGAAGTGGGCCAGGCACCTCACCTCACTGGGCCTCAGTTTCCTTGACTGTTAAACAAATATGACCACTGGCAGATTGTCTAAACACCACCAGGCAGAGGGGACAGGCAGCTTGAGCTAAGGTGTGGAGTGGGGAACCGCAAGGGGCTGTGAGAACCCACAATCACACTCTCTGCCTCTCCCTGTTCCCCGTAGACAAGCACAGTGACAGAAGCTGGACACTGCCTGTCCTTCCACGTCTCTCCCGCTGCTGGCCACACACAGGGAGCAGCAGGTATGGCCTGGGCACCGGCAGGGCTCCCAGGCGGAGGGATTGGGGTGAGAGCAGGCACAGTTCTCAGATTTTGCCACAAGGTAGAGTTGTGACCCTGCTACTCCATGTTTCTCATACCTGTTAGAATTTAAGGATATTTGCATAATGCAGCATTTTATTTTTATTTTTATTTTTTATGCCAGGCACTGTGCTGGGCATTTGGCTTTCAGGATCGCATGTGATTTTCATAGCCACCTCTCAAGGTCAGCAGTATCATTATCTCTATTTTAGAGATGAGGAGACTGAGGTTCAAAGTGGTGATGGGACTGCATGGATGGACTGGGGAGTCTGACTGGGGAGTCAGAATTCGGCTCAAATCCCAGCTCTTCAGCCTATCAGGACACATAACCTCTCGTGCCTCAGGCTCCAAAGGGGAAAAATGGGGCCAATGATAGCAATAATATTTTGAATAGACCTTAGCTCTTTGTGGATTGTTTATCCTATGCCCAGCCATGGATCATTTCATTCCGCCCTTTACCCCCCTTAAGAGGCAGCTGTTGATACATATTCATTCTGCAGATGAGGAAACTGAGGCCCAGTGAGGTTAGCTGCTGCCTGGCCCACTTCTACACAGCTGGAAGGAGGCAGAGCTGGGCTTCACACCTAGATCCTCTGGCAGCGAGCAGGAGCTGCAGGAGGTGGTGGGTGTCTGGGGCCTGGAGCAGGGGGGACCCTACTGTGTCTTGGCTGAGTCTCCCATGCCCTCTGGCCTCAGTTTCACCACTGATACCACAGGGATTGGGATGTTTGAAGTGGAGTGCCTTCACGGTCCCCTGGTTCTCTGGAGAAAAATGCAGTGCAACAGCCAAGAAGCCATATCCAGGAGGCTCCTGGAGTTGCGGGGGTGGACCCTGCAGCAAGAAGAGGGCCCTCAGCTCCTGGGTGTCTCCCCATGCCCCAGCCAAAGCCACCCAGAGCTCAGTCCACACTGGGCCTCCCTAGTGTCACTTGGGTGCATGGCTGATGACACATATGACCATGTTTGTTTTCTCAACCTTTTCGTCAGGACCGCCTTTGTGAACAACCTGAGGGCCCTGCAGGCTGCGGGGAGAGTCACGTGGAGCCTGAGGGTGGCACAAGGAAGGCAGAGAAGAAGCAAGTGGAGCTGGCCTTCAGGGTTCCTGAGTCTCCACAGGCCCAGGGCACCTGTTCTTGGTCCAGCAATAAATGCTCAGATGGATGGCGAGGACTTGGGTCACCACAGGATCCACTATGGGAGGCTCCTGGGAAATATCACCATCACGACATTCATTCTTTCAGGCAGTAAGCATAGCCAGGTCCCATTTGATATGAATCTGACCTGCAAATCTGCAACAGTGTCCTGCAACATATTAAGTTTTACATGGTGACCAGAAAGTTAAATAAAACATCCCCTCCCCCCACCTTTTCCATTGTTAAGAACACACACCTAACTTGCTCAAGTCCCTCCCTTCTCAGGAAGAATAAAGGTCCCTTCTGTAATTCCACACTCCCTCCACCAACCTCCTTCCCTCTCTCGTCCCTTCGCAGCCAAAGTTCCTTAGAGCTGTGCTTCTCCACCTTGAACACACAAATGAGCCACCTGGGCTCTTGTTAAGATGCAGGTTCTAGAGCAGTTGGTCTGAACTAGGGAGAGGCCAGCGGTCCATGGGCCACCCTTTGAGCAGCATGCTTATTTTGGATACATCCACCCCACCACCCATCTTGTTTCCACTGGTTGCCCCACCAAACTCGGCCTTACCAGGTCCTCCGTGATCACCAGGTAGAGGAAGTCAATGGATCATAGATGAGGTCAGCCTCATCTTGACCATAGCACACATACCACTTCCTCCTCCATGAATCCAGTTCTTCCCTTGGCCTTACTCCCCTGGCTCTCCTCCTCCTCCTCCTCTGACCATTCTACCTCTGCCTCTTTGCAGATGTAATATTTTCAAATCGGCCAACCAGTGGCTTCCTTCACCCTGGCCACTTTGGTTGGTTCATTGCTCCGCATGTAACCCCAGCAGGACCAATGGGAATCAGTCCTAGAACTTGTGAAGAGATATTAGGAAAGACATACTTTCTTCTGCTAGACTATTAAGAGAGAATGTGGACCTGAATCTGTTGGTGGCCATCTCTGCCACCTCTTTGGGGAAGTCAGTTTGAGGAGAAACCCCAAGCCAAGTCATGGAAAGAAACAAAGGCCTGGAGATTTCTTTTGAGCACCTAGATTCAGCCATGCCTGAAACCCGTTGGCCTGCTAGTTACATGAGCCAATGACTTTCTTTCACATCTAAGTCACTTTGGGTTGTGTTTTCAATTACAAATATAACCCAAAGAATCCTGACAAATGCAACTGACAAACATTTCAGTTTATTGGCAAGCCATGGTGGGAAACCAGAGATGAACCCCAGAGAGAACTTGGCCTCCTGGAGTTGACAATGGAGAAGAGACAGCTGTGGGTGTGTAGGCAAGGAAGACACCTGTTCAAAAATGACAAGGCAGAACGTGAGAAAAGGTCAGCTGGGTGGCTCAATGAAGGCTTTATATAAGAGGTGCTTGCAGGATGGGGAGAATTTGCAGGGGGGTGACATCCTCAGACCTGGCCCTTGGCACTGGGAAGAGTTGATGCAAAGAAATTCTGCGAGGCCAGAGAGGAGGCTTTGGGAATTGTCCAGCAGAAACAGAGAAGTCTGAGGTGGTAAGCCAAGACCCCACAGAAACAAGTCCTTCGAGGGTCCCGGACGAAAAGACAAGGAGCTATGGTACTTCTCCCATGGTTTTGATTTTTTTGTTTTTTTGAGATGGGGTCTCGCTCCGTCGCCGAGGTTGGAGTACAATGGTGAGATCTTGGCTCACTTCAACCTCTGCTTCCCGGGTTCAAATGATTCCCCTGCCTCAGCCTCCCGAGTAGCTGGGACTACAGGCACCTGCCACCACACCCGGCTAATTTTTGTATTTTCAGTAGAGACGGGATTTCACCATGTTGGCCAGGCTGGTCTTGAACTCCTGACCTCAGGTGATCCACCCGCCTTGGCCTCCCAAAGTGCTGGAATTACAGGCATGAGCCACTGTGCCCAGCCTCTCCCATGGTTTTTATTCCCCCTTTTGATTGAGTGGCCACCACACGATGCTCCAGGATTCTGCATTCCCCCTTTAATTTAATGCCTCCCCAGTCCCTACTAGCCAGGATTAGCACCGATTTTAGAGAGCAGAAGACACTGTCTCAGACAGCGGCCATGCCTTGCCTAACATCACACAGCTGGCCAGTGGCGGAATCTAGAATGAGGCTCTGCCCTCTTTCCCACCCTTAATCCTGCCGCTGGGCACAGCACTTCTGAGTTATCTTTACTGAGCACTTATGATGTGCCCGACACTGGGCTAACTCTTTTCCAGGCTTAAGTCCCAGATCAGCTATGTCAGGCAGATGATCATGGTCACCATTTTGCAAATGAGGAAATGCAGGCCCAGAGAGGCAATGCCACCATTCCAGAGTCACACAGCTAGAAAGCAGCAGGGTTAGGACCCAAATTGAGGTCTGGCTGGTTACCCAAAGCCCCTGCAAGATAAATATACCCAGACTTAGCCACGTTTTGGAATCCTCCCATCATTTGTCTTCTACATGATCTGTCTCCACCTACCCCACAGTGTCATAGCACTTCCTCTTTCACTCCCAAAGTGCTAACTTCGACCCCATTCAGTGCTTAAAGGAAGGACCTTCACCAGGGCTGGGCACTGTGCCAGGGACAGCAGCTCCCCATTTGCTTGGGGCCATCAATGCACAGAAAATTTGCAAGAACTGTACCTGCTTTGTGGAAAGTAATTGTCAGTGTGCGTGTTGGCCTCTGCCCCTGCTGGTGGGGTCTAAGGATGGACACATGTGGGGGTGCTCTGTGGGGCCCAGAGCCCCACACAGGACAGGACCCAGGTGAGACGCTCTGTAAGTGTGTGACGAATGAATGAATGACAGGATGGGTGGGTGGAGGGAAGGAAGGACTCTTCTTGTGATTCTGGGTCTCATCTACATTCATCTATTCAGTCTGTGGATTAACTTGCTTTTCTCACTTTAATTAATTGTGGTATTTATTGGGATCCACCAAAAGCCAGGCCCCAGGCTGGCTGCTGAGGACACACAGATGGCAGAATCATGATCCCCAACCTTAAGGAGCCCCAGTCCAGCGGAGGAGAAAGGGCTAACCCACAACCCTTCAACCAGTAAGCTTTTATGAAGGGATTTCTCTGACACAGGCTTGGGGCTGGGGGTGCTAGCGCAATGGAGATGAATCGAAAGGACCCACACAGCCCAGGGAGGATTCCGACTGTTAGAATATAAATGGCAGTGCTGCCGGGCACGGTGGCTCATGCCTGTAATCCCAGCACTTTGGGAGGCTAAGGCAGGCGGATTACTTGAAGTCAGGAGTTTGAGACCAGCCTGGCCAAAAGGTAAAACCCCGTCTCTACTAAAAATACAAAAATTAGCAGGGTGTGGTGGTGCATGCTTGTAATCCCAGCTACTCGGGCGGCTGAGGCAGGAGAATCACTTGAATCCGGGAGGTGGAGGTTGCGGTGAGCCGAGATGGACTTTGTTTAAAATATATATATATATATATGTACAGTATAAATGGCAGTGCACTGTGAGTAGCTCAGAGCATGGACTCCGGAGCCAGGTTTTCTGAGTTCAAGCCCCAGCTCTGCCACTTACTAGGTGTGTGACCTTAGGCAGTACACATTACCTCTCTGTGCCTCAGTTTCCTTGTTTATAAAATGGGAATAAGACAGTCCCTGCCTCTGGTTGCTGGGAGGAGTAAATGGAGAGAATATGCCTTCTTGCCAGACATGGGCCGATCGAATCAGCTCACCTACTGCCCTGGAGTTGGCCTGTCTCTGGGACAAGGACTGAGCTTCAGACATCTTTGACCCCATCACAGGGCTTGGGGTGCCCACTAAAGGGTTGTCAAAAGCATGAGTGGCTCCAGCAGAAAATAATTTGCACTTGTAAAGTGAATGAACAATAAATAAATGGACAGATGACTAGATACAGGGCCAGGCCCACTTTAGCAGGGAGGATCTGGAAGATGAGAGAGGGCACAGAGAGATTGAGGGGCCAAATTCCAGGGAGTGAGGTGAGAACAGGGAGCGACCCAGAGAGCTCGCTCATGTCAAGAGGCCCACCCACCTGGGGAAGACAGAAAGTCAATGCCCATGAGGGGAACCAGACCCTGTGCTGGGTACTGGGACCTCGGAGATGCTGTGGTCTTGCCCTCAGAGAGTGGGACTGGCGAGACGTGGCTGACCTCCCTCCCTCCCTTCTTCTCTTCCTTTTCTCCTCCCTTTCTTCTTCTCTCTCCACATCCCCTCTCTCTCTTTCTTTCTTTCTTTCTTTCTTCCTTCCCTCTCTCCTTTCCTGCCTTTCTTCCCTCCCTCCTTCCCTCTCTTTCCTTCTTTCCCTCCCTCTCTCTTTCCTTCCTCTCTCTTTTTTCCTCCTTCTCTCTCTCTCTTTTTCCTTTCTTTCCTGCCACAAACATCATTTGACTCCTGCTGTAGACCAGACCCTGTGCCAGCTCTGGGGGAACGAAGGTGAACGAAGACAAGGTGCCCAGACTTCAAAGGACCCAGGGGAGGACCCTGACCCGGTGAAAACTCCTTTAAATTTTCTCTGGGAGTGTTGGATGAAGCATTCAGGGAACATTCCATGGGACAGGAGGAAGAAGACTCCAGCCTGCAGTGGGGCAAGGCCCCCTCCATCTGTCAGTCCATAGGAAGTGGCTCTCCATATTCTAAAGGCAGGACTTGAGAGGGGTCTATTAGTGTCCAGATGTGGAATCCGGGACTTAGGGAAATACTTGAGCGCTGAAAGAATAAACTGTGTCACCAGAAGAAAACCCGGCAAAGTCAAAATTACCAAAAGTTGAATTAAAGGTCTTCAGACTGTAACATTGTGACAACTTTATTAATTGCTCTATTTAGCAGTCACAGGAAGGACAGTAACGTGTGAACAGGTTTTGTTGCTTTGATCTTTCTTATTTGCCCAGAATTCCTGAGTAGGCAGTTCAAGTGTGAGAAACCAGGACCTACTAGAAATTGGATGGATGATTCGTACTTGACTGATTTCACAGGCAAAATGGTGACAAGCCTTTCAGCAATTTTACTAGCAAAATAAGGCAATTATCTTTGATGGGTGCAATGGGAGTGCACACCTGTGTGTTTGTTATCTGGAGAAGGGGTGGGGGCTGCTTCTGTCCACAGGAGAAGGAAGGTCAGTGGGCAGTCTGGTCAGCTGAGCACCCCCCAGCCTGGCTGGCCCCTCATGCAACCCCAGCCCTGTCACTCGCTTTCTCTGGTCTCAGTAGGCTGCATGACCTCTTAGGCTGTTTCTAGCCAGGGCACTGAGCCAGGTATGGAAAAAGATACCAGCTTGGAGGTTAAGGCTGGGCCAGTGGGATCAGGAAGCTGCCCCAGCTGGGGATTAGCAGTCACGCAGCAGGTAGGATGTCCTAGTCTTGGCACAGCTAATCTTTAATGCCTCACTGGGAATTTTCAATAAGAAATTCATCTCGCGACCCTCATGGCTGGGGCCTTTGTCCCTAAGAGGCAAACATCTTCTATGTGAGAAGACTTTGTGTAACCTGGAGAGGGAAGAAGAGGAGGAGGAGGAGCACACAGGAGGAGTTGTCACTGTTTCTTTTTCCGGAATGACTCAGACCAGCCAGCCTGAACCTCGGGTGACCTCTGAGGATCCCAACCTCCCCACCCACCAAGGACCCTATATTATATATTATATAATATTAATCTTATGACAGATGCTCCTCATTTTATTTTATTTTTGTTTGTTTGTTTGAGACGGAGTTTCGCTCTTTTGCCCAGGCTATAGTGAAGTGGCACAATCTTGGCTCACTGCAACATCCACCCCCTGGGTTCAAGTAATTCTTCTGCTTCAGCCTCCAGAGTAGCTGGGATTACAGATGCCTGCCCCCACACCCGGCTAGATTTTGTATTTTTAGTAGAGACAGGGTTTCACCATGTTGGCCAGGCTGGTCTCGAACTCCTGACCTCAGGTGATCTGCCCGCCTCGGCCTCCCAAAGTGCTGGGATTACAGGTGTGAACCACCATGCCTGGCCAGATGGTCCTCATTTTATAATGGGTTGTGTCCCAGTAAACCCATAGTAAAGTTGAAATATTGAAGTCAAACCATCGTAAGCCGGGACCATATGCGCACATATTCATCAGCATCTTCTTCGCCATCTTTGCTGTTGCCGTGCATCATGGGCCTACCCTATGCTAAGCCTTCATGGGTATTACACTAATTTGACCTCACAGCATGCCCTTGAGGTGAGCACTGTTCTTAGTCCCATTTCACAGATAAAGAGCCTGAGGCTCAGCAAGGTGCGGTCTCTGGCCCAGGTCACATGGCCAGCAACCAGCAGAGAGAGAGTATTCATGCCCAGGACAGCCCAAGCCCAGTGCCAGGCTCTGAGCACTGCCCTCAAAGCCCCTCACCATCGTTTTGATTTCCTAGGTCCTTGCCTGTCCACCATGCCTCTGAGATCCAGGAACAGCGTGTTTACCCATTTTACAGATGAGGCAACTGAGGCCTGGGCCAACACCAGGTCTCGAGGTCACTGCATCATGCTCAGCACCCTGGGCTATGTTCCTGGGCTGGGACAAACTGCCTTCACAAGATTTCAGCACAGCCCTTGGCTCTGTGCTTCACAACTGGGGGAAGAGCGGGGCTCAGACGTTTGGAGAACCCGGTGTCAGGCAGCCAGGGAAGGAGGTGTGACAACCATTCAAGACCACAGGCAAGACTGCAGCAGGGGTCTAATGGTCTGGGCTCTTGGGGCCTGGCCATCACCTTCCTGCAGCCGCCCAGCTCTGTGCTGTAACAGTGGAGCCATGGTCAGTGTAGGAACAGCCAGCTCCTGGAGCCACTGGTCTTGTCCCACCGTTTGCTTGGTTGCATCATTTTGAGGACAGGCCCCCCAGGTCCTTGCTGAATTGCAGGTGGGTGAGCAGAAGGGCAGAGACCTATGGTGACCCTGAGCTCTGTGCCAGTCCTTCCCAGCCTGAGGCCAAGTGGGCACCCACCCGAGTTTCCTGTGCTGTTCCGGGTTGACACAGGCCCAATGCAGCAGGCGTTACAACCAACCCAAACATCAGTGGCCGAAGCAAAAACAGGATACTCAGGCCCAGGGACTCTCCCTCTCTGCTAACTGACCTCAGCCTGATATGGGTGGAAGGGTCTTCCCTGGTGGCCCAAATGCCTGGTTCCTGTCCTTGCAAGTATGGACAAGCCACCTCCCTCTCTGAACTTCAGCTTTCTCAACTGGAAAATGGAGCTCTGAAAACCTGCCTTACAGAGTTTTCATAAAGACTAACAGAAAAGTGCATCTAAAGTGCCCTTTAGGGACACCAAGCCCAGTGTCAGCACAAGCAGCTGCCAGGCATCTGCTGCACCTGCCGGGTGCAGACCCCTGGGGGCAGGACCCCTGGGAGGCTGTCTGACTCCTTGTGGGCCACAATTCTAGACCCATCTCGGTCCCTGTCTTGCTGAATGACCCCAGGCTGGTGGCTTCCCCTCTCTGAGCCTCAGTTTCCAAATGATGACGGAGTTAGACCGGATGGTCATTATGGGTCCTCCTGCCAGGACATTCTCCAATTCATTCATTCTCAGTCTTCTCCCAGTCCTCACCCACAAGGACCAAGGACCACCCCCTCGGTAGCTGCAGGCTCCATGAGGACCTGGTCTTAGTCTTGGCGGAAAGCCCTCTCCATAGCCATCCGTTTCAATTCAAGCATCCTGGGTGACCTTTGAGTTGGAAATCTCTCTCTCTGCTCATCCTGGAGAGGGGTTATTTTCCTTGGAGTGTCCTTGGATGATCCCAGAACCAAGGCTTGCTTCTGTGGGCAGCCTTCCATCCCATCTCCACCATATAATAGCCGCCACCATTCAGCAGAATCCCAGCAGACTGTGCAGTGGGGCAAGGATTTCATGAGCATCCTCCTCTAAACGCGTGAGTGGCGTGCTCCCCCCAGTGGCACCACACGTGGTGGTCTTTGGAAGGCTTTGGGGGCAAGAGGCAGAGGGGTGGGATTGCTTGGGTTAGCTAATATTTTGAATACAGCAGAGATAATCAATATATCTCTAAATGTGCTCTAAATGGCAAGTTCGTGATGAGTACTCACTAAAGATTCCATTTCCCTCTGGGCAATTCTTACTCCTGTTCTTCCCATGACTGTCCAGGTGTCAAGACAAATGGCAAATCAGAGTAAATTTAGAGATCTATAGATTATATTAAAATAAGTGTCAAACTAATGAACAATGCAGGGTCATGAGGTGGTCTCCATTGATTTGTTCATACTTATATTCAACAAAGATTTATTCGTTTACTGTACTGTACTAGGTGCAGGCTTTTTACTGGCGCCTGAGGATTCGACAGTGAAATAAGTCACAGTCCTTCCTCTAAGGAGTTCACAGCCTGGTAGGAAAGGTGGTCAAATCATCAGGGAAGTGTTATCCAAGACCTTGATCAGGATAATGAAGGCAGCAAGGTGGGACTCCTCCAACCTAGAATCTGGGAAGGGGCCTACAGTAGGCTTCACAGAGGGCATGATGTAGGAATTGACCTAAGTGGAAAAGTAAAGAAGAAGAAAAATATTTTAGGCAGAGAAGACAGCGTATGAAAAGGAACTTTGTGTCAAGAGTATGGGCTTGGAGTCAAGTCTGACTTTTCAAATCCCAGCTCCTCTGCTCACTGACTGTGTGTCTCCGGGCAAGTTGCTGTAGCTTTCTGACCTTGGCTGCCCATTTGTAAAATAGGAAATAACCACATCTATCTTAATGGAATGCTAAATGTTAAGAGTGATGGGAACTCACTGAAGAGTCCATTTCCCTCTGGGCAATTCTCACTCCTGTTCTTCCCATGACTGTCCAGGTGTCAAGACAAAAGATGCTTCAGCTTTGGAAACTTGTTCTCCTGTGCGGCGTGCTCACTGGGACCTCAGAGTCTCTTCTTGACAATCTTGGCAATGACCTAAGCAATGTCGTGGATAAGCTGGAACCTGTTCTTCACGAGGGACTTGAGACAGTTGACAATACTCTTAAAGGTAAATCAACAAGGGTGATGAACAGTGTCACCTAAATTAGCCTCCTAAACACTATGCCTGCATTACCAGAGGCTGCCACCAGGGGCTACTCTTTATGGGCGGTTTACTGAGAAAAGTGGCTATTCAATTCCTGACTCATTCGTTTATCTTTCTAGAAACAAGCAATGCCACAATGAATAGCCTTTTACATATTATATCCTGATAAACGTGCATAAGATAAATTCCTACAAGTGGGATTTCAAAAGTTCAAAAACTATGCTGTTGACAAATAATCTCCTATGTTAACACTTTCTCCAACAGTCTACGAAAGTGCCTTTTTTCCCACTCCTTTTCCAGCACTGGGTATGGACAACTTTAAATATTCTGCCTGTCTCACAGATGAAAAGCTATAACTTATTTCACTTTGCATTCCTCTAATTATGAAGGAGCCCTCTTCTTTTTTCATATATTTACTATGTACTTACATATTTTAACTTGAGGATTTTGTCTATATTCTTAGCATATTTTTCTTTTGGGTTGTTTAATATTCTTTTATGGACTTGTGTTAATTCAGTGAAAATTAAGGAAATTATCCCTACCTAGCCTTGGTATCTGTAAAGCTACCTACCTTTATATTTATTTATACCTCCTTTTTATGCTAACCTATTAAAATAACTTGGCTTTCTTTTTGTTTTATGGAAACATTAGCAGCACATCAAAAACAGTTTTTGTAGGAGGAGGTAACTTCTGCAAATGGCTGCCTTTCAAACCTTGTCAAGGGCTTAGGTAACTTTCAAAGATGCAGAAAGGACTCACACTCTAATTTCACAGCTGAGAAAACTGAGGCCCAGAGACAGAAATGTCTAAACCAAAGTCACCTCGTGAATTATACGATTAGACGTAGTTATATCACCAATTTTATTTAAAGTGTCATTCTCTGAATCATTATAACTAGGTAGATATTGTCCATTACAGAGCCAAGTTACAATATTATGATTACATCTCTTTTCTTATACGGTATAGTCTTTTGTTTTTCCTTAAGTTAGTAATTGCCCTGTTGTTTCTCACTTGAATTATTTTCTTCTCATATATACTTAATTATTTTCATGAGCATCATCCTGTATCTATCATGACATTTATTATTTTTTGAGACAAGGTCTCACTCTGTCACCCAAGCTAGAGTACACTGCCAGCCTCAACCTCCTGGGCTCAACTGATCCTCTCACCTCAGCCTCCCCAGTAGCCGGGACTACAGGTGCACACCACCACACCTGGCTAAGTTTTACATTTTTTGTAGCGGTGGAGTCTCACCATTTTGCCCAGGCTGGTCTCGAACTCCCGGCCTCAAGTGATCCTCCTGCCTTGGCCTCCCGAAGTACTGGGATTACAGGCGTGAGCCACCACACCCAGTCACGACATTTATTCCCATCCCCCTGTTCTCCAGAGACCTATCATAAAGACACTTTGTCCTCCTCCTCCTATAAGAATTATTGCTTTCTTTTGGTGCAACTGCTTTTGGTGTCATGAAGTCTTTGCCCGTGCCTATGTCCTGAATGGTATTGCCCAGGTTTTTTATGGTTTTGGGTTTTACATTTAAGTATTTAAACCATCTTGAGTTAAGTTTTTAATAAGGTGTAAGGAAGGGATCCAGTTCCAGTTTTCTGCATACATCTAGCCAGTTTTCCCAGCACCATTTATTAAATACAGAATCCTTTCCCCACTGCTTGTTTTTGTCAGGTTTGTTGAAGATCAGATGGTTGTAGACATGTGGTGTTATTTCTGAAGTTTCTGTTCTGTTCCATTGGTCTATATGTCTGTTTTGGTACCAGTACCATGCTGTTTTGCTTACTGTATCCTTGTAGTATAGTTTGAAGCCAGGTAGCATGATGTCTCCAGCTTTGTTCTTTTTGCTTAGGATTGTCTTGCTATATGTGCTCTTTTTTTGGTTCCATATGAAATTTAAAGTAGTTTTTTTTTCTAATTCTGTGAAGAAAGTCAATGGTAGTTTGATGGGAATAGCAGTGAATCTATAAATTACTTTGGGCAGTATGGCCATTTTCATGATATTGTTTCTTCCTATCCGTGAGCATGGAAAATTAACAAATGGGATCTAATTAAACTGAAAAGCTTCTGCACAGCAAAAGAAACTGGCATTAGAGTGAACAGGCAACCTACAGAAGGGGAGATCATTTTTGCAATCTATCTATCTGACAAAGGTCTAATATCCGGAATCTACAAGGAACTTAAACAAATTTACAAGAAAAAAACAAACAACCCTATCAGAAAGTGTGCAAAGGATATGAACAGACACTTCTCAAAAGAAGACATTTATGTGGCCAACAAACATATGAAAAAAAGCTCATCATCACTGATCATTAGAGAAATGCAAATCAAAACCACAATGAGATACCATCTCACACCAGTAAGAATGGCAATTATTAAAAAGTCAGGAAACAATAGATGTTGGCAAGGCTGTAGAGAAATAGGAACACTTTTGCCCTGTTGGTGGGACTGTAAATTAGTTCAACCATTGAGGAAGACAGTGTGGTGATTCCTCAAGGATCTAGAACCAGAAATACCATTTGACCCAGCAATCCCATTACTGGGTATATCCCCAGAGGAATATAAAACATTCTACTATAAAGACACATGTACACATATGTTTATTGCAGCACTATTTACAATAGCAAAGACATGGAACCAACCCAAATGCCCATCAATGATAGACTGGATAAAGAAAATGTGGTACATATACACCATGGAATACTATGCAGCCATAAAAAAGAATGAGATCATGTCCTCTGCAGGGACATGGATGAAGCCAGAAGCCATCATCCTCAGCAAACTAACACAGGAACAGAAAACCAAACACTGCATGTTCTCATTCATGAATGGGAGTTTAATGATGAGAACACATGGATGCAGGGAGGGGAACAACACACACTGGGGCCATTTGGGGGCTTGGGGGCAAGGTGGGGGAGAGAATTAGGACAAATACCTAATGCAGGTGGGGCTTAAAACCTAGATGACGGGTTGATAGGTGCGGCAAACTACCATGGCACATGTATACCTATGTAACAAACCTGCACATTCTGCACATGTATCCCGGAACTTAAAGTTAAAAAAAAAAAATTATTATTATTGCTCTGTGGACCTGCTGGAAAGCTGTCATTCTGGGACTCTCGTTTTCCAGTTTCATGGATTGGAGCCATTTTTTCTCCTGGATTCTAGATTTTTCATTTCTTGAGTGTATTCTCTCATTCTTTCTAGTTTTTCAAACTCACGTGAGCATCTCACTTAGCACAATGGACCCCTAAGTCACTCCTAGACACTGGTGTACAATCAATAGCAATTGCCTGGCCAACTGGTTGATTGCACTGTTGATAAATAATCAGTATATATTATTAATAGTACGGAGGCAGTATGGAGGAAACAAGAGTTCCCTGGCTGTGTGGCTAGACACGTTTCTTAACCATCTAGAGCCTTTATTTCCTTAGCTATAAAAAAGCAGACAGTGACAATATCTACTTCACTGAGTTGTTATAAAGATTAAATGAAATAACATAGGCAAACAGTCTTACCCGGTACCTGGAGCATCGTAGCTACTTCGTAAGTGGTGCGTGACACAAAATGGCGATTGTTTTTGGCAGGCATCCTTGAGAAACTGAAGGTCGACCTAGGAGTGCTTCAGAAATCCAGTGCTTGGCAACTGGCCAAGCAGAAGGCCCAGGAAGCTGAGAAATTGCTGAACAATGTCATTTCTAAGCTGCTTCCAACTAACACGGACATTTTTGGGTGAGTTGGTCCTTCAGGGTGGAGATCTTTGCTCTAAGGAAAGGGAAAACATATCTTTGAGGAGGTAAGTTTAAGATGAAAGACAGATGGACAAGCCTCATTCCCCTCCCACAGAGCCAAGGTGGTCTGAGCAAGGCCAGACCCACCAGAGCTTGAGTAAATTAGAGGCAGGGCTACAGAGTCAATCCGGGCATCTTATGGGTTCGGGCTTCCGCTTTCTTTAATTTCAGGGTCAGGGTGAAGGTTATATTTATCCTTACCTCTACCCATTTGCTGGTACACAAAGTCCCTTTCCAAGGAATAAAACTTCCCTTTTCCATATATAACTGGGGGTAAAAGCCCAGATCCCCTTAGGGGAAGGGAACTGGAGTCTTCGCCACATAACCCCAGGCAGTGGATCCACTCACATACTTTTATTATTATTATTGTTATTATTATTATTTTTTGAGATGGAGTTTCACTCTTGTTACCCAGGCTGGAGTGCAATGGCACAATCTTGGCTCACTACAGCCTCGCCTCCTGGGTTCAAGCGATTCTCCTGCCTCAGCCTCCTGAGTAGCTGGGATTAGAGGCATGCACCACCACGCCCGGCTAATTTTGTATATTTAGTAGACACAGGGTTTCTCCATGTTGGTCAGGCTGGTCTCGAACTCCCGACCTCAGGAGATCTGCCTGCCTTGGCCTCCCAAAGTGCTGGGATTACAGGCGTGAGTCACCGTGCCCGGTCCCACTCATGAACTTTTAAAGTCAGATAGTTCTGGCCTCAAAATCTGCCTCTGGCACTTACTCCCCTAGGAATCTGGGGGAAAATCACACCAGCCTGAGCCTCAGTGTGCTGTGCCATAAAATACAGAGAATCAAACCTCTGAACAGGGCTATAGTGAAGACTAAAGAAGGCAAGGCTGACGAGACCCAAACGCTCAGCTCGAGGCTGGCCCAGGGAAGTGGTTGGCAAGTGGCTGTCATGAGGAGTGACAAGGGTGAATTGTGGGTTTCACACAGGTTGAAAATCAGCAACTCCCTCATCCTGGATGTCAAAGCTGAACCGATCGATGATGGCAAAGGCCTTAACCTGAGCTTCCCTGTCACCGCGAATGTCACTGTGGCCGGGTGAGTATGCACTAGAATCTGAGATTTGGGAAAGGCAGTGCAACCTGGCCGATGGATGCCCAACCTGGGAATCGGGCACCTCCTCCCGCTGCTGGGTGAACTTGGGCCTCAGTTTCCCAATCTGTGAGTGAGAGAACCCTTCTGGGTCTAAGATCTTAACCCTTAAAATGTTCTAGAGAACTCTGGCCATAAGCAAGTGTCTTTTAAAAACAATGCTCCATTGAATATAGTTTTGAAATCATGACATTTATCTGGTTTTAAAATTTGAAAAGTTGAGATAACAAACATTTATCATTCTTTGGCAAAATTTCCTCCAGCATTATTTTGTCCCTCAAGATTCTCTCTAAGTTGCAGTGACCACTACAGAAAAATTCATACAATAATACACAGTGTATAATAAAGTGTGTGTGTGCAAAATATAAGTTTAAACTCTTTTAAGTTTAGCTGGGAGTGGTGGCTTATACCTGTAATCCCAGCAATTTGAGAAACTGAGGTGGGAGGATTGCTTGAGCTCAGGAGTTCGTGACCAGCCAGGACAATATGACAAAACCCTGTCTCTACAAAAAATACAAAAATTAACCAGGTGTGGCAGCACACGCCTGTAGTCCCAGCTACTTGGGAGGCTGAGGCAAGAGGATTGCTTGAGCCGGAGAGGTCGAGGCTGCAGTGAGCCGTGATTGCACCACTGCATTCCAGCCTGGGCGACAGAGTGAGACCCTGTCTCACAAAAAATAAAAAATTTTAATTTTAAAGGAGATAGACAAGAAATGAGCATGTGTGAAAGCACTTCTGTAAACTACATGCACTAATGATGCCACCCATTATTTAGCTATGAGATCTTGGGATAGTTACTTAACCTCTCTGTACCAAGGTTTCCTCATTCAGAAAATAGGGATAGTAATAAATGAATCCAGGTAAAATACTTTTTTAAAGTACCTACACATAAATTGTTGTCAATAAATGTTAACTATTATTATTTTACTTATTAGTGTAATGTTGTATAAAAAATTCATATGAGCTAAACCCAAGTGGCCAGGAGAAGAAGCCCCTAATATAAACATGTAAATCTCATAGAGGATATGGACCATGTTGATATTACCTGGGCCATGTTGACATTACACATAGACATTCTGACTCATGTCCACACAGGTGGAGGAACCCAACTGGGCAACAGGCAGGAACTTCTAGACTTTGTTCACTGTGCATCTTACTTCCTGCAGGCCCATCATTGGCCAGATTATCAACCTGAAAGCCTCCTTGGACCTCCTGACCGCAGTCACAATTGAAACTGATCCCCAGACACACCAGCCTGTTGCCGTCCTGGGAGAATGCGCCAGTGACCCAACCAGCATCTCACTTTCCTTGCTGGACAAGTAAGTCCCATTCATCTTAGTAGAGCTGGGCTCTCAGGGAACTTGAGGACCCCTAATTTCAGCTCTAGTCCTCTACCTAAGAGGAGGCCTAGTGGTGAAAGTGTTCAGGCTCTGGAGTCATGTTGACCTTGGTTTACACATCAGCTCTGCCACTAACTTGTAACTTTATCACCAACTTGACCCAGGCCTGTTTTCACATCTGTAAACTGGGGGTGTTCATAATAACTACTCATAGGCTTCTGAGATGACCAGATGAGAAAATACAAATATTTAGCACGCAGCCTGGAACATGCTGCCTCTCTGCCTGCTGGTTCTCTCCATTACTGAGACTGGAGTGTTGAGCTCCCCACCATAATCATGGATTTGTTCATTTCGCCTTTCAACTCGGTCAGTTTCTGCTTCATACCCTTTGGAGCTCTGTTGTTAGGTGCATGCACATTAGGATTGTTATGACTTCTTGGAGAATTGTCCACTTTATTGTTATGTAATGTCCCTCAATAATAATAATAATAATAACGATAAAATTATATTTACCTTCTTGCCTCCAGTTGGGAGGGAGAGGGGAGAGTAAGTGCCTGCCACGGGCTCTAATTTCAGATTGTCCCCAAATCATCCTCCACCCAGTGGAAATTTCCTGAAAGGAGATCTTGAAAACTTAATCCTCTCCATTTGACTCACTGATCCCTTTTAATCCACAAAATCTACATCTTAAGCTCTGTGCCTGAAAGAGCAGGTTTGACTCAGGCAAGAGGGTGGAAGGAGAAAGAGTGATGCTGGCCGATGGCTGGGAGAGGATGAATGACCCAGAAGCTGAGGGCTGGGGCTACTTGGCCTTGGCCAGGAGCAAGGCTGGGTCCTCAGCTCTCAGCCCCTGTGGCCATGAGCAGAGGACACTCCACTCGCCCTGCACTGAGGGATCTGAACACAGGTTGCTCAAAGACCCCTGAAAACCAAAGAAAGTTTCCATAGCCTGATGTGAGTTGCGAAGGCCGGGGTGTAAATTCAGAGGCTGGAGCCTGGCTGGGTGCTATCTTCCCAAGTAGCCTCAGGGACGCCATCCTGCTGCACTAGGTCTGTGCCCACATCTGTGAGATGGCACCACTCTGAGGCTCCAGATCCTCCCAGGGTCTTTCTTTGCACTTGTGGTTCAATCCCAAGTGCTCCCCATGGTCATGAAGGCTCTGTTTGATCTGGCCCCACCCTTGTATCCCTGTACCCTCCCCTTACTCACTGTGCCCAGATACAGTGGCCTTTGTGCCATGTCTCAGATAGGCTGTTTCTCAAGGCTCTTTCCCAGCTTAAGACCTTTGCCTGGGGTGCTCTGGCTACCTAGAGCACCTTCTTCTCACTCCACTTTGATGGACTTTTGCATCCTTCAGGGCCTTCCCAGGGCTCCTCCTATTCTCTCTCGTAAGAGTCTAACTCTTGCCTTTAAAGCACTCGTCACAAGTTCTCAATATATATTTAATTGTATGTTCACTTCTTTCATTCTTTCAGCCAAAAATGTATTGAGGCTGGGCACGATGGCTCCACACCGGTAATCCCAGCACTTTGGGAGGCTGAGGTGGGTGGATCACTTGAGGTCAGGAGTTCAAGACCAGCTTGGCCAACATGGCAAAATCCTGTCTCTACTAAAAATACAAAAATTAGCCGGGGGTGGTGGCGGTTTCCTGTAATCCCAGCTACTCGGGACGCTGAGGCACAAGCATTGCTTGAACCCAGGAGGCAGAGGTTGCAGTGAGCCGAGATCGTGCCACTGCACTCCAGTCTGGGTGACAGAGCAAGACATTGTCTCAAAAAAAAAAAAAAAAGTGTATTGAGCATCTGCTGTGTGCCAGGCAGGCACCATTCTGGGCTCTGGAGAACTGATTGGTGATGACAGACAAGGTCCCTGTTCTTGCGGAGCTTACCCAAGGGAAAGCTAAGCTGCCGTGGATCTGTGTCCACATCTGTGAAATGACACCACTCTACAGCTCCAAATCCTCTCAGCGCTTTTCTTTGCACTTTGGATCCAATCCAACCCAAATTCAGTCCATCGGTAAAGAACGCTCCAGGGAAATGAGTCCTGCAGAAAGCATTACCCTTAACTGGGCACTGTGATAGCAAAGCTCTCTCTTAGGTAAGCAGTCAGGGAGGGGTGCCCTGAGGAGGTGGCAATTATACTAAGAGTTGAAGGTGGGAGGAGCCAACTTTGGCAAGATTTGTTTAGGTACCACATCAGGGTATGTTTGGACCCTTAATGTTTAGGTACCAGGTTAGGGGATGTTTGTACTTTACTTATTCGGTATCCTCAGGGCCCAGCTAGGTTCCTGGTGCATAGCTGGTGCTCTGTAAATACGGGTTGAATGAGTGAACGAATAAGGTCTCTGCGCTGAGAATCTCATGAGGCACTGGGGTGAGCCGCTGGTCAGATGTGGGAGTCTAAGTGATGATCCATGTGGATGGGAGGCTCTGTCTGTTAAAGTGTCTCCATGTCCCTGGGGTTTATCTGACTCCACAGTATTTCCCGCACCGCCCCCAACTTTTTGGCAGTTCTCCCATCTCTTGCCCACTTGACCAGACTTTAATAGTTCCCTGTGTTTTCCAGACACAGCCAAATCATCAACAAGTTCGTGAATAGCGTGATCAACACGCTGAAAAGCACTGTATCCTCCCTGCTGCAGAAGGAGGTGAGTCTCCCACTCCTTGGAGCCCAGATCCAGGCCTGGTGGGGGCAGGTGGGGGAATTTGCAGGCCTGGCTGTATCCTCTGAGCACTTTTCCTTCGGAGGTGAAAGCTTCTCCTTAGGAGGTCAGCTGGAGCTTCCTCCTCTACTAATCAGCCTGGTGGGTAGCAGGGTAGAGCAGAGGCCTGACATTAGCTGAAATTGCCAGGTCCCAAACTTGAGCCTCTCACCATATCCACGCACTACCAATATGCTTTTGTAGCTAACATCTTCAACACAATTTTACTTAAATATGTTTCTTTAGAAGCATTTATTTTTAAAAATAAAACTTTATATCCCTATCATAAATAGAAAATTAATATCACATATCATACAATCAATGGACTTATAAAATAGTTTTAATTTTTTTTCCATCTGTGCATCATCCAAAACCATAGGTACCATGTGCAGGATTACTAGGCCCAAAGTTGCAGAGATTCTAAATCAGTCATTCTGGAAGCAGACCCAGGAATGTGGGTTTATAAAAGAAAAATCCTCCGGATGGCTCTGTGACCCACTGAACCGGAGTTTAGTTATATTCCAAAAGCGATCCTCCACCAGCTTCAGCCTCAGCTGGGTGCTTGATAGGAATGCGGAATCTCAGGCCACACCCCAGACCTGCTGAATTGCAATCTGCGGGGAACTGTGTACACACAGGAGCAAGAGATACTCCGCTCTACAACCTCAGGGCAAATGCCTCAGGGCACCATTTGACCCTTTAAAATTCCAGGGTTCCAAAGTTCAACATGGGAATGTTAACAATCTAGAATGTAGATTTTTGAGGTCCTAGAATTCTAGTGTTCTAAGGTGTTAGGATTCTAACACCCTAGGGTTTCCAGATTTAAGACTGCTGGGATCCCATTGTTCTAAAATCCTAAGGTTCAGGCCAGGCGCGGTGGCTTATGCCTGTAATCCCAGCTCTTTTGAAGGTCAAGGTGGGCAGATCACTTGAGGTCAGGAGTTCAAGACCAGCCTGGCTAACATGGTGAAACCCTGTCTCTACTGAAAATACAAAAATTAGCCAGGCATGGTGGCATGTGCCTGTGAACCCAGTTTCTTGAGAGGCTGAGGCAGGAGAATCACTTGAATCTGGGAGGCGGAGGTTGCAGTGAGCAGAAATCGTACCACTGTACTCCAGCCTGGGCAAGACAGTGAGATTCTGTCTCAGAAAAAAAAAAAAAAATACAATAAAACAAAATAAAATCCTAAGGTTCAAAGATTCTAAGATCCCTAGAAATGAGCTCATCTGTGGGTGGCAAGCAATTTGTTCTCAGCTGAGAAGAATGATCTGTTCTTCCTCCTACTCCTGACCCTCCTCTTCCTCCTTTCTCCGCTGTCAGATATGTCCACTGATCCGCATCTTCATCCACTCCCTGGATGTGAATGTCATTCAGCAGGTCGTCGGTAAGTCAATGGGGAAGTGGGGACCTTCTGAGGCAGGCATGGAGCTCTGTGCCCACCCCATAAGCAGTTCTGGTCAGGGGACCCTGGAGAAGCAGAAGGACCCACTGTCCTAAGCAAATTGGGAGCCATGGCTTCCCCTCCACAGGCACCCGGGGGCTCCCTTTGGCTTTTGGGTCTACAGGCATGGCTGGGGTTGCTGGGGAGAAATGGAGTAAGTAAAGCTGTCAAGACCCTGGAGGTGACCCTTCTATGAAAATAGCCACAAGTCAGCCAGGCGCAGTGGCTCACACTTGTAATCCTAGCACTTTGCGAGGCTGAGGTGGGCAGACCACTTGAGTTCAGGAGTTTGAGACCAGCCTGGGTGACACGGTGAAACCCCATCTCTACTAAAAAATACAAAATTAGCCAGGCGTGGTGGCATCCACCTGGAGTCCCAGCTACTCGGGAGGCTGAGGCGGGAGGATTGCTTGAGCCTAGGAGGCGGACATCGCAGGTAGCCGACATCATGCCACTGCACTCCGGCCTGGGTGACAGAGTGAGACCGCAATCTCAAAAAAAGAAAAAAAAAAAGAAGAAGAAGAAAGGAAATAGCCACAAGTCCAGTCCCTTAGGCAGTCACTTTGTGCTCTGTACACACTATCTCACTGGATCCTTGCAACAACCCTGTGGGGAAGGTACTGTCATTGTACCCACTTTACAGATGAACAAACTGAAGCTCAGAGAGGTGGAGCAACATCCCTGGGGTCCCACAACTGTCAGGTTACCGGCTGGAGAGCGGCATCTTTTGGAGTCTGGTCTCTATTCAATTCCAGTGGCAGAGACTAAGGCCTGCTATTGATTTTGTTTCTTCAGATAATCCTCAGCACAAAACCCAGCTGCAAACCCTCATCTGAAGAGGACGAATGAGGAGGACCACTGTGGTGCATGCTGGTGAGGAGCCAGTCTCTGTGCCCCAATGCACAGGGGCCTATGGTGAAGTAAAAGTCAAGCGTGGCTTCCCTTATTTTTGTGTTAGAAGACTGTGCCTTCATCTCAGTCATAGATTGAGCCCTGGCCCCCATCCCAGGCTAGGCCCTGATTCTGGTCACACTCTGAACACTGAGCCTTAATCACTGAACTCTGATTCTGGCCCCAGACTGAGCCTGGATCCTAGTCACAGACTGAGCTTTGATGCCAGTTATTGACTGAGCCTTAGTCTTGGTCACAGAATGAGCCCCAACCTTGGTCTCAAATGGATATCCATGATTCTGATCACATATTGGGCCCTGAACCTGGCTCCAGTAGTGGCCTCAATCAATCTTTTCACATCTACCATTGTTCTGAAGGAGGGTGAGGGGAATGAAGATGAGTCAGTGCCAGGTGCTAATGAAAGACCCCAAACCACAGGTGCCAGTTTCTTCTTCCCAGGACTTAAACCGCATGGGGTATTGTGGGAAAGAGCTGGGACACTGGAGCCAGGTCAACTTGGGTCCCATCAAGTGCCCAGTGGATGACTGACAGCTGGGTGTAAGGGCAGCCTAGCAGCAAATGTCCTAACCCCCTTGGTCTCATTCCAGATTGGTTCCCAGTGGCTTGCCCCACCCCCTTATAGCATCTCCCTCCAGGAAGCTGCTGCCACCACCTAACCAGCGTGAAAGCCTGAGTCCCACCAGAAGGACCTTCCCAGATACCCCTTCTCCTCACAGTCAGAACAGCAGCCTCTACACATGTTGTCCTGCCCCTGGCAATAAAGGCCCATTTCTGCACCCTTCTGTGTGGCTTGTTGCATTCCCTCCATTTGGGATTTGTTGGTGGGAACTGGGGAGGGAGGTTGGGGGCTGCAACTAGGGTGGGAGAGACCTGGATCCAGAGCTAGAAGGCTCAGTGGGAATATCCAGCCACATCTCCTGGTTCTATAAAGGGGGCCACTGAGACAGAGAGGGCAACAAACTAGCCCAAGTCACACAGCCAATCTGTGGCAATAGCAGACCCCTGATCTATCCATTCATGCATTCAACAGGTATGTAGTGAACACCTACTCTGTGCCAGACAGGCAATGGGAACTGGAAAGTCACATTCTGGGGACAGCCCCACCCAGCACTTTCCTCCATTCCTCTCCAGGG
The DNA here is from genome assembly GCF_000001405.40 of Homo sapiens. NCBI lineage: Eukaryota > Metazoa > Chordata > Mammalia > Primates > Hominidae > Homo > Homo sapiens. Next base: position 33,181,770 of record NC_000020.11, read on the forward strand.
GCCCTGAGGATTCTTGGAGAATCAGGGGACACCTAGCCTGACTGGAGTCAGGAGTATGAGACAGAGTGATGCAGGGTCAGAGGCCTGTGGCCCCATCTCCACCTGCCCTGTTAGCCCTGCTGCCCTCTAGGGGTCCCACTGGAGCAGAGATGTCTTTTCCAGGTGGTGCTGAGAGTTCTCAGTCTGTAGCACCCTCACCCACCCCTCCCATCACCTGAGAGCCTGTGCACCCACTTGCCAGGCTGCCTGGAGGCCCAGCCTCCCTAGTGAGGTCGAGAACCCTGGGATGCTCACCTATCCTATGGAGACCAGCTTCTCCCTCCACCCAAGGCCCCTCCATCCACACCCCAGAATGCAGCTCGGCCCATGCTGCACCAGGCTGTGGCAGAGACAGCATCACGCTGCTCACGGCAACACGTCATGGGGGACTGCCTTTGTGCGGCCCACGGGCTCCATTGATTCCTTACCACACCCATGCACCAGGAGAGCCATTATCACACCCATTTGACAGAGGAGGACTCTGAGGCTGATGGAGGCAAAGTGACTCCTCCGGGTCACACAGTGAGCAAGAGGCAGAGCCAGGCTTTGAATCCACAGCTGTAGGACCCCTGAATTTACTACAAATGAAGACATTGAGGCACAAAGAGGGCCCAGGCTCAGAGAGGTGACATCCTGGCTTCCAGGCACTTTGGCCGCTACTCTTGCCAGCCTCCAGCAGGCTCCACTTCCCTGGCCCAAGACAGATGAGGTACTCTGGGTGCTGTTCTTCTCCCCCAAGTGTAGACCCTCGGCTCTTCCTTTGCTCTAGAAGGGGCAGGACACTGTCCGCTCCCAACAATCGCGTTGGCCTCAGCAGAGATGCAACACGGGCCACACACCAATGCACACCATCGCCTCAGGATCCCAGCAGCCTCTCCTTTCCAATAGGGAACCCAGCCCCAGGAACCTTTGCCGATTTTGCCAAGCAGCCATCTCATTACTCTGCACAACTCTAGGAGGCAGGAATGTCTCTTGTCCCCACGAGAAACTCAAACTCAGAGAAGCCAAGGCCACACTGAAGCCTGCACCCAGCTGCTAATTCACTCGAGGGCCTCCTCTCTGATGAAGGCAGCCTCACTGAGTCAGGTGACCTACAGGGTCCTTTGATTCCTTGAAGTTGCCTAGAGAGCCTTGGACCAGCAAGCTGAATCCTCTCCTGAGCCCCTCTGCTGAAGACCTCAGCTCTGGTTATGACTGTGAGTTGCCTGACACAGGGTAAAACTGAGGACTTAGGCAGATCTGAGCTCGAGTCAGTCCCTGCCACTTTCTAGCAGTGTGATCTTGGGCAAGTTACTTAACCTCAGTTTTCTTACCTGTCAAATGGAATTAATAGTAAAATCTCCCTCACTGGGCTTGTGAGGATTAAATGAAGAGTCAGTGAGTGGAAAGTGTTTAACCAGGGCCTCACATCAAGTAAGCACAGCAGGATAAATGTTGGCCTCTACACACTGAAACTGCTGTTATGACTGCCATACTCAGGTTTGTTGATTGACTGATAAAAACACTAATATGGTAGAAGAATCGTGGCCCAAGGAGATCTTGAGCTTCTACCTTGTCTCTCTGAGGGAGGACTGCTAACTAACTCCCACTGTGCATTCTTCTCTCCCCAAGTTTTGGCTAGACACACGGACCCCAGCCAGAGACCACATCTCCCAGCCTCCCTTGCAGCTAACTGTGGCCATGTGACTAAGGTCTGGCCAATGGCAAATAAGCAGAACTAATTATGCAAATTCCACTTTGGGCTTTAAAAGGAAGGGGATTCCCTCAACTTCCTCCTGGCATTCTCCCTCCTCTGCAGTTAGAAATGGGAGCAACTAGAGCAACTGCCCTGGACCCAGAGGTGGAAGCTCTGTGTTGAGTACAGTACAGCTACTCCAGCAGCCCCAGACCACTCAGCCCTGGGCTCCTAAGGGAGAAAGGAATGAACTTGCTTATTTAAACCATTATGTTGGGGTCTTTTTGCTAAGTCTGCTTTGTCTACATTGTACCTAACTCATTCTGCCAATCACATGCTGTGTGACCATTAGGCAGCCGACTTCCTCTCTCAGACCCCTGTTTCCATATCCCTGAAGGTTCTTCCTACTCTGACAGGACAGAAATTAATGTTTCTTCCATAACCGAAGAGGGAAGGAAAGAATAGACATTTATTAAGTTTCTACTACATGCCAGACACTGTATTAGACTGATGATGACTTTGCCTTCCAGGGAACGTTTGGTAATGTCTGGTATGAACCCTGAAAATTTGAGACAGGTCTCAGTTAATTTAGAAAGTTTATTTTACCAATGTTGAGGATGTGTGCCCATGACAGTCTCAGGAAGTCCTGACGACACGTGCTGAAGGTGATGGGGGCACAGCTTGGTTTTACGCATTTTAGGGATATATGAGACATCAATCGATATATGTAAAAAGTACATTGGTTCTGTCCAGAAAACCGGGGACAACTCAAAGCAAGGAAGGGGCCTCCAGGTCACAGGTAGGTGAGACAAATGGTTCCATTCTTTCGAGTTTCTGAAAACCCTTTCCAAAGGAGGCAATCACAATATGCATCTATTTCAGTGAGCAGAGGGATGACTTTGAATAGAATGGGAGGCAGGTTTGCCCTGTGCAGTTTCCAGCTAGAATTTTCCTTTTAGCTTAGTGATTTGGGGGCCCAAGATATTTTCCTTTATTTATTTATTTATTTATTTATTTATTTATTTATTTTTTATTTTTTTATTTTTTTTATTGATCATTCTTGGGTGTTTCTCGCAGAGGGGGATTTGGCAGGGTCATAGGACAATAATGGAGGGAAGGTCAGCAGATAAACAAGTGAACAAAGGTCTCTGGTTTTCCTAGGCAGAGGACCCTGCAGCCTTCCGCAGTGTTTGTGTCCCTGGGTACTTGAGATTAGGGAGTGGTGATGACTCTTAACGAGCATGCTGCCTTCAAACATCTGTTTAACAAAGCACATCTTGCACCGCCCTTAATCCATTTAACCCTGAGTGGACACAGCACATGTTTCAGAGAGCACAGGGTTGGGGTAAGGTCCTAGAACAACAGGATCCCAAGGCAGAAGAATTTTTCTTAGTACAGAACAAAATGAAAAGTCTCCCATGTCTACTTCTTTCTACACAGACACAGCAACCATCCGATTTCTCAATCTTTTCCCCACCTTTCACCCTTTTCTATTCCACAAAACCGCCATTGTCATCATGGCCCCTTCTCAATGAGCTGTTGGGTTCACCTCCCAGACGGGGTGGTGGCCGGGCAGAGGGGCTCCTCACTTCCCAGTAGGGGCGGCCGGGCAGAGGCACCCCTCACCTCCCAGACGGGGTGGCTGGCCGGGCAGGGGGCTGACCCCCCCCACCTCCCTCCCGGACGGGGCGGCTGGCTGGGCTGGGGGCTGACCCCCCCACCTCCCTCCCGGACGGGGCGGCTGGCGGGGCGGGAGACTGACCCGCCCACCTCCCTCCCTGTCGGGGCGGCTGGCTGACCCCCCCACCTCCCTCCCGGACAGGGCAGCTGGCCTGGCGGGGGGCTGACCCCCCACCTCCCTCCCGGACGGGGCGGCTGGCCGGGAGGGGGGCTAACCCCCACCTCCCTCCCGGACGGGGTGGCTGCCGGGCGGAGACGCTCCTCACTTCCCAGACAGGGTGGCTGCCAGGCGGAGGGTCTCCTCACTTCTCAGATGGGGCGGCCGGGCAGAGACGCTCCTCACCTCCCAGACGGGGTCGCGGCCGGGCAGAGGTGCTCCTCACATACCAGCCGGGGCGGCGGGGCAGAGGCGCTCCCCACATCTCAGACGATGGGCGGCCGGGCAGAGACGCTCCTCACTTCCTAGATGGGATGGCGGCCGGGAAGAGGCGCTCCTCACTTCCCAGATGGGATGGCGGCGGGGCAGAGATGCTCCTCACTTTCCAGACTGGGCAGCCAGGCAGAGGGGCTCCTCACATCCCAGACGATGGGTGGCCAGGCAGAGACGCTCCTCACTTCCCAGACGCGGTGGCGGCTGGGCAGAGGCTGCAATCTCGGCACTCTGGGGGGCCAAGGCAGGCGGCTGGGAGGTGGAGGTTGTAGCGAGCCGAGATCACGCCACTGCACTCCAGCCTGGGCACCATTGAGCACTGAGTGAACGAGAGTCCGTCTGCAATCCCGGCACCTCGGGAGGCCGAGGCTGGCGGATCACTCGCGGTTAGGAGCTGGAGACCAGCCCGGCCAACACAGCGAAACCCCGTCTCCACCAAAAAAATACGAAAACCAGTCAGGCGTGGCGGCGCGTGCCTGCGATTGCAGGCACTCTGCAGGCTGAGGCAGGAGAATCAGGCAGGGAGGTTGCAGTGAGCCGAGATGGCAGCAGCACAGTCCAGCTTCGGCTGGGCATCAGAGGGAGACCGTGGAAAGAGAGGGAGAGGGAGACCGTGGGGAGAGGGAGAGGGGGAGGGGGAGGGGGAGGGGAAGATTTTTCTCTTCATTTTCTGCCCATCCGAAAGCTTTCATCGATATTTTCCTTTCACACTGGCAATATTTTTGGTTGTCACAAATGGATGAGGTGTGTGCTACTCCAGGAGAGCACATGAGTAGAGGCCAGGGGTGGTGCTACCCATTCCATAATACACAGAACAGCCCCTCACAACAGAAGCATCTAACCTAAAATGTCACTAGTGTTAAGAAACCCTAGGCCGGGCACGGTGGCTCACGCCTGTAATCCCAGCACTTTGGGAGGTCAAGGCAGGTGGATCACGAGGTCAGGAGATCGAGACCATCCTGGCTAACGTGGTGAAACCCCGTATCTACTAAAAATACAAAAAAAAATTAGCCGGGCATAGTGGCGGGCCCCTGTAGTCCCAGCTACTCGGGAGGCTGAGGCAAGAGAATGGCATGAACCCGGGAGGCAGAGCTTGCAGAGCGGAGATCACGCCACTGCACTCCAGCCTGGGTGACAGAGTGAGACTCCATCTCAAAAAAAAAAAAAAAAAATGACAGGACCCACTCACCCCACCCACCCCTCTAAGCCACCAGGGAAGGCAAAACTAGGTCATGAAAAGTGCTGAAAGAGGCAAGGTTTTAGACTTAGTTAGCTTCACTTCCAGGAATCTGTCCAAAAAACTTAAGTACAGATACATTTAAGCACAAAGACATAGGGGTATTCATGATGGGAATTTAAAAAACAAAAAACCTGAAACAAAAAGCAAATAATTAAACCCAAGTACAAGATTAGCAATGCTGACAACATTTGTAATGGTGAGAGAGTGAGACTCTGTCTTAAAAAAAAGAAAAAAGAAACCCTGTAGTAGGCAACTGGTATTGACTGAGGACAGTGAGGGCCAGGACCCCGGGGCGCAGCCTCAGGATTCCCCACGCTTGCAGCTGGGGAGCCTGGGGTAGGCAATTTGTGGGTGACCATGTCTGCGAAGGACTTTGCCATCTGTGTTTTCGGACCTGGGGAGAAAGAACCCCATCCCCTACCCCTCCTCCACCATTTTAGATACCCCAGATGGACTCATTTTGGGGTTCCCACTGACATCCAGGAAGGACACAAACCCTTCTCTGACCCCAGCCAGCTCTAGTGGCCACCTCTCTTTGCCACGGTGACCCTGCTCCCATGACCCTGCGGTGTCTGGAGCCCTCCAGGAATGGCAGGGAAGGGACGCGGAGCCAGCAGGGAGACCACAGGGTCACTGAGGAGCTGTGCCTGAAGACGGTGCGTGTCTGGCAAGGCCCTGCAGGAGCTCCCACAGGATGGTACGGGGGAAATATGTCCACAGAGCCAAAGAGAAATTAAAAGAGGCACCAGGAGGAAATTCCTTGATTAGAGATAGCTCCCATTCAGACGACCTACTAACAATATCTGTTAAAACATCAGCTGGACCAACTAATCTTCCAATCAAATACCAAGATGGTAAATTCAGATTGCACTCTGTCCTATGTGGCAAGTATGGTTTCATCTGATTGACTGCTATGTTCAGATGTGTAAGGATGAGCAGACGGGTGGGAAGGCCCCAGAACAGCACTGCTCACCTTTACTGACCAAATCACTCTACCCATCAGCACTGATGAAACAGGAAAATAGAGTCTGGAGACAGGGAACATAAGGCCAATTCACACTTCAGCTATGACAGGAAATGTCCTCTCCATAGGGCCTACACTGAGTAAATGACTTTGTAACTTTACTTCATCCTGTTCATTTACACAGGGCGTACCCCAAGTACAGGGTATTTAAACTCACAAAAACTCTGTAACAGGGCCTTTGAGCCCGTGTTCGGCCCTGCTCCCACACTGTGGAGTGCACTTCCTTTTCAATAAATCTCTTCATTCCTTTCTTGCTTTGTTTGTGCGTTTTGTCCAATTCTTTGTTCAAGACACCAAGAACCTGGACACTGTCCACCGGAAACACCATCTCTATAGCAGCTCTGTGAACCCACTGCTAACAGACAGTGATATCTGGGAACGGCCTTTACCAACAAGACTAAAAGTTAATTGGAAGAATATCAGTTCCAGGTATAAGTGGGTTTTTTTTTGTTTGTTTTCTTTGTTTGTTTGTTTGTTTTTGAGACTAGAGTCTTGCTCTGTTGCCCAGACTGGAGTGCAGTGATGTGATCTCAGCTCACTGCAACCTTCACCTCCCAGGTTCAAGCAATTCTCCTGCCTCAGCCTCCCAAGTAGGTGGGATTAGAGGCACCCACCATGCCTGGCTAATTTTTTGTATTTTTAGTACAGACAGGGTTTCGCCATGTTGGCCAGACTGGTCTCGAACTCCTGACCTCAAGTGATGCAACCGCCTAGGCCTCCCAAAATGCTGGGATTACAGGCCTGAGCCACCATGCCCGGCCGTGTTTCTCTTTTCCTAAACATGCCTCACATAGCGTATCTCCAAATGCAGCTATGTAAAAGGGAACCAAAACTTGAGTGACTGCTCTGAATAGCTATGCGGAATTCTTTGTAAGAACTGCTAAAGTCAGTCTGATTTAAATGCGCGAAGAGGCAGCTAGGTATTTAAAGTTCCCCCAGATATTTTCACCTAAGTGATACCTCCCTTCCTAAGGCTGACCAAGGCCAGTTGATCCTTTTAAATTAAAAATAAAATGTCCCATGCAAAGGCTGGAGGAGTGTTTTATCAGAATGCCTTGCCTTTCTGAGGTTCCTTTCTATTAGGTCGAAGGTCTATGCTCCAGGAGGAGAGAAAGACCTCCTCATAGGAATGCTAAAGGGATGGCAGGAACTGAGCTGATCCCAGGCTTCACTGCAATTTTGTATGCCTGTTCGTCAGTCTCTTTTAGGGCATTCTATATTTTGCATTCTGATGTACCTAGGAGTTAAACAGTTGTTAAACAGATCGTGCTTGTGAGTATTTCTCTCTCATTTTCTACAATTAACCAAATAAACAACAAAAAAAAGCCCATGAAGCCCTGTATTTGTCTTTTTTTTTTTTTTTTTTTTTGAGATGGAGTCTTGCTCTGTCACCAGACTGGAGTGCAGGGGCGCGATCTCGGCTCACTGCAACCTCTGCCTCCCAGGTTCAAGTGATTCTCCTGCCTCAGCCTCCCGAGTAGCTGGGATTACAGGCACACGCCACCACACCCCGCTAATTTTTGTATTTTTAGTAGAGATGGGGTTTCACCATGTTGTCCAGGATGGCCTCAATCTCATGACCTCGTGATCCACCTGCCTTGACCTCCCAAAGTGCTGGGATTACAGGTGTAAGCCACCGCACTTGGCCTGTATTTGTCTTTTTACTACATGGATGAACTCTGTCATATGAATAAGTACTGTACTAATCCATTTTAAGGGAGGCTTATTTCAGAAATATTTCAAACTGGTGCAAATGGAAAAGGCTTTTTTTCTTTTAAAGCTAAAGACAAGAATGTCATGCTATACAGGTAGAATTTGACCTCTGCTAATAAAAACCAATGTAGATATAGACATTTTGCCATTTGAAGTAGCTGTGTCCCAACATGTTGCCATTGATTTTTTGGAAATGGCTTTAGAAATGTCCAAGTTGGGCTGGACACAGTGGCTCATTCCTGTAATCCCAGCACTTTGGGAGGCCAAAGCGGACGGATCACTTGAAGCCAGGAGTTCGAGACCAGCCTGGCCAACATGGTGAAACCCCATCTCTACTAAAAATACAAAAACTAGCCGGGCGTGGTGGCACATGCCTTTAATCCCAGCTACTTGGGAGGCTGAGGCAGGAGGATCACTTGAACCTGGGAGGCAGAGGTTGCAGTGAGCTGAGATCACGCCACTGCACTCCAGCCTGGGTGAGAGTGAGACTGTGCCTCAGGAAGAAAAAAGAAAAAAAAAGAAATCTCCAAGATGTCCTTGAATTGTCTAACCATGGACATTGTCAGTTCTCCCTTCTATCATGTAGAATACTTAGACTTAATATTCTTCCAGATACAGGGGGATACTTGCTTGTTTTTCAAAGTGTTTATTTACTGCTGCTACTATTTGATTACAATGTGTTAAATTTTAAAACCTGTGGGAGTGGCGAGGTGGGGAAGAAATCCTGTAGTGGACCTCATACACATTTATCTCATTGAATTCGGATTTTTTCTGAGTGATCCAGTGAATGAGTCTTTGGATAGGGGTGGCAACTCACGGTCAGAGTGGTGAAGTGACTTGTCTGAGGCCACATGGCTGGTCAGAGGCAAAATTGCATTTAATCCGAAGTTCATCTCCTCCATAGCTTTCCCCCCGCTAGCCAAAGATGAAGGATGTGAATTTTCCTTGCTGATTATAATTTGTGGCAATCCCACCTCCCACAGAAAATACACAAGGAGGTGCTCGAAATTTGGGGCTTCTTTTGGGCAGTAACTAACTCGGGTCGGTGCCAAGCCTTAGTCCATGCTGTACCAACCACCTAGGACACCTTTTCTTCTCCCTTATCTGCTGGTTAAATCCTCCTCAACCTTCCAGACTCACTGCTCAGGAGTCACCGCCCAGCTAAGTGGGGACTGCTCCTTAATGTTTCCAAAAATGAGACACTGTATTTCTCGACTGGCAGGTCTAACCAAGCTACCTTGTCACCAGCGTCCAGTGCAGAGAGAACACTCAAAAATCATCAGCTTTCAATAGCGTGGCTTCCACTTTTCTCATTCACCCCTCCGCCCATCTGCCCCAGGGCAGGTGCTTCAGTCTTCAACAGCTCTAGTGCCTAGCAAAGGTGCAAGCAAATAACCCATGATGAATGAATGACTGGATGAGTGAATAAATGAATGAACCTCTTCTTGACTGTACATGGACACCATCTCTGGGGCAGCTGAATGGGTGAGTAAGCAGGAAAATTCTAGCAAACCAGGATTAGGGGGTATAGGAGACCTGCATTATTTTCTGTTAACCAGAGACAGATAATGGAGGACAAAATTGATGGACTATGAACCAAATGCATGGCTCCTAGGTACATGACTCCAGGCTGTGGAGGGGGTAGGGCCAAGATCACCAGGACCCACTGAAGACTGATGTGGCCAATGTGGGGTTGGGGGGGGGGTTCCCCTCTGTGAGCCTCCCTGGGACCAGCTCTGACTTCTTTTTCACCAAGCCCAGAATGTAAAAGTGGGGATGTGGTGAGGGCTTCCTGGAGGTGGTGATGTCCCATGAAGGAGGCTTTGGGTAAGAGGAGGATGCTTTGGGAGGGAGAGGGACACCTACCATAAGGGGATATGTGGGAAGAATGAAGGCAAAACCTAAGTGGACATGAGGTTATCCAGAGAGTAAAGCACTCAACTCTAGTACAGGCTCTTTTGAAGCCTTTATTCAGTTAAATCAATGCTGTCCATTAATATGGATCTTTCCAATGTTTGCCTGATTTACACAGGATAACATTTCAGGATCCAAATTGTTAACTCTATGCCTTGGAACATTTTGTGACCCCAGGAACACATCACGAAATATTTACCAAACTGGATCTTTCTGTTTACATTACAATGATAGCGTGTACATATTTCACTACATCTTTGCCAGCAGATGGAAACCTTTATTGTAAATATTTGCTCTGTGAATGGGAATAGAATAAATTTCATAACACTGGAAAAGCCAAAGTTCTCAAATTAGGGGAGTTAATTGTTACACCAACTCGACAGACTGCTTTCTGAGCATTTTTAAAAATGGAAAAATAGCTGTAGTTTCCAGCTGGGTGGGAATACAGATCTAAGAATTTGCTTAGCTGGAATCACAATGATGCAAAAAAGTGGAACTGAGAAAAAACTGAAAAGGGATGCCAAAATTTGACAGAAGTTTATTTGTTAGACATGACTCTTATTTCTGTGTTAGTGCATGCAAGAAAAAAAAATGCATTTTCAAAAAAAAAATAGGAAGATTGTTGAGTATCTAGCTGAGCCAAGCCTGTGCTGAGCAATTCAGAGGTGACCTAAGCAGTGCCTCTCCAACCTCAGCATGCAAGGAATATGTTCCTGCTACACCTGCTGCAGGGGCTGGAGGAACTGAGAGGGGAAAAGGGCTAGACTTGTTCTCACCATCAAGAAAGTACAGCCTGTTCCTGCTGCAATAACAAAATATCTTAGACTGAGTAATTTATAAATAATAGAAATTTACGTCTCACACTTCTGGAGGCTGGAAGTCCAAGATCAAAGTGCCAGCAGACTTGGTGTCTGGTAAAGGCTTTCTCTCTGCTTCCAAGATGACACCTTCTCACTGCAATCACAAGAGAGAAAGGATGGAAGGGCAAACAGGGACAACTGCTGTGTCCTCATATGGCAGAAGAGAAGTGGAAGGGCCAGGCAGCTATCTGAGGCCATCTTTATAAGGACACTGTCCTATTCATGAGTACAGAACTCTTATGACTTAATTGGGCCCAACAGGCCCCACCTCTTAATACCACTACTTTGGGGTTTAAGTTCCAACATATGAATTTTGGAGGGACACATGCATTCAAACCATGCACGTGTTTTAAGACATCTTTGCAATTAAGGCTTTAGTGGGGTCCCAACTTTTCAAATGGTTGAGCACATCTGTTCTGAAGTCTTCAAGGAACAAACATCTTCAGTGAGATAGAGAACAGTTGCCCCTACCCTACAAGGAAACCACAGCTCTGCTTTAAAAGGAGGAAATTGTGATGTAGTGTGAAGGTTACAAGCTTTCATAGAATGTAGAACTAGATTCAAATCCTGATTCTATTATACACTAGCTCTAGGACCTTGGGCAAGATTTGTCTTCTCTTGAGTCTTAGTTTCCTCATCTGTAAAATCAGGCAAATTAGTTCTTAGATGATAAGGATGCATTTGTGAAAATTGCCTGTCAATGTGAGCTACTATTATTATAGATGGAGAGACGGAGACCATGAAAGGGCTTGGGAGCTGTCCAGCATCAAACAGCAAGAAATGGGCAGCGCCATGCTAGAATTCAAGGGTCTGGGACCACAAACCAGTAAACTGAAGCTAGGACACCCTCTGCCTCCCCACTCACAGAAGACCGAGTGGCTTCCTTCCTCGGAGTCACCAGGCCCATCTCGCTTATTGTACAGATGAGAAAAGCATCTCAGAGTGGAGCAGGGATGTGAATGTGACTCCTGCACACCATCTTCCCACTTGCAGCCCCTCTCGGTGCTCTCCACACTCTCTGCACCTCTCCATTTGATGGCATTCATGATGTACAGATTCAAATATGTTGTTGACATTCCCCCGGGCCTTCCAAGCAGGAATGTTTGCTTTGGAGGTATTGGATAGACGTGGTAAAATCAAGGGCTTTCCATCAGCTTCCTAGCTGTCCATCACCCAGTGCCACGTCTCCCCCAGCAATGGGATCACTTGCCATTTATACAGTCTGCCCCCCTACAAAGTCATCGGGAATCAACCTACAGAGGCCAGAGTGTCTTGACAGCACACCAGAGAAATCCAGGTAAGCACAAGGCAATGGCACTCTCCAACCTGCCTCTTCATCAGATGCTGAACCAGACTAAAGCTTTTGATACATGTTACCAGTTATTACCAATTGTGTTTGGTTCTAGCACAGAACATGAAAAATCGTGGCTTCAATCATGATGAGAAGCCCAGAGTTAGGCTGGCAGAGCCTGCCATCTCCTTCCTTGGCTACCCCTAGGATGTGGCTTTCATCTTCCTGCTAGTAAGATAACTGCTGGGCTCCAGTCGTCATATCTTATATGTAATCAGGAAAAAGCAGGAGAGGAAAACAAAAGCATGCAATTTGCAGCTGGGTCAGCCACTCTAGAGAAGTTTTTAAGAAGCCCCGACCTACAATTTCCATTTATATCTCATTGATCATGCCTGGTTGCAAAGAAGGTTGGGAAAGATAATTTCTTTGTTAAGCACATTTCTTCCCTCAAAAATAAAAGGATTCTGTAAATAAAGAGGGAAGAATGGGCATGTGCCCTCGGCTCTCCAAGCTTCCGTTTCCTGCTCTGTAAAGGAAGCATGTCAATAACTGTCTCATAAGATTGGGATGTTGTAAGGAATTGGGGGACTCCTCCAACACCCAGCAGGAAAGATGCTCCCTGGCCACCCTCCCCTCCTTCAGACTGTCTGTGAGTCTTCCAAGGGTACTCACTGTCAGAACCAGGGAGGGATAAAAAGGAACTTTAATTGCAAATCCAAAATTAACTTCTATTTAGTGGCACTAGGCTAAACAATTTTCAAAATGCTTCCTGAATTCTCCTAGTAACCTTTTTGAGTGAGATGCAGATTAAAGTATAAAAAACTAAAAGACGGGAGAGCCAGGTGCTAGCCACTAACTACAGCTGGCCTTAGGAAAACTTAACCCTGATCCGAGCCTCAGTGTGCCATCTGTAAAATGGGTATTGGGCCAGGTGCGGTGGCTTATGCCTGTAATCCCAGCACTTTGGGAGGCGGAGGTGGGAGGATCACGAGGTCAGGAGTTTGAGATCAGCCTGGCCAATATGGTGAAACCTGTCTCTACTAAAAACACAAAAAGTAGCTGGGCATGATGGAGCACACCTGTAGTCCCAGCTACTCGGGAGGTTGAGGCAGGAGAATCGCTTGAACCCAGGAGGCAGAGGTTGCAGTGAACCGAGATCGTGCCACTGACTCCAGCCTGGGTGACAGAGCAAGACTCCATCTCAAAAAAAAAAAATGGGTGTTGGGTGGGTAAGAATGAGTCCAAATGACTCCTTTGCTTCCCCCCTATCTCCTTTAGCTCCATAGAGAACCTCTCAGAGTGACCCTGAAGCTGACTGTACTTACCTGGTATCCCACGGGTACTGCCCCAAGATGCTGAAGGTCTCGGGCCTCCTTATCCTCTGTTGGTTTCTTGCCCTGTTGTCTGCTCAATATTTGAATATTTGACTTGCCTGTGGGTTTATTATATCATATATTTTAATTTCTTGGCCTTTAGTCCCTTGGTCATTTTTTAAGCATGCATGCCTTGTAAATTTTTATTGGATGCTGAACATGGTGGTGAAATGACATTATCTTTTTTCCAGAAACGAAGATGGCAGAAAGATAGAGCAGAAATGGATCATGACCCTGCCTAGGCTTAGCTTTGTGTTTTATTAAGTAGAACTATTTTGGTCTTGTTCTTACTTTTAGAGGGAGACTATTTCTAGGGTGTGGCCCTTTCTCCTAGAGCACAGTGCTTTATGTCTTCACTGAGAGCTTAAGATGTGTACCAAGGTTCCTCCCATCAAAGGGGCCCCACCTCAAACTAGCGCTTCCTTCCCCAGCATCACACAGTGGATGTGCTGATGTCTCTGTTCAGCTTTTTAACTTTCACCTGCTATTTTCTGCCACATGGCTGAGAGTCCCACACTGCTAGGGTGCAGCTTAAAAAGCTGAGATTTCAAGGCTCCTTCCCTGGGGAACTTCCTCTTTGGGATTTTTGCCCCTCAAGTCCCAGCCACTCTGGTAGCCCCAAATTCCAACTTCTGTCCCCTCATCCCTGTAAGACTAGCTCTTTTTGCTTGGACCCTGGTTGACATGTTGGAAAATGACCTCAGGCAAAAGCTGGGTGAATATGGAGCCCGCCTTGAATGATGCCTCTTTCTCAAGAATCACGGGGTTTCAAATTGTGCCCATGTAGTTGCTCATGGATGTCCTCCTTTGTTTTTACAGATTTCCATCTCTTATAGTTGACTTTAATTGGGAGTGTTAGTCTGATGCAAGATACTCTGTCATGATCAAAACCAGAACTCTGCAGATGGAACTTGAACTTAGATTTCATAGGGACTGTGCAACCCCTCATTTGGGGTTCAGGGATAGGGTGAGAAGGATGAACACAGAGAATGCTTCGATACTTATAAAAACAGGCTGGGCGCGGTGGCTCACGCCTGTAATCCCAGTACTTTGGGAGGCTGACGCGGGCAGATTACCTGAGCTTAGGAGTTCACGACCAGCCTGGGCAACACGGTGAAACCCCGTCTCTACTAAAATTAAAAAAAAAAAATTAGTCGGGTGTGGTGGCTTGCGCAGAGGTTGCAGTGAGCTGAGATTGCGCCACTGCACTCCAGCCTTGGTGACAGAGCGAAACTCCATCTCAAAAACAAAACAAAACAAGACACCACACACACACACATAAACACACAAACAAACAAACACACAAAACAAACAAACAAATAAAACACACACACAAACAAACAAAAAGAACTTCAGGGTTGGTTATTCCTAGAAAATGCTTCGTGGGTTATAATGTGGCAGGTAAATGCAGAAAAACACCTAAGGATATTCCTGCCGGTGCCATCTGGGGTAAAAACATGAAAATAGCCCAAAAGAGGAGACATTCCATGAACATCAGTCAATACATACCTTAGAAAATTCTGCAGACAAGGAGGTAGACAGTCCTGATGTACTGCTACTTGAATAAATGCTTCTGTAGAAGCATGACAGGCCAATCCTTGTTTCTCATCATGTTACATGAATGCACGCCTATGGAAAGAAAAACTTCCAAAAAAAGATACAACAGAAGTTATCTCTGTGAACTGATTTTTATTTACTTTTTTCTCTTTGTGCATATCTTCACTTTCTAATTTTTCTACTTGCCTAAAAACAGATCACCCAAATTAAAATGTTAAGCCAGGCCAGTTGCGGTGGCTCACGCCTGTAATCCTAGCACTTTGGGAGGCCAAGTCGGATGGATCACCTGAGGTCAGGAGTTCGAAACCAGCCTGGCCAACATGGTGAAACCCCGTCTCTACCAAAAATATGAAAAAATTAGCTGAGCGTGGTGGTGGATGCCTGTGATCCCAGCTACTTGGGAGGCGAGGCAGGAGAATTGCTTGATACCAAGAGGCGGAGGTTGCAGTGAGCCGAGATCACACCACACCGCACTCCAGCCTGGGAAACAGAGTGAAACTCTGTCTCAAAATAAATAAATAAATAAATAAAATAAAATAAAATGCTAAACCAAATGGGTTATGAATTTACATGAGAATAGTGACCAGGGACTGGGCTGAGAGTCTGCTTGGAATCTGTCAAGTGTCGAAGGAGAGAATCGGTCCCTACCAGCCTTTACCTGTTAGTCTCAGGTCCTAATGGGACCATTTGCACTGGCATTTGGTTGAAGTCCCAGGAAGCCACACGAACATCTTCATGCACCTCCTTTCCAGGAGGTGTGGAGGGTGTGTCAAGATCCCGAGGGCCACTCCTAGCCCAGGGAGTGTGCCATTCAAGCGGGCACAGTAAATGGTCCTACAGTGTCCACATACTCCAGCCCTGGTCCCTCAGCCTGGGCCCTTCTTGTCTGTGCTGTGGAGCCTACTCTCTCCCATCAGCTCAGGGAGGTAAGCCCTTGAAAATGTCAAGTGAAAATCATGATCATAATGATGCATTAGTACAGTGGTGACCATTTGTGAAGCACTTACAATGTGCAAGGTACTGTGCTAAGTGCTTACGACAAGAGCAAGAGGAAGGTATGAGTTTGGATCCTCTGCATCTTCCAGATGAGGAAAGCCTAAGGTATCCAGCAAGTAGGTGGCAGAGCTGGGATTCCATCCCAGGTCTGTCTGTCTCTGAAGCCAGGGCATATCACCACCACCATTTTGCTGTAAAATGAGGATAGTGTGTCCTGCATAACATCGTGTGGTGAAGCAACTTGCACTAAATCCCACAA
Organism: Homo sapiens; assembly: GCF_000001405.40. Lineage (NCBI taxonomy): Eukaryota > Metazoa > Chordata > Mammalia > Primates > Hominidae > Homo > Homo sapiens. The sequence continues at coordinate 33,197,821 of NC_000020.11, forward strand.
TCCCACAGCTGCTAACAGGTGGGGGTCTTCAGAGACCATTGTCATAACTCTAACATTATGCAGCCTCTCGCAGCAGCCATGAGCAGCCCTGCTGGGGAAGGCAGTGTCCCTGCGGGAAAAACCGTATGTCCAGCTTTTGGGCATAAATACAGGTTGTGTGGCCTTGGGCAAGTGACTTCATCTCTTGGACCCTCCCTTTCTTGCTCTAAACTATGAGGAAAAGCAGGTCCCTCCCTGAGCCTCAGTAGACCCATCTGTAAAATGGACATAGGTGAATGGGTCCATATGAGTTCTGTGGCCACTTCAGATCTGAGCTCTGGGAAGACCCTCTGAGAAAGTGTCCTTGCAAATGACCTCTTTGCCCTGATCCTCCACAGGGACCTGACCGAAGATGCTGAATGTCTCCGGCCTCTTTGTTCTCCTCTGTGGGCTGCTTGTCTCATCCTCTGCACAGGAGGTCCTGGCTGGAGTTTCTTCCCAGCTCCTTAATGGTGAGACTGTCCTGCTTTGGGTCATGCAGAACCCTGAGCCAATGCCAGTTAAGTTCTCATTAGCAAAGTACCTGGGACACAATGAACACTATTAATTATTAGCCGTCCTGACTGCAACATCGTTTAATCCTCATTTTCCGAGCACCCCCTCTTTCCTGTCTCCTTGCTGTGCTTTATCTATCAAGACCCACCATCAAAGGAACCAGCTCTATATGGACTGGTCCCTGTCGCAGCCTTTGTACCTGCTGTTTCCTCTGCCTGGGACACTCTTCCCCTACCTGTCAACCTAGCTGCCTCCCTTCCTTCAGGTCTCTGCTCAAATGCCACATTTGCAGAAAGCCCTTCCTTGACCTCCTGCGTAAATGAATCCCTCACCCTGCCTTTTGTTTTTTCATCATAGGATGGACTGATATCTAGCGGCATGGTCATCGTGGTTAAAACATTGAAATTTTGGGGTATACTATTTGTGAAGTATTTCCTGCTTAGAGACTCTCCAGGTGCCCGCCATTGCCCCAACCATCCCAGCTTCACCCCCAGAACTCTAGCTTCCCCATGAACGAAACAACTATGGAGTTAACACCTGGCACAGCCCGGGGAGCCCAGGACCTGGATCCAGAGCTATGACCAGTGCCCCTGTTGAGCTCATTGCTAAATACTTTGAAACCAACCCCTTCACAGCACTTGTTTGCACCGGAATCCTGCCTGTCCCTTTATTCTCCACTTTTTCGTCTGTCTCTCCTCAGTCCTGTAAGAATGCCAGCTCCATCAGGGTGGTGCCCAGGGTGGTGAACAGACTGGGTGCATGGCCTGGGTGCATAGTAGGCCCCTGTGAATATTTGCTGGATGATTATGTCTAGAACTTGGCCCACAGTCCAGCAAGCCAGAAATAGCTGAACAACAAGTCAGAGCCACATAGGGGACATGCTCGGAGGTCAAGGTTGTATCTGAGGATCTTTGGCATCTAAATGTCTACTTGGGTTTGGGAGTGGGGCATTCTTTACAGATTTGACTCAAGGACTCCTCAGGGCAGACTTTCTTCCCAGCCTGCAGACAACTGGCCTCCAGAAACCATTGAGTAGTGCCTTCGATGGTGTATCAGGCCTCCTGGACATCTTTGGACCTCCACTCACCAATGAGATCAACACTGTTAGGTGAGTGGTCTCTGATCACCAACCACCCCCAGTCCAGGCTGTCCTGGTTTGTTGGATTGTTAGAGCTCTCCCCACATTTCCTGACCTCACAGAGGCCCTTCCCTTGCAAAGAGCCTTTCCAACTCTGATGGCCTGAGATCCCCTGGTTGGGAGAAACTCCCACCGCGGGAGGCTAGGGGAGAGGCTAAAGACACAGGGGTTCAGTCCCCTTGTCTGGGAAGAGGATGGCTGCTCACCAGCTGTAACAGCATCACCCATCTCCCCCTTTCTCTAAGCCTCAACATCTGCCCTGTTCAATGGGGAATAATAGCTTCTAACCCCATAGGGCTGTTGTGAACATTAAGTGAAATAATATGTGTAAAATGTTTGCACATCCTCCTCTCCTCAGTGAGCATCCAATCACAGGTAATAAACAACAACAGGAAGAATGTGGTAATCCTAACACTAGATGATGCTGAGCTTTAGGGTTAGACTGGCCATCAGAATATAGAAGACCTGGGTCCCTTGCCTCACAAGCATCTTAAACTCAACATGTCCAAAACTCAACTGCTGACTCATACCTTCATCCCTGCCACAACCTGTGCCTCCCCCTGCCCAGCCCATCTTACCTAATGACAACTCCATCCATCCAGTTGCTCTGGCCAAAAATCATGATGTCCTCCCTGGCTCCTCTGTCTCCTTTGTACCTGCTTCCAGCCTGTTGCCAAACCCTCCCTGTCACTTCTGCCTTTAAATCATACCCAGGCATCTCACCACTTTTTTTTTCCACCTCTGGTGGTCTGAGCCACCATTATCTCCCCGCTTGACTTACAGCCCCAGATTATTCTGCTTCCACCCACCAGCCCTCATCTCCTCCATTCTGTTCTGCCAGTATCCAGAAAAATCTTTCTAAGAAGTGGAGCTGACCCTGTAACTCCCTTGTCCAAACCCTCCGATGTGTTCTCTTCGCCCTCAGAACCAAGCCCAAAGTTCTTACCACTGGCCCTCAAGGCTCCACACAATCTGGCCCTGGCTACCTCGCTCACCTCTTCTACTAGTCTCGCATCACTCTCTGCCTGCTAGCCACATGAAGCCTGTTGCTGTTCCTCAAACACACCAGCCACATTTCAGCCTCAGGGATTTTGCACTTGCTCTGTCTTCTTTATTTTTACTATTATTATTGTTTTGAGATGGGGTCTTGCTCCATCTCCCGGGCTGGAGTTCAGTGAGTGGTGTGACCACAGCTCACTGCAGCCTCAACCTCCTGGGCTCAAGCCATCCTCCTGCCTCAGCCTCCCAAGTAGCTGGAACCACAGACACATGCCACCATGCCCAGCTAATTTTTTGTTTGGTTGCTTGATTTTTTGTTTTGCTTTGTTTTGTTTTCGAGACAAGGTCTTGCTCTGTCACCCAGGCTGGAGTGCAGTGGCACAATCACGGCTCACTGCAGCCTTGACTTCTAGGCTTAATTGATCCTCCTGCCTTGGCCTCCCAAAGTGCTGGGATTACAGGTGTGAGCCACTGCACCCAGCCTTGCTCTGTCTTAAACCTGTCCTTTCCTTCTCCTGGCTATCTGCATGACTCATTCTCACTTCATTCGTGACTCTGCCCAAACATCACCTCCTATGATAAACCTTCCCTGACTACCCTGTCTGAAATTCCACTCTTCCCAATATTACCTTCCATCTTCCTGATCCTGTAGGGCCTTTTTTTTCACGGTGCCTATCACTTTCTATATGTATTTATTTACTGGATTTATTCTCCTATACATATATACCTGCTCCAAGCATCTGCTATATATGGCTTTCAGTTTTATTCACTCGTTGATTTCAGCCTGCTTGGTGCTGGGCAAAGTGCTGAACGTGATTATTCTGAGATACAGCAAGGTAAGAGCTTCTTTTTGCTCAGGGATATATTCCCCGTGCTTATAACACATAGTAACTTTGCAATAAACTACCTGGTTAATGAATGAGTACTGATCTTTGCATATATTCAGCTTCTTCTCTGCAAGGGACCTGCCATTGCACAAAGTGAGGTCCACCTGCAGCAGGAGCCACAGCCTCCCTGTGTTGTGTTGTTTCTTCACCCAGCATACAGGTGAAAAATCCTCAACTCCTCCATGTCTCCATCGAGAGCACCCCTCAAAGAAAGGAGGCCACTGTACAAGTACCATTCACGTCTGAGTTGATTGTGCAGTAAGTCACAGCTATGGGTCTTGCAGTCTCCATTGGCTTTTGCATAGGAGTCGGGGGATGTGGGCAGATCCCTAACCAAAGGGCTCAGCGACGGACTCACTGTGTGGTTAGAGCAAAACATCCACCCTCTCTGGGCCTGAGTCGCCCCATGTGTAGAATGAGAGGCCTGCAGAACACTTGAGTGCTCCAAGCTTGGGGCCTCTCTGGGGAAAGCAGATTTCCTCGCCCGACCTCATCCAGACAGCCCCCACCTTCATTTATTTGGACTTTATGAGTTCTCTTAGTTCTGATTGAATGTAACTGAAGACAAGAGCAAAGAATCACCTCTGGACCCCAATTCCGTGGCACTATTGCCTAGAGATCACCCCAGGGGCTGCATCTGACCCACTGATATATTTTGTCTGGTTTGCATGGTGCATCTGCAGAGGCCACGCATTCTCCAGTTCACCACAGCCTTTACCGCTCCCTGTGAAACTAATTGCCCATCTGCTTCATTCATTTCCATTTCAAGCCTGGCCATCAAGGCAATGGAGTTTGAGACTCTAGAAAAGGACTTTCCAAGGTCAGATGCAGTTTCTCAGTTTTGATAAGATGTCATACTTAGAATCAACATTTTCCTTCCTAACTGTCCCCAGAGCCAGAGGTAGCAAGTATTAGTTAGACTCCCTGAGTGCAGAACCCTCTGACTTAGCCACTGGCTGGATGCATGACTTGGAGAAAGCCATTCCCATTCTCCAGGACTGAATGGCCTCTTTTGAAAAATGAGAAAATGACCTTAACAGGGTGGTTTTGAAGAACCCTAGTTCTAGAAACAAATGAGGATGTAGTAAGCTCTGAGCTTCTCCCCGACCTGCCTTACCTCTTCCCTCCTACAGGCTCCTGACCATGAAGCCCTTCACAGCTAATATGCAGTCAGATATAAAAGTCCAGATTCGTTTGGAGAAGAATGTAGGTGGCAGATATGAGCTTGCCTTTGGGAACTGCAGGCTCTTGCCCGAGGCTATTTGGATCCAAACTGGAGTCCAGTGAGTTCTCAATCTGTCTTTCTCTGTGTCCAGCTGGTTATGATGACGTCCCCAGTGAGATTTCACCTGAAAGATGTCACCAGAAAAACAATACCCTACCAAATTAGGCTTTTGTGTGTATAGTGATGTGTGTATAATAAATAGGACTTTCTGTGTCTTTAAAATTTTGCTTTTTACAAAAGTAATAATTCTATCGACATGAAAAGAGACTTACCAAATAGTACTAAGCAAAAAAAAAAAAAAAAAGAAGGATTGCTTGGCCATTTGTTGATAGATTATTTCTAAACTTTTGGGCTAACCAGGTGGCTCATCTGTAATCTCAGTACTTTGGGAGGTCGAGGCAGGTGGATAGCTTGAGCCCAGGAGTTCAAGACCAGCCTGGGCAACATGGCAAAACCCTGTCTATACAAAAAATACAAAAATTAGCCAGGTGTTGTGGCAGGCACCTATAGTCTCAGCTACTAGGGAGGCTGAGGTAGGAGGATCACTTGAGCCCAAGAGGTTGAGGCTGCGGTGAGCCATAAGCATGCCACTGCACTCCAGCCGGGGCAACAAGCAAGACCCTGTCTCAAAAAAATTAAATTAATTCAAAAGATAAACATTTGCTAACATAAATAACCCAGAACATTTTGATACAGGAAACTTTTCCAAAATAAAATTACGTTCTTATTGTAGATTTTTAAGATTATTCCAAACGTATACACAGTTCTACAACTTCTAAGTTTTAAGGCACTGCCAAACCACTCAACAAATGCCTTACCAATGGAACTGAAGCAAGTGGCATGTCTGTAGCCGACATTCGGCAGTTTTGTCCCATATACAATCAATCCCAATTATTCTCTTTTTCACAACATTTATTCTTTTATACATACATACCTTCCCCAAGTATCTCTATAGATGGCTCTCAGTCTTACTCATTCATTTATTTCAGCCTGCTTGGTGCTGGGAAAAGTGCTGAATATGATTATTCTGAGGTATGTTAAGACAAGATCTTCTTTTCACTAGGAGGAAAATCCCACGAATGCTATTGTTTTCATTACCTTGTCTACCAGTAGAAAAGAATTTCATCATTTCTTAGTCTCTGATATTTCCTCTTCAGAGAAACTGTCTTCAGAGGTTTTGCCCTTTTATTAATTAGAGTTTTAGTGTTTACTTCTAAATTTATAATTTCTTTTTAAAAATCTTCTTTGTAAATATTTTTTTTGAAACGAGATTTCACTCAGTTGCCCAAGCTGAAGTGCAATGGTCGTGCAATCTCGGCTCACTGCAAGCTCCACCTCCCCAACTCAGGCAATGCTCCCATCTAGGCCTCCTGAATACCTGAGATTACAAGCACAGGCCACCATGCCTGGCTAATTTTTGTGTTTTTTGTAGAGACAGAGTTTCACCATGTCTCCCAGGCTGGTCTCAAACTCCTGCACCCAACTGATCTACCTGCCTCAGTCTCTTAAAGTGCTGGGATTACAGGCATGAGCCACCACACCTAGCCCTTTTAAAAAATTTTTTTTTAATTAAGGCTGATATCCACATTTAGCTGAATCCAGTGGTCATCACCAGTCCATTTTCTATCCTGTCTTCTTCTTATTTTGATTCATCTCAGTTGCTCACTCTTTCAGGAAAGATCTGGGTGTGGAATGCTTTCTGCACCCTTGCACACCTGGTCCTGTCCTCCTGACATGCTCAAACATAAGTGAGAACCAGACCAGATTCACAGCCCATCTCCCCTTCTGAAAACTCTGCAAATACCTCTCTCTCCCATGATATACTAAAGAAAATGTCCCTCTTTTGCAAGGAATTTGAGACCTCAGGTTGGAAGCAGTAGATCGTAGCTGATTTCTATGCAAACTCTTTAAGAAATAAAGACATAAACCCTTTGCCTGAGAATAAAACAGATTTACCCTCACATGTTAAGGATTAGGGACTGAGTCAGGAACACAGAACACAAGGACACCTTTATGCTATTTCCTGCTTCTTTCTCCTTTCTCCCAATTAAAGAACGATGTTACACTGTTCCTTCCATGAAAGCATTGGCCCTCTGGCAGAGGAGATAAGTTCTACTGTAGCATCAGGTAATCAGAGAAATGGGAAAGTGAGAAGGAAGGAGAGAACTGAGAATTGGCTAGGATGGTCAAGAAGAGCTTTCTGGAGGAAACCAGTTGGCCGGGCCTAGCAAAGTGATAGAATTTGAAGAAGGCATCTCCAGAGGGAGATGCAAAATAGTCACAGAAAACATAATGGTGAGTAACAATGATAAGGGCAAGGTGATTTAAATTGGAAGATTAATTTTAAAGAACCCTAGAGTGTGGATTGGAGCGGTAGGACACAGCTGGGTGATGGAATGCCATGGAAACAAGGAGTAGACTTGAAGAAGTTCACGGGCATTGAGCAAAGAAGTGATAGGGATAAAGGAGAGTCTGAGAGAAGTTAATCTGTTCTGCATATTTTCTGCCTCTTCATTTAGACTCGCCCCAGCGCAAAATTTGTTGTGGCAAACATAGAGAGAAACCTGAAAAACATAGTAGCCCATGATCTGGGACGAAAAGTAAGTATGCAAACCCAGATTACTTCCATTTTTGAGCTGAGACTCAAAGCATGGGGGAGTTTGGATCTTCTTAATGAAGTGGGAAGAAATCTTCCAGGAAGGAAAGTTAGAGAGAGATGGAGTGGCATCTGTTAAGTTTCCATTCTGCAATCAGGCACTGGTGAAGTATTTTACAGACATTATTTAATTATTTAGGTCAAAGTCAGCATCCATATGACCAGAAGTAAGTAGATAAATCTCCCCAAAACTCAGTTTCCTTATCTGTAAGATGGAGATAAGTAATCACAAAATTAACATTCACTAAGCACGCAAACACTGTGCTAAGTATCTGAAATGAATTTTCTTATCTCATCCTCCAAACAATCTCATACTCCAGGTAACAATATCATCTTCATTTTCCAGATTTAAGTTCCAGAGAAGGCCAATGACTTACTCAAGTCATAGAGCTACCAAGTGGCCGAGCTGGCTTATGACCCTAGGGCAGTCTGCCCCCAAAACCCATCTACTTGGTTGTCCCCAGAATGGGTTGGCTTGGGAGAACTTGCCTTGCTCACTCCCATTTAGACTTTATTAGTGGAGCCCTCCTCTTGACTTTTGCCTATTTCCTTGTCTTTCAGGTGTGCCCTGTGATTAATAAATGGCTCTACAACCTGGACCAGCATGTGGTTAAAGAGTTGATTAGTAAGTGCTGGAGGTGGGAAGGGACAGGAACACTCCAGAAGAAAGCTCAGAACCCTCCCTCACCCTTTGTATTTCATTTCCCCTTACCTCACTCTGGCACTTCTCCTAGACCAAAAATCTCTTTCCTGCTGAAGTAGAATGGTCCCTAATAATAACAACCTTAATAATAAACTCAGCTGACATTAACTGAGGGAGCCCAGTGTGCCAACATGAAGCACTGTGCCTGCACTAGCAATTGAACGTGCACCTTTAGCTAAGGACGTGCTGGTTTCAATTCTATTCTTGCTCCCAAAGCCTAGAGCAGCTGAGATATGAATGGAAACTTCTCCAGGGGAGAAAATCTGCCCAATTCTGCCTTTGTCCTCCCCTAAATTTGTATGAGTTAAATGATGGGCAGAAAATTGGTCTGTTTTCAGCCCAGACAAACACTGCCTCCTTTCAGTAGTCGCTACCTCAAGCATCCAAAGTTTTCATATCTGCCAGAACTCAAAGCAAAAAATGCAAGATTGAATCTCAGCAGCTCAGGCCCCCAGCAGGACTTCAAACTTCCACCACCAAAAAAAAAAAAAAAAAAAATGCTGAATTGAAAGGTATATGCCTTCATTCACTGAATATTCACTCGTCCTGCCAAGTGCCAGATGCCAGAGTTTCTAAAATTCCTCGAGTGGCTCTCCCAGCAAGCAATTTTCTGACTTCTGCCTATTCCATTGACTGGGAAGTCACTACTTTTTTTTTTTTTTTTTTTTGAGATGGAATCTCACTCTATTGCCCAGACTGGAGTGCAGTGGTGCGATCTCGGCTCCCTGCAACCTCTGCCTCCAGAGTTCAAGCGATTCTCCTGCCTCAGCCTCCCAAGTAGCTGGGATTACAGGCAGGCATCACCATCCCTGGCTAATTTTTGTATTTTTAGTAGAGATGGGGTTTCATTGTGTTAGCCAGGCTGGTCTTGAACTCCTAACTTCAAGTGATCCACCCGCCTCAGCCTCCTAAAGTGCTGGGATTACAGGTGTGAACCACCACCAGTGAGCCCGGCCAGTACTCACTACTTATGAGGTAGGAAGCTTGAGGCAACTAATCTGGATGAGCCTAAAAACTCCCAAAGCTTGTGTTCCCGGGCCCACTCAAATGAATGGGACAGCTCAACCAACACCTTCGCTCTACTATGGGCCATCACTTCAGAGAGATGGCCAGGTGAATGGAGACTCCGGCTGCAGCAATGGCACCTTTCTCCACTGTCTCATTCCAATGTAGGAGCTCTTAAGTGATTAGCTTGGGAAGAAGTGGTTGTTCCCAATCTGTAGATAAGGAAACCAAGATCCAAGAACTTTAAGCAATTTATCCAGGATTACTTAGTAAAAAATAATAACAATAAAAGCTAAATGCATATTAAGTGCTTTACTATGTGCCAGGCTCTTTGCAGACTTTATATATGTTAATTTGATCTGTCCATACAACTCCGTGAACTAGGTATTATCACTATCTTCATTTTAAAGATGAGGAAACAGAAACAAAGGAAGATCAAAATGTTTGCCCATATTTCCATGGAAGAAAATGTCAGAGCCAGAGTGAACCCGCATCCTCCAGCTACAGAGCCCACACTGGTAGTCACTGTACTGCATGGATAAAGAACTGTCAGTTAAATCATACAAGACAGCCAGTGACAAATAAGAGCTTCCAGCCTCAGCCTTCTGTCTCCACACCTTGGGCTCATTTCTCATCCCCATTCTGCTCCCAGTGCTGCTCCAAGGGGGAAACTTCCCTGGCCTCTCTGATCCTCCACCACCCCCACAGTCTGAGTATCTCTTTTGCATTCTAGATCTGGTCCTGCTGCAGGAAAAGTACCAAGTCACCATCTAAATGTCCCCAAAGTGAAGAAGCTATGTGTGTATCAATCCGGTGAGAAACCAGAGCATGTTTCCATTGCTTAGTGATGACCTTTGGCCTTTAGGGTCATTATAAGTGTGTTATTCATTCATTTGTTAAATTTTAGTTAAGCCCCTACTATATGCTAGACTCTATTCCACATGTTAGGAATACAGCAGTGAACAAGATGGACAAGGAATCTGATTTCCTGGAGCTTGTATTCTAGTTGGGAATACTAACAGTGAATAAGGAAATAAATATATAGTCAACTAAATTCCAGAGGATGGTGGGTATTCAGAAGAAAACAAAGTAGGAGGATGTGGGCAAAAGTAACTGGGGTGGGGGCAGAGAGAGAGACATCAAATTAATACAGTCAGACAGAGGCTCTTTGGGGAACAAAGGGACAATTCAGCTGAGCCCTGAATGATAAGGCAGAAGGAGTTGTGCCAAGACCCAGGAGAAAAGTATCACAAGCAAGAGGATGAACATGTGCAAAGTCCCTGAGGCAGAAATGAATGAACTTGCCTTTTTGAAGTAAAGAAAGGAGGCCGTCGTGGGCTGGAGTGTGTAGGGAGCTCAGTTGTAGGAGACATCTTTACAAGAGTGATATTTGGCAGAGAAAAGGAAGGGAGTTTCTATAAAAGGAGATATCATTATTCATTCATTTATCATGTATGTATTTGCAACTCTTCAGTGCTGAATACACTCTGCTCAGGTGTCACCATCTCAAGTCTCTCAAAAATGGCACATCCACCACTCTCTTCCCTGCTTTACTTTTCTTCATACCACTCATTATTATTTGACTTCCTACTATATTATATGTATCTTTTCTCTCCACCTCTTAAAAGAATGTAGACCTCATGAAGTCAGGGACTTTATCTATTCCCTGTTTTATCCCAAGTTCCAGGATTACAAAAATGAATCACACTTGGCCCCTGACCTCAAGAGCTCCCAGCCTAGCGAGAGATAAAACAAATAAATCGGCAATTTCATGTGCATTGAGGTGCTCAGTTAAGGTTCTATGGAAGTAGAGAGGCAAGACCCAGTAGCCAGGGGACTTCCAGGAGACTTTGCAGAAAAGGCAAGATTTAAACTGGGTATTGAAAAATGATAAAGACTCACTTTGTGGGAAAAGACATTATAAGCAGAGGATACAGCATGTGCAAGTACACAGAAGCAGGAAAGGGTCTGATGCTTTGGGCAATGGGGAGAAGCTCTGGGCAATGGGGAGAAGCTCTGGGTGACTGCCCATAGGAGTCATGGGGGACAGAGGTATCCTCCCCTGAGGAGTAAGGATAAGCATGTAATAAGCTATGCTGTACACATGCTTTGTGAGAACAAGGTCACATGTGATGAATTGGGCTGTAAGAAGGTACAGTCCATGACAGGGGACATAAAAAATTAAGTGCCCAACACCATAATGGAATCCACATCCTTGAGTTAATTAGCTTAGTTACGTAATACTCTAAACCAATGTTATCCAATAGAAATATAACAGGAGACACACAAGTAATTTTGAATTTTCTGGCAAGGCCATCTTTAAAAGGAAAAAGAAACAGATTATATTAACCTTACTAGTTTATATTTACCCACCATATCCAAAATATTATCATTTTAACATGGAATCAATATAAAAGTAATAAAATATTTTACATTCTATTTTTGCAGTAAGTCTTTGGTCTGATGTGTATTTTATACTTACAGCACATTTCAATGTGGACTAGCTGCATTTCAAATGCTGATATCCATGTGTGACTAGTGGCTACCATATTGGACAACGCAGCTCTCTCTAAGTAAATTGGCTGGCAGTTGCAAAACGTTGAAAGGTCTAGGGCATCTCATGTATTCCTGCCAATATATCTAGGCTGCCACTTAGCACAGAAGTCCCAAATCTGTGACACCCCCCCCCCCATATTATATTCAGCTCACAGACATGTTTGGTTTAGCCTATAAAGTGTTTTATACATGTGACTGAGTTGCCAATATTAAAAGTAAGAAATATGTCTTTTGATTAGCTAGGGCACCTGGTGATATTTTGTATTATTGTGTTGTGAAGTAGGCCAAGGCGACGAGGAAGAGCCACCTTAATTGATGAGAGGAAGTCCAGGGAAACAATGAGAAAACGTTATCCAGAGAGAGGCAGTGGATGGGTGTCCCGACAGGAATAGATTTCAGCACCACGGACAGCAGTCACGCCAGTGCGGAGGGGGAGGGCAGAAGCGGGAAAGGCTGTCCGTTCTGACCGGAAGAAAGGGTGTGAAATTTACTAATACCTGGATTATCTCACACAGAATCAGCTTCTGCATCCTAGTCTCCTCCCTGGAATGTCCTCCACACTCCAGGACACCACCTGCGTAGATCGTGTTGATTATTCAGCTGATGCCTGGAATTGCATGACCCACCCTGGACCAAAAGAGCCCCTGCTTCTCCGGGTATGGAGGTTATTTCCCTGTAAATCCTCACCAGAACCCATGTGCTGATTCCCTGTAATCTTCCCACAATAAATTTTTAGCAGCTCTGAACTGCAAACTGTCCAGCTTCCACAGCGCCATGTGGATGGGGGCAACGTGGCCAGAGATGATGGTGGGTCTGGTCATGATAACAAAAGTATGAAAAGCAGGGGAGGATACTTGGGTTGATTTATCCATTATCTCATAAACATCTGAACACTCTGGTATGATGTTTCCCAAAGGCTAATTAAAATTTTAAAAAGGTTTCCTGTCTTGTCTGGGATGTTTTCTGAACTGATTTTTTGACCTTGAGTGGCTCCATCCTCTTGGCCACAGTCTCATCACTGTGCAGTGGGAATGTTGGTCTCATCTTCCCAGCGCCCTCAGGCAGGAACAGCCTACAAAGTTGTGACTTATGGGAGAAACCTTATCCTGGCCCTGGTAACTCCATTTTTCTTCCCTGTATCACCAAACTTCCCAAAACATATGCTGCTATTCACTGCCTCTCCTTCCTCACCTTCAACCTCTGGTCATTTTTTAAGATGGAGTTTTGCTCTGTCATCCAGGCTGGAGTGCAGTGGTGTGATCTCGGCTCACTGCAACCTCCGCCTTCCGGGTTCAAGAAATTCTCCTGCCTCAGCCTCCTGAGTAGCTCAGACTACAGGCGTGTGCCACCATGCCCAGCAAATCTTTGTATTTTTAGTAGAGATGGGATTTCACCATGTTGGCCAGGCTGGTCTTAAATTCCTGGACTCAAGTGATCCACCTGCCTCAGCCTCCCAAAATGCTGGGATTACAGATGTGAGCCACTGCAACCGGCCATCATTTTTTTTTTCTTTTCTTTTTCTTTCTTTTTTTTTTTTTTTTTTTTTACAATATGGCTTCCTTCTCCAAAGTATTATTCTAATTTAATTCTCATGATAAACCTAGGAAGTAACTGTTGTTTTCCCTTGAATAAGTGAGAAAACTGAGGCTCAAAGAGGTGCAGTGATGTGTGCAAGCTGCACCTCTAAGAATGAGAGAGTCAGGACTCAAACTTACGTCTGCCTTAGAATGAAAGTCTGGGTCCTCACTGGGCCTGTGGGCACACTGTTTGTGTCCATATGCATGTTCCTGACCCCGTCCCCACCACTCTCCCCTTGTCTCACTTGCTCTGGTCACACTGGCTTTCTTGTGCTGCCTCCTCAGCTTGTTCCAACCTCAGGGCTGAACACTGGGCTGGATTTTTATCTGTCCTGTTCACTGCTTGGCACATGGAGGGGCTTAGTGAAACCTGCCAACTCCCTGATAAAGGCTCCCTCCTGGGAGCTGCCACACACTGCACAATAGCATGGAGAATGTCACCCTCAGAGTCACACAATCCCTCTCCCAAAGACAGCTCCCCAATTCCCAGAGGATCCGGGTGAAGAAATTTAGTGCTGCAGCTATCTCCAGCAACCACGAGAATTTAGGATCAGGTAAAGCAAAATGAGCAAATATGGGGTGACATGTGTTGGAGAAAATTACTAAAAGGGGGATTGGGATCCAAAAGCAGAAAATGGAAGAAGAGAGAAAGCAAGTTTGGTCCCTTTGAGAAACGCAGCAGGAAGCAGAAGAGAAGCCAAGTTGGCTGAAGAATAAAATTAATGATCAAACAGGTTGAATGTGCATTTTTAAAAGAAGGACCCATGCCGGTTTCCTCTTCCTACTGGCTGACATTTAAGGGCAGGTGAGGCTGTGCCTGGCTGGTTATCCTTAATGACCTGCCTTGCTCCTTTCCTCCTGAGAACACTCCTGCTATGTAAGCCCCGGGACTTGACAGGTTGGTTCCTGCCCCCTTGTGGTCCAGAGTGTTCATGGTTATGGTGAGACCTGCAGTCTTCAGTCTATCTGGTGGTTCAACTCACTGAAAATGTTGGTATTTGCCATGTGTGTTCCACGGAATCTTATTGGCCTCTGTAGTATATAAGAGGAAATGCAGCCGGACAGAACAAGCTTGCAGACCCCTGCGAGGGAAGGTTAAGGGCTGTAAGTGAATTTATCCAGAAACAAGGTAGAGCCTATCAGAGCCAGGCAGCCCAAGTTCAAATCCTAGCTCCACATTATCAGCTGTGTGTCCTTAGACAAGTGTCTCCAGAGTCAGGGCTCAACATCCATCTGCCCTTATTATTCTTCCTGCCTCTCCTTGCAATGCTTGTGCCTGGGGGAATGGGGGCTGAGGATCATGTTGGGCAGCAGAATGGGGTGTGGGATGAAGCAGTTGGTGGGGAATGAGCAACAGCTCCTCTGAGCTCCCTTCTGCAGGCCAGGCTACCTGGTTCCCATCTGAGCCCCACCCCTCCCCAGCTGGGTGGATTTGGGGATTTTACTTAACATTTCTGTGCCTCTGCAAAAGGAGGCCAATAATAACAGTGCCTACTGCAAAGGGTTGTGTTGAGAATTCAATAAGTCATTACAGGTAAAGCACTTAGCTTGCCCCTGGAGCTCAGTCAGCACTCAATAACTGTTAGCTGGTATCACTGTTATTATTTCAGCTAAGTGATCTTCACACACCGTGTGCATCAGAATTGTCCAGAAGCTTATTCCCAGGATCCCCCTCAGAGAGCCTGACTCAATTCATCAGAGGTGACCTAAGAATCTGCATTTTTACAAGTCCCATCTCTCCCTCCAAAATTCGGTGATGCTCCCCTGGAAATTCCAGCATTTCCATTTTCCCTTTGCCCTCTCCAGGCTACCCTCAGAACCCAGAAAAGGTCAACTCTTCCTTTGTGAAACCCAATATGCCATTCAGAAACGGTCCCCACTCTCTCTTCCCCTGCCATTTTAAGGAAATTCGCCTTTGGATTAAGGTTCCAGCCCCTAGTTCTGTACAGTTGTTAGGCATATGTATGTTAAACACATATATATGTGTGTGTGTGTGTGTGTATATATATATACATATACATATATATGTGTGTGTATATATATATATCTTTTATATATATATAAAAGAATGGAATGAATGAATGACTAGATGAATAATGAATTCCATTCCTTAGAAGAGTAACTCTCAAAGTATGGACTGAACCCCCTGCATCATCTCTCTAGGGTGTTCATTCCAAAGGCAGCTCCCAGCACCTCCCCCCAGCCCCCACTAAATCAGATTCAGGAATCTGCATTTAATGCTTCTGCCTCCTCTGCTGTTCCCTGGAGTTTGGGGACCTCTGCCTTTTGCTAGGGACCTGGAATTTCCTTAGAGCCCCAAGGAGGGGAAGTGGCCACCCCAATTGGCCGTTAGAGATCACAGGTGTGCATAAGCCTGCTTGGCCCGGAGTTCTGCCAAGGGAGGTTCCTGCCTCCTTGTCCCACTGGACAGCTCTTCCTGCAGCCAGGGATGTGAGACAGGCCCTCTCCCTGGGCACATGGGTACAGACTTCTCACCCCATAGACAGCCACTACTGTCTTCCTTTCTTCCTCCAACCTGCCGAGCTCTTTCCCACCTGAGGGCCTTTGCCCTCATGGTTCCCTCTGCCTGGCTCCCCTTCCACATTTTTATACTCAAGCCTGGCTCCATCTCCTCCTCTCCTCCTGGGCTCTGCTCAAATGTCGCCTGAGACCTTCCCTAATCCTGGTCTAATGTGGCCTCCTTGCTATTTCCAATCTTACAGTAAGCTTTTTCCCCTTAATACAATTTATGGTTATTTGGTTTCTTGTTTATTTCACCTTGTTCTGATTCCCTCACCAGATGATAAGCTGCTGGGGAATAGGGTGACTGTTATTCCCTAGAGTCAAGCACAGTGCCTGGCACACAGTTGGCCCACAGTAAATAATGGTTGGGTGGATGGATAAATGAATTTTTTTCAAAGTCAAACTCCTTGAAAGCCAGTTTCCCAGGAGAGCAAGGGTTTTACCATTGAACCCATGGGCATGCCTTAAGAGGTCCATGGCAATCCTGGTACTGTGTGCAACATTGTTTGGCTTGGTGAGTTTTTTTTTTCCTAAAAGACAAACCAAAGCTTCCAGTGCATTTTCAAAATGTCCCCCAAGAAGGTAAAGAAGCTTGTTTTAAGGAAAGCTATTTGGAATAGTGAAGGAGGCTGCTAATGTGTGAGGCTCAGTGGTGTTCCACAGCGCCAGTGTCCAAGGAAAACAGTGTCTGAGGCAGTTCTGGGGAAGGCAAGACAGCCCACTGGGATGCCAGCTCAGCCTCTTCCTGGCTGGGAGCTTAGGCAGCCGCTGGGTTTCTCTGGGTCCCTGTCTCCTCACCTTTGTGGGATGAGGACGGAATGAGATAGACCACAGAGCAGGCTTCACACAGGGAACGGGTCCCAACGGAGAAACGCCAGCCCCGCCAGCCTCCAAGTATTTGCTCATTAAGGAGCTGTCCTCAATCCACCACCATCCTTCCTGAGAGCACCAGCGTGGCGTGCCCAGCCACCCTGGGTTTTTTCCTTGAATGTCAGCTAAAGAAACTCCACCTCCTCAGGGAGGTCTTTTTCCTGACATCCCTTTTCCCCCATTGGCCAGGTATCCCCTCCCTGTGCCCTCTCACAGTACCTCCCACCTCCTTCACCTCTGGGCCATATTTCATAATCATATGCTCAGTTGCAGGGATAATTGAAGACTGTGTGTCTCCCCACTGGTATGTGAGCTCCATGAGGACAAGGACCCTGCCTGACCACTCTCTGTGGGATCCCCAGAGCCCACGGCTCCTGACACTCAGTGTTCATTGATTTTAGTGGTTTTATTCATTGAATGAATGACAGCAAAGCCCACCATCTGAACAGCCACGCGCAAGCTCACTCCAGGACCATCACACCCTCACTGCCATCTCAGCCTCTCTATCATTCCTGCCTGCCTTCTGGAGTTGCATTTCATTCGTGAAAGTACTTGATAGAGGTGGCTCCTGCATTCATTGCACACGTGTCCCAGGAACCATCTTGGGATTCTCATGCTCCATGTCACTGACTCCATCAGCTTCCCTGGTTTACAGGTGAGGAAGGCTCAGAGGCGTAAGGACAAGGAGGAGGATCATCATAATAACATGGTTTTGGAGGACTGGCCCAAGCATGATTCGCTTTAATCCTCACTATAGCTCTGAGGTCTGCACTGTGATCCTTTTACAGACCTGGGAGCTGAGTCTGCCAAGAGACAGAGTCAGCAGTTGAACCCCGGTCTGCGTGACCCTAAAGCACATACTCTGGACTGCATGTGATCCTGCACCGAGTTGGCTTCAAATCCAGTCCCCAGCCCCTGAGCAGGGCCCTCTCATCCCTCCAAATCTGCTCTCTCTTGTCATGCATCAAGCTCTGAAAATCTATACCCTCCATGCTGTCCTTTCATTAGGCTCTGTGGCCCTGAGAACCACAGCCTGTGATGAGGTAGGACCAACAGCTCCTGCCCCATGTTAAGATGTCCAAAGAGCCAAGGACAACAGATTTGTTCCTCCCGACAATGCCCACTCTTCTCTGTTTTCTTGACAATAAATAACAAAATTCCAACCACTTACATAAGACCAGGAAGGCTAGAAAAATACATTTTGAAGTAAGTGATATTCTACAAACATCCCCAAGGGGAGCATGAACTCTGAGAAAGGACCTCAAACAGGGAAAGCCAACACCCTGAACCAAGGCTTTCTCAGTACAATCTCTTACAAAACCAGAGTGAATTGCCCAAGAATAGCCCCAAGGCTTCTGTGAAATTTGCAAAGGACGTTCCCATCCCTCATCCACATGGGACCCTCTATGTCGCCCGTAGTATGGGGAAACAGCACAGGGACAGTGACAAACGCCTTTGTCTCAGAGCTCACAGCAATGGCAAGGTGGGGCCCAGACATCCGAGACCTGTGCTGCTGCAGTGGAGTGGGGAAGAGAGAGCTGCAGGCAGTGCGGTCCAAGAGGATGCAGGGACCCTCCTGGGCCTGGGAGGTGTTGCATGGAATGTGGCTTTTGCTCTGTGTGCAGTAGGAAATGCTGGAGGGTTTTGAGCAGAGGAGTGGCATGGTGGTCTACCTTACATCTTTTTTTTTTTTTTTTTTTGAGTTGGAGTCTTGCTCTGTTGCCAGGCTAGAGTGCAGTGTAGTGTGATCTCAGCTCACTGCAACCTCTGCCTCCTGGGTTCAAGTGATTCTGCTGCCTCAGCCTCACAAGTAGCTGGGACTACAGGCATGTGCCACCACACCCAGCTAATTTTTTGTATTTTTAGTAGAGACGGGGTTTCACCATGTTGGCCAGGCTGGTCTTGAACTCCTGACCTCATGATACGCCTGCTTCGGCCTCCCAAAGTGCTGGGATTACAGGCATGAGCCACCGCACCCGGCCTACCTTACATCTTAAAATGACTGTTCAGGCTGCTGTGTGGAAGAGATTGTGGGTGGGCACAGTTAAAAGCTGGGAAACCAGCCGGGACCCACTGGCAATAATTCAGATCAAGCTGATGGTGGCTGAGGAGTAGTTGTTATATGTGGTCATGTTCTGGAAGTGTCAGCAGGATCTCCTGACAGATGGGTTGTGGGAGATGGGAAAAGGGGAGGAAAGGGCAGCTCCACCGGCTGGGAGTAGAACAACTAGATGGACTTGGCACCATTTCCTAAGAGTGAGGACAGGGGACTTAAACTGAATTCTCTCTGAATCCCAACCCCAGGGCTCCAAGGTCAACCTGATGCTTTGGCTTCAAGAGTCTGTAATTCTTATCCAGAAAGATAAGATCCATCCATCCAGTTATTCATTCATTTGTAGCATTAACAAACATTCACCAGTACTTACCATGTGGCAAACATGGGAGGCACTGTAGACATGAGGATTAATTAGACTCATACCCTGCCCTCAAGAAACTCATAATTCAGAGGAGATTCAGAGATCAACCATCTCCACTCATCAATTCAGTCGTTTGGTCACTCAACAAACATTCATTAACACTCAATTTCTGACAAGCAAGTATCGTGGTAGGGATTGAAGTGGTTGGTCATGCCCTTAAGAAAGTCCTAACCCAATTGGAGAGCCTGGGGTTAGCCATCCTCACTCAAATGTATTCATTCATTGGTTCACTAAAGAGTCACTAACATCCAGCCTGTGCCAGGGTCTGGGAGAGGACTCCTGTTGGATGACCCAACAATAGACTCTGGTGAGTGTCTCCAAGCAACAAGGCCTCCCTCTGGAGCCCTGGCCTCCTCCCAGGGTTCCACATGTTGCTCTCCCAATGTGAGCAAGCCCTGGTGGCAGCGCCAGGGTCCAGTGCAGCCCCTCCCCACAGCATGCTGGGGGCTAATTCTGATGTCATCTTTCTGCAGAAAACCATTAGACCATCCCTCCAGACTGCCACCCTCAAAGCCGTCTGCCCAGGCCCCATCTGACACTCTTGACATCTGCAGGTCCCAGACCCTATGATGTGTCCACTCTGGAGGCTCCTCATCTTCCTCGGGTTGCTGGCCTTGCCCTTGGCACCACACAAGCAGCCTTGGCCTGGCCTGGCCCAAGCCCACAGAGACAACAAATCCACCCTGGCAAGAAGTAAGCTAAGCCCCGGGCTCTGCCTGCTGCCTACGGGGCTGGGGAGGTGGGAAGGTGCCATCTGGGCTCCACTGCTAACCCGCTGGGTGACTTCAGGTTAGTCACTTTCCCTCTTCTCTTTTTCTTAGACCTCAAGTACAGAAAATTGAGGTTGTGTTGATCATATGCCAATTTCTAGCACATCCTCATTGGCACAAATCACTGCAAGGTCCCCCTTTTGTTTTATTTTCTTATTTTCCCCCTTTATGACTTATTCTCACCCCATATCCCTACTGCCTTGGCAGGCATTGCAGCGTGTTTAATGGATGTACTTAAATATGCCTGTGTCCTTGTATGTACAGTACTTTAATTTACATAAATTGTATTGTACTTTAATTTACATAAATTGTATAGTGTTGGGTTTCACTCAGCACTATGCTGTTGACATCTATGTTGCTTCAGCTGGTGCAGAAAGAGCCATAAGATTCATCCACCTCAGTTTATTTGGCTGCTCCCCTCTGGATGGACATGCAGGTTGTCTCTAACTCTCCATGATTATAAACTACACTGAGATGAACCTCCTTGCAAGTGTCCCTGTTACAGCCTGTGGGAGAATTTCCCTGGGATAAACCCAGAAGGAGAGTGGTTGGGTCCTGGGGTAGAGGTGAACTCAATTTAACCAAAACTGCCAGAATCCTCTCTAGAATGGCTGTGTGGTCTACACGTGCTCCAGTAAGAAATGAGCATACCTGTCTCCCCATGTTCCCCAGCACTGCCGAGTACTGAGCTGTATCAGTCAGCTAGGGCTGTCCTCACAAGACACCACAGACTGGGAATTAAACAACACACATTCATTTTCTCACAGTTCTGGAGGCTGGAAGTCCAAGATCAAGATGCAAATAGGGTTGGTTTCTGGTGAGGCCTGTCTTGCTGGCTTGCAGACGGACACCTTCTCGATGTCTCCATACAGCCTTTTCTCTGTGCATGCAGAGAAAGAGATCTGTTTCTTCTTATAAGGACACCAATCCCATCAGTTTAGGGCCATACCCTAATGACCTCGTTTAACCTTAATTAGCTCTTTAAAGGCCCTATCTCCAAAGACAGTCGCACTGGGGGAGGAGAGGGCACAATTTGATCTATGACACTATTTTTCTACTTTTTTTTTTTTGCCAGTTTGATGTGTAGTTGAGTGATAACTACTTGTTTTAGCTTGACTTTATCTGGTGAGTGGGAAGTTTGAGCATCTTATACTTTTGTTAACCATTTTGACTTTTTTTCTTGGAGACAGAGTCTCACTGTGTCACCCAGGCTGCAGTGCAGTGGCATGATCTTGGCTCACTGCAACGTCCACCTCCCAGGTTCAAGCAATTCTCCTGCCTCAGCCTCCTGAGTAGCTGAGATTACAGGTGCATGCCACCATGCCCGGCTAATTTTTGTATATTTAGTGGCGATGGGGTTTCATCATGTTGGCCAGGCGGTCTCGAACCCCTGACCTCAAGTGATCTACCCACCTCGGCCTCCCAAAGTGCTGGCATTACAAGTGTAAGCCACTGTGCCCAGCCCCATTTTGACTTCTTTGAATTCCCTGTTCTTACCTTTTATCCATTTTTAAATTTGCTTTTCTGGGTTTTTTTAATCCTCTTTGACTTGAAGAGACATTACTTAATTCTTGACATTAGCCCTTTGTCAGATTTATGCATTGTGAATATTTCTCCCAAACTGTCATCTGTTAACTTTGTAGGTCCTTCACTGAACAGGAATATTTTCAAATTCATCAATATTTTGTTTTATAGTTTGTGTTTGGAAAGTCTTAAGACCTTGCTCCTACCTCAGACATATTCTACTTTGTTTTTTTCTAATAGCTTTATAGTTTTACCTTTCACATTTAAGATTTTAACCCATCTCTGGAGGCTATCTTTATGTATGCCTGTGTATGTAAGGCAGAGATTCAGCTTCGCTTCTCTCCATATGACTCAGTTTCCCCAACTCATCTACTAAATGATCAAATTCCCAAAAATGAGGATTCACTGCTGAACTCCCTATGCTGTATCTGTACATCTGTTTTACACCAATAACATAATATTGTAAATACAACATCTTTGTAAAATGCTGTTTTATCTGACAGACCTATATTCTTCCAAATGAATTTTAGAGTGTGTTGAGTTCCTTTAAAAAATTCGTCTGGCCGAGCACGGTGGCTCCCTAGCACTTTAAGAGGCTGAGGTGGGAAATCGCTTGAGCCTAGGAATTCAAGACCAGCCTGGGCAGCATATCAAGATCCTGTCTCTACAAAAATAAAATTAGAAAATTAGCCAGGCATGGTGGCACACACCTGTAGTCCCAGCTACTTGGGAGGCTGAGGTGGGAGGATCACTTGTGCCCAGGAGTTTGAGACTGCAATGAGTTATAATTGTGCCACTGCACTCCAGCCTGGGCAACAAAGACCCTGTCTCTTAAAAAAAAAAAAAAAATCAGGGCGGGCGCAGTGGCTCACGCCTGTAATCCCAGCACTTTGAGAGGCTGAGGTGGGCGAATCACAAGGTCAGGAGATCGAGACCATCCTGGCTAACACGGTGAAATCCCATCTCTACTAAAAATACAAGAAATTAGCCGGGCGTGGTGGTGAGGGCCTGTAGTCCCAGCTACTCGGGAGGCTGAGGTAGGAGAATGACGTGAACCCGGGAGGCAGAGCTTGCAGTGAGTGGAGATCATGCCACTGCACTCCAGCCTGGGGGACAGAGCAAGACTCCATCTAAAAAAAAAAAATAAGGCTGGAAATTGGATTGGAGTTAAAATGAATTTGTTAATTTAAAGAGAGTTGATATTTTAGACTTCCCAATCATAAATTTAGTGTATCTTTCCATTTATTCAGATTTTACTATATATCCCATAAGAGAATTTTAAAGTCCTATCAATGTATTGAGCATGATTTATTAACATGATTCCCAGAGAATTTATAGTTTTCATTGCCATAGTAAATGCTACCTAATCTTCTATTATATTTTCTAGTTGGAATTGCAGGTACAGATGGAAGGAAAGCTGTTGACTTCTTCTGATATTCAAAAGCCTTGCTGACCTCTTATATTTTTATTGTTTTATTTATTCTGTAGGTTTTTCTATCTAGGGGATTATATTGTCCATAAGTAGTAATAGCTTTATCTTTTCTCTTCTAAGCCTGACACTTCCTGTGCCTTTTTCTTATCTTGCATTGTAGCCAGAGCCTTCTACAGGAATGGAAATTAATCCAGAATTCCCCTACAAGTAAATTTTCTGTGGGTTTTTGGAATATAGTGTTTATCACATTAAGCCTGTTCCTTATGCCCCTAGCTTTATGAATTTTTCTTACTCATAAGTCAGTATTGACCTTTAACAAATGTTTCTCTGCATCTAAAAGTTAATCACTTTTTTCCTCCAACCTACTAAATGATAAATTGTATTAATAGATTTTTCTGCTGTTGAACCTTCCTAACACTTTTAAAATGAAAGTTTTTATGATGTACTGTTAGATTTTTTTTTTTTTTTTTTCAAATGGAGTCTTGCTCTATCACCCAGGCTGGAGTACAGTGGCGGGATCTCAGCTCATTGAAACCTCCACCTCCCAGCCTGGGTTCAAATGATTCTCCTGCCTCAGCCTCCCGAGTAGCTGGGATTACAGGTGCCCCCACTACCACGACCTACTGATTTATGTATTTTTAGTAGAGACAGGGTTTCACCATGTTGGCCAGGCGGGTCTCAAACTCCAGACCTCAGGTGATCCGCCCGCCTTGGCCTCCCAAAGTGTTGGGATTACAGGCGTGAGCCACTGCGCCTGGCCAAGATTTCATTAGCTAATAATTTGTTTAGGATCTTAGCAAACTTTTCATACATAAAACTAATATGTAACTTTCTTTTCTTGGTACTGTCCTTGAGGCTAGGAAAGTTATACTAACCTCAGAGAATGAATTTAACGTCTTTCTGTTTTTAAATTTTCTTTCACATTTATCTCTTTATAAAAGTTTGATAAAACTCTGCATAAAATCTTCTAGATCAAAAGCTCTCAGAGAATGAGATCTTCAATCATCATTTTTATTTGTTAAGAAATTTCTTAATTTCTTTGGTTATGAATGTTTTCTATTTTTCCTCATTGAAACTTGGCATTTTGTGGTTGGCATAAATGTATCCTTTTCATTTAGGTTATTGAATATATTGGCGTATAATTCTGAACCCAGGTAACCTCATTTATACAATAAGTGCAGTTAGAATGTTAGTTCACGAAGCTGCTTTTCAAACTTAAATGCTGGAAAGTATGTGAAAAGTTCTTTGACTATGCATATGTTTATTGCTATGACCAGTAGCAGCTTCTCTGCAGTAACCCAGAGTTCTCAGTGTAGGGCCTGATCTCAGGTAGGGTCAAGGCAGTGAAACTATATTATCAGTTAGAGTACTTAGCTGCAGGCAACAGAAAACCCAACTCAACCTGGCTTACACAATAAAAAAAGTTGTCATTTTACATAACTGAAAGTCAGAGATAGGACAAGCTCCAGGTTTGGTTCAGTCATGAGTTCAAAGTTTGCCTCCAGACTAGATTTTGTCTATTTCTCAGCTCTGCTATCATCATGGTTTTATCCTCATGCTGGTTCCCATTGTGGTAGGAAAATGGTGGCCCATGGCCATTGGCGCTATAGGCTGTCTTGCTTCTTTCCGATAGGAGAAACAGAAAGGAATTTTCCCCTCTTGTTTGGTCTGATAGAGCCAACTGGGTCATGTGCCAACTTTGAACCCAAAAGAGTCAGTGAGGGTGAGGCACACCTGATGGTTCAGATAATCAACAGCCTCATCTAGACCAGGAATTTAAGGGAGTACTTGAATAAAATCAGGGTTCAGATGAGGAAAATAGAATGAATAAATGGATAAATGGATGGATAGATGGACAGATGGATGGATGGATGGATGGATGGATGGATGGATGGATGGATGGATGGATGAGTGGATGGATGGATGGATGAGCGGATGAATGGATGGATGGATGGATGGATGGATGGATGGATGAGTGGATGGATGGATGGATGAGCGGATGAATGGATGGATGGATAGATGAATATTAGACTGGCAACCACTGGTGTCTGCTGCTCACAAATTCCCAAGCACCACTATAATCATGAACCAAGAACTACTAAGAGTTCTGGGCATACCTATAGGTTCACTCTATCCTTGAAACTATTTGTTTAATATATTTCTCTCCTAGTAGACATAAAACTGGTTTGTACCCTCAGTGACCAGCTTGGGGCCTGACACCCAGTAGATGCTCAATAAATATTTGTTGGATGAATGAATGAATGGTCTTAATATTCCTCACAAGAACCCTGTGAGGTACTGCCCCTGTTATACAGATGAAGAAGCCAAGACCCAGGGAGATGATAGAGCCAGGATTTGAATCAAGATCTGCTACTCCAGACACATTCTTGTTTGTAAGCGACAGAAACAAACATTGCTGAAACAAACAACTCCAAGGTGCTGTCTTGGAGGAGGGGGATGGGGTATGACAAAGGTTTCTGCTGCTCTGGAGTAACCCAGAGTTCTCAGTGTGGGAACTGATCTCAGGGCAGGTCAAACCAGTGAAATAATGTGCCCTGTGGTACACTACGAGGTTCATCAGAGCTGGGTCCTCATCCCAGGCAGGAGGGTCTAGAGACAAAATAGAAAGGACTTAAGCATCTCCATAGCTTTAAAAATTCCTTCCTTTGGGAGATTTATTCCTTTCTGGTGGAAGCTCCACTGGGTCCTGCAATTTATTCTAGACATGGTGTGGAGCAATTTACATCTATTCTTTCCAGGCTTACCCATCTAATTTTCTCTTCAACCAACATTGACTCTGATCTACATCCTGTATGTTAGCTCCGTGCTCCAGACTGAAATACAGTGTTGGGTGAACTTTCAACCAGAATACCCCACTTTGAGCAGCTGTTGCCTGCCACACCCTCTGCAGGTGTTTTTCTTTATTTCTCACATCAATCTTGCAAAGCATAATTTCATAGATGAAGAAGGTAGATCTCCATGGGGAGGTGGTGACATGCACCACTCACTAAGCAATCAGATCTTGCACCAGCCTGCAACCCAGGCCTCCGAATCCCAAGCCCCCCACCTTTTCCGTGACACTGTGCAAAGTCAGTGGTCCTTGTGCATTTCCAGTTATTGCTCAGGGCCTCATAAAGCACAACGCAGAAAGCCGAATTCAGAACATCCACTTTGGGGACAGACTGAATGCCTCAGCACAAGTGGCCCCAGGGCTGGTGGGCTGGCTAATCAGCGGCAGGAAACACCAGCAGCAGCAAGAGAGCAGGTGAGACCCTGAGTTCTATCCGTGGCCCTGGAACTCTTTATAGAGCTCTAGATCGAAGGGTAGAGCTGATGGGGGGCTGGGGAGGTGCAAGGCCTGTGAAGAGGGAAGGTAGGAAGATTGAAAGAAGAGAAGGTGGAAGGCCCACACAAGGAACAGTGGGGGCCCAGCTGCACAAATCAAAACTGTGTGGCACTGTTAGGGCCACTCTGGGGCAGCTTGCAGTCCAGGGCTCCCGCACCTGACTCTTGCCCTCAGAGCATCTGTAAAAGAATCACAGTCCAAATCCCATTGCCAGGCCCTCTTTATAGTCGGACAGCCTTGTTTCTCAGCAGGAAGCCTTACCTGTTCTGAAGTCCCTCACCCTTGTGGGGCCTCTGCTCTTTCCTTGTGCAGCATCAACATCACCAACATTCAGCTGGACTGTGGTGGGATCCAGATATCATTCCATAAGGAGTGGTTCTCGGCAAATATCTCACTTGAATTTGACCTTGAATTGAGACCGTGAGTCATACAGAAGCAGAATCTGAGAGGTGCTGGCCCTCCTCGCAGGGAACCTGGGAAATTCAGATCTTTCTGATCCCAACCTAAATTCAAATCCTGGCTTCCAAAGCCACTTGCTGTGTGACCTTGGGCAAGTCACTTCACCTCTCTGAGCCTTGGTTTCTTCACCTGAAATATGATGACAATCATTAGTCAGTGGAAGGAAGTCATTTGCTCATTCAAACCTATGAGAGTTCACAACAACTGGGCTTGATTAAAGAGAGAAAGGGAGAACTGCTGTAATCATCTCATCGCCCCTGCTCACCATCCTCCTGTTCAAACTATCCTTTGACATCCACTGCCCCCAAGAAAGGGAGGATGCAGCTAAATGGGAAAGATTTTTGAAACAGAGATTAACTCTCAACGTTTGAATTTCCAAAGGCCTATTTAAGGGGTTTTCAGAGTCACTCTGGCTACAGCTGTTTTCTCTTTAATCACTGACTTCAGGATTTAACTGGGCCTAGTTTGTTGAAAGGACTCAGAGTGCCAGGGGAAGCCCTAACGGTGGACAGTGCCCGTCTTTGCCAATACGGAGATTTCTACTCTTTCTCTACCTCCTCCCCTTGCCCTTCCTCCTCTTCCTCTCTCATCTGCAGGTCCTTCGATAACAACATCGTAAAGATGTGTGCACATATGAGCATCGTTGTGGAGTTCTGGCTGGAGAAAGACGAGTTTGGCCGGAGGGATCTGGTGATAGGCAAATGCGATGCAGAGCCCAGCAGTGTCCATGTGGCCATCCTCACTGAGTAAGACCCCAGCTGCCCCTCCCCAGAGCTGGGCCTCCTTCCTGATGAGCCCCAGCTGCAGGGTCACTTCCTGACCGTCTCCTAAATTAGTCCAAAGCAGATCTCATCCTTCCCCCGGGATCTGCTCCTCCTCCCATGTTCCCATCCGTGATGACCCTACCACCCTCCCAGAAGCCAGACTCTTCTCCCTCCTCACTCCTCAAGCCCATCATCACAAGTTCCCATCAATGACTTGCTAGTAGCCCTCAGCTTCTCTCTTTTATCTCCATCTCCTACTCCACTACCTGGAGCACTACAGGAAACTCACCTGGCTTTCCCTGGCCCGGATCTCCCCTCCTACACTCCATTCCTCATCCTGCAGCAGAAATAACTTTCTAACACAGAAATCTGGCCATGCCCAAGCCCCTGCTCCAAAGCCTCCAGTGGTTCCCAGTGCCCTCTGGGTAAACAGCAACTCCCAAATTTCACTCAAGGCCCTGCTTGTCCTCTCCCCTGCCAACTTTTCAGCCCTTTGTCCTCCACCACACACCGTACATTTTCACACCACTGTGCCTTTGCACATGCTGATCTTCTTGCCTGGAATGCCCGTCCCATCTTCTATGAAGCTCCTCCTTATCACTCATTCATTCATATATTTCCCAAAAACCTACTGTATGCCAGCACCACACCTGATGCTAGGGATACAGTGGTGAACAAGACACAAAATACAGCTTTAATAAAGCTCCATAGACTGGCTGACCAAGTCTTTCAATTTCAACTGACTGTAAGTCCCTTGAAGGCAAGACTTGTGCCTGATTTATCTCTGTAATTCCGGAATGCTGAAAGCAATGAAGACCTCAGTGGATGTCTGTTCATTTATTCATCAGATATTCATTGAGTACCTAGATTGTACCAGACATTCATGGGAGGACGGTGTAAGGGAAAGACTCTGGAATCTGGTGCTCTATTGCCATGTTTCTAATATAACCAGCACTTATTAGCTGTGTGACCTTGGGCAAGGTCTGAGCTACCCCTTTGATGATCACTGACAATGATACTTCTGGCATGGGGCTGAGTGAGGACTAAAAGACTGTGGAAAGTATACTCAACACATACCTCCTGGCTTTAATATTGCCTGGATTGCTCTGTTCTGTTCTGTGCCTCTACCTTTCTTTCTAGGGCTATCCCACCAAAGATGAATCAGTTTCTCTACAACCTCAAAGAGAATCTGCAAAAAGTTCTCCCACACATGGTAGAAAGTCAGGTAAGTTTAGAAAAAACTTTGCATCTTGAGCATCCTTGAGTCCGAGGGTTAGGGCATATATCCACTGGCAATTTAGCAAAGGATTTCAAACATTGGATTTTAGAGCTTGAAAAATCTCAATTTAAAATTTCAGTTTGGCCATGAGTTTTGCCAGCCTATCCTTGAGCAAGAGACTTTGCCTCCCTGAGCCTCAGTGTTCCCACCTGTAGCATGGGATCCACCATAGTCTCTATCTTATATGATGAGGATTTGTGGAGACAAAGCGTCGAAGTGTTGTGCATGACACTGAGCAGGTAGTTGGCGCTCACTACAAGGGAGCTGCTCTGGCCACGATTCCTACTGGAAAAAATCCCATGGAGTTGAAGTTTCCTGCCACAGTCACTTCAGTTTTCCTTTTCCAGCCCCTGGCCTGATCCTTCTCTCTGTGCTGATGGTCCAGGTATGTCCTCTGATCGGTGAAATCCTCGGGCAGCTGGATGTGAAACTGTTGAAAAGCCTCATAGGTGAGTGTCTGGTCCATCCAGTGAGGACTTCTTAGGACTGGCAAGTGGCTGAAAGAGGTACCCCCGGCCCTGGAGCCCCCAGGGAGGCCTGCTAAGGGGCGTCTGCATGTGCCGTGAGAACACTTTAGAGGTGACCATATTATGATGACCACACTGTCCCCCAAGAGAGCTGGGACAGCAGAACGTACCCCTACCAAGCAGGCTGTGCCCTGCCAAGTCACTGAAGTCATCAGGTTACCAGAGATTCGAGCTGCTTCCAAGATCTCCACCCAATCCAGTAGGGAACACTGGCCCCATCCCAAACCTGAGACCATCTCTACTCCAGTTACAGATAAACAGTTATAGTCCCTGCCCATATAGAGCTCACAGACTAGTGAAGTGAAGACACCAAGAAGCAAACAATTCAGCATCATTTGGGGAGGGTTTTCACGTGAACGCTCCCGGCACCTGCCTTTGGTCACCATGGATGGATGAGGGTTTCCCTTCGGTGTGGGAGTTGGGAGGTGGGCACACTGGTGACAGACGCTACCTCTTCTCCTTACAGAACAGGAGGCTGCTCATGAACCAACCCACCATGAAACCAGCCAACCCTCTGCATGCCAGGCTGGAGAGTCCCCCAGCTGACTTCTGCTGATCAGAAGGAAAGTCCACATCTTGCAACCTTAAGTCTCCCTTAGAGTGGGGCTTCTGCTACCCTAAAAACTTTACCCCAGGCTCTGTGGACATACCATCCTCTCCTACAATAAACTCTAGCTCTGAAGGGTGCACAGGTCCCTCCCACCTGGGCCCTGGGGTTTAGGTCTAGAAGTCAGACCTGATGAAGTATCCTCCTGAGAACAAATATCCCTATGGTTGCTCATCAGCCCAGAAATACCAGGACAAAAAAAAAAAAAAATGCAGGGAGGGGCCTGTTGAGATTTCTCATTCTTTCATTCTTTCATTCCATATTTATTGGGCACCTAATATGTGTCAAGAATACTCCTGGGCTCCAAGAGGGTGTAGAGAAAGGGTGAGAGAGTGGAAAAGTGAAACCATGGGCACAAACACATCTGAGCTCACCTTCAATTCAGCTCAACTGGCAGTTCCATGAGGGTGTAGGTGCCATGCAGCATGGTGACGCATGAATCCCAGCCCCAGCATACAGCTGGCACAGAGTGAGTGCTCAGTAAATATCTGTGGCTCAATGAGTGGATGGATTCTAGTCTTAGGATCCACTAGCTGCATTTGAGACAAAGCTTGTTATCTTTCGGTCTTCATCATTTGCAAAATGGAATAGAAATCTTGCAAGATGTGGAGCAACAGAAGCCATCCCATGCTGCTGGTGGGAGATAAATTCTACCACCACTTTATAAAGCATCTCCTAGAGTTAAACATGGGCTTACTTTACAACTCAGCAATTCCACTACCTAGTGTATTCTCAACAAAAATACATGCACGTGTGGAGCAAAAGGCAAGGAAGCTCATAGCAGCAATGTTCGTCATAACCCCAAACTCAACATCCTCCCATGCCCATCAAAAGAATGAATAAATAGAATGGGCAGATATCTTGTGGGATGGGCACCCACTGGAATCTCTATAGTGATGGAAATGACCTACAATTGCACACAGCACGTGGATGAATCTCATAAACAGAATGTTACATGAAAGAAGCCATACACAAAAGGGCATGTGTTGCATCTCCCATTTATGTGAGTCCAAAAACAGCAAAACTAATCCGTGCCGCCAGAGATAAGATAGTGGTTACCTTGGAGCAAGGGTTAGATGCTAGGAGGGCATTGAAGGGGGCTTCTGGAGAGCTGATAGCATTCTGTTTCCTGATCTAGGTGCTGGGTATGGGAAGGGATGTTTGGTTTCTGAAAACTCATTGAGCTATTTACCTATACACATTTTTCTTATGTGTAATGTACTTTAACAATTTTGACAATAAAAGTATTGGCCGGTTGTGATGGCTCACACCTGTAATGCCAACACTTTGGGAAGCTGAGGCTGGAGGATTGCTTGAGGCTAGGAGTTCAAGACCAGCCTAGGCAACACAGCAAGACCCTATGTCTACAAAAAGCTTGAAAAATTAGCTGGAGGTAGTGGCACACACCTGTAGTCCCAGCTACTTGGGAGGCTGAGGCAGGAGGATTGCTTGAGCCTAGGAGTTCAAGGTTACAATAAGCTATGATTGCAACACTGTGCTTCAGCCTGGGTGATAGAGCAAGACCTTGTCTCTCTAAAAAGTCCATATATGTATTTATAATGCAGGATGCTTGTAAGGAGTAAAGCCATGAAAAACCATTTGCAGTGTATTTCACATGTGATGGGTTCATGGGAAATGCTTATTAAATGTCACTTAATCCAGCCAGGCACAGTGGCTCATACCTATAATCCCAGCACTTTGGGAGGCCAAGGTGGGTGGATCATTTGAGCTCAGGAGTTTGAGACCGGCCTGGCCAACACAGTGAAACCCCATCTCTACTAAAAATACAAAAATCAGCTAGGCATGGTGGCAGGTGCCTGTAATTCCAGCTACTCAGGAAGCTGAGGCAGGAGAATTGCTTGAACCCAGGAGGCAGAGGTTCAGTGAGCCAAGTTCATTCCACTGCACTCCAGTCTGGGCAACAGAGTGAGACTCCGTCTCAAAAAAAAAAAAAAAGTCAATTAATCCATTGTTAATGATTTGACTCTTGACTATTCAATTATTAAATATGGATTCCCACTCTCCTCCAACCAAGAGTTGAAAAAGCAACCTGAGAAATCAAGGGAAAATAACACACACATATTAATCACAGTAGCACACATTAAGCACTTGTTATATAAAGAGATTCTTGGTGCTCAGAGCTTACATCCAGCATCTTATCAATGCCTCCCAGCAACCCCACCAGATACAAAATTTCAGCTCACTTTATGCATGAGAAGCCTGAGGCTCGGAGAAATAAAGTCACTTGTCTAAGGTCACACAGTAAGGAAATGGCCACAATGACTGCACTCAGGCAGCCAGCTCTAGAGCCCACACTCTAAACCACTGTGAATCCTCCTTCCTTCCTTCCAACACCCCTCACCCCACCACACACACACACATGCACACACGCAAGCGGGGGCTGATGAAATATGTGTTCAGTGGGACTGACAAGCTCAAATAAGGAAATGTCAACAGCTCAGAGATGAGAATAGGGCAGGAGAATCTCGCTTCTCTGTCTTTCAATTCAAGCTCCCTAATCCGGAATGCTTCATCAGGGATTTGCAACCCTAAACGCTAGTGTTCTCCTTGCCAGCTGTGAGCTTGTGGGGTTCTTCCTGCTCATGATTCAAAGAGCAAACACAGGAGGGCCAGGCCTGGTCCCCAACAAGGCTACCTGGTTCACTGGTGAAGGCAGCTTTTGTCTGCCTTCCTCCTGACTCTTCCTGGGCTGGCGCAGGGCTTCCTGTAGGGACCTCCTTGGGTTTCTGACATTCTGTTTTCATTTTAAGGTTCATGGAGCATGGACTCATTACATTTCCTCCCAGAAGGGCTTGTTGGACAATGGACCTCTATTAGGATACTGGGGTTCACACTGGGGGATGGTTTAAGGCCCAAATGCAGCCCCAAATGTTCAGAACCTCAGTCCTGGCTCTGCCCCTCTGAGCTTTATAACTTCCATGCCCTCCCACTACTGGGCACTGACTCTGTGCCAGGTATTGGGCTGGGAGCTACATGTGTTTCCCCAAATTGTAGCCCTCCTGCAGCCCTAGGAGGTGGATGTCCTTAGCTCCATGACATAAGCAAGGACACTGAGGCTCAAAGAGGGGGTGCAACAAAGCATTTCTAGAGATCTGTCATACCACATCGTGCCTACAGTTAACAATGCTGTATTGTACACTTAAAACTCTGTTAAGGCCAGGCGTGGTGGATCATGCCTGTAATCCCAACACTTTGGGAGGCTGAGGTGGGCAGATCACCTGAGGTCAGGAGTTTGAGACCAGTCTGATCAACCTGGTGAAACCCCACCTCTACCAAAAATATTAATACAAAAATTAGCTGGGTGTGGTGGCACACACCCATAATCCCAGCTACTCGGGAGGCTGAGGCACGAGGAATCACTTGAGCCTGAGAGGCAGAAGTTACAGTGAGCCGAGATCATGCCACTGCACTCCTGCTTGGGAGACAGAGCAAGACTAAGAAAGAAGGAAGGAAGGAAGAAAGGAAGGAAGGAAGGAAGAAAGGAAGGAAGGAAGGAAGGAAGGAAGGAAAGAAAGAAAGAAAGAAAGAAAGAAAGAAAGAAAGAAAGAAAGAAAGAAAGAAAGAAAGAAAAGAAAGAAAGAAAGAAACTGTTAAAAAAAAAAAAAAACCAAAAAACTCTGTGGATCTCATGTTAAGTGTTCTTACTACATTAAAATTTTTTTAAGGCCATACACGGTGGCTTACACCTGTAATCCCAGCACTTTGGGCAGCCAAGACAGGTAGACCAATTGGGCCCAGGAGTTCAGGCCAGCCTAGGCAACATGGCAAAACCCTGTGTCTACAAAAAACATGAAAATTAGCCCGGTGTAGTGGTGCACACCTGTAGTCCCAGCTACCCAGAAGGCTGAAGTGAGAGGATCACCTGAGCTCGGGAGGTCGAGGCTGCAGTGAACTGTGATGGCGCCACTACAGTTCAGCCTAGGCGACAGAACGAAACTGTCTCAAAAGAAAAAAAAGAAAGGGGGTTGGCAGGGGAAGCGCTCCACCAACGGGAGGGCTCCAGGGAAGATGGGCAGGTGCTTTCTGAACTGAAAACTGTGATGCAAACTTGCACTTGAAGTAAGAGCACTGAAGCCCCAGATGACAGTCTGACTTCACCTCTTCCCAGCTGAGATGACCCTGTGCAGGTCACAGCCCTCCTTGAACCTCAGTTTCCCCACAGGCTTGTTACAGGTGGCATAAAGCTCTAGTGTCTCACAAAAGGTTATCATTAGTAGTAGTATTTTTTTTTTTGCACTTTAAAAGCAAGTGCAAAGATTAATCTCAAAAGCAAGGGGAGCTTGCCTGAAGCAAACCCTACTTGAGAATATATATTTTTTTCATCTAAGTTGGGGTTTCTGGCTCTCTGGGAATGCTCTGGAGCTTCCAAGGCCATCTGAAGACCCTCTGCAACTCAGTCCCCACGCTGACCTTTCTCCTGGGGAGGAGATCCTGCATCCCATTCTCACATTCTGGAGAACAGACCTTGCATAGGTCAGAGCCCTTTGAAAAATCAAACCAATTCTGCCCTTTAGAAATGGATCTTTTTTTTTTTTTTTTTTTTGAGACAGAGCCTCACTCTGTCACCCAGACTGGAATGCAGCGGCATGATCTTGGCTCACTGCAACCTCCGCCTCCCAGGCTCAAGCAGTTCTCCTGCCTCAGCCTACCAAGTAGCTGGGTTTACAGGTGCGCACCACTAATGCCCAGCTAATTTTTGTATTTTTAGTAGAGATGGGATTTCACCATGTTGGCCAGGCTGGTCTTGAACTCCCGACCTCAAATGATCCACCTGCCTGGGCCTCCCAAAGTGCTGAGATTACAGATGTGAGCCACCACACCCGGCCAGAAATGGATCTCTTGATTGACAAAACAACCTGAGCAAAGGCTCCCAAACACAATTGCAACCTGAGAAGCAGGAAGGAAAGGCACCACCTACAGTTTCTGAGAAACACATGGAGAGGGTATTGACATCACCAGAGTGGGGAAAACCTCTTGAAATGTTCGTGGTGTGTCCTTCCACTTGTTTCCTGGTGCCCTGAGACCTTTCCCCTGTTCAGGGCAGGGAGCATGCAGTCCCTGTGGCCACAAGGAAGGGCAGTTTCAACAGAAGCAGAAACAAGGCTCTTGACTTTCAAGAGCCTGGGTTTTTGATAAAGTGGTAGTGACAGAGAACAAACAGGTGGTTGCCAGCAGATGAAGGCAGGGTGTGGCTGTAAAGGGACCCATGAGAGTGCCTTTGGGGGGATGGAACTGTTCTTTACCCTGATTATGATGGTGGCTGACTATACATGTGGTAAGACTCAAAGGACCATACCACTAAAAGAAGTCAATTTTACTGTAAGTTTTTTTGTTTTTATAGTCTTGGCTTTTGACTTGTTAAACTCAGGGCATAGGAGAGTCTGAGAACAGCATACACACAATGAAGTTGAAGCAAATCTTCCTGCCCACAAAACTAGAAAATGCCCTATGTTGGGTTGGTGAAGTGTGAGGGTCCAGGAGAACTGGAAGGAGCATAGTTCTGGTGGGTTCTGATGGTGCCTCCGTCCCTTGCTGCTCCCAGGCAGACCTGAGCATGGGATGAAGGGAACAGAATCCCAGGCACATGTATGGGATCCAGGGACAGAGGGCGTCTGTGTCCACACTCCCTCCCAGAGCCAGAAGAGGGCATGAGACCCCAGGGAGAGAAGGGTAAAGGGAGGGTCTAGGTGGATCCAGGCAGGAGGGCTTGGGCAGCCCCTCACAGTCCTGTATCAGGCCCAAGGAACTGGCGAACAGCAGAACAATTCTGTGTCTTACAAACGAGTTGAAAGTAAATGCTAAATCCAAAGGGACCTTTCACCAGGAGGGAAGTACAGTGTCTCTGCAATCTAGGGGCAGATGGCACATGGCTGTCTCCTATATTGCCAGCCAAAAATAGGGACAGGCAGCCTCCTTGGTACAAACAAAGCCCCTAGCACAGACATGAAACCCCAGGGGGAAATTGGGACATTTCTGTTCCTGAGCAAAATGGCATTTGAAATGGTAAAGTATAGATAAATCAGAAAGATGTGTGGACG
The DNA here is from genome assembly GCF_000001405.40 of Homo sapiens. Lineage (NCBI taxonomy): Eukaryota > Metazoa > Chordata > Mammalia > Primates > Hominidae > Homo > Homo sapiens. The sequence continues at coordinate 33,233,738 of NC_000020.11, forward strand.
CCTGAGTTTATGAACTGTGATTCATACCAGCTCCCCAGACATCATCTCCCCATAGCCCTGTGAGGCAGATTTTATGCTCCCCATTTTACAGGTGAGGAAACTGAATGAAGTTCAGGGAACTGGACTGACTTGCCCAGGGTCGTAGGATTTGAACCAGGGCTGTTTGAGCCCAAATTCACCCACTTTCTGCTGCAATACAGACACAGCCTCCCGGCCTCAAACCAGAGGGTGTAAGCTTTCATTAACTGGCTGCACAAACTCTACTAATTCCTTGCCTTATCTGCCTCAGTTTCCCCACAAGGATAGTAGCAACCTGACCCAACCCACAAGAGTTATACGATGGGACCACTGTGAGGATGATTGCCATGTACAAGATGTGGGCAGAGTCCAGCAAGTACCTTGAATGGATAATTAAGTTCAAAGCCATGGCCCCAAACCCTTGGGGGCACCACCCAGACTCTGGAGAGCAGTGGAGCAGGCCAGTGAAGGCCTAGTGTGAGGGAGGCAGTGTGGCCCACTGATTAGCAGGGACTCAGACAGACACAGAGGGTGGCAGGGTCAATTGACTCCAACACTCACTCGCTGTGTGTCCCCAGGAAGCAGTCACCCTTTCTGATCCTCAGCCTCCTCATCCAATGTATGAGAGACAACAATACCAACCACTCCTGAAGAAGATGAGGTTCAAATATGGAGAGCACCTGGCATGCAGTCAGTGCTTAATAAAAGCACATTTATTCCTTCTCTCTCCACTTTTGCTTATAAGGTGTTAGGTTTTGCAGGGTAAGAGCTGCGCTCACTGGTCCAGGACCTTGGCCTTCCTGTGTCTTCACTTTTTCATCTGCTGAACAGACTCCAAGGGCCCCAGTGGTGGGGATAAATAAATGCCTGATTACTCCATTTAGGGAAAGGTAGAAGAAAGGGTAGGATAGAGACCAGGATGCCAAAGGATCCCTCAGGCCTGGGAACCTGGAAAGACTTTTCCAGGACCTAAAAGAGAAGCGGCGGGGCACTGTGGCTCACGCCTGTAATCCCAGCACTTTGGGAGGCTGAGATAGGTGGATCACCTGAGGTCAGGAGTTCGAGGACAGCCTGGCCAACATGGTGAAACCCCATCTCTACTAAAAATACAAAAACTTTGCCAGGCATGGTGGCGCTCGCCTGTAGTCCCAGCTGCTCAGGAGGCTGAGGCAGGAGAATCACTTGAACCCGGGAGGTGGAGGTTGTCATGAGCTGAGATCACACCACTGCACTCTAGCCTGGGCGACAGAGTAAGACTGTCTCAAAAAATAAAATAAAATAAAAATTAAGTGAAAATTTAAAAAATAAAAAGGGACGCATGAAAGTGTAAAGTTCACAGGTGGGGAAATCAAAATGGCCAGCAAGTGTTGGGAGGCACCTTCATCTCTCAGTGCAGTGATTCGGGGAAAGGACCTGAATGTGGATGTCTCACCCCAGGCAAGCACTGCATCTCTGGACAACTTGCCTCACACTCAGCCTCAGTTTCCCCCTTATAGAATAGGAGTACAGGGTTGTGAGGATTTTGTGAGATGCTGCCTGTGAACACCATGGCAGGCCAGGCATACAGCAGGAGCTCGGCCAGTGTCTGCTGTTGGCGTTGTTTTTGTTGTTTTCATTCTCCAGTCAGTTGCATTCTAACTCTGCTGCATCCTCTCTGGGTCTTTCAGCACTTGTCCCCACTGGATCTCAGTTTCCTCCTCTATAAAAGAGGAGGAGTCACCTCTCCCTCTCAGGGTTCTTGTGAGGACAGAGAGCTCCTGACGTGCAATAGGGGCTCTGAAAACAGGAGACCCTTGCCCTGGAATGGAGACGCACCCCAGATGTAGGATGCAGTGTGACTCTTTTGACATTTTAGGAGAAAGAATCCTCCAACTGGAGCAAAAAAATTAGAGCAGGAGAGGAAAGGGGCCAAGAGATGAGACTGAGGTCCCTTCCTGGGCTCTGTCTGGCTGCTCCTTTCAATGCTCCAAGCTACCTTGGGAGCGTGGGTCCCCAACCTTGGCTCCGCTCAGGAAACCATAAAGTCTTGAGTAACATCCCATCTCAGGTTTTTCTCTGTTTATCTTGTTGACCAAATAGCTTAACTGTCTCACCTGCTAATGTGATTGGCAATTATTTACTTTGGAGAGCCCTGAAAGACACTGTCAGATTGCAGAATTCTCAATTATCTAGAAACCCATCACCCAACACATGCTTCCTCGTCCCCATACTATAAAAGAGGCTGACTCCTCGGCAGAAGTGAGTGGGGGAGAGAGAGGAGACCAGGACAGCTGCTGAGACCTCTAAGAAGTCCAGGTAAGAGCCATCCATTCTGTGGCCCCTCTGCTACCCTTAACGGCAGGGATCTCAGGCTCCTGCCCTGTGGGGCAGTGAGTGATCTTGATCACTCACTGGGGGCTGTGCAAGAGAAACAGACCTGGCCAATGTCAGGGATGTGGGGATGGCCATTTGCTCTGCTGTCCTAAGAGACCAGTAACATTGATATAGAAATGGGCACTATTAATGCCGTAAATGAAAGCCTCTAAGGCATAAGTTTTAGCTTGAGGTTACCAATGTGGATACAGATGATCCAAAAACCTCCTAAAATTCTTCACCCAATTTTATACATTTTGATGCATTTTTTCTGAGACTAGGATCTTTAGCTTCCATTGGATTCATAAAGGGTCTGTTGCCCAAAAGAGATTCAGAGGCTGTGGTCAAAGTTACCTCCCTAAGAAGGGCACAACTGGCTCTTTGGACCAAAGACCTTTCATTTCCAGCCTTCCACCACAAGGATGGAGCTTTAGCTGAGTCAGCCAATAGATGGAATTTTGCACAAAGTCACCAGTTGTCTCCAAATTGTAGGTACTAGTGCTGGCTCTGGACAACTCTGCTGGCTGCCAAATAGACCTGTGAGAGGTCTGCAAGCCAAACCTCAGGGGTTGACCGGAATTCCATCCAGGGCAGCTTGAAGGAGAAGAGAAAGGTGTCAAAATGATAGAATGCATGTTTGTGTGTTGGGTGAGGGGAGGGTTGGGAGACCTGCCTTCAACCACAGCTCTGCCATCAATTTATTGTATGACCTTGGGAAAGTCACTACCCCTCTTTGGTCTCCTGGTTCTTCTCATGCAATGAAGACTTTGATGGCCCCAGGAATTCCCCAACAAAGGTCTACATGAGATGGTGGCTGTGGCCATGCGACCCCTGTATTGTGTGACTTTCAAGGGCATCCACCAACCATCATGGCCTGAGCTCAGGCCAAAGGACTGAACAGGGATGATCTAAAACAGTTCAATTCTTCAGCACTTGCACGTTTAACCCTTCTCATTTGCTTTGTCTGAAGAGCAGCAATGATTCAAACCATTGAAGCAAGCCCGATTGGAGAATAAATCTGATGGTTACTTAATTTAACCGAGGGTTCACCTGGCTCTAGCTTCTAATCCTCTGTCCACCGTGTACTTGTGACCTTGGGGAAAGTTACCCACACTCGGTAGTACACAAGTGGGTTTCAAGAAGGGATGGGAGTATATTTGAAACTCCCAACTGCAAACTCACTTGACCTCTGTGAGCCTTGGTTTCTCCTACTGGAAAATCAGACAAGTGAACTGTGGGCAAGATGGAGTGAGGTGAGGCTGGGATTCTTGGCAAGAAGGAAAAAAACCCTCTTCTTTGGAATGTGGTGGAGTGGGGCTGTCTCCTTTTTAGGCCCCTGATCAGTGGTCCTCACCTGTGCAATGCAGGTAACAGGTGCCCATGTCTTAGGGTTGTGATGAAGATGAAATTGTGTAAAGTGGTCAGCCTGTTGCCTGGCAAAGAGAAATTGTTCAGCAGTATTAGCTATTACTAGTGACCCCCTGGTGTTCTGGGGAGCAAACAACCCCACCCCCCAGGTGTCAGGGCAGGTGGTGGATAAATTCCTCTCTGATACCCATGCCATGTTGGACTTGTCATTCTGGCCACAGATACTAAGAGCAAAGATGTTTCAAACTGGGGGCCTCATTGTCTTCTACGGGCTGTTAGCCCAGACCATGGCCCAGTTTGGAGGCCTGCCCGTGCCCCTGGACCAGACCCTGCCCTTGAATGTGAATCCAGCCCTGCCCTTGAGTCCCACAGGTCTTGCAGGAAGCTTGACAAATGGTGAGTTTTCAGGGGTGTATGTGTGCATGTGTGTGTGTGTGTGTGTGTGTGTGTGTGTGTGTGTGTGTGTGTGTGTGTGTCCAACCCTGCAAAGTGGGGAGGGACAGGGCTGGATGGGGGAGGGGGCCTGAGGATCTGGAATTGTCAGATCTGACCCCCAGAGACCCTTACACCCATTTCCAGCCCTCAGCAATGGCCTGCTGTCTGGGGGCCTGTTGGGCATTCTGGAAAACCTTCCGCTCCTGGACATCCTGAAGCCTGGAGGAGGTACTTCTGGTGGCCTCCTTGGGGGACTGCTTGGAAAAGTGACGTCAGTGATTCCTGGCCTGAACAACATCATTGAGTGAGTTGTCCTAAAATAGAGCTTTGATCTCCACCAGGGAACCCCAGGTGAAGATCTGCCAGCCCCAGGCAGTGACCCTGAAGCAGCGACCCTGAAGCAGCGAGGGAGCGGCCTGAAGATGGAGCCAGGACTCAGTTCTGAGACCCATCTCCAGTTTGGCAGGGACACCCGTCCTCCCCAAACCAGCAATGCCCTCAGTTCTAGGCATGTCCTGAGGCCCCAGCATCATCTATAATCCTCACCACAACCCTTTGAGGTCGATTTAATAATCTCCAGTTTGCAAATGGGAAAACCAAAGCACAGAGGTGCCTGTGTTCACGCTGCTAGAGTGATGCCAAGTGAGTAAGGCTCTCACTCTACTATCCTAACTCCAAAGCCAAGGCTCTTCCCACTACACTGTGGTCATTTTGTTCTCTGCACCTGTGAAATCCCTTAGAACACAGACGGCCTTTGATGTTAGCGAGAGTATAACCTGCCCACCTTGATGATATCAATGTGATGAAAAACAGTGTGATGTCCATGGAAAGGTCTAACGTGGAGTTTCCCATGAGACACCCAAGAGCTCGCAAAGCAAAAAGCAAGAATGGAAGCTTGATGCCAGTGAGCCGGCAGAGCCTGGTTCCTGGATAGGACTGGATCAAAGCCATTTCCAAAATCCTACCCACCCAGGGTCTCACTCCCTGACTTGGAGACAGACAGACTTCTTGACTTTGATTTTCAAATGTACTTGTTGGATGACCTGGGACAGGACACCCTGTCTCTCTGTGCTTGGTTTCTCCATCTGTAAAATATAGATTATAGAACCCACAGAGAAAGTGTATTGTGAGGACTGGAAAAGGTGTAAATCACCTGGCGCAGTGGCTGGCTCAGTGAATGGCCTCACCCATCAAATGGCCTCCCTGCTTGATGGGTGCGGTCACAGGCCTGGCTTCTCCTGGAGACAACAGGGTGTGATGATGGATGGATGGTTGGAAAGATAGGACAATGGGAGAATGGCTTCCTTCCACCCTTTCTGCACTCTCCCTGACTTCCTGCTCCTCAATTCCCATGATAAACATTGGTGATTGGCCACCTGACAGGGTGAGTGATTCTTACCCATAAATGTTTGTGCAGATTTACTTCCAGTTGCACCTGCATCATCCATTCATCCACTGACCAATCCATCATCCAGTTATCCATCCTTCTACCTAATCACTTACTCTTCCATCCATGTACCCACATATCCACTACCCACCTTCCCATCAATCCAGTCAACTAATATGAAGTAGCCACTTTCTTTGTAAGGCTCTTAGCTGGCATACAGGATGCAGATATAATCCAGACACAGTTGTTGTCCTGAATACCTCATAGACTGGAGATAAGGAAAGGGCCCTGTGTGTGTGTCAGATCTGTTCCAGGGCAGAGGCTGGAAAAGACCTAGTGTGTGACTCAGAACCCACGTGGCTTAGGCTGCAAGACTCCCCTCCCATCTCCCTATCCTGGGTGGGAAGCTCTACCTCTGGGATGGGTACTGTTAGGTTAAAGATGGTTTCTGGGTTTGGAGCTAGAGGAGCTAATGTTTCCCCCTCCAATATTACTCCCTGGACAGCATAAAGGTCACTGACCCCCAGCTGCTGGAACTTGGCCTTGTGCAGAGCCCTGATGGCCACCGTCTCTATGTCACCATCCCTCTCGGCATAAAGCTCCAAGTGAATACGTGAGTGGGTCCCAAGAGGGGGTGAGAGGATGGCTCACCGAGGGAGACCCTGGTGACCATGGTTAACCATAACGGGGGTATTGGAGTCTAACAGACCTGAGCCTCCAACTTCAGCTCATTTGCTGCTATGCTAAGTGGCCTTGGGTCACTTGGGAAACTCACTTGACCTCTTAAGTCTTTGTTTCTCCTGCTAGAAAATGAGATAAGTACAACTGTGGGCAAGATGGAGTGAGGTGAGGCTAGCATTCTTGGCAAGGAGAAAATAACCCTCTTCCTTGGAATGTGGTGGAGCTAGATACCAGTGGGGCTGTCTCCTTTGCAGGCCCCTGGTCGGTGCAAGTCTGTTGAGGCTGGCTGTGAAGCTGGACATCACTGCAGAAATCTTAGCTGTGAGAGATAAGCAGGAGAGGATCCACCTGGTCCTTGGTGACTGCACCCATTCCCCTGGAAGCCTGCAAATTTCTCTGCTTGATGGGTGAGGCCAGAGGAGCAGCTTATCCTGCCCAGAGATGACAGGGTGTGATGCCGGATGGATGATTGGAAAGCTGAGACAATGAGAGAATAGATGAGTGAGAGGCTGAAAGGGTGGGAAAATGGATGGGAAGGAGGGAGCGTGGAAAGATGGATGGATGGATGGATGGATGGATGGATGGATGGATGGATGGATGGACAGATGGTTAGATGGTTGGGTTGATGGAGAGAAGGATGAATAGATAGATGGATGGATAGATAGATGATAGATAGATAGATAGATAGATAGATAGATAGATAGATAGATAAAGTAGTACTTATTCCTTCTTAGACCAAGCTAACCAATTTTATGCTGGATCTAGCAACAAGAAATTGGAGTTTAAGCCCTGCATATTACAGGGGAATGGGGATAGAGGGCTTCCTGTGTGAACCTGGGTAGTGCTTCTCCAATTTAGTTCTAAGCTTACTTATCTGCAATATGGAACTGCACTGGAGTTATTGATAGAACCTACCAAGATAACAGGTGTGAAAGTGCTTTGTCCCAGTAAGGGGTAAAATAGACGTGGATCCTAACTAGGTTATTTATTTCAGTTACCTGTCACATGGGGAGACTGTGTCAAACCTATTACGCAAAAGTTGCCCACGTGGTTAACTTTTAATGAACACATACATTGGGCTTCACATGTGTCATCTCATTGGATCATAATGACAACTACATACTAAGTAGTATCCATTCATTTATGGACTCTGCAAAGCCTTATTGGCACCTGCTTTTTCTGAGAACCATGTGTTTATCCTACACATACCTGTGTGTTCACTGCTGTACACAAATGTAACTCCCTTTACATAAGACCCTTGCTGTTGGCCTGCACGTGGGTGTAGATAGACAAGGCTCGGCTTTAGTGACTGAGTGTTGAGACTGTGGGGTTCACAGTGGCCCCCTCTGGAGACTTCTCCACACCATCTCCAGGTCCCTGCATCACCCATGACTTTTCTCTTTCAGACTTGGCCCCCTCCCCATTCAAGGTCTTCTGGACAGCCTCACAGGGATCTTGAATAAAGTCCTGCCTGAGTTGGTTCAGGGCAACGTAAGTAGGCAAGGTGGGGATCCCCTGATCCTCAGGTTTTAGAGCTTCTTGCACTAAAACAAAGCCCTGAGCTAAGTGGGTCCGAGTCCCTCAATTTGATAAGTAACTTCCATTCATCAATCTATTTGTCCATTGATCCATCTGTCCATGTTTCTTCTTTACATCTTTCCAAATGCATTGATGAGTCTCTGCTCTAGGCCAGGCCCTGCTTGTCCACACTGAAGCTGAAATGGATTGGCCCCTGTTCTGAGAAATTGGAGAAGTTCCCTGTCCAGCCTTCTATGGCCACAGACAGTCTTTCAACCTATGCTTGGGTGTCTCCTATAACCAGGGCACTCCACTCCACTTAGAATCAGATGTGATGTCACAGGGTGAACACTGGGCTTGTTGTGTGATTTGGGGCCCTTCACAACATCCCTCATGCCTCCAGTTTCTCCTCAGGCATGTGTGACCATTGATCTGTGGGATTGCTTAGAATCACTTTCACACAGAAAAATGACAGGAAATTTCCCCAGAGAACCCCCACTAGGGATTCTGCTGCTCCAGGGTGCCACTCTGCCTAACTCTCCTCTCTGCCCCTGGCCAGGTGTGCCCTCTGGTCAATGAGGTTCTCAGAGGCTTGGACATCACCCTGGTGCATGACATTGTTAGTAAGTACCTGCTTTCAAGCCCTCTGTCCCTCTCTGCAGGAGCAGCAACTTCCCCCAAGGAGTTTTTTCCCTGCACACCCTAGGATACTAGGTCCCTCTGGCCTCAACTCTCTCTATTTTGGGCTTCATTTTCCCCCGAATAATCCAGATAATTTTGAGATAGACACCGTGTCTCCTGCCTCAGCCCTGACACTGAGGACAGCTGGGCTGGTTGGTAGAAGGAGGCCTGGCTTCCTCCAAGCATGCTGAACACAGTCGGATCTCCAGAGGCCTCCATTCCCTGGCCCCCCACCTTGAGGAATATGGACTCCTTCACGTTGAGATCATAACTGTCGTCTGTTTTTTTATTGCTTGTTTGTTTGTTTAGACATGCTGATCCACGGACTACAGTTTGTCATCAAGGTCTAAGCCTTCCAGGAAGGGGCTGGCCTCTGCTGAGCTGGTAAGTGCCCTTCCCCACACCCCAGGGTTTTGGGGGCTGGCTGTTCTTCTCCTGGTAGAAGGCAGACGGGAGCTTGGGACAATGACATCCAAAGAAAGAGACAAACATCTACAGAGGTACACACAGGGATGCACAGAGAAATCCACAGAAAAGCTGACAGAGGTGGAAGGATGCAGGCAGCACAGCAACACAGCTACCAAGAGAAACACACACACAAATGCCCAGACACATGGCCACTGATACAGATGCACACACTCTCACACCAGCACACTCACACACATGCACACATTGGTGGACTCACCACACACAGACACACACACTCTCACCCAGCACCCTCACACATATGCACACATCAGTGGACTCACCACACATAAGTACACGTGGATACACAGACACACTCACTCAAACACATGCTCACAGAGCCCTGACTCCAGGCCTGATGGCTTGCCCAGGGTCTCAGCCTCCTCCTGTCCCTCTGGGGCATGAGTTTGATGATGAGTCAATATCAGTAACGCTCACTGACCTTGAGTCTCCATCCTGATTAGGGTCTTCCCCCAACAGAACTATTTCTTGCTGCTCAATCCATTTCCTCTGGCCCAGCTTCCCAGTGCTCACAGATGGCTGGCCCATGTGCTGGAAGATGACACAGTTGCCTTCTCTCCGAGGAACCTGCCCCCTCTCCTTTCCCACCAGGCGTGTGTAACATCCCATGTGCCTCACCTAATAAAATGGCTCTTCTTCTGCATCAGGGGCCTTGTCATCCTTCACCATTACTTGAGGGCTCCTGGGTTGGAAACAGCCCTGGCCTGGGTGGTTGGGCCCATAGCATAGAGTTTGGCACTTACTTTGTAGATCTGAATAGTCTTGAGCAGGTCAGGGAGATGTTCAAGTGTGTGTGGATTTCAGAAGGCTTTCCCAGGTGTCCTTAGAAAGGGGGAATAAGGCATTCAGGGTAGATATAATACTCCAGGTACAGTTAATGACATACAAGTTTGCCGCACCACGAATGAAAATGGCAGATTTGTGTTAGGGAAATGCAAATTAGAACTACAATGAAGGCCAGGTGCCGTGACTCCCGTCTGTAATCCCAGCACTTTGGAAGGCCAAGACAGGCAGATCAGTTAAGGGCAGAAGTTCAAGACCAGCCTGACTGACATGGCAAAACCCTATCTCTACCAAAAATACAAAAATTAGCCAGGGGTGGTGGTGTGTGCCTGTGGTCCCAGCTACTCGAGAGGCTGAGGTGAGAGAATTGTTTAAGCCCAGGATGTGGAGGTTGCAGTGAGGCAAGATCATGCCACTGCATTCCAGTCTGGGTGACAAAGTGAGACCCTATCAAAAAAAAAATTAAATTTAATTTTTAGAAACACCCAGTAAAATGTCATCTCACACCAGTCAGAACAGCTATTATTAAAAGGTCAAAAAATAGCAGGTGCCAACGAGGTTGCAGAGAAAAGGAATGCTTATACTGCTGGTGGGAATGTAAATTAGCTCAGCCACTGTGGAAAGCAGTCAGGAGATTTTTTAAAGAACTTAAAACAGAACTACCATTCGACCTGGCAATCCCATTACTGGGTGTATACCCAAAGGAATATAAATCCTTCTACCAAAAAGACACACACACATTCATTGCAGCACCATTCACAATAGCAAAGACATAGAATCAACCTAGATGCCCATCAGTGATGGACTGGATAAAGAAAATATGGTACATATACACCATGGAATACTACACAGTTGTTAAAAAATGAGATCATGGCCTTTGCAGCAACATGGATGCAGCTGGAGGCAATTATCCTAAGTGAATCAATGAAGGAACAGAAAATCAAGTCTCTCGTGTTCTCACTTACAAGTGAGAGCTAAACATTGAGTACACATGGACACAAAGAAGGAAGTAATACACACCAGACCTATCTGAGGGTAGAAGGTGGGAGGAGAGTGGGGACTGAAAAACTACCTATGGGTACTATGCTGATTATCTGGATGACACAATTATCTGTACAACAAACAGTTTACCCAGGTAACATGTACCCCTTGAACCTAAAATAAAAGTTGGAAAGAAAAGAAGAAAATGGCAGATTTAAGAGATGTTCAGGAGGTAGATCTGGAAGGATGTGGACAAGGGCGTAGGTGAGGTGCGTGTCCAGTGTCAGGCTGAGGAGCCAAGGGTACCTGGGGATCTGGGAGGATGAACTGATTCCGACAGACAAAGTATGCCCTTAGCTGTGGCTACTCTGTGTGGAAATGCCTGGGACACCCGGAGGATCCATCCAGGAAGCTGATGGTACACAAGTCACCTACCGCCCATCTTTTGCTTCCTTGCATGCAGTCATACTGACCTCTTGTCAATTCTCTAAGTAAGAGGAGGACAAAAAATGACCAAGGACGAAATGAAAAGGACAAACTGGTGCAAAGTGTTCACTGCTGGGGGTTTGAGAAAGATACAACTAGAGTTGTAAGTAAGCAGCAGCTTCTTGATATCCTGGGTTGGAGTCATATTGTTGGAGGAAGAAGCCTGAGTTTCAGGTACTGAGAAGAGGAGGGGAGGTAAGGAAGTTGAGTCTGTGTATGCAGATAAGATTTATGAGGCCAGGCTCAGTGGCTCATGCCTGTAATCCTAGCACTTTGGGAAGCCGAAGTGGGTGAGTGGCTTGAGCTCAGGAGTTTGAGATCAGCCTGGGCAACATAGGGAGATCTCATCTCTACAAAAAAAAAAAAAAAGATATATATATAGAGAGAAAGAAAAATTAGCCAGGTATGGTGACATGTGACTGTAGTCCCAGCTACTTGAGAGGTTGCGGCAGGACGATCGCTTGAGCCATGGAGGTCAAGGGTGAAATAAGCCATGTTCACGCCACTGCACTCCAGTCTGGGTGACAAAGCAAGACCCTGTCTCAAAAAAAAAGAAAAAAGAAAGAAAAAGAAAGAAAAGAAAAGATTTATGAAATACTGGCTGTGAGAAGGAAAAAGAATGGGGCTACCCAGACTGAAGAACTCTGACCCCCCCTCAAATAAAAAATACATACACTCTCATTGTTGAGGTCTTTAGGGACTAGTCCAACCCTTTCATTACACAGATGAGATACTGAGGCCTTGGGGTTGTGTGAATGACTTGCCCAAGGCCACAGGGAGACAAAAGGGCCAATGAAAGACTGGAAACATCCCAGACTTTACAGAAAACCATGTCCCTTGCTCTTTGGAGACCTTGTTGAGCTCGTGAGAATGAGCAGATTCCAGTTCATGTTTCTCAAATCTCTGATTCTAAACTGGGGACCTACCCATTCCCCAACCCCTGTCAGACATCAATCATCAAGTCCAGACCTGCCACTATCTCCACCTACTGTTGCCTCCAATCAACATGGCATCATAGAAGGACAGTTGCATAGCTCAGACTTCGAGATTTGTTGTGTGACACCATCATGTGTCTTCAGGGAGAATTTAAGAAAGAAAGCATATTCCACACCCACAAAAGTTCTCTGAGCTCAGATGAGTAATTAACTCCCAGCAAGCAGCTGAATGAGCCTTGGAAATGTCCACCTAGGCACTGACCGGAAATGCAGAAGGACCTTCCAGATAGGAAGCCAGCAACTGGGGCCTGCTCGTGCTAGAGAGGCTCCAAGAATAAGCTACCTTCAGGTCCTCTCAGGGCAGGCACTGGATCAGCACTGAGAGTTCCCTGTGTCTGAGGCCCCAAGAACTGAGATGGATGGAGCCCAGGGACACACATCTAGAACCATCAGTGCTGGGCCTGCTGCCCTCTGGCCATTGTACTGAACCGTGTTCCTGCCTCACACCCATCCCCTGGCCATCTCTGGATATGATTTTCCCCCTGCTCCCCTGGACTTCTTCCTATAGCCCACAGAAGGGTCCTCCCCTCTCTGACAAGTTCAATTTCTAATTAGCTAATCTAGAATTCCCCTGGATACAAGACATCCTGCCAGGTGGCCAGGCTAGTCAAAAACATTTATGCTATTTAAAGAGTGGAAACACATTTTTAAAACTCTCTGGGATTATGTCAGTGAAAGTGGCAAAGGAAAGGTCTCTGAAAATTTTTTCCTACGTAAAAGCAATGAGAAAACTGACAGAAATGGTCTTAACTAACATTTTCAGAGCTCTGGAAATTAACCAAAGCTTGTAGCAATCTGGGGAGAGTTTATTCAATACAAATTATGGAGTCTCAGCAAGAACAGAGAGCTTTGTGGCATTTTAACCTCTCCCATCTCCCCATACTCCCGCTCCACAGCCAACTCGAAAACGAAAAGCCCACAATCTTTGTGAGAACCAGCAGCCCAGTAGACACTGGAGAGGTGAGGAGGGAGTTAGAGCAACTCATTCGCAGAGAATTGTCATTGTTTGACCGGCCCATTGGTTTCCCAGGAAGACCCATTCTCATGATTGTCATTACTTGACCTGACGCAGAGCTCCCCTGGTCTGAACAACCTTTTCCCCAAATACATTTGTCAAAAAATAACCAGAGGCAACTATTTAACACCACAGCTGCCTGAGGGGATGTAATATTTGGGGCAAACAAAAAACTAACCAAAAAGCTGACAAGGAAAAGCTGGGGAATAAGATATCTATATGAGCTTTGAAAATCTCCAACATACTCCTAGGGCTCTAGGAGGGCATGTGCTTACAGGGAGCTGTGTTTATGTAAGGAGTAAAGATTAAGGCAGAATTGTGTTAAATAAAAATTAGAAAAGGCCACTGTTTTGAACTGAGCTCCTGCACTAGGCCCAACAGACCAGACCAAACCAGAATGGAGCCACTCAGGCATGGGATCATGTAATCAAACTAAACTTTAGTAACAGGCCAGTTTTCCAACCAACCAGAGGGGGCCAAGTCTACCTGAGCCAGAGGGTAAGAAAGTTCCCTCTTCCTTAACCCTATAAGGAAAGTAACTTTGAGATGATCAATCTATTTTTTGTCCCCTGTTTCTTCTTCTTTTATACCTATAAAACCCACCTCTGCTCAGCCCACAGGAGCTCACAGGAGCCTTTCTAAATCTTTAGATGGGATGCTGCCCAACTTGCTAATCTCTAAGAAAAGCCCATTAGAACATATCCCTATGTTTAAGGTAAGCTTTGTGAACAGGGTATTCAGTACCTGTGGATCTCAACCCGCACTGAGGGTCACTCTCCTACTGGGGCCCCCATCAGATTGGCAATATGTCACATGTGGACTATTCATGCCTGGAGGGAAAGCTCCAAATACACGGGTGACAGGTCCACAATGTTTCAAATCCCCACCTACGGCTGCCACTGCTAATCTTCACCAGTGTGTTGTCAATCTAGGCACTACTAGGTACTCTAATGAAACAAAAAGGGGAAAGATTTGTTTCCCCATCCTCTACCCTCTTCTCATACTTTGTGGCTGGAGGTGTGTCTGTCTATTAATCGGGGTGCTGGCTGGCTGTCCAGGTATTACAACCCAGGCTGTGTGTCCCCATCCTGAGACTACCTCTGTGGACACCCATTGCCCTTCCTGCTTGACCCAGAACTTTCAGCCTCAATTGTCCAGTCCAGGAAGGGAGATCATGTACTGCACAAATTTAACAGGTCTGATAATGTTGCCCACCTGAGTAGAAGGATCAGATGTCCCTGGAGCCACTAATGGGACCCTAACATCCTGGAACTCTTTGGTCTCATCCACTACCCCTGTGGAGTCCCATAAAAGAGAGGTGCCCAGGGGAAGCATCACCACCAGATTAGAGTTAGGGGGCCCCATCTGGGGTATTATGACAGCCTGAACCACAAACTACCCCAGAGACGTGCACTCCTTAGGGAAAAAGAAAAAAAGAATGGTTGAGAACACGGAGATTGGAATTTCACAGGCACAGCCTAATCAAGCACTGTCCAGTCCATGTCCACCTCAAGCCCCACCAAGTTCAGTGTTTCCCAGCATGTGCTGCAGTATTTACTGTGCATCCTGCCCTAATCAGGCAAGGGTACCAGCCCATTAGCAGACCACCTTAATGTCCTTTCTTCAGTTGCTACTTGAGTTAACCGCTCCATCATTCATTGGCTCCATTGGCCCGCAGGTGATATGAGTGCAAACTCACATTCCATGAGTTTGAGCTCATTGTTGTGTTGCTTGGGCAGTAAAATATATTCTTTGGTCAGAGTAAAGTCCCACAGGTATCCAAAAACATGACATAGTTCTTTTTAAGAGCATCTATGGTAGTTTCAGAGTTCACATGGTGGTCTAGAATGGTAATACCACAGCCTGAGTAGGTGTCAATGGCAATGAGGACATGAGTGCCCATGGCAGGAGGCCAGAGGCCTGTTGTGGTCAATCTGCCACACCAGGGCAGTTTCTAGCCCTCAGTTAATGTATCCCAATTCCTCTCTTTGAACAATTTGTGCCCCTTAGCAAGAATCACAAGGTTGTACTGTGTCCCTAGTCTCGGCATCTTCCAGGATGCTCGTTCTTGCATCTGAGGCGGATGTCTTAGTCCATTTTGTGTTGCTATAAGGAAATACCTGAGGCTGGGTACTTTCTAAAGAAAAGAGGTTTATCTGGCTCACAGTTCTGCAGGCTGTACAAGAAGCACGCTGCCAGCATCTGCTCAGCTTCTGGAGAGGTCTTTTGTGTGGTGACACAACTTGGCAGAGAAGGCCATAGAGGAAGCAGGCACATGCTGAGAAGGGCCAAACTCAAGGGGTGTCCTGACTTTATAACAACCCTCTCCCGTGGGTGCTAATACATCCTCCCAGAACCAATCCAGTCTTGTGAGAGCAAGAACTCCATCACTACCAGGAGAATGACACTAAGTCATCAGTGAGAGATCCACCCCCATGACCCAAACACCTCCCACTGGGCCCCACCTCCCAACACCATCACTTCTGGCGATCAAACAAATGATATCCAAACCATAGCGGTGGACTTTCAGTTGTCGATTGTTGCTGGCTGTGGGGCACAAGCTTAACTGGCACAAGACTTCTGTCCACATTCCATTTTAAAAGGTCCTTTGCTATGATCATCCACAGGAGTGACAAACATTTGTCTCCTTCCAGGCAGCAAGCTGCTGTCATAGTTTTTGTTCCCACACAGGGGATTCTGTGATGGTTCAGTCACTCAGTTACCATTCTCCTGACCAGATGGCTAGGCTGTTGGCAATGGCCCTTGAGTCAGTGAAAATGTAACAAGATATGGTGGTAGAATGGCCCCCACAGCTGTCATCACTGCACATAATTCAGCTCATTAGGCAGAATGTCCAATTCCAATCCCAGCCAAAAGATGGCCATCTGCTGGCTGAGGGGCAGCTGCAGCCCAGTGGACCCCATTTGCCTTTAGTTTTGCAGAGCCATCAGTAAACCAGGTCATATAGTCAGTAGACACATCTTTGAATCTTGGGTCCCAGGTAGCCACAGGAGGGTTCAGAGCATCTCCCTGTGGGTTGCTTGGTGCTTCTGGGAAGCTGGCTATTTGTTCATGGAGTCTACTTGTCCTAGTTGACTTGGATGTACCATTTCCATTTAATGATTGAGCTCTGTTGAGCTTGTCCGGTTTTATTGGTGGGATTTGTAAGCACCCCAGTACAGGTTACAGCATCACAGGTGGCACTCCTGCCATAAAATGCTCAGTCTCCTCTAGTGCCCAATAGCAAGCAAGGAGTTGCCCTTCAAAGGGGGTGTATCTGGTGGCCACCACAGGCAAGTCATGTGTCCAATAGCCAAGAGGCTGGTGCACGCCAGTGGCAGTTTCCTGTTGCCACAGATTCCAATCAGCATGCTTGGCGGTCATGGACGCACGGAGTCCCATTGAGCTAGCAGGTTCCAAAGGTCCCAAAGGCAGTACCTGAGCCATGACTTGTTGAACTACTTCCAAGTCCTGCTGCTGCAAGGGGCCCCATTCAAAACTGGTGGTTTTGTGGGTCACCTTGACGAGGAAGGCCAAAAGAGCACCCAGACAGGGCATATGCTGTCTCCTGTATACAAATAGGCCTATCAGCTAATGGGCCTCCTGTTTATTAGTGGATGTCACTAGGGCCAACAATTGTACTGGGGATACTTTTTTGGTTTCCTATACAAATGACCCCTGGGACATGCACTTATTGTGCTGAGTCCTGGACTTTATCTGGATTTATAGTCCAGCCAACACCAGTTATTGTATCAATGGCCTGTTTTTCAGTAGGCCCTACTATCAGGATATCATTTATGCAATGGATGACTAAATCTTCTATGAGGACTTGGGCTTGTTGAGGGTCAAGCCCCACCCACTGGTGGCATATGGCAGGGGAATTGAGGTATCCCTGAGGAAGAATAGTGAAAGTATTATGCAGGCAGTTCCTTGTGAATGCAAATTGGTCACAAGGGGATTGAGTAAAAGCACTAACCAAGTTAATAACAGCACGCTAATCTCCAGTAAGGGTTCCCACTGCCTCAGTGACAGTGATGACATCTGACACCTCATGGGCCCAGGGCAAACCCCAACATTCAGCCTGCATTCCGTCTACCATCAGCCACCATACCCTGGAGGCTTTTCAATCAGCCAGACTGAGCTGTTACATTGACAGGGTAGTTTGTAACATTCCTACAGAAGCGCATCCCAAATTCACAGAGTAATATCCTCTTCTCCACTTGGTATGCAGTACTGTATTTGTGGAATAACCTACTGAGGCTTGGAGAATTTAAGTGGCAGGTAGAGTGGACACACCTCACTGTTACGGCTCAAATTCTCAGCTGTGAGGGGGAATATCCCCTCAGGCAGTGGTGATGTTCTGTGCTACAAGCAGCCAAAATATCAATGCCCGTAATGCACTCGACACAAGGAACCATGGTCACCAGCACTCAAAATGGCTCAAAGAGCCTCACTCGCAAGCACATAAGTACCACAAGCAGGTAAGCACCATGGATCACCATGTTAACCCCCAAACCATCCAATGACATCAGTTTAATTTTTCCCCTAAGGAAATCCAGAAATATTGTCATATGGGAACGAGTATCCACGAGCCCCAGAAAAGTCTGAATCTCTTTCTTTTCCCATTTATCTTGACAGGGGTATAAGATCATTGGTCTCCAGTGGGAAGCCAGGAGCCTTGGCCCCATTCCTAACTGTGCCATTCAACCTGAGACATTTGAGTCTGCAATATCCCTTTATCAAACAAACACACCATCCGGGCTGTATTAGACTTTCTGGCTTTTGTCCACATTTTCCCTTTTATTGTCAGATATCCTCTTCAGAGAATGACCTCATTTCAATAGTCTAGTTTTCAGCAATGCCTTCTGTTGTTCAGCACTTTTTGGAAACAGGCCTTACTTGAGGCCTGCAAGCAACCTGGACCAGGCAGGATTCCCTGCACAGGGCCCCCCATTCCCCCCAGACATCATCTGTGGTCCCTGGGACACCATGGGAGTTGACATTATGTTCCATTTATCCCTGGGCAGCGAGCACCTCAGTCAGTCTATGACCCCTCAGAGGAGCTGGTACCACCTTGGGCAATGGGGCTGACAAGCCCTTGCCTTTCCACCATGTGATGGTCTATTTCCTTGGCAACCCTGCACACTATGTCAAACTGTTAAGCTGAACGTCCTGCACCAGTGACCAGTCCCAGGGGAGAGGAACACCATGCACAGGTTACCAACCCTAGGAGAGGGCTCCAAACACTTCTGCCCATTTTATCTTGGTATGGGAGTCACCAAGGAAAATATAACACTTTACTTATGTAGAGAAGAGACAAAGCAAAATCAGCTTCAATCGTATGCATTTGTCCCCCATGCCAGCAGATCCCCCCAATAGCCAGTGCAAGGCAATTGGCTATGGACACCCCTCTCATGCCACGGATGGACTCTGACCCCTCTCCTGTGGAGTTAGAAATACCAAAAGCTGGGGGCATATCTGAGGGCCATTGACATATACACTTAAGCAGAACAAAGGGGCACACATTGAATCTAAAACAGGGAAATATATTCCCATGCAGGGCCTGGAACAGGCCACGTGAGCCCTTTATCTCTTGGTAAGGAAGTGTTCCAAGCCCAAGACCTGTTCTTATATGACTGAGTGGGAGTCGAAAGGCTGCATGCATGAGACTGGTTTTCCCAACACAATCATTAGCTGACCAGTAAGCTAACTAAGCAGACACAGCAGTAGCCACACATGACAAAGAATACAGACTTTACAGAATTTGTTCAGAAAAATCAGTAAACAAACAACTACAAGAACAAGTAACAACCAAAAACTCTGGAGTGGAGGGAGAATCCAATT
Organism: Homo sapiens; assembly: GCF_000001405.40. NCBI lineage: Eukaryota > Metazoa > Chordata > Mammalia > Primates > Hominidae > Homo > Homo sapiens. The sequence continues at coordinate 33,252,768 of NC_000020.11, forward strand.
TCTGAAACTGCCATGTTATATTATTTAAAATACCAGTGTTCAACAACAATAAAAAAATGAGATACGCAAAGAAAGAAGTATGACTTCCCAAGTATGACAGCCATAGAAGCTATCTCTGAAGAATCTCAGACGTTGAACTTACTAGAAAAAGACTTTAAATCAGCAAATTTAAAATGTGTTCAAAGAACATATGTCTAAGAAACCATGGCTTAGAACTAAAGGAAAATATCAGAATGATGTCTCACAAATAAAGAATATCAGTAAAATTACAGAAATTGTTTTAAAGAACCAAATAAAAAACTGAAGTTTAGAAGCATAATAACAAATAAAAAATTCACTAGAGAGGCTAACCAGCAGATTTTAGCAAGCTGAATAAACAGAAAACTTTTTTTTTTTTTTTTTTTGAGATGGAGTCTCACTCTGTCGCCCAGGCTGGAGTGCAGTGGTGCGATCTTGGCTCACTGCAAGCTCCGCCTCCCGGGTTCATGCCATGCTCCTGCCTCAGCCTACCAAGTAGCTGGGACTACAGGCGCCCGCCATCAAGCCCGGCTAATTTTGTTGTATTTTTTTTTTAGTAGAGAGGGGGTTTCACCATGTTAGCCAGGATGGTCCCGATCTCCTGACCTCGTGATCTGCCTGCCTCGGCCTCCCAGAGTGCTGGGATTACAGGTGTGAGCCACTGCGCCCGGCCCAGAAAACTTGTTTTAATTTTTTATTTTAATTTTTGTAGGTACATAGTAGGTACTATATGTCTACATGTAGTATATATAGTATATACATATATATACTACACACACACACACACACATATATATATTTATATGTATATATATGGTACATGAAATCAGTTTTGGTTTTTTGTTTTTTGTTTTTTTGATATGGAGTCTCTCTCTGTCACCCACGTTGGAGTGCAGTGGCACAGTCTCAGTTCACTGCAACCTCCACATCCCAGGTTCAAGCAATTCTCCTGCTTCAGCCTCCCTAGTAGCTAGGACTATAGGTATGCGCCACCACACCTGGCTAATTTTTTGCATTTTTAGTAGAGACGAGGTTTCACCATGTTGGCCAGGCTGTTCTCAAACAGCTGACCTCAGGTGGTCCGCCCACCTCAGCCTCCCAAAGTAATGGGATTACAGGCATGAGCCACCAAGCCCAGCCATGGAATGTTTTAATACAGGCACACAATGCTTAATAACCACATCATATAAAATGGGGTATCCATCCCCTCAAGGATTTATCCTTTGTGTTACAAACAATCTAATTATACTCTTTTAGTTATTTTTAAATGTATAATTAAATTATTATTGACTATCGTCAACCTGTTATGCTATCAAATGCTGGGTCTTATTCATTCTTTTGAACTATTTTTTGGTCCTCATTAACCATCCCCACCTGCCCCCATCCTTGCATTACCCTTCCTAGCCTCTGGTAACCATCCTGCTGCTCTCTATGTCCATGAATTTGTTTTGATTTTTAGATCCCACAAATCAGTGAGAATACACAATGTTTGTCTTTCTGTTCCTGGCTTACTTCACTTAGCATAATGACCTTTAGTTTCATCCATGCTTTTGCAAATGACAGGATCTCATCCTTTTTATGGATGAATAGTACTCCATTGTGAATAAGTACCATTGTGAATAATATCCATTCATCTGTTGATGGAAACTTAGGTTGCTTCTAAATTTTGGCTATTATGAACAGTGCTGTGACAAATTTGAGAGTGCAGGTGTCTCTCCAACATAGTGAGAATCAGAAAACTTGAAGGTTAATCAATTGGGGTTATCTAGTCTGAGGAACAGAAATTAAAAAATAGAATGAAGAAAATAAAAACAGAGTGTCAAAAGGCTGTGGCCACCATAAGCATGCTAACATACATATCATAGGAATTCCAGAACAAGAGGAGATAGAGATGGGGATGGAGGGAGAACATTTGAAAAAAAATTACTGGGCCAGGTATGGCGGTTCACACCTGTAATCCCAGAACTTTGGGAGGCCGTGTGGGTGGATCATGTGAGGTCAGGCATTCAAGACCAGCCTGGCCAACATGGTGAAACCTTGCCTCTACTAAAAAAATAGCCAGGCATGGTGGTGCATACCTGTAGTCCCAGCTACTAGGGAGGTTGAGGCATGAGAATAACTTGGACCCAGGAGGCAGAGGATGCAGTGAGCCAAGATCACATCACTGTATTCCAGCCTGAGTGACAGAGCGAGACTCTGTCTCCAAACAAAAAGAAAGAAATAAAGAAAGAGTAGCTGAAATTTCCGCAAATTTTATGAAAAACATTAATCTACACATCCAAGAAGTTCAACAAAATCCAAGTAGGATAAATTCAAAGAGATCTACATTTAGACATATAGTAATCAAATTGTCAAGAGACAAAGACAGAAAGAATCTTAAAAGCAGCAAGAGAGAAGTGACTCACCAAGTACATTAAACCCTCAATAAGATTAACAGTTGATTTCTTATCAGAAACAACGGTGTTAAGAAGGCAGTTGAATAACATTCAAAGTTCTGAAAGAAAAAAAAAGACTGCCAACAAAGAATTCTCCATCCAGAAAAACTAATATTCAAAAATGAAGGAAAAATTAAGAGATTCCTACATCAACAAAAACTGAGAGAATCTGACACTAGTAAACATGGCTTAAAGGAAGTCCTTCAGGCTGAAATGAAAGTGTACTAGTCAACAATTTAAATCTAAAGGAGGAAGTAAAGAACATCAGTACCAATAACTACATAGTTAAATATAAAAGACAATATAAATGTATTTTTTGTTTGTAACTCTTTTTGTTCACCTGACTAAAAGACAACTATATAAAGCAATACTTAGATGTGTCAATGAGCATACAAATGTATAAATATGTAATTTGTATGGCAATACCAGCATAAAGAAAAGGGGTGACAGAGGTATACAGGAACAAAATTCCTATATACTATTGAAATTAAATTCACATTAATTGAAATAGACTGTTCTACGTTAATTATAATTCCTAGGGCAACTATTGAGAAAATAACTAAAAATATATAGTGAAAGAAATGACAAGAGAATTAAATGGGACACTAGAAAATATCTATTTAGATAACAAGAAGTAATAATTGAGGCATAGAGCTACATATAAGACATAAAACATATAAAAAACAAATAGCAAAATGCTATGAGTAAATCCTATTCTTTTCTATCAGTAATTTAATTAAATGTAAATGGATTAAACTTGCCAATTGAAACCAGAGATTGGCAGAATGGATTTTAAAAACATAATCCAGTTATATTCTTTCTACAAGAGACACATTTTAGTGTCAAAGATAAAAACAGATTGAAAGTAAAAGAATGAAAAAAAAGGTATGCCATGCAGTGACCAAAGAAGGCTGGAGCGGCTATACTAACATCAGATAAAATAGACTTTATGACAAACACGGTTACGTGATACAAAGAACATTTATAACGATAAAGGGGTCAATCCCTCAAGAAGATATAACAAGTATAAACATGTATGCAACTAACAAGAGAGCCCCAAAATACATGAAACCAAAATTGTCAAAATTGAAGGAAAAAATTAAAAATTCAACAAAAATAGCAAGAAACTTAAACACACAATTTTCAACAATAGAACAACTAGACAGAGGGTCAACAGGAAATGGAAGATTTGAACAGGTCTACAAAACCACCTAGAGCTAACAGACATCTATAGAACATTTTTTCCAACAATAGCAGAATGTACATTCTTGCCAAGCACACATGGAGCGTTCTCCTATCAGAATAGAACATATGTTAGGTCATAAAACAGTTTCAATACCTCTAAAAAGATGGCAATCATACAAAGTGTGTTATCTGACCACAATGGAATGAAATTAGAAATTAATAACAGAAGGAAATTTGGTAAATTTACAAATATATGGAGATTAAAAACACTGTTGGCTGAGCCAGCTTTAAAGATGGGCTGGATACAATATGTGACTATCAGTTTCAGACTTCTGTAATAGAAAGCATCCTAGCTGGATTGCTAAGCATGAGATGAAGTTCTTGGTCAGGTGCAGTGGCTCATGCCTATAATTCCAACACTTTGGGAGGCCAAGGCAGAGGTTACCTGCAAAGGAAGCAAAACCAGGTTGGCCCCAGGTTTTTTTCCTACAGGATATTAGAAGACAAGAGTTCTCAATGGAGATGGGAAGAAGGCTGAGAGTAAAGGATTCAGATCAGCAGTGTTTTCATATTGCTTATGAAAGTAATAAACAAGAATAAGCTATCAAGTTAAGTGTTCAAGGAATCAAAAATGATCCTACACATCTGTCCATTTTTAAAAAGCAAGCAACTGGGAAATGAGTCTAACTTAACTTGTGATAGGAAGAGACACAGAATAAAAATGATCAATGATGGTTTTGGGAACCAGTTAAAACCTAACATATTTTAAAACTCCCTAAATTTGGGACACTACTACATGCCTAATTGGATGACCCAAAAAAAGAAAAAGAAACCTGACAATTCTGAGTGATGGTGAAAACACAGAGCCAGTGAAACTCTCATACATTCCTGGTGGGAATGAAAAACAGTATGGCCCCTCTGGAAGACGGTATGGTAGTTTCTTAAAATGTTAAGCCGATAAGAGGCAGACACACCAATATCTCCCCTTGGAGGCCATGGAAAATGAGTCATGGACTCAGGTCATGTGGCAGCAGCTCCACTATCACCTCGCCCAGCTTCCCGAGGGTCAGCCTAGGGCCCAGCTCCGCAGAAGATCACAGCCCCTGCATGGCACTGCAGCCACCATAGGCCTCTGCCCAGCAACCATGGATCCCACAGCCATAGCATAGCAAAAACCAAAGAACACCCCAGCATTCCAAATGGAACCCAGCTATTAACTGGAAGCCTGGATTGGTCTCTTTTATGGTCAGTTAGAAAAGAAAATTTAGGTCAGGCGCAGTGGCTCATGCCTGTAATCCCAGCATTTTGGGAGGCCAAGGCGGGTGGATCACCTGAGGTCAGGAGTTCGAGACCAGCCTGGCCAACATGGTGAAATCACGTCTTTACTAAAAATACAAAAATTAGCCAGGCGTGGTGGTGGGCACCTGTAATCCCAGCTACTCGGGAGGCTGAGGCAGAAGAATCGCTTGAACTCAGGAAGCGGAATTCCTCAGTTGCAGTGAGCTGAAATCACACCATTGCACTCCAGCCTGGGTGACAACAGTGAAACTTTGTCTCAAAAAAAAAAAAAAAAAAAGGAAAGGAAAGGAAAGAAGAAAATTTATAAATAAAATATGTTTTGTCCATTACTGCTAATGATCATTCTTCTTTTCCTTTCTCACTGTTTTTGTAACTATATAAAATTAAAATGTAGTAAAATGTGCACATGTTAAATGCATGGCTTTATAGAGTTTTAAACTTTATATTCCTTATAGTATACCACAGCCTTATCAATATATAGATCATGTCTATTAACACATAAAATATTTCCTTGTGGCCAGGTGCTGTGGCGCATGCTTGCAGTCCCAGCGCTTTGGGAGGCCGAGGTGGGCAGGTCACTTGAGGTCAGGAGTTCAAGACCAGCCTGGCCAACATGGCAAAACCCCATCACTGCTAAAAATACAAAAATTAGCCAAGCATGGTGGCAAACACCTGTAGTCCCAGCTACTCGGGAGGCTGAGGCACAAGAATCACTTGAACCTGGGAGGCAGACGCTGCAGTGAGCTGAGATTGCACCACTGCACTCCAGCCTGGGTGACACAGTGAGACTCTGTCACAAAGAAAACAAAAAAAAACTCCTTGTAACGTTTTAACCAATACCCACTCACTCTACCATATGCAGCCCCTGTTTTGATTTCTAGTAACATACATTATTTTAGCCATTTCTTCAACTTCATAAAAATTAATCACAATGTATACTTGGAAAAAAATGTTAAACATACACTTAACATATGACCCAGCAACCCTACTTCTAGATTTTTAGGCTAGAGGAATGAAATATGCTCACAACAAAACCTGTTCCTTCATGTTTGGGGATTTTTTTTTGGCGGCGGGGGGCGGGGGGGGGGCATTTGGTTTTGCGTGTGTGTGTCAGAGTCTCATTCTGTTGCCCAGGCTAGAGTGCAGTGGCATGATCTTGGCTCACTGCAACCTCCGCCTCCCAGGTTCAAGTGATTCTCATGCCTCAGCCTCCCGAGTAGCTGGAATTACAGATGCACGTGACCATAGCCAGCTACTTCTTCTGTATTTTTAGTAGAGACAGGGTTTCACTATGTTGGCCAGGCTGGTCTTAAACTCCTGACCTCAAGTGATCTACCCACCTTGGCCTCCTAAAGTGCTGGGATTACAAGCGTGAGCCAATGCGCCTGGCCGTGTTCCTTAATGTTTATAGCAAATTTGTTCATAATATCCCAAAACTGGAAACAACCCAAATGCCTTTCATTAGGTGAATAAACAAACTTCAGTACATCTATACCACAGAATACTACTGGGCAATGAAGAGGAACAGATATTGGTTTACACAACAACTTGAATGAAGTTAGGAAGAGGATCCGAATTCTCATTGTCTGCCTGAGGGATGATTTGATAGGTATCAAAGGTCAAGACATGCCATTATAAAGCAGGAAGAAGATATGAATTTTTATTTGTTTAAAGCTCAAGTTTGTGATGCAGATAAATTCTGAAAAATATAAAAGGAATAAAAACCCAGGAAACTCACTTATAGATCATTCATACTTTAAATTATGACTTCCTTCCCAATGTCCCTGCCACTATTGTTTTCAGAACCCTCAGAGAGCTTTCTCATTCACTGTGTCCAGGGTTTTTGTTTCATTCAGTAGGAAATACAGAGTGGAACGGCTTACTCCATCCATTTCCACTCTCCCGTTTGTAAAACGAGCTGGATTACGGCAGATGAGGGTGGACCTCCAGAAATTTAACACAGTGCGTTGACTGTTGTAGTATCTTTACTGGAACAGCCCAATGCAGCCTTAGGTACTTACTATGGAGCTTTTAATCTGGAAAATGTGTTCTTTTCAATACTCAAGGTAACAAGCTCAGAAGCAAATGGCACTCACTTGGGATAAATAACGGTACACACTCAGTCTTGCCCCTGCTCTCTCTTGTTCTTAAAACAAGTTATCCATGGCTGGGCACAGTGGCTCTCACCTGTAATCCCAGCACTTTGGGAGGCTGAGGTGGGTTGATCGCTTTGAGCTCAGGAGTTTGAGACCAGCCTGGGCAACATAATGAAACCTCGTCTCTACTGAAAATACAAAAATTAGCTGGGCGTGGTCCTAGCTACTCAGGAAGCTGAGGCATGAGAATTGCTTGAACCCAGGAGGCGGAGTTTGCAGTGAGCCAAGATTGCACCACTGCACTCCAGCCTAGGTGACAGAGTGAGACCCTGTCTCAAAAAAAAAAAAAAAAAAAAAAAAAAAAAGCTATCCATTTGTAAATTGCTGATTTCTTTAGGGCATTGGCTCCATAAACTTTTCATAAAGCCTCAATGATTTCACCATTCACCCATCCAAGTTTCACCATAAATTTGATGTGTATTCTTGCTTCAATTTTAGCAGGATTCATGTGGCTTTGATAGGGTTTTTTTCTAAGTGATGTCTTATCCTTCTTATTGCCTCAAACTAGATCCCGTTCAACATGTTATAACAAATTAGTTCAAGTTTATTTTGGTGCAAAAAGAATTTGGAAATGCAGGCATAGTTTCTTCATAATATGCATTTTCCATAAGCTTTTCGGAGACCTTCATAGGATAAGAGATCTATTGTAGAGATTTGATCTTACAGAACCATGGGAGTGGGTTAAATAGTCCTTGTTAGGCTGTTGTTTTGCATCTGGTGCTGGAGCTTCAACCCAGCAGGGCGGGTAGACAGGAAGAGGAGATGGATATGAAGTGAGGAAGAACAAAGAAAAACTGAAACCTGATTTAGGGTCTCTGCACCTCCAAGTCCACAGATGCAGGGGCACAAGGAAGGTTTCCTGCTCCTTCAGTGAACACATTTGAGAGTCTGGGCGTTTGGTAAGGCCATGGAATAGAAGCCAGAGACTGGGTGCTAGTCCAGACACTGCCCCCACTGTGTGTGACCCTGAATGCAAAGTAGCCAAGACCAGTCACAATCCCACAGCCCTCTTTTTTTTTTTTTTGCTTGAAACGGAGTCTTGCTCTGTTGCCCAGGCTAGAGTGCAGTAGCGCAATCTTGGCTCACTGCAAGCTCCACCTCCTGGGTTCACGCCATTCTCCTGCCTCAGCCTCCTGAGTAGCTGGGACTACAGGCACCCGCCACCACACCCAGCTAATTTTTTGTATTTTTAGCAGAGACGGGGTTTCACCGTGTTAGCCAGGATGGTCTCGATCTCCTGACCTCGTGATCTGCCCGCCTCGGCTTCCCAAAGTTCTGATTCCCACAGCCCTCTTGAGTATGAACAGCAGTGCAACCGCAGAACTCACTGCACAACATCCTCCTCTTTGGGGCTCAGTCTTCCAAGGTAAGAAATGGGAAGCTTTTAGCTGTTGAGTCTTTGCTTCAGATGAAACTCTGTCCCCAGGAAGATCACCACTTGACGTATGCTAAAGCTAAACGTAGCTCCCTTAGTTTCTCCCTTGTATTAGTTATCTATCACTAATACATAACAAAGTATCCCAAAACTTCATGGCTTAAAATAACATGTATTATCTCATAGGTATTACCCTCATGTTTCTGTGGGTCAGGAATATAGAAACTGCTTAGCTGGGTGGCTCTGGCTCTTGCGAGGCTGGAGTCAGGATGTTTGCCACGATCATCCAAAGGCTTGACTAGAGCCCCAGAGAATACAAGAGGGTTCATACACATGGCTGTGGCTGGAGAATTCTCAGTTCCTGGCCACCAGAATATCCGCACTGGGCTGCTTGAGTGTCCTCACAACATGGCAGCTGGCTTCCCCAAAACACGTGATCCAAGAGAGCAAGAGAGAGAAAGAAGAAAGCTGCAGTACCTCTTTTTGACCTCACCTCAGAAGTCACACACCATCACTTTGGGCCATAACCTATTCACTAGAAGTGAGTAAATCCACCCCACATGCAAGGAAAGGAGAATGAGGCTCTCCCTCTTAAGAGGGAGCATCAAAGGATTGTGGATATATTATAAACAACTATACTCCCTTCCATTCCGGAAGTTACCCTGGGCATTTCCTTCAATGGCCAAAGTCCCAGGAGCAGGCTTTCTTAAATAAATGAGTCTTTCCTCCTTAGGTAAATTCTTCAATCTCTCTTGAAAGTGCAAATGGCTATAGTCCGGTGTTTTTGTTTTCTATTCTTGTTTTGATTATTCATTTAATGGTAATTTTTCCTTCCTGCTTCATTCAGACCAGATAAAAACAGAAATACTCTAGTGGAAGTGGGGGTGAGGGGCACAGTTTCAACATCTCTGCCATCTGTCGTGTCTCCTCCAGTGTTGGCAGGCATGCGATGACTTTAGATGGTTCCGAGATACAGCATGAAACAACCTTGAGTCACTAAGGGGAAATGTTTCTGTTCCTTTTGTAATTTTTCTTTCCTTATTCTGATTGCAACAAGGAAAGAGTGTCAGTTGGGAGCTAGCCTGTCTTGAATGCTCTGGGTGATGCTGCCGCAATCTCTTTTTTATGAAAGAGAAAGGAGAAGAGGGAGAGAGAGAGAGAGAGAGAGAGAGAGAGAGAGAGAGAGTGAGAGAGCTGGACTCCAGTTCTTCTCACCACATTATCCAGGAAAACTTAATAACGTTTTTCTCTTCCGTTTGCATCTACTTAGCAGTTACCCTGTATTTCAGGAAGTTGATGGTGAAACTTAAAATATGTAAAAGTTCCTGTTATATTATAATAGATTTCTTTAAAAATAGGAAGACACCCAAAAGGAAAATATTAAGTAAATAAAAGTAATGGTTGCCTGTATATGGCACAAGTCGCAGAGGTGATATGTGAATGACTGGAATTCGGGGAGCTTAGGGACCATGCCTCCAATGCCTGACCAGCCTGGCTACTGGATTTCCTGAAGCCAAGCTCTCCAGGCCCCTAACCTTGCACCAGCGCTCACACTGTATGTCCTGTGGCCACTAGAGGAAGCTGTTGCACATATATGTACTTCCCAGCTACCACCCTGGGAATGAACACTAACATCTATGTAGCAGTAACTCCTTTAAGGATTGCATCTAATCTTCCCAGAGACGGGGTCTCTAAGGCCCAAAGTCACAGAGCTTGTGAGCAGCTGATCCAGAATCCAAATCCCAGCAGTCAGACTCTGGAGCTCAGGCTATTTGTCATAGGTTGAAAACTCATGAGCTCCAGCCAAATCCGATGCATTGTTATTTTTTTAGATTTTGCTTTGAATGCTTGATTGTTCTCCAGCTGGATGCTAAATACAAATGCATTCATCATATCCCCCAACTAGCATACCAAGTTGTCTTACATTATTAACTGTTTAGCTCCTAAAGCAGATTTTCAGATTTACCAGTAAAAATACAGGATACCCAGTGAAATTTACATTTCAAATCAACGACAAATAATTTCTAGTGTAAGTATGTCCCAAATATTTCATGGGACATACTTACACTAAAAAAATTTTCATCATATATCTGAAATTTAAATATAACTGGGCTTTCTATATTTTACCTGTCAACCTTACTGATATGGTTTGGCTGTGTCCCTATCCAAATCTCATCTCTGTAGTTCCCATAATCCCCACAGATCATGGGAGGCACCAGGTGGAGATAATTGAATCATGGGGGCAGTTTTCCCCATCCTGTTCTTGTGATAGCAAGTTAGTTCTCATGAGAGCTGATGGTTTTCTAAGGGGCTTCCCCCTTCACTGGGCACTCATTCTCTCTCCTGCCACCTTGTGAAGAGGTGCCTTCTGCCATGATTGTAAGTTTTCTGAGGCCTCCCCAGCTGTGCAGAACCATGAGTCAATTAAACCTCTTTCTTTATAAATTACCCAGTCTTGGGTGTTTCTTCATAGCAACGTGAGAACTTACGCTTACTCTAAAAGCATCTTTGCATTTGAAACTCCTGCTCTGTCCCTCATTCCCCCACAGAGGGGAATATTTATAGAGAATCTACTATGTGCTGGTTTTGAGTGGGACGCAGAGAAACAAAAGGCTCTGCAGCAGGCTGCAAACAGCCCTGATGCTTCAGCTATGTGGTGGTCAGGCAGACCCCCCACCGCCCCGCCATGGTACTGAAACTCTCTGGGATCTATAAAGATGCCATGTGGACTTTCTGGCGAGCCCCAGTGAGGGAGTCACAGACTGCTAGATTTCTGGAGCAAAGCCATGCTGCCTTCAGCAGGGAACTGTATACCATGAGTAAAACAGCTTCTGACATGCTACAGGGCCCTGGTCAGGAAGGGGCGCCTGATCACAGGGCATCAGTAACCATGAGGCCAGAACTGCCCATCAGGAACTGGTCACTGTCATCCACCAAGTCATCAGGTCAGCAGGACCAACAGCAATTCTTCATCAGGCAGAAGTGGTGTCTGATCTAGTGGGGGCTCAAAAAGGTCCAGGGGGCAAAAGTAAGCTACCCAGACCTTCGCATCACCTACTAGTGTTGCACCCAGCTTCTCCCTGGGTGCACACCCATGGCCCCATAGATGTTCCCGAGGATCAGCTGATGGAGAAGGAAAAATTCTAAACTTGATTCATGAGTAGGTCAGCTCAGTATGTTAGAGGAAGCCAAAAATCGACGATGTTTCACACCCTCAGGAGTGACCCTGAAAGACAGCAACCCGAGGAAATCCCCCCAGGAGTAAAGCTTCAGGCTGTGCACTTGCTCATCCACTTTGACAAAAAAACAACTGGAGGTAAGATTTATAGGCCAGGTGCAGTGACTCATACCTATAATCCCAGCACTTTGGGAGGCCAAGGTGGGAGATCACTTGAGCCCAGGGGTTTGAGACCAACCTGGGCAACATGACAAAACCCTCTCTCTACAAAATATGAAAAATGAGCCAGGCGAGGTGGTGTATGCCTGTAGTCCCAGCTACTCGGGAGGCTGAGGTGGGAGAATCACTTGAGCCTGGGAAGTGGAAGCTGTAGTGGGTCATGATTATGCACTAGACTTCAGCCTGGGTGACAGAGAGATGCTGTCTCAAAAAAAAAATTTACAGACACTTGGGCTGGGGAAAATGGTTTAATTGTTTAGTCAGGGACCTGGAAGAAACAAGATTGGAAGACTGGGGACACCAAGGCTGATCTAGTAACTGCCAGTGAGTGTGTGACCTGTCAACCACAGACAAACACTGACCTCCTGCTATGGTACCATCCATTCAAGAGCTCAACCAGCCAGTTTGTGGCAAGTTGACTACAACAGACCCCTTCAGTCCTGGAAAAGGCATTGATTCACCCTGACTAGGACTGGCATATATTTTCAGAATGGGTTTGCCTTTCCCACCTGCTAAGCCTAAACTGCCATCACTAAACAAAGGCTGGCAGAATGTCTGATTCACTGACACCAGGTCCCACACATCATCACCTTGGACCAATGGAGCCATTTCAGCAAAGGCATTGTGAAGTGGGCACATGGTTGTGAGATCCACTGGTTTTACTATGTATCACACCATCCAGAAGCTGCCAGCCTGGTAGAATGATGGGAAGGCTCTTGAAGAGGCACAATCTTGTGGGCGATACACTGCAAGGATGCAGTATGGTACTGTCTACTGCTGTGTAACAAATTATCCCAAACTCAGGACTCTAAAATAATAAACATGTGTTATTTAATGGTTTTTTTGAATCAGGAATTTGGGAGCTGCTGGACTGGGCATTCTGGCTCTGAGTCTGTTATGAGGTTGCAGTTGAGTTGTTGGCTGGCGCTGCAGTTTCATCTGAAGGCTCGACTGAGTGAACATGCTTTCAAGTTTACTCAAGTGGTTGTTGGTTTTCCTCAGTTCCTCACCGGCCATTGATCAGAGGCCTCTTTCCTCACCACGTGAGCCTCTCCACAGGTGGCGTTGTCCTAATAGTATGGCGACTGGCTTTCCCTAGAGTATGTGATCCAAGAGCTCAACATGGAACCCACAGTCTTATAACCTAAGTCTCAGAAATGACATAGCACAACTTCTGCCATATTCTATTGGTCACACAGACCACCCTAGTACAGGGTGAGAGGGGACAACACAAGGGTGTGGATACCAGGAGGTGGGGAATTGGAGGCCAACTTGCAGGCTGGCTTCCATGGGCATCATCCCTTAGGATGTGATACACACCTTAAACCCTAGGCTATTTTATGATGCTGGGTGCTCACTACATAGAATGCATTGGTCTAGAAATCAAGTACAAGTATCTCCCATTCAACATCACTTCCAGTGACACACATGGAGACTTTGAACTTTCCATTCCCAAAACTTTAGTCTCTGTGAGTCTAGAGTCTCTGGTTCCCAGAGTGGGAAGGATCCTTTCTCTAGGGAACTCAATGAGGATCTCGCTAAACTTCAAGCTACCACTGTCATTGGGTTGCTTTGGACTTTTCATGCCAGTAGACCAGCAGATGAAGAAAGGAGTTTTCATGACTGCAGGGGTAATAAACCCTGGGGACGCAGGTGGCTGGGGAAAAGCAGGAATGTGTTTGAAACTCAGGTCAACCATGGGGTGACTCCCATAGTCCCATGCCCAGCTTTGACTCTAAAGAGACAAGGATAATAACCACAGCTTGATAAAGGCTTGATGACCAGGGTGCTCAGATCCTTCAGACATGAGGTCCCGATCACCCCACCAAGACAAGCCACCTGGACAACAGGATCGCTGAGGATGAGGACAATTTGGAACACATAGTAGAGGAGGGAGACTGTGAGTATCTGCTGCAGCCTCATCATCAATTGCAGCATCAGAGACTCTTGTTGGTCTTGCAAGTTTCCCGTGAATTATGACTGGATTAGTCCACATAGGCTGCCATAACAAAATACCAGAGACTGGGTGGTTTAGACAACAGAAATTTATTTTCTCACTGTTTTGGAGACTGGAAGTCCAAGATCAAGGTGCCAGCAGGACTGATTGCCCCTGAGACCTCTCCTCTTTGGCTTGCAGATGGCCACTGCTATGGTTTGAATATGTCCCCCTGCCCCACCAAAATTCATGTGTTGAAACTTAATAGCCAATGTTATAGTATTAACAAGTGAGGTTCTTAAGAGGTGATTAGGTTATGAAGGCTCCTCTTTCATGAATGGGATCAAGTGCCCATATAAAAGAGCCTGATGGAGAAAGCCCCTTTTTGCCCTTCTGCCTTCCACCACATGAGCACATAGTGTTCCTTCACTCAAGAGGACACAGCACTCAAGGCGCCATCTTGGAAGCAGAGACCAGCCCTCACCACATAATGAACCTGCTGGTACCTTAATCTTGGACTTCCTGGCACCCAGAACTGTGAGAAATGGATTTCTGATCTTGATAAATTACCTAGTCTCAGGTAATGTTATAATGTTATAGCAGCACAAATGGACTAAAACAACTGCCCTCTTGCTGCCTCTTCACATGGCCATACCTTGTGGCTCTCTGTGTGTCCTAACCTCCTCTTCTCATAAGGACACTAGTCAGATTAAATTAAGGCCCGCCCTAAGGCCAGGCGCGGTGGCTCATGCTTGTAATCCCAGCACTTTGGGAGGCCGAGGCAGTAGGATCACTTGAGGTCAGGGGCTCAAGACCAGCCTGGGCAACATGGTGAAACCCCCATCTCTACAAAAAATACAAAAATTAACCAGGTGTGATGTCATGTGTCTGTAGTCCTAGCTACTCGGGAGGCTGATGTAAGAGAATCTCTTGAGTCCAGGAGGCTGAGGCTGCAATGAGCTGTGTTCATGCCGCTGCACTCCAGCCTGGGTGACAAAGTGAGACCCTCTCTCAAAAAATAAAATAAAATAAGGGTGGCCCTAACGGCCTCAGTTTAACTTGATCAGCTCTTTAACAGCCCCTATGTCCAAATACAGTCCCATTCTGAGATACTGGGAGTTAGGGTTCAACATATGAATTTGGGAGATACAATTCAGTCCATAACAGTGACCAAGCAGAATCCTGGAGCACCTGTGCCTGAACAGAGTGAATTTGATGTGTAAGAGGTGGACTGTAGACACCGGCATTGCCCTACAGATCCCCTGCACTGGGCGCTAACCCCCAGCTGCTGTCAGTGAGGGCTAACAACCCACAGCTTCCTCCCTCTCTAGGGAAGTGCCCTCAACTGACAGGAGGGCACCTCTAAGTTAGGCTCATCCCCTTAAGGGACAGCCCACAGCCAATGACTGACTAAGAGTGAAGAAGGCTATCTCCCTTGCTGCAAGATGGAGGAACTCTGTTGTGGGCTATCCATGCCAGAGCCCCCAGTACCAGACGTCCCTGAGACCACATGTTGCTCTGCTCCTCCACCACCCCATCCTGCTTCCTTCCCTCCCTTATAACTTTTCCCAGAAGAGCACTCCCCCAGTAAATCGCATTCCCCAGGATCCCCATTCCAGGCTCCACCTCTCAGGAACATGATCCAAAACAGGTATGAGCAGGCAGTTCACAGAAAAGAAAACCTGAATGCCCAATCATCATAAGCAAAAGTGCTCAGACATATCTGTAATCTAAGAAATCTGGCCAGGCACGGTGGCTCACGCCTGTAATCCCAACAATTTGTGAGGCTGAGGTGGGCAGACCACTTGAGGTCAGGAGTTCGAGAACAGCCTGGCCAACATGGTGAAACTCCTTCTCTACTAAAAATACAAAAATTAGCCAGGCATGGTGGTGCATGCCTGTAATCCCAGCTACTCAGGAGGCTGAGGCAAGAGATTTGCTTGAACCCGGGAGGCAGAGATTGCAGTGAGCTGAGATTGTGCCACTGCAACTCCAGCCTGGGTGACAGAGAGATACTTCGTCTCAAAAAAAAAAAAAAAAGAAAAGAAATCCAAAGCAAGGCAGGGTGGTTGGCTCACACCTGTAATCCCAGCACTTTGGGAGGCCAAGAAAGGAGGATTGCTTGAGCCCAAGAGTTCAAGACCAGCCTGGGCAACATAGCAAGACCCCATCTCACTAAAAATTTTAAAAAATTAGCCAGGCATGGTGGCCACATGCCTGTGGTCCCAGGTATTCAGGAGGCTGAGGTGAGAGGATCGTTTGAGTCCAGGAGGTCAAGGCTGCAGTGAGCTGTGATTGTGCCACTGCACTCCAGCCTGGGCAACAGAGCAAGACCTGTCTCAAAAAAAGAAAAAGAAGAGAAAAGAAAAAGAAAGAAATTCAAAGTATGTCAATAAATTTGACTATTAATGTTACACATTAGCCATGGGCGCAGGCACTCTCAGGGCTTATCAATAGAAATAGTCACCAGGGATGGCAGTTTGCCAGTATCTAAAACTAAAACATGAGTGACCTTAAACCCAGCAACCCCACACCCAGGAACTCACCCTGACACGTGCCCAAGGCTGACAGAGAAATAGGAAACCCCTTTACAGAACTGGCAATCAGAGCTGCAGTTGAAATAGCGGAAGGTATCGCTGGGGCACCAAGGAGGAAGTGATTTCATGTGAGCAAGGTGCTCATTATTGGAGACAAGGGGGAAAGTGATGGTATGATACAGCCTGTGAAATGAAATATTAAAACTATATGTGCCAATATGGGAAAACTTCCAAAACATGTTCATGAGTGAGACGGGGAACAAGGTGCAAAACCTAATATCCAGTTTGATCCTCCAACAATGACTGTAAAAGGACAAGTCCTTTCTGGAAGGACAGGCAAGAAAGGGTTTACAGTGATTAAACTACAGGGAGCAGAAAGGGCTGGGGTAAGGAGCTTGTATGTCTTGCTTCACTCATTATCCTTCTGCACTGGTAGAATTTTCATCCTGTCCATGAATCACTTTTCCCCAAACATTTTATTATAAAAATATTCATACATGCAGAAAATTTAAAATAATTGTATAGTAAGCACCCATATACCCACTAACTAGATTCTATAATTAATATTTTGCTATACTTGCCTTATATATCTGCCTATCTATCCATCCTTCCATCCAGCCTTCCATCTAACCATCTTACTTTTCGACGCATTTCAAGTAAATTAAAGAAGTGGCAATTTACTTTATCCCTAAATATTTCAGGATGCTGGCCAGGCATGGTGGCTCAGGCCTGTAATCCCAGCACTTTGGGAAGCCGAGGCAGGTGGATCACCTCTGGTCAGGAGTTCAAGACCAGCCTGGCCAACATGGTGAAACCTCCTCTCTACTAAAAATACAAAAATTAGCCAGGCATGATGGTGCACGCCTGTAATCCCAGCTACTCAGGAGGCTGAGGCAGGAGAATTGCTTGAACCTGTGAGGCAGAGGTTGCAGTGAGCTGAGATCACACCATTGCACTTTAGCCTACGCAACAAGAGTGAAAAAGAGAGAGAGAGAGAGAGAGAGAGAATATATATATATATATTTTTTCAAGATGCATTCCATTAACAAGAGTTTAATATTTGTTTATTTTTTAACTTCAAGATAAATTTATATGCAATGAAATACACAAATCTTTCAGTGTATCTATTTCTAACTTTTATACTTTATATCTGGTTTAGTTTGGTTTGGTTTGGGTTGGGTTTTAGAAATGAGGTCTCACTCTGTCACCGAGGCTGGAGCGCAGTGGTGCAATCTTGGCTCACTGGGCTCAAGCGAGTCTCCTACTTCAGCTGCTAGAGTAGCTGGGACTGCAAGCACATACTGCCAGGCCCAGTTAATTTTGTTGTTGTTGTTGGAGAGACGAGGTCTCGCTATGTTGCCCAGGCTTGCCTTGAACTCCTGGCCTCAAGTGATCCTCCTGCCTCGGCCTCCCAAAGCACTCGGATTACAAGTGTGAGCCACTGAGCCAGCCTTTAATTTTTTTTAAAGACTGCAGGTATAGGTTCATTGCTTCACTTTCCACCAGCACTCACTGAGCTCCTACTGTGCGCCACACAGTGTGGCAATGTGCTGGGGCAGCAGAGTGGATATGAGTTGATGTTTTTGAGAGCTTACCATTCAGGGCAGGGGGCAAGGGAGGCAGATGATAAGCACGTAAACACATACATAAATAAGATCATTGCAGGCTGCAATGGGAGCTGCAAAGGCCATAAGGTGGGAAGAAGTAAGAGAGAAAGATTGCAGGGCTGGAGGCAGGGAGTGCAGGAAGAAAATGTAAGATCCAGCAGATCCCTGATGGATGAGAAGATCCAGGGTGCATTCCATTGTCAACACATGCTGGCTATTCCTTAGAGAAAGCCTCTTTGTCTCTCTGACCCTCAGTTTCCACATCTTTGTTTCAGGGATAACATCTCTTCCTCATGGGTTGTCATGGGGATTAAATGAAGGTGTTGATGTGCTTCACACAGGGCCCAGCACACATGAGCATGCAGCGAACATCAGCAGCCATCACAGTTGCCACTGCTGCCACTGTCCATGCTGTTAAATCCATCGCAAGCTGGAGACTCAGGCATAGATCTGATGGGTGCCTTCCTCATGGAGTTTACAGTCCAGAGGCTGAGACAGTTACAGAACAAGGTGGTCACAGCTGCAGGAGAACTTGCTGGAAAGTGGCACTAAGGAGGGAATGACTTGACTGAGATATCCAGGAAGACTTCCTGCAGGAGGTGACACCTAAGCTCAGGCTAAAAAAATAAATAAATAACTGGTACATCACCAGATGGGCAAGGGCAGGAGCACATCCTAAACTGAAAAACCAGCCCATGTAAAAGCAGAGAAAAATGAACTGACCTGATGCATGTAGGAGAAATCACTGGTGTCAATGTAGTAGGAAAATTAAATGGGAGAAGGTGAGGCTGGAGAGACAAGGGCCGGACAGTGGAGGGCTTGAATACGAGGCTTTGAGCTGGACTTTCTCCTAAGAGCTGTAGGAAGCCAGCAGACTGAAATTAAAAAGACTCACAGTGCCAAACGTTGGTAATGGAGTGAAGCAACCAGAGCTCCCATACACTACAGGTGGGAGTATAAAGTGATACAGCCACTTTGGGGAAAGTTCTGGCGGTTTCTTACAAAACGAATCATATACCTACCCTAGGAGCTGGCAATCCCACTTCAAGAGAAATGAAAACATGTATTCACAAAAAGACTTGTACAAGACCGTTCATAGAAACTGTATTCAGAATAGCCCCAAACTGGAAGCAACCCAAGTGTCCATCAACAGGATGAAAATGACTAAACACATTATGGTATATCCACACAATGGGATACTGTGTATCTATAAAAAGGCATAAACTACCAAGAGCTGCAGCAATGTGAATGAATATCAAAATCATTGTGCTGGGTGAAAGAAGGCAGACACAAAAGAGTACCTATTGTATGTTCCATTTATATGGAATCTTAGACAAAACTAATCTATAGTGGGGGAAAAAATGAGAACGTCACCCTCGCTGTGGGGGAAGAGTGGGGATTGGCTGGGAAGGGGCGAACAGAACTTTCCGGGTCGATGGGGAGATTCTGACTCTTGATGGGGTTTGGGTCACACAGGTGCATGCACCTGTCAAAACTCTGCAAATGGACACTTAGGATCCGCGCTTTTTGTTGCATACTGAGATATTTTCCTTTGTAGTTCTTAATGACTCCAGAGAGTTCTCTGGCTAACGATTTTCCCGCCTATGTCGGCAATGTTGACGATCTCTTCAACAGTTACATGTCCACTGTGCTTAATGTGCTTCTGCTTTTCTCTGTCTGAGTGGTCCTTTGACAGCTTTGATGGTCAAGGCAGAGGCAGAAGGTACTGCTTCAGTCTGGGCCTGTCTGTCCCAAATGATCCGTTTCCCTGTCATCCTTAAACCCTTCCTTAAACCCACCAATTGCCTTGGTGATATCATCACCAACCATTTTTTAGGAGACAGCCCCAGGGTGCCCATCTTGGTGGCCAGGGCAGATGTGGCACAACTTCCCCACCAGTGCACATCAGGTACAAGACTTTGATTTCCTTGGGGTTGAACCTGGGCCATGTGAAGGACGTGGCTGGTGTCACTTGAACCCGGATGCTGAGTGATCAAAGAAAGTTGCACCTTGTTCTCCTCTGAGCAGAAAGCCCAACTGTAAACAAATATTGAACTTTAAGCTGAAGTACCTAGAAGGGAGGGTACAGATGTCTACAACTTACTTTGAAATGCATCAAATAAGATGGACAAATGGATAGATATTTAAAGAAGTGCCGTAAAATGTGAATGGTAGAACTTAGGTGTTGGATATAGTGTTCTCTGTAAAACTAACTTTTCTCTATGTTTGAAATTTTTCATTGTAAACTATTGGAGGGAGGAAAGATGGTGCTGGCTATAGTGATGGAAAATGAATTTGAGGGGCCCAGATGAGATTCAGGAAAGCCAGTGAGGAGACTGTGGCGATTTTCCCAGGCAAGAAATGAGGAGGCCTGGGGGGAGGCCAGGGCAGTGGGGTAGAGAGGAGGGAGAGCCAGAGGCATCGTTTGTTGGGAGACTCAGGAGACGAGGGGCACAGTGAGGAATGACGGGAGACAGATCAGAAGTCAGGCCTAGCCTGCAAGGAAACCCAGGAGTGGCCTCTCTCAGGAGCAGCAGATGCTGAAAGTGCAGAAAGGTGAGGGGGGCTGGGGAAAGCAGCGGTCCTGAATGCTCCTTTCCAACACTAAGGAAAACAGTGGATGAGCATCTGTGATGGCCCCACCTTTCAGTGGGTGTCCTCGCTCCCCCACTCCATGGGGCTGGGCTCCTCGTTGCCTCTTTCTCCCCTCCTGGGAGACTTGCTGATTAAGTGAGTAAATATTAGTGCAGAAACCCAACCCCTGTGCACAACTTCAAGGGAGGTGCCCTGTGGTTGCCCCATGCTTCCCTCCTGGCCACCAGGAATCAGGACAAGCAAAGAACACGACATTCACAGTCCAGGGAGGTCACACAGTCCGGAAAGGTACAAAGGGTTTGGAGAACTCACTTCATTTGGTTTGGGAGCCTCCGCAGGTGGACACGGTAAGAGATCTTAATCTGACTCACACACTCTCAAAAAGAGAGCAAAGGCATTCTTGATGCATCCTAGAGAGCTTGGTTGAGGGTTGCCTGCAAGTGTTGGCTGCCTACCACGCCATTGGTGGTGGTGAGAAAATGAGTCACCTTCCTACTCTCTCTCAGTTGTTCTGAAGATATCACGGAGAAAGGCTCGGCACAGTGCTGAAATGTCTTCAATGCCTCTCCAACCACTCGCTACCTTCCCCCTTAGAAAGAAAGTAGGCAACATTTGATAGCCAGAGTTCAACAAAATGTTTCTACTTGTTTCCATTGTGACTTTGGAAAGGGCATTTCACCTCTGTAAACAGCATCACTTGCCATAAACAGTCAGTGATGATGGGACTATAGTGATGATGGGACTATAGTGATGATGATAAGGGCGACGAGTTTAATGGGTACTTATCACGTGCCAAGTGCTCTTGGGAGTAAAAGTGAACCTGGCACATGATAAGTAATCATTAAGCTTAATCGCCACCCTTATTATGGTCACTATAGTCCCATCATCACTGGCTATTTATGGCAAGTGATATTGTTTTTTTCACTTTGGGTAGCATACACAGTTTTCTGTTAGAAATAGATCTAATTGGCCAGGCACAGTGGCTCACACCTGTAATCCCAGCACTTTGTGAGGCCGAGGCAAGCGGATCATCTGAAGTCGGGAGTTCGAGACCAGCCTGACCAACATGGAGAAACCCCATCTCTACTAAAAACACAAAATTAGCCAGGCGTGTTGGCGCATGCCTGTAATCCCAGCTACTCGGGAGGCTGAGGAAGGAGAATCGCCTGAACCTGGGAGGCGGAGGTTGTGGTGAGCCAAGATCACACCATTGCACTCCAGCCTGGGCAACAAGAGCGAAACTCCGTATTAAAAAAAAAAAAAGAAGGAAAGAAAGAAAAAAGAAATAGATCAAATTTATTTGAGTTTTCAAAAGTTATTTCATTTGCCAAGATGCATGCTAAGTCCATAAAAACCCAGGCATTGGCAGATATGGAGAAGCTAAAGGTAGTTGTCAGGGGTAGGTGAGGACAGTATATAAATGACAGGTGCTTGGGAGATTCTGGCCGAAGGTGAAGAGCATGGGCTTTGCAGTCAGATAGACCCGAGTTTATATCCTGGCTTTTTGTCACAGTAGCTGTGTGACCTCGAGCAAGTTACCAGGCCTTTTTGTATCCCCATTTCCTTCTCTGTGCCATAGGGGATAACAGTGGACCTGCAGGTCTGAGGCTCAGCTAGGCCGGTAGTGAGCACTCAGGAATGGGAGGGCCATTGGCTGGGCACGGTGGCTTACGCCTGTAATCCCAGCACTTTGGGAGGCCGAGGCAGGTGGATCACTTGAGACCAGGAGTTCGAGACCAGCCTTCCCAACATGGTGAAACCCCGTCTCCATTAAAAATATAAAAATTAGCCGGGCATCATGGGACACGCCTGTAATCTCAGCTACTCAGGAGGCTGAGGCAGGAGAATCACTTGAACCTGGAAAGCAGAGGTTGCAGTGAGCTGAGATCACGCCACTGCACTCCAAGACAGAGCAAGACTCTGTCTCAAAAAAAAAGAAAAGAAAAGAAAAAAGAAATAGTAGGGCTATTTATATTATACATTTCATAAAGCTCCCTTCCTTTCATACATTGTTGGCCCCCAAAACTGTGTTCCAAAGTCAAATGCGTGGAAGATGAATAGAGGGAGGGTCACGTGTGTGTATGTGTGCGTGTGTGTGTGTGTGTGTGTGTGTGTGTGGCAGGGGTGTTGAGTGTTGGTTGGGGGAGGGCATCCAGGGCGTTCCCAGGAGGCTGAAACCTCTCATGAGCCTCTGATGGTGTCGTTTCAGGATCCTACACATGTTCTCATTTTTGTTCCGCATCATGACTGAGATAATCGCACATTGTGACTGTATATTTATTTGTCTGTTTCTTGCTCTCCCTCCGTCTCTGTCTCCCCAGGACACTGTGAGCCCCAGGAGGGCAGGGGCTGATCTGTGGGCTCCCTGCTATATCCAAGGCACCCAGCTCTGTGTCCACACAGAGGGTGTGTAAGGTGCATTTGCTGACTGACTAACTGACCTGCTAGCCGACTGCATCTGTTTGTGCCACCAGTCTTGAATTACTAAAGAAAATTAGAGGGTTGGGAGAGAAATACTGGGGGACTGACCCCTAAAATCATACAAGCCCTGCAACATAGCAAAGTCTTAGGCTCTAGCCTGCTCCAGCCTCTCTGGCCCTGCCCTGGGCTGCTAGTGGAACCTCTCCCGCCCTCCTGACCTGGAGAGACTGGAGATGGGGTGGGGGTGGGGGCTGCCTCAAGAATCTATCTCCAAGGATGGCCATTTGAGGGCAGATGAGGTTAAACCTCCAAGCACCCCAAACTGAGGCTCCCAACTTGAGGGACTCAGCTGCCCCCAGGGGCCTGGTCCAGTGATTCCCCCATCTCCCAGGGACCTGCCCATTTCCCAAGCCCCCCACTCAATAGTCACACCGTTTTCAAGGACAGGTAGACACTGGTACGTGAGGGTTCTCACAACAGCTGAACTTTGTAAGTCACCCCTTCCTGTCTTCCTTTATCTAGTTACAGCTAGACAATATGATATGATATCAATCAGAGCAACTGCAATACCAGTCACAGAAATCCCAGTGTCAAGAGTTCCTTCTGGGGTTCCCCGCTTTGCTTTAAGTGAGCGTGCTGTGAGTATGTCCCAGCTCCTGTCCCCTGCAGCACCGCTATTGTGAAGTCAAAGTGAGTTAACACCATGCTCAGGGCAGGGCCTGGAAAGAGGACCTGCTCATCTGATTGGGTGGTTTCCATGTCAAGGCCAGGCACAGCACAGGCCGACAGCTGGGGCCCAGAGCCCCTTTTGCCAGGCACAGACTGCAGGCACAGAGAGGTGAGGACATTTGCCTGAGGCCACACAGTAGGGGCGGGTCACCGCGTAGTGTGTCCAGGTGCACTCTCCACAGGCCGCCCAGCTCCCTCCTGAGCTTCAGAAAGCACCCAAGAGATTGGCAGAGAGAGGAGAGAGACAGTGGGTAAGAGAGAGACAGGGCAGGGACAGCCTGAGGAGGAGGGAAGGAGAGACAGAAAGAGAAGGGGATGGCAAGAGCAAGACAGAGACCTCTGGGAAAGCCAGACAGTGAAGACAAGCAGGCTACCCGAGGCCTGGTTTTGAGGATCTGAGCACACTGTCCCCTGCCTTGGGGGAGGCTCCATACAGCCCACAGCGTTCTGGGAGGCACTGAGGGCCTCAGGACCCCAGCCCTGCTTGTGCTCCATTCCCATCCCCAATCCCATCTCACCTCCAGCCCCTGGTTCTGACTCCTCATGAGAACATCCCCAGCTCCCCTTCCCTGCCACCCGCCCCACTCCCTTCCCCTCCAGCCCACCTTCCCTGCCACCCGCCCCACTCCCTTCCCCTCCAGCCCACCTTCCCTGCCACCCGCCCCACTCCCTTCCCCTCCAGCCCACCTTCCCTGCCACCCGCCCCACTCCCTTCCCCTCCAGCTCCCCTTCCCTGCCACCCGCCCCACTCCCTTCCCCTCCAGCCCACCTTCCCTGCCACCCACCCCACTCCCTTCCCCTCCAGCCCACCTTCCCTGCCACCCGCCCCACTCCCTTCCCCTCCAGCCCACCTTCCCTGCCACCCGCCCCACTCCCTTCCCCTCCAGCCCACCTTCCCTGCCACCCGCCCCACTCCCTTCCCCTCCAGCCCACCTTCCCTGCCACCCGCCCCACTCCCTTCCCCTTCAAGCGACTCAGGCAAGCTCCCAGACACTCTTTCCAAAACCCACCCTCCTTCCTTTGCCCCTGAAAGGCTCCCACTCTGGAATGCCCTCCCCTCCTAACACATCCCTATCCCTTAAGCCCAGATCAAATGTCACCTCTTCCAGGAAGCCTTCTCTGAACTATTCCCCAGGGAAGCATTGTGATGCCATTGCTGATAGCAGCAACAAAAGCCCAGTCATGCCAGTTCCAGAATCACCAGGAAAGAAAGAAAGAAATCATTTTTCCCCTCCCTAATCAGGCAGGTTATCCCCTTCTGGGCCCCACTGAGCTGCCAGCGACTGTCACACACGAGGCAGGTGCCAGCCTCCCTCTCTCTCAGTGCTGACCATACCATCTGTGTGTTTGCCCCTGTTCTACTGTTTGACATACTTGACCTGTGCTGGCCTTATTAAGCCCATCCTGTCTGCACCCTGGCATTTGTATTGCTCGTCTGGCCCTAATAACAATCCCTGTGTCACCTCTATCCTGGTACTTTGCACACTTGGCCAAGGCTCACGGCAGTGAAAGCAACACATCACCCTGCCTGGGTTCCCATTCCTGGAGCTCTGAGCCTACGCACATGCTGCCCACGTGGATGAAAATCCCAGCACTCAGCCGGCTGCCTGCATCCACCTCTGTTGGGTCACCCAACACACCTTCATCAACTGGACTGTGGGCCCCACGAGGGCAGAGATCTGGTCTTTGTCTCCCCCCAAGAGCTAGGACAGCTTCCAACTTAGCCAGGGTTCATTTGCACTGAATTTAATCTATTTCTGTCCCACAAAAGAGGGATTATGTTGTAAGTTCCAGTAATGATTTCTTTATTTCTTTCCTGGTGGTTCCGGGACCGGCATGACTGGGCGTTTGTTGCTGCTATCAGCAATGGCATCACAATAATTCCTCAGAGTCCCAGGTTGGTGGGGGCTGTGGGTCGGGCATTGGGAAAGGAATGAGGTTTCCTCCACTCCCTTGTCCTGCGCCCAACCTTTATTGACTCATTTGCAGGCCATTTAGTGGGGTTGTTTACATATCCAATACATATATTTAGTGTAAACATTTTTTTAATTCTGAAAAATACCAAGAAGATGGTGAAAGTGACCTGTGATCACACCACCAAGAAACGTGTACTGTTGATGCATTTCCTTCCAGTATTTTTTTCTAGATTAAAAAAAATTTTTTTTTGTTAAAAAATAGAAGAAACAGTTTCCCTTTTCACTTACTTCTGTTGGTTGGTCTACATTGTTTTGTGATGGCTGCCTGGTGGCCCACGGTTTATTTAATAAATCCCATTGCTGGATGTTAAGGCGGGTCCCACTTTAGGGCTATTCCAGGTAAGGCTGCAGTGAGCATCCTCACAGTTCTCTATGCTCAAATCACTGGCCAGTTCCCTTGGCAGAACCTCCACTGACCCTGGGTCAATGGGTTTGATCTTCCTAACAACATACTTGACCTCAGAAACAGCCCAGTCCTCATTGCATAAGAACTGAGCCCCCTCCACTATAAGCAAAGGTCATCACAGCCAGCCTGGCCACTGCATCGTGGAGCCCAACATCTTTATTCTATAGCTGGGGAGACTGAGGCTCAGAGAGAACTGACTTATCCAAAACCAGCCCAAAGGTAGTGGCAAACTCCATGTCATCTAGGGATTTTCTCCCCACTCCATTATCTTTAATATTTTGCAAGAAAATCCATAATCCTTAACAAGGATGCTGGTGGGATGTAGCAAGGATGAAGCATCTGTGTCTGCTCATGACCGACATTGTTAATCAATCACCACATTCTCTCCTGCTGAGCCCAGACCCTTGAAAGCTTCAAGAGCCATCACCAGGCAGCTGAAATTGGTACAAGAGCAAAATGCTTCTACCATGCTGGTGGAGCATCTTTGGTGGCAACAATGGAGGACCTGAGCTTCTTTAGGAGTGGCTTGAATTCTTGCTTTCCTTCTTTCTTTCGAGCCAGTGACAGTTGGCAAGGCCTCTGATTTCCATCTGTCCACGTCATCAGAAACCCTCTCTGGTTTTCCGCATGACTGCAGTCTTCCCAGGAGAGCTTGGCCCTCGTTCTGGCTGGAGATGGTAGGGCAGGCTGGGTCAGTGCGTGGAGCATGGGCTCTCAATTCAGACAGAAATGGGTCCCAATCCTGGCCCTCTGCTTTATGGTTGTGGGACCTTAGGCAAGTCAATTCCCTTCTCCAAGGTCCTACTTCATCTGGAAAATGGGAGGATAAAAACCCCTATTTTCTCCTCTCTTGGCCTCAGTTTGGTGATCTGTAGAATGGAGATGATCTTTTCCACTCTGCCATCTTGCTGTGTCTGAGCATCCAGCTTTGATTTAACATCAGATTATCTCCCCACCCCTAACCGAGGCTTCTGTGGATCAGCTTGGTGGGAAAGGGGAGAAGAGGTGTGTGTTCTCTCCCTGCACTTCCCTCTCCTTCTCTTTCTCTCTCTCTCTCTCTCTCTCTCTCTCTCCATCCAGAAGGAAGAAAAGGGGCAGGAGAATTTTCCTTTGACTGATATTGTTGCCAGGTAGTTCCCAACTCTCTGGGGAGCCCAAAAAATGTTGAGAGCCAAGTCTTGTCGGCACCTTCAAAGAGGTAGTCTTACCTCCCTGTGGGGCTTCTTGACCTGCACCCCCCACACCAGGGCAGAGCCTCTTTGATGGCTAACTGTCCCGCAGGCCACCCCAGCCACTCCCAGCCCCTGGTTCTCTAGCGTCCTCTCCAGGTGGTGATACTAGGAAGGACTTCAAGCAGCCCTAGACCGATCTTCGTCTTGCAGGGTCCACACCCGGCCCTGGGAAAACACACACACACATGCGCTTTGACCCTGCCCAGAGGGAACAGAGAGCAGTAATTTTCCACTTACGGAAGTCACTTTGCCCAACATGACTTCAACTCATCAGGAGACACAACCCAGTCTACTGCAAGCCCCAACTCCAGGGGAGACAAACCTCAAGCCCCTAAGTGGTCCCTGAAAAGGTCCCTCCTGCTAGGCCTGCATTGAGGCCCAAACACCTCCTGCCCTCCTCCCTGGGAGAGGAGGAGGGACCACAGCTGTCTCCCAAGAAATACCTCTGCCATCTTCTTCCTGTCCCTTCTTGGCCCTTTCGTTGCCTTAATCTGGGTCAGGGCCCCCTGCATGAGAGATGCAGGAGCTGTGCAACTGGTTTTTAGCCACTGCTTGGTCTGTGGCCCAGGACCTCTCCTTGGTATACAGCATCTGGGAAATCATGGTGCCTAAAACAACACTCAAGTTTTCAGACCCAGTTCCAGTAAATGCTAGTAAGGACACCCTCAGTGTGCAGCAAAAAGAGCCCTACCTTAGAGAGGGTGGTCCCCTTGTCCCCTGCTCCCCCACCCCACCCCAGGAGGCAACACTGTAGCTGAGACTTGGTGAATTAGAAGAAGCCAGAATGAGAGCTGGAAGGAGAGCGCTCCTGGGATAAGGCCAGCATGTGCGCAGGCCCTGGGGTGGGAGTGAGAGGAGCGAGGGATGAAGTAGAGAGAGGTGAGGGCTGAAAGGTGGCCAGCAGCCAAACATGCTGGGAAGAGGACATCCAGGCCAGGTGGAGCAGCAGTCAGGCAGCTTTATGCAGATGTTGCGTTCTTTTTTGTGTGTGTGAGACAGAGTCTTGCTCTGTAGCCCGGGCGGGAGTGCAGTGGTGCGATCTTGGCTCACTGCAACCTCTGCCTCCTGGGTTCAAGTGGTTCCCCTGCCTCAGCCTTCTGAGTAACTGGGTCTACAGGCACGTGCCACCTAAAAACCATGCCCGTCTAATTTTTTTTTTTTTTTTTTTTTAGAGACAGGGTTTCACCATGTTGACCAGGCTGATCTCAAACTCCTGACCTCAGGTAATCCACCAGTATTTGCCTCCCAAAATGCTGGTATTACAGGTGTGAATTTACCACTTGCTGAATTCTCTGATGTTTCAAGCATTTCTCATGACCTTACGAGACCCTCAAAATAGTCCCATTTCACAATGGAGGAAACAGTCTCATAGAGAAGAAGCAATTTTCCCAAGGCTGACAGCTGTCAGTATAGGAGCAGGAATCTGAGCCGTGTCTGTCGGCCTCCACAGGCTTCCTCCTGCACTCCTGCGCTTCTTCCCAGACAGGGCACAATTAGGTTTTCAGGAGGGTGAAGGAGGTACTCCAGAAAGAGGACACGGCACAAAAAGGCCTGGGAGCTGAAGAGAGGTGGAGCCAAGGCCAAGAGACGCCAGCAACCTGAGGAGGGGCCACGCGGTACTGAGGGCAGGTGTGGAGTCTGGGGACCATGGGCCTGCAGAGATGCAGCCAGCTTTGCTGTCCCAGCACGTGGCAGGAAGCAGGAGCTGATGCGGCCCCAGGTCTTGGCATTGGGCCCGAGCACCGCACAGAGGGTCATTGTCCATGGGCAGTGGGCATGGCCAGCTGGGAAGCCAAGCAGGGGCATTTGCCTCTCTGGAGATGTGCCCAAGGGATCGGCAGGGTCCTCCCAAGAGCTCTCTCAAAACACCTCACCTTTAGGTATTCAGGGCTTTTGGTGTGTTTGCAAACATGGCAGGACAGCAAACGCTCTTCACCTTGTTCTTCTTGTCAAAAAGCAGGAGGAAGAGACCAGCCAGGGCCTGGCCACGTACTTTGTGACCTCAGAACACTTACTGCCCCTGACTTGTCTGCTGCAGATGGAGACAGGATTCAACAATGGCCATCCCAGCTCTAAACCACAATTCCATTCTTCTAGACAAAAACTGGGTAGCAAGGATAATTCCCCAGATGACATCAAAAGGCCATGTTGGTGTCACCACCACCTCCAGTGCTAAATTGAAGTCTCAGGGGAAGGACAGTGTGGCGGTTAAGAGGGTCCGGTCTGGACTGATGATCGGGTTCAGGTCCCAAAGCTGGAATCCCTGGTCATGTGACCTTGAGCAAGTCACTCGCCTCTCTGAGCCTCAGGTGCCCTCTGTAACATTAACGCTGCTGATGCCCACCTCTGGGTGACTGTGCAGGCTGCGTGAGCCAAGACCTGGGCCCAGGTGGTGGATGACAGCGTCCTGCTGGGCTCTGACATTTGTCCTTTAGGTTCATGGTCATCCCTCCTTATTCTTTTGGTCCACAAGTGCTCATGGAGATTCCTAAAGATGCAGACAAGGTAGAGCAGATTTTAATTGCTGCGGAATGAATGAATGAATGAAATGAAAGCCCATGCTAAGCACTGTGTAGGCATGCACTTCAACTCATGCTCTTAACAACCTATGAGGAGGAGCTACTATTATCCCCATGCTATAGATGAGGTCATTGGGGCCCAGAGAGGTGAAGTACCTTGCCCAAGGGCACACAGCAAAGCAGTGGCAAAAATAGGATTCAAATCTATTCTCCTGGGTGAATTAATTGATGGAGATGTGTATCTTTGATGTATTTAGGAATAAGGGGTGGGTAAGGCTACTCCTTCCTTTTCCCAAATTGATTATCTGGATTAAACAATTGTTGTAATCCCTCTACAAAGGCTCATCCTATTATAAGCAATAATAATATTAATGGCAACGGCCACTCACATTTATGGAGTGCTTATTCTGCTATATGCACTGTGCTTCTCTCAGCCTGGACCTTCCTTTCTCCAAACCTCAGGAAGCTGGAGTCCCAAGGCTGCCTCCGGGCGGGGCTGTGGTTCAGCAGAAGCCACAAATATTTACCTTGGAGACCTCGGCCTGGTCTGAGGCCTCTGCCTAAAGACAAAGCCTGTGCTGGGGTGTGCAGGATATAAGGTTGGACTTCCAGACCCACTGCCCGGGAGAGGAGAGGAGCGGGCCGAGGACTCCAGCGTGCCCAGGTAAAAGTAGGGAAGGGGCTGAAAGCCAAGGTTGCCAGGAAGGTTCTGAGCTAGAGATACCTGTTGGGGTCAGGTCAGGAGCACAGGGGAGGCTCGCCCTCAGGGAAGGGCCCTCGGTGAGTCAGGATCCGCTGAGGGTCAGGGCCAGGTGTAGAGAGATGCCCAGCTCCCTCGCCCAGAGGACCAAAGGGCAGTGACGAAGGGATGGGGCTGGCTGAGTGTTTTCCTGACCTCTTCCTAGTGACATAAACCCACTCTGCACATACCAGTTGCTCTGTCCCAGCTGTGCTGCGGTGGTGCTGGGACAAAAGAAGCATGAGACGCAGACTCTGTCCCTCAAAGAACTCCCAGTGCAGGACAATGTGGTGCCCAAGGAAGACCCAGGGACATGGGAGTGGAGGACAGTCAAAGAAGGGATCCTGGAAGAGGTGATGTGTTGGTTGCAAAGCCGAGTAGAAGGCGATTGGGCAAAGGAGGAGAGAAAGATATTCCACGAAGGGGAACTAGCAGAAGCAAAGGCTGGGAGAGGAGGTGCCATATGACAGGGGCGTGTGTGGTGCCTGGATCTGGGGGAGGAGAGTCTTTTCCACAGGAGGGAAACAGGGATGCTACCATCCTCGTGGGTCCCTGGGTTTCTCTGATCCAAAGAGGACTGAGCAGTGTGTACAGATAATGCAGGACAGACAGAGTCAAGGTATTTGCAAGGAAAATATGGAGTGGGGCCACAGGGGTGCCTGGATGCCGGGGTTCAGCTCTGTCTTCTGGCTTTGGCTGCAAGGTGTCTCCTTCTGACTCCAATATTAGTAATAATACCTGTCATAATTATCGTGGAAGCTACCATCTACTGAACGCTTGGCCATGCCAGGCCACAAATAGATTGTCTCATTTAATCTTCCCAAAAAGCCTATGACATAAGTACTATAATTATTCCCCATTTTATAGATGAGTAAATGGAGGCTCAGAAAGGGTAAGTCACTTGTCAAAGATCACAGAGCAAGTGGTAGAGGCAGGCCTCCAACTAGGGTTCATCTGGCTGCCAAGCCAATAATATTTTCCCCTCCACCTTCAGGCCTCCTAACACTAACCTTTTCAGCTTAGCAGGCTCAGATTTCCAATTCTTTCGGGGCTTCCAGAGGCTATGCAATTATTCAGCAGCCATTTATTAAGCACCTGGTCTATGCCAACCACTATACTGGATGCCAGGGACACAGCAGGGAGCAGGCAGACCCAGCCCTCCCTCCCAGAGCTCACAGCTTGGTCAGGGAAGCAGAGGCTGAATCATTATTGCAAGGGTCTCAGAAGAGCTCACACTGCTCCAGGGCACAGGAGACACATGTCATCCGGATGCCACATTTGTCTTTGGCAAAAAGAAATCCACATGCTGAACCAAGCGAGGGGCTCAGATCTCTGCAGCGTCTCCCCTCCCTCCAAGCAGGACAGTCCACAGGGGCAGGAGCTTCCATGGGGGGCTGGCAGACAGAGCCAGGGTGCAAGCTGGAGAGCTCAGGACTGGACTACAGATGTTGATGCCACACCCCTGTGGAGGGAGGGGACAGAGCAGCCAAGGGGCCAGAATACCCCCAAGCTCCTCTCCCTGGCATGAGCCACAGGGCCCTTTCTCTCTCTCTCTTTCTCTCTCTCTCTCTCTGCCCTTCTTTTCCTGGCTCCAAGAAGCCATTCAGTCCCTCCCCAGCCCCCTTAGTATTGCAGATTAAGCAAAGAGCTTTTTCACAACTTTGAGTCCTACCTGGCTCCTCATTTCCTTCCTGCCTCCAACCTTCATGTCTTGGGCCCCAGGACAACATTTCTCCAAGTGTGGTCCAGGTTCCCTGTCTGCAGGACAGGGGAAGCTTTATAGGGAAAGTGACAAATCTTGGCAGGGTTTTAAAGGATGAATAGGAGTTCATCAGGGAGATATGGGAGGAGAAAAGCATTCCAGGAAGCAAGGAAGAGCAAGAGCAAAGGCACGGACACAGGAGAGAACACAGTATGTTCTGAGACCTTCCAACTGCTTGGAACTTGCTAGAACAAGGGGAGAGAAAGCAGGAGGTGAGGTCAGCAGACGGTGAACCATAGAGGGTTTTAAGTGTCAGACTGAGGGGTGGGAGACACGGGAAGCAGAAGTTCTTTGTTCTGAGCATTGTTGCTGGATTTTCTGTAAGAAAATAGCTAATACAGGCTGGGCGCGGTGGCTCACGCCTGTAATCCCAGCACTTTGGGAGGCCGAGGTGGGCAGATCACGAGGTCAGGAGATCGAGACCATCCTGGCTAACACGGTGAAACCCCGTCTCTACTAAAAATACAAAAAAAAAAATTAGCCTGGCGCGGTGGTGGGTGTCTGTAGTCCCAACTACTCAGGAGGCTGAGGCAGGAGAATGGTGTGAACTCAGGAGGTGGAGCTTGCAGTGAGCCGAGATGGCACCACTGCACTCCAGCCTGGGTGACAGAGCGAGACTCTGTCTCAAAAAAAAAAAAAAAGAAAGAAAATAGCTAATACATTCCAAGTGCTTACCATGTGAAAGACACCGTGCTAAATGCTTTCCAGATATTAACTCACTTAATCCCTCAACTCTGGGAAGCTGGGGTCATTATCCCCATTTGTCTGATAAGAAAACTGAGGCACAAAGAGGTTACGTTGATTGCCTAAGGCTACACAGCTAGCCCAGGCAGTTAAACACTGCACTCAACAGCCTCTCCTGGACACCGTGCCCCAGGTCACCGGGCATCATGGGCCTGCCCTTGGCCCCTCTGCCTCAGGTCCCTCTGTGCTCACCCCAGGTCTGGCATCCTGCACTTGCTGCCCTCTGACACCTGGGAAGATGGCCGGCCCGTGGACCTTCACCCTTCTCTGTGGTTTGCTGGCAGCCACCTTGATCCAAGCCACCCTCAGTCCCACTGCAGTTCTCATCCTCGGCCCAAAAGTCATCAAAGAAAGTAAGTTTTGTCCCTCCGGAGCTGGCTGCCATAAGACAAGGGGGTAGGTGGAGCAGCTTCCCAAAGGAGGGAGAGAGTTCCTCATCACGGGGGATGTGCATGGCTGAGATCCCAGAACGTGGGTGAACATGAGTGGGAGGTTGTAAAGGTCTGGAGAGTCTGTGATCTCAAGAGTCCACGATTCCAAGAACCCCTTCTTAAATTCCACAGTTCCAAAGACCCTGAGTTTCCACAGCCTGCAGAAGGGGCATGCAGCCACTGCATGCAGTGATGCAGCTGCCTCTCCCACTGCCTTCACCTGAAATCCCATCGTCAGAGCACCCCGTCTTAGTTAGACCCAGTGTGCTCCTCCTCCCCAGAGCAGAGACCCTTGACTGCAAGTGTGGCAGCCTGGGTCCCAGGCACAGTGTATCACTTTCCAGCTCTGGGGCACTGGGCCAGTCCCTGAGCCTCAGCTTCCACCTTGGGACACAAATAAGAGGGCCTTCCTCACTGGGTGGTTGGAATTGACTAGAGCTTTATGAATGCTATGACCATGGTTTCAACCTCAGCACTTCTGATGTTGTGGACCAAACAACTATTTATTATGGGGGGTGTCCTGGGCACTTTAGGATGTTTAACAGCATCCCTAACCCAACTGTGACAACCAAAAAGGTCTCCAGACATTGACAAATATCTCTTAGGGGACAAAATCATCTCAGTGGAGAACGACTACTCTAAAGTCTCATCCCCTTAGAGGGGACTCACCTGTCAGCTCTGGAGGCCACTTGAGCACTTAGAGGACCAGACCTCTGCATTCAGGGGGACTAGGGGCCTGGGTCATGGCCAGAGGGGCAGGGGCAGGTCCTGTGGGACCAACAGGCTCTGTAGCCAGCGGATGGATTCCCAAGTAAGGACGGGAAGCAGAGGGCTCTGAGAGGTTGGAGGGAGGCAGAGGTGGCCTGGATCCACACTGTGAAGCTCAAGCATGTGGAATTTCAGCCAGAAGGAGCTTAGAGATGAACAACCATGCTTTAGGCTCTCCTATAAGGAGTTGTGTACAAGTGGTTGGTTTTGAAGGTGACCCCAGAAACACCTACAGGAGTGTGGGGAGGCAAGGCAGGGAAGGAAAGGCATCCCATGAGGGGTGCATGTCCAAGCCAGTTACCACTGTGGCGACTGAAGCTCAGTCCTGCCTAGCAACTGCATCTATTAGGGCCATTCAGGAGACAGAAACCACACAGTAAATGCCAACAGGTAAGTTTAATGTAAAGAAGTATTACCAGGGGATTGGAAGAATGAGGAATTGGCTAAGAGGGAAAACAGACAGAGCTCTAAAGGATAACCTAGGGATGGAGGGGGTAGCCAAGGACAGAGCAAGTTCAGAGGTAGAGAATCCTCCCCAGCCCTCTTTGTAGAGGGTGTGGTTGAAGCCCACTGTGTGGTGGAGAAGTTTGCTGGCTTGTCCCAGGCCAGAGCTGGTCCACAGTTGGCAATCTGACGCTAGTGGGTGGAGAACTACCTGCCAGGGGGCCAATAAAATTCTCTGGGAAGCTGCCCCTGGAGGAAGGGGGCTGCTGTTAACTCACGGGGAAGCTGTCTCTGGGGAACTGCCTAGAAGCTAGCCAGGGTGCCTGCAGAACTCACTCAGCAAAAGCCACTGGGCAGTGACACCATAGGAACCTGGAAAGAGAAGCACACCAGAGCCATGAAGGGAATCCCCCCCATGCCCCTCCAGAGTCTCCACTGAAAGGGCTTAACACTGTGCCAAATGGCAAAAAAGAAATATTCACTGGGCCCAGTTCCATTACCACAGAGCAGGCAAAGTGGGTGGATTTGCAGCTGAGAGGCTATAACCCAGGAGCTCTGATACACAATGAGGGACACACATCTGAGCCATCCTGCCTGAGGGGTGAGGGAGCTGGGATATTGATACACCAACTCTCACCAATCACTGGCTGAAGTCTGCTCCTGGGGCATCAGCTCTCCAGCACTTCTGACCTGCTCTGCACATGAGCCAGATGGGCTCTAGCTGCTCACAAAAAGCCAGCTGGGACAAGAACCCAGGGCTCTTGACACTTATGCCTCTGTCCTGGCTCCTTCTTCCTCTGCTCAGCACTTGAGGCTTTTTGGACAACACATCCATAGGATATGGATGCCAGACAATTGTTAACAAGTGTGCTTTGGCAGCAAAACAGCCCCAAACAGAGTTTTGAGGGTTCCCTGCCTGTTGGCCCTAGAAATGCTTGCAACTGGCTCAGGGGATGAGTGCAGGTCCAGGTGCTGAGTGCAGTGGCCGACACTCCCCACAGAGGCTGGCAATGCTCAGGGGTGTGAATGGTCCCAGCCTCGCTCCTGATGTGAAAACGACCCATCTGGGCTACTGTCCTCAAGGCTACATCTACACAGTGGGGACTGGCAGGCTGGTCCTGACCTCCACCACAGTAGAGATGGCTACACCCTCGCCTTACCTCAGGGAGCCTCGAGTGATACCCCTCCCCAGCCTGGAGCTCCCACCAAGCCTTCCTTCTTGCCCCTCCTCCTGGGCCCTAATCCCTGGGGTCTGCCTCCAGAGCTGACACAGGAGCTGAAGGACCACAACGCCACCAGCATCCTGCAGCAGCTGCCGCTGCTCAGTGCCATGCGGGAAAAGCCAGCCGGAGGCATCCCTGTGCTGGGCAGCCTGGTGAACACCGTCCTGAAGCACATCATCTGGTGAGTGGAGCAGGACCACACCAGGAGCTAGCCCCTTCCCACACCTTTGCCCGGGACACGCTCTGCATGCTCAGTCAACCAGTCTGCAAGCATCGACTTGTGTCAGATCACAAAGAGTGGATCAAACAAAGCCCCTCCGTCAAGAAGCTCCCAGAATAGTTAACAAGAACCATAAGACAGTGACACAGGAACCCTAATACAACAACCCCAGAGCAAGGCCAGGGACGGTGGCTCAAGCCTGTAATCCCAGCACTTTGGGAGGCCAAGGTGGGTGGATCACCTGAGGTTAGGAGTTCGAGACCAGCCTGGCCAACATGGCAAAACCCCATCTCTACTAAAAATATAAAAATTAGCCAGGCATGGTGGCAGAAGCCTGTAATCCCAGCTACTCAGGAGGCTGAGGCAGGAGAATCGCTTGAACCTGGGAAGTGGAAGTTGCAGTGAGCTGAGATGGTGCCATTGCACTCCAGCCTGGGTGACAAGAGTGAGATTCTGTCTCAAAAAAAAAAAAACAAAAAAAAAAAAACAACCCAGAGCAAGGTTGTCTGGGGTGGCACAGGGAAGGGATGAGGTGATGCTTCTCACTGGAGGTGACAGTGGAGCCGATGACTCAATGCTCACCAGGAGACAAGAAGCAAATGGCATCCAGGTAGAAGAATCAGGCTGGGCAAAGGCATGGAGAAGTGACAGTCGGTCAGAATGGCTAGAGCTCAAACCTCAAGGCAAGGAGTAAGGGATCAGCAGGGTCAGGTCACAGAGGGTCTTATGAGTCAGCTCAAGGAGCTGGGAGTCACCACCTAGAAGAGAAGGCACCATAATAGCATTGTGAGCAGGAGTGGAGGGGAGGGATGGAGGCAAGACCATCTGGAGAGGAGTCGGTGGGCAGGGCCAGGGTCCCGCTGCTGCCTAGGCACCCCAGGGAGATGGAAAAGATAGAGAGGGAGTGGATTTGGGAATAATGAGCCGGAGGCATGATTCTGATCTCTCCTAAACCCCATCCAGGCTGAAGGTCATCACAGCTAACATCCTCCAGCTGCAGGTGAAGCCCTCGGCCAATGACCAGGAGCTGCTAGTCAAGATCCCCCTGGACATGGTGGCTGGATTCAACACGTGAGTGACCCCTCCATCAAGTACAGTAGGCTTGACAGGCTCATCTGCTCGTTCCCCCTCCCCCGCCCCCACCATGCAGGTGTCTGGAAAAGAGAGTTCCGAGCAGAGAGAAGAGCAAGTGCAGAGGCCCTGTGGCAGCAGTGTACTTGCCTTGCTCAAAGAATGGCAAAGACAGGGGAAAGAGAGAGGGGGCATGGTAGGAGATGAGGCCAGCAGGCAGCCGAGGCCAGATCATACAAGGCCTCTTGGGAGAAGATAAGGACTTGGCTTTTGCTGAGTAGGACGGGAGCCAGGGAGGATTCTGAGCAGAGGAGGGATATGCTGTGCTTTCACATTTTTAAAGACTCCTGGCTGCTGTGGGGAAAAAAGACTTTCTGGGGGTAAGAGTGGAGACAGGAAGGCTATCCCAAAGCTACTGCAACAATTCAGGAGGAGATAATGATGGCTTAGACCAGGGTTTGGGGCAGGGAGGTGCTGAGAAGTTGATTGGATTCTGGATATGTTTTGGAGGTAGGTGGGGACACCAGGATATCCCGGGGAACTGAATATGCATGTGTATTCAGGGGGAAAGAGAGAGAAGTCAACGATGACTCCAAGAGTTCTGCCTGCACCACTGGCAGGATGGAGTGGTCAGTAACCAAGACAGGCAAGGCCATGAGAGGAGCAGGTCTGGGGAAGAGCCAGTCCAGTGTTGCATGCGCTAAACTTGAGAAGCCCGTGAGACATCGGAGTAGGGGGCTGGGGGTAAGTTTGGAAGCTGTCAGCAGACGAAAGACGTTTCAACCAAAGAGGAGTCTGAAAACTGAGCCTGGGACATGCTGGGGTGAAGTTGGGTGAAGATGAGGAGAAACCAGCAAAGGAGACTGAGGAAGGAGGTGAGGGCTGGAAGACAGAGACGGACGGCAGGGTTGCTCCAGCCCGAGCTTGCCTGGTGCTCACATGGTCAGGTGCCTCCACCCGCTAGGCCCCTGGTCAAGACCATCGTGGAGTTCCACATGACGACTGAGGCCCAAGCCACCATCCGCATGGACACCAGTGCAAGTGGCCCCACCCGCCTGGTCCTCAGTGACTGTGCCACCAGCCATGGGAGCCTGCGCATCCAACTGCTGCATAAGTGAGTGTCGCTGGCCACCAGCCGGGCTCCCATCCTGCCTGGAAGGAACGCCAGGCAGTGGACTTCCCCCATTTTACAAATGGAGAACGCTGAGGCCTAGAGAAAGAAAGGGACTTATCCCCTCCTGATTCCTGATCTGGGGCTCCTTCCAGGGAATCTGTGATGCCAAGGGAAGTTCAGGACATCAAGGTCAGAAGCAACCATGGTGGGTTTCAGGCATGACACCGGGAGGTGGGGCAAATCTTTGAAGGGGGAGGCCTAGAAACTCCTCCAAACACCAGGGCAGGTGTAGGTGGAGCCAGGGGCAAAAACATAGGCTTTGGGTCAGGCCAACACATTCTCTTCATTTGCTCTCCGGGTGATGATGGCCAAGTGGCCACCCTGTGTCTCACTTTCCTCACCCGTAAAGTGCAGGTAATGACACCTTCCAGGCAGTGGTGAGAAAACTGATCAGACAACAGCCATCAAGCACTCAGAACAGTGCACGCGCATGGTGGTGCCAAAAAACATGGCGCCCCCCCTTCCCTTCTTAGCAGGAGGACAGGGAGAAATGCCAGCTCCCATCATCCCAATGCCCAGCATAAAGTTCCAATGACAACACCCAGCCGCTGCTTTCTGATAACTCTTTGCCACTGCCTACACCTGGCTCAGGGGCTACTCCCAGCCCCGTCTCTAACACGTCCTGTGACCTTGGGCAGGTTCCTTCCTCCCTTAGACTCAGCCTCCCCCTCTGTAAAATAGAGGAAGGGGTGATCATCTCTGACCCTTCCTAATGTCTCTCGTGCTCTCTTCCCTGAAAGGCTCTCCTTCCTGGTGAACGCCTTAGCTAAGCAGGTCATGAACCTCCTAGTGCCATCCCTGCCCAATCTAGTGAAAAACCAGGTGAGTGGAATCAGGGCCTCTCTGGCCTGTGGGCATTGCGCCCCCTGTGGGGCTTGGGTGGAACTGCAAGTTGGTGCTAAGTGACTGGAGTCTCCTTGGGTGGGTTTTGCTGAAAGAATTATCTGGGGCTGGATAGCAAAGAGTCATGGAGTGGGGTGGGCCATTGACCCAGGCAGACAGGCAAGGTCATGGGACTGCTAAAAGTCAGCCAGGAGCCCGTGAACAGTGACGTGCTGATAAATTTTTAGCAATTGTCTCTGGAGGGGTTGTTGAAGGGAGGCAAACCTGATTTGTAGCTTTTGCGGATTTCCCTGGTGGAAATACTCCCTTCAGGGCCAATTTTAGGCGACCAGTGTGATGTCACTGAACAGAGTTGGGAAAAGATATACAATAGCACACGATTGTATATTTCCACTAAACAGATACATAAACATGATCTCAGGAGTAATAGATAGTAGTAAAATACAGCAAACTAATTAGGAAGCAATGCGTTTTAAATTTTTATTAAATTTGTTTTAATATAATTTATTTAATTGTAAGTTTATATGTCTAATTTGTAACAATGTCTGGGCTTAGCACCCAGCTCAGAAATTTGTGGAAATTTAACAATTGGTTCTCAAAAGCTAGTACAAGCTGGCTCTAGCACGGCACTGTCACACATCAATCTGGCTGTGGTATTCAGGGCTGCACCACCCACCAGGTCCTGTTGGATTTTTTTTCTGCGTCAGTAAACACAGGTGACTCTCATTTTAGTTGCCCCTATTTGTCACAGGTATACTAAAACTTTGTAAATTGAATTCATCCACATTAACCAGTGATTTCCACTGTAAATTCCAAGATGTGTTCGTAACAATGGGCCACCCGATCTAGGGTCAAAACACCTTGTCAAATAGCTAATATTTCTTGGAATAAGACTTTTTTCTTTGATTTTTGTTTTTGTTTGTTTGTTTTGAGACAGAGTCTTGCTCTGTCGCCTAGGCGGGAGTGCAGTGGCGCAATCTCAGCTCACTGCAACCTCCGCCTCCCGGGTTCAAGCAATTCTCATGCCTCAGCCTCCCAAGTGGCTGGGATGACAGATGAGCACCACCAGGCATGGCTAGTTTTTATATTTTTAGTAGAGACAAGGTTTTCGCCATGTTGGCCAGGCTGGTCTCAAACCCCTGACCTCAGGTGATCCGCCTGCCTCAGCCTCCCAAAGTGCTGGGATTATAGGCATGAGCCACTGTGCCTGGCGACTTTTTTCTTTGAAAAGATGATGTAATAAATGAAAAAATTTGGGGAAAAAAAATCCATAATCCTTTTACTTTCACCCAGGAGCGCTTTGATCTTTTGCAGATTGCCTTCCCACCTCCATCCACATGCACTAGTATTTTTAAGAGGCTGCTCTTGGTGTCAGCCTTTAAATCAGATCTATGTTTCAAAGTCATTATACAATACTTGTAATTATTAAATAGGTACATTGGGTTTAATAATTTACGAAAACATTCCAGCAAATCCTTTTTTAAATAATGTGATTTTATTAAGAGTACTTTAAAATGACAGTAGCAATATTTAAAACAGTATTTTAGGCCAGGGCCAGTGGCTCACACCTGTAATCTCAGCACTTTGGCAGGTCGAGGCGGGAGGATCACTTGAGCCCAGGATTTGCGACTTGCCTGGAAAACACAGAGAAACCCATCTCTACAGAAAAATAAAAAATTAGAATAGCTGGGCATGATGGTGTGCCCCTATGGTCCCAGCTACTCAGGTGGCTGAGGCAGAAGGATCGCTTGAGTCTAGGATGTTGAGGCTGCAGTGAGTCACAGTTGTGCCACTGCACTCCAGCCTAGGCATGACGGCAAGACTCTGTCTCAAAAACTAAATAAATAAATAACACTGCTTTATATAAACAATGTGATTCTTATTAAGAGTACTTTAAAACAATGGAGATTTTTATTTTTCTCCAAGTTGGCTTCCATGTCCTTACCTTCAAGAAAAATACAGTAAAACATTTAATCTCCATTTTGTGAAATATACATCAACTGTACAATATACTATTACGTTTGTTTCTCTAATAAGCTGGAGTTATGATTTTCAACTTCTGCTTCTGCACTAGTAAAGCTTAAGAGTAGCATGTATAGTCAAAGGAAGATCCATTATTTTAATAGTCGAAATATCTACATATTAAAGAGGCCAGGGAAAAATAAGTGAATAATCAAAAACTAAATAAAGCTCAAATAAGATCTTAAAAGGTTAATTTCAGAAGCAATACTGATTCAGCCCAATTCAAGCTACCTTTCTCCAGTACTTTTTTGGAAGAGAATGGGGAGAGACAGAGAGAGATGAGAAGGGAGGGAACCAATATAATGAATTAATGAATTGTGTGATATAATGAATATAATGAACAATGAATATAATGAATTGTGTGATCTCAAAGTTCAAGACAATGGCTTCTTATAGGTAGAATGTTGAGACTCCGACCTTTTAGCAAAGGTACGTATCCAGGGAGTTTTTTAAAGGGAATCCAAAAGTGAAAAACTTCATAACATTGGAATTTTCTTATGTAAGAAAGAAAATTTTGTTTCTTTGAATAATTTTATTTATCTGTTTCAAGGTGGGAATTTCATAAAGTAGGACCCAGCTGTAGATTTTCTTCCCAGCCTCCAGCAAAATCATATTTTATCTGGCATCACACTTTAATAGTTAAAAATATATTTTCCAGTAGAAAAGATGACAAAAACTTGGAATTATACAATGCTCCTTGCATAGTATCTGTCTTTAATGGTGAAAAGCTAAGTAGAAAGAACAATGTGTGAAAGCCGGCATCCCATTATCATCAGCAAATCCACTACATTCACTGGATTTGATATGATGGTCATAGAAATATTTTATTTGGCATGAAGGGAAAAGGCATAGCACGTTTAAGAGGTGAGCGTCTGGTAGGAGCTCATTTAGAAAATGTTGAGGCCAGGCGCAGTGGCCCACATCTGTAATCCCAGCACTTCGGGAGGCCAAGGCAGGAGGATCCCCTGAGATCAGGAGCTTGAGACCAGGCTGGCCAACATGACGAAACCCCGTCTCTACTAAAAATACAAAAATTAGCTGGGCGCAGTGGCGCACACCTGTAATCCTAACTACTTGGGAGGCTGAGGCAGAAGAATCACTTGAACCCAAGAGGCGGAGGTTGCAGTGAGCTGAGATAACGCCACTGCACTCCAGCCTGGGCGACAGAGAGAAACTCTATCTCAAAAAAAAAAAAATTAAAAATAAATAAATAAATAAAATGGGGATGATGGAATGACTTGCTTTATATAATTGTGAGTATTCCATAAGATGCATGGAAAAAAATCTAGCTAGGCTGGTCGTGGCGGCTCACTCCTATAATCCCAGCACTTTGGGAGGCCAAGGCAGGAGGATCCCCTGAGATCAGGAGCTTGAGACCAGCCTGGCCAACATGGTGAAATCCCA
Source organism: Homo sapiens (assembly GCF_000001405.40). Classification (NCBI taxonomy): domain Eukaryota; kingdom Metazoa; phylum Chordata; class Mammalia; order Primates; family Hominidae; genus Homo; species Homo sapiens. The sequence goes on from NC_000020.11 coordinate 33,295,436, forward strand.
TCTCTACTAAAAATACAAAAATTAGCCAGACATGGTGGTGGGCGCCTGTAATCCCAGTTACTCGGGAGGATGAGGCAGGAGAATCAGAGAGGATGAGGCAGGAGAATTGCTTGAACCTGGGAGGTGGAGGTTGCAGTGAGCCGAGATTGCACCACTGCACTCCAGCCTGGGTGACAGAGTGAGACTCGAAAGAAGAAAGAAAGAGAGAAGAAGAAAGAAAGAAAGAGAGAAAGAAAGAAAGAAAGAGAGAAAAAAAGGGAGAAAAGGAAGCAAGGAAGGAAAAAGAGAGAGAGGGAAGGAAGGAAGGAGAGAGAGAGAGAAAGAGAGAGAGAAGAAAGGAAGGAAAGAAGGAAGGAAGGAAGGGGAAGGGAAGGAAGGAAAGAAGGAAGGAAGGAAGGGGAAGGGGAAGGGAAGGAAGGAAAGAAGGAAGGAAGGGGATTGGGAAGGGAAGGAAGGAAAGAAGGAAGGAAGGAAGGGGAAGGGAAAGGGAAGGAAGGAAGGACGGAAAAAGAGAGAGAGGGAGGGAGGGAAGAAAGGAAGGAAGGGAGGGAGGGAGGGAGGGAGGGAAAATGTTGAAATCTTTTTCAGTGTAAATCCATGGGTCTCAACCCTCGTTGCACATCAGAGCCATCAGAACCTGAGAAACCTTTAAAAAATACTAATGGCTAGGCCCTACCCCAGATTCAGAAGTAACTGGTCTGGGTGGGTCCTAGTATCCCAGAGGACTCTACTGTGTAGCCAGGATTGAGACCTGCTGATAGAAATGAAGGATGGGGAATTGTGGGATAAAATGCAGAGGTTCCCCGGGACACTTTCCGGTGAGAAACAGGCTCCCCTGGCAGTGCCTGCTGGGAGTCTCTGAGCTGAAAGTCTTCCATCCTCTCTGGGCTCTAGATTGGCAATGCAGCCAGGAGCAGGGAACGGTTATTCATAGGAGTTAACATTTCTCAAAGGCATTGTCATTCCTCAAGAGTATTAAGGGGTGGTCAACAAGACAAAAATGTCCTCAATAATCTTGGAGCACTGCCCTGAAAAGTGAGTCAAATGTTTGACCTTCTCCCTAAGCAGAACAGCTCAGGTCAGGGTTAGGTTAGGTCAGAGTTTCTCAGCCTTGGTGGTACTGACATTTTGGGCTGGATAATTCTTTGTCTGGATGCTGTCCTATGCACAGTAGGATGTTTAGCTGCATCCCTGGCCTCTACCCACTAGTTGTCATCCCCTCCAAGTTGTGACAACTAAAAATGTCTCTAGAAATTTCCAAATGTCTCCTTGGGGACAAAATCTCCCCCTGTTGAGGACTGCTGGCAATTTTAGGAAGAGAAGTGCCCAGTGAGCAAAGGGATGTGTTGGGCTAGAAAGCCACAAAGGGCACAAAGAGATTGCCCAGGAGTCTGGTTGGGTCTGCCTTGCTGGCCTCTGTTCCAGAGTCTGACATGTGAAAAGAACTCAGTAGCAACTTGCTGTATGAATAAACAAATTCTCCATTTAACTCTTGTTTTTTCTTTTAAAGTAGAGTCTTGCTCTGTCACCCAGGCTGGAGTGCAGTAGCACGATTCCAGCTCACTGCAACCTCCACCTCCCAGGTTCAAGCAATCCTTGTGCTTCAGCCAACCAAGTAGCTTGGATTACAGGAGTGCACCACCATGCCTGGCTTTTTGTATCTTTAGTAGAGATGAGGTTTCACCATGCTGGCCAGGCTGGTCTCAAACTCCTGGCCTCAAGCGATCCACCCACCTTGGCTTCCCAAAGTGCTGGGATTACAGGCATGAGCCATTGCGCCCAGCCTCCATTTCACTCTCATGGAAAACATAGACACCTGTGAGCAAGACAAGGAGTCAGAGAGGGAGGGCTGCTGGCAGGCCAAGCACACCCTGGGCACAGGGAAAGGGACAAACCACTGCAAAAGGTCCCAGGTGGCCCTGCAGGCTGGGTTCAACACACGAATGAATCCTCAACCCATGGATGGAACCTGGCTGGCCATGGGCACAGCAGTAGGACACAGGCCAGGTGGGCTGGGCACAGCCCGGGGCTGCTGTGGGGCTGCATTCTGGCCCCTCCCTGATGGAGCCCCTTGCTTATGCTGTTGCAGCTGTGTCCCGTGATCGAGGCTTCCTTCAATGGCATGTATGCAGACCTCCTGCAGCTGGTGAAGGGTAGGTGCTCTGCTCTCTCTCCCACTTTTTCCTTTACTACGGAGCTGGCCTCCAGACCCTGACTCCACCAAGGGAAGGCCTCCCCAAGTCAGGCCTGAGCTGCAACTCAGGCCCAGAAGCAGGTGAGACAAGCATCAGTTGATCCCTGCCCCAGACGCGCAGACAGAAATTCGCCACGACTAGGACTTCATGAGCTCTTACTATTTGTGCAGTTGTCAGGTCAGTGGATGCCCCAAGTTCAAATCCCAGCTCTGCCCCTGACTTGCTCCATGACTTTGGGAAAGCTAATTTACCTCCTCATCCTCGGTTTCCTCATCCATAAAATGGGGCTTAACCATCCCTACAACATAGGATTGTTAGTGAGGAATAAAAGTCTACAGGAAAGTTCTGGGCACATAGCAGGTGTCCCTCTTGGCACAGAGAAGCACTTACAAATGCATGCTAAATGGATGGATGGATAGATGGATGGATGGATGGATGGACAGACAGAAGATGCTAAGATTACAAGCATGAGCCATCACACGCAGCCCCCGGACTAGTTTTTATGGATACTTTAGAAAACTGCAGCATCAAATAGTTCTATCCATCTCGTTGCAGTTTCAAATTTTCCCTCCATCCAAAGGGTTTGAGGTATCTGAGAAATTAAAGCATGGGTTAAAAACTGAGATATCTGGTTTAAAAAATAAAAATCAGAGATGATTCGAAGGGCAAAGACGGAAGGAAGTCATTTCTCCCTCCCCCAGCATAGCAGATACGGGAGGGCACAGGCTCCTGCCCCCACATCAGAACTCTGCCATGCTCAGGCCCCCAGAGTGGAAACTGGCGGAGAAGAAGAAAAGTCTACCAACTGCACTTTGGGATCAGAAGAGGCTCATTCCAAGGGCGACCAGAGAGGAGAAGGGAGAGCAGCATGCACTGAGCGCCACAGGGCATCTGCCATGGGCCACGCCCTCCCGCTGGGTGTTTTGTATAGGCACATCTCACTGACTCCTCAGACAACTCCATGAGGTGGCAGTCATGACCCCCCTTCACTGTGATGAAAGAGGCTCCGAGCAATGAAGTCACTGTCCAAGTTCACAGAGGCAGTTGGTGATAGAGGAAGACTTGAGTTCTGAGCGAGTGTCATTCGGATTGAGCCGTTACTAGGTGCCAGTTGTATACATGAAGCAGGAATTACTATTCTACCGCCGTTTCTTTCCTTTTTTCTTTTTTTTTTTTTTAATTCCCAAAGAGTTCTTCCAATCGTCAGATATTTGGTCAGTATTCAGAGTAGGATCCAGAGTTCACACATTACATTTTGTTGACAAGTCTGTAGATTTCTCTTTGTAAATCACATTTTTTTGTTGTTGTTATAGCCATTTTCGGGGACCTTATTGACTTTAATATACTTTTTTTTTTTTTTTGGAGACGGACCTTTTTTCTTTTTTTAAAGTAATTTTTACAGGAGTCATGCTCATCGTCTCTATGTCCTTCCGATTTTAGTACATGTGCTGCCCTGGCGGGCACTATACCCTCATTTTAAGACGAGGAAACAGATTCAGACGCGAGAAGAGACCAGCCAAGGTCACTGGGGCTCAAACCGAAGTCCAGCTGGCTCCTCCGCTGCCCCGAGGACGGGCCCGGAGGTCTCCCTGGAGCGGTAGGCGGCCGGTCCCTGGCCCTCCAGCACTCCCCATCCTCGGCCATACACCGGGGCAGGTGACACACCACCGCCACCTGGCGGCCAAGTGGGGAATTCTGACGCGAACACGAGATCTTTGGGGGGAGCAGAGGAGCCAGTTTGGATTTCAGAGTAGATGTTACCAGGCCTCTGGCTTCCAGCCTAAGCTTCCTTGAGATCCAGGTGCTCATAGGGTGTCCAGACCCAGAACCACCTGCATGGGGGACGCGGCTTTCAGTCTGGTAGGGGCGGTGGAGTGTTACATACAATAGTTCAGTTCCGTTCCAAACCGGGACTTTGGCATAAAACCGACTGGGTTCCCATGCTCTCATAGTATGGCTTTGAACAGGTCATTTCCCTTTCCTCAGACTTGGTTTCACCATCTGTAAAAGGGGGTAATAATAAGACCTACTTCCTAACGTTATCATGCAGATGAACCAGCTGACATGCAGAGGCCTGGCACTTAGTGGATGCTCGATAAATGTCACTGTCATCACTGTTTGCATCATTATTATCAACATCATTATTACCTGCTCCTCCCTACCTGCCCCCCCATGCAACAGTACAGCTCCACCTGGAAGCAGCCCCCCAACTTCCCCCTCCAATACTGCCCTCCACCCTCACAGAACTTTCTTCTTGTCCTTGAGCAGTGCCCATTTCCCTCAGCATTGACCGTCTGGAGTTTGACCTTCTGTATCCTGCCATCAAGGGTGACACCATTCAGCTCTACCTGGGGGTGAGTGTCCCAGGACCTTGAGGGTGAAGTGGGGACATTGCTGCCCTTCTCTGACCACCAGGAGTCAGATAGCATGGGCCTGTGTTAGGAGAGAAAATCCTGGTCACCATTAGGACACGGGCTGATCTAGAAAAATCACTGCAGGCTGAATATGTCCCATGCAAGTTTGTTTTGTTTTGTTTTTTTGAGACTGAGTCTCACTGTCACCCAGAGTGACATGGGGGGGCCCGAGTGGGGACACTGGGCCCTCAGCCTTTCTCTCAGGCAAGTCCCTGCCAATCCCCAAACCTATGACAACCTTGAAACAAAAGCCAAGGATCAAGAAACACAGACCTAAGTTTCTCTCCTAGCTCTATGATTCCCTGGCTATGTGACTTTGGGCAAGTTCCTTTACCTCCCTGAGCCTCAGTTTCCTTGTCTGCAAAATGTCAGTAATAATGGCCACTGAGGAGAGGATGAAATGAGACCACACCATGCCTGGCAGACCAGAAGTGCCCAGTAACTGTCAGCTCCCTGTCCAATGTGGAGCTGCACAGCCATGCTGTGGCTGGACGCCCCAAAGGGCCAGACCATCCTGGTAGCATGAATCCCAGACTAGGTTTCTTTTGTTTTGTTTTTTTGAGACTGAGTCTCACTCTGTCACCCAGGCTGGAGTGCAGTGGTGCCATCACAGCTCACTGCAGCCTTGACCTCCTGGGCTCAAGCGATCCTCTCACCTCAACCTCCTGAGTAGCTGGGACTGCAGGCACTCGCCACCACGCCTGGCTAATTTTCTGTATTTTTTGTAAAGATGGGGTTCCGCCATGTTGCCCAGGCTGGTCTCAAACTCCTGGGCTCAAATGATCCTCCCACTTCGGCCTCCCAAAGTGCTAAGATTACAAGCATGAGCCAACACGCCTGGCCCCTGGACTAGTTTCTATGGATCCTTTGGAAAACTGCAGCATCAAATCGTTTCTTCCATTTTGTTGTAGTTTTTAATTTTCCCTCCATCCAAAGGGTTTGAGGTGTCTGAGAAGTTGAAGCATGGGAAAAAAAACGAAGATATCTGGTACAAAAAATAAAAGTCAGAGATTATCCGAGGGGCAAAGATGGAGTAGATGTTGCCACACACCTGAGCTCCAGGCTAAGCTTCCTGGCAACAAATGCACAAAAAGGAAACAGGCTGAATGGTGTCATTTCCTTCTAGGTTGCTATTGGGTAAGCTGCAGAGTTAAAATTCTTAGCTGACTCCCTGCTCTGTCTCCTCAGGCCAAGTTGTTGGACTCACAGGGAAAGGTGACCAAGTGGTTCAATAACTCTGCAGCTTCCCTGACAATGCCCACCCTGGACAACATCCCGTTCAGCCTCATCGTGAGTCAGGACGTGGTGAAAGCTGCAGTGGCTGCTGTGCTCTCTCCAGAAGAATTCATGGTCCTGTTGGACTCTGTGGTAAACCTCAGCACAAGGCAGAGAATAGGGCCGCCCAGGCCACATCATAGGAATTTCCTGAACACAGGGTGCCCCTAAGCAGGAATCCTCCATCAGGCTCAGTTTAATGGAGATCTCACTCCCTCCTCTAATAGACCCTGCCTCTGACATAGCTCTAAACCTAAAATCCTCCCGGTAACATCCAGCCCCAGTCATGGTTCTACCCTCTGGAATCTGATGCAAATGTTTCCTCTACCAAATAACAGTCTCGTGAAATCAAAAGGCATCTTAGATATGCAGTAGTCCAGGGGTGATAAATACATCTCAGATAGTGAGTAGTCCAGGGATGGCGACTGTGCCACTGCTCACCACTATGACACTCATGGCAGACATCACTAATCGATCAAGGCTCTCCTTTCTACTGAGTCTGGATGCTGACACAACCTTGGAATCCTTATTAACAGGGCACAGCCGATAACCACCACCAGTCAACTATGTTGTGCCACCTCCTCCCGGGTGACTGACGGGGAAATTGAGGTCCAGAGGGGGAAAGGGTTGGTCCAACGTTATGGGAGGATGGCAGAACTTCAGGGCAGCTGACAGACAACCAATAACCAAGCTCTCAGGGGACTGGGATGGCGAGAAAATAGGGAGTGGTCACCAACTAGCCCATTCATGATTGCAGTAAAAATGAAATCACCTCTCTATGTCCTCTGAGATCAGGAAGCTGCCCCCAGACCCACAACCATCACCAGCCCACAGTAAAAGTCCAGGCCAGCAGGACCCCATGCCCCATAGAAGCTGACCTAGGGGCTGTTTTTCCACCAATGACAGACACATGGCTTGGGTCACTGGGCCCACCCAGCTTTTCTGGGGTCCTGGGAAACCTTCCTCCCAGCAGTGGGGTGCAGGAGATGTGCCTCCCTGTGCCCTCCAACTGACCTTCTCTGGCTCCTCTCACCCTCAGCTTCCTGAGAGTGCCCATCGGCTGAAGTCAAGCATCGGGCTGATCAATGAAAAGGTTGGTCTGTTTGCCATCTGCAGCTTGAGGGGTGTTTGCTGTGGTCTGGACACAGGCCTCTGGGGAGGAGAATCTAGTGGGACTAGTGTTTCATTCCAGCACTGGGACACTCAAACCGCATCCCTGTCCGCACAGAGATTTCAGTCTAGCAGGCCAGTTTGACCTGAAGCAAATCATCACATGGATAGTATTTCCATTACAGCTGCAGTAACACAGGACAGGTTCTAGGGGCCATGAGAACACTCTGGGCCCCTGATACAGTCTGGGACGTCAGGGAGGCCTCCCTGAAGGGAAGGGCATTCCAGACAGAGGGAACAGGAGACCAAAGGCTGCCAGGTAGGGAGAACAACACAACATTCAAGGATCTGCAAGAAGGACAGGGTGGCTGGAACACGTGAGGGAGCAGGGAGCCCAGGAAGGCAGGCAGGGGCCAGGCCACACACAGAGCCTGTGGGCCATGGTGGGCACTTGGGAGGCCACATGTGGGTCTGATCTCCTTCCAGGCTGCAGATAAGCTGGGATCTACCCAGATCGTGAAGATCCTAACTCAGGACACTCCCGAGTTTTTTATAGACCAAGGCCATGCCAAGGTGGCCCAACTGATCGTGCTGGAAGTGTTTCCCTCCAGTGAAGCCCTCCGCCCTTTGTTCACCCTGGGCATCGTGAGTTCAGTTGTCTGCGATATTGGCAGCAACCAGGGGGACCCTTCTGTCTACTTTTCCTGTTCGCCCTCTTGCTTTGTTAAACATTTCCACCACTCTCATCACTTAGCAGGGACAGGGGACAGGGAGCTCTGAACCAAGAGCCAGGAGCTTTGTGGGTCCAATTCTAACCCTGTGACTTTCTTAGTCAGGAATCTCTGGACAGAAACTCAACTCATATGCACAAAAGGAATTGTATTAGCTCCTATAACTAAAAAGTCTAGATGCTATTGACTTCGGGAATAGCTGGACCCAGGTGCTCAAACAATATCCTCTTCATTCTCCTCTCTCCCACCTAGCAGCCTTGTTTTCCTCTGTGCTGCCTTCATCCTCAGGCAAGCTATTCCCTCATGGTAGTGCCCCAGGCTGCATTAGGCTCATATCCTATCAGCTTGGCAATCACCGCAGGAAGAACCTATCTTTCCAATAGTTCCAGCAAACATCTCAGGGCTGACTCTCACTGAATGAGCCTGAGTCAGTTGCCCATTCTTGAGCCAATCAGTGTGTCCAGAAAAATGGAATATGAAAACTTCCTGAGCTGGGCCACCTACACACTAGGGTAAGGGAGTGAGGGCTCTATGAATAGTGGCTGCTTTCGTCGTCGTCATCGTCATCATTATCATTCCCCACAGCAAGCCTAGACTGTCATCTGTTAAATGGGGAGTGGAGGCAAGTACTATCTCATTTAACAGATGAGGCAGGTGAGGCCCAGAGAGGTCAAACCCTTTGCCAAGGTCCCAGAGCCAGGAACTGAGATTCAGACCCCAGAGCCTCCCTGCATAACCCCTAATTCCACACTCGGATCCTCTTGAGAACAATGGGGCCTGGGCTTCTCTTGTTGCAGGAAGCCAGCTCGGAAGCTCAGTTTTACACCAAAGGTGACCAACTTATACTCAACTTGAATAACATCAGGTAAACACACAAATCATCATGAAGATTCTGCTGATGGAAATGAGTCCCGCCTGGTAACCATGGGTTTCTTTAAACACCGACTTTGTGGCTGTCAGGTGAAGGCGGCTCCAGGGTAGGCAGGGAGGTCCTTCCGGATGCTCCTGCTGACAAGGACTGCATGTGAGGGAATGGGGAGGAAAATGAAGTAGGCCTTGCAGCAGCCACGGCACAGGCAAACCCTAGCCGCGGCCAGCCCACTCTGGACACCTCCCAGGCCGTGGCAGTGACAGTCACCCGGCACAGAAGTGCAGGGCTCCAGCTGCCTCCTGCACCCTGCCTGTTCTCCCTCCCCGCCACTTTCCTGTGGCCCCAGAGTGAGTGCAGGGGCTGCCAGCTGGAGCCTCTGGGGACAAGTCAGGCCCAGGGCTCTTTTGATCAGCCCACATAGGGCTGGGCTGTTTAATATAAATGAGTTGTGCACATATCAAATCAGACTATCTGGCTGCCCTGTGCCCACAATCCTACATAGCAACAAACTGTCGAGCCAGGAATTGGGGCGCCCTTTGAAGGAGCTTGGGCCTCCTTGTCCACCACAGCCCTGACTCCTGAGGTTGATTTTTCTGCTCACTGGACTGCTATTTGTTTTCTGTGCCCCCTCTATGCCCCCCACCCCACCCCTGCCATTAGAATGCAAGCTCCACGACGCAAGGGCTTCATGTGGTTCACTGGAGCCCGCACTGTGCCTGGCACATAATAGGTGCTCAATAAATCGCTGTTGAATGAGTGGATGGTGAATGAGTGGGACTTCAGGGGCCGCTCTCACAGGCATCTTCCATTGCAGCTCTGATCGGATCCAGCTGATGAACTCTGGGATTGGCTGGTTCCAAGTAAGTGTTAACAGGTGGTGCCTGAGGGCACAGGGGGTGGCCTGGAATGGTCCACTCTCAAAACAGATATTGCCCAGGATTTGCTTCAAACAAGGTCCCCACAGAAGCACCATGGGGGGCTGGCCGGTCTCCACCAAAGTCCAACTTCCCTCGAGTGTTTACAGAGAAGCCACCACGTGTCAGACACAGCTGAGAACACACACACGCACACACAAATACACTCACAGATACACACTTTCTTTCAGTGAAGTTTTGATCCTGAATTAGAACACAAGTGCCCTTGACTCACAATCTCATTCTGCACACGTAGACGCGCCTCAGTGCCCCTAGACAGCCCTTTCCTGCTGGGATTCAGACCGAACCCCAATACCTCAGTCTGGCGTGTTTTCTCTGGTTTTTATGATTTGTTTTTCACTATTTTTGACTTTTTTTTTTTTTTTTTTTGAGATGGAGTCTCGCTCTGTCGCCCAGGCTGGAGAGCAGTGGTGTGATCTTGGCTCACTGCAACCTCCATCTCCCGGGTTCAAGCAATTCTCCTGCCTCAGCCTCCTGAGTAGCTGGGACTACAGGCGCCCACCACCACGCCCGGCTAATTTTTTGTACTTTTAGTAGAGACAGGGTTTCACCATGTTAGCCAAGATGGTCTCGATCTCCTGACCTCATGATCTGCCCGCCTTGGCCTCCCAAAGTGCTGGGATTACAGGCATGAGCCACCATGCCCGGTGACTAATATTTTAAAACACGGAGAGTTCCACATGCAAATCAGGACTTCTGGCTTCCCTCCAGAAGTCAGAAGTTCAGGCAATGCAGGGCAAAATTCCCTCAGGGCAAATTCAGCTGCAACAGAGTGGTGGGGCCCCTGAGGATGGGGCATCCTCCAATGCACCCCAATCCCCCCATCTACCAGGCCCCAGGGGCGGCTGAGTTCATGCCCCAACCCAGCCCATCTGGTCCCTGGGAGCCCCCACAGCTCTGATCAGCAGGGGACCTGGAATTCCTACATCTCCACCAGCCACCTCACCCATGGGGAGGAGCCACACCCACGAAGAATGATGGGGGGGAACTTCAGATGCTCAACCAGGGTGACAGTGCCCCTTCTCTCTCTCACAGCCTGATGTTCTGAAAAACATCATCACTGAGATCATCCACTCCATCCTGCTGCCGAACCAGAATGGTGCATACCTCTGCCATCTGTGCCCCCTCTCTCCCCAGGGCTTGGCTTTACTTCCCCTGCCCTCATCTCCATGAATGGGGCCCCTTTCATTCATCTCCCAGCCATCCCTCAGAGCCTACTTCAAAATCTGCCTCCTCCCAAGAACCTTCTCAGCCCAATTCCTTTGCTAGTGCCAGAGGCTGGGCTCGTAAAGATGAACCAAGCAGTGGGCCAGACTTGCAGGGCTGGAAGGAGACAGAGGCATAAGCAGACAATGAGAGCAATGACAGAGGTGTAAGAGACAACTGGAGGCGCCTCAGCAGACCCTGTTCCCCCTCTTGCTAGTGCCTGGCCTTGGTCAAGCTGCACAATCCTTCTGAGCCTCAGTTTCTCCATCTGTAAAATGGGGACGTAGAAGTACCTTCTTCAGAGGCACAAATCAGGAGGTGCCTGGCACAGTCAGTGCCCAACACTCTAATTCAGCCCCAGGTTGAATGAGGGGTGGGAAGGGTTTGTAACCTATACAGTTCCACCTTTTTAATTTCTTTATTTTATTAGACTGGAAAAATCTCAAAGTATAGAAACCTCTGCTGGGGATAATGGGAGCCCCTGATGGTTCTTGAGCAAGAGCGTAAGAGAATGTGAGGACTGCATTTTGTGAGGGGCCAGAAGCCAGTGCCAGAGGCAAAGGGAGGGTAGACGAGGCTGGGTCAATGCTGGGGCCAGAGAACAGGCGAGCAGAGGCAGAGGGGGCTGTCTGATCAGGCCTGCCAGGCCGGGGCTCCCCTTCAGGAACCCTGAGCCTGCCCCTGGCTGCCCAGTCTCACCCCAGGCCCATCAGTTTCTGACCACATTTGTTATTTCAGGCAAATTAAGATCTGGGGTCCCAGTGTCATTGGTGAAGGCCTTGGGATTCGAGGCAGCTGAGTCCTCACTGACCAAGGTGAGTGGGTGTGGCCCTAAACATCCTGCCCCAGGGAGGGCACAGCCACTGAGAGCCCTGGCTGGGAGGTGGGGCCTGCACTCCAACCCCAGCCTACAGGTGACCCTGGGCAAGTCCCTTCCCCTCTCAGGGCCTCACCTCCTCATCTGCAAGTGAGAAGGTTGGCTGTGCTGAGGATGGAACCCTCCTAGCCTGGGGTCAGTACACTTTTTCCACCCCCTTGTCATTCATTCATTCATTCATTCATTCAGTAATTCACTAAATATTTTTCGAGGGTCTTCTATAGGCAAGCCATGCTTCTGAGTGCTTGAGGCCACCGAAATGAACAAATGGAAAACACTCCCATCTTTTTCAAGCCTACCTTTTAGCAGAAGAGGCAGATACACAAGCCCTAAAGATGTAACATCAGGCTGAGTGGAGGAAGGCTGAGAAGAAAAATAAAGCAGGCTCAGGAGGAGAGAGTGATGTCAGGGAAGGGGGTGCTGTTTCAGATGGGGTGGCCAGGGAGGGCCTCTCTGAGGAGGTAACATTTGAGCCAATGCCTGAGGAGGTGAGGGGTGAGCCCTGTGGGTAGCTGGGAGAAGTGTCCCGTCAGAGGGACAGCGTATTAGGCCGTTCTCACACTGCTATAAAGAAATACCTGAGGCTGGGCTCAGTGGCTTGTGCCTATAATCCCAGCACTTTGGGAGGCCAAGGTGGGCAGATCACCTGAGGTCAAGAGTTCGAGACCAGCCTGGCCGACATGGCAAAACCCAGTCTCTACTAAAAATACAAAAATTAGCTGGGCGTGATGGCGGGTACCTGTAATCCCAGCTACTCGGAAGGCTGAGGCAGAAGAATTGCTTGAACCCAGGAGGCGGAGGTTGCAGTGACCTGAGATCACGCCATTGCACTCCAGCCTGGGCAACAAGAGTGAAATCCATCCCCCCCCCAAAAAAAAAAGGAAAGAAAATAAATACCTGAGACTGGGTAATTCATGAAGAAAAGAGGTTTAATTGGCTTGTGGTTCTGCAGGCTGTACAGGAAACACGATGCTGGCATCTGCTCAGCTTCTGGGGAGGCTTCAGGAAACTTCCAATCATAGCGGAAGGCAAAGGGGAAGACTGCACATCACATGGCCCAAGCAGGAGCAAGGGGTGGGAGGTGCTACACACTTTTAAACAACCAGATCTCACAAGAGCACACTCACCATCACGAGAACAGCACCAAGAGGATGGCGCTAAACCATTCACAAGAAACCAGCCCCATGATCCAATCAGCTTAGACCCCACCTCCAACATTGGGTTCTACATGAGATTTGGGCGGGGACACAGATCTAAACCATATCAGATGTCAAGTGCAAAGGCCCTGAGGCAGGGATTGTTGGTGTTCCAGGAAAGATGAGGAAGGAGGCCCAGGATCTGAGGCAACATCCAAGGCAGGTAACCTCATAGGCCTGAGATGCATGCATGCACACACACATATACACACACACACGCACACCTTTATACACCTATACACATACATACACACGCACATACAAACACATACACCTTTATACACATACATACACACACACACCTTTATACACCTATACACATACATACACACGCACATACAAACACATACACCTTTATACACATACATACACACACACACCTTTATACACCTATACACATACATACACACGCACATACAAACACATACACCTTTATACACATACATACACACACACACCTTTATACACCTATACATATACATACACACACACATACATATTGCACACATACACACCACACACATACACACTACACACACACACATAATACACACACCACACACATACACACTACACACACACATACACACACACATAATACACACACCACACACATACACACTACACACACACCACACACATACACACATACATACACACACATACACAGAGACGCACACATACACATATACACACATACACACACTACACATGCACATACACATACACACACACACACACACCATGTGGCCAGATGGTCTCAGCTCAAGGCCAGGATCATGTCCATCTTGTCCATGCCTCTGTCCCCGGTGCTCAGCATGGCCTGGCACACAGTAGGTGTTCAATAAATGCTTGGTGAGCAAATGACTCTCCGTGGCATCTGCTGGGGAGAGGATCTATGGCAGTGTCACCCTCGCTCCCAAATACTACCCTTAAGAAGAACAGCTCACAGTCACTGTGTGCCAGGCTCTGGGGCATCTCTCCCCCTCTAGAGTGGAGCCAAAACTTCAAGAAGGCAGGGGTTTCTGTCTGCTTTGTTCTCTGTTGTGATCAGTGGCTGCACACAGTAGGTGTTTAGTAAATGCCTGCTAACTGAGATGGACACCTTACTGTCATTAGCTCATGCAGAGGAGGGGCCCAAAGCAGGGGGTGATCAAGGCGGGTGCTAAGTGCAAATCCCACTTCTGCCACCTACTGAGTGCGTGACTTTGGAAAGGGGCTTTTGCCATCTTCAAGTCTCAGTGTCCCCATCTGCAAAATGGAGATGACATCAGGACCTGGTGTGGCATTAATGTTCACACACAGACCCTCCACCCCGACCCTTCTAAGAATTCTGTATTTGTGGGTTCAGGGTCATGGTCCCCCGGTGCCAGCAGTCACCTTATGGAGGACAAAACCAGCATAAACCACAAGGCAAAAGGTTAAAGAAACCTGTTTTCTGACTTTTCCCCTCCAATTCCAGGATGCCCTTGTGCTTACTCCAGCCTCCTTGTGGAAACCCAGCTCTCCTGTCTCCCAGTGAAGACTTGGATGGCAGCCATCAGGGAAGGCTGGGTCCCAGCTGGGAGTATGGGTGTGAGCTCTATAGACCATCCCTCTCTGCAATCAATAAACACTTGCCTGTGATGCCTGCCGTCTGGAGTCTCTTTGTCCCGGCACAGGAGTCATTTTGCCCCTGGCAGGCTTGGGGACTGGATGGCTGAGCCACACCTGGGTCATGTTCAGGCACATCTGAGCCAATCTGGGTGATGTCTGGGCCACATGTGGATGATGTCCACAGTCTTGACCACCTCCCTGTGCTTCAGGAATCAGAAAGCCAGCTCTTCCCACCTGCCTTCATGTCAGCCTCAAGACCATCTTCAGTGGGATGGCTTTTAGGGTGGGGGACATATGTTTTGTTTATCTTGGCAGTGTGGTGGACAGAGGACTCTCTGAACAATGTGGATCTGGGGGCAGATGAACTAGGCTTGGAGCTCTGGCTGGCCTCTTAATGCTTCTTTGACTCTGGGATGTAGTTTCCCCTCTGTGGGCCTCAGTTTCCTTCTCCGTAAAATGGGGATAGTCATTGTCTCTGCCTTGGAGGGCTTTGGTGAGGAGTAAATGAGAGAACAGTTCCAGATACATGGTAGATACTCAGACAATGTCGTCTGTGGGTGGTCATTACTGCTGTTGCCTGGCCTCTGGAGTGTTCAGCCTTATCACCAAAGTGCCATCCTGCTCAGACAGTGCATGACTGCCTTGTCTTTCTGGCCTCCCTGATGTCAGGGCGCTTGGGACAGACAATAGGGTCCCTGTTCTCCAGACCTCAGGCCTGCCCAGTACCTTCAGTTACACGAGGGCCTTGCAGGAAGGGATAGGGTAGGCATCCCAGGAAAATGCGTTGCTCATCATGAGAGCACAAACAGGCATAAGATATACAGCTCACAGCCCAGAAGGGCAGCCAGGGACATTGGCCAGGCCAAGAGGCACACAGAGGCACCAGGCCACAGCCTTGCACAAGGTGCTTACACCATTGTCAGTGACCACTTACCCAACAGCTACTGAGTGCCAGGGCTGTGTGGAAGTTCCCCACGCATCCCAGCTCCCAGCCAAACAGCTGCCCAGTGCCAGGGCTATGTGGAAGCTCCCCACGCATCCCAGATCCCAGCCACACTTTGGGTAGGATTTTGTTCCCCACACATCACATTCCATTATTTTTCTAAATCATATTCAATCTGCATTTGAACTCCCATTCACAAAGGAGGTGACAAAGTCCATCTCCATCTTGCCTAGGGTTGGACTCTTCTGGCTCCCTAGGGTCATACAAGGATCTTTTGGGGGCTTCCAGGGAGCCTGGAGGATGGAGTAGCCCCTCTAGTCTGGGTCCCACCTGGTCCTGATGAAGGGATCCCTGTCCCAGTCCACGTGACCCTGTCAGAGTCAAGTAGCTCCTCCACCCCAGCCAAGCGGGGCACAGGGATCCTTCTCCAAAACAGCCCGAGCCGTATATCCTCCGCGTCCCATCACCCACACCCTCTGGGGCTTCCTGGGGGTCAGCAGATACATAACCCTGGCTTCCTCACCCTTTGGGGGAGGGAACAACTCTAGGACACCTGCTGTAGACAGGCTCCCAGCTCACCAGCGGGACTGGGCCCCAGTTGTCCATGCTGATAACCAGCGTGCTGACACAGTTTTTTTTTTTGGTGGGGGGGGTGTGGTTTGGGGTTTGGTTTGGTTTTGTATTGTTTTGTTTTGTTTTGTTTTGTTTTTTGAGACAAGGTCTTGCTCTGTTGCCCAGGCTGGAGTGCAATGACACAATCTCAGTTTACTGCAGCCTCAAACTCCTAGATTCAAGTTATCCTCCTGCCTCAACATTCCAAGTAGCTTGAATTATAGATGTGCACCACCATGCCCGGCCCAATATGCTCTTTATAGGTTGCCTCACCTCCCCACCTCACTTCCACACTCCCCTACCAGTGTTCCCTGGGGTCATCTCCCAAATCAACTACCTGCACTCCAATCCTGTTCTCAGGGTCTGCTTCTGGTGAACCTCAATCAAGATAGCCATTTGCTCCAGGCAGGCACTATTCTAAGGATCTTCCAGACCTTTGGTCACGCCACCTTCCCCAGCGCCTGTGGCACAGGCTCCCCCCACACCTGCACCTGACAAATGAAGAAACCAAGGCTCTGACAACTCTGCACCACTCCCAAGCAGCCCCCAACTATTACCCCACACCACCTCCTTCTTCTCTCTGCTCCTTTATCGCCTACCCACTTGGGTTTCCACCTCCCCCAAAAAAAGAGAGGGGTTGTTCTCCTGTGCCAGCCTCCTGATTTGGGCCTTGAAACACAACCACCCTCCATGAACTGCTGAGGCTCCTCCAGGCTGGGAATTCCACGACTCCACTGCCTTGCTGGGCTGCGGGAGGAAAACTCCTCAATTTCCTGCTGTCTTAGCAGCAGCAGCAAAGAGAAAACACCAAGAGATCTCATTAAATCATCGTGCCTTGCAGGAATTAGTACTGTGTTTGTCTTACAGATGGGAGATGAAGTAACAAACAGCTGGTGATGTGATGGGGCTGGGGCGGGAACCCAGGCCTCACCCACTTTGCCCTGAGCCTCCCAGCTGAATCCACAGCAGGTTATAGATCCAATTTTCTTTCTTTCTTTATGTCTTTTTTTTTGAGACAGGGTCTCACTCTGTCGCCCAGGCTAGAGTACAGTGGTGCAATCTCTGCTCACTGCAACCTCCGCCTTCCCAGGCTCAAGCAATTCTCCTGCTTCAGCCTGCCGAGTAGCTGGGATTACAGGCATGCGCCATCATGCCCGGCTGATTTTTGTGTTATTAGTAGAGACGGGGTTTCGCCATGCTGGCCAGGCTGGTCTCGAACTCCTGACCTCAAGTGATCCACCCGCCTCGGCCTCCCAGAGTACTGGGATTACAGGCATGAGCCACCGCGCCGGGCCCCAGTTTTCTTTTTCTTCAAAATAACGGTAACAACCAGCAGCCTCTGCTCCCAGCACAGTGTTATCTACTTCCTGTGAGTTGAGCATTCCCCTTTTACAGATCAATAAACTGAGGCTCAGAGAGAGGCAGTAACAGTGTCTTGCCCATCTCCGTGTCCTGCCTAGGGCTTCCCTTTTGTGGAAGACACCCCCATGAAACCTCCCATCTCTCAGCAGAGATTAGTCAATGAGGTAAGCATATGGAGGCCGTGGGGCTCCGGTCTTTTTCATTTAGAGACCAGATTTGGGAAGGAAAGAAGACCTCAGTGGTTCCACTAACACCCTGCGCCTTCCTGGTGACTCAGGTGAGCAGTTAACCCAAGAGCTTTTCTCTGCCCTTGGCAGAAGGAAGACAGCCCTTCACAATAATATTGAGACCCAGTTTGCAGAAATGAAGGGGACCTATCAACTCTTAAATCATATTCTAACCCAAAAAATCTGAGATTCTAAAATAAGAATATCCCATCTAATCTATGCTGCCAAGTCATATTAGGTTGATGCAGCAACTTAATACTGACACTAGCCCTTTGCTTTTGAGGTTAGCCAAAACGAGAACTTCAGAGCTGCCATTGACCTTGTGCTTCCTGCACAGCTGCTGTCTTCTAGACCCCACCCTTCAGGTTGGGCACGGTGGCTCATGCCTGTAATCCCAGCACTTTGGGAGGCTGAGGCAGGCAGATCACGAGGCCAAGAGATCGAGACCAGCCTGGCCAACATGGAGAAACCCCGTCTCTAATAAAAATACAAAAATTAGCCAGACATGGTGGCACGCACCTGTAGTCCCAGCTACTCGGGAGGCTGAGGCAGGAGAATCACTTGAACCTGGGAGGCGGAGGTTGCAGTGAGCCGAGATCACGCCACTGAACTCTAGCCTGGGCAACAGAGAGAGACTCCATCTCAAAAAAAGAAAAAAAAAAAAGAACTTGCCCTTCCATTGTCAGCCTCTCTGCCCCAGGTCTCCAGCCAAAGAACACAGTTTAACACCTGCTCTGTCCATGCCTCTGAGTTGTGAAAGGGAAAGACATTAACCCCAGGAGGAAACCCTGTGAAAAATCCAAAATCCACCTAGAGAAGAGTCACACCTGCCATTGGGGTGCCCATACTAGACAGCAATTAATGAAGCCGTCAATGCTGACACAGCCAGCTGTGCACACTCGCAGTGGGGATGCCAGGATTCCCACATCAAAGGACCCTGGCACAGCAGTTTGGTTGGGAGCTAGGTCTCCGAGTCTTGGAGCTGCGTGGCATAGTGACACCAAATTTCTCTTTCACTGAGTGGTCAGACCCCTCTCTGGGCCCTGATTTCAAATCCCAGCTTTATCATGGACATGCTGTGTGACCCAGAGCAAGGTACTTAACGTCTCTGAGTCTCAGTTTTCTCATCCATAAAATGGAAGTTAAAAGAAATAACTTTTTGAACACTTCCTATATGCTAGGCCCTGTACTGAGTTGCCTTAACGAACCTTCACCATACCAAAAAGACATAAATGGATCTATCATTCCCATGTTACAGACACGAAAAGTGAGGCTCAGAAGAGAAAGCCACTTGCCCACAGTCACACAGCTCCTGATTGAAGGTGGCAGTTTGAGCCCAGGCCTGTCTGGCTGCAGAGACCATGCCATTGGTGACCACGTCATAGCAAAAACTGATGGCTTGGACAACCTAGACAGAAAGGGCATAGGTCCTGAGACTCGGCAGAGCTTGAAAGTAATTTTAAAATTAAAAAATTTTTTAAAAGACTATAGAGAATGGCTACCAGAAGGTGGACCCCAGAGCCCCCCTGCCTGGCCCTTGCCACCCACCTGCTCTCCTCCCTCTGCCTCACCCCCACACAATCACTCCCGTGGGTTCTATGACTGCCACATCCTGTACTAGGAGCCCCCGCAGGGCCCCTCCCGAGAGCTGGGGTCCCTACCAGGGCTCCACAGCTCCAAGGACGTTCCAAACGGAAATGACCCACTCTCAAAATCACAGGGCCCCACCCGCCTCCTCCCTAAAGCCTGTTGGTCCAGGACTCAGGGCCTGCCCCTCCAGCCTCAGTTTTGGCCAGAAGCCCCTTGCCACCCAGTGCCAAGAGGACCTCTCCCTCCACTGAAGAGCTCCTCTGAGCCGCAAGCCTGGCCAAGGGGCTGGACTTCCTGCCCGGGTACCCACCCGCCTGGGCTTCTGAGCTCAGGTTAAAAAAGTTGTCTTTCTGGGAAGCTGGAGACAGAGGCCAAGGAGAGATTCCAGATAACCCCATTCTTGGAGATGTAAGGCCAAGGAGGTCAACGGGGCATTTCTCAAATATTTCTTGAGCACCTATAAAAACGTTGTGAAGTGGCACACAGATTTTTAGCACCAGGCGAACCTGGGCCGGAATGCCGGCTCTGCCACTCACTACCTGTGTCACCTTGGGTAAGTTATCTCTCCATTCTGAGCCTCAGTTTCATCATCTGTATCTTGGGCCTGATATCAATGATCTGAGACCATTGGGGTGAGGACTCAATGATGCGATGAAGCTTGTGCAGCCCTCAGCATGGTGCCTGGCACATAGTATGGACTCCAGAAGTCAGGGTCGGTATGGCTGGCTCAACCCAGGAAGTGGAGAGGGTGGAAAGATGAGTGTGCTGTGCTGAGGGCAATGGGGGAAAGAGATCTGACTTGAGTGAACTGATAGAGAAAAGTGTTTGACACAGAGACTGACTAAGTGCTGGTTGGATGAATAGTGGATGCATTTGACATCAGCTTGGAAGAGCAAATGCCACAAGCACAAATTTCACAGCCCAATCAATACAAAGCAGTTTGTGTATGCAAACAAACACAAAACCATTCTCTTTCCGTTATCCGATTTGGTCACTGTTTTGAAATCCTGTGCCACCAAGTAGCAAAAAACTGGATACTCAAGGCAATGCCAGGACATTCTAAGGCACTCCAGCGTAGGCTTAGCCACTTCAGGGGTCTCCTCGCCTTGCTCAAGGGCAGCGTCTACCCTCTGGGTGGCTTCTTCATGGGCATGGCATGGAGGGCAATGGTAGCTCCTCTGTGGGCCCTGTTTATAGTGACATCTGCCCTAGAGATGTCTGCATTTTGGCTGGTCCCTGCCTTGCAGTTCCAGAAGCTTCGTTTCCTAGTGGAATGCTCCTGCCCACCCAGACAGCCCCTGCCTGCAGATTCTGGGGTCCCAGCTATGCCCTTTCAGACACGTGGCAGGGCTGAGGTTCTGCTGGTAGGAACTGGTGGTACAAATGCAGTGTTTGGAATATTTCTCTGCTAGCTGGTAAAGATCTGTAGCTTTAAGCCCCCCAGGTGCCTACCGCTACCACCTCTCTGACACCTCCCCCAGAACCTCTATCCCATAGCAAACTCAAGATCCAGAAGCCTCCAGTGTTAAAAGGAAGTGCTAGGCTATGAGGAATGACTCACACTTGTAATCGCGGCACTTTAGGAGGCCAACACAGGAGGATCGCTTGAGTCCAAGAGTTCGAGACCAAACTGGGCAACATGGCGAAATCTAGCCTCTGCTAAAAATACAAAAATTAGCTGTGCATAGTGGCATGCTCCTGTAGTCTCAGCTACTTGGAGGCTGAGGCAGGAGGATTCCTTGAGTCTGGGAAGTCGAGGCTGCAGTGAGCCAAGATTGTGCCACTACATTCCAGCCTGGGTGACAAGGCAAGACCCTGTCTCAAAAAAAAGGGGGAAGTAATACATCCTTTAACCTCTCACAATGTCATCCAACCATATTAACAGCTGTTGGGCACTCACTGCTTGCTAAGTGCTTTGCACATATTATGGAACATATTCCTCACAACGACCTAGAATTGTCCCCATTTTACAGATGAGAAAACTGAGGCATGAAGAGGTCCTGTGACTTGCTCAGGTCCCACCCTCAGGAAGTGGCAGGGCCCAGCTTTGAAGCCAGCCCACGCTCTGGAGAAGGGCACTCCAGGCCGAGGGATCCACAAGCACAAATGTACAGTGGCAGGAAGTGCAGGCTGTGTTCGAGGACTAGCGGATCTGGAGCTGGGGGCAGAGGCAAGGGAAGGAAAGCTGGAGAGATGGTCCTAGGAGAGGCAGAGCTGGGAGATACACAGTGACAGGGCCCCGGTGAGGACGTCAAGGCTCCCACCTCTGTGTCTGCAGGTCCTGGCCAAGAGAATGCTGCTGCTCTGGATGTCACTGCTTGCTGGACGCTGCTGCCCCAGGCCCAGGGGAAGGCCCAGCACCTACTCTGCCTTCAGAGGACAAGAATCAGTGGGAAACAGGTAAATGTTAAGGGGTGAGCGTCAGAGGCATGAACTCAGGAAAGGCCAGGGGTGGGAGACGGCACCACCTCCCTGCTCAATGCTTCTCCTGTACAGGCCTCCCCCTTGCCACAGAATTCACCTTACCTCACCCAGAGCTGATCCTGTCTCTCCCCTGCTCTAACACTTGCCATGGCTCCTCAGTGCCCTCAGGAGAACCTCTGAGCCCCTTATCCTGGCATTCAAGGCCCTGCATCTCCAGCCTCTTCCACTGCCTCCTTCCCTGACCACCCCCACAGACTTCACAGCTCCCTCCTGTGCTAGGCTGTTCCTCTGGCCTGAAATGCCTTTCTCTCCTGCTCAACCTGGTGCATCTGGGCCCATGCTTGAACGCAAAGTTCTAACCACCTCCTCTGGGAATTCCTCTCGATTTCCCCAGGCAGAAGGGATCTCTCCTTCCTCTGAGTTCCCACAGCCCTTTGGTGACGTCTCCTCTGCGGCCTTATCCAAGTGTGCTGCGCCTGCTGTCCCATCTGTCTGTAGGGCTGGCTGCCTCTGTCCCTAACTCCTGACTGAGCTGTTTGTCATCCATCCAGCCCCATCCCCGCTCGCCACGCTGCAGCCTCACTTATCTTTCTGTTTCCTACCACGCCAGGCTCACCAGCACCTCAGGGCCTTTGCACGTTCTGTTCCCTCTGCCACCATGGCTGTCCCCGAGATCAGCCTGCATGATGGATTCCTCCACCTCACTCAGGCCTCAGCTCAGAGGCCTCCTCCTCAGAGAGGCGCTTCCTTTTCACCCCATCAGAAACAGATCTTCACCCAGTCATGCTCCGACTCCACTGTATTTTTTCTTTTGCACAGATCACTCTGGAATATTGCCTTGCTTGCTGATCTGAGTGCTCGGCTTTTGTCTCTCTCCCTACCAGGAAGTAAACTCCATGAGGGCAGGAGCCACACTGCTTCTGTCCCTTGAGCCCAGGAGAGAGTAAGCACTCAGTAAGTGCTGGCTGCCAAATGACTGAGTGAATTTGGTGAAAGGTTGAATGAACAGTACAGCCCCACACTGAAGCGGGGCTTGCATCCTCGGACAGTTCAGACCTGTTCTCAGAGCACTACACCCTGGACTGCATGCTCAGCCTGCCTGTGACAGGGGCCAGGAGCAAAGGTGTTGCTGTCCTGGACCACCTGCCCTTTGTAGGCAAACGCCTCTCCAAGAAGAGCAGTGGGCTGGACCTGTCGCAGGTCGGTCGGGGAACTGCTTTCAGGGAAGAGCCTCCCCCTGCTGTGGGAGCTACTCAGGGCAGGTGGATAAGTGGAGGGCTAGGACTGCCTCTGGCCTTTCCTGGTACCCTGAGCAGCTGTGTTCTCAGCACGGTGTCTTTGGAGGTTCTCTATAGCCTGGAAAGTGCTAAGCAAGTCTACTTTTCTTGACCCTATGTCTCTCCAAGCTGCTTGAAATCTTCCTAGGAAGAAAGTAGGGTCTCAATCTGGGACCTCAGCCCGGCAGCCCTCCTGCTCCCTACACTCAGCCTACAACTGGGTTTTCTGCAAACCTACATAGGTTTTTGAAAAATATTTTTAATGAATTGCCAACATATAAAAATCAAGAAGATTTTAATCAAAATCTGGGTTTCCCAATTGTATTAGATTGTGAGGACTGCCATAACAAAGTACTATTAATACAAACTGAGCACCCTGGACAACAGAAACATATTGTCACAGGCACAGCGGCCGACATCAGTAATCCCAGCACTTTGGGAGGCCAAGATGGGCAGATCATTTGAACCTAGGAGTTCAAAACCAGCCTGGGCAACATGATAAAACCCCATCTCCACAAAAAATACAAAAATTAGCCAGGCATGGTGACGCGTGCCTGTAGTCCCAGCTACCCTGGAATCTGAGGTGTGAGGATCACCTGAGCCCTGGAGTTCAAGGCTGCAGCAATCCATGATTGTGACACTGCGACTCCAGCCTGGGCAACAGAGTAAGTCTCTGTCTCAAAACAAAACCTCCAGGTAAGGCAAGAGGGCTCGCACCTGTAATCCCAGCACTTCGGGAGGCCAAGGCGGGTGGATCACTTGAGATCAGGAGTTCGAGAACAGCCTAGTCAACATGGTAAAGACCAGTCTCTAATAAAAATACAAAAATCAGCCAGGTGTGGTGGCACGCACCTGTAATTCCAGCTGACTGGGAGGCTGAGGCAGGAGAATCACCTGAACCTGGGAGGCAGAGGTTGCAGTAAGCCAAGATCACACCACTGCACTCCAACCTGGGCAACAGACTGAGACTCCATCTCAAAAACAAACAAACAAACAAAACCCACCAGAGCCGGCACAGTGACACACATTTGTAGTCCCAGCTTCTCAGGAGGCTGGAGAGGAGGATCGCTTGAGCCCAGGAATTTGTAATGTGATTGCACCTGTGAATAGCCACTGCATTCCAGCCTGGACAACATAGCGAGACACCATCTCAAAAAAAAAAAAAAATCCGTGCTAAAGGCAGATATACAGCAGGGAGCCTGACCCAGAAAAGTTTTCCTCTGGCATTTGAATTTGTTGCTGCCTCTTCCAGTGGGCACCAGATGAGTCACCAGCTTGTACCTAACGTTCAAAAAATACCTAAAACTCGGCTCCTCTCAGCTCAGGGAGGTGCTGGTAGCTGATGGTGCAGAAGGGAGCAGAGCAGATGGGTCCTGAGCAGATGGCAGAGGGCTTACCTGCCACCTTGCCTTCCCTGACTCTCGCTGGCCTGCTTCTCTTTTGCAGATGCTTACGCTCCTCTACTGTTCCCTCCCCCATTTTACAGAGGCTGACACGGAGGCCCAGAGAAGGGAAGGGACTTGCCTGGGTCGTCAAGCCTTGGAGAATGGAACTAGAGCTCAGCGTTCTACAGCTGGGCTGGGGGCAAGGGAAGGGGTTGTCCCAAAGCTGCTCCCACCCCTCCTGGGCTCTGCCCCTATTCCAGCAGATCCGGATACTCACACCCCACAGAGTCACAGAGGCCTGGCCAGGCCACACCAACATCCTCCATGCCTCTCACAGGTTGGTCATAGAAGACGCCAAAAGACCTGAGATCACCCTGCAAATCCTAAGTGATAGCCTGCTGCAGGTCACGTTGCGCTGCAAACTGTACCTCTCACTCCAGGAGTAAGTACACACGGGCACTTCCGCATCACCCATTTGGGTGCCAGGCAGACCAACCCCTCACTGCCATGAATCAAGAGGCAGCCATGCAGGGCTAGCAAA
This sequence comes from Homo sapiens, assembly GCF_000001405.40. NCBI lineage: Eukaryota > Metazoa > Chordata > Mammalia > Primates > Hominidae > Homo > Homo sapiens. The sequence continues at coordinate 33,320,203 of NC_000020.11, forward strand.
AGTCACATGCCTCATGTCACCACACGATCCTTTCCACTTGGGCGTGTTTCAAAGCCATTTTTACTGATAAGGAAACTGAAGCACGGAGTGGGAGAAGAACCTGCCCAGGAACACACAGTAAGTCGGTGGTGCAGGTTGGATAAAACCCTCTGACTTTCATGTCAGGGGACGTGAGCCCATCTGAGCAAATGGGCAGGACAGTGTATTAACAGGATTACCCGAGGAAGGTGTGGTTCAAGCACGCCTTGGAGTCTGGCACTCCTGGGCTGGGCAACTTGGGCAAGAGGTGTCCATTCTCTGGGCTTCGGCTTCCTCATCTATAAAATGGGTATAATTGGCCAGGCACGATGGCTCAGGCCTGTAATCCCAGCACTTTGGGAAGCTGAGGTGGGCAGATCACTTGAGGTGAGGAGCTTGAGACTAGCCTGGCCAACATGGTGAAGCCTTGTCTCTACTAAAAACACAAAAATTAGCTGGGCATGGTGGTGGGCGCCTGTAATCCCAGCTACTTGAGAGGGTGAGGCAGGAGAATCGATTGAACCTGGGAGATGGAGGTTGCAGTGAGCCGAGATTGTGCCATTGCACTCCAGCCTGGGCGATAGAGCAAGACTCCGTCTCAAAAAAAAAAAAAAAAGATATAATTCTGGTTTCCTGCTGCACTAGGCTGTTGTGAGAGTTCACCTGCAAAATTCTGAACTGCAGCTGATTGGACAGACCAGAGGTTGCAAACACAACAGCCAACAGAGGCAGTGATACAAACCAGTGTTTGCAAGTAAAACAGAAATATTCCTAAATGCCCTTTAGGAACGTGTCCACTCTTGTTTTTCTTGTAAAATTTGGCTCTCTTCATCTAGCTTCCACCTTTTTTTCTTTTTTTTTATTTTTTTCAGACAGAATCTTGCTCTGTTGCCCAGGCTGGAGTGCAGTGGCGCGATCTGGGCTCACCACAACCTCTGCCTCCCAGATTCAAGCAATTCTCATGCCTCAGACTCCCGAGTAGCTAGGATCACAGGCATGCGCCACCACACCCAGGTAATTTTTTTTATTTTTAGTAAAGACAGGGTTTCACCATGTCGGCCAGGCTGGTTTCAAACTCCTGGCCTCAAGTAATCCACCCGCCTCAGCCTTCCAAAGTGCCGGGATTACAGGGGTGAGCCACCGCTCCTGGCCAAACTTCCCCCTTTTAATAGAGATGTGAGTACAAATAAATATTTCTTTGATAGACACGTGGACACAGAGAAATATTTCTCTGCAATATGGTAAACATATCATTCCCCTTGTAGGGATAGTGCAGTAAAAATGGAACCTGACCACTGGCCTGGTGGGGACCACAGCAAACTAGAGAGCACATGGCCCATCTCAAGGTCACCCTCAGCCCCAGATGTTTGCCACTCTGTGAGACCAGGGGATCCAGTGTTGTCAGATCATCTGGGTTTTCCATATTTTTAATGAATCCTCCTAGTTTTTAATTTGAGCCCTTCAGGCAACGGCAGGCTATCAGCTTGTGACCTCTGGCCTCAACTTTGGGCTCCGCACTTTCATCTGCCCAAATACACTGTCCCTACAGGATCCCGTGGCTCAAAGTCATCAAGAGCATTCACATTGGAGTACGGCTGGAACAGACAGGGAATACCACCAAGGTGGCTTTCGAGGAGTGAGGAGTGCCACAGCCCACCTGGACACCTGAGCACTGAGGCTCTGCAGCAGTGAGTATGTGCCTGCTCCAAAGCTTCCACTGGGCAAGGCTGCGTGCCAGCCCTTTCTTTCTTTCTTTTTTTTTTTTTTTTGAGACTGAGTCTTGCTCTGTTGCCCAGGCTGGAGTGCAGTGGCACAATCTCGGCGCACTGGAACCTCCGCCTCCCAGGTTCAAGCAATTCTCCTGCTCAGCCTCCCAAGTAACTGGGATTACAGGCACCCACCACCACACCTGGCTAATTTTTGTGTTTTTAGTAGAGACAGGGTTTCCCCATGTTGGCCAAGCTGCTCTCGAACCCCTGACCTCGAGTGATCTGCCCACCTCGGCCTCCCAAAGTGCCAGTATTACAGGCGTGAGCCGCCTTGCCCAGCCAGATGCCAGCCCTTTCTGCACTGATCCTTCACTGAAACTCCGGGCTGGGACTGCCTCTCCCCAGCTAGTTGTCTGGAGTGGCCGGAGCACCGGGAACAGGGTCATCTCCAAGGCCACAGATGGTACCCATCAGCATCTCCTTCCTCCATGTCAAATGTCATTGCTAAGAGCTGAGGTTCAAGCCTCAGCTTGGACACTTCCTAACAATGGGGCCTGGCCAAGTTATTTGACCTCTAGGAGCCTCAGTTTCCTCACCAGTAAAATGGAATGGCTCACAGTACCCAACCAGCATGGCTGGTTGTGGGGGAAAAAAATGAGCTAACCCATGTGACTCACTTAGCACAGAGCCTACCACATAAAATGGTCACGATCTATCGTTCTTATGTTTACCCAACACAAAACCTCCAAGAATCCTTCTATGACCACTGTCAGGTGTGACCTCTCCCTGCTCAGAAATTCCAGAGACCTTTATCAGAAAGAGAAATAAAGAGACAGAGGCAGGTGGGTGCCATGGCTTATACCTGTAATCCCAGCACTTTGGGAGGCTGAGGCAGGTGGATCACGTGAGGTCAGGAGTTCAAGACCAGCCTGGCCAACATGGTGAAACCCTGTCTCTACTAAAAATACAAAAATTAGCCAGGCGTGGTGGCAGGCGCCTGTAATCCCAGCTACTTGGGAGGCTGAGCAGGAGAATCATTTCAACTCAGATGCAGAGGTTGCAGTAAGCTGAGATCACACCACTGCACTCCAGCCTGGGTGACAGAGCAAGACTCTGTCAAAGAGACAGAGGCAGAGAGAGAACCAGGAAGAAATAAAGAGAAGCAGGAGAAAATCAGGGAGGGAGAAAGCAAGAAGGCAAGCAGAAACAGAAAGAGGGGAAGAGAAGAAAGAAGGGGCAGGAGGAGGAAGGCAGGGAAGGAGCAGCCACTGGAGCCCCCATGCCACACAGGCCTAGAGGGGCTTCCTCAACCCTGCCCTGACTCGCCCTCCTGACTGCAGTCTGCCAGCCATGGTGTGTCAGACCCCACCAGCCACCCTCTCCACTTCCTCTAGGATGGACACCCTCCTGGCAAACAAAGCCCAGCTCCTATCCACTGCTCCTTCCCCATCCTGATGGAATGACAGGAGGTGGATCGGGAGGACGGGAGGCTTCGAGTGGACCGGAAGGAGGCACTGTAAACAAAGGCGCAGAGAAGGAAATGGGCCAAACGAGGGAGAAGCAGGGAAACCAGGCTCCTGGGTCCAAAGCCCAGCTCTACCTCTTCCCGTGTGCAGGATCTTGAGTAAGTCACTTCCCCTCTCTGGGCTTTAGCCTCCTCATCTGTCAAATGATGACAATGACAGTTCCCATCTTGTGGCACTGTCGTGAGGTTCAAATGAGATTGTACATGTTGATGTGCAGGGCTGTGTCTAGCACATAGCGAGCCTGCAAATATGTTTGCTGTAACCAGTTGCCCAGGGAGGCCCTTCCCACTGAATTTCTTCTTCCTTCATTTCTATGAAGCTTGTGGCCCCCTGCAGCCCGGGCCAGAGAGCCTCAAGGCCTGAGCACCTGGCCCCCCAGCCCTTCCCAACATCAGCCCAGGGAAGCGTGGCAGACCTGCTCTTTTGGCTGGAAGTCTACAATGACATCTGTTCTGCCTCCACACCAGCAAGGAGTTCCACGTGGACCCCCAGGACTCCACAGTGAGTGCTAGAAGAAGGGGAAAGGGGCGGGGAGAACTATTATTGCTCCATTTTTCACATTAGGAAACCAAGGCCCAGATGGGGAATATGACTGGTCCAAGGTTACGTAGTGGGTAGGATCAGGGCTACAGCCAGATCTCCTGCCTCCCCGCTGGGCTGTCCATCACACACAGGAATGGCAGCTCTGAGACAGTCAGAAGTGAGCCTGTCATTCCACATCTACAGAAATTCTTACACCAGTGGGCAAGGGCATTCTTTGTATTTTACTAGTTATGTGGTGAAAAATAAATTTAACTTAGCCAGGCGTGGTGGTACACACCTGTAGTCCCAGCTACTGGGGAGGCTGAAGCACCAGAATTGCTTGAACCTGGGAGGCGGAGGCTGCAGTGAGCCAAGATCATACCATTGCACTCCAGCCTGGGCGACAGAGTGAGACCCTGTCAGCTTTGTTGTATGTATAGACATTTTCATAATAAAATGTCAGGAGAAAAATCATTGAAACAATACAAAGTTAACCTGTCCAGATAAATCATGGTGAGAAACCTCCTCTTACGCTGGGACGGACCAGTGGCAGGCGGTACATCCAGTAGTTACAGCTCATTGAGCCCCACTGAGCTCCCTCCCCAACCAGCCAGCTCAGAGCCCGTCTGCAGGATTTTAAAGACCAACACACACTTTGCCCCTTTTCCAGGCTGCAGACCTCATTCAGCTATTGTCACGGATTGAGCTGGAGCCCAGGCCCAGGGTGGGTGTGTTGCCAGCTCCTCCTCCAGAAGCCCAGCCAGGGTCTCAGGGGAGATTCTGAGACAGGAGCTGGGCCAGGTCAGGCCACATGGGCGTGTTCCCTTAGGCCAGGGTTTCCTGCCGTGGACTCCAAAAATCACTGCACCTGCTACACAGGCATTGTGAGGATTTAATGAGATGATGTAAGTAAGGCACTTAGCTCAGGGCTCAGCTCAGGTGACCATGGCCCTGTGCCTGCCATTACTATTCACTCCTGAATAAGACCCAAGCCTGCTGGGGGGACACCTAGATAATGGTGGGCAGTGACTGTACACAGGTCCCTCCCACTACATCAGTGCAACCCTCCAGTAACCCTGCACTGTCACCCCCTTCTACAGGTGAGCAAACTGAGGCTCAGCAAGGTGAGCTCACTCGCCCAAGCTCACATCGCTCAGTAAATGGTAGAACCAGGATTGGAACCCCGTCCCTGACTCCAAGATCCTTGCTCAATGTCCTTTCTCCAAAGTGTTTCAGAACAGAGCCCCTGATAGACAAGCAGTAACAATAACCACAACAGCTGACAAGTATATGGCAGTACTAGGTGCCGGGTTCTTTTCTAAGCACTTTATACAAATTAACTCATTGAATCTTCACAACAACCTCTGGGCTAGTTGCAATTATTATCCCTATTTTACAAGTGTGAAAATCAAAGCACAGAGAGATTAAGAAACTTGCCTCAGGCCACACAGCTTCCCAGTGGTGGAGCTGGAACTCCGGTTCCAAAACTCTATACTCTTACCTGCTATGTATGTTCAGGAGAAGGAGGATGTTATCCCACCTCCAAAAAGCCCAGGGAGGGTAAGTGACCTGGCCAAGGTCACACAGCAAGTTGCTGCAGTGCTAGAACAGAACCCCAGACCCTTGACTCCTAAGATAGCCTTGCCCCCGTTCTTCCAAGCTGGGAGCTGAGGAAAGCCATCTTTAGTCAATGCCTGCACCTTTTCTGCTGTAATTTCACCCAGGCTTCCAGTCAGTCCAGAGGGAGCATACAACTGACCATCAACACCCCTGATCCTCCCACGGTCCGCCTTGACGGCCACACGGCCACCATCATCCAGCCGGGCTTGCTAGTGCTACTGGGGCTCAGCATCACCTCCTCTGTCTCAGTTTCCTGGGTGAGTGTATTAGTCTATTTTCATGCTGCTGATAAAGACATACCCAAGACTGGGTAATGAAAAAGGGGTTTAAGGGACTCACAGTTCCACGTGGCTGAGGAGGCCTCACAATCATGGCAGAAGGTGAAAGTCATGTCTTACATGGCAGCAGACAAGAGAGAATGAGAACCAAGCAAAAGGGGTTTCCCCTGATAAAACCATCAGATCTCGTGAGACTTATTCACTACCATGAGAAAAGTATGGGGGAAATTGCCCCCAGGATTCAATAATCTCCCACCGGGTCCCTCCCACAACAGGTGGGAATTATGGGAGTTACAATTCATGATGAGACTTGGGTGGAGACACAGCCAATCATATCAGTTAGTGAGACGCAAAGGTCTTTGTTCCCTAGGGGGCCTGGGTCCACTGTGAGAACCCCTCCAGGGCCAGCGAGCTGTGCCTGCTGCTAAAGTGTTAAAATACTTTAACACCTGCACCCCTTTGTTCACCTCTGGTGCTCCACAAGGACCTCAGCAACTAAAGGATTCTGCCTCCAAGACCCTCAGCTCGGAGCCCTTGCCAGGTGGTGGTTAAGCCCTTTGACTGCCTCCCTTGGGCGTGATGGCATCAAAAGCCATCACAGGAGGAAGTCCAGAGGCCTGGAGCTCATGGAGCGCTGCGGTGTTTCTCCACTCCCCCAGAGAGAGGGTTACCCAGGCTAGAGAGGGCGGGGCCCTGGGAGGAAATCTGGGGAAATACAGCCTCCCAAAAGTTTCAGCTTCTCTATTCTGAGCCCCCTTGGGATTCCTATTTCCCGTTCCACGGACTTTGAAGTTGAGAAGGTGCCTCAAATAAGCGGTCAGGAGGGTCCCCACCATGGGTGAGCCACATGGCATCCATGGGGAAACAGTATCCTGGGGTCTTAGTTGACATGATTCTGCGGCAAAAAAACAAACAAACAAACTGGTCATCTCTGGCTTGTGGGAATCACTTCTCGGCCTTTCTTGGTGAAGATCATGTATCTGGCTGGTGGGGTAACATCCTATTTCTGGCTTATAAGGTGATCGTGTGAGTTACGGAGGCCCATAGACAACCCCCTCAACACCAAGGGGTCCTCTGGCTTCAAGGCAACAGTAATTCTAGAGCCAAGTGACTCTCATTACAAAAGGCTGTCCCTCCACTGGGCTGAGTCCCTCCAGCTGTGTCCAGCCCTGGCCCCACTGCCATCCAAGAGCACCCAGCACCCACCTGTGCCCCCACCCCCGGCAAGGCCCACACATGCCTGGTCTGGATCAACATGAACCAGTAGCTGGAGAAGACAATGACACAGGGTGGGGGTGAGGGCCAGATGAGAAGGGACCAAGCCCGAACAAGCATTCCTGGGGGCTGGGGGTCAAGGGGGTCCCTCCGGCTAGAACACAAATTCTTCTCCTGTTCTGACCTAATTTCAATTCTTCATAGAAACTTTTTTTGAAGGCTGCATTTTCCCTAAGAAATCAGGAACTACATGACCGGGCATGGTGGCTCATGCCTGTAATCCCAGTACTTTGGGAGGCCAAGGCAGGCAGATCACAAGGTCAGGAGATAGAGACCATCCTGGCTAGCACGGTGAAACCCCATCTCTACTAAAAATACAAAAAATTAGCCAGGCATGGTAGTACACACCTGTAATCCCAGCTACTCAGGAGGCTGAGACAGGAGAATTGCTTGAACCTGGGAGGCGGAGGTTGCAGTGAGCCGAGACCATGCCCCTGCCGTCCAGCATGGGTGACAGAGACTCTGTCTCAAAAAAAAAAAAAAAAGTGGAGTCCCCAGGACTGCTGATCCCCTGTGAGCATCTGAACACTGGTGTCCCATCCTTCCTCAGGCCAGAATCTGCTGACCCAGCTGAAATGTCCTTCCTGTTCCTCTGTCATCTGTTGCAGGAAGGACATTCAGGGGCCCTTCTCTTACAGCTTTTGAAGAGGGTGTTTCTGCCCATCACAACAGTGATCCCCACTTTCTCTGTCACACCCACATACCATACTCAGAGCAGCATTAAACATCTCCAAGACAGCTGACTTCTGCCTGGGGTTGGCTAAAAACTGCCCACAGGTGGCCAGGCGTGGTGGCTCACACCTGTAATCCTCCCACTTTAGGAGGCCAACACGGGAGGATCACTTGAGCTCAGGAGTTCAAGACCGGCCTGGGCAACATGGCAAGACCCTGTCTCTACAAAAATATTTTTTTAATTAAAGAATTGCCCACAGGTAAGGCAGAGGAGGCAGGGTAGAGATGCTGAAATCCGGGGAGTGTCATATGAGGGGGCTGCGGAAGGGACCATGGGTGCCCTCCTATTCTTCACCCGGACAGCAAGCAATGATGGAAGGTTAGAACTGGGACAAGTGCGCAGGGAGGGCTTCTCGAGGTGGGTGGAGGTTGGCATGATGGAAATCGGAATGGAAAAGGCCCTCAGAGGTGATGGCACCCAGAGCTCACATCTCCAACACCTGCAGGGGCAGGCGGGTAACACCCAGGTGAAGAGGCCCAGGTGGGGCCTTTGGTGAACACGACCCCGCCCAGTGGGCGGCTCCACTCTGCTCAGTCGAATGTTCTCAGCACAGCAGAACCGCAGATTATCTTTAAGAGACACCAGAAAGCTGAACTTTCTGAGATTTCACCCCCATCTTTAGATATCCGCAACAAACCTAAACTCTTCCAAACACCATTGCCTTGGTTTGGGCTCCCTCAGAAGCAGACTCTGAGCTGGGGAAGTGAAGGTGGCTTCGGGGGAGGTGATGCCAGGAAGATGGAGGGAGGAGGACTGAGTGCTACGAGTGTGTGCAGAGCTTCTCTGCTCCGTAGATCTCGGGGCTTCCGACACGGTTTGTGTAACAATCCCCCATCCACCCATGTGATGATTTGGTGAGTGCCTGTGTCCCCAGCCAGACAGTGAGCTGCCCCAGGGCAGGGACCCCTCGGTTTCTTGTTGCATCTCCAGCACCCTGTCCAGTACCTCGCATGCAGGAGGCACTCAAGAAATACATGCAGGAGAAACAGCTCAGACCTCACTCATCCGAGAAGTCACCTGAGATCCCTCCCCACCAGGCCCAGAGAGATTAAGTGATTTATTCAAGGTCACACAGCAAGTCTGCAGAGCTGAGCCCAGAACACTGGCTTCCCCAACAGAGCTTCTCCCTGAGCTCCGACTCATGTTGGGACTTAGAGTGACACTAGAGGGGCCGGCAGGTAATGACAATTAGGCCAGCAAGGGGGTATCGGACCCTCCCCTGAGCTCTAAGTGATGATGTGGGCATGGGTTGGGGCAAAGGCTGGTCAGCGCAGGAGAGGGAGCAGGAGGGGCCCAGGCCAGGCCCCCAAGGTCAAATCTGGGAGACTCAGTTTGCCAAAAATCAATTCCCAGCCAAATGGCTAACTCACTGAAACTCAAATTGCAAAATGACCAATTCTCCAAGTTTACCAAATTTACCCATTTCCCAAAATCTTGCTTTAAGGATAATGTTTCATGTATTTTATAAGCATTTGTGAATATTTCCTTCTTTGATATATTCAATGGATATTTTCTTATTAATATGACCAAATTTCTAGTGTTTTAAGGTTAATTTTTTAGTTTATTCCGACTTGTTTCTAATCCTTTTTTTAAGGACATTTTCTGTTTCTACCAACATTTTAGCATTTTTCGGGGGGGAGCATATAGTGTTTGGGGCTATTCCCCTCAATTAAAAAATAGCAAAATTCACTAACAGGTTTATAAGAATCCTTCAACAAAGTGAACATTCCTTAAAATGTTGCTGAGAAGAATGTGTTCAGTCACTGAATAGGTTCAAGGATTTCCCTTAATAAGGTTCTTAGTAAATGGGTGGAGCAGCCCTTTAGAGACCAGCTTTCCCAGCTGGAGCTGCTTGCTGTTCAGGGGCTGCCTGATGGGGGATGGAGATAGTCCACCCTGAGCAGGGGTGGGGGAACACACCCTGTCCCTTCCCCATTCTGAGCAGTGGAGCAGCCAGGGACCACCTCTGCCCACCAGGGCACTGAGGTCCCCTGCCCGCCCCTCTGGCAGAGCTGCTCAGAGAACACAGCCTCCCTGTGCCCAACATCAGGGGTCCTTCCACCAGGCCCAAAGGGACCTCTCAGAGGTAAGCCTGGGGAAAAAGAGCTGCCTGAGACGCACATGGGTGGTCGTGGCTATAAGTGACTTTGAGCCCTAGAGGTGCCTCGTCTCATCCTGCAGAAGAAGAAGCTGAGGAGGCGCTTGTGTCCCGGCCCTCAGCCTTCTTACCTCGCCTCCTCTCAAAGCCATCCTGCATGTGACTCCCCACTTACAGATGAGGAAACTGAGGCTCCCAGGGGCTGCACGAGTCCCGCAGGGACCCAGACCACAGGGCTCTTGGAGAGCATCAATGCCCCTACACAAATGACCTTCACAATGAGCTCCATGAAGTTGATGCTGTAATTCCCTCCCACTTAACAACGGAGGGAACTGAGGCTCAGAGAGTCAGAGAAACGTGCCCAGGGCAGCAGAACCGGGATCCAACAGGGGTTCATCTGACTTCAAAGTCTGTACCCTTAGCCCCAACCACCCACCTCCCGAGAACTCCAGACCCCAGAACAGGGCTGTTGCCTCTGATGCCTGCTGTCTGTGAACCGCAGAGGGTGGAAACCAGGGCCTGCCCAAGGGCACCCAAATACCAGGGAGGCAAAATGCAGCAGAGACCAGAGGGTAGAGGAAACCAGCGAAGGAACCACAGAGGAACCCCCAGGAGAGTTTGCCAGCTCTGAATCTGCCCCTGGAGCTGCCCTGCCTGCCCAGCCCTCCTTCCTTCCCACTGTGGGCTGAACCTGAGAAGAGGTGGACAGGGGTCAGGGGAATGGGCGGGTCTTAGAGATGCCCTTCATTTCTTTAACTCCCACCTTTAAAAGATTCCCATCTGTAAACAGCAGAGCAGGAGGGACCAAGGCAGAGACAATCATACGGAACCTCCTGGCTGCATGACCATGGGCAAGCTGCTGACCCTCTCTGAGCCTATCGTTCATATCTGGAAAATGGGGATAAAGAAAATTCTGGCCAGGCATGGTGGCTCATGCCTGTAATCCCAGCAGTTTGGGAGGCAGAGGCAGGTGGATCACGAGGTCAGGAGTTTGAGACCAGCCTGGCCAAGAGACCAGCCTGGCCAATATGGTGAAACCCCATCTCTACTAAAAATACAAAAAATGAGCCGGGCATGGTGGTGTGCACCTGTAGTCCCAGCTACTCGGGAGGCTGAGGCAGGAGAATTGCTTGAACCCAGGAGGTGGAGGTTGCAGCGAGCTAATATCACGCCACTGCACTCCAGCCTGGGCAACAGAGCGAGACTCTGTCTCAAAATAATAATAATAATAATAATTCTCCCTAGGAGCTGGAAGTCAGGGCTCTCCTTACAAACATGAGGAAGTGTTAGGACCACTGTCTTCAGCCAGCCCTGCTCAGGCACTTAACAGAACTCAACCCTAATCCCACACAGAGAGACCCTGCGCTGCACAAAAGGAGGCAGCAGGGGCCGGCAGCAGTGTGCCTCATCAAACCCTGCTTCCAGCCCCACCCTGCAGACCCCTTTCCTAGATTCAGCCCCTGGTGTCCCTAGTAGGGAGGGGAGGCCCAGACGCACTCCAGTGAGGACCACAGGGGCCACTACAGGGCCTGCAAGGCCTGGGCTGCTCCAAAAATGATGCTGCAAATCCTGGCCAGGTGGACCCGTCTGCTCAGAGTGCACCCAGCGTGGGCAGGGCCCACCTGTGCTCTGAATATCAGAGAGGAGCAGAGTCAGGACCCAGCCTGAGCCTTGAACCAGCCCCAGCAGCTGTCTCCTAACTGGCCTGTGAGAAGCAAAGGAAAAGAAGGCAAATGAGCTCATTGGCTTACTCGCCGAGTTACCTCCCGGCTTCCTTATGCTCTTGTGCAGGCCACACATGACACAACTGCAGGGTGCACCACTTGTACAGTAGTTTACATGAACAATGCCACCTGGAGTTGGGCAGTGCACAACCTACACAATCTTACATGGCTGCCCTGATGACCCACTCATTCATTCACCATCACTCAGTCAGTCAGTAACCTCACTGACTGCTCTGTGCCTGGCCCGGTGCTGGGCAATGCTGAGACAAAAAGATGAGTTAGACTCAGCCCCGGAACCCTCCAGGAGCTCCCATTCTGGTGGAAAACAATAGGTGCAGGAGCAGACAGATCCCAGCAGCATGGTCGGGTCTGGCAGAGGTTTGGGCATTGTGGGTGGCAATGCGTGAGAGGCTCTAGCTGGTGAGGGGCCCACTTCAGGGCGACCCAGGCAGGACAAACCCCGACACAGAAATGTTAGAGGGCCCTTGACACATAGGCTCTCAGGAAGAGTCCCAGAGTCTGATCTGTTCCTTCCCTCACAAGCTTTCCTGAGATTCCCCCTCCCCCTCCTTTCTCTCCCCTTGTCCAGGGGTCCCTAACTCTGCCCTCTTCATCCAGGGGAAAGTGTATCCTTAGGACACACACGGCCCCTCTAAGGTGTAGTGGGAGCAGCCTCAGGCAGAGCTGGTATTTTGGGCATCAAGGACAAGGATGGTGGGGAACGTGCTCTGCTTCTACCCACAGGATTACCTGCTGCTGGCCATTCTGGGCAAGTAGTGGCTTCTGACCAAGAGCCAGTCCACCCCCCGCCATGAGTTTTCCAGCCCCTGATGGCCTGCAAAGGGCCACAGTGTTCCAAAACCTCAGCTGCAATACAGAGGGTTCTTGCCTGAGCAAGAGTCAGTTCTGAGTATGCTAAGGGGTTCTGTGAGGAGGGGAGACTGTCTTGAAATATTTAAATGCGGGCTTTTTCCCCCTGATATTTCTTGGCTTCCCGTGGCCCCTGAGAAAGGAATTCTGAATTCTATATTCAGTGTCTCCAGGAAGGGAGAGTTCCTCAGAAAATGGTGAAGAGGTGTTTGAGTTTCAAAAGTCCCAGCCCTGACAGGATAGGGTGTGGAGGGGACACAAGGAACCATGCACACCGGAAAGCCTCGCTGATGGAGAGGGAGGAAGGAAGCAGGAAAGATGAGGGGCTTGGGGGTCTCTAAGAAAGCGGGAACCACAGAAGCCCAGAGACGCTTGGGAGACCCTGAGTGCGGAGGAAAGGAGCTGAGGGAGGCGGCAAGACCCCCAGGCTGGGAGCTGGGTCCAAGTGGGTGGTCATGAGACAACCACACCCCAGAGTCCCCAGGCCCACAAGGCATGGCGCACGCTCAAGAACAGTGCCATCGTGGACGCGGGCCCAGGACACACACATGCCCCGCCCCAGCTCCCCTCGCCCACGTGGCCCTGGCAGGGCAGGGCAGTGAACAGAAAAAGATCCCGCCCCAGAGTCAAAACGTGCACGGTAGGTGTTCGCCGGGGCAGAGAGAAGGCAAAGCACAGAGCGCCCCACCCACAGGCACCTGTCGCTGTCCACAGCAGGTAGGCCTGGCCCCAGGAAAAGGCAGATGAGGAGAAACTTCACACTGATTATGATAAAATCCCTGGGAGCAGCAGGATGGAGGCTCGTGGCAGCCTCTGTCTTGGGAGTGAGCAAGCATTCAGCTCCCTGGTAGCCCTGGCTGGCCTCAGAAAACCAGAGTTTCCCGGGGGCCCTTCACCACCACACAGCCCAAACCATGGAGGCTTTCATGGGTCTGGGGCAGGATCGCTGTCCCGCAGCAGAAGGTTGGGGTTCAGAGCGAGCCTCGCTGTGGGTTCTTTACGTGGCTCCCTGATCTGTTTCATTTATGAACCACAAGCCCAACCTTGAAGGGAAAAAAGACCCCAGTGGGCAGCCCCAGAGGTCTTGACCTAGAGGGCAGGACCACCCTGCACATGAACTTGCAAAGTCTCCCAGCCCTTGGTGTGCATATATGACACGACTAAGATTGGGTGGAGGCTGGAAGACAAGCTGAACCCTCACCCCAAGCCCAGAGATTTCCCACCCATGTGTCAGCTCGGTGCCCAGCACATGGTAGATACTTGGTACAAAATGCTTGAATGGAGAATTCCTTGGGACCTTGAAGAAGCCGGGCAGGCCTTGGCCTCCTCAGCCAGGATGGCCTGTCCAGGCACCGGCAAGCCTTTCCCACCCACCACGAAAGCCCCTCGATCCCCTCCCAAGATTTCCACAGATGCATCTTCCACGGTGCATCTCACTTTGCAGTTTGCAGGCTCATGCACCCATCTTCCCATCAGATCTTCAGATAACACTGGCTGGTGCCAGACAGGGAGTGTGATTATTCCTATTTGTAAGGTGGTGAGGACCACAGATGGATAGGAGGGTGGGTAGATGGAAGGATGGGTAGATGGATGGTGGATGGATGGATGGACGAATGAATGTAAGGATAGATAGGTGGATGGTGGATGGATGAATGGATGGGAGGATGGGTAGATGGATGATGGATGGATGGATGGATGGATGGATGGATGGATGGATGGGAATGTAGGAAGATGGATGACGGATGGATAGATGGATGGATAGGAGGGTGGGTAGATGGATGGTGGATGGATGAATGGATGGGAGGATGGTTAGATGGACTGTGGATGGATGAATGGATGGGAGGATTGGGTAGATGGATGGTGGATGGATGGATAGGAAGGTACGAAGATGGATGGTGGATGGATAGATGGATGGATGGATAGGAGGGTGGGCAGATGGATGGTGGATGAACGAATTCATCATCACTAATCTAGCCCCACTCCCAGCTGAGACACACAGTCGCTGGAACCAAGAAGAGAGGCAGGGGTCAAGGATTTCAGATTCCCCATGTTCATACAAATATTTTTCAGAATAAATAACTCTTACCTATTTATTAGAGCAAAGAGCTCTTCTAAGTGATACCTTAAAACAAACAAAACCTAGTTTGAAATGTTACATGGAATCAAACTGCTTTTTTATCCAAAGTAAATTCATAATTCAGACATTTCACTAATTGACATCTTCCTCCACAAGATATCCAAGTGCTTGAGGTCAACAAGAGCAAGCCAAATCTCAGATGGATCAAGAATCTCGAACATATTCACATTATTTGAAATGCATATGATTAATTCCCACTTCTGGGAATTTCCTAAAGAAATAATCAGAGATGGCTGGGCGCGGTGGCTCATGCCTGTAATCCCAGCACTTTGGGAGGCCAAAGTGGGCAGATCACCTGAGGTCAGGAGTTCGAGACCAGCCTAACATGGTGAAACCCCATCTCTACTAAAAATACAAAAAAAATTAGCCTGGTGTAGTGGTGGGCGCCTGTAATCCCAGCTACTTGGGAGGCTGAGGCAGAAGAATTGCTTGAACCCAGGAGGCAGAGGTTGCAGTGAGCCGAGATCATGCCATTGCACTCCAGCCTGGGCAACAGAGCAAGACTCTGTCTCAAAAGAAAAAAAAAAAAGAAAAAGAAAAAAAAATAATCAGAGATGCAGACAAAGATGGTTACCATAGCACTGGTTTTATGGTGAAAATTTGAGAACAATCTAAATGTCCAACAATACAAGATTTATTTTTATGATAAATTCCTAATAAAAAATTTGTACAGGCATTAAAATAATGTTTTAAAAGAGCATTCATAAGAAAATACAAGAAGACTAGGATACAAACCTATTTAGAGATGATCTGAAAATTAAATGTACATATATAAAATAAATGAGCTGGGCACAGTGGCTCACACCTGTAATCCCAACACTATGGGAGGCCAAGGCAAGCAGATTGGTTGAGCTCATGAGTTCGAGACCAGCTTGGGCAGCATGATGAAACCTCATCACTACAAAAAATACCAAAAAAATTAGCCAGGCATGGCGGTTCATGCCTGTAGTCCCAGCTACTCGAGTGGCTGCGATGGAAGGGTGGCTTGAGCCTAGGAGGCAGAGGTTGCAGTGAGCTGGGATGGCACCACTGCACTCCA
This sequence comes from Homo sapiens, assembly GCF_000001405.40. Lineage (NCBI taxonomy): Eukaryota > Metazoa > Chordata > Mammalia > Primates > Hominidae > Homo > Homo sapiens. Next base: position 33,335,752 of record NC_000020.11, read on the forward strand.
GCCCAGGCAATAGAGCCAGGCCTTGTCTCAATAAATAAATAAACTCAAAATGTAGGCTGTGATTGTCAGACAGCTTGAGTGGTAGGATCGCAGGTTACTTTTATTTTATTCTTAATACTGTTTCCAAAACTTTTATGGTGAACATGGTTGACTTTTATGATTGGGGGAAAATGTTCTCATTCATTCAATAATTGTAGGGATAGGTATCGACACTTTGTGCCACATGAGCAAAACACAGCAAGAATGGTTTCTGCCCTCACAAAACTTGTGATGGAGACGTTAAATAACCCAGCCAATAAAAAGACAAAGGACTACAAATTCCAATGAGAGCCAAGAAGGAAAACTACAGGGTGCCAGGAGAGAGAAGAATGGCAGCGTGGCCAGGCACAGTGGCTCATGCCTGTAATCCCAGAACTCTGGGAGGTTGAGGAAGGCAATCACTTGAGGCCAGGAGTTCAAGACCAGCCTGGCCAACATGATGAAACCCCATCTCTACTAAAAATACAAAAATTAGCCAGGCGTGGTGGCACTTGCCTGTGGTCCCAGCTACTAGGGAGGCTGAGGCAGGAGAATCGCTTGAACACAAAGGCGGAGGCTGCAGTGAGCCAAGATCGTGCCACTGCGCTCCAGGCTGGGTGACAGAGTGAGGCTCTGTTTCAAAATAAAAACAATGGCTAGGGTAGCCTACTTTAGAAGAGGTGACCGGGGAAGGCCTCTTGAAGGAGAAGCTGTTCGAGCTGAGACCTGCAGTGTGAGTGAGCCAGGTAAAATGTGGAGGAAAGGGTTCTGGGCAGTGGGAACAGAATGTGCAAAGGTCCTGGGGTGGAAATAAGGTGGGTCTATCTGAGAAACTAACAGAAAGCCAGTGCAGACAGTGAAATAAGCAAGAAATGGTAGGAAATGAGGTTGGAGAGGCAGGCAGAGGTCCAACTGCACAGGGCCTCAAGGGCTAGGCCAAAAATATGGGCACCATTCTGTGCGGAATGGTGATTCACTATTTTAAGCAGGAGAGTGATGTGATCTGAATATGTCAGACTTTTTTTTTTTCTTAAGAGAAGGGGTCTCACTATGTTGCCCAGGCTGGTCTGGAGCTCCTGGGCTCAAGCAATCCTCCTGCCTCAGTTTCCTAATGTCATGCACTTTTAGAAGAAAAGAGATTGAGCCAGAGCTACAAAGCTACAGACTCCCAGAGCTTTGGGGGAAATCCAGTGCTGTTTTATTGTGAGACATCAGGGATCAACCCTGAGATGTTCAAACCAACTACCCTGAGGGAGCTCATATCTCTGCCCAGTGTTGTTCTGAAGAGCGGTGGAGACAGGAGAAAGGAAGGCTGAAGGTGGAGGGAACTCCCTGCCTCACATCAGCTATCACTTTAGGCACTCAGAGCCACTGTCTTCTCTGATTCCCATAAGCCCCATCAAAGAGAAGCAGACAGGGACTTGTTAGCCTATTTGACAGACAGAGAAACTGAGGCTCAGAGGAGCTGGCCCCATTCATTCGTGCATTCCTTCATTCATGCATTTACTGCACGCTAGGTGGAGACAGGGATGTGCAAGACGAGTGAGACACGCCCCAGCCCTCAGGCATCTCATGGACTATCGGATCAAGAAGACAAGGGGCATATCCTGGGAAAAGGCTTTGCTCCAGACATGTCTGCCTTTGAATCTCAGTCCTGCCACTTCTGCAGAGAAGTAACTTCTCTGAACCGCAGTTTCTTCACGTCTAAATGGGGAAAGTGGTGATGCTGCTGAGGAGGAGGACGGGGGAGGAAGAGGAGGAGGAGCGAGGAGGAAGATAGGTTGTTGTAAGAGTGGAAAGCATTTGCTGAGTGCTCAGTAGTGGGATTTTGGAGGTTGTGGGCAACTCCTTCTGACCCAAGTTTTAGTGTGATTTCCATGACACACCCTGTCTCTCCATCCTGGGCAGCGTTAGTTCTCCCTTATGTGAAACCCAAGCTGGCTGAGCCCACAGGCAAATGCAGCCATAGTGACACTGGAGCTATTCAGAGCCAACCTGTTGCCCTTCTATAAAAAGATGCCCACTGGCATCCTGAACACACGAAACAATGTGTACCCAGTGGGTGCAAAGAGGCAGGGGGTGCTCAGAGGAGAAGCAGCAGAACCAGAGTGCCCATAAGCCACACGTCCTCTGGGAAGGAAGGGAAAGCCCTCTTGGGACAGACACACTCAATTTTGACTTACAAAGCAGAAACCACAGGCCTAACCCTGAGTATTGACATCTGTGAGCAAGTGGATTGAAAAGAAACAGCCAAAACTGAAACATCTGCAAACACGTCTTAAATACAGTACTTCGCTTTGAAACCTCTTACACATTTGTGACAAGGTTTGTTCACATATCTACTTTGGGAGCATGTGCCCAGAAAACTTTATACCCCCATTGAAAATGAAACTTCAGGCCAGGCACGACGGCTCATGCCTGTAATCCCGGCACTTTGGAAGGCCGAGGAGGGTGGATCACCTGAGGTCAGGAATTCGAGACCAGCCTGGGAAATATAGTGAAACCTTGTCTCTACAAAAAATACAAAAATTAGCCGGGCTTGGTGGCCTATAGTCCCAGCTACTTGGGGGGATGAGGTGGGAGGATCACGTGAGCCCAGGAGGCAGAGGTTGCAGTGAGCCAAGATCATGCCACTGCACTTCAGCCTGGGTGACAGAGTGAGACCCTGTCTCAAAAAAGAAGAAACTTCAGAGTGAGGTTAAAATGTCTCTATACCGGCTTTCTGTCTAGTAAAATCATTCTAAATGATCCATTTTTGGGAGGAGATAAAGAAACATAACCCCCCAAAATCCATATTTTACTGTTTCAAACAAGGTGTAAATAGTTGTGAAAATCTAGATTCTGTAGATAGGAGAATGGCATAAAATCAAAGACCTGAGCGTGGCTGATGCAATAGTAGATAATGATGATGATAGTAGATTATGGAGACTCACATATCCTAGGCAGGGTGACATATTTCATCTTGTTTAATCCTCACAGCAACCCTATGATAGGCATGATTTCATCCCCACTTTATAGATGAGGAAACTAAGGAACAAAAATATTAGATAATATCCCAAGGCCACACAGCCAGGAGGCAGCAGAACCAAGATTCATATCAAGGCCTGTCTGGCCCCAAACTCTGTGACCAGAAACTCTGCCTTTTCCTAAACCATTGGTTCTTCACCGTTTATACATCACAAGGCCCATCAAGAATCTCATTAAAGCAACGTGGGGATATCATTGAGCCCAGGAGTTTGAAACCAGCCTGGGCAACATAGTGAGATCCCATCTCTACCAAAAACATAGGAAAAAGCTAGCTGGGCATGATAACATGAACCTATAGTCTCAGTTAAGGTGGGAGGATGGCTTGAGCCCAAAAGGTCAAGGCTGCAGTGAGCTGTGATGGCACCACTACATTCCAGCCTGGGCAACAAAGTGAGACCCTGTCTCAAAAAAAAAAAAAAAGAATCTCATTAAACGTATCTCTGAGAAGTGAACATTAACACCAAATTTTATATGCAACTTCAGAGGGTCCAGGGACACAAACTGCCTGCAGTAGCCCCCCGTGACCTCGTGTGACTGGCAGAGATCTGACACTGATTACGCCAGAGGACTGAGCCAAGGAAGGCAGGCCATGGCCTCCGAGTTCCAGGGGCCTAGACAGACACAGACAAGCACATAAAAAGATAAAAGCATAAACATGTATGCAGACATGTGTGCGTCACTAAAGAATCCTTAAGTTTCTGTCCCTGGGACATCCTCGGCTCAACCTGGCCTATTGTGATCTCCTCACACAGAGGCTATTAAGAGTTGGCAGACTGCATTATCACTGGTCATTGTGATCTCAGCCAAGACTTGGCCAGCCTTGAAAAGGACTTCCCTTCAAAGAGTCTGCAGGTCAAATCGCTTAGGGCTCAGGGACAAACTGGCCGTTGTTCCCAGCTGATAAGCCACCCTATGTCACGTAATCCACCATGGGGACCCTGGATTAGCAGAAGTCAATGGCTGCCCCACCTCCTAAAGTTGAAGAGGAGAGAGACAAAGAAGCAGGAAGCCCCGAGGCCCATCAGAGGCTGCCTCCCGGATGTGCCCCTTCCCCTTCATGACCTCTGCGGTTGGGTTCATTGTTTGGGTTCAGAGAATCATTCGAGGCACCAAACTCAAGGGCCACACCCACCAATGGGTGGCACAAATTTCATCTCAAAGATGATTCAATTTCCCTCAAATGTCCAAGAAAAATAAGACCCAGGACAGTTGAGTTTCGTCTCCTACTTATCATCATGAATAAAACTCTAAGTTCTGCCCTCTGACATTTGATGCAAAGGTCTACGTATCTAATACAAAGGTCTATGCACTGTCTGTTCAGCAATGTCCAAAGTGGGGCCTTTGACAAATGAAACCGTAGTTGAGGTTCATGGCATGAGAACCTCAGTGGAGCTGGAGAGGTCCTGCAGCCTAGGGAAGGCCAGGCAGCAGACATGCTGAGCCTGCTTGAAGGCAGGACCCCAGTCCAATGCCTAGCCTGCAGGTCCCTGAAGCGGGCATTCACCACCCCCTGAGGCAAAATCAGCTTCCTCACCTGGACTCTTGCTTTGTAAGGCTGTGGTTACACCAAACAGCATGATAGGACGCACAAAACAAAATCACAAATCTTCAAGTGATAGGAACCTAGATGATGACTGGGCCTTCTCCTGCTGTACAGGGAAAGCCTCAGGCCCAAAGAATAGGTTCTAGAATTTGGGGAGCCATTCAATGAGATAACAGGTAAGAAGGAGCCCTGTCCAAAGACTAGATTTTTTTTTTTTTTTTTGAGACAGGGTCTTGCCCTCTTACCCAGGCTGGAGTGCAGTGGTGTGATTAAGGTTCACTGCAGCCTCGACCTCCTGGGCTCAAATGATCCTCCAAACTCAGCCTCCCGAGTAGCTGGGACCACAGGCACATGCCACCACGCCTAGATAATTTTTGTATTTTTGTGGAGACAGGGTTTCGCCATGCTGCCCAGGCTGGTCTTGTACTCGTGAGCTCAAGCAATCTACCTGCCTTGGCCTCCCAAAGTGTTGGGGTTACAGGCATGAGCCATTGCTCCCAGCTGAATTTCTTAAATATAAATGAGAACCTCAGCAGCCTAGTGACACCATTCAAGTCTCATTCCAGGGGCAACCAGGGGAAGCAAAGTGGGCTGAGCCAGTTATGTAACTCCCAAGCTTAAACCCCTCCACCTTCCAATCACCCTGAAAACAAAAATCCAAAGTCTACCACAGTGTATCCCTCAGGATGCATCTGGTCACAGGCAACAGAAAACAGGCCCTTATTGATGATTTCACCTGGAAGGTGTTCAGAGCAGGGCAGCTCCTTGCCTGGTAACATCTGCGGATCAACATCTTCCTTCCCATTTCTCTACTGTCTCCTTCATCTTCAGCCAAGCTCTCACCCCTAGAGCTACTCAAGCTCATGCCCATTCAGGTTTTTTATACTTTCCAACCACCCTGCATCCATTACTCACTCCCCAGGTCTTTGCATGGTTCGATCCATCATCATGTCACCCACGTCTGGGATAAAATGTCACTCAGCACAGAGGTGTGGGTCCAAAGGAATCTCACCCCCTCTTCTCCATCATCTTTGTTTCTCTTTCTTCACACATGTATCATTATCAAGAATTGTCAGGCTGAGTGCTGTGGCTCACATCTGTAATCCCAGCACTTTGGGAGTCCAAGGCAGGTGGATTCCTTGAGTCCAGGAATTTGAGACCAGCCTGGGCAACATGGCGAAACCCTGTCTCCACTAAAAATAGAAAAATTAGCTGGGCGTGGTACCACGCGCCTTTAGTCCCAGCTACTTGGGAGGTGAGAGGATTGCTTGAACCCAGGAGGCAAAAGTTGCAGTGAGCCAAGATCATACCACTGCACTCCAGCCTGGGAGACAGAGCGAGACTCTGTCTCAAAAAAAAAAAAAAAAATAGAATTGTCCTGTTATCAGTGTCCCCCACTAAGGGGTGAACTGCATGAGGGAGGACACAGTATGGCATGTCCCCTGCCTGATCCCTACCACCCACCACAGTACCTGGCAGGGAGAAAGTGCAGGGGCTCTTTGCTGAAAGAATGCATGTGTTGCACACATGCTGGAACCCTGACAACTTCCCACTTCATTTCCAGAAAGGAAAAGTCGGTACTGGAAGGTCATTTTATGTCCAGTAGGACAATCCAAGCCCAAATCCTAGACCAGCTCCAGACTTCTGGGTGTCTTGGGGCATGTGACCCCTGCTCTGGAACTCTGTCCTCACCTACAAAATGAGGGTGCAGAATGGACTAGACTAGTGGTTCTCCAATCTGGGCCGCCTGCAGAGAGGCCTTCTAAAACAAATTCCTGCACCTCCACCCTTACTTATTAAAGCAGGATCCAGAAGTTGGGGAAGAGAGGAACCAAGAATTAAAACCTGTAACATACGCACCAAGGTGATAATGATGTCTATTGGGACCTTCAGGTTCTTCTGAACTCAGAGGTACTGGAATAAAGGGCAGGCCCAGGCCCATGGCTGCCACATGGACTCTCCAGAGAACCTTCCAGATGCTCTGCCCAAGCCCAGCTCGTGCAGCTCCCGGAACCAGCTTCCTTTCCCTCCGAGCCTGATCCATGCTCATTCACTCATCCCTGGGATGAGCTAGGAGTGTCAGTCTCTCCCAGCTGACCATCAGCAGCCTTAGGGCTGGAACCCTGTCTGTGATATGCAATGTTCTACTGCTGTCCAGAAACACTGCCTGGCACAATATGTGTCTGTGGGAATGAAGGAATGAACAAGAGCACGCAGGCCCATTACTGTGGGGCTTTTTGGAGCCTGCAATGAATTAAGATGCTCAGAGAGGCCGGGCACGGTGGCTCACCCCTGTAATCCCAGCACTTTGGGAGGCAGAGGCGGGCGGATTTCTTGAGGCCAGGAGCTCAAGACCTGCCTGGCTGACATGGCAAAACCCCATCTCTTCTAAAAATACAAAAATTAGCCAGGCATGGTCGTGCACACCTGTAGTCCCAACTGCTCAGGAGGCTGAGGCAGGAGAATCACTGGAACCCAGGAGATGGAAGCTGCAGTGAGCTGAGATAGCACCACTGCACTCCAGCCTGGGTGACAGAATGAGACACTGTCTCAAAAAAAAAAAAAAAAAAAAAGTCACTCAGAGGATCTCCAGACAAGGAGAGGCCCACCTCCACCCTGTGCAGTCAGGCCCAGAGCCTGGACCATGAAACAGAGGTTGGGACACATTTGCCATAGGGAACAGGGACTGCCCCATACAGTCAGTACTCTATGAATGCACAAGAATGTCATGTATCTTGGGGGCTGATTGAATCCAATAGACAGGGGCCATCTACTCTACTTACTTCAGGCACGTTTGAACTGAATTAACTACCTAGACGCATTCATAAGGTTTTTTCCTTTCCGTCAACTCTTTTTTTTTTTTTTTGAGACAGAGTCTTGCTCTGTCACCCAGGCTGGAGTGCAGTGGTGCAATCTCGGCTCACTGCAAGCTCCGCCTCCTGGGTTCAAGTGATTCTCCTGCCTCCACCTCCTGAGTAGCTGGGATTATAGGCATGTGTCACCATGCCTGGCTAATTTTTTGTATTTTTGGTAGAGATGGGGTTTCACCATGTTAGCCAGGATGGTCTCAATCTCCTGACCTCATGATCTGCCCACCTTGGCCTCCCAAAGTGCTAGGATTACAGGCATGAGCCACCGCATCTGACCCTTTCTGTCAACTTCTATACTAAATTATTTATCTGCTTCTTCTAATCTTCCCAGCAACCTTCTCCCAGGAGAGGTGAATGCCCCAAACTCACCTCAGGGCCGCCCACTCACTACAGAGCCTGTGAACACTTTTCTGTCTACCTGGGATGTTTCTCTGCAGGATGATCATAGATCACCTCAGTGACACCCGCTCATCCTTCAGACAGCAGCTCTCACATCACCTCCTAAGGGAAGCCCTCCCAGATTTCTCCTGTTCCCTCACAGAACTGGGCTCCTTTCCCTCAGAACATACCCTTTCTTCACTAGTCCCTCAATAAGTAGTGGCGTACACTGAATTACTTCATTCACATCTGTCCCACGCATAAAACTGGAAGAGCCCCACCACCAGAGACAGGGTTGGGTCTTTCCCACCTGCCAGAGCCTGGCACATTTGTAACCAGAGAAGTGCATGATGGTAATGGAAGCCAAGGACCACACAACCGGCAAGCGGCCTACCCAGGATCTGAGCCCAGAACTTTCTGACTCCAGGCCAGGCGTGGTGGCTCACGCCTGTAATCCCAGCACTTTGGGAGGTGGATCACCTGAGGTCAGGAGATTGAGACCAGCCTGGCCAACATGGCGAAACCCCATCTCTACTAAAAATACAAAAATTAGCCGGGCGTGGTGGCGCAAACCTATAATCCCAGCTACTTGGGAAGCTGAGACACAAGAATCACTTGAACCCCAGAGGCAGAGGTTGCAGTGAACCAAGATTTCGCCGCTGAACTCCAGCCTGAGAAGCAAGAGTGAAACTCCATCTCAAAAAAACAAAAAAAACTTTCTGACTCCAGTGCCCAGAGTCAGTGGCTCAGCAGCTCATGGACTCAGTGCTGAGTGCCGTCCATGCCCAGAGCACAGCACGGGCACCAGAGAGGGCTCCCCTAGGGCTGCTACCTGCCAGCCTCTCAGGTCCCTCTGCTCTGTCACTCTCTAGTGCCCCAATGGCTCCTAACGGCTTAAAATGGAGAATTAAAATCAGGAGATGTCAATGGGCTGGTTCATGTTCTTGACTTTGCCCCACAAAAGAATCTGAGAGCTAGTCCAAAGTAAAAGTAAACAAAAGGGTTTATTACAAAGCAGGCTGGGCCCGGTGGCTTACGCCTGTAATCTCAGCACTTTGGGAGGCCAAGGTGGGTAGGTCACCTGAGGTCAGGAGTTCGAGACCAGCCTGGCCAACATGGCAAAACCCTGTTTCTACTAAAAATACAAAGATTAGCCGGTGTGGTGGTGCACACCTGTAATTCCAGCTGCTAAGGAGGCTGAGGCAGAAGAATCGCTTGAACCTGGGAGGCGGAGGTTGCAGTGAGCCAAGATCACACCATTGCACTCCAGCCTGGTGACAGAATAAATTTCCGTCTCAAAAAAAAAAAAAGAGTTTATTACAAAGCAAAACAACCCTCTGACAGCTCATCAAAAGTGAGACAGCTCCGTGTGATGGGAGGGATCTTCCTTTATGGGAGATTTGCATGATTATTCATCAAGGGGCAAGAAAGAGGGGCTGCTACGAAACACGTTGGGGGTGCTTTATGAGGCCTGCATATTCAGTGGCTGTACGCGCTATTACATACATCGCATGTCTCATTAAAATCTTAAATCTCTACCCATGGGTATAGCTAAACTAAAGTTTTTTTTTAGCATCAAAAAGAGCCTAGGTCAGTTTGAGGTCATTAGTTCCAGGTTTCCGCACCTGTGCAGGCCTGGGGATTTTTTTTCCCTCAGTTCTTCCTCCTCTTTGCTACAGGATGTCTTTAACCACAAGCCCCCGATGCGGTTCATGGAATACCAAGTGGCTTGTTCTTGCCATAAATTTGATAAGTGTTTTTTTAAAGAGAGGCTCTACTATCTAACCTACCTCAGAGAGACAGACACCTGGCCTGCCCGCCCCCTTCACAAGAAGCTCCAAGCACTCCGAACATCTTTCAGGAAGACACTGGCAATGTTGCAGCAATGAGAAGGGGATGATTTGGAAGGCAGCCTGAATCACGCTGCCCTTATCAGCATGCTTGGATTGTGTCCCTTCTTGTCTGACTTTTCAGACAGACATTGGGCTATAAAATTGGGATGCAGCTCTGTCATCAACAGTCTGGCGGCAGGAGCAGAAGGAAAGGCAGCTTCCGAAAACTTGGACCCATCCACCCCAGGCAAGGTAAGAACTTGCTGCGTCGAACGGGTGAAAGAGAAGGTCCAGCTCTCAGGTAGCAACAAGCAACGCACAGTCCATCTAAGGACCCATAACGAGGGTTTATGCATTTTTTGATCGCTTTAGCAATGTCCCTCCCCTGCTGAAATGCACTCTGCCTAGCACAGGGAAGGTGGTTGACAATTGCCTGTTATGCATTGGTTTTCAGAGAATGGATTTAGTCCTGGGATTCTCAAAAGGTTTCACTCAAGTCAAAGTCTGACAATATTGCCATCAACTCAGTCACAGGCATAGATTTTTTTTTTCTGCGAAAGTATGCTTAGATGTCATGTGAGATACTGAGGTTGAATTTCCCGCAGATGAGAGTAAAATTTTAAAAACTAATGAAGCTGTGTTGAGATTTTTTTCATAAGGCCTAATTAATTCAAACTGAAGAATTCTCACTGGCTTCATTCAGATTGTACCCTTCCTCACATTCCTGCCATAGTTGCTCTTCTTTTTTAGGGATAGAGTCTCGATCTGTTGCCCAGGCTGGAGTGCAGTGGTGTGAACTTGTCTCACTGCAGCCTCAACTTCCTGGGCTCAACCGATCCTCCCACCTCAGCCTCCCAAGTAGCTGAGATTACAGGTGTGAACCACCACGCCCAGCTAATTTTTTTTTTTTTTTTTTTTTGTAGAGACGGGGTCTCACCCTTTTACCCAGGCCGGGATAGACACTTTTTTAGGGTGTTGGCAAATGGCAAATGGCTTGCTTTTGTTAATGCCTATACATGGCAAGGGCAAAGATTCACAACCCAGCCTGGCGCAGTGGTTCACACCTGTAATCCCAGCACTTTGGGAGGCCGAGGCAAGTGGATCACCTGAGGTCAAGAGTCAGAGACCAGCCTGACCAACATAGTGAAACCTCTTCTCTACTAAAAATACAAAAATTAGCTGGGTGTGGTGGTGTGCACCTGTAATCCCAGCTACTCAGGAGGCTGAGGCACGAGAGTCACTTGAGCCTGGGAAGTAGAGGCTGCAGTAAGCCAAGATTGCCCCACTGCACTCCAGCCTGGGTGACAGAGCAAGACCTTGTGGGGGGGGGGGGGGGGGGGAAAGGCCCCCAACCCAATTTTACAAAACAAGCTCACCTTGCCTCACCAAGGTAAAATGCCAGGGGACACAAACCTCCACCTCACCCTAAACATTAGAGGGAAAAACTTGGGAATCACACTTTTGGAGGAAAGTGAGGGTCAGTGGTGGGGATCAATCTCTGAAAGTCACCCAGCACAGCTCACACTCAAACAGGGGTGTCCTGACTGGGTGTGGAACCAGCTCTCTGCCTCCTGAGTCTCAGAATCCTCAGTGTGAGCAGACATATGCACACACCCCAGTGACAAGAGATAGACCTGAGAGTGCAGCTGCAGGATTCAGAACTCTCCAGTTCCCCAGTTAGTGACTCAGATGGCTCCAGGGATGTGACAGAGGAAGGTGGCATGAGAATATGTGACCTGAAGGTAACACCAGTGAGCAGGGCTTGGCCTGTACTTAAACGCAATGACCAGCCTGGAGAGTAGGTCTATGCACAGTTGAAAAGAAGTAGGGAGGTCAAGGCGGGTGGCTCACGAGGCCAGGAGTTCGAGACCAGCCTGGCCAACATGGCAAAACCCTGTCTCTACTAAAAATACAAAAATTAGCTAGGCGTGGTGGCAGGCACCTGTAATCCCAGCTACTCAGGAGGCTGAGGCAGAAGAATCGCTTGAACCCGGGAGGCGGAGGTTGCAGTGAGCCAAGATCATGCCATTGCACTCCAGCCTGGGTGACAGGAGCAAGACTCCGTCTCGAAAAAGAAAAGAAAAGAAAATAAGTAGGAAAAAGCCCTTTCTTCAAGACACTGACTGCTACATACTGCAACATTTTCCCATGACTGCAGCATACAGACTAGAATATCTACGATGGGAATGGCACCCTCCCGCAAGGGCCAGGACCCTGGTATGTGGACGTCCTACACAAACGTACATTGTGGCCTGATGGTCCCTGGGGAATGTGGTGTCTGAAGAAGCCCTCTTTTGCAGGTATCAGCCACCACGATGCTGACTCTCTGGGCCCTGGCTGTCATGTTGGCGGTCGAGGAAGCACTTGGCCAGCTGGAGCTCGCAGATAGGCCTTCCCTAATACCCACTTTGCCTGTCCGTTTTCCACCTGGATTGCTCCCTGGAAGTCTGTCAGTCTCAAAAGTCCCTCTAACCGGAAAATACCCAGCGAGGACCAAAGGAGGCAGGTGTCCACCCGTCACCAAGTACTTCATATCTGACAGCAAACTCGAAGACTGTAAGTAAGGGCTACACACCCTTGGTCCTTTCAGCCCCTCACGCAGGCTTCTCATTCCTAAGCTCAGCGGGGGGTTCTGTCTTCTGAACATGTGGGTCCCGAACATGAGGGGGTGTTGGACTCACCTTAGAAGCTTGTGATAGAACAGTTGCCCAGGCCCCCCTAGCCATTCTGGTCCGGCACTACTGCAGTGGGCCTGAGAGTCTGGCTTCCTCATCTGCTCCAAGATGGCACTGAGGCTGCTTGTCCAGGGTCCACACGTAGGTTAGGGGTGGTCTACACAACCCTGGAGGAGGGAACTCTCCCACCCGGCAGACTGATTACCTCCCACCTCACCTGGAGACTGTGCGGAGAGACTGCCCATCCCCTCCCTGCTGGGCCCCAGGGCTCACCCAGACTCCCACAGGTGCTGAAACCTCAATCCGCTTTAACAGGAGCCAGGAAATGGGAAATCTGGGCCCCGCCATCATCCCCTTGACCAGACTTGTTCTCTCCAAACTCCTTTTGTTCACTCACTCCCTGAGTCTCACCTCCTGCATTAGACAATGAGGAATTCTTTCCTCCAAGAACCCCGCAGAGGGTGAGGGCAGAGCAACTCAGGAATTTAAGGCTGGGCAAAGAAGTGACTCCCACTGAGGAGCCAGAAGGAGCAGGGATTTATTAGCAAATGAAGGCCAGCAGGAAGGCTCTCAGTGCTCTGACGCCAGCCTCGCAGTCATGGCCCACCTCAGCCATCCAGGATGAGAGGACAGGGCCACACAGGGAGACCTGGCACATGCTGCATGACCAAAGGGCCAGCCCCACAACTACAATGCGGACTGCTTTGACTCGGGAAGAACATGTGCTTTGCTCTTCCAGCAGCCTTCCTTGGTACAAAATACTTCAAATATATAGAAAAAAGACCAGACATGGTTTAAAAAAAAAAAAAAAAGACAGCTTTGTACCCATCACACAGTGATTTGGAGGTAATGGTGGTTAATTTTGGTTGCTTTGTTTTGTTTTTGTTTGTGTTTGTGTTGAGACAGGGTCTTGCTCTGTTGCCTAGGCTGCAGTCCAGTGGCACGAGGCCCCTTCACTCCATGCCCAAATCCCTTTAGATGTACTCAACAGCAGGCTGATCTCATAGTAGTTACTAATAAATGGTAGCTCTTAATAAGGGCACAGGCAAATTTCTCTGACACCAGGCTGTCCTTGGAGTAGGCAGTAGCAAGCACTGTTTTTTCCAGGAGGCACCATATACAGTTCCTATGGACCCCTCAATTCAAATGTGCCAGCTGCCTGGCAGGAAAGCTTCTTCTTGCTGAACCAACTGGGAAGGCCACAGCAAGAATGTGTCTCTTGACCCTTTTCAGATATGAATGCCACCTTGCCCCTGCAGATTGAGAAGATTCTGAAGTGTGAGAAGGTTAACTTGGCTGGTTTGCTTGGGACCGTATTATCCACAGTGAGCGACTTGGACCTGCTGTCTCTATTAGACCTCACTTCACCCCTTGATATACTTGGAGGTGCCAGCCTCAGTGGTATCCTAGGTGAGGGAAGTGGCGGCAAGTCCTCGAAACTTCCATTGCTCTCAGAACTCACTGGTGCTGTCAGTGGTCTGCTACCCCAGGGGACGGAGGGTCTGGTGAGCCTACTACCCACTGGTTCAGACAAGAACCCTGTAAAAGGACTCCTCGGTGGCACTGGTCTCTCCACTCTCCAGCGGCCTCTGAAGGATGTGACCGACAAAGTCCAAGACCTCAAAGAGTCTGCTCAGGGCGTGCTGAACAGCACCCTGCCCTCAGGCATCAGCGATGCACTCCCAGACCTGCTGAAAAATGCTGACCTGGAACAGCTCTTGCTGGGGTAAGTGCTTCCTTGACCCTATGTATGACTTCTCCACCAGAAACCTGCTGATTTGGATGCTCATGTTCAACTTCCAACAGTCCCACGGATTGGGATGGGTATATTGCTTGAGATTGATATATTTCACCAGAAATATTCTCGCTCTATGCTGTGCCTATATCCTTTCAGGGGGAAACAGGATCAAGATTTTTGAGCTTATAGGCCTGGGCACATTAGACAGCTGAGGGGTCAAGGGACTGGATGGTGGCTTGGTAGGCTGTTAATTATCTGCTTCAAAGGCATTTCTCCTGCTGTCCAGGCTGATTCGTTGAAACAGGACTGACTCTTGATGCTTTCGCTTTGCAGATTACAGGTTGAAAAAGTAACTGTGGAGAGCATGAAGTCAACCACGACAGGCGATGGGATCCATGTCCAAGCCACGACTACGGCCTTCATAGGTGGAAAAGGGTGAGTCTGTGCACACAGCAGTCCACTGGGTCCCCCTGCCCCAGGGTTGTAACATCCAGTGAGCAAAGACCAGGTAGAGACAACAGAGAGGACAGCAGCATGGGTGAGGATGGGGCAAAGCGGGCACTGCACACAGCTGCCCCTCTCCCCAAGTACAGGTGGGCAAGGCAAGAGAATGGTCCAGGGAGCCTCATCCTCCAATAATGTGAACAAAAATGTTGACGGGCTGGGTGTGGTGGCTCACGCCTGTAATCCCAGCACTTGGGGAGGCCTAGGCGGGCGGATTACGAGGTCAGGAGATCGAGCCCATCCTGGATAACACAGTGAAACCCCGTCTCTACTAAAAATACAAAAAAATAGCTGGGCGTGGTGGCGGGCGCCTGTAGTCCCAGCTACTCGGGAGGCTGAGGCAGGAGAATGGCGTGAACCTGGGAGGCGGAGGTTGCAGTGAGCCGAGATCACGCCACTGCACTCCAGTCTCGGTGACAGAGCGAGACTCCATCTCAAAAAAAAAAAAAAAAAGAAAATGACAGGACCCACTCACCCCACCCACCCCACTAAGCCACTAGGGAAGGCAAAACTAGGTCATGAAAAGTGCTGAAAGAGGCAAGGTTTTAGACTCAGTTAGTTTCACTTACAGGAATCTGTCCAAAAAACCTAAGTACAGATACATTTAAACACAAAGACATAGGGGTATTCATGATGGGAATTTAAAAAACAAAAAACCTGAAACAAAAAGCAAATAATTAAACCAAGTACAAGATTAGAAATGCTGACAACATTTATAATGGTATACAGAAATGCTTGTGAAGTTGTTTTTTTTTTGTTTTGTTTTTGAGACAAGGTCTCACTCTGTCACCGGGGCTGGAGTGCAGAGGCACAATCACAGCTCACTGCAGCCTGGATCTCCTAGGTTCAGGTGATCCTCCCACCTCAGCCTCTCAAGTAGTTGGGACCACAGGTGTGTGCCAAGGTGCTCAGCTAACTTCTTTTTTTTTTTTTAATTTTTTGTGGAGACCAGGTCTTGCTATGTTGCTCAGGCTGCTCTCAAACTCCTGGGCTCAAGCAATCCTCCTGCCTGGGCCTCCCAAAGTGCTGGGATTACAGGTGTGAGCCACCACGCCCAGCTATTGTTAGTTTTATTTTATTTTATTTTGAGATGGAGTCTCATTCTGTCGCCCAGGCTGGAGTGCAGTGGCGTGATCTTGGCTCACTGCAACCTCTGCCTCCTGGATTCAAATGATTTTTCTGCCTCAGCCTCCCGAGTAGCTGGGACTACAGGTGCACACCACCACACCTGGCTAATTTCTCTGTTGTTGTAGTAAAGATGGGGTTTCTCCATGTTCATCAGGCTGGTCTCAAACTCCTGACCTCAAATGATCTGCATGCCTCGGCCTCCCAAAGTGCTGGGATTACACGTGTGCACCACCATGCCCAGCTATTGTTGGTTTTTAAACTAACAATAGCAAAGTTTACTTTGCTGAAACTTCTAACTTTCCTGCTCTGTGGAGTTTGCATTTCATAAGCAGGGGGAAATGCATATTAACCAATGAAGGTCAGAATATCCATGAAAGGAAATTACAGACAAGATGGGCTTTGGAATGTGGGAAGGAATGAGGGCCTGCCAGGCTGACAGCGCATGTACAGGAAGGTAAGGAATGTGACTGTTGGCCAGGCGAGGTGGCTCACACCTAGAATCCCAGCACTTTGGGAGGCCAAGGTGAGTGGGTCGCTTGAATCCAGGAGTTGGAAACCAGCCTGAGCAACATGACAAAATCCTGTCCCTACAAAAAATCCAAAAATCAGCCAGGCATGGTGGCATGTGCCTGTAGTCCTAGCTGCTAGGGAGGCTGAGGTGGAAGGATCACTTGGATAGGAGGAGGCAGAGGTTGCAGTGAGCCGAGATTGCACCGCTGCACTCCAGCCTGGCAACAGAGTGAGACTCTGTCTCAAAAAAAAAAAAAAGTGACACAGATACACACACACACACACACACACACACCTTACTGGTAGAAACACTTAAACAAGGGCCATTCACCTGAAAAATAATGAATGTGGCTTCTCCTGGAAAGTCAGAGATCTGGGTGCCCTGAGCCTAACTGCATGGGGTCCACGGGCAGCCGGAGCTCAGCAGCAGCTCCTCCTTCACCAGGTGCCTGCCCTCAGGGCACTGCAAACCCCACCATGCCCACGGTCCCGCACCACAGTGGAGTTGGGGAGGTCAACAGCCACGTGTCCTCAGGCTCCTCCCACAGCAATACCTTCAGGACCACCTCACCCTCCACCTCCCCAGTCAGACCTCCAAAGGCATTGAAATGGGTGTCGGTCTCATGTGATTACCGAGATGTTTTTTCTGCTTTTTCACTCTAGGCTAAAGCCCACTTTAACAAAAATACCGTCACTGTGCCTGGAAGTTCTCTCTCTTCAGACACTAAAAATGTCAGCGTTTCCCTAATTCTGTCCTACGCGATGCTGAAGGTCATCATCACTCACACTGCCAAGCAGAGCTCTGTGCAGGTAAGGGTCGTCCACAGGGCCCGGCGTGGCTCAGCACTTTCCTCAAGCTCAGCCGGTCAGCCTCTGACAGCAAGAAGGTGGGGGTGAAAGTGGATTCTGAATGTTCTTTCAGGTTAATACACGACTGCCATGGGATGCACCTTTTCCCTTCATTGTCATGTAAATGGGTCCTGGTTTATGTTGGTGGAAAGCAGAGAACAGGGACTTGGGGAGAAAAATGTGGTCTGAAGCCGGGTGAGGTGGCTCATGCCAGTAATCCCCACACTTTGGGAGGCCGAGGCAGGCAAATTGCTTGAGTCCAGGAGTTCAAGACCAGCGTGGACAACATGTTGTCACCTTATCTCAGCAAAAAATTAGCCAGGCGTAGTGGTGCATGCCTGTAAGTCCCAGCTACTTGGGAGGCTGAGGCAGGAGGATCACCAGAGCCAGGGAGGTTGAGGCTGCAGTGAGCTGTGATTGCATCACTATATTGCAGCCTGGGTGACAGAGTGAGACTTTGTCTCAGAAAAAAAAAAGTGGGGGAGGAGGGGTTCTAAGTGCCATCTGTGTGCTAGGGGCAAAACCAGGTGTCTTTACATAACCAACATCATTTCATCCTCAAAACAGCACTAGGATGTAGGGTTTCTTATCCCCGTTTTACAGATGACGAGAGTGAGGGAAGGAAGCACCAACAGTCACAGAATGAGCAAAAAACATAAGGCAGTTGTTCATTTGCTACCGGCCCTAGAAGTGGCAGAGGGAATAGTAGCAATAGTAACAATCATAATTGACTTTTCTCTATGTGCCAGGCTCTCTTTGAAACAAAATATAATTTTTTTTAAGAGTGTGTCCCAAAGTGATCAAATGATCAAGTGCAGAACTCTCTTCCCACAAAGGCATACAGAGAGACAGGCTTCAGATTGGACAAGGTGTAATAGAAAAGTAAGATTTTACATGTTGCATGCCCCCACCATCCTTCAAAGAAAGGAAACATTATCAAGGTGAATGTTTAGAAATAGGCCTTGTCTGTCATGGTCACACCAGCTGCACCAGCACCCAGGTGACCAACTTACACCAGACGATAAATATTTGTATGTATGATCTGAATGATGCGAGAGTGTTTCATACTGCAACATCCTGCAGCCCTTACTCAACACACTCTAAATGACTACTTCTTTCCAACAGAGAAATAACCTGGATGCAAGAATCACCAAACTAACCTACTCCCACCGGCCAGACATAAAATCTAAGCCAGCTACTGGGTTAACATCACCAAGGACGGTGGGAGCTTTGTCACCGGGCAAACGGTGAGTGCTGAGAAATGAATCAGAGCAGAGTTGAGAGGAAGAATTGCAAGGAGCAGTGTTTAGTGGGTTTAGTTACTCCCTAAACTCTGAGGCTCAGAGTGTCTGGGTGTCCCTAGGATGAGGGAGTCCAGCCAGGCTGGTGGGCTCAGCCCCCAAAGGGAGAATGGAGTGAGCAGGTTGGCTTAGGAGGATAAGGCCAGGCAGACAACCCTCTGACCTGGGACCCTGTTGGCCATCGCGCACTGTGACATGTTTGCTGAGTAGCCAGGCCAAGGTGTTATTGTTAACTCATGTTCATTTTGTATTAATTCAGGAATTAATCATCTCATTCGTGAGCAAGATTTCGAAAGACAAACTGATCACAGACATCAAACTTCTGAGGTACTGTCTGTAACTACATAATCTGCCTGTCTATATAAGAGATATCTAAGGTCTGATAAAAATCGCATAACCGGCTGGGTGCAGTGGCTCACGCCTGTAATCCCAGCACTTTGGGAGGCCGAGGTGGGTGGATCACAAGGTCAGGAGTTCGAGACCATCCTGGCCAACTTGGTGAAACCCTGTCTCTACTAAAAATACAAAAATTAGCTGGGTATGATGGCAGGTGCCTATAATCCCAGGAGGCTGAGGCAGGAGAATTACTTGAACCCGGGAGGCAGAGTTTGCAGTGAGCTGAGATCATGCCACTGCACTCCAGCTCTGGGCAACAGAGCAAGACTCTGTCTCTAAGGAAAAAAAAAAAAAACTACATAAGCAAAATAATCACAAGGTTCTTGGGAAGTATCTGCAAAATTACAGAGAAATCAGGATGGAGTTTTGAACTCACATGCTGTTGTTCATCTTACATTGACTCTTTCTGCTCAGTAGTTTCCAATTTATAAGTGACTTTAAGGAGCAACTGACATCCTACTTAGCTCTACAATGGAGTTGTATTTTCACCTGAATCTAATATTTCTCTGTACTTTGTTTCCTGACAGCTCTGAACACAATACAACACCCCCCAAGTTTCTTATGTTTTCAATATATTTATTGATGGTATGTGAGAAAAGATTGTAGTGCCAGGTGCTCAGTGCCATACACACTCTGGAAAGAAAAGGTCAGGAATGGCCAGGCATGGTGGCTCACACCTGTAATTCCAAGACTTTGGGAGGACGGGGTGGTTGGATCACCTGAGGTCAGGAATTCAAAACTGGCCTGGCCAACATAGTGAAACCCCATCTCTATAAAAATACAAAATTAGCCAGGCGTGGTGGCGCATGCCTATAATCCCAGCTACTCAGGAGGCTGACGCAGGAGAATCGCTTGAACCCAGGAGGCGGAGGTTGCGGTGAGCCGAGATCGATCGCACCATTGCACTCCAGCCTGGGCAACAAAAGCAAAACTCCATCTCAAAAAAAAAAAGAAAAGAAAAAATGTACACATCGATTGTATGTAAATTACACATACCTCAATAAAGCTGTTAATAGTGTGTATGGTATACAATCATTTGTATAAAATAATCACAAATATAAATCATTTTATACACAGAGATTATCTCTGAAAAGATACATTAGAAAATGATTAATGTGCTGGATTTTGTAAAAGGGAACTAGGGGATTAGTAGGCGGGAAGGTGATTGATTACAGATACCTACTGTATTGTTTGGATTATTTACCATATGTATGTTTTACCTTTTGTTTGTTTGTTGTTTTTGAGACAGGGTCTCACTCTGTCACCCAGACTGGAGTGCAGTGGTGCACTCTCAGCTCACTGCAGCCTCCACCTCCTGGGTTCAAGCCATTCTCCTGCCTCAGCCTCCCGAATAGCTGGGATTACAGAGATGTGCCACCACGCCTGGCTAATTTGTGCATTTTTAGCAGAGACGGGGTTTCGCCATGTTGGTGAGGCTGGTCTCAAACTCCAGACCTCAAGTCATCCACCCGCCTTGACCTCCCAAAGTGCTGGGATTACAGGCGTGAGCCACCACACCCGGCCTGTTTTACCTTTTTATAAAAATTGAAATAATTTCAAAACCTGCTTTAAGTGCCTTCTGAAGAAAGGACTAGGGTAAGGAACCATCACAGATAAATGTTCTCAATAGAAGACGGACCCTAAGAGTAGAAACCAATCCTTGAGCGCTGAACCAGCACCTGAGGAAGAGGTTCCTGTTGTGCAGGTAAATGAAGAAGGTCTAAAGGACATCATGGCCAGACACACAATAAAAGCCCCAGTATATCCTAATATACACAATCTGTTTGAGAAGTAAAATCTTTTGATGATCTCTCCCATTTGATAAGACCTTATAATGTTCCATGGACTGTGCTAAACTCTCTAGAAGCATGATTGTGTCACTGAATTCCACGTGAGATATGCATGTGATTATCTTCATGTTTCACATCAAAAAACCAAGCCAGGCTGGGCACAATGGCTCATGCCTGTAATCCCAGCATTTTGGGAGGCCGAGGCAGGCGGATCACTTGAAGTCAGGAAGGAGTTTGAGACCAGCCTGGCCAACACAGTGAAACTCTTTCTCTACTAAAAATAAAATAAAAAATTAGCTGGGCGTGGTGGCAGGCGCCTGTAATCCCAGCTACTTGGGAGGCTGAGGCAGGAGAGAATCGCTTGAACCCAGGAGGCAGAGGTTGCAGTGAGCCAAGATCGTGCCACTGCACTCCAGCCTGGGTGACAGAGCGAGGCTCCACCTCAAAAAAAAAAAAAAAAAAAAAAAAAAAACACACAAGACAGAGAAGAGGAGAAGAGTAAATTAACTACTCAATTTCAGACAACTCTCAAGCAATAAAGTGGGGATGTGAACCAAAGTCCTCTGACTCCAAAAATTCCATGCTACCATCTCTTGGATATTTTTTTCATGATACCCACAGAATGAAATAACCTTGGTGGTGAAGGGGGCTGAGAACCACTACTCGAAACCTACTAATAGGTCCAAGGGAAAAGAGACATAATTTTTTTAAAGCCTAAAAAGTAATGACATCTTTTTTTTTTTTTTTTTTTGAGACTGAGTTTCGCTCGTCGCCCAGGTTGGAGTGCAATGGCGCGATCTCGACTCACTGCAACCTCCACCTTTTGGGTTCAAGCTATTCTCCTGCCTCAGCCTCCCAAATTGCTGGGATTACAGGCACCCACCACGATGCCCAGCTAATTTTTTTTGTTATTTTTAGTACAGACAGTGTTTTGCCATGTTGGCAAGACTGGTCTTGAACTCCTGACCTCAGGTGATCCACCTGCCTCGGCCTCCCAAAGTGCTGGGATTACAGGCGTGAGCCACTGTGCCCCACCTGGTAATGACATTTTCTAAAACTCCAAGTGCTGTCAGACCTCACAGGCTGAAAAAGAGGTCCACTGGTGGCAAAGGCCAGGGAGGCTTTGGAGGGCAAGGAGGCTTCCAAGGAGGCAGAGGAGGAAGAAGAGACCACAGCTACAGGAAAGAAGATGAAGTTTGAAAAGCTTCTTCTATCCTTGTCTTTTCCTCTTCCATTTGAAAGGACTCGGGTTTTTACTCTGTGCCTGATCCATCACAGAGCCTTCTGAGGACATTCCAAGATTGTCTACAGTCCTGTGGTCCACTTGGAAATTCAGACAGATAATATTTCAAGGGGATAGTTGGTTTTGACTGAATACTCATGAAAACTTTTAAAGAAATGAGTGATAGAGCTAACCCATATCTGTAAGTTTTGATGGTTTTTCTTGTTTTTTATTTTTTTGAGAAAGGGTCTTGCTCTGTCACCCAGGCTAGGGTGTGGCGGTGTAATCGCGGCTCACTGCAGCCTCTATCTCCTGGGCTCAAGTGATCCTCCTGCCTCAGCCTCTCAAGTAGCTGGGACTACAAGGCCTGCACCACCACACCCAGCTAATTTTTTTTTTTTTCCTGTAAAGTCAGGAAACCTGCCACATTGCTCAGGTTGGTCTCCAACTCCTGGGCTCAAGCAATCCACGTGCCTCAGCCTCCCAAAGTGGTGGGATTACTGGTATGAGCCACCATCCCCAGCTTATGTTTTGAATTAATAGTTGTTTTTTTTTTTTTTTTTTTTTTTTTTGAGACGGAGTCTTGCTCTGTCCCCCAGGCTGGAGGGCAGTGGCATGACCTCAGCTCACTGCAGCCTCCACCTCCCAGGTTCAGTGATTCTCCTGCCTCACCCTCCTGAGTAGCTAGGACTACAGGTGCCTGCCACCATGCCCGGCTAACTTTTGGATTTTTCTTTAGCAGAGTCAGGGTTTCACCATGTTGACCAGGCTGGTCTTGATCTCCTGAGCTCAAGTGATCCACCCGCCTCAGGCTCCCAAAGTGCTGGGATTATAGGTGTGAGCCACCGCGCCCAGACAATATTGTTTCATCTCATGTAAGAAAACATTTTTTTCCAACAAATAATTTTTTTATGTTGGGGGTTGTAAAGGAAAGCAGAGTGTTTTATCAACTTTTTTGCTTGAGTGGCTTTAGAACAATTTAAAAGTCAACTTTGGTGCCAGATAAAAAGAGGTCCATGAGGGAAATCCTCAGGTAAAACATGCAAAATAAAGTGCAGCGATAGGCAGCTAAGTCAGTGGCATCCAATGCAAATGTCAGAAAGGTCGAGAGCAGTTTTCCCAAGCAAATGGTTCTCCCCACCTTCCTCTCCTTCAGTCTCTGCCTCCTAGGGCCCAGGGGAGAAAACCTGAGAGGGAGCAGTGTCCACAGGAGAAACTGGGTGGGGAAACACTTAACACAGACTGCAGGGAAAACTCCAGAAACACTAACCAAGGTAAAAACGAAGTCAAAGTGAGAGACAAAGGGTTAACCTTAGTTTAGGTAAATTTAATGACTGTAAAAGCTGTTCACATAGCAGCTTTAAAGAGACACGTTTTCCACTGACATAAAGTTGCTTCGCCCCTTGCAGCTTATCTCCACCTTCATGACCTGTTTCCTCAGTGGCAGGCAATGTCTCCCCTTCCTGTTGGGGAGGATTGCCCAAGTCAGCTCTGAGGCCATCCTCTCAGGTCAGCAATATGCAGAAGAGTCCCTCAGAGTGGTCCTGCAGAGAACATGTCCCCTAAGTGTCTGAGAACTGGCTGAGGTGATCTGAAAGAAAACCAGGCAGAAGAAGGCAAAATAACTAGGACTGTAGCACTGGGACTTCATGTGGAGCCTCTAGAGGAGAAGCCCCCAAAAGGAATCTGATGGAGGCGACCGGCTGGCAGAGACCACATGGCTCCTGTGTGCCCCCGATCCTGGCAGGAAGCGAGGTCTCATGGAATGGCAATGGATATAATTTAAGAAGTCAAAGCAGGTCAGTCCCAGCCACTTCTCCCTTTTCTCTTGGAAGATGGCTCCTCCTCAGC
The DNA here is from genome assembly GCF_000001405.40 of Homo sapiens. NCBI lineage: Eukaryota > Metazoa > Chordata > Mammalia > Primates > Hominidae > Homo > Homo sapiens. Next base: position 33,359,384 of record NC_000020.11, read on the forward strand.
TCTAACCATAAAATTCAGGTGAAACTGCCCATCACAGGCCCTGCCCTCCTAACTCCAAGGCTGATCCAGTCAAATCCTTCCTTAGGATATTTACAGCCAACATTTGGTGAGAAATGTTCTCTCTCCTCCAATTGAGAGCTAAAAGAATGTGACCCCAAAGTTATCTGTGGTCACATGTCTTATCATAAGAGCAAGTCAGTCCATTAGTAAATCCTTACTAAGTACATATTTTGTACCCGGAATTGCCCTAGGTGCTAGAAGATAAACAAAGATAAACAAACAGAAACAAAACAGGCATTTTCCCTGCCCTTAAAGGAACTTCTGTGGATGCTCTAGGGCATCAGTCTGTGTCCTGCCAGCTTCTGGTTCTGAGGCGAAGCAGATATGAGAACAAGACAGGGAAGGTGGCAGTAGCAGAACTGGGCAGTGTGAGAAGAGAAGGCAGAAGAAAGGAAGAAATGGAAGGAGACAATAAGAGAAGCATATCGCCAGTGAAAGGGAGAAAGAAAGAGAGAAAGAAAGGGAGAGAAAATCCCACAGCCATATAGCTGATCTGTGAGTCCAGGGAAGAGACCCAAGAAACTCGAGCACATGTAAGTTAAAGAGGCCTGAGCCGTCAGAGATCACAAAGAAAATGTTGATCTCCAACAGGGAACACTCTCTACTCACTCGAAATCACTCCACCTCCTGGCCTCTCTGCAGCGAGAAACTACATGCCACTGCATACTCCAAACTCACCAAATTCCCACAAAGAACGCTTCCAGGGCAGGAGAATAGGTAAGAAGAATAAGAAGGCATTAGTAAGGAGCAGTCTAAAATCCAATCCAAAGTGCCCTTCCATTGTACTGGTTGAGAGGGGATTTTTATTTTACTAAAATGTGTCTCTAGGAAAAAACTTTATTACCACAAATATCCAAACCAACACTCATTTCACAGTGCAAGCCAAAAGCCCAAAAGGACTCCTCACCTTCACCAGCACATAGTCCCCAGGCTGGGCTCTGACCCTGAGCCCAGGGTTATTGACATCCTCCATCTCTGCATCAGGGAAGATCACCTTAAGGTTTCCATCATTCCTGCCACACAGGTCAGTGGCAGAGCGTTTACTGAGCTGCAGAAAGAAGAGAGAAGAGTTCGTGGATTTGTCACAGTTGTAAGTTCTTGGAGGGTAGAAACTGTGCCTTCTCTGTCTCGGATCCCCAAGAGTCTGACCCACAGAGCATTCCTTAACCAAGGAATCACTGAAGACTCAGTGTTTGCTGCTGCTTCACCAGCAAGGGCAGTGTATGGCCCACAACAGAAACACTGTAAAGTTTTGCTAACTATATTATAATGAATCAATTAATCAATAAGTCTGTGCAGAACTGCCTTCTGCAGGAATGGACCTCCAACAGGCCTAAAGCCAGAGACTTATGAGCGATGCATTTGGAAAACCAACTTTCACTTCACCCAGTCTCATACTAGTCACTTATGAATGAATGTTCTGGGATTGTTTGGCCTGCATTACTTGCCCTCACTGAATAGACAGACTGAAAGGCAGAATCTCCAACACAACACACAGAAGACAGAGCCAGGAAGATACTAACATCACTATGATGGGATTAACTTCTAGAGTCTACGGAAACCCTTCTCTTCCAGCCATGGTAAAGAGACAGAAACAAGTTTACCCTTCAGCCTTATAAATAATAACCAGCAAATTGGGTAAAATATATGAAACAACTGTTTTCGGATACTGGACAAGAGATCATACAAGACTGTGAGCTGTGAGAGAAGGAAAACAAAGTGAGCCCCCCAATCACCCCTGCTTTCTGCCAGAAGGTACATGCCAGACGGGAGCCTGTGAAGCAGGAGGGGAGAGCTCAAGCACAGCACAGTGGTCCTCCCCTGCACTGAAGAGAGAGGGATCAATGTTCAGGGAGACTGAAATAGTTAGAAACTGTGAAGCAAATTCTAGAGAGAAGGGAGCAAAGCGGAAAAAGAATTTCAGAAATATGCAGGGGGTCCTTATGAGTCTTCACTGAACACTAACACTTGCATGTGTAGCATAAAACTCCATGAAGTCAGGCAAAGAGAGTAACCTGGGAACTGTCCACTGAACAGTTCCCAGAACTCACATGTGGCCTGGAATCCACTACCAAATAGAAGAGTTTATGGATTTGTCACAGTCATAAGTTCTTGGAGGGTGGAAATTGTGCTCATCGGTTCCTTGGGATATATTCACTAGCAATTCCTGACAGAAGGCCACATCTTAGTAGTGAAACTAAACTATCCAGAGAATAAAAAAGTTTTTCTGGCCAGGCGCAGTGGCTCACGCCTGTTAATTCCAGCACTTTGGGAGGCTGAGGCGAGTGAATTACCTGAGGTCAGGAGTTTGAGACCAACCTGGACAACATGGCGAAACCCCGTCTCTACTGAAAACACAAAAATTAGCCGGGTGTGGTGGCGCACATCTGTAGTCCCAGTGACTCGGGAGACTGAGGCAGGAGAATCGCTTAAACCTGGGAGGCAGAGGTTGCAGTGAGCCGAGATCACGCCACTGCACTCCAGTGTGGGCAACAGAGTGAGCCTCAGTCTCAAAAAAAAAAAAAAAAAAAAGGAAGGAAGGGAGAGAGGGAGGGAACAATCTCTGTGACCTCTGGGACAATATCAAGTGGTGGGACATATGTGTAATTCAAGTACGGAAGTGGTGGAGGTGGGTGGAAGAGGAAGCGGAGCAAAAAAATCTGAAGAGTAACAGGTGAAATTTTTCCAGATTTGATGAAAACTATAACCCCAGAAACTAAAAAGCCTCAAAAAAATCCCAAAGAAAACACAAAGGGGTAAACACAAAGAAAACCACCCCCAGCCACATCAAATTCCTAAAAACAGTGATAAAGCAAAATCTTAAAAGCAGCCAAAGAAAATGGCATAGAGTAAAGAAGAATGACCACAAACCTGTCAGAATCACGTATGTCAGAAGTCAACAGAATGATATCTCCAAAATGTCAACCTAAAAGTCAACACTCGGTGAAAATATATTTTTAAAAGGAAGGTGAAATAAAGATCTTTTCAGACAAACAGAAGCTGAGCAGCATCACTGCCAAAAGACCTGCATTACAAGCAATGTTAAAGGAAGCCTTTCAAGCACAAACAAAACGATGCCCAGTGGAAACGTGAACGTACACAAGGGATGAAGAATGCCAGAAATAGTAAATCAGTGGGTAAATACAGACTTTCTCTCATTTTTTAAAGTTCCTTTAAAAGATAATTGTTTAAAGCAAAAATAACAATGATTTAGGGATACAAAAGTAAAACTCTGTAAAAATAGTACAAAAGGAGGAGGAAGGGACAGAAGTATATCATTACAAGAATCTTACATTATATACACTGAGTGAGTGGTACCCAGTTTGGGGTTAAAATAATGGGCCAAAGAGAATCCAAAGGGCACATAATCTGCCATTAGAAAATCAAGCTCTGACAACATGCTATATTCTTAAGTAATCAAAGACACAGAAAGGAGTTCAGTCTTTAAATGAATACCACTTTAGGGAAACAACCTTCAGCTGAGATTTAGAGGCTCTACTATTCCCTACAAAATACTTACTAGTTACAAAAGGAAAAAGAGTAACTTTACAGTCAAGAAGGCTGGCAGACAGTATCTTCCATGTTTTCAAAGTTAGCATCATCAGTAATGAGACAAATCAAAATTGTATGCCACCTCACAGGATATGATTAGAATACAACATCATCTCTCTGGTATTCCTGCCAAAGAATGCATAACCTGAATCTTATCATGAAAATACATCAAATTATGGACATTCTACAAAATAACTGGCCTGTAATCTTTAAGTGTCAAGGTCATGGAAGTCAAAGAAATAATGACGAACCATCCTAGACTAAAGGAGACTAGAGAGACATGACAGTTAAATGCAACATATGATACTAAACCAAATCCTTTTCCTATAAAGGACAGTTCGAAGACAACTGGAGGAAACTTACATGGGGTCTCAGGATTAGATGGTAGTAATCTAACAAGGTTAATTTCCTGATTTTCATAGTTGTACTACAGTTATCTAGGAGAATGTCCCTGTTTGTACAAGATACACATTACAGTATTTGGGGGTTTGGGGACATCAGGGCAGCAACTTACTCTGAAATGATTCAAGGGGAAAAAAAGTTCTTTATAATACACTTGGAACTTCTCTATGGGTTTGCAGTTGTTTTACAGTAATTTTTTTTTTAAAAAAAGAGAGTTCAGGCCACTGCAGTGGCTCATGCCTGTAATCCCAGAACTTTGGGAGGCTGAGGTAGGAGGATTGCATGAGGCAAGGAGTCTGAGACCAACCTGGGCAACAGAGCAAAACCCCATCTCTACAAAAAATTTGAAACATTAGCCAGGCGTGGTTGTACACATTATAGTACCAGCTACTCCGGAGGCTGAAGCAGGAGGGTCGCGTGAGCCCAAGGAGTTCAAGGTTACAGTGAGCTATCATTACACCACCACACTCCAGCCAGGGAGACAGAACGAGAGACTTTGTCTCAAAAAATATAAAAAATAAATAATAAAATCAATTAAATTGAGATTTCAGGTTCCATGATTTGAAAAAAACCAAGTGTAAAAGAACATTCATGAGACAAACAGGGAAATTAGAACACTGAGCAAATATTTGGTAATATTAAGAAAATTAGAAGTGCTTTGGAAATCTAAAAAGAATATTAAGACATTTTTGTCAATTATTGTCAGGTATGATAATAGCATTTTGTTTATAATTTTTTTAAAGTCCTTATCTTCTAGACATATATACTGAAATATTTACTGAAGAAATAGCTTTTTTTTTTTTTTTTTTGAGATGGAGTCTCGCTGTGTGACCCAGGCTGGAGTGCAGTGGCGCAATCTTGGCTCACTGCAACCTCTGCCTCCCAGGTTCAAGCAATTCTCTGCCTCAGCCTCCCAAAGTCACTGGGATTACAGGTGCCTGCCACCACACTTGGCTAATTTTTGTATTTTTAGTAGAGACGGGGTTTCACCATCTTGGCCAGGCTGGTCCTGAACTCCTGACCTCATGATCCACCTGCCTCAGCCTCCCAAAGTGATGGGATTACAGACGTGAGCCACCGCGCCTGGCCCGAAGAAGTATCTTATACTTGCTTTAAAATCACCCACCAGGAGCAGTGGAAATGAAACAAGATTAGTCAAGTATTGACAACTATTTTTTGGCTTTTTTTTTGTTTGAGACGGAGTTTCACTTTTGTTGCCCAGGCTAGAGTACAATGGCGCGATCTCGGCTCACCATAACCTCCGCCTCCCAGGTTCAAGCCATTCTCTTGCCTCAGCCTCCCGAGTAACTGGGATTACAGGCATGTGCCACCAAGCCCAGCTAATTTTGTATTTTTAGTAGAGACGGGGTTTCTCCATGTTGGTCAGGCTGGTCTCCAACTCCCGACCTCAGGTGATCCACCCGCCTCGGCCTTCCAAAGTGGTGGGATTCCAGGCATGAGCCACCGTGACCAGCCTCTTTTTTTTTTTTTTTGATACAGACTCTAGCTGTGTATTTTTTTTGATACAGACTCCAGGCTGGAGTAAGGTGGCACAATCTCATCTTACTGCACCCTCGACCTCCTGGATTCAAGCAATCTTCTCACATCAGCTTCCCAAGTAGCTGTGACTACAGGTGTGCACCACCACACCTGACTAATTTTTATTTTTTATTTAATTTGTAGAGATTAGGTTTCACCATGTTGCCTAAGCTGGTTTTGAACTCCTGGGCTCACGCAATCCTCCAGCCTTGGCCTTCCAAAGTGCTAGGATCACAGGCTTGAGCCACCATGCCCAGCAGTATTGACATTTGTTGAGGCTGGTTAATAGGTATGCCAGCATTCATTATACTATTCTCTATATGTTTTTTGTTGTTGTTTATTTGGGTTTTTTTGAAACAGAGTCTCACTCTGTTGCCCAGGCTGGAGTGCAATGGCCCGATCTCAGCTCACTGCAACCTCCGCCTCCCAGGTTCAAGCAATTCTCCCACCTCAGCCTCCTGAGTAGCTGGGACTACAGGTGTGCACCACCATACCCAACTAATTTTTGTATTTTTAGTAGAGACGGTGATTCACCATGTTGGCCAGACTGGTCTCGAACTCCTGACCTCAAGTGATCTACCCGCCTCGGCCCCCCAAAGTGCTGGGATTACAGGCACAAGCCACTGCGCCCAGCCTCTATGTTTAAAATTCTCTATAATGTAAAAAAAAAAAAAAAAAAAAAAAAAAAGGGCAGGGTGATTACAGACTCTGGAGAGAGAGCTGTATCTAATTCTGACTCTGCCACACACTAGCTGTGTAACCTTAGGGAAGTTATGCTCTGTCTCTGAGCTCAGTACCCTCATGCACAAAAGGGAGCTAGTAACAGCACCTTTCTCCAAGGACAGTGGTGGCACTCTGTGCTGATGGCCATAAAGTGCGCAGTTCCTGGCAGACGGTAAATGCTGAGGGATGTGAGCCATTATCATCTTTTCTGCCACTCTGGACATAGCAACTTGGTGTTTTAAACTGGCCATGTCTGGAGGAAAGAAAGTCTCCTCTAAGAGAAAGCAATGACTCCAACTGCTAGCCTTGAAAAACCCATTTATTCTCTAGCCCCAAGTAAGTAATGGCTATGTTGGATGAATAAGAAAGAGCTTTGTGGTCGAGAGCTGTGGCTCACACCTGTAATCCCAGCTCTTTGGGAGGCCAAGGTGGGTGGAACACCTGAGGTCAGGAGTTTGAGACCAGCCTGGACAACATGGTGAAATCCTGTCTCTACTAAAAATACAAAAATTAGCTGGGTGTGGTAGTGGGTGCCTGCAATCCCAGCTACTCTGGAGGCTGAGGCAGGAGAATTGCTTGAGCCTGGGAGACAGAGGTTGCAGTAAGCCAAGATCATGCCACTGCACTCCAGCCTAAGTGAAAGAGTGAGACTCCATCTCAAAAAAAAAAAAAAAAAAAAAGGCCGGGCACGGTGGCTCATGCCCGTAATCCTAGCACTTTGGGAGGCTGAGGTGGGTGGATAACTTTGAGACCAGCCTGGCCAACATGATGAAACCCCGTCTCTACTAAAAAAAATACAAAAATTAGCCAGGCATGGTGACACACACCTGTAATCCCAGCTACTCGGGAGGCAGAGGCAAGAGAATCGCTTGAACCTGGGAAGCAGAGGTTGCAGTGGGCCGAGACTGTGCCACTGCACTCCAGCCTGGTCAAAAGAGCGAGACTCCGTCTCAAAAAAAGAAAAGAAATACTTAGGTGTAAATCTAACAAAACATGGACAAAATCTGTATACTGAAAACTACAAAAACTTTGATTTAAAACATCAGCCTGTAGTCCCACCTACTTGGGAGGCTGAGGCAGGAGAATCACTTGAGCCCAGCAGTTTGAGTCCAGCCTAGGCAACATAATGAGGAAAAAAATCAAAGATCTAATGTTCTGAAACATAAAAAACAACATAACACACACACATATGGCCTCACCCCTTCCACTAGCACCAACTGGGTACAGCCCACAGAGGTCTGATTGGCTTTTGTTGCTTCTTCTCGGAAGATAGTGATGAGTTCCTCCAAACGCCTTAATTTTACCTCTTCCGGGACATCATCCTTCAGCCTATGATATGCCCGTGTCTTCTATTAAAAAAAAAAAAAAGAGAGAAGATGGAGGTCACCAAGGACTTGTAGAATCTATTCTTAATGCACAGAGGGCGACCATGTTCATTCTACCTACAAGTAACAGACACATGTACAGAAACCCAAGCCAGAGGCAAGAGGTTTCTCTGGCTCTGGGAGCATTCCAAGATAAAAAGGTAGTGGAGTCATATTTTTGCAAGGGTTAAATTCTAAATTTAGCACATGAAAATCATAGACTCAAAATTACTCTTGATATTTATCCTAACGTTACACTTGTACATATACCAAATGACTCACATATACTAGGTTACTCAGCAGTACTATTTATGAAGACATAAGATGCAATGCAGCCTAAATATTTCAATAGGCAAGTAGTCACAGAAATTATGGTTTATCTATACAATGGAATATTGTGCGGCTGTTAAACAGAATGATAGTTCTATATGTACTAATGTGGATTGTTCTCCAAAATCTACTGTTACTTGAAATAAGCAAAGTGCAGATCAACACATGTAACTTTAGTGTAGACAGAATACATACAGGCATGCTTATAAACACACGAAATATGCCCAGAAAGTTACAAAAGAAATTGCTAAGTGGTTGCCTTCAGGGAAGGAACTAAAAAAACTAGGCAACCTGGGAAGAAGGAAGAACCACTCATGTACAGCACTTAACCTTTTGAATTTTATTCAAGCATGTATTACCTAGTCCAAAAGAAAAAAGGGAATTTATCCTTAAAACACCTTTAAATCATCCAAAACCACAGTGTGTATTATATCTTTATGACATGAGCTCATGCTCAGTACAGCTGGAGAACCACTGAGCTAGACAAAAATATGGAATAAAAGGAATATCTATATACCAAAGTTTGGACATTCAAACCAATCTACCTTGAAGAGAAGTATCCACGGAGGAAAACGGAGAATCCTAAAAATATTGCAGAGTTTACTCCATTCTGTCTTACTACTAACAACAATAACTTACCTCTGTTGTGCATTTACTATGCATGAAACACAATTATAACTGCTTTAAACATATTATCTTACTTAATCCCCAGAACAACCCTATGAGGTTGGTACCAATGTTGGAAACCAAGACATTTGCCCAATGTCACGTAGTTATTAAGCAGCAGAGGCACAATTTGAGTGCTTGCTCTCATCCACTAGGTTCTTGATTAAGTTCCTATAACCTTAACCCTTAGGAATTAGGTCCCAAAGTGAACATTCATATTCACTGACCATAAGATGCTTCTGCCACAAGCTGAAAACCCATTTCCCATCCCTAGGATTTTTTTTTCTTTTTTGAGACAGGGTCTCATTCTGTTGCCAAACCGGAGTGCAGTGGCACAATCTTGGATCACCACAGTTTCAACCTCCCAGGCTCAAGTGATCCTCCGACTTCAGCCTCCCAAATAGCTGGGATCACAGGCATGTGCCACCACTCTCGGCTAATTTTTTTTTTTTTTTTTTTTTTTTTTTTTGGTAGAGAAGGGTCTCCCTATGTTACCCAGGTTGGTCTCAAACTCCTGGGCTTAAGTGGTCCTCCCACCTCTACCAATCCTAGTATTAAAAAGAATTTCTCAGGCCGGGCACAGTGGCTCATGCCTGTAATCCCAGCACTTTGGGAGGCCAAGGTGGTGGATCACCTGAGGTCAGGAGTTTGAGACCCACCTGACCAACATGGAGAAACCCCATCTCTACTAAAAATACAAAATTAGCCAGGCGTGGTGGCACATGCCTATAATCCCAGCTACTCGGGAGGCTGAGGCAGGAGAAAAACTTGAACCCGGAAGGTGGAGGTTGTGGTGAGCTGAGATCGTGCCATTGCACTTCAGCCTGGGCAACAAGAGCGAGACTCCGTCTCAAAAAATAAAAAAAAAGAATTTCTCTTGGGAGGCTGAGGTGGGTGGATCACAAGGTCGAGAGATCAAGACCATCCTGGCCAACATGGTAAAACCCTGTCTCTACTAAAAAATACAAAAATTAGCCAGGTGTGGTGGCACGCACCAGTAATCCCAGCTACTCGGGAGGCTGAGGCAGGAGGATTGCTTGAACCTGGAAGGTGGAGGTTGCTGTGAGCCAAGATCATGCCACTGCCCTCCAGCCTGGTGACAGAGCGAGACTCTGTCTCAAAAAAAAAAAGAATTTCTCTGGCATATTTGTGATGTCCATGGAAAAGAAGCAAAATAGAAGGGGCCAGGCACAGTGGCTCACACCTGTAATCCCAGCACTTTGGGAGGCCGAGGCGGGCAGATCACGAGGTCAGGAGATTGAGACCATCCTGGCTAATGCGGTGAAACCCCGTCTCTACTAAAAATACAAAAAATTAGCCGGGCATGGTGGCGGGTGCCTGTAGTCCCAGCTACTCGGGAGGCTGAGGCAGGAGAATGGCATGAACCCGGGAGGCAGAGCTTGCAGTGAGTCGAGATTGCGCAACTGCACTCCAGCCTGGGCAACAGAGCGAGACTGAGACTCCGCCTCAAAAAAAAAAAGAAGCAAAACAGAAACTAACAGCTCCTCTGAAGCTTCATCTCTCCAAAACACTAAAAGATACATGAATATGATACATACATTGGCACAGTTACGCTGCCCACAGAACACTACGCAGTGGCTTTAAAATGAATTAGTTGAGGTGTCATGACTCACGCCTGTCATCTCAGCACTTTGAGAGAGCGTGGTGAAAGGACTGCCTGAGCCAGGAGTTTGAGACCAACCTGGACAGCATAGAAAGATACTGCCTCTTAAAAAAACAAAAAAATTAGTTTGGTTGATGGCAGCTCAGTAACAATGACAATAAAGTCATGGGTTCAGTCGTTTGTCAGCCAGCTTTTCTGAGCCCCCTGGCCACAGGGGGCCTTCAACCTCCTGCCCAAACACAAGCACATTGCCACAAAGGTGACTGAGGGAATGAGGAGTGAACCGTGCAAATCCATGCCTACAATCAAGAAAATGACAGCCAACCAGGACTATCCTTCTCTTCAGGAAAAGTGCACTAATCTCTCCTTCTTTCCTAATCTCCTTCTGCTTTGCCTGGGAATCTGCTTTGTTTCCTGGGAAGCCTCCAAGTGAGTTCACTTGCCTAGGAAAACAGAAGTTAGGAATCACTGAGGATGGCTGGGAAGATGACCAGGGGCCCCGGTAAAATAAATCACATCTGCAGACCAAAAAGGAGTTCTGCATGTTAAGAAACAATTTTAGGTTTCTCGTAAAGAAAAGGTTTTCTCCTTCCATATTCAAATTGCAAACAATCTAAACATAATTTTAAAATATTTTAATGAGGAATACTGGCACAGTAATCATGTATCATCAAATTGCTGAACCGTTTCAGAGTAGACAGAGTGTACTAGAAAAATGAACGGAAGTGAATCGTAAGAGCCTGTGGTTTCTCAAGGACTGCCTTGCCGCCACTCTCTTTTCTGCCCTGTTCTCTACAGTCACCACCCCCAAACTGGTCAGGAATGATGTCAGTCCTCCCCAACCCCAGGGCTCACCTGTCTCATGCTGTAGGCAAAGAGGAAGCCCATGTTGTACTGAACTTCCCGGAGCAAAGAGACTGTCTGGACGTGATCTTCCTCCGTCTCACCACAAAAGCCAGCAATGAAATCGCTGCTGAGGCTCACACCTGTGATACACAGCAAAGGATGACAGGTGACTGCCTGCTGTTTACCTTCAAGGGAGGCCTTCAGCATATGTGGATTACAAGGGAGGGATAGCAACTGTAAGGTCCTCCCTAGGACTATTCATAAGTAAAACAAAATAGTACAGAGTAAGGCGGGATAGGCCTGTTCACCCACAGCATTCCATGACAGAGATCAGCTTCTTGGCCTACATTTCCCCTAAGCACTAGAAAAGGTATTTCCACTTCCAATGCTGCATTTAGGGACACAGTAGGGAGTCCACATTTTCATATCAGTCCTCTTACCAGTGAAAACCTTGTGGTGCTTCATACAAAAATATATTTCTGAATTTGGTTTGATACAATGGTCATCTAAGACAGTAGCAGCCGTTGCATGCGGTAGCTCACCCCTGTAATCCCAGCACTTTGAGAGGCCAAGGTGGGCGGATCACTTGAGGTCAGGAGTTCGAGACCAGCCTGGCCAATAGGCAAAATCCCATCTCTACAAAAAATACAAAAATTGACCAGGCAGGGTGGTATTCAAGTGTAGTCCCAGCTACTCAGGAGGCTGAGGTGGGAGGATCACCTGAGCCCAGGGAGGTCAAGGCTGCAGTGAACTGTGTTCATGCCACTGCATTCCAGCCTGGGCGACAGAATGATAACCTATCCCCCACCAAAAAAATTATTCCAGTGACCCAGTGAGGTGAGTACTATTAACTCCATTTTACAGATGAGAAAGCTGCATCCCACAGAAATGAAGTCTCTTATCTGCTATCACACAGCCTGTAACAGTGGAGCTTGACCCATAGCCACATACCTAGCCTCTGCATTACCCTGCCCTATCAAAACGAAAGTATTTGTCCATAAAAGTTAAAATAATTAGGCCAGGTGCAGTGGCTCATGCCTGTAATCCCACCACTTTGGCAGGCTGAGGCGGGCAGATCACTTGAGGTCAGGAGTTCGGGACCAGCCTGGACAACATGGTGAAACCCTATCTCTACCAAAAAATACAAAAATTAGCTGGGCATGGTGGCCTGTAGTCCTGGCTACTTGGGAGGCTGAGGCACAAGAATCGCTTGAACCTGGCAGGCAGAAGCTGCAGTGAGCCGAGATTGCGCCACTGCACTCTATCCTGGGCAATAGAGCAAGATTCTGTCTCAAAAAAAAAGTTGTAATAATTAGAAATTTGAGGAAAAATGTATACACCCTCAACCAAATCTAAACTAAATGACTACAGAGTATTTTATTAGGAGGAAGGGGACAGTGAAGGGGAATATGGAATAAGATAATACGAAAGGAATTATCTCTAAAATTTACAGTAATAAGTTGCCATAAAGCTAGTTAGAAAAAGTACACATTTTACTGCTGATCTGTACAATCATCTTTATACCTACATTTCCTCATTTCATCAAGACTTCTCTGAAGCATATCTGAAAATAAACAACACTGTAACTGCTTTCTTTTCCCACCTAACCTGGAAGTTCCCCAAAGGCATAATCTAAGTGTTATTCTCTCCATATTATGCTTAAAGTATTCTAACTCAAAAGTGATTTTAAAATGTATCTGTAAAATCGGCCTCAAAAAGAAAGTCAAATGTGGTATAAAATATAGAAAATGAAGATGAATAAATAAGAATAGTAAGTTCTTATTTCTAAAAAAAAAAAAAAAAGATATCAATTGTTCTCAAATCAGAACTAATTTAGACATAACTTTGTCACCTTACAAGATAAGATAAGGTCTTTCCTCTATGTCCAGATACAAAGACCATAGAAAAGGAATCTCTATAGCCTTGAGGCCACAAGGTGATCCACACCTAAGTACTTCCAGCAGGACTAAGACAACAAAAAATCAGAAAGACATAAAAGAAAGAATACGAGGAGAGAGAAAGAGAAAGAAGAAGAGCACAAAAGTTATGAAACTGTGTCACAAGGAAATGCCAAAGGTGTTGACTGTATCTAACCACAAGGCTGGTCACTGGTAGAGTAACATGCTCAGCAGAATGAGTTTCTTAAATGTACCTGGAATAGATTCTCTAATATGGTGAACTAACTCCACATAAGCTTCTCTTGAATATCTGCAATAAAGAACAAAAGGAAAAGGCCTACATAAATCCAACCTTTTTAAATGAATGCTATAAAAAGATAACACTATGAATTTCCACATGTAATCACTTCTCATCCACATGGCAGGGCACACGAGTAAATTAAAGTATCCAAAAGAGCCCTTTTGATCTAAGCTGTATCTTCTAATCTAATCTAGAGCCTATGAATTTTTATTTAAGGACATAAACTTTTTTTTTTTTTTTTTGAGACAGAGTCTCGCTCTGTCTCTCAGGCTGGAGTGCAATGGCACAATCTCGGTTCACTGCAACTCAAATTCCTGGGCTCAAGTGATCCTTCCACCTCAGCCTCTTGAGTAGCTGGGACCACAGATGTGCGCCACCACACCCAGCTAGTGTGTGTGTGTGTCTGTGTGTCTGTATGTGTGTGTGTATGTGTGTAGAGACTGGGTTTCGCCATGTTGCCCGTGTGTGTGTGTGTGTGTGTGTGTGTCTGTGTGTGTAGGGACTGGGTTTCACCATGTTGCCCAGGTGTGTGCATGTGTGTGTGTGTGTGTGTGTAGGGACTGGGTTTCACCATGTTGCCCAGGTGTGTGTTTGTGTGTGTAGAGACTGGGTTTCGCCATGTTGCCCAGGTGTGTGTGTGTGTAAAGACTGGGTTTCCCCATGTTGCACAAGCTGGTCTATTCTCAAACTACTGAGCTCAGGCAATCTGCCCACCACAGTCTCCCAAAGTGCTTGGATTACAGGCAGAAGCCACAGTGCCTGGCCAGCATAAACTATTCTAAATAGCTTTTTTTATTTAACTAATAAATCTAGACAGATTAAACATTTTAGAGGACCTCTAAAATACTATGCCCTGTGGAAAACAAGACAAAGCACTAATTCCATACAGCTTGCCTTGGGACAGATTCTCCCTTCAGTCTCATCTGTGTAATACTTATTATTCTCAAAGAAAGTGAACACATAGAGCGACATTTAAATTCCAAGATGTAACAAAACCTTAATGTTAACATTAAAAAATTAAAATCTCAGAGTGTGCCACACCATAGGTGCTTAATTAAAAAAAAACATACTAAACAGTGAAAATGGATGACCCAGTCCTTAGCCTATGTTATGGAGTTAGCGAAGCAAGCTCCAGTGCCCTGTGGCTTAGTCATACAATAAATACTTACTGTCACACAGTGGCTGCTCAGTAAATATTTATGCTTTTTAAACTAAACAGTGAAAATGGGTGACCAGTCCTTAGCCTTTGCTTATGAAGTGAGCAGAAGCAAACTCCAGTGCCCAGTGGCTTAGTCATACAATAAATATTTACTGAGCAGCTACTTTGTGCCACACACTATGCTAGGTTCTTGGCAACAAGGACACTGTTTGGTCATTAAGGAAACATGGAAAAGTGAGGGATGCCCCCTCTCCAAGCAAGCCTGACCCCCTCCGCATGGCCTCCAACACACGGCTGCTTCCACTCTGGGCTGGCAGGTGGATCTGTTTACAGATGTTATCTCTCTCATGAATCAGCTGCAGAACCTGATGAAACAGAACACATTATAGGTAATCACAATCTCACCAAAGAACCTTACAGAAAGCAATACCGCTCTTACTATGTATCCTCCAAGGTCAATTTTCACATAATTAAGAGGCTAATTAAACCAGACACACAAAATCACCTATTCCCTAACTTTTGTTCAAGCCCCATTCTATTTGTCTCAGACACTTCACCTGATGGCATCTCTGCTTTCAAAGAGTAGAGAGAAGAAAGTAAGCAGAGGTCAGATTAAAGCCATGGGAGCTGAATACAGGTAGTGCTGACACTAGGGTCAGCAGGCAAAGCAGGAAAAAAATGGCACTTCTTTCAGCTAGCTTACAAAGCAGTCACTTTCTATTTTTTTTTTTTTTGAGACAGAGTATCACTCCATTGCCCAGGCTGGAGTACAGTGGTGCCATCTCCACTCACTGCAACCTCTGTCTCCTGGGTTCAAGCGATTCTCCTGCCTCAGCCTCCCCAGTAGCAGGGATTACAGGCACAAACCACCACACCTGGCTAACTTTTGTATTTTTAGTAGAGATGATGTTGCCCAGGCTGGACTAGAAATACTGACCTCAAGTGATCCGCCTGCCTCAGCCTCCCAAAGTGCTGGGATTACAGGCGTGAGCCACCACGCCCAGCCCAAACTAGTCATTTTTAAAGATACCATCAGGTCAGGTGTCATGGCTCACCTCTGTAATCCCAGCACTTTGGGAGGCCAAGGCAGGAGGATTGCTTGAGGCCAAGACTTCAAGACCAGCCTGGACAACATAGTGAGACCTTGGGTCTATTTTTTTTAATTTTTAAAAGAAGAAAAAAGAAAAAAAAAGATACCATCAAAAAACTGATACTAGGGGAAAATATTTGAAAACATATTGACAAAGGATTTGAACCAAGAATACATAAAGAGGCTGGGCGCAGTGGCTCATGCTTGTAATCCCAGCACTTTGGGAGGCTGAGGTGGGCAAATCATTTGAGGTCAGCAGTTCGAGACCAGCTTGGCCAACATGGTAAAACCCCGTCTCTACTAAAAATACAAAAATTAGCTGGACATGGTGGTGTGCACCTGTAATCCCAGCTACTCAGGAGGTTGAGGCAGGAGAATCACTTGAACCCGGGAGGCAGAGGTTGCAGTGAGGCCAGATCACACCACTGCGCTCTAGCCTGGGTGACAGAGCGAGACTCCATCTCAAAAAAAAAAAAAAAAGAAAAAGAAAAGAAAAGAAAACATAAAGAGAACACATTCCAGTCTCTCTCCTCCATTGCAAGAAAGGCTCCTTTGCAGTGGTCAAAAAAATAAAGGATATGTAAAGAACTTTTACAACTCAATAAGAAGACAATCCAGAGGAAAAAAGATGAAAGTCGGGGCCAAAAGAAAGACTTTTCACTGAAACAAAAAACCTCCAAAAAAAGGTTTCAGATGTGGGCTACCTACTCCATGCCAGGCACTGTGCTAAGTACCTTTGACACAATATAGGCATACCTCAGAGATATCACAGGTTTGGTTCCAGATCACCACAATGAAGAGAATATTGCAATAAAGTGAGTGACACAAATTTTTTGGTTTCCCAGTGCAAATAAAAGTTATATTTACTCTATACTGCAGTCTATTAAGTGAAAGCAATGTACATACCTTAATTTCATTATATTTATATTTTTTAAATATATCGAGATAGGGTTTCACTCTATCACCCTCGCTAGAGTGCAATGAAACTGTAGCTCACCCCAACCTTGAACTGCTAGGCCAAGCGATCCTCCTGTTCCAGCGTCCCAAGTAACTACGACTACAGGCATGTGCCACCATGCCCAGCTAATTTTTTTATTTAAAAATTATAGGGCCGGGCACAGTGGCTCACGCCTGTAATCCCAGCACTTTAGGAGGCCAAGATGGGTGGATCATGAAGTCAAGAGTTCGAGACCAGCCTGGCCAACATCTCTACTAAGTCTCTGCTAAGAATACAAAAATTAGCCAGGCATGGTGGTGCATGCCTGTAGTCCCAGCTACTTGGGAGGCAAGGCAGGAGAACTGCTTGAACCTGGGAGGCAGAGGTTGCAGTGAGCTGAGATCGCACCACCGCACTCCAGCCTGGGTGACAGAGCAAGACTCAGTCTCGAAAAAAAATAAAAATAAAAATAAAAAATAAAAACTATAAAGTTGTTATGCTGCCTGGGCTGGTGTCCAACTTGTAGGCTCAAGTGATTCTCCTGCCTCAACCTCCCAAAGTGTTGGGATTACAGGGATGAGCCACCACTGAATATTTTAAGCTCACTGTTGAGACCTACTGCTTAGGAAAAAAGATTCCTTTCTAAATATGACTGCTCATTGACAACGCACCTGGTCATCCCAGAGCTCTGAAAGAGATGTACAAGGAGATTATTAGTGTCGTTTTTATGCCTGCTAACACAATATCCATTTTGCAGCCCATGGATCAAGGAGTAATTTCAACTTTCAAGCCCTATTATTTTAATTTTTAGTTTATATAAGATCAATTCTTATTATTTAAGAAATATATTTCATAAAGCTATAGCTGTCGTAGATAGTGACTTTTGTGATGGATCTGGGCAGAGTAAACTGAAAACATTCCGGAAAGAATTCATCATTCTAGATACCATTAAGAACATTAATGATTCATGGGAAGAGGTCGAAATGTCAACATTAATAGGAGTTTGGAAGATACTGATTTCAACATTCATGGATGATTTTGAGGGGCTCACGACTTCAGTGGAGGAAGTAACATCCTCTTTAGCATCATTCTTAAGGGCCCTAGGATTTTCAGAATGGCAAATCAACACTGGCTTCAACTTAAAGTCACCAGCTGCCTTGGCCCCTAACAAGAGAGTCTGGCTGGGCACAGTAGCTCCCGCCTGTGATCCCAGCACTTTGAGAGGCCTAGGTGGGAGAACTGCTTGAGGTCAGGTGTTCAAGACCAGCCTGGGCAATACGGCAAGACCCCACCTCTAATTTTTTTAAAAGGAAACAAGAGACAGAGTCAGCCTGTCCTTTGAAGCTTTGAAGAATGGCACTGATTTCTCTTCTCTAGCTATGAAAGTCCCAGATGACATCTTCTTCCAACAGAAGACTGTTCATTTACACTGCAAATCTGTTGTTTAGTAGAACCACCTTCAGCATTGATCTTAGCTAGATCTTCTGGATAACTTGCACAGCTTCTACATCAGCACTATGGCTTCCCCTTGCACTTTGATGTTAGAGAGATGGCTTCTTTCCTCAAACCTTGTAAGTCAACCTCTGCTAGCTTCAAACTTTTCTTCTTCAGCTTCCTCACCTCTCTTGGGCTTCAGAGAACTGAAGAGGGGCCTTGCTCTGGATTAGGCTTTGGCTTAAGGAAGTGCTGCGGCTTCTTTGATCTTCTCTCCAGATCACTAAAGCTTTCTCCATATCAGCAAAAAGGCTGGGTTTTGTTGTTAGTGGTTTTTTTGGGTTTTCTTGTTTTTCTTTTTGAGATGGAGTCTCACTCTATTGCCCAGGCTGGAATGCAGTGGCACAATCTCAGCTCACTGCAACCTCTGCCTCCCGGGTTCAAGCAATTCTCCTGCCTCAGCCTCCCAAGCAGCTAGGATTACAGGTCTGCACAACCAAACCCAGCTAATTTTTCTATTTTTAGTAGAGACAGAGTTTTGCCATGTTGGCCAGGCTGATCTAGAACTCCTGACCTCAGGTGATCCACCCACCTTGGCCTCCCAAAATGCTGGGATTAAAGGTGTGAGTCACTGCGCCCAGCCTGTGAGCCATCACACCCGGCCAAAGAGGTTGTGTTGTTTTCTTATCATTCATGTGTTCAGTGGAGTAGTACTTTTAATTTCCTTCATGAACTTTTCCTTTGCATTTACAACTTGGCTGGTTGACATAAGAGGCCTAGCTTTCAGCCTAGCTCGGCTTTCAACATGATTTCCTCAGTAAGCTTAAACATTTCTGGCTTTTGATTTCAAGTGAGAGCCCTGCGACCCTTCCCTTCACTTGAGCACTTTAGAGGCCATTGTAGGGTGATTAAATGGCCCAATTTCAATATTGTTGTGTCTCAGAGAATAGGGAGGCCTGAGGAAAGGGAGAGAGATGGGGGAATGGCCGTCTGTGGAACAGTCAGAACACACACATCATTTACCAATTTAGGTCACTTTCTTATGTGGGTGTGGCTCATGGTGTTCCGAAACAATTTTAAGAATAACATTAAATAGCACTGATCACAGATCACCATAACAGATGTAATAATAATGAAGTTTGAAATATTGTGAAAATTACCAAAATATGACACAGAGACATGAAGTAAGCACATGCTGTTGGAAAAATGGTGCTGACAGACTTATTCAGAGTTGCCACAAACCTTCCATTTGTTAAAAATAACTCCATAATATCTGCAGAGTGCAATAAAACAAGGTATGCCTTTGTATCTATTTCACAACAACCCAAAGCAGGAGGTAATTGTTAACCCCTTATTAACCCCATTTTACAGATAAAGATGAAAAGTTGAAAACATCACATGCTCGCTGGTAAAACAGTGGAAAAGCTGAGATTTGAACCCGGGTCTGAGGCGAAAGTCTGGGCTGTTTCCCAGAGCACCACATCACCTCCTTCCTGTCCACCCCACACCACCATTACCGCCCCACCACCATTATTACCACTCAGCTGCCCACTTTGTAACAAATCCTCTCTGTACAGCCCTCACGGTCCCGCAGGTGGTCTTAACCTCCCGCTGAATATCAGTCCTACCTCCACTCCCACCTTGGCAGACTTTTTTTTCGAGACAGGGTCTCGCTATCTCACCCAGGATGGAGTGCAGTGGTGCGATCTCGGCTCACTGCAGCCTCGACTTCCTGGGCTCATGTGATTCTCCCACCTCAGTCTCCCAAGTAGCTGGAACTACAGTCGTATGCCACCTCAGTCTCCCAAGTAGCCAGAACTACAGTCGTATCCCACCCCACCCAGCTAATTTTTTGTATTTGCAGTAGAGACGGGGTTTCGCCATGTTGCCCAGGCTGGTTTCCAACTCCTGAGCTCAAGTAATCCACCTGCCTCAGCGTCTCCAAGTGTTGAGATTATTGGTGTAAGCCCCGTGCCCAGCCACTGGTGGACTTCAAATCTTCAAAGGACCAGCAGATCTGGAGGGTGATGCAGCAATACCCCACAGGATCCCTAAGCAGGACTCCAGGTCTCTGCTGCATCCCTACTGGGTCCAGCCTTTGGCATGCTCAAGAATACTAATATCAGTTTGTCACAGCTAACCTGACGCTCACCTCATCAGGAAAATCCTTGGGGTGGGGAGAGGTAAAACGGATCCTCATTTCAGGATCTACTCTGGAGACCTGATC
The DNA here is from genome assembly GCF_000001405.40 of Homo sapiens. Lineage (NCBI taxonomy): Eukaryota > Metazoa > Chordata > Mammalia > Primates > Hominidae > Homo > Homo sapiens. The sequence continues at coordinate 33,379,536 of NC_000020.11, forward strand.
CAGAAGATGAGCAAAACGAAGTCCTCCTTGCTTGGTTTTATAGTTGGTGGTAAAGCCACGACTGAGATTGGTAGGCACTGCACTGTTGAACTGGACCTCCGAATTGTCCCGAAAACTATTAACATTCTGACCAAGAAGTGTCACTTCTTTCAGCCCCTAAACATGGGAAAATATATTGGAATTTTAAAACTTTTGGGTAGCTTCATAAAAAAACACTAATTAAAAATTAGCTGAAATTAACATATCTTTTGTTTTAAACAAAAGAAAAATCGAACCTACCAAGAGTCACCTATAAGTGTGTTGTGTCTATAACCGAATAATTTCAAGCTTAGACATCTTACCTAAAGAGCTAAACCTAATAAAGCCTTATATAAAAATTAATCTTCAAAACATTATTTAGAATCAAAACTGGAAACAAACTCAATAATCCACAATAATGGTTAATTTATGATAGATCTGTCATTTGAATGTTATACACCATGACTATATAAAGTATTCTCACCAGAAATATTTAACCTGAACTAATCAAGCTTTTACACCTAACTTCCAGTTACTAGAATTCACAGAGATATATTAAATGACAACATGAGGAAAAAATCAGACAAAGGAGACTCATGTCTGATCTCTTCAAAAAGTTAATGCATCATTTAAAGAAAACAACAACAACAAAAAATAAAAGAGCTGTTTTAGATTTTTTTCTTCTTCTTCTTGAGACAGGGTCTCCCTCTGTTGCCCAGGCTGGAGTGCAGCAGCACGATCATAGCTCACTGTAGCCTCAACCTCCCAGGCTTAAGCAGTCCTCCTGCCTCAGCCTCCCAAGTAGCTGGGACTACCTTTTTTTACTTTTGTAGAGATGGGATTTCACCATGTTGCACAGACTGGTTTTAAACTCCTAAACTCAAGCAATCCTCCCACCTCAGCCTCCCAAAGTGTCTGGCTTAAATAACTATTGATTTTCATACATATGATAATGATATCATGGTTATGAAGAGAAAAATTGTTACTCATAGAAGATACATACTGAAGTATCTAGGGGCAAGTGTCCTGAGGTCTACAAATTACTTCAAATGGTTCAGAAAAAATACATTTATGGGTGCATGGAGATAGGTGTATGACAAAATGTTAACAATCACGTTTTTCTATTATACTAGTCTTTCTATTTGTCTGTTTGAAAATTTATATTATAGGCCAGGTGCAGTGGCTCCCTCCTGAAATCCCAGTACTTTGGGAGGCCAAGGTGGGCGGATCACACGGTCAGGAGTTCAGACCAGCCTGGCTAACATGGTGAAATCCCTTCTCTACTAAAAATACAAAAAATTAGCTGGGCGTGGTGGCAGGCACCTAATCCCAGCTACTAAGGAGGGTGAGGCAGGAGAATCGCTTGAACCCAGGAGGCAGAGGCTGCAGTGAGCCGAGACCATGCCACTGCACTCCAGCCTGGGCAACAGAGCGAGACTCCATCTCAAAAAATAGAAATGTTATATTATAAAGTTTCACAAATAATGGTTGCTAAAAAAGACTTGTTTTGTAACTTTGACATAATTTACAGACAAACTGCAATATTAAAAGAATTCCCATATACTCTTTGCCCAAATTCATCAAATGTTAACACTGCACCCCATTTGTTTATCATTCACATTCAGACACTCATATACACTCTCTCTCAACACACATATGACTACATTTTTTTTAAGCCTTCTGAGAAAAAGTCACAGATATCATACTCTTTTACTTCCAAATATTTTAGTATATATTTCTTAAAAACAAGGGCATTCTCCTATATAATTTCAGGACAATTATCAAAATCAGAAATATTGATACAACACTATTATCTACTTTCCATAAATCAAATGTTACCAATAGTCCAAATAATGTTTTGTTGTTGTTGTTGTTGTTATTGTTGTTTTTTGAGACAGAGTCTCACTCTGTTGCCCAGGCTGGAGTGCACTAGCGTGATCTTGGCTCACTGCAATCTCCGCCTCCCAGGTTCAAGCGATTCTCCTGCCTCAGCCTCCTGAGTAGCTGGGACTACAGGCGTGTGTCACCACGCCAGGCTAACTTTTTGTATTTTTTAGTAGAGACGGGTTTTGCCAAGTTGCCCAGGCTAGTCTCAAACTCCGGAGCTCAGACAATCTGCACACCATGGTCTCCCAAAATGCTAGGATTACAGGTGTGAGCCACCACGCCCAGCCCAAATAATGTTCTTTATAACATTTTTTTCCCTGATCAGAATCCCAATCGAGGACCGTGCGATGCATTTAGTTGTCATAACTCCAGTCTCCATAAAGGCTATTTATTTGTGTAAGTTGTGACATACTGTTAATCTAAAAAGCAGGATATACTAAATGCAATGTGGATCCTAGATTGGATCCTGGAAACGAAGTAAGACATTAGTGGAGAAACTGGCAAAATCCAAATAAAGTCTGAAGAGAGTTAATAGTAACATACCAATATTAATCTCTTAGTTTTTGCTTTGTTTGTTTTGTAATAGAGACAGCAGCTCCCAGTGTTGCCCAGGCTGGTCTTGAACTCCTACGCTCAAGGCACCCTCCTGCCTTGGCCTCCCAAAGTGCTGGGATTACAGCACCAAAAAATGTACCAAAGAAAGATGGCAATGCTCGAGGAAACTCTCTTTGCAACTTTCCTGTAAATGTAAAGTCATTCCAAAACAAAAAGTTTATTAAAAAGTAGGATATAAAACTAAGTAAAATACACACACATATATAAAAAGACATACAAACCAAATGCAGAATGACTTAAGGAACAATTGGGGAACTCCGAATAAGGATGAACTGGAATGAGACAGTATTTAGCAATTTTTGTTAATCTTACTGGAAGAACTAATGGTATTAAAAATATTCTTGGCCAGACACGGTGGCTCATGCCTGTAATCCTAGCACTTTAGGAGGCCAAGGCGGGTAGATCACCTGAGGTCAGGAGTTCGAGACCAGCCTGCCCAACATGGTGAAACCCCGTCTCTACTAAAAATACAAAAATGAGCTAAGTATGGTGGCGCATGCCTGTAGTCCCATTTACTCAGGAGGCTGAAGCAGGAGAATCACATGAACCCAGGAGGTGGAGGTTGCAGTGAGCTGAGATCGTGCCATTGCACTCCAGCATGGGCAAAAAGAGCAAAATTCCGTCTCTAAATAAATAAATAAAATAAAATAAAAATATTCTTTAGCAGCACATGGTGGTACGTGCCTATAATCCCAGCTACTCAGGAGGCTGAGGCAGGAGGATCACTTGAGTCCCGGGGGCAGAGGTTGCAGTGAGCCAAGATCATAACACTGCACTCCAGCCTGGGCAACAGAACAAGACTCTGTCTCAAAATAAATAAATAAATAAGTAAATAAATAAATAGGCCAGGCACAGTGGCTCACACCTGTAATCCTAGCCCTTTGGGAGGCTGAGCCGGGTGAATCACCTGAGGTCAGGAGTTTGAGACTAAGCCTGGCCAACATGGTGAAACCCCATCTCTACTAAAAATACAAAATTAGCTGGGTGTAGTGGTGCACACCTGTAATTCCAGCTACTTGGGAGGCTGAGGCAGGAGAATCACTTGAACCTGGGAGGCGGAGGTTGCGGTGAGCCAAGATTGTGCCATTGCACTCCAGCCTGGGCAAAAAGAGCGAAACTCCATCTCAAAAATAAATAAATAAATAAATAATAAAAAGATTTTTAAATGTTTAAAAAAGAAAATATCCTTATTTTTTAGAGATGCATACTGAAGGATGAAACAACATGCTCTACTTTGAAATACGTTTTCAATAAGAAAAAAATAAATGAGGCCAGGCGTAGTGGGCTCACACCTGTAATCCCAGCACTTTGGGAGGCCGAGGCGGGTGGATCACTTGAGATCAGGAGTTTGAGACCAGCCTAACATGGTGAAACCCCGTCTCTATTAAAAATACAAAAATTAAGCCAGGCACAGTGGCTCTTACCTGTAATCCCAACACTTTGGGAGGCCGAGGTGGGAGGAACACCTGAGGTCGGGAGATCGAGACCAGCCTGAACAACATGGAGAAACCCCGTCTCTACTTAAAAAATACAAAATTAGCCAGGCGTGGTGGCGCATGCCTATAATCCCAGCTACTCGGGAGGCTGAGGCAGGAGAATCGTTTGAACCCGGGAGGCGGAGGTTGTGGTGAGCCGAGATCACACCATTGCACTCCAGCCTGGGTAATAAGAGCAAAACTCTGTCTCAAAAAAAAAAAAAAAAAAAAATCAGCCAGGTGTGGTGCCAGGCACCTGTAATCCCAGCTACTCAGGAGGATAAGGCAGGAGAATCGCTTGAATCTGGGAGGTGGAGGCTGCAGTGAGCCGAGATCATACCACTACACTCCAGCCAAAAAAAAATAAAAAATAAAAGTAAATGAAACAAATATGGCAAAATGCAACAATTGTTAAATTTAGGTGATTGTTAGCTGGGGCAGAGGGGTCATTATACTATTCCCTCTTTTCAGTATATTTAAGTATTTTTCATATAAAAAGATTAAAAAGACTTTTTATAAAAGTTGCTTATTTAGAAGACTTCCAATAGATAACCATTGTTTGAATGAATAAACGGACATTCTGTTAAAGGTACAATATTCTATACTCTTTGCAACTGTAGTCTAAAAAATCTAAATGAAAGAAAAAAAATCTTTAAAAATTACTAAACAAGCAAAATTATTAAGTGACTAACAGATACTTTAAAATACAAGTAAAATCTTAATTTTCCACAAGTCTATGGCCTTGAATTCACTAAGATTCACTTTAATGTTATTAAGTTCCTTCTTTTATAGGCAAATGGCCTAGAAAGGTTGGGGAGTTTTGTCACCATCTCAGTCTATTTAAACAGAATGTCTCTATCCTGAAGGAGTGAGTTTTGGTACTGAGGGAGAGCTGGAAGGGGAGAGGAAGGAGACAACTTTAGACCAGGAAGCACTTGGAGAGGTGGGGTATGGAAAATGCCTCACAGAGCAGGGGAGCAGCTAGGGGCCAAATCAAGGAACTGATTATCTGGGGGTAGGGCAAGAGAAGACAGCACTGCCAGAATGTGAGGATGATAGCAAACTGGTGACTTAGAACTAGAGCAGGGAGGCCAGGCACAGTGGCTCATGACTGTAATCCCAGCACTTTGGGAGGCCAAGACAGTAGGATTACTTGATCCCAGGAGTTCTAGACCAGCCTGGGCAGCATAGTGAGACCTCATCTCTACAAATAATTAAAAAATTCACTGGGCGTGGTGGCACCTACCTGTAGTCCCAGCTACTTGGGAGGCTGAAGTGGGAGAATTGCTTGAGTCCAGGCAGGTGATGCTGCAGTGAGCTCTGACCACACCACTGTACTCCAGCTTGGGTGACAGAGTGAAAGCCCGTCTCAAAAATAAAAAATAAAAAAAGAACTGGGGCAGGGGCTACCCTGGCCCTCTCCCATGATTCCTGAGCCAAACAAGTAAGGAAGCAGGGAGACACCACTGTTAGGAAAAGCCACCATATTCCCACCTATTGTCCTCTTCTGCAGGGGTAGCAGATTCAGGCCCGGGGCTAAGGAAAAGACCTCCTCAAAAGCTGAGGACCAGCTCCCAGTGGGAGAAAGAAGAGCAGATCTCCCCTGTGGCTTCTGATCCACCTTACTCCCCTCATCTATTCTGTCCCTCAACTAGTGAGCTGGCTCAGTGATAAAATGAACAATAAATCTGGGAGTTTTTCCTGGAAGAGACAAATTCATAATTTCTCAAAAACTTAGCTATGTGCCAGGTAATTTAAAAACTTTTCCTCCAATCCTTCTAATAACCCTGCAAGCAAGGTATTATTTTATTCTCTTTTCACAGATGAGGAAACTGCATTACGACGACAGTTAAATTGACATGCCTAGGAACCAAGCCAGAATTCACACTCCATCACCTGACTGTAATCTCATGCCCTCTCCATCCACCATGCTGCCTCCATAGTGGAGCTCTGTAATTTGTGGGCAATAAACCAATGATGTACACAAAAGTAGTTCTTTCTGGCCAGGCATGGTCCTAAACTTTAATAAGTCAGAGACAGCATAGGCTCAAAACTACAAAGGTTATCCTCATCCTCCCCCAAACATGTTCACAGCAAGAAAGCCTGGAGAACTCTTCACCTGCTCAGAAAGCTTCTTCACTTCCTCTAGAATGGAGGCAATAGGCCGACTCCTCTCCCTGCCCCGGGTGAAAGGAACAATGCAGTAGCTACACATGTTGTCACAGCCTCGCATGATTGACCTGGAGAAGAAAGTACCAGAACTTAGTAACAGTAGCAGGGTGTGCTGGTATGACCCAAGGAGCAGGACTCAGCTTCAATAGCATTATTCTTTGGCTCTGAATCCTCTTGCCACAATGCTCACACTGGACCAATCTGAGATCTAAGCACTAAAGTAGACCTTTTTTATCTTTAAAAATTGGTATCTAATCACAAAATATAAACCAAACTATAACCAGTGGGACAATGACTAGCCTGAGGAAGCACAGCGGTGAGGAGCTAGAATATACACTTACCACACTTGGACTTTCTACTGTTTTTTTGTTTTGTTTTGTTTGAGACGGAGTCTCACTCTGTCACCAGGCTGGAGTGCAGTTGCAATCTCGGCTCACTGCAACCTCCACCTCCCAGGTTCAAGTGATTCTCCTGCCTCAGCCTCCTGAGTAGCTGGGACTACAGGCGCCTGCCACCACGCCCGGCTAATTTTTGTATTTTTAGTAGAGATGGGATTTCTCCATGTTGGCCACGATGGTCTCGATCTTTTGACTTCATGATCCACCCACCTCAGCCTCCCAAAGTGCTGGGATTACAGGCGTGAGCCACTGCACCTGGCCCCTCTACTGTTTTTAAATTCTTTTTTCCAGACAGCCTGAATATGTTTGTACCTACTGTTTTTATGAGTATATTATCTGAACTTTTTACATCCAGACCAGAAAAAAATAAATATTATAAAGTGTGTGTATATGTGTGTATATAGGGCAAGGAGACCCTGGATTTAAAACACAGAATTCTACATTTCTCACGCCTTCCTGATCCAACTGTTAGGTATCGAAGTTAAATCGCTCTCTTTAATTCACATCCTGTATGTGAAAGCCTCAATCTATCTGAAGGAAATAATTACGGCTATGTATCAAAGACGTTCACTGAAGAATTATGTAATAAATGTTAGCTATTATTCTTACTAAGCATTCCAACAAGAGAATATTATATAGCCATTAAAATAAACAGAGGTTGACAAACTTTTCTGTAAAAAAAAAAAAAAAACCCTATAGTAAATATTTGAGACTTAGCAGGCTATAGTCTCTGTCCCAAGTATTTAACCTTGCTTTAGTGGCAAAAGCAGCCAGAGGCAATATGTGAATAAATGGGCATGCTTGTATTCCAATAAAACCTTATTTACAAAAAGAGGTAGTAAGCTATTTGGCAACCTCTGTTACAGAAAATTTAATGCCATGGCCAGGCGCAGTGGCTCACCCTTATAATCCCAGGATTTTGGAAGGCTGAGGTGGGAGGATCACCCAAGCTCAGGAGTTTGAGACCAGCCTGGGCAATATAGTGAGACCCTATCTCTGTAAAAATTCAAAAAAAAATTAGCCAGGTGTGGGGGTGCACACCTGTAGTCCCAGCTACTCAGGGGACTAAAGCAAGAGCCCAGGAGGTCAAGGCTGCAGTGAGCCCTGATCATGACACTGCACTCCAGCCTGGATGACAAGAGTGAGACCCTGTCTCAAAAAAAAAAAAAAAAGTGTGAAAGGAGGAAGAGGCTTATTCCCTATCTCTTAGGCAGTGACTCACACAAAGGCAGACGTGGCACTGGCGCTTGTCTGGACTGGCATGACATCAGCATAGGTCTCGTCCAGAGAGAGCAGCACGTTGGCAGCTTGCTGGCCCGACTCAGCAACAGCCAGCAGCCGGGGAAGGTCCCGGTAGGCATCAGGACCAGCCAAAATATCTACCATTTTCTCTCTGTTGAGAATCTCCTCCTTCAACCTCTCAGCCATGCAGCCTGGAAGGGAAAAAGAAACAAGCACCTTTCCCCAAATCCACCTGGTGTTTAATGGCTTCTTCTTATTCCACTTTATCTGTAGCTGGGATTAGAGACCAGGGCACAGAAAACTTCTCTAAGAATTGAGTATCATCCTTCAAATTTAACCAACACTCCCATCGCACTGGAGCCTGTATCTTCCTATATAAGAAAACCACAGAAAAGGGTTCCAGAGCAATTCAATTAAATGCCCAGAAAAAAATTAAACCACCAGCCAGGTGCGGTGGCTCATGGCTGTAATCCCCACACTTTGGGGGGCCGAGGCAGGCGGATCACCTGAGGTTGAGAGTTCAAGCCCAGCCTGACCAACATAGAGAAACCCTGTCTCTACTAAAAATACAAAAGTACCCAGGCATGGTGGCACATGCCTGTAATCCCAGCAACTTGGGAGGCTGAGGGACAGGAGAATCGCTTGAACCCAGGAGGCAGAGGTTGCGGTGGGCCAAGATCGCACCATTGTACTCCAGCCTGGGCAACAAGGGTGAAACTCCGTCTCAAAAAAAAAAAAAAAATTAAACCACCACCCACAAACCTTTCAAGACATGAACCATGTCTTCTTTCAACTGAAAATTACTTAGTGCTGAAATAAAAAGTATTCTGTGTCTGGAACTTACTTACCCACAACTACACTTGAACCCTTTCCCTCTCTTCTAGCCTATAATACTTGCTAAAACCTGTAAGAAATGAGTAAGCCATTTATGCTGTTATCTTCCATATCCTTAAAAAAATTATGTTATTAAAGTTATAATATCTTAAAGTCCACTTTATTACAAATACCCTTTGAAAACACTTAACAGCTATTCTTGTTTGTATGCCCATGTTCATAGCACTATTATCCACAATAGCCAAAAGGTGCAAGCAACCCAAGTGTCTATTAATGAATGAAGAGATATTTGCATCTACGCAAAGCCAGTTAAATAAATAATTTTTCAGCTCCCTCTCCCTCTCCCTCTCCCTCTCCCCCTCTCCCTCTCCCCCTCTCCCTCTCCCTCTCCCTCTCCCCCTCTCCCTCTCTCCTTCTCCCTCTCCCCACAGTCTCCGTCTCCCTCTCTTTCCACTGTCTCCCTCTCCCTCTCTTTCCACGGTCTCCCTCTGATGCCCAGCCAAAGCTGGACTGTGCTGCCGCCATCTCTGCTCACTGCAACCTCCCTGCCTGATTCTCCTGCCTCAACCTGCCGAGTGCCTGCGATTGCAGGCGCGCGCCGCCACGCCTGACTGGTTTTCGTATTTTTTTGGTGGAGACTGGGTTTCGCTGTGTTGGCCGGGCTGGTCTCCAGCTCCTAACCGGGAGTGATCTGCCAGCCTCGGCCTCCTGAGGTGCCGGGATTGCAGATGGAGTCTCGTTCACTCAGTGCTCAATGTTGCCAGGCTGGAGTGCAGTGGCGTGACCTCCGCTCGCTACAACCTCCACCTCCCAGCCGCCTGCCTTGGCCTCCCAAAGTGCCGAGATTGCAGCCTCTGCCCGGCCGCCACCCCGTCTGGGAAGTGAGGAGCATCTCTGCCTGGCCGCCCATCGTCTGGGATGTGAGGAGCCCCTCTGCCCGGCTGCCCAGTCTGGGAACTGAGGAGCGCCTCTTCCCGGCCGCCATCCCGTCTAGGAAGTGAGCAGCGTCTCTGCCCGGCCACCCATCGTCTGAGATGTGGGGAGTGCCTCTGCCCCGCTGCCCCCTCTGGGATGTGAGGAGCGCCTCTGCCCGGCCGCGACCCCGTCTGGGAGGTGAGGAGCGTCTCTGCCCGGCCGCCCCGTCTGAGAAGTGAGGAGCCCCTCCGCGCGGCAGCCGCCCCGTCTGAGAAGTGAGGAGCCCCTCCGCGCGGCAGCCGCCCCGTCTGAGAAGTGAGGAGCCCCTCCGCCCGGCAGCTGCCCCGACTGGGAAGTGAGGAGCGTCTCCGCCCAGCAGCCGCCCCGTCCGGGAGGGAGGTGGGGGTCAGCCCCCGCCCGGCCAGCCGACCCGTCAGGGAGGGAGGTGGGGGGGTCAGCCCCCGCCCGGCCAGCCGCCCCGTCCGGGAGGGAGTAGGGGGCAGCCCCCGCCCGGCCAGCCGCCCCGTCCAGGAGGTGGGGGGCGCCTCTGCCCGGCCACCCCTTCTGGGAAGTGAGGAGCCCTTCTGCCCGGCCGCCACCCCGTCTGGGAGGTGTACACAACAGCTCATTGAGAACAGACCATGATGACGATGGCGGTTTTGTTGAATAGAAAAGGGGGAAATGTGGGGAAAAGATAGAGAAATCAGATTGTTGCTGTGTCTGTGTAGAAAGAAGTAGACATAGGAGACTCCATTTTGTTCTGTACTAAGAAAAATTCTTCTGCCTTGGGAAAAAAAAATAATTTTTCAATGAACAAACAAAATGTACTACATATACACAATGGAATTTTTTTTTTTTTTTTACAACGGAGTATTACTCAGCCTTATAAAGGAAGGAAATTCTGGCCAGGTGCTATGGGTCACACCTGTAATCTCAGCACTTTGGGAGGCCAAGGAGGGTGGATCACTTGAGCCCAGGAGTTCAGGATCAGCCCTGGCAACATAGTGAGACCCACATCTCTACAAAAAATAAAAAAATTAGTCCTCGTGGAACGTGCCTGCAGTCCCAGCTACTCAGGAGGCTGAGGCAGGAGGATTGCTTGAGCCTGGGAGGTTGAGGCTGCAGTGAGCCATGATCACGCCACTGCACTCCAGCCTGGGCGACAAACTGAGACCCTGTCACCAAAAAAAAAAAAAGAAGGAAATTCTGACACAGGCTACAACAGGTAACCTCATGAACCCTGAGGACATTATGATAAGCCAAATAAGACAGTCACAAAAAAGACAAAATTGTATGGTTCCACTTACATGAGGTATCTAGAGTAGTCAGATTCATAAACAGAAAGTAGAATGGTGATTGCCAGGGGCTGAGGGAAGGAGGAATGGGGAGCGTGTGTTCAATGGATATGTAGTCTCAGTTTGGGAAGAGAAAAAAGTCCTGCAGATGGATGGTGGTGATGGGTGCAAAACAATGTGAATATACTTAGTGCCACAGAAATATACTATTAAAAAGGATTAAAATGGTAATTTCATATATATTTTACTACAGTTTTTTAAATTATTCTTGGGATTTCTGAAATTCTTATTAGATATACACCCTGAGGCTTCTACAGTGAAGGAACTGAAATGGAACAGAACATTTCAGCTGACCCTTCCATCCTCCTGCGTCAATTACTACATGGATCTGATAACTAAATATGCTCCATCTGTGTGTGGACCCATCGTTAGGAGAGATTAATTTAACTATTCCACAATGGAGATAGTCTGTTTTTCCATAATGTTAAATACATTAACTAAATTCTGAGACAGAAAAGGGTAGAGAAATGTCTCCAGTCATATAGATCAGAACTGCCCAACATAACTTTCTAATAAGATGATAGGCCTGGTGCAGTGGCTCACACCTATAATCCCAGCAATCTGGGAGATTGAGGCAAGAGGATCACACTTCAGCCCAGAAGTTCTAGACCAGCCTGGGCAATATAGCAAGACCCTGTTTCTACAAAAGGTCAAAAAATTAGCTAAGTGTGGTGGTACACACCTGTAGACCTAGCTACCCAGGAGGCTGAGGTGAGAGGATCATTTGAGCCCAGGAGTTGGAGGCTGCAGTGAGCCATGATCATGCCACTCCAGTCTGGGCAACAGTGTGAGACTCTGTTTTTAAAAAAAAAAAAAAAAAAAAAAAGGATGACAGAGTGTGCTGGATGGAAAAATAATTGCGCTGTACAAACTGGTAGCCCCTAGTCATGTGGTCATGTGTGGCTACTGAGAAGTTGAAATGTGGCTAATGGAACTAAAGAAGTGAATTTTAAATTTTATTTAATTATAGGTAAATTTAAATAGCCACATGTGGCTAGTGGTTACCATATTGGTGAGGCAGACCTAAATCTTCACTTGAGCTTGCTTCAGGAGTCAGAATGAAAGGTACCCACATTAGAAATTTGTGCTGTCAGGCCAGGCACGGTGGCTCATGCCTATAATCCCAACACTTTGGGAGGCTGAGGCAGGCGGATCACCCGAGGTCAGGAGTTCGAGACCAGCCTGACCAACATGGGGAAACCCGTCTCTACTAAAAATACAAAATTAGCCAGGCATGGTGGTGCAAGCCTGTAATCCCAGCTACTCGGGAGGCTGAGGCAGGAGAATCACTTGCACCCAGGAGGCAGAAGTTGCGGTGAGCCAAGATCTCGCCATTGCACTCCAGCCTGGACAACAAGAGTGAAACTCCATCTCAAAGAAAAAAAAAAAAGAAATTCAAGCTGTCCCTTCAGACTCCAACTCTACCCATAACTCTGTGCTACCATGAGCCGCATTAGACTCTAGGCAGGATATACCACTTTCTGAGCACCTATTACTTCAAGGAACTACGGAAAGCCCTTTCATGAACTTTATCTCATTTAATCCTGTCACCTCTGGCAGTAAGTACAAGAATTGCATGGGATATATAAGATTTCTTCAGACACTGGGAATCCAGCCTCTAAAGGAAACACTAGCAAATAAAGCCACATAAAGTCCAAGTTTCAAAGCTGACAAAATGTGCAAATTACCAGATACCTAGAATTCCAATCCTCAGAGGAACCCGGGAGCGGGGCCGCCTTGTCTTCAAGGCTTTAAGCTGATGTAAACGGTTCCAGATGGTCTGCTCAGCCTTCTCCCTAGAGAGATCAAAGGAGGCAAGACTGAACCAAAAATAAACCACAGAGGTATCTAAGAGAGTAGGTCAGTGGGAAGAAAATAAAAACCACCTTCAACCCTTTAAATCAAGCTTTTCCAACCTGCAGCCCACGGGCCACATGCAGCCAGGATGGCTTTGAATGCAGCCCAACACAAATTCATAAACTTTTGTAAAACATTAGGAGATTTTTTTGGGGGGGATTTTTTTTTTTTTTTTTTTTTTAGCTCATCAGCTATTATTAGTGTTAGTGTATCTTATGTGTGGCCCAAGACAATTCTTCTTCTTCTTCCAATGTGGCCCAGGGAAGTCAAAAGATTGGACAGCCCTGCCTTAAATGTGTATCTGCCATTCAGACTTACGGAAGGTAGGTAGGGGGCCACCTGAAGAAGCAACACTTGCTATAATTTACCTTTCCTAAAATGACATCCTTCCTACACATCTTCAAATCCTGAAAAGCCTTTAAGCCAAACTCAAAAACAATCTACTTCACAAGGCCTTCCAGTTCTCCTCTGTTGGACAGTTTGTCCTCCCTTTAACTGCCCTTCAACTTTTTTTTTTTATGATTCCAGATCCTAATGCCCTTCTACTTTAACTAGATTTTTCCCTATACTTAGCAATTTCTCCTTTTTTTTTTTTGAGATGGAGTCTCGCTTTGTCACCAGGCTGGAGTGCAACAGCGCGATCTCGGCTCACTGCAACCTCCAACTCCCTGGTTCAAGCAATTATCCTGCCTCAGCCTCCTGAGTAGCTGGGATTACAGGCGTGCACCACCACGCCTGGCTAATTTTTGTATTTTTAGTAGAGATGGGGTTTCACTATGTTGGCCAGACTGGTCTTGAACTCCTGACCTCATGATATGCCCACTCTGGCCTCCCAAAGCGCTGGGATTACAGGTGTGAGCAACCGTGCCTGGCCAGCAATTTATCTTTTATTTTTCTTTGTAGATACAGGGCTTTACTTTGTGCCCAGGCTGGTCTTGAATAGTTCACTGTAGCCTTGAACTCCTGGACTCAAGTGATCCTCCCACCTCGGACTCCAAGAGTGCTGGGATTATAGGTGTGACCTACTACACCCAGCCTCATTGTTTGATTTTTTTTGAACTAGCATTTTTTGCCAGATGTTGGAGCTATTTGTTCATCTATCTTAGTTCCCATATCAGACTAGGCTCCTTAAAGCCAGGCCATGGAAGAAGGGTTCATTTCGGAATCACCCAAAGCACATAGTTCAGTGTCAAGCAGCAGAGGCCTACAGAACAAAAATGTCAGATGAATTAATTGACAGTATAGCCGGATAGGGAAACATTAACACTAGCATGTCTTGAACACAGAAACAAAGTGAGAAAGGAGGTACGTTCACCTCTGATGGGAGTCACCCATCTCTACTCAAAACTCCCCAAGCCTATGACTACATCCTACCCCGGGCAGCTATATTATAAACATATGCCATTAGTTACAAAACAAAGCTCAGGAAGAGCTGAGTGGCTCGGCACATTCTTGGTGTCCTCATCTATAACAGCACCAACCACACAGGGTTGTTGTGATCATTAAATTTGTTAATGCATTATGTTACTCACTCAGAACCTGACACCACGGTACATGCCCAGCCAATGTCAGCCAGTTGTATAAAGACTATCTCCACTGTGGGAAAACTGCAAGTCCTACTGCCATGGGGCCACTGGCTCATCTCCATAGACAGCCAGGCCAGGCACTGTTAGCTCTGGCATTATTACATAAAATACATTCACTCCTAGGAAAAGAACAAATTCGCACCTGATAGAGCATGTGACAAGGAGAATCACATCTGCCTGAATGGAAAGAAAGGAAAACAAGGAAAATTACATAATATCTTGGATATTAGCCTTGTACAATTCCTGCCCTACAGCTCTTTATTATTTTTTTTTCCTTTTTTTTTTTTTGAGACAGAGTCTCACTCTGTTTCCCAGGCTGGAGTGCAGTGGGGCAATCTCAGCTCACTGCAACCTCCACCTCCCGAGCGGTTCAAGCAATTCTCCTGCCTCAGCCTGGGATTACAGGTGCCCACCACCACGCCCAGTTAATTTTTGTATTTTTAGTAGAGATGGGGTTTTACCATGTTAGCCAAGCTGGTCTCGAACTCCTGACCTCAAGTGATTCACCTGCCTTGGTCTCCCAAAATGCTAGGATTACAGGCATGAGCCACTACACCCGGCCTATTATTTTTCTTTAACTATTTTTTTCCTTTTTTTTTTTTTTTAATAGAGAAAGGAGTCTCGCTCACTTGCCCAGGCTGAAGAGCAATAGCATAACCATAGCTCACTGCAGCCTCAAACTCCTGTCTTCAAGCAATCCTCCTGCCTTGGCCTCCCAAAGTCCTGGGATTACAGGCATGGTGACCCACACCTGGACATTTTAACCATTTTTAAGGGTACAGTCCTGTGGCATTAAGAACATCTGCAATTTCATAACTACGCATTTTCCATAACTTTTTCATCTTCTGCAACTAAAACCCTGTACTCGTTAAACAGTAACTCTCCAACTTCCCTCTCCACAGCCAATTCTTAACTTAGCTCCTTGTCTGAAGGCGCACATCACCATAAAAGTTTCAAAAACAGCTGGAACAAAAGTACAACTCAGTCCCATGGTGAACACTTCACCCAAGGGAACTCTCTCTCACCAGGGGGCACCCTGCTCCTGAAACTACACCTAAGAACTGGCACAAATGCAGAATCTTGCCCAGGTCCAGGAAACAAAGGAAATAGGAAATGCATGTACCTCTTGGAGGTTACTGGTCCGCAGGTAGCCACTCTTCTGTAAGATGGACCAGGCTATCTCTGTGTCATTCACATTCATCTGGCAGCCATAGGTCTCGAGGTAGACTGCAGTGAGAGGTTGGGGGGAATCCATGGTAGACAGACAACAAGGGGTCTCGTGTCTCAAAAGGTCTCCTTCCCAAATGCTCTAGAAATATCTGAGGCATCTGGTTATCCACTAAGTCCCCTATTGCTTCAATCTTAAGATAACATAAATTGCCAGATGTACCCCCAAGTTAATGATAGACCTTCAGAACAAAAGAAATACCATATTAGGCTGGGCACAGTGGTTCATGCCTATAATCCCAGTACTTTGGGAGACTGAGACAGGAGGATTACTTAAGCCCAGGAGTTTGAGACCAGCCAGGGCAACATAGGGAGACCCTGTCTCTACAAAAAATTTAAAAATTAGGCAAGTGATACATGCCTGTGGTCCCAGCTACTCAGGAGGCTGAGGTAGAACTGCTCGAGCCCAGGAGACTGAGGCTGCCGTGAGCCATGATCACACCACTGCACTCAGCCTGGGCAATAGAGTGAGAACCTGTCTCAAACAAACAAAAAAATATACCACATTATATATCCACACCAATTACAAGCCATGTTATCTTTTAAATGGGGAAAACATGTACCTGAGAATCAAGGAAATATAGTTATAAAAACAATTAGAAAAGGAAGGACTAGGCCGAGGGTGGTGGCTCACGCCTGTAATCCCAGCACTTTGGGAGGCCAAGGCGGGCAGATCACTTGAGGTCAGGAGTTCGAGACCAGCCTAGCCAAAATGGTGAAACCCAGGTCTCCACTAAAAATACAAAAATCAGCCAGGTGTGGTGGCGTGCACCTGTAATCCCAGCTACTCAGGAGGCTGAGGCAGGAGAATCACTTGAAGCCAGGAGGCAGAGGTTGCAGTGAGCTGAGATCGCACCATTGTGCTCCAGCCTGGGCGACAGAGCGAGACTCAAAAAAAAACAAAAAAGAAAAGAAAAGGAAGGGCTAACTGATAGTGTTCATCAGCCTGAAGGGAAAATAAGTTTAAATCCACATGTTACACTCCTCCTCAAAATAAAGAGGTTTTCCAGCCTCTGGAAGTAGCAGCAGTGGCCAGAGGGTACATAAAGTCACAAAATTAAAATGAGGCATCTTCTTACAGTAACTTCATCTTAAATGAAAGCAAGGCTATATTATGAAGTAAAACTAATTTTGTACACAGTTGTAAGAATATGAATTTCACATTCTGGCAGCTTCAAACTATATTCCAAGATCAACCCCCGTCCCCACCAGCAGGTCTTATTTCCAGACTCCAATAAATTCCAACTAAAAGTTAAGAGCTGAATGATAATCAGCTTTTGATCAAATGATTCTCCCACCTCAGCCTCCTGAGTAGCTAGGACTACAGGTGCACACTATCATACCTGGCTAATTTTTTATTTTTTGTAGAGACAGTGTTTCACCATGTTACCCAGACTGTTCTTGAACTCCTGGGCTCAAGCAATCCACCCATCTTGGCCTCCCAAAGTGCTGGGATTACAGGCATGAGCCACCGTGACCAGTCGAGTTTCTTGATATTAATATTACTTGGTGGAGTCTAATGATTCCCACAGCCTTCCCACACTGTTAACCTTCCAAGCCAGTTCTGTAATAAAAGAATCATGCCAGGAATGACAGAGAGGAGCAAGGCAGGAAGCCCAAAGGGATAAGCGAAGTAAAACCAACCTTTTCTCTGCCTTCCAAGAAGTTCATCCATCATGAGATAGGGAGGTGGGTCTTCCACTTCTGAAGACAGCTTCTCCTGAGGAGCTGAGGCACTTTTTAAAAAATGTTGAAAAGTCGGTCCAGCAGCCAGCCTGGAGCTGAAATCCTTCCGAGCTCCATCCTCCTGCCTCTCTGGACTGGGACACATGGTACTAGAGAGACTGCTGTGTGCCCTGCACATCCTCAGCGACAGCCAAGACACAGAGGCCAATGGTCCCCACCCCAGAGACCTCTGCACTTGGAGGACACACTGTAAAGGGTGCATGGCACTAAACAGCCCACAGTCTGCAAAAGAATGACAGACATCACCAGCATTTATTGAACACTATGGACAGGACACTGCTGTGAGCACTTCAAGTGTATACATCTATTTACCCCTCACAAAAGCCCATGAAGAAGGTACTCCTAATAATATGACCTCTGTTTTACAGTTGAAAAAAACTGAGGCAACTTGCCCAAGACCACACAAAGGAGTGCCAGAGATGAGATGCAAATCCAGGCAGTCTTTTCAAAACAAGGGGTGGTAGAGATGAGATGGAAAGCCCTGACAAAATGACAAAATAGCACCTTGTGCCAAGACCAGTTCCCAAGGCTTTAAGTGTATTAACTCATTAAATCTTTACAGCAATCCTAGGAAGCAGATACTATTATTGTTCCTATTCCGAAAGACATAGGTTGAGGAACTCACCTAAGCTCCTACAGCCAGTAAGCAGTCAAACAAGGACTCAGATAAAAATCTGTATGGATGCAAAGCCCGTGCCACTACCCATCTTGCTACACTGCCTCTTAATAAAGTGAAAACCACTCACTGTCTGAGGGCATCTTCCTTTGAGTTCCTTCAGAAGGAAAGCAACTAATGTGAGGGCATTGTATGCCCGATCAGTGACTCCTTCTACCCTTCAAGAGTCTTGGCTGGATGCAGCCGCTCATGCCTGTAATCCCAGGACTTTGGGAGGCCGAGGCAGGAGGATCACTTGAGGTCAGGAGTTCAAGACCAGCCTGACCAACATGGCAAAACCCCATTTCTACTAAAAATACAAAAGTTAGCCAGATGTGGTAGCAAGTGCCTATAGTCCCAACTACTCAGGAGGCTGAGACAGGAGAATCACTGGAACCCAGGAAGCAGAAGTTGCTATGAACCGAGATCGCACCACTGCACTACAGTTTGGACAACAGAGCGAAACTCCATCTCAAAACAAAAAAAAAAGAGTTTCAAACTACTACCTTCAAACTTTCCACCCAGACCCTCTCACACTTGGCTTAGCAAATAACACAACCTTTATAGAGAACAATTTGCCACTTTCCATCAAAATTACAAGTGTGCAAACCATCTGACAAAGCATTTCCACTCATAATTATCCTGCAGATAAATCTATACACATACAAAATGACCTATGTATAAAGACATTCAGTCTAGGCACAGTGGCTCATGCCTGTAATCCCAGCACTTTGGGACGCTGAGGCTGGTGGATCACTTCAGGCCAGGAGTTCGAGACCAGCCTGGCCAACACAGTGAAACCTCATCTCTACTAAAAATACAAAAAATTAGCTGGATGTGGTGGCACACACCTGTATTCTAAGATACCCGGGAGACTGAGGCATGAGAATCTCTTGAGCTCAGGAGGAGAAGGTTGCAGTGAGCCAAGATCACGCCACTGCACTCTAGCCTGGGCAACAGAGTGAGACTGTCTCAAAAAATAAAAATAAAAGATATTCAATGCAACAGTGTTTCTAATAGCAAAGGAAAGGGAAAGATCTAAATGTTATCAATAAAGGACTAGTTAAGTAAGTTCTGGTGCATCCATACAATGAAACAAGATACAACTGTTAGAAACCAAGGCTGGTGGCCGGGTGCAGTGGCTCATGCCTATAATCCCAGCATTTTGGGAAGCTGAGACAGAAACATCACTTGAGCCAGGAATTCGAGACCAGCCTGGGCAACATAGTGAGACCTCATCTCTATAAAAATAACAAAAAATAGCCGAGCACAGTGATGCACACCTGTAGTCCCAGCTACTCAGGAGGTTGAGATGAAAGGATTGCTTGAGCCCAGGAGATCAATGCTGCAGTAAGCCATAATCGCACCACTGCACTCCAGCCTGGGTGACAGAGTAAGACCCTATCTCAAAAAAATAAAAATAAAAATAAATGAGGCTGAACCTATACATGACAAAGGCAAGGAAGCAATATGCTCCATGCTACCTACATTATACTACTGTTGAATCTGTGGGGAAAGAGGGTGGGAATATTGAGGTACCTATTTGCAGGTACATACAATATCTCTAGAATGCATAAGAAACAATAGTTGCCTCCCAGGAAGACTTAGGTGACTAAGGTATAGGAGATGAAGCCATACTATTTACTTTTTTTTTTTTTAATTTTCTGACTAAGGAAGAATTCTAGGATCACCATATATTTTTACTGGACCCCACATCTATGGCCTACTACACTCCAGCCATGCCACACTTCTTTGTATTAATCTTCACTAGCTTATAGGATTTTACACATGCTGTTCTCTGGCTGGTATTTATCTTCTCTCTAGTGGCCTATGGTACTTTCAGCTTTCTTCCTCTGGGAAGCCTGCTCTGGCCATCACCCCCGAA
Organism: Homo sapiens; assembly: GCF_000001405.40. Taxonomy (NCBI): domain Eukaryota; kingdom Metazoa; phylum Chordata; class Mammalia; order Primates; family Hominidae; genus Homo; species Homo sapiens. The sequence goes on from NC_000020.11 coordinate 33,399,403, forward strand.
GTCTAGGTGGGGTCCTCCTCTGGGTTCCCAAAGCTCTATTCTATCTCTCCATCACAAGACTCATCACACTTTGCTGTTAATTATTACTGACACTTCTGCCAGCCCTAGTAAACTGGCAGGTTCCTGCAAGCAGGGAACAAGTATCATTCATTTCTACACCTTCACCATCTCCCATTGTGGTAGCTGCCTCACGGCAGGTGCTAAACATCAGTGGTTCCCAACCTTTTTGGTACTAGGAATTGGTTTCATGGAAGACAATTTTTCCACAGACATGGAAGCAGGGGTGTGTTGAAACTGTTCCACCTCAGGCATTTAGATTCTTACAAGGAGCATGCAATCTTGAGCCAGTGCGGTGGCTGACATCTATAATCCCAGCACTTTGGGAGGCCGAGGCAGGCGGATTGTTTGAGCTCAGGAGTTCGAGACCAGCCTGGGCAACATGGCAAGACCATGTTTATTTGTTGTCTCTACAACAAATTAAAAAATAAAAAATTAGCCAGCCATTGTGGTATGTGCCTGTAATCCCAGCAACTTGGGAAGCTGAGGTAGGAGGATCACTTGAGCCAGGGAGGCAGAGATTGCAGTGAGCTGAGATTGCGCCACCACACTCCAGCCTGGGCAACAGAGAGAGAGAGAACTTGTCTCAAAAAAAAGGAAATGGAATGCACAAACTAGATGCCTTGCATATACGCAGTTCACAATAGGGTTTGTGTTCCTGAGAAACTAATTCCGTGGCCAATCTGACGGGAGGCAGAGCTCAGGCAGTAATGCCAGCTTTGCTGCTCACCTCCTGCTGTGCAACCCGGTTCCTCACAGGCCACAGACAGGTACCATTCTACCACCTAGGGTTAGGGGAACCCTGCTATACACGTGTAAAGAGCAGATGTGGCCCATTACCTTTCCAATGAGATGACCTGCCACATCTGCTACTAGCACTTAGGAGCAATGCCAACCCAGTTTCAAGAGTCAGAGAAGAACAGCCTTAAAGTGTGAACTTTAAAATCGCCCCTTTCTACTCCATAATTGCTGTGTGACCTTTGGCAAGACAAATTTCTGTCTCTGAGCCGCCAATTCCACATGTGTAAAATAAGGATAAAAGCAGCACCTACCACCCCATAAGTGTTATTAAGAATAAGATATTAAAAACCCAACTTGAGATACAGTAAGCGTTCACTAACTGCACATTTACAGCCCACACCCCCTTTCACAGAGAGTATTAGAGCATCCTGGTTAAGAGTATGAACTCCACTAAAAATACAAAACTTAGCCGGGTGTGGTGGTATGCGCCTGTAATCCTAGCTACCCAGGAGGCTGAGGCAGGAGAATCGCTGGAACTCGCGGGGCAGGGGCTACAGTGAGCCGAGATCGCGTCACTGCACTCCAGCCTGGGCGACAGAGCAAGACTCCCGTCTCAAGAAAAAAAAAGTATGGACCCTGGAGTCAGAATCTGACCCCACTGCTGCCAAGCCAGCTAAACCTTAGGCACCTGTCTTAAACTCTGGGAGCCTCTAGATGGGGATAATAGCACCTATCTCCATAAGCCTACCGTAGGATCAAATGCAATAATACAAGCAAAATGCTTTGCATAACGCAATGTAGAAGCCTCTCTGGAGGCTCGAAATTAATTCTGACAGTCGGCAATGAGGCTGGAACAACAGCGTACAACATCCCAAACATTTTATTGGCTGGTTACAATGCGTTAGGCATGGTGCAAAGCATTTTCCGCGAATTATTACCTATAACCCTCATAGCAACCCTGTGAGGCAGGCTGTACTGTCAACCCCACTTCACGGGTGGCGAAGCGAAGCCTTGAAAGAAGTGGAGGTGACCTGTCCAAGGTCACACGGGGTTAGGCGGCGGGGTTAGGGTACGAACCCCTACAGCCTGACGCCAGGCCCCACGCCATAACCACCGTGCCATCCTCCCTCTTGAACACCGTGCGCTTCCCGGGATCCGCGGCCCCTCCTGCCCCAGGCGCCAGTCAAAAGCGGGTGCGCAGCCCACCCCGGCGGCCGCGCTGCTCACCTCCCGCAGCAGCAACAGTGCCCGGGGTCCCGCAGCGTAAGTTCTGCCGGCAAGTCGGATCCCCTCACAGGTCCGCCGCTGCGTTCATACACAAGCGACTTCCGTTCCGCCGCTACTTCAGGCCGGGTCATGCTAACGGAAGTGCTTCCTTTTTACAGTCCGGGTGGACCCAAAGCTCCGTGGCGGTGCTGAACTTTAGGGCAGCCACTAGCCACGGACTTAAGCGGCAATTGAGCTCCTCAAAGTGGGTGAGTGCAAATCAAATGTGCGCTAAATGTCAGATACACTGGATGTGGAAGAAGAAATGTCAAATAGTGTCAAATAGTTCATATATATAATGTTTATATTGATTATGTGCTGCAATAATTGTTGGGATATATTGGATTAAATAAGTACATTTGTTGAATTAGTTTTTTTTATTTGTAGCTATGGTGGTAGAAATATTTGAATTAAGTTCACCTGTTGTTTCTTTTTACTTTTTCAATGTGGCTAGCAGGGGGAAAAATAATATGGTGTGATCATGGCTCACTGCAGCTTCCGCCTCCCATGCTAAAGCAATCCTCCCACCTCACACTCCCAAGTGGCTGGGACTACAGGCAGGCGCCACCACGCCCAGCTAAAATTTTTTTAATTTTTTTGTAGAGACCGGTCTCCCCATGTTGCCCAGGCTGGTCTCAAACTCCTACCTAGGCGCAAGCCATCCTCCCACCTTGGCCTCCCAAAGTGCTGGGATTGTAGGCATGAGCCACCGTGTCCGGTCCTTACTGGGAAATTTTAAGTCACCTAAGAGGTTCACGCTCTATTTCTATTGGAGGGTGCTGCCCTGTAGGTTAATGACTTCCTGATTCACATCTCCAGCTGGACCCTCCCTGCAGTACCAGAGCCATAGCTCAGCTGCCTACTTGACACCCCTTCTTGAGTGTCTGATGACCATCTCTAACTTATACAGAACTCTTCATTTCCACACATGCACCTTCACCAAAAACCTGTACCTGTCATTCTGGCCCATCTCAGTAAATGGCCCAACCATCCTTCCAGGTGCACTAGGAGGAACTGAATGGTCATTTTCTTCACCTCCCTGGATCCCCACATTCTATCTGTCAGTAAGCCCTGTCAACTCTAACTCCAAAATGTCAAATCTGTCTACTCGGTAGCTACAACTACCCAGGCCACCATTGTCTCATCAGAAACAATCACAGTAGCCTGCTAATGGTCACCTTGTCTCCTGAGAACAGTTTCCCACACATAGCCTAAGGGAATTTGTGTTTGTTTTATTAAATCAAATTATATCACCCCTCTCCTGAAAACTCTCCGTGGCAGGCCGGGCGTGGTGGCTCACATCTGTAATCCCAGCACTTTGGGAGGCCAAGATGGGCAGATTGCTTGAGCCCAGGAGTTCTAGACTAGCCTGAGCAACATGATAAAACCCCATCTCTACAAAAAACACAAAAATTACCCCGGCATGGTGGTGGGTACCTGTGGTCCCAGCTACTCAGAAGGCTGAGGCAGGGAGGATTGCTTGAGCCAGGGAAGTTGAGGCGGCAGTGAACCATGACCTCAACACTGCACTCCAGCCTGGGTACCAGAATGAGACCATGTCTTGAAAAAGAAAAAAACAAAAACAGCCGGGCACGGTGGCTTATGCCTGTAATCCCAGCACTTTGGGAGGCTGAGGTGGGTGGATCATGAGGTCAGGAATTCGAGACCAGCCTGGCCAATATGGTAAAACCCCGTCTCTACTAAAAATAAAAAATAAAAAATAGCTGGGCATGGTGCCGCGTGCCTGTAGTCCCAGCTACTCGGGAGGCTGAGGCAGGACAATTGCTTGAACCCAGGAAGCGGAGATTGCAGTGAGCCAAGATCGAGCCACTGCACTCCAGCCTGGGCGACAGAGCAAGACTCCATCTCAAAAAAAAAAAAAAAAAGAAAAGAAAAGAAAAAAACAAAAACAAAAAGCTTAAGAGCTTTCCATTGCCCGTGCAATAAAATCCAGATTTCCTACTGTATCCTAGGGGCCTGCATGATGTGGCCCCTGCTTTTTTTTTTTGAGACGACGTCTCACTCACTCTGTCGCCCAGGCTGGAGTGCAGTAGTGCAATCTCGGCTCACTGCAACATCCGCCTCCCAGGTTAAAGCGACTCTCCTGCCTCAGCCTCCCGAGTAGCTGGGATTACAGGCGTGCACCACCACGTCAAACTAATTTTTGTATTTTTAGTAGAGCAGGGTTTCACCATGTTGGCCAGATTGGTCTCAAACTCCTGGCCTCAAGTGATCCGCCCACCTCGACCTCCTAAAGTGCTAGGATTAGAGGCGAGCACCACCACGCCCGGCTGATTTTTGTTTTTACTAGAGATGGGTTTTCGCCATGTTGGCCAGGCTGGTCTCAAACTCCTGGCCTCAAGTGATCCTCCCACCTCAGCCTGCCAAAGTGCTGGAATTACAAGCATGAGCCACCATGTCTGGCCCCCTGCTTACTTTTACTTCTCCAACCCATGTACTTCTTACCACTTACTTCTCCTACTGTGTTCTTTCTAGTTGACTATACTTCAACTACATAATTTTATCTTGCTCCTTCAATAACCCAAGCAAATGTTTATTTCAGACCCTCTGTCCTTTTTTTTTTTTCTTTTCTTTTTTGAGACGGAGTCTTGCTCTGTTACCCAGGCTGGAGTGCAATGGCGTGATGTTGGCTCACTACAACCTCCACCTCTCGGGTTCAAGCAATTATCCTGCCACAGCCTCCCAAGTAGCTAGGATTACAGGCACGCAACACCATGCCCACAGAGCTTCTCTTCTTACTATTATCTTTCTGGAATGCTCTTCTCCAAAATTGTTTCGTGGCTGGCCCCTTCTCATCCTTTAGGTCTCAGCATAAATATCAGCTCTTCAGAGAGACCCTCTCTGACCACTTCATATAAACTACTCTATCACTTCTCTTATTATTTTCTTCACCATATTTGTCACTATTCAAAATGTTGGCATTACTTATTTTCTTATCATTGCCTATTCCCTGGACTATCAGCTAGGGAGGGACACGTCGTGTCTTGTTCATGGCTTTATCCCCATGATCTACACAGGGTCTGACTCATAGAAGGGCTTAATGAAAATTTGTTGAATGAATAAATGACTGCTTTCTGTCTTAGTTTGGGCTCCCCAGAAGCAGACCTGAGACAAGTATTTTTTTTTTTTTAGACCAAGTCTCACTCTGTTACACAGGCTGGAGTGTAGTGGCCCAATCTTGGCTCACTGCAACCTCCACCACCCGGGTTCAAGCGATTCTCCTGCCTCAGCCTCCTGAGTAACTGGGATTACAGGCAAGCGCCACCACACCCGGCTAATTTTTGTATTTTTAGTAGAAACAGGGTTTCACCATATTGGCCAGACTGGTCTCTAACTCCCCACCTGCGGTGATCCACCCACCTTGGCCTCCCAAAGTGCTGGGATTACAGGCATGAGCTACTGTGCCCGGCTACTGAGACAAGTATTTGAGTGCAGGTAGTTGATTTGCAAAGTAATCTCAGGAAACACTGGTAGGGTAGTAGGGGAGTGAAACAGGGAGGGGAGACAGCCAATAAACATTGTTAACAAGCAACTTTCTTGCAGGCATCTAGGTCTTAATCCTGCTGGAGAACACTGGGAAATAATGCAGAACACTGTGCTGGTTAATTATTTGTGTCAACTTGACTGGGCCACAGGTTGCCCAGATATCTAGTTAAACGTTATTTCTGGGTGTTTCTTGAGGAAGAGATTAGCTTTGGTGGACTGAGTAGAGTAGACTACCCTCCACAATCTGGATGGACATCATCTAACCCCTTGGGGACCCAAATAGGACAGGAAGACAGAGCAAGGTTGAATTCTCTGTCTGCCTGACTGCTTAAGCTGAGACATTGGTCTTCTCCTGCCCTTGGACTGGGACTTAAACACCATTGGCACTCCTGATTCTCAGTCTTTTAGATTCAAACTGGAATTTACACCACCACCTTTCCTCGGTGTGCAGCTTGCAGATGGCAAATTGTAGGACTTCTCAGCCTCTATAATCACTTGATCCAATTCCTTATGATAAATCTCATTCTAGATGTAGAAATATACATATAGTGGCCAGGCACAGTGGCTCATATCTGTAATCCCAGCACTTTGGGAGGCCAAGGTGGGAAGATCACTGGAGGTCAGGAGTTCGAGACCAGCCTGGCCAACATGGTGAAACCACATCTCTAATAAAAATGCAAAAATTATGGCCAGGCGCAGTGGCTCACACCTGTAATCCCAGCACTTTAGGAAGCCGAGGCAGGCGGATCACCTGAGGTCAGGAGTTCAAGACCAGCCTGGCCAACATGGTGAAACCCCCGTCTCTACTAAAAATACAAAAAAATTAGCCGGGCATGGTGGCGAGCGCCTGTAATCCCAGCTGCTCAGGAGGCTGAGGCAAGAGAATTGCTTGAGGCCAAGACAGGAGGATTGCTTGAGTTCAGGAGTGTGAGACCAGCCTGAGTAACATGGCAAGACCCCATCTCTACAACAAATTAAAAAATAAAAAATTAGCCAGCCATGGTGGCACAGTCCTATAGTCTTAGCAACTTGGGAGGCTGAGGTAGGAGGATCACTTGAGCCTGGGAGGCCGAGACTGCAGTAAGCTGGGATCCCGCAACTGCACTCCAGCCTGGGCAACAAAGCGAGACCCCACCTCCAAAACAAAAAATAGGGCGGAGGGTGGTGTTCCAAGTGAAGGCACCAGACTGCTGATGGCCAGAAGGAAAAGGAGTGAGTCTTTGGTGGTTTGGGATGTTGCTGAAAATTTAGTGGATAAGCTGAGAAAATTTCATTTTCACAAAGAAACAATGCTACCATTGTAAGTAAGCTAAAAGTGATTGCCTCAAAGTTAAGTTACCTGGTCTCTCTTTTTTTTTTTTTTGAGACAGAGTCACGCTCTGGGGCCCAGGCCGGAGTGCAGTAGCGCAATCTCTGCTCGCTGCAAACTCCACCTCCAGGGTTCAAATGATTCTCCTGTCTCAGCCTCCCGAGTAGCTGAGATTACAAGTGCACACCACCATATCTGGCTAATTTGTTGTTGTTGTTGTTTGTTTTGTTTGTTTTTTTGAGACCGAGTCTCACTCTGTTACCCAGGCTGGAGTGCAGTGGCCGCGATCTCAGCTCACCGCAACCTTCACCTCCCAGGTTCAAGCAATTCTCCTGCCTCAGCCTCCTGAGTAGCTGGGATTACAGGCAGGTGCCACCATGCCCGGCTAATTTTTGTATTTTTAGTAGCAACAGGGTTTCACCATGTTGGCCAGGCTGGTCTTGAACTCCTGACCTCAGGTGATCCGCCCACCTCAGCCTCCCAGAGTGCTGGGATTACAGGCATGAGCCATCACACCAGGCACATCATCTTTGTTTTATCTTGTCGCTACATTAAAGAAACTGAACCTTTCAAAAGTTTAAAAAAAAAAAAGTTCTGGGCTTGGCACGGTGTCCTAGCACTTTGGGAAGCTGATGCAGGAGGATCACTTGAGGTCAGGAGTTTAAAACCAGCCTGGCCAACATGGTGAAACCCTATCTCTACTAAAAATACAAAACATTAGTGGGGCATGGTGGTGGGCGCCTGTAATCCCAGCTACTCAGGAGGCTGAGGCAGGAGAATCGCTTGAACCGGGAGGTGGATGTTGCAGTGAGATGAGACCCTGCCTGGGTGACAGAGCAAGACTCCGTCTCAAAAAAAAAAAAGTTCTCCATCATTGCCATTGTCATTGTGATTTTAGGTAGGGAGTCATAACCACTGCCCACTCACATCCAGCCAGCACATCGCAGTTTCCGAAGTACCAAACACATTCCACTCCACCTCCCTTCTGCAGGAAAGGGTCCTGAAGCTCTCTAAGATGGCTTTGACATGGGTCCACAAATTCTTTGACATTCCTTTCTTCAAGAGGTGGAGCCTAATTCCCCTCCCTTTGAGTGTGGACTGAACTTAGTGACTCATTTCTAATGAATAGAACAAAGCAGAAGCAACAGTGTAAGGCTTCCAAGACCGGGTCATAAGAGGCACTGTTTGTGGCTTCCTCCTTGCCCTCTCTTCTGTCTCACTGTGGGGAAAGCCAACTGCCATATCATGAGAAAACTCAAGCAGCAGCTCTAGGGTTAGCCCTACATGGTGAGGAACTGAGACCTCCTACCCACAGCCATGTGCATGAGCAGTATTGGAATGGATCCTCCAGCCCCAGTCAAGCCTTCAGATGACTGCAGCCCTAGCCGACAACTTGACTGCAACCTCATGAGCGACCCTGAGACAAGAACAGCCCAGCTTAGCCCCTCTCAAATTTCTGACCCACAGAACCTAAGAGATAATGAATATTTGTCATTTTAAGCTGCAAATTTTGGATAATTTGTCACACAACAATAGATAACCAATACACTGTCTTTGGCCCATGTAGTAAAGGTCTGTTCTTCTCCAGGGAAAGGTGCCCTAGTCCTTGGTCTGGTCCATCTTGGGACTGCAGGGGCCACCCCAGGACCCAAAGGCCAAGGCACAGACCACATACACTGGGCCGGGCTGCCTGTGTGCTCACAGGCTGTTTATTTATCCAAGAGTAAGGAGGAGAGAGACAGGATGAAGAGAAAAACCAGACTCCCCACGGTGGCAGGGCTGAGGGGAAAAACAAACAGAAAATCTCCTCTTCTTTCTCTTGCTGCTGACCCCAGGGTACTCCAGCTTCAGATGGGACCTCTGGGGGTGGCTTAGGGGCCTCGAGGAGGCCCGGCAGCTCAGCTGTTGGCTGGGGTCAGGATCCGCACAGGGGCAGGTCCCAGACTCGGAATGGCTTCTGTGTACACAAAATATCTCTCTGCAAAAGGCACTGGTGGAGGGGGGCAGCAGGAAGGCCACCCCATCACAGGCAGAGTCCACTCTGTCCTGCGTCTGGGTCCTGGGCCCCAAGACCAATCCAGTCTCCCTCAGGGTTGGGGTTTCGGAGGCCCTTGTTCCTCTCCTCTCCCTTCCCTCAGCCCAGGGGTGAGCAGGCAGTCGGTGGAGGCCCAGCTCAGGCCATGTCATGGACACCCCTCTTCAGGGCTAGTGCATCCGGCGACTTCTAGGCCAACAGCCCGAGGCGGGTGACTTTGGCCGACAGGAAGGAGTGGATGATGAAGACTATGGTTTTGGGACACGAGTGCAGGTCCAGCTGCTGGAGGGTGGATGGAGAGAAGAGTCAGGGCCCTGGCCAGCCTGGCCTCCGAGAGTGCACACCCCCTCCTCCCCAGGGTGCAGAGGCAGCCCCTCACTCACGATCTCGCCTTCAGCACCTCCAAAATCCAGGAAAAGGAGACTGGCACCGTCATCTGAAGACATCTGCAGCTTCTCGAAGGGCTGTCGCAGGAGCACAGCTCGGGCTGCACCTGGCTCAGCCGCCCACAGTGTGAAGCCCTTGTCGATGTGCACAGACAGGCTGCAGGGACGCCCATTCCACGTGCAGGCTGCAGGGAGGGCACATAGGTACAGGCACAGCTGGCACCTCAGAGACTACACCCCAACCTCCAACCCCCACCGCAGCTTACAAAGTGGGGCCTGAATGCCTCCAGGGATGGGAGGCTCACTGTTTGTCGTGGCACCAGTACACCCACCCTGCAGAGAGTCATCACCCCCACCCTCAGAGGACCTACACCCACTTCCAGTCCCACTTCCAGCAGCACAAGTAGAAAGGGGGAGCTTAAAATGTGCCATGGACAGGAGGCTCACTGCTGATAAAGGCATCATCAGATCTACCAAGCACCGCCCTTGGAGACCTGCAGAGTTACCCGGCTAAATTTAAATTTCAGATAAACAATGACTAATTTGGGCATACTTCTGTGAAAAAAGTATTCATTGTTAACCTGAAATTCAAATGAGGCTGGGTGTCCTGTATTTATTTCCTCTGGCAACCCTACCCCAAGTGCCATCTCTCACATCCTCACCAGCAGATTGACAAAACTGGGGCAAGAAAACCCCAGGGAGAAGAGTCTCTGCCTGCTAGGGCACCTGCACATCCAAAACAGAGGGCCCAAACCCAACTTCCTTTTTTTTTTGGAGAAACAGTCTCACTCTGTTACCCAGGCTGGAGTGCAGTGGGCGCAATCTCGGCTCACCACAACCTCCATCTCCCGGGTTCAAGTGATTCTCGTGCCTCAGCTTCCTGCGTAGCTGGGACTACAGGCACCTAGTACCATGCCCGGCTAATTTTTGTATTATTATTTTTTTTTTTTGAGACAGTCTTGCTCTGTCGCCCAGGCTGGAGTGCAGTGGCACAATCTGGGCCCACTACAACCTCCACCTCCCAGATTCAAACAATTCTGCCTCAGCCTCCCGAGTAGCTAGGACTACAGGCGCCCACCACCATGCCCGGCTAATTTTTGTATTTTTAGTAGAGACAGGGTTTCACCATTTTGGCCAGGCTGGTCTCAAACTGCTGACCTCAAGTGATCCACCCGCCTCAGCCTCCCAAAGTGCTGCGATTACAGGCGTGAGCCACCGCACCTGGCCAATTTTTGTATTATTAGTAGAGACAGGGTTTTGCCATGTTTGCCAGACTGGTCTCAAACTTCTGACCTCAGGTGATCCACCCACCTTGACCTCCAAACCCCATTTTCTATCCCCTCCTGAAGTGCCCTAAAGAAGGAAGCTTGAATGCCCCTGGGGATAAGAGGCTTATTACCAGAGGGACACTCCCAGATCCTCCCAGCACACCTGTAGACACCTCCTGCACACCCTCGGCGGCCCGGTGACAGCCATCCACAAGCTGGCGGGTCCAGGCAGCCAGCTCCTGCGGTGACTCCACGCTGAACAGGTGAGTGTCCACACCGTGACGCGTGCCCGTGCGCAGGGCAAAAGAGAGCTCTGCATCGTAGGGCACTGAGCCCTTGGAGGGGCCTGAGTGCACCAGTCTGGGGGTTGGGGGCAGAGGGCTGAGCATGAGGCCTCAGGCCGGAGGCAAATAGTTCTGGGCAAAGGGGCCAGTGACCTGGGAAGAAACCCTGTAAATCCTTTACCACCTAACAGGACAGGACTTGCCAGGGGGCACTGATTGACTCAGCAGGAGACATCTCCTGCCACCCTCCCCGTCACTCCCTTGGCTCTGGCTATACTGGTGTCATCACACACACCTAGCACATGCCTGCCTCAGCACCTTTGCATATGCTCTTCCCTCTGCCTATACATGCTTCCCTGATTATCTGCACGGCTCACTCCCTCACTTCCTTCAGATGTTAGTTTAAATGTCACCTCCTCTGAGAAGCCTTCCCTGACCTCCCAGTCCAAAATAGCACCCTTGTCACTCACTAGCCTTACTTTTTAATCATGGTACCAGAAATTATACTTTTTATTATTTGTTTTCGTTGGTTTTTGACTGTCTTTTTCACTAGAATGTCAACTAGGTTAGAAATTTTGATCTTGTGTTCACCACTGTATTCCCAGTAACTAAAACCATGCCTGCCCACAGTAGGTGCTCAGTAAACTTTTGTTGCCTAACTTGAATCACTTGATTAGGCAGACAGTCCAGGACCTAGTTATCCCTAGTAGCCAGCAGGCTCCTGACACACGGGCCAGAGCCAGCCTGAGGTAAGGAGACATGGGGGACAAGGACTTCAGACCCCTGCAGCTTGACTCTCACTTGCTGTGTGGCCTTGGTAAGCCAACTGCCCCTCTCTGGGGCAGAAAGTTCTGCCCCATATCCCTCTTTGTTCCTCCCTCCACCCACTCTTTCTCCTATAGCTCAGTTCCCCCCGCCACAGACTGCTGCTGACACCCGCCTTCGACTTTCCAGCCCTGAGCTGCAGACCCTCGAGTCCCCAGGCTTCCTATCCAAGCTCCCTCTCCATCCCACACACACTCTGGACTTAACTCAGCATCTTGCTCCAGCCTCCTCCCTTTCCACCCCCACCCCCAGTCCCACGCTCACCCAGACACAAGCTCCAAACCTCCTGTTCATTCCGGACCCCTCCTTCACCCGCCCCATCTGGCAAGCACGGAGCCCTGTTAATTTTACACCCATGTGGTTTCCAATGCCAATGCTGCCTTTCTTCCCCATCTGCTCCTGCCACCCACCTCCACCTCCCCCAGCCACCATCATCTCTCCTGCATGACTGCAGCACCTCCCCACTTCCATCCTGCACTCTCCGCTGCATTCTCCACGTGGCAGCCACAGGGATTCTCTTAAAGCAACCAGAGCACCTCGCTCCCCAGCTTAAACCCTTCAACACTACCAAACTCTTAAGCTAAAGCTAACATTCCTTAATCAGGCAATAGAAGCTCTTCAAGATCAGGCCCTGCCAACTCCCTTCTCTCCATTTCCTGCATGAATTCTGGTTATCACAAACTCATAGCTCCATGAACATGCTATAGCCCTTCATGCCTCTGTACTTTTGACCATGATGTTCTCTCTGCATGGGATGCTCTTTCACCCTTTCTTAAACAGAAAACTTCTACTCATCCATCAAAGTCCAGCTCAAATGTCACCTCCTCCCTGAAGCCTTCCTCTACTACCCCAACAGAGTTAAGTGGCTCCTACAAACCCTGCACTGTAATGGCTGTTCCTGGGTCTGTCTCCCCAGCCAGACAAGGTTCTCTCTGGAGGCAGAAACTGTTGGGGTCAGCTCTGTGCCCTCTGAACCATGCAGCACAAGGCATAAGTGTCAGCGAATGAGTGGCTAATGGGGACCTTATATCCTTTTGTTCCAAGCACCCATTTTACAGATGAGGAAACTGAGGCCCAGACAGGGCAGAGACTTGCTTCAGGTCACCTGGGGAATAGCTGAGGGTGGACAGGGCTGGAGTTCCCAGCTTCTGGGGCCCTGCTGGAGCATCTCCTGGCAAGTTCTGGGGGAGACATACTGCCCCTGCCTGTGGGTACCTGGTGGCGATGAGTGGGGCAGTACGGGCTGGCCGGCTCAGGGCCTCGCGGGTCTCGGGGAGAGACAAGTAGAGGAGCAGTTCCTTTTCAGTTAGCAGGGCCAGGGTGGGGGCTGTGCCCCCACTGGGCAGCTGCAGAGAACAAAACAGCAGTGAGGATGGGTGGGGGAAGAGAGGGCAGAGGGCCAGGGCAGGGTGAGGTGGCCAGGGGCACTGGGAACAGGGCCAGCTCCAAAGGAGCGGAAGAGAGAGAGGGATAGGTCCCAGGCCCAGCAGGTACCTGCTCAGTTAGCCAGCCAATCTGCTTGATGTCCTGGCTCCCAGCTGTGCTGGTGGCTGCCAACAGTGCCTGCAGCTCATCCTTGACCCGCGGCGTCAGAGTATTGACCTGGGCTTGGATGGCAGTCGCCCACGACCTCGCACTAGCCTCATCCTTGGCCCTCAGGAAGAGGGTGTCTTGACCATCTGCCGAGCAGATCTCCAGATACCTGCAGGCACAAATGGGTGGAGACAAGGACCTGACCATTAGGCTGCAGCTGCCCAACCCTGGCCCAAGAAACCCCACCCACCACCAAACCAGGAGAAACCAGGGGGATGTCCGTGAGAGAATCAGGAGCAACCCTCACTGCTGGGCTCCAGCCACAGTTGCTGGGGCTTCATGGGGCATAGGAACAAGCGAGTGTGACATATACACACGTGTTCATATATTTTGTGGGGTTTTTGTTGTTGTTTTTGAAACAGAGCCTCGCTCTGTCACCCAGGCTGCACTGCAATGGCCCAACCTCTGCCTCCCAGGTTCAAGTGATTCTCCTGCCTCAGCCTCCCAAGTAGCTGGGATTACAGGCACACGCCACCACACCCATATAATTTTTGTATTTTTAATAGAGATGGGGTTTCACCATGTTGGCCAGGATGGTCTCGATCTCCTGACCCCGTGATCCGCCTGCCTCAGCCTCCCAAAGTGCTGGGATTACAGGCATGAGCCACCATGCCTGGCCTTATTTTTTTATTTTTAGTAGAGATGGGGTTTCACCAAGTTGGCCAGGCTGGTCTCGAACTCCTGACCTCAAATGATCACCCCGCCTTCGCCCTCCAAAGTGCTGGGATTACAGGCATGAGCCACCGTGCCCAGCCTACACGTATGCAGATACACACAAATATACACACACACTGAAACATGCATGATGGTGTAATAGGGCCTAAATTATTGCTGTGTGGCTATTCCTAATCTTGCCCCTTTCTCCTGGTTTCTAAGGAACATCCTCTTCTGGGCCAGCTCCCAGGTTCTCCTTGTTGCACAGAACCAAACTAATTCACTAATAAGAGCAGGGGAAAAAAAAAAAAAAAACTAAGCTGGACATGGTGGCTCACGCCTGTAATCCCAGAACTTCGGGAGACTGAGCCAGGACGATGGCTTGAGCCCAGGAGTTCGAGACCAGCCTGGACAACAAAGTGAGACACTCATCTCTAAAAAAGAAAAAAAAATTTTTTTTTTAATTAGCCAGGCATGGTGACACGTGCCTATAGTCCCAGCTACTTAGAGGCTGAGGCAGGAGAACCACTTGAGCCCAGGAGTTTGAGGCTGCAGTAAGCTATAAGGGTGCCAGTGCACTCCAGCCTAGATGACAGCACAAGACCTCATCTTAAAAAAACAGAAAAACAGACAGGGTGTGATGGCTCACGCCTGTAATCCCAGCACTTTGGGAAGCCAAAGCGGGTGGATCACCTGAGGTAGGGAGTTCAAGACCAGCCTGATCAACATGGAGAAACCCCATCTCTACTAAAAATACAAAATTAGCTGGGTGTGGTGGCACATGCCTGTAATCCCAGCTACTAGGGAGGCTGAGGCAGGAGAATCGCTTGAACCCAGAAAGTGGAGGTTGTAGTGAGCTGAGATCGTGCCATTGCACTCCAGCCTGGGCAACAAAAGCGAAACTCCGTCTCAAAAACCAAAAAAAAAAAAAAAAAAAAAAAAAAACAGAAAAACAAAACAACAACAAAACTAAAGAGGCTTGAGGCCAGGCATGGTGGCTCACACCTGTAATCCCAGCACTTTGGGAAGCTGAGCCGGGCAGATCACTTGAGGCCAGGAGTTCAAAACCAACCTAGCCAACAGGGCAAAACCCCATCTCCTCTAAAAACACAAAAAATTAGCCAGACGTCATGGCGGGCACCTGTGGTCCCAGCTACTTGGGAGGCTGAGGCACCAGAATCACTTGAACCTGGGAAGCAGAGGTTGCAGTGAGCTGAGATCACACCACTGCACTCCAGCCTGGGTGACAGAGCGAGATCCCCCATCTCAAAAAGAAATAATAAATTATTGTTTTCTAAACCACTAAATTTTAGGGTTGGTTTGTGATACAGCAACAGATAGCCAAAATACTAGCAGAAAAGACTCTTTGGCTTTTGTCTTATTTCTGCCTGGAATATGAACACAATTCTTGGGATGCAGCCACCATCCTGCCTCCACGAAGAAGAAAACCGCCCATAATTAAAATGGTAGAGCAGGAAGCTAGAAGCCTAGTTCCTTGATGGCATCCTTGAGCATCTACAGCAGCCTGAATAGCTGACCCCTGGACTTCTTTTTAAACATGTGGGAAAATTAACCCCTTTTATTTAAGTCATTGCTTGTTGGAGTTTCTGTACTTGCAGCCCAGTGCAATCCTAACACTGAGTAAAAGTTTGAAGCAGTTTTCATTATATTTTGGTTGCCAGGCTGTATCCCTATGACTGGGATACTGCACTGACAGTGGGCCATATGGAACCCCAGTTATATTGAGGTTACCTATGTAGGTACTCAGGCATGTACATGTTAAAACACACATGCACACACATATGTGCATACACATACAAATAACATATAAACAAACACACATGTACAAATCTATACTCATACATGCAAATGCTCTCATATATACATACAAGCACTTGCATTTACATGTCATCTACACGTGCGCACACTTAGAAACATATACACACGTTTCAGGTAATGTCTGGGATCAGGCTGGGAATCTAAGGTTCTATGAGTCTCTAGAAGGACTAATACTACTTCACCTTCACACTCACAGAAGGCCCTTCCGGGCCGGGCATGGTGGCTCACCCCTGTAATCCCAGCACTTTGGGAGCCCAAGGTGGGTGGATCTTGAGGTCAGGAGTTTGAGATCAGCCTGGCCAATGTGGTGAAACCCTGTCTCTAGTAAAAATACAGCCGGGCGCGGTGGCTCATGCCTGTAATCCTAGCACTTTGGGAGGCCGAGGCAGGCAGAATGCCTGAGCTCAAGAGTTCAAGACCAGCCTGGGCAACATGGTGAACCCCCGTCTCTGCTAAAATACAAAAAAAAAAAAAATTAGTCAGGCATGGCGGCGTGCACCTGTAGTCCCAGCTACTCAGGAGGCTGAGGCAGGAGAATTGCCTGAACCTAGGAGGCGGAGGTTGCAGTGAGCTGAGATTGTACCACTGCACTCCATCCAGCCTGGCAACAGAGAAGACTCTGTCCCAAAAAAAAAAAAAATACAAAAATTAGTCTATTAAAAATACAGGCGATGGCTCATGCCTGTAATCCTAGCACTTCAGGAGGCCAAGGTGGGCGGATCACCTGAGGTCAGGAGTTCCAAACCAGCCTGACCAACATGGTGAAACCCCATCTCTAATAAAAATACAAAATTAGCTGGGCATGTTGGCAGGTGCCTGTAATCCCAGCTACTCAGAAGTCTGAGGCAGGAGAATCGCTTGAACCCGGGAGAAGGGGACCGCAGTGAGCCAAGATTACACCACTGCACTCCAGCCTGGGCAACAGAGCGATACTCCGTCTCAAAAACAAAAACAAAGGCTCTTTTTTAGAGCATCGGCAAGTGACCTGTGAATCACCAGTTTTTGCCTCATGGGGGCAGGCAAGAGGTGTGGCATCGAGTGAGACCAAGAGATTTGGATGCTGGACGTTAACCAGCCCTCCCAGCCAATGTTGGGCATTTGCTTGGCATTGAACCTAGGCTGTCACTAGGACCCACAGCCCAAGCTTGTAATGCATATAGCAGTTAAGCATCACCTCCAACAATGCATATCCCACTTGACCAAATATGCTCCATTTAGCCACCACCATCACTCAGGTATCTTGCACCTTCCAAAGCAGAAAGGACTACCAGGATTGAGGCAAGTGCCACCCTTTCTGGTTGTGTGATCTCAAGTAGGTTACTTCCCCTCTCTGTCCTCATCTATAAAATGGAGGTGAGCCGGGAACGATGGCTCATGCCTGTAATCCCAGCACTTTGGGAGGCCGAGGCAGGCAGATCACCTGAGGTCAGCAGTGCGAAACCAGCGTGGCCAACATGGTGGAACCCCATCTCTACAAAAAATACAAAAGTTAGGCAGGGCACAGTTGCTTACACCTATAATCCCAGCACTTTGGGAGGCTGAGGCGGGGGAATCACCTGAGGTCAGGAGTTCGTGACCAGCCTGACCAACATGGAGAATCCCGTCTCTACTAAAAATACAAATAATTAGCCAGGCATGGTGGCAGGCGCCCGTAATCCCAGCTACTTGGGAGGCTGAGGGAGGAGAATTGCTTGAACCTGGAAGGCAGAGGTTTCAGTGAGCCAAGATCATGCCATTGCACTCCAACCTGGGCAACAGAGTGAGACTCTGTCAAAAAAAAAAAAAAAAAAAAAAAAGTTAGCCAGGTGTGGTGGTGGGCGCCTGTAGTCCCAGCTACTTAGGAGGCTAAGGCAGGAGAATCACTTGAACCCAGGAGGCAGAAATTGCAGTGAGCCAAGATCTTTGCACCACTGCACTCCAGCCTGGGCGACAGAGCAAAACTCTGGCTCAAAAATAATAATAAAATAAAATAAAATGGAGGTGAAATAATAGGACTTTGCCCATTGGGCCTCTGTGAGAGCTAAATAATATTGCACAGGGAAAGCACTCAACACAGTGCTGGGTACACAGTAAACACTCAGTAAATGTTAGGTGGTTTCAGTATTATCAATGAACTGTTAAAGGCTGCTCAGATGTGAAGGATGTAACCTTCCATGGCCCTGATAAAAAGGTTACCAGACATCTCAGAGCTCCAGCAGAGTGGGAAGAGACGAGAGGATCAGTGAGTCCAACAACCTCATCTCACAATGGAGAATCTAAAGGTCAGTGAGGAAAAGGGCCTAGTTCAAAGAGGACCAGGACTGGAACGCAGGGTTCTTCCTCAGACCAAGTTCATCCCCAGATGTGAGCTGCCCAGAGGAAGAAGTGAGAAGCAAAGCACACCATCATCTCCATGGCTTCACTCAGGCTTCCAGTCAATCTATTTTTTAAGCACCTACTATGTCCTGGCATTGTGCTGGTCATTCGTACAACACAGAGGTGTCTTTCCATTGGTCCCACCACCTGACGCCAGGGCATCTGTCCATCTGAGTTGCTCCCAACCCCAGCCTTACCTGGGCTCCGGGTCATTGGGGGTGCACCTCTTCGAGACATATGCCATCTTCAAGGACATGTGTTTGGCCTCGCTGAAGTTCCGGGGTGTGGGGCCAGGGGAGGAAGGCTGCCGCTGAAGGGGTGAGGCAGGAGGTGAGTCCCAGCCGACCGAGGTCCCACCAGTAGAGTTCTTGAAATACGGTGAGACGTCCTTCATATACTTGACTGATTGGGAGAGACATCAGCAGTCACCACTGTGACATGGGCTCCCAGCACATATCACAATTGTCACTAATTTATTAAGAGTTTAATTTACGTGTCACTATTAGACCCTTAGTAAGCAAGAGTCCAGTAGTGATATTAACAAATTCTTCTAAGTTAAAGTCTCTGACAGGGCAGTGGAGCAGAAAATACTGTATCCCTTCTCTCTATCCCTATATAGAGATAGGGCCCGCCTATATCCCTTCTCTCATTTTCCCCATGGTTAATAGACATACAGCCACCTGGAAGAAAGACTCTATTTCCCAGCCTCCTTTGCAGTGAGGTGTGGCCATGTGACTTTTTTTTTTTTTTTTTTGAGACAGTTTCTCTCTGTCACCCAGACTAGAGTGCCATGGTGTGATCACAGCTCGCTACAGCCTCAATCTCCCAGATCAATCAATCCTCCCACCTCAGCTCCCCAAGTAGCTGGGTCTACAGGTACGCACTACCACACCCAGCTATTAATTTTTTGTAGAGATGGGGTCACGCCATGTTGCTGGTCTTGAACTCCTAGACAGTGTATACAAGAAGGTGGTTACAAGACTTTCCCAGGCTGGGCATGTTGGCTCATGCCTGTAATCCTAGCACTTTGGGAGGCCAAGGCGGGCAGATCATTTGAGGTCAAAAGTTTGAAACCAGCCTGACCAACATGGTGAAACCCCGTCTCTACTGAAAATACAAAAGCTAGCCGGGCGTGGTGGCTCGCACCTGTAATCCCAGCTACTGGGGAGGCTGAGGCAGGAGAATCACTTGAACCCGGGAGGAGGAGGTTGCAGTGAGCCAAGATTGTGCCACTGTACTCCAGCCTGGGTGACATAACAAGACTCTGTCTCAAAAAAAAAAAAAAAAAAAAAAAAAAAAAAGACTCCCAGGCTGGGCATGGTGGCTCATGCCTGTAATTCCAGCACTTTGGGAGGCCAAGGCAGTGTGGATCACTTGATGTCAGGAGTTCAAGACCACCCTGGCCAACAAGGTGAAACCCTGTCTCTACTAATAATACAAAGGTTAGCTGGGCAGGGTGGTGCATGCCTGTAATCCCAGCTACTCGAGAGGCTGAGGCATGAGAATCACTTGAACATGGGAAGCAAAGGTTGCAATGAGCCAAGATTGCGCACTCCAGCCTGGACGATGAAGTGCGACTGCCTCAAAAAAAAAAAAATGATGACTTTCCCAAGACCTTGTCTCTCTTCTCCCAACAAGGATATACCCTCTGTGGGTGCCTGATGCCTGCTAGCCCGTGGGCAGCCTCTCTTCCTCTGCTCTCAACCACACCTGCTCCCAGGGCCATCTGGCTTGCTAGCTATCTGACGTCTGCAGTCAAAGCCCAGCCAACGTGCCCTGTGAGTGGACAGCCCAGGAAGGAGTTAGGAAGTAATTCTTGGCCCACCTCCCTGGAAGAACCAGATAAGAAGCTATTTCTGTCGCAGGAGATGCCTCTGAGGCTCAGATAGGATTCAAAGCAAATGGAGGCAAATAAGAGGGAGTTACAAACCCTATTGGGGTTGGGATAGAAGCAATGTTGAAAGAAACCAGGGTCAGGTTTTTTTGGGAGAAGCAAGCCTGGGTCTGACTTTTGGGGACTAGGACTCAAATGACTTATCATCACTGTAGCAACGACTTACCCCAGGACTGACTATTGGATTATGTCTCAAAGGGCAGCAGAAGTGGGACATATCACAGCCTACTTGACAGCCAAAAACCATCTCCCCTCTTTTTCCTTTGCTAAGAGAACCCTGAGCCCTAGAGGCTCAGCTTCTCCCCAGCTTAGAGGGAGAATCTTGATTGGTCAAATCAAATCATGATCATTCCATCCTTTTTGCTTGTGATTGGTTTAGAAAGGGGCAAATGATACAGTTCTGGCCAATGAGATGTGAGGAAAAAAACACTGCCTTCCTTTTCTCCTCCTTTAGCCTTTCAAAGTTGCTGGGAGGGAGCTTGTTCCTAGTGCAACGACAGCCACTTTTTTTTTCTTTCTTTTTTTTGTGACAGAGTCTCACTCTGTCGCCCAGGCTGGAGTGCAATGGTGCAGTATTGGCTCACTGCAACCTCTGCCTCCCGGGTTCAAGCGAATCTCCTGCCTCAGCCTCCCAAGTAGCTGGGATTACAGGTGCGTACCACCACACCCAGCTAATTTTTGTATTTTTAGTAGAGATGGGGTTTCGCCATGTTGGCCAGGCTGATCTTGAATTCCTGACCTCAGGTGCTCCGCCGGCCTCAGCCTCCAAAAGTGCTGGGATTACAGGCATGAACCACTGTGCCCAGCCTACTTTTTGACCACAAAGTTTGGGATCCACACATTGAGGATGGTGAAGCAGAAAGATGGAGAGACCTGAGTTTTCGATGATACCATGAGCCCCTAAATTAATCTTCCCTGGAGCCATGCTGTCTCAAGATGTTCGGGAGGATAACACATTTTCTTTGATGTTTAAACCTCATTGAATTGGATTCCTGTTACTTGCAGTCAAAAGCATCCTGACAAATACAGCCCCCAATGGTGCAACTGCTACATCTCCTTGCTACAAGTGGCCACGTCCTGCTCAAAGCCCTGCTCTGCCTCCCCTGCACCCTTTGCCTAACTTCAATGCCCTCTAGGACATGGGCCCTGCCCACAGGTCCTGTCTTCCTCCCTGGCTTCACTTCTTGCCATATCCCTAATCTCACCCTCTGGTCCAATCACACTAACTACTCAGAGGCTGTATGAGCTTCCAAACTTCCACACTATTGAAAATGCAGTTCCCGGCCTTGTGCGGTGGCTCATGTCTGTAATCCCAGCACTTTGGTAGGCCACAGTGGGTGGATCGCTTGAGCTCAGGAGTTTGAGACGAGCCTGGCCAACATGGTGAAACCCTGTCTTTACTAAAAATACAGAAAAAAATTAGCTGGGCGTGGTCGTGGGCACCTGTAATCCCAGCTACTTGGGAGGCTGAGGCAGGAGAATTGCTTGAACCCGGGAGGCGGAGGTTCCAGTGAGCCAAGATTGCGCCACTGCACTCCAGCCTGAGGGACAGAGCAAGACCCCGTCTCAAAAAAAAAAAAGAAAAAGAAAGTAAAATTTAAAAAAAAATTAGCCAGGTGTGGTGACACATGCCTGTGATTCCAGCTAATCAAGAGGCTGAGGCAGGAGGATCGCTTGAACCCAGCAAGCAGAGGCTGCAGCAAGCCATGATTACGCCATTGCACTCCAGTCTGGTAACAGAGTGATACCCTGTCTCAAAAAAAAAAAAAAGAGAAAGAAAGAAAATGCAATTCCCTCTGGAGTCAGATGCTCTTGGATTTGAATTCCAGCTCCAGCACTGTCTAACTGTGTAACCATGGACAAGGTCATTTACCTCTCTGGGCCTCAATCTGCTAGTCAGTAAAAGATGAATAGGGCTGGGCACAGTGGCTCACGCCTGTAATCCCAGCACTTTGGGAGGCTGAGGCGGGAGGATCACCTGAGGCTGGGAGTTCAAGACCACCTGGCCAACATGGCGAAACCCTGTCTCTACTAAAAATACAAAAATTAGCCAGGCCATGGTAGTGCACACCTGTAATCCCAGCTACTCAGGAGGCTGAGGCAGGAGAATTGCTTGAACACAGGAGGCAAAGGCTGCAGTGAGCCAAGATTGTGCCATTGCACTCCAGCCTGGGCAACAAGAGTGAAACTCCGTCTCAAAAAAATAATAATAAAAATAAAAAATAATAAAATAATAAAAATAAAAGATTAATAACTACAGCCAGACATGGTGGCTCACGCCTGTAATCCCAGCACTTTGGGAGCCCGAGGCAGGCAGACTGCTTGAGCCCAGGAGTTCAAGACCAGGTTGGGCAACATAGCAAAACCTTGTCTCTACCAAAAACACAAAACATTAGCCAGGCATGGTAGTGTGCGCCTGTAGTCCCAGCTACTCGGGAGGCTGAGGTGGGAGGATTGCTTGAGCCCAGGAGGCAGAGGTTGCAGTAAGCCAAGATTATGCCACTGCACTCCAGCCTGGGCGACAGAGCAAGACCCTGTCTCCAAAAAAAAAAAAAAAAAAAAAAAAGTCTGCCTCAGAGAGATGTCAGGATTAAATAAAATGTTGTAAGGCATGTGGTGAGTATTAAGGACTCAAGAAGCAGGTGTTTCTCACTTATCAGCCTTTCTTGCCCATACTTCCTAGGTCTCCGATTCTGTGTGTTAGGGTTGTCTCCTCCACAAAACTGGGAACTCCTAAAAGAAATTGCCGGGCACAGTGCCTCACGCCTGTAATCCCAGCACTTGGGAGGCCGAGGCGGGTGGATCACGAGGTCAGGAGATCGAGACCATCTTGGCCAACGTGGTGAAACCTCGTCTCTACTAAAATTACAAAAATTAGCCGGGCATGGTGGCGTGCACCTATAGTCCCAGCTACTCAGGAGGCTGAGGCAGGAGAATCGCTTGAACCCAGGAGGTGGAAGTTGCAGTGAGCTGAGATCGTGCCATTGCACTCCAGCCTGGGCGACAGAGCAAGACTCTGTCTCAAAAAAAAAAAAAGAAAAGAAAAAGAAAGAAACTGGGCTTGCTCTTCAAACCCAGAGTTGGCTGGGCAGTAGCTCACGCCTGTAGTCCCAGCACTTGGGGAGGCTGAGGCAGGCAGATCGCTTGAGCCTAGGAGTTTGAGAGCAGCCTGGGCAACATGGCAAAACCCTGTCTCTACCAAAAATACAAAAAACTAGCTGGGCATGGTGGTGTGCATCTGTAGTCCTAGGTACTTGGGAGGGTGAGATGGGAGGCTAAGGTGGGAGGCTTGCTTGAGCCCAGAAGGTTGAGGCTATAGTCAGCCTGGATAACAGAGCAAGACCCATTTCAAACAAACCAACCAACCCAGAATCAGTGTTCTGTGAATGGAAAAATGAATGCCAGGGCAGGACAGGCTCATTTAGCAGGAGGGAAGAGGTGCCATAGCCCAGGAGACAGGCCCAGCTCAGAGGTCACCTCAGAAGAGGTGATCAGATGCTCAGTCTGGATCCATCACACCCATCACCTCCGCAGTCCCCTACGCCTCACTCCCCTGTGATTGTCTGTGTAGGGTCTGTGTCCCCAACTAGGCTGAGAGCACTTTGAGGGCAGGGACCTGGTCTGACTCTTCTCTGTGTCCCCAGAATCCAGCAGAGATCTCATACGCTACATGCTCAGCAAATGAACATTTGTCAACTTTGAAGCCAGAGAAACTGCCAGATCCCCTGCTCGCCCAGCCATCCCAGATCTGGGTCCCCCTCCTTTCCCACAGGAACATGCTATAAATGGACAGCATACCAGCTGATGCCAGAATCAGGGCTTGCATTTCACAAACCAAGTGGCCTGTCCCAGAGTGGGGGTGGGGTCCTGGGGGCCCCGGAGTGTGGCCATAAATAGCCCAACTCTGAGGCCTCCTCCCCTCTCTGATTTCTGCCTGAGTCACCCGACAAGGCAGGGTGGGGCTGCCAAAGCCTATGGCCTAGAGAGCTGAGGGCACGACCACAGCCCTGTGGCCAGCATTCTCGAGACTCCAAAGATAGGCCCGGCCAGTGCCCCCACCCTCCCCAGCCAAGCCCCTGGCCTGGGAGCCTGATAAGCAGTGACACATGGGCCCTTCCTCCTCAGGGAAGCTGAGGCACCTATAAACAGAGGCCCCAATTTCCAGGGAGCTCCAGCTCTGCCAAGGAGGGAAGCCAGGATCTGGCTCTGGCCCCAAAGAGCCAGGAATAGATTCCACTGGAAACACATGGAAGAGAAACAGGGCAGGATCACTCATCAGGCCCAGTATAAGTGGACTGGGGGTCACATATGCGTTGCTGAGAGAAGGGAACACATCTGTTTGGGCAACAGGATCTCCAGTACTTATCCCAGTGCTTAATAAATGTCTGTGACTGAATGTCCTGGCTGAAGGGAAGCCTGTCCTCTAAGCTCAAGCTGTTCCTTGTCTGTTCAGTGGGTGGTCATTTACTTACCGCTGCTTGAAATTAGATGATAGAGCCATTTGTTTACTAGCCCATGGCCTTTCTCCCCTAACCAGAATGTCAGTTCCCGGAGAGCAGGGGCTGCCCTGTTTTCCAGTTCACTAGGGTATCCTCACCATCAAGAATAGTACCTGACGGCCGGGCGCGGTGGCTCACACCTGTATTCCCAACACTTTGGGAGGCCGAGGCGAGTGGATCACCTGAGGTCGGGAGTTGGAGACCAGCCTGACCAACATGGTGAAACCCTGTCTCTACTAAAAATACAAAATTAGCTGGATGTGGTTGCGCATGCCTGTAATCCCAACTACTTGGGAGGCTGAGGCAGGAGAGTGGCTTGAACGTGGGAGGCAGAGGTTGCAGTGAGCCAAGATTGTACCATTGCACTCCAGCCTGGGCAACAAGAGTGAAACGCCATCTCAAAAAAAAAAAAAGAAAGAAAGAAAAAAAAAGAAAATAGTACTTGACATATACCAAGTAAGCAGTAAAAGAAATCTGGGCCAGGCACAGTGGCTCACACCTGTAATCCCAGGACTTTGGAAGCCTTAGGTGGGAGGATTGCTTGAGCCCAGGAGTTTGAAACCAGCCTGGGTGACATAGGGAGACCCTGTCTTGAAAAAATTAAAAAAAAAAAAATTTTGAGACAGGGACTCACTCTCACCCAGGCTGGAGTGCGGTGGTATGATCACAGCTCACTGCAGTCTTGACCTCCTAGGCTTAAGCGATCCTCCCACCTCAGCCTTCCGAGTAGCTGGGATCAGAGGCTCATGTTATTATGCCTGGCTAATTTTTTTATTTTTTGTAGAGATGGGGTTTTGTCTTGTTGCCCAGGTTAGTCTCAAATTCCTGGGCTCAAGCAACCCACCCATCTCAACCTCCAATGTGCTGGGATTACAGGTTTGAGCCACCGTGCCTGGCCTACAAAAAATTTTTAAAAACTAGGCCGGGCACAGTGGCTCGTGCCTGTAATCCCAGCACTTTGGGGGGCCGACGCGGGCAGATCACAAGGTCAAGAGATTAAGACCATCCTGACTAACACGGTGAAACCCCGTCTCTACTAAAACTACAACAAATTAGCCAGAAGTGGTGGCACACGCCTGTAGTCCCAGCCACTCGGGAGGCTGAGGCAGGAGAATCGCTTGAACCCAGGAAGCAGAGGTTGCAGTGAGCCGAGATCACGCCACTGCACTCCACCCTAGGTGACAGAGCGAGACTCCATCTCAAAAAAAAAAAATTAGCCGGGCATGGTAGAGCACACCTGTAGCCCCAGCTACTCAGGAGGCTGAGATGGGAGGATCACTTGAGCCAGGGAGGTCAAGGCTGCTATGATCATGCAACTACACTCCGGCCTGGGTGACAGAACAAGACCCTGTATCTATAAATAAGTACGTAAGTAAATAAAAGAAAAAAATGTGTTAGATGAATAAACACTGAAAGCCCTGGGGCTTCTCAGTGTGGAGCAAAAACATTGAAAGTGGGTCTGGGGCCGGGCATGGTGGCTCACACCTATAATTCCAGCACTGTGGGAGGCCGAGGCAGGGGGAATCTTTTGAGCCCAGGAGTTCAAGACCAGCTTGGGCAACATAGCGAAACCCCATCTCTACTAAATATACAAAAAATTAGCCAGGTGTGGTAGTGTGCAGCTATAGTCCTACCTACTAGGGAGGCTGAGATGGGAGAATTACTTGAGCCTGGAAGGCAGAGGTTGCAGTGAGCCATGATTGTGCCACAGCACTCCAGCCTGGGCCACACAGTGAGAACCTGTCTAAAACAAAAAGGAAAGAAAGAAAGTGGGCCCTGGAGTGAGGCAGGCTTGTAATAACGTCCTTGCTCTGTGACCTTGAACAAGTGACTTGACCTCTGCGAGCCTCTGTTTCCTTATTTTAAAAATGGAAGGGCCGGGCACACTGGCTCCCGCCTGTAATCCCAGTGCTTCGCGAGGTCGAGGCGGGCAGATCAACTGAGGTCAGAAGTTCGAGACCAGCCTGGCCAACATGGTGAAACCCTATCTCCACTAAAAATACAAAAAAAAATTAGCCAGGCATGGTGGTACATGCCTATAATCCCAGCTACTTGGGAGGCTGAGACAGGAGAATCGCTTGAATCAGGGAGACAGAGGTTGCAGTGAGCCAAGATCGTACCATGGCACTCCAGCCTGCGTGACAGAGCAAGACTCCGTCTCAATCAATCAATCAATAAAACATTAAAAAAAAATAAAAGTAAAAATAGAAGTAAAATATATCTACTTTAAAGGGTATTAAAAGATTCAGCTGGGCCAGGCGCAGTGACTCACGCCTGTAATCCCAGCAGTTTGGGAGGCTGAGGTGGGCAGATCACCTGAGGGCAGGAGTTCAAGACCAGCCTGGCCAACATGGTGAAACCCTGTCTCTACTAAAAATACAAAAAAATTAGCCAGGTGTGGTGGCACACGCCTGTAATCCCAGCTACTTGGGAGGCTGAGGCAGGAGAATCGCTTGAACTCAGGAGGCAGAGGTTGCAGTGAGCCAGGATCGCCCCACTGCACTCCAGCCAGGGTGACAGAGCGAGACTCCTTCTCCAAAAAAAAAAAAAAAAGATTCAGCTGCAGGTTGGGCACAGTGGCTCATGCCTGTAATCCCAGCACTTTGGGTGGCCGAGGCGGGCGGATCACTTGAGGTCAGGAGTTCGAGACCAGCCTGGCCAACATGATGAAACCTCGTCTCTCCTAAAAATACAAAAATTAGTCAGGCATGGTGGCAGACACCTGTAATCCCAACTACTTGGGAGGCTGAGGCAGGAGAATCACTTGAACCCGGGAGGCAGAGGTTGCAGTGAGCCAAGATCGTGACATTGCACTCCAGCCTGGGTGACAGACATCTCAAACAAACAAACAAAAACAAAAAAAAAGATTTGTCTGGGCTCAGTGGCTCACACCTGTGAGCACTTTGGGAGTTCAAGGCAGGACGATCGCTTGAGCCCAGGAGTTTAAGAGCAGCCTGGCCAACATGGCAAAACTCCGTCTCTACCAAAAATACACAAAATTAGCCAGGTGTGGTGGTGCACACCTATAATCCCAGCTACTCAGGAGGCTGAGGTGGGAGGATCACTTGAGCCCAGGAGGTTGAGGCTAAAGTGAGCTGTGATTGTGCCACTGTACTCTAGCCTGGGTGACAGAGAGAAACCCTGTCTCAAAAAAAAAAAAAAAAAAGCCAATTTAAAAATAAATAAATAAGTGAAAGATTCAATACCTGTAAAGCACCTTCTCCTGCCTGGCATAGAACAGGGCTGTCTGGAGATAGCAGTGTGGTTATGATTTCTGCTGCTGTTCCTAGTGTGACAGTATAAGGGGATAGGCATGTAATGTGGTGACAGGCAGACAAGGATTTGAATCCAGGCCCCGTAATATCACTTGCATGAGGCAAGGTCTCTCTGAGCCTCAGTTTCTTTGCCTATATAATGGGCACTGATATGTCAACCCTCAACTTGAACTTGAGGATTCAAGTTCCAGCTGCCCACCCATCCACCCAGGATGGTGTGAAGAGGACTTGGGATTCCAACAGGCCCTGGAAGGGATGACCTTTAAGGTCTTGCTGGTCTAGCAAGGCTGAACTATAAATAGTCCCCAGACTCTGGCAGGCCCTATAACAGGGATGACCAGCAGAGCCCAGGGGTTGCCACACTTTGGGGGATAAAATCTCACCTTACCACACCCTTGAGTAGTACAGGGGTTACAACCTATACAAAATCCCAAAAGCATGTGACCCTTTTGACCTAACAGCAACCCTTCCAGGAACCACCCTTCAGATGAGTGCTCACAGGTGCACAGAAGGCTTATAGCGCTATTGTCCATCCTGCAAGAGGCTAGGGACAACTTGAATATTCATGAATAGGGGCTGCTAAAAACAAGATGTGAACTCCCTGACTGGCAGACACTCACTACTCAGTCTTGTTCATAGCTATATCCTTGGTGCCTGCATCTAGTCCTGGCACAGAGCAGGGGCTCAGTAAATATATGTTACATGAATAAACAAATCCATGGGATTTTTTTTTTTAATTTGTAGACATGGGGTCTTGCTATGTTGTCCAAGCTGGAGTGCAGTGGCTGTTCACAGGTGCATCATAGTGCACTCCGGCCTCGAATTCCTGGCCTCAAACAATCCTCCAACCTCAGCTTCAGGAGTAAATAGGACTACAGATGTGTAGTCCTCCAGCCCAATAATGGGACACCACATAACCATTAAAAAGAATGAGGGGCCGGGCACAGTGGCTCACACGTGTAATCCCAGCACTTTGGGAGGCCGATGGTGGGCAGATCACCTGAGCTCAGTAGTTCAAGACCAGCCTGGGCAACATGGCGAAATCCCATCTCCACAAAAAGCACAAAAATTTAGCTGGGTGTGGTGGTGTGCACCTGTAGTCCCAGCTATTCAGGAGGCTGAGATGGGAGGATCGCTTGAATCCAGGAGGTCGAGGCTGCAGTGAGCAATGATTATGCCACTGCACTCCAACCTGGGCAACAGAGTGAGACACTGTCTCAAAAAAATTATAAAATAAAAAATATTAAAAAGATAAAAAAGAATGAGACTTACATGTTCTCAACTTATTACGTGATAAAAGCAAATATGGAAACTTACTGGAAGAAAATGTGTGAAAGTATCAACACTGGTTATCTCTATAAGATGATCCCTTTACACTCTCGTTGGTAATTTTTTTTTTTTAAGAGACAGTGTCTTGCTTTGTTGCCCAGATTAGAGTACAGTGGCATAATCATAGTTTGGGTACAGCCTTGAACTCCTGGGCTCAAGCAATCCTCCTACCCAGCCTCCTGAGTAGCTGGGATTACAGGTGCACAACACTATGCCCAGCTAATTTTTAAAAAATTTTTTGGCCAGGCACAGTGGCTCACGCCTGTAATTCCAGCAGTCTGGGAGGCCGAGGCAGGTGGATTGCTTGAGGTCAGGAGTTCAAAACCAGCCTGACCAAGATGGTGAAACCCCATCCCTACTAAAAATACAAAAATTAGCCAGGTGTGGTGGCAGGCGCCTATAATCCCAGCTACTTGGGAGGCTGAGGCAGGAAAACTGCTTGAACCTGAGAGGCAAAGGTTGCAGTGAGCCAAGATCGTACCACTGCACTGCAACCTGGGCAACAAAGCAAGACTCGGTCTCAAAAAAAACAAAAATTTTTTGTAGGCCAGGCACGGTGGCTTATGCCTGTAATCCCAGGACTTTGGGAGGCCTTAGGCAGATCACTTGAGGTCAGGAGTTTGAGACTTGGCCAACATGGTGAAACCCCACCTATACTATATACAGAAATTAGCCAGGCATGGTGGCACATGCCTGTGATCCCAGCTACTTGAGAAGGTGAGGTAGGAGAATTGCTTGAACCCAGGAGGTGGAGGTTTGATTGAGCCAAGATAGTCCACTGCACTCCAGCCTGGGTAACACAGTAAGACTCCACCTAAAAAAAAAAAAAAAAAAAAAAAAAAAAAAAATTGGGTCAGGCATAGTGGCTCATGCCTGTAATCCTAGCACTTTGGGAGTCCGAGGCAGGTGGATCACCTGAGGCCAGGAGTGGCGAAACCCCATCTCTACTAAAAATACAAAAATTAGCCAGATGTGTTGGTGCGCGCCTGTAATCCTAGCTACTCGGGAGGCTGAGGCACGAGAATCGCTTGAACCCAGGAGGCAGAGGTTGCAGTGAGCCGAGATCATGCCATTGCACTCCAGCCTGGCCAACAAGAGAGAAACTCCATCTCAAAAAAACAAAAACAAAAACAAAAAAATTGTAGAGACGAGGCCTTGCCATGTTGCCTAGGCTAGTCTCGAACTCCTGGTCTCAAGGAATCCTCCCACCTCAGCCTCTGAAAGTGCTGGAATTATAGGCATGAGCCACTTATTTTTTTTTCGAGACAGGGTCTCACTCTGTCACCCAAGTTGGAGTGCAATGGCACAATCTCAGCTCACTCCATCCTCCACATCCCAGGCTCAAATGATCCTTCAGCCTCAGCATCCCAAGTAGCTGGGACTACAGGAATGTGCCACCATGCCTGGCTAATTTTTGTAACTTTTTTTTGGAGAGACAGGGTTTCGCTATGTTGCTCAGGCTAAGCTGGATATTTTTGAATGAGTATGTATTACTTTTTAAATTTTCTAAAAAATCTAGTTTATTTTTCAAAAATATACCACCACATACCAAGCCATACAAGCCATAGTTCAGAGATAATGCTCGTATCAACTCGGAAGCCTAGATTCAGGGTTCTAGAATCTTAGTGATGGGAGAAAGCAGTACTTATTGAGCGCCTACTATATATTGGGGCCAAGCTCAACTCTCTCGAACACACCTTCACCTTATTTCACCAATTTGATGAGATGAATTAATATCCTTATTTATGTTCATTTTTATTACTTTTTTCTTTTTTTTTTTTTTTTTTTGAGACGGAGTCTCACTCTGTCGCCCAGGCTGGAGTGCCGTGGCGTGATCTCAGCTCACTGCAACCTCCACCTCCTGGGCTCAAGCAATTCTCCTGCCTCAGCCTCCTGAGTAGCTGGGACTACAGGCACGCGCTAAATTTTGTATTTTTAGTAGAGACGGGGTTTCACCATGTTTACCAGGCTAGTCTTGAACTCCTGACCTCAGGTGATCCACCCGCCTCAGCCTCCCAAAGTGCTGGGATAACAGGTGGGAGCCACCGCACCCAGCCATAGTATCTTTATTTAATGGGTGAGTAAACTGAGTCTCAGAGAAGTGACATAACCTGTAGTGCAGATAAGTATTTAAGAAAATGAGTTTTCGCCGGGCGCAGTGGCTCACACCTGTAAATCCCAGCACTTTGGAAGGCAGAGGAGGGCGGATCACATGAGGTCAGGAATTCGAGACCAGCCTGGCTAACATGGTGAGATCTCATCTCTACTAAAAATACAAAAATTAGCCAGGTGTGGTGGCACATGCCTGTAATCCCAGCTACTTTAGAGACTGAGGCAGAAGAATCACTTGAACTGGGGAGGCGCAGATTGCAGTGAGCCGAGATCGTGCCACTGTACTCCAGCCTGGGCAACAGAGCGAGACTCCGTCTCAAAAAAAAAAAAAGATTATGGGTTTTCAGCCAGGCACACTGGCTCACACCTGTAATCCCAGCACGTCAGGAGGCTGAGGCAGGAGAATCACTTGAGTCCAGGAGTTTGAGACCAGCCTGGACAATATAGTGAGACCCTGTCTCTACAAAAAATCAAAACAATAATAGCTGGGTATGGTGGCACATGCCTGTAGTCCCAGCTACTGGAGAGGCTGTGGTGGGAGGATCACTTGAGCCCAGGAAGTCGAGGCTACAGTGAGCCGTGATCATGCAACTGCATTCCAGCCTGCATGACAGAGTGAGACCCTGTCTCTTACAAAATTTTTGTTTTTGATTAAAATATATATATATGAGTTTTGGCATCTGAAAGACTTGAGCTCATATTCCATCTCTGCCATACTGTGACCTTGGGCAAGTAATGTCACCTCTCTGAGCTTCAGTGTTCTCATCTATACAATGAACAATGTACCTAATTCACAGGGATGACATTGAGGATTCAATTAAATAACATAGGGAAGGGCCGGGCACGGTGGCTCACACCTGTAATCCCAGCACTTTGGGAGGCCGAGGCGGGTGGATCACCTGAGGTCAGGAGTTCGAGACCAGCCTGGCCAACATGGTGAAACCCCATCTCTACTAAAAATACAAAAAATTAGCCAGGCATGGTGGCACGCGCCTGTAGTCCCAGCTACTCGGGAGGCTGAAGTAGGAGAATCGCTTGAACCAGGGAGGTGGAGGTTGCAGTGAGCCGAGATCGTGCCACTGTACTCCAGCCTGGGCAATGGAGCGAGACTCCATCTCAAAGAAAAAAACAAGCATAGGGAAGGGACTTAGCACAGTAGGTGCTCATGGTGTTGAGCACAGTGTGGATGCTCAATAAGCAGCAGATGCTACCATCCTGATTATTATCACTATTATTTCCTCCACCACCAGCAGCAGCCAGGGTCACACAGCTCGTCAGGGCCAGAACCTGCCTACAGAGGCCCACAAGACATTTTAATCAAGGTCCGGGGAACAGGCCAGGGCTGGATTAAGCCAAGTTTTGTTTGTGGGGAGTCACATGGTCCAAAGCTATGCGTGTGCACAGCCAAGTAAACTTTTCCTTGAGAACAATGGTCAGAACAACAGGTCTTTGCGGCCATGGGAGAACTGAACAGGAGTTCCATTCATGCCCTCTTCCTGGGACAGGGGTCCCTCCAGCATCTCTGGGGCACAGCATGACTCAGCTAAGTTGAAACAGGGTGGCCCCAAATTAGCTACATCCAGAATGACATCCCGCTTTTGACAGTGGTGATGCATCAAGCCAGATCAAAGGCAGGACACCTGGCAGTGGCCATCTTCCTGGGAAGAGCCAGTAGGGAGCTGGCCTTAGAGTTCTGAGGACTCAGAACAGAAAAGCTCAAGAGTCAGTCAAGCTCAGCATGATTCTCAAGTCCCATCTTAAACATTTAGGAAAGTCAACAGCAATTGAAAAGGTGAAAGGTAAAGTAGAAAGGGTCCAAGATATACCCCACTGATCAGTCTCCAAACACTCACCAAGATCTAATGTATGTTGGGCTCAGTGCCAGACCTGGGGGCTGAGAGACAAGCTACATGTGGTTCCTGCCCTCAAACAGCTTCCAGTTTACTAAAGAAAACAATAACAGGATCAGGCGCAGTGGCTCATGCCTGTAACCCCAGCACTTTGGGAGGACTGCTAGAGCCCAGGAGTTCAAGACTAGCCTGGACAACACAGGGAGACCCTGTTTCTATTAATTTTTTTTAATTAGGCAGGTGTGGTAGCACATGCCGTCGTCCCAGCTACTTGAGAGGCTGAGATAGGAGGATCGCTTGAGCCCAGGAGTTGAGGCTGCAGTGAGCTGCAATCACACCTCTGTGCTATAGGCTGGGCAACAGAGTGAGATCCTAAATAAATAAATAAAAGCCTGATCTCTATGAGGGCTATACCTTCCTTACTTTATATAAAGCACTAAAATTCACTTTATTAATTTTTTTTTTTTGAGATAGAGACTCACTCTGTCACCCAAGCTGGAATGCAGTGGTGCAATCTTGGCTCACTGCGACATCCACCTCCTGGGTTCAAGTGATTCTCCTGTCTCAGCCTCCTGAGTAGCTGGGATTACAGGTGCCTGCCACCACGCCCAGCTAATTTTTATATTTTTCGTAGAGATGGAGTTTCACCATTTTGGCCAGGCTGGTCTCGAACTCCTGACCTCAGGTGGTCCACCCACCTCAGCCTCCCAAAGTGCTGGGATTACAGGCGTGAGCCACCTTGCCTGGCCTTAGTATTATTTTTTGTTTTTTGTCGGGTTTTTCTTTTTTCTTTTTTTTTTGAGATGGAGTTTTGCTCTTGTTGCCCCAGGCTGGAGTACAATGGTTCGATCTTGGCTCACTGAAACCTCTGCCTCCTGGGTTCAAGCAATTCTCCTACCTCAGCCTCCCGAGTAGCTGGGATTACAGGCGCGTGTCACCATGCTCAGCTAATTTTTGTATATTATTAGTAGAGACGGGGTTTCACCATGTTGCCCAGGCTAGTCTCGAACCCCTGACCTCAGTTGATCTGCCTGCCTCAGCCTCCCAAAGTGCTAGGATTACAGGCATGAGTCACCGCGCCCAGCCAGCATTATTTTTAATGCATGACAGGCTCACTGTTGTCACAGTCCTGCCAGCCACACTGGAATGGGAGGAGGGAAGGGTGTTTTCCTTGAGGCTGTCCCTCCCTCTTCCCCCAGGCCTGGCCTTCAAGGGCCCAGGCTGGCCCTGGCTTGAGGTCTGCACACACAACGGGCCTCTCGAAGCAGCGGACAGACACTTGTTGGCTGCCAACTTGGGCCCAGACTGTGGTCACAAACACACCCCTCTGGCTGAGAACAGGATCAGGACATTTCTGCAAACCCCTGACCTAGTAGAAGAAATGTTCTAGGAGGCAGGTTGGGGTTGCTGAGGCTCAGCTGAGCCCCCAACTTAGGCCAGGGAAGTAAGGCTCTAGCTGACACCTGGAGTTTGCTGGTAATGCTTGTTCTCCCAGGACATCCTCAGGGGATTCACTATCCACTGAGCTGGAAAAATATCCAGTTGCCTTGCCAAGTTCACATCCAAAGGACAGGCCATCCTTCCATGGCCCCTTGGAGGCGTCCTCAGTAATGGGATGTGAGTGGGGAAATGTTGAACAATGTGGTCAGTGATTCAACTCCGGGGAAACCTAGGCCCAGAGAGGGTCCCAGGAACCCTGGCTGCTCCAGACTGGTGCAACTGCCAGGCCCAGACCTTCTCCACTCCCCAAAGTCTCAAGGACCAGCCACAGCCCAGCATCCTCCTATCCTTCAGACCTCTCTGATCACTCTTGCCATTCAGAGATTCCTGACTCCAGTGCCTTCCACCACTCCTCCTCCCCTCTTTGTGCTATCTTGAGTGGAATGACCTCCTTCCATGAGATCTTGGGCCAGGAGAATAGGTCGAAAAAGACTTCAACTAAGGAAAAGTGGGGAAAAACATGAAGGCCACATTCTTCTTTCTCTTACCCAGGCCATAGGCAGGGTTCACCAAGGAATGATCTCGTCCTGTGAAACATCTCAGAGAATATAAGAGCAGGGGCCCCTCAGTCCTGGGATGATACACATGTTACTTCTCTACTGCATCTGTAGTAGACATTGCTAATCAATTCCAGCTCCTTTCTGCTGAGCCCAGACAAAGCCTCCCAATCCTTCCAAATATGGAACTCACAGAACCACCAGTGGAGCTGACGCTTACACTCTTTTTTTTTTTTTTCCTACAGAGATGAAATCTCACTGTGTTGCCCAAGCTGGTCTCGAACTCCTGGGCTCAAGTGATCTGCCCACCTAAGCCTCCCAAAGTGTTGGGATTACAGGCGTAAGCCACCACGCCTGCCTGGAGCTGCCACTCTAAATAAAAGCTATTGATCACCTCTGATCTAGCCTAACTTCAATAGGAAAACTGAGTCCCCTAGAAGGCAAGGGTCTTACCCAAGGCCAAACAGAGATTTATTGCAGAGCAGACAGGATTTCAGGCACCAGCTTTTTTTTTTTTTTTTTTTTTTTTTTTGAGATGGATTCTTGCTCTTGTCGCCCAGGCTGGAGTGCAGCGGCACAATCACGGCTCACTGCAACCTCCGCCTCCCGTGTTCAAGATTTTCCTACCTCAGCCTCCTGAGTAGCTGGGATTACAGGCACGCGCCACCATGGCTCAGCTAATTTTTGTATTTTTAGTAGAGACGGGGTTTCGCCATGTTGGCCAGGCTGGTCTCAAACTCCTGGCCTCAGGTGATCCACCCGCCTCAGCCTCCCAAAGTGCTGGGATTACAGGCGTGAGTCACAGCACCTAGCCACCGGCTTTTAAAGAGTTTCTGTAGGCCAGGCATGGTGGCTCACGTCTGTAATCCCAGCACTTTGGGAGGCCCAGGCAGGCAGATCACTGAGGCCGGGAGTTCGAGACCAGCCTGGCCAACATGGCAAAACCCTGTCTCTACTAAAAATACAAAAATTAACCAGGCCGTGGTGGTGCACACCTGTAATTCCAGCTACAGAACTGAGGCAGAGAATCGCTTGAACCTGGGAGAAGGAGGTTGCAGTAAGCTGAGATCGCACTACTGCACTCCAGCCTGGGCAACAGAGTGAGACCCTGCCTCAAGAAAAAAACACAGTTTGTGTAGAGGAGATAGTGTTTATGTTTTGTCTACCCTACCACATGGTGAGCTCCTTCAGGAGAGGCCCTGGGTGTAGTTTAGCTTCTGACCTTAATATACACAGCAGGCACACAGTAGATGTCCATGAATGTCTCTTGGCTTAGTGAGGAGGAATGCATGACATGAGTTAGAGGGAAGGCTTGAGTATTCACTCCTAAAGTCAGAAGATGCTTCAAGGTCACACATTTACAGATACTACCTTCTCAAAACGACATACATGGGAACCCAGATAGATACATTTTTAATCTAAAGATGAGGAGGTGGGCCGGGCGCGGTGGCTCACGCGTGTAATCCCAGCACTTTGGGAGGCCGGGGCGGGCAGATCACAAGGTCAGGAGATCGAGACCATCCTGGCTAACACGGTGAAACCACATCTCTACTAATAATACAAAAAATTAGCCAGGCGTGGTGGCGGGCACCTGTAGTCCCAGCTACTTGGGAGGCTGAGCAGGAGAATGGCGTGAACCCGGGAGGCGGAGCTTGCAGTGAGCCGAGATCCCGCCACTGCACTCCAACCTGGGTGACAGAGCAAGACTCTGTCTCAAAAATATAAATAAATAAAAATAAAAAATAAAGATGAGGAGGTGAGGGGACCTCCGTGTGAATGTGGATTTGAATTGTGTCTATAGCAGAAATTTTACCATAGACTAAACTTTCAAACAACAGAAGCTAAAAGAGCTTTCAAGTCAACTAAAATATGACATTTCGATGAATGTCAGTGGTTTCAAACCGCATTGCTGACTATAAATATCAAAGTAATGAGGCATGTGGGGAAAGTCTCTTATATCCATATCATTTATGTGGCATTCTATTATTTAACTTTGCCATTAAAATATGATTGATACACTTAAGCTTCTAAGGATCAACACTCTAGAGTCAGCTTTTTTTAAGTATCAAAAAAATGCATCTAGACTGGGCACTGTGGCCTGCAATCCCAGCACTTTGGGAGACTTAGGTGGGAGGATCCCTTAAGCCCAGGAGTTGGAGACCAGCCCAGGCAACATGGTGAAACCCTGTCTCTACAAAAAATTGGCTAGGTGTGGTGGCTCACGCCTGTAATCCCAGCACTTTGGGAGGCCGAGGCAGGCAGATCACGAGGTCAGGAGTTCGAGACCAGCCTGGCCAATATGGTGAAACCCTGTCTCTACTAAAAATACAAAAAAAAAATTAGCCAGGCGTGGTAGTGCGCACCTGTAGTCCCAGCTACTCGGAAGGCTAAGGCAGAAGAATCGCTTGAACCTGGAAGGCGGAGGATGCAGTGAGCCAAGATCGCGCCACTGCTCCAGCCTGGGCGACAGAGTAAGACTCCATCTCAAAAAAAAAAAAAAAAAAAAGCTAGGCGCAGGGGCTCACACCTGTAATCCCAGCACTTTTGGAGGCTGAGGCAGGTGGATCACAAGCTCAGGAGTTTGAGACCAGCCTGGCCAATATGGTGAAACCTCATCTCTACTAAAAATAAAAAAATTAGCCGGGCATGGTGGTGGGTGCCTGTAATCCCAGCTACTCAGGAGGCGGAGGCAGAAGAATTGCTTGAACCCGGGAGACGGAGGTTGCAGTGAGCCGAGATCATGCCACTGCACTCCAGCCTGGGCAACAGAGTGAGACTCCATCTCAGAAAAAAAAAAAAATTAACCAGGTGTGGTGGCATGCATCTGTAGTCCCAGCCACTCAGGAGGTTGAGGTGGGAGGATTGTTTGAGCCCCGGGGGGTGGAGGGTGCATTGAGCCAAGATCATACTACTGTACTCCAGCCTGGGTGATAGAGCAAGACCCTGTCTCGAAAAAAAAAAAAAACAAGAAAAAAAAATGCATCCATGGCATTTAAATAGATATACCTAAAATATAAAATAAAACTTTACATTTTATTTTCTTTATTTAAATTTTATTTTATTTTATATCTGGGTCAACCAAGGACCGAGAACCTATTTGCTTCTGTGGCCTCTTGGACACTCCTTTAGGGAAACCAAGGCAACCCACCAGGATTTGGGCCTGGGACTCAACTCAGCAGCTTCTCTGGCCGTGTTATTCTCCATCAGCCCCCGCCACCTCCCTGTGCCTGTTCTGGGCCATAAGCCAGAGACACATTCCTCAGGCCCCCACGGGGCTTCCAGAGCTGACAGAGTTTGAGGAAAGGGCTGAGCAAAGCAGAAACCTCTTGAGAGACATGGCACAAGATGGTCATGGGACAACCTCAGCAGGAGGCGTGTAACAACTGATGGGGAAACCGAGGCCCACAGAGGGCAAGGGTCCCACCCAAGACCACACTGTGAGGGAACAGTGGAGAAAGCCATTCAACCAAGGTTCCTCCACAAAACTCCTCTCTGATCCTGGCTGGAAGGATTTGATGTCCTACTCTATAAAAGCCAAGGCCTCTGGGCGTGGTGGCTCATGCCTGTAATCTCAGCACTTTGGGAGACTGAGGTGGGTGGATCACCTAAGGCCAGGAGTTCAAGACTAGCCTGGCCAACATGGCAAAACCCTGTCTCTACAAAAATATAAAAATTAGCTGGGCATGGTGACGCACACCTGTAATCCCAGCTACTTGGGAGGCTGAGGCAGGAGGATCACTTGAACCCAGGAGGCAGAGGTTGCGATGAACCAAGATCATGCCACTGTATTCCAGCCTGGACAACAGAGCAAGATTCCATCTCAAAAAAAAAATAAAGTAAAATAAAAGCCAAGGCTTCTCCCAAAGGAGGATGGGTCTTGGGGTTTTAAGGCCCAGGCACTAAAAGAACCTGAAGTCAAGAGCTCTCCAGGCCCCACAGGAAAGAATCTGACCTGCCCCTTCCCCAGTCCGCACCCCTCTCTCCCTGTGTCACTCAGGTGCTGGCACACTCTGCCATGTACATTTTTGCCCTAGTCGCAACAACCCAGAAAGGCAGGAGCTACATCCCTGTTTTACAAATGAGGAAACTAAGGATCAGGGAAATGAAGTGACTTGTCCAGGGCTACACAGCTAGTGACTGGAAGACAGAAAATGCAAATCAGGTCTGCTTGGCTCTATGCCAACTCTCCCTCCACCACCCCACACTGTCTTCAGGCAGGTCCCCAAATTCTGTTTCTGTTTTCAGTCCTGCCCACCTCCCAGCCCCCAGTGCTGGGATGGGGCCTTCTGAGGCCTGGGGGAGGTAGAGAAGCAGTGGAACACCTCCACCCAGCCCCTCTGAACCCTGGAACGTCAGTGCTTACCCTCCAGCACCACCTCCTTGCCTGTCTTCTTGAGGACCTGCACCGCCTCATCATGGGTAGCAGAGGACAAGTCTTCCCCATTCACAGACAGGATGGCATCCCCCACAAAAAGGGCCTCTGTCTGGTCAGCTGCCAATCCCTTGAAGATCTTGGAAATGAGAATAGGCATCTTGTTCTCCCGGCCGCCTGCACAGGTACAGAAGGAGGACAAGACTTAGGCAGATACTCCAACACTTGGGAGTCACATCAAGACACAATTATTTCTGAAGGCTTCCCTTGGTGCCTAGCCCAGTGCTGGAAAAGGCAATGGGAGAATAAAGGGAATCTGAGAAAAATCTTGGAAGTTTGGGACACTAGTAACACTAATAATAAATCATTTTTGATTAGGTCCGGTGGCTCATGCCTGTAATCCCAGCACCTTAGAAGGCTGAGGTGGGCAGGTCACCTGAGGTCAGGAGTTCAGGATCAGCCTGGGCAACATGGGAAAACCCCGCCTCTACTAAAAATACAAAAATTAGCCAGGCACCTGTGGTCTCAGCTACTAGGGAAGCTGAAGTAGGAGGATCACTTGAGCCCAGGAGGTCGAGGCTGCAGTGAGCTGAGATTGTGCCACTGCACTCCAGCTTGGGTGGCAGAAGGAGACCCTGTCTCAATAAATTAATTAATTAAATAAATCATTTTCAAAATTCATAATGCTATAGTTTGATCCCTGGATCTTTTGATTAAGTGCTTTGGGTGTTCACCAGTGTTTGTGCAACTTACAAAGTGCTTCAATCACTTTTTCTTAAATGTTTTCGATTTTCTCATGTAACCCATAAATATATATGCCTACTATGTACGCACAAAAATTAAAAATGAAAATAACCGGACAAAGTGGCTCACACCTGTAATCCCAACACTTTGGGAGGCCAAGGTGGTCGGATCACTTGAGACCAGTAGTTTGAGACCAGCCTGGCCAACATAGCGAAATCCTGCCTCTACTAAAAACACAAAAAAGGGCCAGGTGCGGTGGCTTATGCCTGTAATCCCAGCACTTTGGGAGGCCAAGGCTGCCAGGTGGATCACCTAAGGTCAGGAGTTCGAGACCAGCCTGGCCAACATAGTGAAACCCTGTCCCTACCAAAAATACAAAAAATTAACTGGGCGTGGTAGCGGATGCCTGTAATCCCAGCTACTCGGGAGGCTGAGGCAGGAGAATCACTTGGACCCAGGAGGCGGAGGTTGCAGTGAGCTGAGATCACGCCATTGCTCTCTAGCCTGGGCAACAAAAGTGAAACTCTGCTCAAAAAAGTAAATAAATACATAATAAAAAAATAAACAAATAAAAAAATATGGCTGGGCGTGGTGGCTCACGCCTGTAATCCCAGCACTTTGGGAGGCCAAGATGGGCAGATCACCTGAGGTTAGGGGTTCAAGACCAGCCTGGCCAACATGGCAAAACCCCATCTCTTCTAAAAGTACAAACATTAGCCGGGCATGGGGGCGCATGCCTGTAATCCCAGTTACTCGGGAGGCTGAGTCAGGAGAATTGCTTGAACCGGGAGGCTGAGGTTGCAATGAGCCAAGATTGCACCATTGCACTCCAGCCTGGGCAATAAGAGCGAAACTCCATCTCAAAAAAT
The DNA here is from genome assembly GCF_000001405.40 of Homo sapiens. Classification (NCBI taxonomy): domain Eukaryota; kingdom Metazoa; phylum Chordata; class Mammalia; order Primates; family Hominidae; genus Homo; species Homo sapiens. Next base: position 33,440,463 of record NC_000020.11, read on the forward strand.
AAATAAATAAATAAATAAATACAAACACAAAAAATTAGCTGGGCCTGGTGGCACATGCCTGTAGTCCCAGCTACTCAGGAGGCTGAGGCAGCAGAATTGCTTGAACCCAGGAGGTGGAGGTTGCAGTGAGCCAAGATCACACCACTGCACTCCAGCATGGGCGACAGAACAAGACTCCATCTCAAAATAAAACAAAAATACAAAAATTAGCCAGGCATGGCGGTGTGTGCCTATAATTCCAGCTACTCAGGAGGCTGAGGCACGAGAACTGCTTGAACCCAGGAGGTGGAGATTGCAGTGAGCCGAGATCGCACCACTGCACTCCACCCTGGGCAACAGAGCAAGACTGTCTCACACACACACACAAAAAGGCAACAATGTGGGAACCCACTGATACCCCTCAAACCGGAATCAAGAGACAAGTCGGCTATTCCTATGGCCTCAAAAGACTGCTTTAGCAATCATAATGTTTTACAATCCAAAGTCCAGGCTGGAAACCAAAGCCTTAGAGTCTAGAGATTCTAAAAACCTGCCTGAATGGCATCTTGGATACAAAAGAAGCTAATACATTTTACTAAACATCTTTATTACCAAACTCTTAAATGCCCTTTTAAAATAAGAAATAGTAATAAGAGTTCACCTTAGTTGCACTTACCAAATGCCAAGCACTGTGCTAAATGCTTTCAATGTTGATTCATTGCGTCTTTACAATACCCCATCACATAGGTATGTTCAGTTTCCTATTAGGGAAACTGAAGTGTGGAGGGAAGCCCCTTGTCCAAGGTCACTCCACTAGTAAGTAGCGAAGCCAGTATTTGCACCTAGGCCTCCAGGCTCCAGAACCAACACTATTAGCCCTACCACAGACGACAAGTCAGGCCCTCAGATATCACACTCCTGGCTCATCCCCAGAATACTGAAGATGAAGAATTAGTGGCCCAGAGTGGGAGGTCATTGTTCCAAGGTCACACAAGTCTGGTGGCGGAGCTGGGACTGGAACACCTCTCTTGACGCCCACACAGGCCCGACCGTTTGCTTATCTGCACAGAGCTTGAAGTCTAGGAGAGGAAGGGGTTTCTATTTATATCTGCCCTCCCCCACCTGAAACTAGGGGCTTCAGTTCAGTTTGAAGCTATGATCACTCATGGCTGCCTCAGACTAAGCTAGACTTTATAGGAGGGGTTACCATGGCAACAGGAGCCCAGATTTGGATCCAATGGAAATACCTGAAGTCTCCTAAAAGTACCCTCCCCTCCACCTAGAATTATGGAGCTGGGGAGTAACTTTGTGTGACCTTGCAAAGTCCCTGCTCCTCTCTGAGTCTCAGTGTGTCCATCTGCAGAATGGAATTCTGTATGAATAAGTTCCTTCCTGCTTTGACACACTGAGTGTATAATTTTTGGATTCATCTGTTGCCCTATCCCATGCTGGAGATTGGGGGTAAGACTGGTGCCCATACCCTCATTTTCTCATTTCTCCTTTTTAGCCCCTCTTGGTTGGCTGCCTGGGGATCTGCCCTTCTACAGGAAAGAATCAACTTCCCTGAGCACTCTCTGAGGGACAGTAGCTGATAATTAAGGTTCAAATCCCAGCACTGACACTCACTATGTAATCGTGGGAAAATCATTTTAACTTTCTGAGTCTCAGTTTCTTCACCTGCAATATGGGAATTATACTCCCTACCTTTCACCACTTGTTGCCAGGATGAAGTGGATCATGAGACTAGTGTCCTGGGCACAGCACCTGGCACACAGTGGTGGCATTCACCACCATCCCCACCGCCTCAGCCAAGCCAAACGGTCTGGAGGCACTAGTCAACAGAACCAGTACCAGGGAGACCCCAGAGGGTACGGTATGTATTCAAGGTGGAGACAAAGGCTGATACCCTTTCCCAAAGCACCTGCTGGGGGCTGGGACCCTGAGAAACAGATGGGCAGGAATAGTGAACCCAGCAGCTGGGGGTGTGCAAGGATTTTAACAACTATGTTTAGTTGCTTTGGGAGTATCTGCTGGCCTCCATTTTTCCTCTCCGCTAACAGCAGTAATTAACTAGGCACCTACAGTGTGCTGGTGTGGTGAGCCCTGCTCTCAGAAACATCACAACTCTGTCATCCTCTTATACAGTTGAGGAAACAGATTCAGAGGCGGGACGGGACTTTTGCAACCTCACACAGCTGATCCTGGATTCAAACACAGTCTGGTTGCACCCTAACTGCACCCCACTAGCGGTCAGTCCTGGGGGCTGAAAGCTCTATCCTGTGCAAGGTGGAGATAGTCAGATCAGGAGACCCAAATCCAGCTGTCAGGGCTCCCTGCAGCCTTCCTGGGTCCTTAGATTCCTAGGTCCTTGCTGGCCTTCTGCCTGTGACCCCAGCCTGTGCCTGCACCCAGGCCTCCTATCCACCCCTGTGCTTCCCAGACTCCAGGCTTCCCCTCTGCACCCACCTTGGTTGCTTCTCAGGGACTCCCTCCTCCCTGTCCCACTGGTGTCCCGGCCTCAACCCCCTTTCTCCACACTCTGCTTTCCGGGGGACCCCTCTTGTCCTTGATGTTCATGCTGGTTACCCCTCAGACCCCCCCGCCTCCACACAGAACTCCCACCCACGTGTCCTTGGTGCTCCCACAATCTTATCCACACCTGTGTCTTCCGTGCCCCCTAAGGCCACCAACTACTGAAACCCCCTCCAACCTTGGTGTGCCCAGTGCCCTCCGTTACCTGTTTCCTCAGACCCCCCTTACCCCCAGACAGGAAGCCTCCAGCTCCATGTCCTGGGCGCGCTGCCAGCCCCCTGCGCCCTCGGCTGCCCCCAGACACCACGACCCCGCGCCCTCGGTGTCCCGCGCCCACCTTTGATGCTGATGCCCAGCCCACCGGCGTCGGCCTTGCGCACCGTCACGCGGCGCCGCTGGAGCAGTAGCGCCTCTGGCAGCTGCGGGGGCCCGGCGCCCGGCTCCGCGGCGCCGTTGAGCTGCGCGGGCTCCTGCTCCCGCGGAGCGCCGGGCTCGGGACCAGGGTCGCCGTCGGCGGGGCTCACGGTCAGCACGTCCTCCGCCAGACTCAGCAGCACCCGCTGCCATCGCTCGCCGCCGGCCCCCGAGCCCGCCCCGGCGCGCAGCTCCAGCAGCCCGGTGCGCGGGGCGCGCCTGCCGGACGCCATCTTCGCCTCCGAGCCCCCGGGCCGCCGCGCTCGCCCTGTCCCGCTTTGCCCAGCCCGCTCCGACCAAGCGCCCAGGGCAGAGGGCAGCGGGGGCCCGGCTGGGCCAGCCGCCACCCTACCCCGGCCGCTGGGGGAGGAGCTCTGGGGGCGGGGCTACCCTGGGGTGTGGCCAGTGCTGGGGAGGGGGCCTCGGGCAAATGCAGGAGGCCGGGGCGGGGCCCGGGAGCCGAGGGCCGCCGTGTGGGACTACCTAGCGGGGTGGGTCAGAAGGGCGGCGGGGCGGGCCACTAAGTAAGGCGAAAGCCCGGGAGGCGTGGTGCTGGGCGGGGCGTCAGGGGGCGGGGCTTCGCGTCGGGGGCGGAACCCAGTGAGCCCGCGCAGGGGGCTCGGCGCTCGGAATGCCCATCGAGGGCCGGGACTGTAACTCCCGGACGTGGGAGCGCATGAAAAAGAGACAGAACCACGTATCCTGGTGCGAAGCACTGGGCATCGGGCTGGGCTGCATATGGCGGAGGGCTGGGCTGCGTATGGTAGAGCGTTGGACTCCAAGGCTTGAGTTTAAGAGGTAGACACCGTCTGGGCGTGGAGGCTCACGCCTGTAATCCCAACACTTTGGGAGGCCTAGATGACAGCCCAGAAGCTCGAGGCTGCAGTAAGCCGCGATCGCGCCACTGCACTCCAGCCTGGGTGACAGAGCGAAACCCTGTGTCAAAAAAAAAAAAAAAAAAAAAAGGTAGATGCTGAGCCGCGAGAGACCTTGCGGGCACAGTTGCTAGTTGGGGAGCTGAGGAAGAAGTTGGTTTCCTATCGGGGAGGGCGGGGGATGGGGGGTGGGGGTCGAGGCTTTGGTCTGTGGGCGTGGCTTATCGCTGGCGTGGCTTCTAAAGATGACAGGCCCCGCCCCCTGGAGGAGACCGCTACCGACACCGCTTAGGGCTTGGGGGAGGTGTGGGCAGGATCCCCACTTCAAAACTGGAGGGAAGTTTAAGAGATTAACCCCTGGCTGTGTTCACAGTCGAGTATAGAAAAGCCTGAAGTCCCACACTTTGAGGCCTGGCAGAAAAAAAACAGAACTGGTGTGTGGGAAGAGGGTTGCAAGGTGGGGCTCTGGGTCTGGGCGACTGGAGACATGGTTTCTAATCTTTGCTGCCTCTGTTAGCTCCAAGTCGACTTTGGTCCCCTCACGTCACTGCTCTAGGCCTCAATTTCCTCATCTGTAAAATGTGGATCATAATAATACCTACTTCACTGGGCTGGTGTGAGGATTAAATCAATGTGAAAACACGTGGTAAACTGTGACTCCCTATTCTATAGAAATAATCACTTTCATTTAGTGAATGCTTACTCTTACCTAGGGCTGGCAGAATATTTTCCAAGTGTTATCTTTACATTAGCCTCCTGGAGTAGCTAAGAGCACCCCCAGCTGGGCACAGTGGCTCACACCTGTAATCACAGCTGAGGTGGCAGGATCGCTTGAGCCTTGGAGGTCCAGGCTGCAGTGAGCTGTGATTGCACCATCACACTCCAGCCTTGGTGACAGAGCAAGAAAAAAGAGCACCCCTATTATACAGAAGGGAAAACTTGGATTTAGTCTAATTGGCCTAGGTCACACATTTATGAGTGAGGAAGAGCTGCGATTCAAACCCAGGCCTGTTTGACACCAGTGCCTGGGCACTGAACCACTCTGCTAGACAGCTGACAAATACAGAGGTAAAGCATGATTGTAATCTGAAAAATCCACCACATCACACAGCTCAACTGGCCTTCATACCTGCTCCTTGTCTCTATCCTCCATTCCTAGCTGGGATATGTTGAGCAATAAATAAGTAGGACTACACCAGTGTTTAGCCTCCCTGAACTTTTGGGTAAAATCCTCCACATAAGATACCATCAAGAAAAAAAAGAGGGGGCCAGGTATGGTGGCTCATGCCTGTAATCCCAGCACTTTAGGAGGCCGAGGCAGGTAGATCACGAGGTCAGGAGTTTGAGACTCAGCCTGGCCAACATGGTGAAACCCCATCTCTACTAAAAATATAAAAAAATTAGCCGGGCGTGGTGGCAGACACCTATAATCCCAGCTACTCAGGAGGCTGAGGCAGGAGAATCACTTGAACCCGGGAGGCGGAGATTGCAGCAAGCAGAGATTGCACCACTGCACTCCAGCCTGGGTGATAGGGTGAGACTCCGTCTCAAAAAAAAAAAAAAAAAAAACCAACAACAAAAAAAAGGAATTGTTTTAAGTTAGAGTGGTAGGTGTCAAAACAGGAGAGACACAGGTTTTAAAAAAAGAACCCAGGGTCTTTTATACATATATATATGGGATGCCGAGGAGGAATGATCACTTGAGGCTAGGAGTTTGAGACCACTTGGGCAACTTCACGAGACTCCATCTCTACAAAATAAAGAAATTAGCCAAGCGTGGTAATGTGCACCTGTACTCCCAGCTACTTAGGAAGCTGCAGCAGGAGGCCTGTTTGAGGCTGCTGCTGTGAGCCACAATCATGCCACTGCACTCCAGCCTGGGTGACAGAGCAAGACCCTGTCTCAAAAATAAATAAAAGAAAGTGAGAGGAAGGAAGGAGAGAAGGGAGGCAGGGAAGGAATATAGCATTGTATATAAGCATTGATATCTTAAAAGTATGACTGTGCTTAAAGATTGTAGGACAGCCTGAGGAATTTGGGGTAAGCACTTGTGATAAATAACTACAGCCTACTTGGCTTGTGGAAGCTTCACTCCAATGGTAGAGAAGGGAGGGGAGGACAGACCTGGCAGGAGGCAAGAGACCAGCAGGGAATTGAAGCTCCTTTCCCAAGACCAAAGCCTGGAACCAGATCCTTAAAAGTCCCCCCACGTACTGCCCTGCTTAAAAAAGACTTAATGAGGCCCAGACAAACTTACTGAGAAAGAGCCCTAAGAGAGGGCTTCTCCTCTGGGGGACAGTTTCCTGTGGATATAACAGGAAGGAAGGAAGTAGGGAAAGGAGTGATGTGTGCAAAGGGGCTAACACAGAAAGAAGATGTAGAGCCAAGGAAACAGTGACGTGTGTATGCATATGTATACGTCTGTATGTGAGTATGGGTGTGTGTGTTTGTGATCACACTTGATAGGCAGTGCCAATCACCTGTAGCTACCCCCAAGAACCCTGTAGCTGCAGGAATGCTCTATCCCTACACTGTGGTCAGCCGATGCCTCTCTGCTGTGGCTCAGAAATTGGCCTCCCAGATAGATACACATAGGCCCGGCTCCCTGCCAAGCCCCAGGCAGAGCTCCCAGAGAAAACCAGTTCACTCCCAAGGAATAGGAGAGGGGGAAGGGGAAAAAAAGGGAGAGAGGGGAGCTGCCCAGCCTACTAAAGTCTCTGCAAGCTCTGGCCAGGCGCGGTGGCTCACACCTGTAATCCCAGCACTTTAGGAGGCCTAGGCGGCTGGATCACCTGAGGTCAGGAGTTCAACAGCAGCCTGGCCAACATGGTAAAACCCCATTCTCTACAAAAATACGAAAATTAGCTGGGCACGGTGGCTCAAGCCTGTAATCCCAGCACTTTGGGAGGCCGAGGTGGGCAGATCACGAGGTCAAGCTATCGAGACCATCCTGACCAACATGGTGAAACCCCGTCTCTACTAAAATACAAAAACTTGGCTGGGCACGGTGGCTCATGCCTGTAATCCCAGCACTTTGGGAGGCCGAGGCGGGCGGATCGCGAGGTCAGGAGATCAAGACCATTCTGGCTAACACAGTGAAACCCCATCTCTACTAAAAATACAAAAAGAAATTAGCAGGGCGTGGTGGCGGGCGCCTGTAGTCCCAGCTACTCAGGAGGCTGAGGCAGGAGAATGGCGTGAACCTGGGAGGCGGAGCTTGCAGTGAACCAAGATGTGCTGCTGCACCTCAGCCTGGGTGTCAAAGCGAGACTCCGTCTCAAAAAAAAAAAAATCTATGCATAAATCCTAAACAATCTACTGTTTAGTTTTACATTTTTTAACATCACATAAATGGACATTTCTCCTTCTGCTTTTGGAAGTTATATTCTCTAGTTGTATTAAGAGCACTCTATTATCTTCAATTACTTACTCTCCCAAATTATTTGCTATGTTGTTAAGTATTTAGCGCTAAATATTTTTCTTTTTATTTATTTATTATTATTATTTTTTTAAGACGGAGTTTCACTCCTATTGCCCAGGATGGGGTGCAGTGGCGCGATCTCCACTCACTGCAACCTCCGCCTCCCGGGTTCAAGCGATTCTCCTGCCTCAGCCTTCCAAGCAGCTGGGATTACAGGCGCCCGCCATCACACCCAGCTAATTTCTGTATTTTTAGTAAAAACAGGGTTTCTGCAGTGAAACCCCATCTCTACTAAAAATACAAAAAATTGGCCAGGCATGTTGGTACACGCCTGTAGTCCCACCTTCTTGGAAGGCTGAGGCAGGAGAATCTCTTGAACCCAGGAGGCAGATGTTGCAGTGAGCTGAGATCACACCACTGCACTCCAGCCTGGGTGACAGAGTGAGACTCTGTCTCAAAAAAAAAAAAAAAAAGGGGGTTTCACCACGTTGGCCAGGATGGTCTTGAACTCCTGACCTCAGATGATCCGCCCACCTCGGCCTCCCAAAGTGCTGGAATTACAGGTGTGAGCCATCGCACCCAGCCTCTTTTTATTTAGTTTTTTATTTTATTTTATTTTATTTTATTTTGAGACTGAGTCTCACTCTGTCACCCAGGCTGGAGTGCAATGGCACTATCTTGACTCACTGCAACCTCTGCCTCCCAGGTTCAAGCGATTCTTCCAACTCAGCCTCTAGAGTAGCTGGGATTACAGGCACATGCCACCACGCCCAGCTAATTTTTGTATTTTTGTAGAAACGGAATTTCACCATGTTGGCCAGGCTGGTTTCAAACTCCTGACCTCAGGCAACCTGCCCGCCTCAGCCTCCCAAAGTGCTGGGATTACAGGCATGAGCCACTGCACCCAGCCTGAAGGTGGCAGGCAAAGCTTTCTATCAAAGAAGGCCAAATGCCTCTTGCCCAATCTTTAATTATCTCTTAAATTAGAATATCTTACTCAAATCTCCATGTCTCTTAACTTTCTTTCATATCTTCTCTTTACTTTTTTCCATACTGCATTCTGAGTAATTTCTTCAGTGATATCTTCCAGTTTACTAATTCTTTCTTTAACTAGAACTAATCTACTGTTTATCCTATTCTTTGAATTTAAAATATCAATTGTTACTTTTTTATTTCTAGAAATTCTACTTTTTTTTTTTTTTTTTTTTTGAGACGGAGTCTCACTCTGTCACCCAGGCTGGAGTGCAGTGGCACAATCTCAGCTCACTGCAACCTCCACCTCCTGGATTCAAGCAATTCTCCTGCCTCAGCCTCCTGAGTAGCTGGGGTTAAAGGCGCATGCCACCACATCCAGCTAGTTTTGGGGTTTTTTTTGTTTGTTTGTTTGTTTGTTTGAGATGGAATCTCACACTGTTGCCCAAGCTGGAGTGCAGTGTCACGATCTCAGCTCACTGCAACCTCTGCCTCCCAGCTTCAAGGGATTCTCCTGCCTCAGCCTCTCAAATAGCTGGGATTACAGGCACCTGCCACCACGCCCAGCTAATTTTTTGTATTTTCAGTAGAGACAGGGTTTCACTATGTTGGCCAGGCTGGTCTCAAACTCCTGATCTCGTGATCCACCCACCTCGGCCTCCCAAAGTGCTGGGATTACAGGTGTGAGCCACCACGCCCTGCCATAATTTTTGTATTTTTAGTAGAGACAGGGTTTCACCATGTTGATCAGGCTAGTCTTGAACTCCTGACCTCATGATCCGCCTGCCTCAGCCTCCCAAAGTGCTGGGATTACAGGCATAAGCCACCATGCCCGGCCCTACTTTTTTTTCCACATCTGTCTGATTATGTTTATAGTATCTTTTTTTTTTTTTGAGACAGAGTCTTGCTCTGTCCCCCAGGCTGGAGTGCAATGGCGTGATCTTGGCTCACTGCAACCTCCACCTCCCGGGTTCAAGTGATTCTCTTGCCTCAGCCTCCCAAGTTATCTGGGATTACAAGTGCCCACAACCACCCCCGGCTAATTTTTTGTATTTTTAGTAGAGACGGGGGTTTTGCCATCTTGGCCAGGCTGGTCTCGAACTCCTGACCGCAGGTGATCCACCCGCCTCAGCCTCCCAAAGTGCTGGGATTACAGGCGTGAGCCACCATAACTGGCATAGTCTCTCTATTCTTTACCCATGCTTTTGATACCCTTTTGAAATGTATTTAAACCTATGAATTGTACTTATTTTATATTATCTATATAGTAGTTCTTTTTTGTTTTTATTTTATTTATTTATTTATTTTTGAGGCAGGGTCTCACTCTGACGCCCAGGCTGGAGTGCAATGGCATGATCTCAGCTCACTGCAACCTCCACCTCCCAGGTTCAAGCGATTCTTCTGCCCCAGGCTCCCAAGTAGCTGGGATTACAGACATGTGCCACCACTCGCAACTAATTTTTTGAATTTTTAGTGGAGACGGGGTTTCACCATGTTGGCCAGGCTGGTCTCGAACTCCTGACCTCAAATGATCCACCCGCCTCGGCCTCCCAAAGTGTTGGGATTAAAGGTGTGAGCCACCGCGCCCAGCCTCTTTTTGTTTTTAAAGAGACGGGGCTTGCTTTGTGATGCAGACTGGAGTACAGTGGCATGATCCTAGCTTCCTGCAGCCTCTAACTCCTGGGCTCAAGACAGGCGAGCCCCAAATTGGGCCTTAGCCTGGGAAAGTTCTTGGCTTCTCCCAGGAAATAATTCAAAGGTGAGCCAGTGGTATCAGACAGCAACTTTTATTGAAGCAGCAGCGTACAGCAGCAGCAGAGGGACTGCCCTTGCAGAGGAGGGTTAACACACAGGCAGTGTGCCCAGAAGAGTTTCATATGGGCTGGGGGCAGCTGTATTTATACCCACTTTTTTTTTTTTTGAGACGGAATCTGGCCCTGTTGCCCAGGTTGGAGTACAGTGGCATGATCTTGGCTCACTGCAGCCTCTACCCCACTGATTCCAGAGATTCTCCTGCCTCAGCCTCCCAAGTAGCTGGGATTACAGGTGTGTGCCACCACACCTGGTTCATTTTTTTGTATTTTTAGTAGAGATGGAGTTTCACTATGTTGGCCATGAACTCCTGACTTCAGGCGATCTGCCCGCCTCAGCCTCCCAAAGTGCTAGGATTACAGACGTGAGCCACCCCGCCCGGCCTAGACCCACTTTTAATTATACACAAATTAAGAGGCAAGTTATTCAGAACGTTCTGGAAAATGGACAGTTTCTGGAACCATATAAGGTAACTTCTGGGCCATTGCCATGGCCATTGCCAGAGCCTTTCTAAACTATCATGGCACTAGTGGGAGTGTCTTTATGCAAATGAGCAGTGAGGGCAACTAGCGGTCACTTTAGTCACCATCTGCTGATTTTGGCTGGCGTCTTCACTGCACCCTGGATTGACCAGTTTCTGCTCTGATCAGCGGGATGGTGACCAGTCATAACCAGTGCTTGGAAAACAAATCTTGCTGATCTACCTCAAAATTCCTGGGTTCAAGCTATCCTCCTGCCTCAGCCTCCCAAAGCACTGGGATTACAGGCATGAGCCTATATAGTAATTCTGATTCTGAAGTGTTGGTGGCTCTTTTTACTTTTTCTTTTTTAAAATTTGTTTTAATTGGCCGGGCGCGGTGGCTCATGCCTGTAATCCCAGCACTTTGGGAGGCCGAGGCAGGCGGATCACAAGGTCAGGAGATCGAAACCATCCTGGCTAACACAGTGAAACCCCATCTCTACTAAAAATACAAAAAATTAGCCAGGCGTGGTGGCAGGCGCCTGTGGTCCCCGCTACTCTGGAGGCTGAGGCAGGAGAATGGTGTGAACCCGGGAGGCAGAGGTTGCAGTGAGCCGAGATTGTACCACTGCACTCCAGCCTGGGCGAAAGAGCGAGACTCCATCTAAAAAAAAAAAAAAAAAATTTGTTTTAATTTACTTTAAATAGAAACGGGGTCCCACTATGTTGCCCAGGCTGGTCTGGAACTCCTGGACTCAAGCCATCCTCCCACCTTGGCCTCCCAAAGTCCCAAGATTACAGGCATGAGCCACTGAGCCCAGCCTTTTTCTTAAAGCAATAAAAGAATGGCTACTCCATAGACAGCAGCTGGTGGATCTTTTTTCTTCATTACACATGTGTAATCTTGTCAACTACACAGTTTATATGCATTCTTTGAGGTCTGGTATGAAGTAGGTTCTATTCCTTCAGAGAGGATTTGTGGGTACTTCTGTCAGATGCCTGATGGGACAGCCAACCTAAGAGTGCTTTCAGGGCCGGGCGTGGTCGCTCACGCCTATAATCCCAGCACTTTGGGAGGCCAAGGCAGGTGGATCATGAGGTCAGGAGTTTGAGACCAGCCTGACCAACATGGTGAAACACAGTCTTTACTAAAAATACAAAACTTAGCCGGGCATGATGGTGCGTGTCTGTCATCCCAGCTACTCAGGAGGCTGAGACAGGAGAATCACTTGAACCCGGAAAGCGGAGCTTGCACTGACCTGAGATCGCGACACTGCACTCCAGCCTGGGTGACAGAGCAAGACTCTGTCTCAAAAAAAGAGTGCTTTCAGTACTTAGCATGAGGCCAGTCACGGTGGCTCACACCTGTAATCTCAGCACTTTAGGAGGCCAAGGCAGGCAGATCACCTGAGGTCAGGAGTTTGAGACCAGCCTGGCCAACATGATGAAACCCCGTCTCTACCAAAAATAAAAAATTAGCCGGGCGTGGTGGTGAATGCCTGTAATCCCAGCTACTTGGGAGGTTGAGGCAGAAGAATCGCTCGGACCTGGGAGGCGGAGGTTGCAATGAGCAGAGATCATGCCACTATACTCCAGCCAGGTCATCAAGAGCGAAATGCCGTCTCAAAAAATAAAATAAAATAAAATATTTTAGCACGGGATCTTTTGATTCACACAAAGAGTAGAAATACAGGTTGCAATCCCATGTGAGGTTACGAATTCTCAGAGATGCTTTCCCCCTCTGCCCACCATGTTCACGATGGAGAAATTTCTTTGCTGGTGCCCTCTGCAAGATTTTTGCAGTCCGCTCTTTCTTTCTTTTTTTTTTTTTTTTTTGAGATGAAATCTTGCTCTGTTGCCCAGGCTGGAGTGCAATGGCGTGATCTCGGCTCACTGCAACCTCCGCCTCCTGGGTTCAAGTGATTCTCCTGCCTCAGCTTCCTGAGTAGCTGGGATTATAGGCACCCACCACCACGCCTGAGTAATTTTTTACTTTTGGTAGAGGTGGGGTGTCACCATGCTGGCCAGGCTGGTCTCAAACTCCCGACCTCAGGCGATCTGCCTGCCTTGGCCTTCCAAAGTGCTAGGATTACAGGTGTAAGCCACCACACCCGGCCCAGTCCACTCTTTCAATGAGGATGCAGGCTTTCCAGACCCTGGCTTTATGTGGGGGTCACCTAACAGCTTTTTCACCCTGGGTGGGCCCTGGGTTTCTCTCTTGCCCCATAATTCCAAATGTGCATCAAAACTGAAGCTTTGTGGCCGGGCGGAGTGGCTCACACCTATAATCCCAGCACTTTGGGAGGCTGAGGTGGGTGGATCACGAGCTCAGGTGATCAAGACCATCCTGAACTGGGTTTCAACATGGTGAAACCCAGTCTCTACTAAAAATACAAAAATTAGCTCGGTATAGTGGTGCCTGCCTGTAATCCCAGCTACTCGGGAGGCTGAGGCATGAGAATCGCTTGAACCCAACAGGCAGAGGTTGCAGTGAGTCGAGATAACGCTGCTGCACTCCAGCCTGGGTGACAGAACGAGACTCTGTCTCAAAAAAAAAAAAAAAAAAAAGGCCGGGCTCAGTGGCTCACACCTGTAATCCCAGCATTTCAGGAGGCCGAGGCGGGCGGATCATAAGGTCAGGAGATCGAGACCATCCTGGCTAACAAGGTGAAATCCTGTCTCTACTAAAAAATACAAAAAATTAGCCGGGCGTGGTGGCAGGCGCCTGTAGTCCCAGCTACTTGGGAGGCTGAGGCAGGAGAATGGCCTGAAACCAGGAGGCAGAGCTTGCAGTGAGCAGAGATCGTGCCACTGCACTCCAGCCTGGGTGACAGAGTGAGACTCTGTCTCAAAAAAAAAAAAAACTGAAGCTTCTTGGCTGGGCACAGTGGCTCGTGCCTGCAATCCCAACACTTTGGGAGACTGAGGCTGGTGGATCACCTGAGGTCAGGAATTCAAGACCCACCTGGCTGATATGGTGAAACCATGTCTCTACTAAAAATAAAAAATTAGCCAGGCATGGGGGCACGCAGCTGTAATTCCAGCTACTCAAGAGGCTGAGGCAGGAGAATCACCTGAACTTAGGAGGCAGTGGTTGCAGTGAGCCAAGATCGAGCCACCACCACACTCCAGCCTGGGCGGCAGAGCAAGACTCTGTCTCAAAAATAAATAAATAAATAATTTTTAAAAATGATAAAACTGTAAAGAAATTGTTTTTAAGAAAAACAAAAAGTTAGCCAGTCATGGTGCTGTGCACCTTGTAGCCCTAGCTATCCAAGAGGCTGAGGCCAATTGATTGAGCTTGAGAATAAAAGAGTTCGAGGCTGCAGTGAGCTATGATCACACCGCTGCAGTCTAGACTGGGTGACAGAGTGAGACTGTGTCTCTTAAAAAAAAAAAAAATTAGGGCTGGGCACGGTGGCTCAAGCCTGTAATCCCAGCACTTTGGGAGGCCGAGGCAGGCGGATCACGAGGTCAGGAGATCAAGACCAGCCTGGCTAACATGGCAAAACCCCATCTCTACTAAAAATACAAAAAATTAGCCGGGCGTGGTGGCAGGTACCTGTAGTCCCAGCTACTCGGGAGGCTGAGGCAGGAGAATGGCATGAACCCGGGAGGCGGAGCTTGCAGTGAGTCAAGATCGCACCACTGTACTACAGCCTGGGCGACAGAGCGAGACTCCATCTCAAAAAAAAAAAAAAATTAGGCCGGGCACGGTGACTCACACCTGTAATCCCAGCACTTTGGGAGGCTGAGGCAGGCAGATCACTGAGATCAGGAGTTCGAGACCAGCCTGGCCAACATGCTGAAACCTCATCTCTACTAAAAATACAAAAAGTTAGCTGGGCGCGGTAGCATGCCTGTAGTCCCAGCTACTCAGGAGGCTGAGGTAGCAGAATCACTTGAACCCAGGAGGCAGAAGTTGCAGTGAGCCAAGATTGCACCACTGCACTCCAGCCTGGCGACAGAGCAAGACTCTGTCTCAAAAAAAAAAATGAAGTTGTTCACAGGGCAGGTGGTGGTGACCTGAACTAGAAAGGTGACTGCAGTGGGGATGGAAAGGGCTAAATATAATTAAGAGGTATTAAGGAGGTAAGATTGCTAAGCCTTGCTGATGGCTTGCGTGAAGGAGATTAAGGAGAGTCAATGACATATGGAAGATATTTAAAGTGTGTGACAGTCTTAAGATAACCTATAGGAAGAGAGCATAGAGAAAGAAGAAAAATGGGCCATGTGCTGAGCCCTGGAGTAGATACAAAGCTGAAGAGGAGAGAGCAAGCATAGACAAACCAGCTCTGGAAGCAGCACACTCGCTGTAGTGAGGGGTGTATAGGATGGTGATTAACAAGTTTTCCACTTAAACCAGACATGAATCCTGGGCCTGCAATTCTGGCCCCACAGCAAGAAAATCAACCTTGTTGGGTGATGGTGATGCTTCAAACTGGGCTCTGATGATGCTCAATTAGGGAGGAGTAAGACACTTCCAGAGATTAGAAGCACAGGGGCCCGTACGCCATGGCTCACGCCTGTAATCCCAGCACTTTGGGAGGCCAAAGCGGGTGGATCACCTGAGGTTAGGAGTTCGAGACCAGCCTGACCAAAATGGTGAAACCCTGTCTTTACTAAAAATACAAAAATTAGCTGGGCATGGTTGCGGGCAGCTGTAATCCCAGCTACTCAGGAGGCTGAGGCAGGAGAATCTCTTGAACCCAGGAGGTGGAGGTTGCAGTGAGCCCAGATCTTCCCATTGCACTCCACTCCAGCCTGGGCAACAGAGAGACTCCTTCTCAAATAAAAAAAAAGAAGAAGAAGAAGAGGAAACACAGGGGATAGAAACCAGGGCAAAGGGTTTGGCTTTTTCTTTTTTTTTCACCCTCGAGACAGAGTCTTGCTCTGTCACCCAGGCTGTAGCGCAGTGGCCCGATCTTGGCTCACCGTAACCTCTGCCTCCTGGGTTCAAGCGATTCTCCTGCTTCAGCCTCCCGAGTAGCTGGGATTACAGGTGCGTCCCAGCACGCCGGCTAATTTTTGTATTTTTAGTTAAGACAGGGTTTCACCATGTTGGCCAGGCTGGTCTCAAACTCCTGACCTCATGATCCGCCCACCTTGGCCTCCCAAACTGTTGGGATTATAGGCATGAGCCACCCGGCCGGTTTTTTTTTTTTTTTTTTTTTTTTTTTTTGAGACAGGGTCTCACTCTGTTTCTTTTTTGTTTATTTCTTTGTTTTTGGAGAAGGGGGTCTCAATCCATCACCCAGGCTGGAGTGCAGTCGTGCAATCATGGCTCACTGCAACCTCCACCTCCCAGACTCAAGTGATCCTCCCACCTCAGCCTCCTGACTAGCTGTGATTACCAGTGTGCACCAATTTTTTTTTTCCCGTAGAGACAGGGTTTCACCATGTTGCCCAGGCTAGTTTGGAACTCCTGAGTTCATTTGATCCACCTACCTCAGCCTCCCAAAGTGCTGGGATTACAGGGGTGAGCCACCACACCCTGCAGGGTTTGGCTTTTTGGCTGGAGATGGTGAAAGGCCAGGCTTTTTCTTTTTTTTTCACCCTCGAGACAGAGTCTTGCTCTGTCACCCAGGCTGTAGCGCAGTGGCCCGATCTTGGCTCACCGTAACCTCTGCCTCCTGGGTTCAAGCGATTCTCCTGCTTCAGCCTCCCGAGTAGCTGGGATTACAGGTGCGTCCCAGCACGCCGGCTAATTTTTGTATTTTTAGTTAAGACAGGGTTTCACCATGTTGGCCAGGCTGGTCTCAAACTCCTGACCTCATGATCCGCCCACCTTGGCCTCCCAAACTGTTGGGATTATAGGCATGAGCCACCCGGCCGGTTTTTTTTTTTTTTTTTTTTTTTTTTTTTGAGACAGGGTCTCACTCTGTTTCTTTTTTGTTTATTTCTTTGTTTTTGGAGAAGGGGGTCTCAATCCATCACCCAGGCTGGAGTGCAGTCGTGCAATCATGGCTCACTGCAACCTCCACCTCCCAGACTCAAGTGATCCTCCCACCTCAGCCTCCTGACTAGCTGTGATTACCAGTGTGCACCAATTTTTTTTTTCCCGTAGAGACAGGGTTTCACCATGTTGCCCAGGCTAGTTTGGAACTCCTGAGTTCATTTGATCCACCTACCTCAGCCTCCCAAAGTGCTGGGATTACAGGGGTGAGCCACCACACCCTGCAGGGTTTGGCTTTTTGGCTGGAGATGGTGAAAGGCCAGGAAGATGTTATCCTTGGCAGAGAAAGATTCAGAGTCATGGTCTAGGAACTTTTAGTCCCAATCCAGAATTTCATGAGGGAGGAACCAGAGGCCCAAGAGGAGGTATCCCCAGCCATGTCCTTCCCACCCTTGTATTGGTCACTCACAAAAGACACTTGCTGCGCTGAAGACAGGCTGAAGATTTCGCATCCAGGCGCCACCTCTGACAGATGCCAGGAGGGGGCAGCAGAGAGCCAGGGTCGCAAGGTCCTAGCAGGTGCCATGAGCCCTGCAAGTGGGAAGGTGGGAATAGGATGGGAAGCTGGGCTCCTTGAGGTTGTCACTTTTTGTTTGTCAGTTTGGTTTTGGTTTCTGAGGCAGAGTCTCACTCTGTCACCCAGGCTGAAGCATAGTAGCACAGCCACAGCTCACATGCAGCTTCGAACTCCTGGGTTCAAGTGATCCTCCCATCTCAGCCTCCCAGGTAGCCCACCACCAGGCCTGGCTATTTTTCTTTTTTTTTTTTTTTTTTAAGACGGAGTCTCACTCTTTCACCCAGGCTGGAGTGCAGTGGTGCTATCTTGGCTCACTGCAACCTCCGCCTTCCGGGTTCAAACGATTCTCCTGCCTCAGCCTCCCGAGCAACTGGGATTACAGGTGCCTGCCACTAGGCCCAGCTAATTTTTGTATTTTTAGTAGAGACAGGGTTTCACCATGTTGGTCAGGCTGGTCTCCAACTCCTGACCTTAGGATCCGCCCACCTTGGCCTCCCAAAGTGCTGGAATTACAGGCTTGAGCCACCGCACCCAGCCCAGGCCTGGCTATTTTTCTTTAATTTTCCGTAGAGATGGAGTCTCGCTGTGTTGCCCAGGCTGAGATTGTCACTTTCAAAGCATGTTTTTCCCTTCTCCATGTGAGGATTACACAACCATTTCACACATAATACCGATAATAATAATTATTATCACCATTATTATATCAGTCACCATTTAATGGGCCCCTCCCATCTCTGCATCCCAACCCTCCAGAGTCACAGACTGAACCAATGGAAAGAGAACCAGTGTGAGGGTGGGCACAGTGGCTCATGCCTGTAATCCCAGCACTTTGGGAGGTCAAGAAGGGTGGATCATTTGAGGTCAGGAGTTCGAGACCAACCTGGCCAACATGATGAAAACATGTCTTGGCTGGGCGCAGTGGCTCAGGCCTATAGTCCCAGCACACTGGGAGCCTGAGGCAGGTGGATCACAAGGTCAAGAAATCGAGACCATCCTGGCCAACATGGTGAAACCCTGTCTCTGCTAAAAATACAAAAATTAGGCCAGTCGCGGTGGCTCACGCCTGTAATCCCAGAACTTTGGGAGGCCGAGGTGGGCGGATCAGGAGGTCAGGAGATCAAGACCATCCTGGCTAACATGGTGAAACCCCATCTCTACTTAAAAAAAATACAAAAAATTAGCCGGGCGTGGTGGCGGGCACCTGCAGTCCCAGCTACTCGGGAGGCTGAGGCAGGAGAATGGCTTGAACCCAGGAGGCGGAGCTTGCAGTGAGCCGAGATCGCGCCACTGCACTCCAGCCTGGGCGACAGAGTGAGACTCCGTCTCAAAAAAAAAAAAACAAAAATTAGCTGGGCATGGTGGCATGTGACTGTAGTCCCAGCTACTCAGGAGGCTGAGGCAGGAGAATCGCTAGAACCCGGGAGGCGGAGGTTGCAGTAAGCAGAGATCGCGCCACTGCACTCCAGCCTGGCGACAGAGCGAGACTCGTCTCTTTTTTTTTGAGACTGAATTTCGCTGTTTTTGCCGAGGCAGGAGTATGATGGCTCGATCTCGGGTCACTGCAACCTCCGCCTCCCAGGTTCAAGCAATTCTCCTGCCTCAGCCTCCTGAGTAGCTAGGATTACAGGTGCATGCCACCATGCCCGGCTCATTTTTTGTATTTTTAGTAGAAATGGGGTTTCATCATGTTGGCCAGGCTGGTCTCGAACTCCTGACCTCAGGTGATCCACCTGCCTTGGCCTCCCAAAGTGCTGGGATTACAGGCATGAGCCACTGTGCCTGGCTGAGACTTTGTAAAAAAAAAAAAAAAAAAAAAACACACGGTGTGGGGGTCAGACCAAGGGTATCAAACCCTGATTTTCCCACGGCCTCATCATGTGACCTCAAACAGGTAACAGGTCACTTCCTCGCTGTCTCACTTTTCTCATCTGTAAAATGAGGATAATAAAACAAAAGACTGGAGGGTTCTGAAAGCACTAAATTGGCCTTGTGTAAGCAAAGTACCTGGCACATGAGAGACTCCATGAACTTCAGTTCCTTCCCCTGGCTTTATTTTAGTTATTTGTTTGTTTGTTTGCTTTTCTACTCCACAATAGAGGTAATGGACTGTTTTTATTTAAACAAATGTTAAAATGTCATTTAACAGATATTCACTGTCACTGTGTCCCTGGTCCTGTCCTTGGTACTGGTAACATAGAGTGGCATCCCAGGTGAGCAGGAAGCAGGGAGGCACCCCCTGTGCAAGGGCGATCCCCACCGAGACTAGGGTCTGCCTATCTGGATTAAGAGCCACGATTCCAAATTCCTGCTGCCTTGCCACTCACTATGTGATAGATAATAATGTTTTGTGATCCTAAACATGTCAAAATGGAGTCACTTATGACAAGTGACTCAGCCTACAGTTAAACTGCTGACCTCTCAAAGTGTACGGTGGACAGAGGGGATAACACCTGCTGTGGTCAGGCACCCCCAAGACCTAACAAGAAAGAGAAGCCACAGGGCAGCTGAGATAATGGCTATGGAGACTCTTGCAGAGGGCCATGAACACCGCAATAAACTGACCATCACGGGGCGTCATGGCTCATACCTGTAACCCCAACATTTTGGAAGGATGAAGTAAGGAGATTGCTTGAACCCAGCAGTTCAAGATAAGCCTGGCAACATAGGGAGACCTCATCTCTACAAAAACTTTAAAAAGTTGGCCAGGCACGGTGGCTCACGCCTGTAATACCAGCACTTTGGGAGGCCAAGGCAGGCGGTCACTTGAGGTCAGGAGTTCGAGACCATCCTGGCCAACATGGTGAAACCCCATCTCTGCTAAAAATACCAAAAAAAATTAGCCGGGCATGGTGGCACATGCCTGTAGTCCCAGCTACTCGGGAGGGTGAGGCAGGAAAATCGCTTGAACCCAGGAAGCAGAGGTTGCAGTGAGCCAAGATCGTGCCACTGCACTCCAGCCTGGGTGATAGAGCAAGACTCAGTCTCTGAAAAAAAAAAAAAAAAAAAGCTAGGCGGTGTACGCCGGTAGTCCCAGCTACCCCTGAGGCTGAGGTGGGAGGATCACGTGAGCTAGGGAGGATGAGGCTGCAGTAAGCCGTGATGATGCCTCTGCACTCCAGCCTGGGTAACACAGCGAGACCCTGTCTCAAAAAAGAAAGAAAAGAAAAAGAAACTGGCCATGGCAGAGATGCCTGTGGGAGCTCTACCAGTGAGAACTCTGAGGCCTCTTTTCCATCAGGCAACCCTCCGAAGCTCTGCTGGGAGAAGAGCCTCGGCCCCCCCACCCCTTCAGCCCCCCAACCCTTGTTGGCATTCTGAGGGAAAACAGTCAGCACAGTCATCCCAGAGCTACTGGAGCTACTCCCTGTGGCTTGTTCCTCCTCTCTCATTACTGCCTATGTGTTGGTGTGAAAGCCTCTCAATAAACCATGAATTTGTAAACATTTAATTGGCCATTGAGTCATCACAAAACTTCCCTCCCACCCCCACCTCCCAATCAGAGTTAGCATAACTAGGCTGATTCGCACCTGACACAAACACAAAGCCTATGTGATTGCTGGGCGTGGTGGCTCACATTTGTGAGTGAGGAACCATCTCTACAAAAGATCAGAAATTAGCCAAGCGTGGTGGCGTGCACCTGTAGTCCCAGATATTCAGGGGGCCAAGGTGAGAGGATCGCTTGAGCCCAGGAGATCAAGGGTGCAGTGAGCCTTGATGCAGCCCCTGCACTACTCCAGCCTAGGTAACAGAGTGAGACCCTGTGTCCAAAAAAAAAAAAGACTATGTGATCTTGGGCAGGCAACTCTCTCTCTCTGAGCCTCAATTAGATCATTTGGAAGATGGAATCATTATAGTACCTAGAGGATCAGTGTGACACTTAAATGTGACAGTAGGCCAGGCCCAGTGGCTCACACCTGTAATCCCAGCACTTTGGGAGGCCTAGGTGGGCAGATCACCTGAGGTCAGGAGTTCAAGACAGCCTGGCCAACATGGCGAAACCCTGTCTCTATTAAAAATACAAAATTAGGGCCGGGCACGGTGGCTCACACCTGTAATCCCAGCACTTTGGGAGGCCAGGACGGGCAGAT
The DNA here is from genome assembly GCF_000001405.40 of Homo sapiens. Taxonomy (NCBI): domain Eukaryota; kingdom Metazoa; phylum Chordata; class Mammalia; order Primates; family Hominidae; genus Homo; species Homo sapiens. The sequence goes on from NC_000020.11 coordinate 33,461,489, forward strand.
CACGAGGTCAGGAGATCGAGATCATCCTGGCTAACATGGTGAAACCCCATCTCTACTTAAAAAAAATACAAAAAATTAGCCAGGCGTGGTGGCGGACACCTGCAGTCCCAGCTACTCGGGAGGCTGAGGCAGGAGAATGGCGTGAACCTAGGAGGCGGAGCTTGCCGTGAGCCAAGATCGTGCCACTGCACTCCAGCCTGGGTGACCGAGCGAGACTCCGTCTCCAAAAAAAAAAAAAAAACAAAATTAGGCAGGGCGAGGTGGCTCACGTCTATAATCCCAGCACTTTGGGAGGCCAAGGCAGACGGATCACGAGGTCAGGAGTTCGAGACCAGCCTCGCCAACATGGTGAAACCCCCTCTCTACTAAAAATACAAAAACTAGCTGGACATGGTGGCAGGTGCCTGTAATCCCAGCTACTCAGAAGGCTAAGGCAGGAAAATTGCTTGAAGCTGGCAGGCGGAGGTTACAGTGAGCCGAGATCATGCCATTGCACTCCAGCCTGGGTGACAGAGTGAGACTCCATCTCAAAAAATAATAATAATAAATAAATAAATGTGACAGTGCACTAGCAAATGCTTTGCATCATGCCTAGCACATAGTAAGTGTAGTAAGTGCTCAGTAAATTCAAAAACAAAACAGTGTTAGCTTCCCTGGAAGTTACTTCTCCCCTGGCAGCCCTTACTGCTTACTCAGGTCACCAATAACCCTCTTCAGATTACCAAAGCAGCCTGGCATTAGAGAGGAGGCAAAAACCCAGCATCTGAAGGCTGAAATTGCATCCCAGCTCCACCAACTACCAGCTGTGTGGCCTTGGGCAGTCAGCCTCTCTGTACTTTAGTTTCCTATGTGAAAAATTGGGATCAGAATAGTAGCTGCCTCTTAGGCTTGTTGTGAGGATTAAATAAGAGCACAGAACGGGCACAATACATGTTCAAGTCATTATTACTGTTATTATTATTACTACAACTACTACTGCTGTACTTTCTTCCACACCCACCCTGGTACCAATTCCTACAGATTCAACCTCCTAAAAGCCTCTCAAAGCAGTCTCTGGCCTCCATTTCCCAGGCCTGGCCCTTCCTATCATTTCATGCCTCTATTAGGGGCTCCTTAAAACAGATTGTCAGGTTTGGTGTGGTGGCCTGAGCCTGTAATCCCAGCTGCTCAGGAGGCTGAGACAGGAGAATGGCTTGAACCTGGGAGGTGGAGGTTGAAGTGAGCCGAGATCACGCCACTGCACTCCAGCCTGGGCAACGCAGCGAGGCTCCATCTCAAAAGCAACGACAACAGGTCACCAGTCCCCACCCCAGAGTTACTGATTCAGTGGCTCTGCAGCAGCCTGAGAATGTGTATTTTTAGCAAGTTCCCAGGCGATGACCATGCTGTCAGTCCAAGAGTCACACTTTGACAACCTCTGCTTCTGAGCTCTGCCCAATTTCTCTCATGAGCTCTGCCCAATTTCTCTTTACTCATCTAACCCTTCTCCAGGCTGGTGGCCTCAGGGCTGGGGGGATTCTGTGGGTGGAGATCAGTCAAGGATAGTCAGAGGCTGGGATTGTGAAAAGGGGTTGGCCTCTGGCTCCAGGTTTTGTTCTTCACCCTGGAATCTGCTGCTTTGTACCAGCCAAAGTCAGGGTGCTCCTAGGGCCTGAAAATCCTACACCCTGGTTACACACACACACACACGCAAACACACACACTCCTCCCCTATTATTTACTCCAAAAGTCCCATGCACATGCATGACCCTGGGGTGGTCCCCTCCAAGCCCCCCTACCCTGCCCCACGCAGGCCAGAGCTCACCCACCCTCAGGATTCATCGCTGACGGCCCTGCATCCCTTTCCTCACAGATGTTTCACTTACCCTATTCTCTGCTCTGAAATTCCCTCAAAAGCATTCACTAGTAATTTTTCTAAATCACAGTAATTACCTCATTACTTTGATATTAATAGACTTCGCTTGGCAGCAAGGAGCCAGTTGAAAGGTGCCCAGGCTCTGTGTGTGGGGAGGGATTCCTGGAGGCAGCCCCACGTGAGTGCTGGCCGGGCTGCAGCCCTGTGTCTCACCCTGGCCTGCTTGCCTCCCCAGCCTGCCTGGGCTCTCATGTGCTCTTCCCCAAGTCAGGGAAAATCTTTGAACCACCCACTTCTGAGAAATGGTGAAAGAGAGAAGGAAGGAAGAAACGAAAGACACAGGAAAGGGGCCAGGAGCAGTGGCTCACCCCTATAATCCCAGCACTTTGGCAGGCGAAGGTGGGAGGATTGCTTGAGCTCAGGACTTCGAGACCAACCTGGGTAACACAGTGAAACCCTGTCTCTACAAAAAAATCAAAAATTAGCTGGGCCTGGTGGTGCACACCTGTAGTCTTAGCTACTCAGGAGGCTGAGGTGGGAGGATCTCTTGACCCCAGGAGGCAGAGGTTGCAGTGAGCCGAGATTGCATCACTACACTCCACATTGGGTGACAGTAAGAGACCCTGTCTCTTTTTTTTTTTTTTTTTTGAGAGAGAGTCTCACTCTGTCACCCAGGCTAAAGTGCAGTGGCACCATCTCAGCTCACTGTAAATTCCACCTCCCAGATTCAAGTGATTCTTGAGCCTCAGCCTCCTGAGTAGCTGGGATTACAGGTGCATGCCACTACACCTGGCTAATTATTGTATTTTGAGTAGAGGCACAGTTTCACCATGTTGGCCAGGCTGGTCTTAAACTTCTGACCTCGGGTGATCCACCCACCTCGGCCTCCTAAAATGCTTGGATTACAGGCGTGAGCCACCGCACCCAGCCCAAGAGACCCTGTCTCAAAAAAAAAAAAAAAGGCTGGGCATGGTTGCTCATACCCGCATACCTGTAATCCCTGCACTTTGGGAGACTGAGGCAGGCAGATCACTTGTGGTCAGGAGTTCAAAACCAGGCTGACCAACATGGCAAAACCCTGTCTCTACCAAAAATACAAAAGTTATCTGGGCATGGTGGCAGGCGTCTGTAATCCCAGTACATGAGAGGCTGAGGCAGGAGAATCACTTGAACCCAGGAGGCGGAGGTTGCAGTGAGCCAAGATCGTGCCACTGCACTCCAGCCTGGGCAACACAGAGACTTCATCTTGAAAGGAAGAAGGAAGGAAAGCTGGGCACTATGGCTCATGCCTGTAATCCCAGCACTTTGGGAGGCCGAAGCAGGCAGATCACGAGGTCAGGAGATCGAGACCATCCCGGCTAACACGGTGAAACCTGTTTCTACTAAAAATACAAAAAATTAGCCAGGTGTGGTGGCAAGTACCTGTAGTCCCAGCTACATGGGAGGCTGAGGTAGGAGAATCACTTGAACCCGGGAGGCGGAGGTTACAGTGACCTGAGATCGTGCCACTGCACTCCAGCCTCGGCGACAGAGAGAGAGAGAGAGAGAAACAGAGAGAAAGAAAGGAAGGAAAGAAAGCGAGAGAGAGAGAGGGGGAGAGAGAGAGAGAGAGAGAGAGAGAGGAAGGAAGGAAGGAAGGAAGGAAGGAAGGAAGGAAGGAAGGAAAGAAGGAAGGAGAAAATCAAGGATGATGAGGTTTAGGACGCACGTACTGAGTCCTTACTATCTGCCAGATGCCTTCCTTGCATTATCTTTCCTCATCCTCAGGACTGTTCTCTATGATGAGGCCTCAGGGGGCTGCATTTCAGCTGGGGAAATTGAGAGCTTAGGTGATCTGCCCAAGGACTCACTCTCAGTAGCAGATCTGGATTAACGCAGGTAGGCCTGACTCCCAAGCCTAACCTCCTAACCATGAGGCTCTTCTGCAAGCATCCTCCACTCTAGGCCTCAGTTTCCCCATTCATAGCAGTCAGAGACTCTGTTGATGAGGGCTCACTGAGAGCCAGACACCAGTTTGCCACCTGGCCCATTGCACTTAATCCTATTACTGCATTTGAATCTATGACATGTTATAACCACGGGGCCATGCTGCCTTGGTTTTACCTGCTCACTCTCAAGTTGATGATAAGTGAGTTTCCAAGTCCAAGAGTCTCCAGGAACGTTGCAGACTTCCTCTACAAACAGGATCAGGAAGAGAAGATCTCAGCAGAAAGGCACCCCGGGGTGGGACAGGCCAGGGCTGAGAGTGATTGGGCAGCCACAGACTAGACTAGCCAAGCTGGTCAGGGTCAGGGTGGGGGTGCAGTATAGAGGATCCTTTGTCAGGGCAGAAGCTGCAAGCCTCCCCATCCCCACCATCTGGCTCCAGCTCCAGCCCAGTGATGCATGATGAGGAGAATGTTGGGGGGGTGTTGCTGAGGGCTGCCCACCTGCTCTGCCTCCTGGGATAAGCCAACCCGAGACCTCCCAGGCCCATCTGGCTAACACATCCCTAGGCCCTGACCACCCCTGGGACTCCTTTTGACAGACTGAAATTGGCCGGGAGTGTGGCCAGCCTGTCAGGGTCACAGGTCACCATTAATCTGCCAGAACAAGGGAGGGCAGGCGGGTGGGCAAGCAGCCGGTGTGGGCAAAGCCCTGGCAGTTCCTGCCGTCTGCTGTGGTGGCTGTGGAGAGAGGCTTTCCTCTTCTGGGAGGCAGGGAGATGGATTAGAAAGAATCTAGGACCCTAGGAAAATTGAAGATACTCACGTCTCACTACCCAGCAATTCCACTTCTAGGTGGGGCCCCAGTGAAACTCACCCCTGTGCACAAGGTGTCATTGAAGCATAGCATGTGATAGTGAAATACCAGAAGAAAAGTAAGCGCCCATCAATAGGGAACAGGATAAATATAAAAACTGAGACAATCATATTCAATGATTAAGGCTGAGAACTGAGGTCCTCTATGTCAACAAGATTTGACTGTTTCAAGAAATTCTTACCTGGAAAGATAAGACTGTAAACCAATAAATAGCCTCACCGTTTGCCTCAGGAAACTCTTGCAAACCAATTTTTTTTTTTTTTTTTGCAAGAAGTTGGTTCACCTTGGCAAATACTTCCCTTTTTCAGACAACACTTTACTCTTCAATGTATCAAGAGCTTCTTCTCAAATGGTGAGCACTCCTAAGCTCTTTTTTTTTTTTTTTTTTCAGACAGTCTCACTGTCACCCAGGCTGAAGTGCAGTGGTGCAATCTCAGCTCACTGCAACCTCCGCCTCCTGGGTTCAAGCCATTCTCCCGTCTCAGCCTCCCAAGTAGCTGGGATTACAGGCGCCCACCACCACGCCTGGCTAATTTTTGTATTTTTAGTAGAGATGGGGTTTCCCCATGTTGGTCAGGCTGGCCTCAAACTCCTGGCCCCAGGTGATCCACCCACCTCGGCCTCCCAAAGTGCTGGGATTATAGGTGTGAGCCACCACACCCGGCCACTTTTTTTTTTTAAGGGACAGCATCTTCCTTTGATGCCCAGGCTGGAGTGCAGTGGCATGGTCATAGCTCCCTGCAGCCTTGAACTCTTGGTCTCAAGCATTCCTCCCACCTCAGCCTCTCAAGTAGCTGGGACTTACAGGTGTGTGCCACCACACCTGGCTAATGTTTAAACTTTTTGTAGAGATGGGGTCTCACTATGTTGACCAGGCTCATGGGATGTTTTTGTTTTTGTTTTTGTTTTACTCTTGTTGCCCAGGCGGGAGTGCAATGGAACCATCTCGGTTCACTGTAAACTCCACCTCCTGGGTTCAAGCGATTCTCCTGCCACAGCCTCCAGAGTAGCTGAGGTTACAGGCATGCGCCACCACCCCCAGCAAATTTTTTAGTAGAGGCAGGGTTTCTCCATGTTGGTCAGGCTGGTCTTGAACTCCCGGCCTCAGGTGATCCGCTCACCTCAGCCCCCCAAAGTGCTGGGAATCCAGATATGAGCCACTGGTCCCAGCCACAAACAAATGGCATAATTTCTTTTTTTTTCTTTTTATTTTTTGACACGGAGTTTCGCTTTTTTGCCCAGGCTGGAGTGCAGTGCTGCGATCTCGGCTCACTGCAACCTCAGCCTCCTGGGTTCAAGCTATTCTCTTGCCTCAGCCACCCCCCGAGGAGCTGGGATTACAGGCATGTGCCACCACACCTGGCTAATTTTTGTATTTTTAGTAGAGAGGGGGTTTCACCGTGTTGGCCAGGCTGGTCTCGAACTCCTGACCTCAGATAATCCACCCATCTTGGCCTCCCAAAGTGCTGGAATTACAGGTGTGAGGCACCGCGCCCGGCCATGGGCTGTTTTTATAATAGCCATCCGATGGGTGTTTAAAGTGGGATTTAAAAAAAATACGGGCCAGATGTGGCTCACACCTTTAATCCCAGCACTTGAGGAGGCTGAGGCAGATGGATTACTTGAGCTCAGGAGTTCGAGACCAGCCTGGCCAACATGGCGAAACCCCATCTCTACTAAAAACACAAAAATTAGCCAGGCGTGGGGCAGGTGCCTGTAATCCCTGCTACTGGAGAGGCTGAGGCAAGAGAATCCCTTGAACCTGGGAGGCAGAGGTTGCAGTGAGCCAAGACTTCCTCTCAAAAAAAAAAAAAATACAGATGGGATGGGCCAGTGCAGTGGCTCACGCCTGTAATCCCAACACTTTGGGAGGCTGAGGTGAGCAGATCACTTGAGGTTAGGAGTTTGAGACCAGCCTGGCCAACATGGTGAAACCCCGTCTCTACTAAAAATACAAAATTAGCTGGGCATGGTAGCGTGCACCTGTAATCTCAGCTACTTGGGAGGTTGAGGTAGGAGAATCGCTTGAACTTGGGAGGCACAGGTTGGAGTGAGCCTAGATCACACCATTGCACTCCAGTCTGGGTGACAGAGCAAGACCATGTCTCAAAAAATAAAAAAATACAGATGGACCACGACTTACACCTATAATCCCAACACTTTAGGAGTCCGAAGCAGGCAGATGACCTGAGATCAGGAATTTGAGACCAGCCTGGGCAACATGGTGAAACCCCGTCTCTACTAAAAAGACAAAAAAGTAGCCTGGCCTAGTGGCGCATGCCTATAATCCCAGCTACTCAGAGGGCTGAGACAGTAGAATTGTTGAACCCCGGAGGCGGAGGTTGCAGTGAACTGAGATGGTGCATCCCTACATATGTATATAGGGATGGATGCGGTGGCTCAACCCTATAATTCCAGCACTTTGGGAGACCGAGGCGGGCGGATCACTTGAGGCCAGGAGTTCAAGACCAACCTGGCCAACATGGGGAAACCCTGTCTCTACTAAAAATATAAAACAGCCGGGCGTGGTGGCAGGCTCCTGTAATCCCCACTACTTGGAAAGCTGAGGCAGGAGAATCACTTGAACCTGGGAGGCAGAGGTTGCAATGAGCCAAGATCACACCATTGCACTTCAACCTGGGCAACAGAGTGAGACTCTGTCTCAAAAAAAAAAAAAAAAAAAAAAAAAAGGCCGGGCGCAGTGGCTCACGCCTGTAATCCCAGCACTCTGGGAGGCTGAGGCAGGGGGAACACCTGAGGTCACGAGATCAAGACCAGCCTGGCCATGGTGAAACCTCGTCTCCAATAAAAATACAAAAAAGTAGCTGGGCATGGTGGTGCGCACCTGTAATCCCAGCTACTCGGGAGGCTGAGGCAGGAGAATCGCTTGAACCTGGGAGGCGGAGGCTGCAGTGAGCTGACACAGTGCCATTGCACTTCAGCCTCGGCAACAAGAGCGAAACTCCGTGTCAAATAAAAAAAAATATATATATATGTGTATATATATATATATGTATATATCCCCATTGTGCAGAAGAGGAAGAGGAGGAGGCTCAGAGGGTCCAGGGAGCCACCCACAGCCACATATGGCAGAAGTAGGATCTGACCTTAGCACTGAAATTCTTACCCTCTATAATTTGGTGCCTTCCACGGAACCTTATCCTGATCCCAAGAGTTCAGTAGAGGGTCCTACACATCAGGAAGTTTAAGTAACTCAGTGATAGTAATAACTTATATTTAATGAGCACTTGCCAAGCACCAGGCCCCTTGCTAAGCTCTGAATCCTCACAACCCTAGTGAGCAGGTTTTTGTTTTTGTTTTTTTTGAGACAGTCTTGCTGTCATCGAGGCTGGGGTGCAGTGGCACAGTCACAGCTCCTCATCCTACCTCAGCCTCCCAGGTAGCTGGGACTACAGTTGTGCACCACCACACCCAGCTAATTTTTGTATTTTTGGTACAGATGGGGTTTCACCATGTTGCCCAGGCTGGTCTCGAACTTCTGGGCTCAAGCAATCCACCTGCCTCGGCCTCCCAAAGTGCTGACATTACAGGCATGAGGCACTGAGCCTGGCCTGAGCCCACATCATTCGGCTCTCTGATGTGGAAATAGAGTCTCAAATGGGTCAAGAGATTTGCTGAAAGTCACACAGTAATAGCATCAATCTGTTTGGTTGCAGAACCATAACTGTCCTATTCTTGGGTGCCTCATGGGGGATCCTCAGGGCCATGACTTCCAGACCATTTCTGAGCTTCATCAGTGGTACCTTCCCAGTCTGCAGATGCTATGTGACCTTCATCTTGGTTTCTTGGGCCCCCAAAGCCTCCTTCCAGTACCAGCAAGCTCCAAACCAAATAGGGTCTTATTGAGGCACCAGGAGCCTGGCTGGGACCCAGAAAGAGCCAAGTGTCCCCTGCCACACACAACACCAGGAGGCAGCAAGGGCGATCCCCAGCCCCCAGACTCCCAGCATCTGTGATGCTATAACATTCCAAACAGTAGAATTCTCTGGCTGTGAAATTCTAAGTAATAGAACTCAGAAGGCTTGAAGTTCTAATCAATCAGGAAAACTTCCAGATGAAGGGAAGCTGCTGGGGTGCAAAAATCTCAGAGAGCAGCGGGGCATGGTGGTGCCTGCCTGCAGTCCCAGCTACTTGGAAGGCTGTGGCAGGAGAATCACTAGGAGTTGGAGGCTGCTGTGAGCTGTAATTGTGCCTGTCCCCTGCCCCAGTTCATTACTCCTTTCAGTAATCAGCTCAGACTCCAGGTCCTCAGAGAGGAGAATGGGGGCCTGTCTGGGTCTTAAAATCAGGCCTCAGGGCACAGTTTTCTAAGGCACGGTAAAGAGCCCTGGGCTGGAATATGTATGAATAATTAGGATTATACTGTAGTTAAATAATAATAATCAGAGAACAATAATAATAGCTGGCCTTGAGAGCTTATCAGTGTGCTAAGTACACATTGCCTCAGTTAATCACTTCTCTCGAGAATGCTGGGAGGTAAGAGTCATCTTTTTCCATTTCCAGGAAGTGAAAATCAAGCTCAGAGAGGTTAGTGAACTTGCCCAAGGTCACACAGGTGCCAGATAACTGGCGGAGCCTGAAGAGTGGAGACCTTATCCAGCGGATGCTTCTTGGGGGACTTTGGGAAGTCCCCAAAAGATTTCCCAAAGATTTATCCCCCAAGAGGATAAATCCTCTTGGAGCCTCAGTTTGCCCAGATGTACAAAGTACATCTGGAAAAGGCAGAGGGAAAAAAACAGGAGCAAAGGCAGAGGGAAAAAACAGGAGCAAAGAAGCCAGGCGTAATTACAGCTTATGCCTGTAATTCCAGCACTTTGGCAGGCTGAGGATTGCTCCAGCTTGGGAGTTCAAGACTAGCCTGGGCAACACAGCAAGACTCCATCTCTACAAAAAATGTTTTGAAAAATTGGCTGGGCCTGCCGGCATACGCCTGCAGTCCCAACTACTTGGAAGGTTGAGATGGGAGGGTCACTGGAGCCCAGGAGGCTGAGAATGCAGTGAGCTGTGATCCTGTCACTGTACTCAAGCCTGGGCAACAGAGTGAGATTCTTTCTCAAAAAAAAAAAAAAAAGAAAGAAAGAAAATGAACAGGAGCAAAGAAGCATGGACCACCACAGTTTGATGGGGACATGTAATCAGAAAGGATAACCTGGGGGGAGGAAGCTGAAAGTCCCAAGAACTTTGTAAGTGGCGTCTAATTAAGCCCATGAGGCAGGAAAATAGCCTATAGTCTTAGGACTAACACTATCCATGAGCCAATCCTTAAGTAAGCAGAATGTAGAAGGCTTGATTTCATGGCTGACACAGAGCAGAGTCAGTGGCAGCTTTTACTATTATTATTTTTTTTTCTTTTTATTTATTTATTTTTTTGACATACGGTCTCACTCTGTCACCCAGGCTGGAGTGCAGTGGTGCGATCTCGGTTCACTGCAACCTCCACCTCCCAGGTTCAAGCGATTTTCCTGCCTCAGCCCCTGAGTAACTGGGATTACAGGCACGCGCCTCCACGTCTGGCTAATTTTTGTATTCTTAGTAGAGACGGGGTTTCACCATATTGGCTGGGCTGGTCTCGAACTCTTGACCTTGTGATCCGCCCCCCTCAGCCTCCCAAAGTGCTGGGATTACAGGCATAAACCACCGTGCTCAACCCTAATTTTGTTTTTTATTTTCATGCTTTTTTTTTTTTTTTGAGACGGAGTCTTGCTCTGTTACCCAGGCCAGGCTGGAGTGCAGTGGTGCGATCTCCGCTCACTGCGACCTCCGCCTCCTGAGTTCAAGCAATTCTCCTGCCTCAGCCTCCTAAGTAGCTGGGACTATAGGCGCCCACCACCACATCTGCCTGGATTTTATATTTTTAGTAGAGACGGGGTTTCACCATGTTAGCCAGGATGGTCTCGATCTCCCGACCTCGTGATCCACCCGCCTCGGCCTCCCAAAGTGGGGATTACAGGCGTGAGCCAATATGCCCGGCTCACACCTCTAATCCCAGCACTTTGGGAGGCCGAGGCGGGTGGATCACCTGAGGTCAAGAGTTCGAGACCAGCCTGGCCAACATGGCAAAACCCCAATCTCTACTAAAAATACAAAAATTAGCCAGGTATGGTGGCAGGCGCCTGTAATTCTAGCTACGTGGGAGGCTGAAGCATGAGAATTGCTTGAACCTGGGAGTCAGAGGTTGCAGTGAGCCGAAATTGCACCACTGCACTTCATCCTGGTCAACAGAGCAAGACTTAGTCTCCATTTCAGAGTCATTATAGGCATGAGCCACCATGCCCAGCTCACTAATTTTTTTTTTTAAGAGACTGGGTCTCGGGCAGGCGCGGTGGCTCATGCCTGTAATCCCGGCACTTTGGGAGGCCGAGGTGGGTGGATCACCTGAGGTCAGGAGTTCGTGACCAGCTTGACCAATATGGTGAAATCCTGTCTCTACTAAAAATACAAAAATTAGCCAGGCATGGTGACATGTGCCTATAGTCCCATCTACCCAGGAGGCTGAGACAGGAGAACTGCTTGAACCCAGGAGGCAGAGGTTGCAGTAAGCTGAGATTGTGCTACTGCCCTCTAGCCTGGGCAACAGAGCAAAACTCCTTCTCAAAAACAAACGAAAAAGAGACTGGGTCTCATTCTGTCGCCCAGGCTGGAGTGCAGCAGCTACTCATAGGCACAGTTATAGCTCATTGCAGCCTCAAACTCCTAGTGATCATCCTGTCTCAGCCTCCGTAGTAGCTGGGACTGCAGGCGTGCACCACCGCGCCCCACTGATCACTGAGACTTTTGCACCCCAGAAGCTTTCCTTCATCTAGAAGTTTCCTGATAGATTAGAATTTCAAGGCTTCTGAGTTCTATTAGTTAGAATTTCACAACCAGAGAATTCTATTGATTAGAATTTTATGGCACCACAGAAATATTGATTAGCATTTCATGGCCATAGAATCCTATTACTCAGAATTTCATGACTTGAGAGTGCTATTGATTTGAATTTCATGGCATCTTGATGTTCCAGCAATGCAGGCGTCCCCAGATACCCACATAAATTGCTCAGATCTCTGCTCAAACTGTCGTTTTCCCAGGGAGGCCTTCCCTGACCTCCTTATTGCAAATTGTCTGTCTGCCACCTGCTTTGTTTTTTTCCATGCTGTTTATCACCACTTAACAATATGTCACATACATTACTTACTCCTCCTCGGCTAGAATGTAAGAAGCTCTAACAAGACAGAGATTTTTAAATTTTTCTTTTTTTTTTTTGAGACAGGGTCTCACCCTGTCACCCAGGCTAGAGTGCAGTGGCACAACCATAGCTCACTGCAGCCTCCATCTCCTGGGCTCAGGTGATCCTCCCACCTCATCCTCCTGAGTAGCTGGGACTACAGGCATGCAGTCACTATTTTAAAAATAATTATATAAACCGGGCCTGGCACTGTGGCTCACACCTCTACTCCCAGCACTTTGGGAGGCCGAGGCAGGTGGATCACCTGAGGTCAAGAGTTCAAGACCAGCCTGGCCAACATGGCAAAACCCCAATCTCTACTAAAAATACAAAAATTAGCCAGGTGTGGTGGCAGGCACCTGTAATTCTAGCTATGTGGGAGGCTGAGGCATGAGAATTGCTTGAACCTGGGAGTCAGAGGTTGAGGTGAGCTGAGATTGCACCACTGCACTTCATCCTGGTCAACAGAGCAAGACTCAGTCTCAAACAAACAAACAAACAAACAAACAAAAAACAGTAGTGACTGTTAAGTTGTCTACCTGCCTTCTCTAGCATGCTCCACCCCCACTCAATGTTTCAATTCATGGGTGGAGAGGGGAGTCACTGTGCCCGTCTCCCTAAAAAATAGGTCTCACCTGAGATGAGATCTACACTCCTAGGACAGGGAAAGGAATTGAAATGATGCAGACGGATGAGTCCAGAAAGGGATGTCCTAGCACCTGGAACCTACTCATTTTTCAGATCTCGAATGTTACCATCACCTGCTCCAGGAAGCTCTCCCTGACAGCCAGGTTAACTTTGCTTCCCTGTCAAATGCTCTTCAAGCTCCCCACACTCTGTTCACAGGACTCTGTACTGTTTGCATTTAATTATGTATTTATTTGAGGCAAGATTTCTCTCTGTCACCCAGGCTGGAGTGAAGTGGTGCAATCTCATTTCACCACAGCCTCCACCTCCCAGGCCCAAGTGATCCTCCCACTTCAGTCTCTTGAGTAGCTGGGACCACAGGCATTCACCACCATGCCCAGCTATTTTTCTTACCTTTTGTAGAGACAGGGTGCCACCATGTTGCCCAGGCTGGTCTCAAACTCTTGGGCTCAAGCAATTCTCCCACCTCAGCCTCTCAAACTGCAGGAACTACAAGCGTGAGGCACCACACGTGCCCTTTTACTGTTTGTATTTAGAGATGTGCTGGATGACTGATTGATGTCTGCAGACAAGGACCATATCTAGTTTGTAACTCCTACCTAGACCAGTGCCTGGCACACAGTGCATACGTGTAGAATGAATGCATGAATACCACATCACATTCTTGCAAGCAGGATGCAAAAAGACCTGCTGGGCATAAGAGCTGCCAAGGATCAGGGGATGCCAGAGGGAGGAGGACCTTCGGGGAACTGAGAGTTTGGATTCCAGCTGCCCCTCCAGAGCCAGCTCCTGGGTAAGAGGCCAACTAGAGAAGGGATAGGCAGACCGTGTGCGGTGGTTCAAGCCTGTAATCCCAGCACTTTGGGAGGCTGACACGGGCAGATCACCTGAGGTCAGGAGCTCAAGACCAGCCTGGCCAACATAGTGAAACCCCATCTGTATCAAAAATTAAAAAATGGGGCCAAGCATGGTGATGTGCACCTGTAATCCCAGCTACTCGAGAGGCTGAAGTGGAGAATCACTTGAAGCTGGGAGGCGGAGGTTGTGGTGAGCTGAGATCGTGCCGCTGCACTCCAGCCTGGGTGACAGGGCGAGACCGTATCTCAAAAAAAAAAAAAAAAGAGAGAGAAACAGACTAAACCATATACCATACTGGCGCTGAGACCTGTGGCTCCTGATGCTGTCACAGCAATCAGCCATGCACAATTTGAGCAAACAGACAATACATAACGACACGACACGGGTGGCTGTGTTTCAACAAAACTCTCCTAATTACACTAAAGTTTGAATTTCACATATCTTTATCGGTTGGGGAAAAGTCTCCCAATCCCAGAGATTAAGTGTTCAGTTTAAAGTAAGGGTGAGAGCCTCAGGTGGAAGAGAGACCCTTTTTTTCCCACCCCTGAGATGTTAGACAAGTCCCTTAACTGCTCTGAGCCTGGAGCGCCTGGTTTGGTAAAGGGTCTAATAAAAGTCCTTGACTCCCAAGGCGGTCGTGAGGATTAACTGAGATAACACCTTGAGCTCCAGCCAGGTGGGCTCAGCATGAGCTACCGGATTGCTATTGTTGGTAATAATTATTATTACTATTACCAGGGGGACTTTGAGAGGAGCAAACGGAAGGACGCATGCAAATCCTCTTGTGCAATGTCTGGCACCAAGGAGACCTTCCTAACCTCCCCTGTTCTGCAAACCCGTTCCCACCCTAGGTCATTCCAGACGGTCCACCCCAGCATCCTTCACTCTCCCCTCAACCCCCTCAATGCTCTCCTCCTCCCCACGATCCCTGGCTCAGACCAGAGGTGGTCATGGCAGCTGGCCAGGGTGCAGAGAGGGCCAGGCACAGAGGGAGGAGGGTTCCAACCAGGCCCCCCGCCCATTGTCTGAGCCTGCCAGCCCGCCAGCCAGCTGATGTCCTGGGTCTCCGACACCAGCTGGCCAGCCCCACCCCCACCCCAATACCCCCTCCTCCCAGGTCCCTCCCTGTCACTCAGCCTCTGCCCCCATCCGCCCACAGCCCAGAAAGACTCAGGGTGTGACCAGAGGGTCTGAGCTTTTGTCCCCCAAATCGGAGGCTGATTTGCATCTTTTAGCAATTTGCACACCCCATTCATTTGTGTAGAGCTAGACTGCCACAAAGCCAGCCTGGTCCTTGGGGCTTATTTATTTGAGTGGGGTTATAAAATGTGATTTTGGGTGTTCCCTTTCAGCCTTCAGCACTTCCTCATTCTGGGACTTTGCTCAGTGGCTTCACCACTGTTCCTTATCTGTAAAACGGAGGCAACACTTTCCTATACAGTGGTTGCGAGGAGTAAGATGTGTGTGATGTGCCTGGAATAAAGTGGGTGTTCAACAAACAAGAGCTGTTATTATCTAAACATCCTCCAGAGTTAACTGTTAAAACCTGTGCTGGCCTGGCGCAGTGGCTCATGCTTGTAATCCTAGCACTTTGGGAGGCCGAAGTGGGCGGATCACGGGGTAAGGAGTTCGAGATCAGCCTGGCCAACATAGTGAAATCCCGTCTCTACTAAAAATACAAAAATTTGGCCGGTCACAGTGGCTCACACCTATAATCCCAGCACTTTGGGAGGCTGAGGCAGGTGGATCACGAGGTCAGGAGTTCGAGACCAGCCTGGCTAACATGGTGAAACCCCGTCTCTACTAAAAACACAAAAAATTAGCCGGACGTGGTGGCGGGCGCCTGTAATTCCAGCTACTTGGGAGGTTGAGGCAGGAGAATCGCTTGAACCTGGGAGGCAGAGGTTGCAGTGAGCTGAGATCGTGCCATTGCACTCCAACCTGGGCAGCAAGAGTGAAACTCCGTCTCAAAAAAAAAAAAAGAAAATCAAACAAACAAAGAAAAATTAGCCGGGCATGGTAGCGCGAGCCTGTAGTCCCAGCTAATAGGGAGGCTGAGGCAGAAGAATCGCTTGAACCCGGGAGGCGGAGATTGTGGTGAGCCGAAATCAAGCCACTACACTCCTGCTTGGGCAACAGAGCGAAATAAATAAAATAAAATAAAAGGAAAGGAAACATGTGCTGTCCATTGGGTGGCCACTAGGCTATTTAAATTTCAATTAATTAAAATTAAATAAAATTGGTACTTTAGTTCCTCAGTTGCACCAGCCAAATTTGAAGTGCTCGACAGCCATGTGCGGTGGCTATCATACTGAGCTGCACAGATCACTGCAGAATGTTCTCTGGGATAGTGCTGATTCAAACCCTCTAATTCTCCAGAGTTTTTCTCCCTTTTCAGAATAGGGCTCTCTTCTCTGCAGCCTTTCTTCCCCTCACCCCCAACAAGGCCCATCGAGGCACAGTAATCTGCCCCACCCCACCCCCACTGTATCCTCTGGGCATAGATTCCAAAACCCCCAGTGGGTGGCTGAAACTGCAAATAGTTCCTAACCCTCCATAGTTTGTACTTGCAATGACCTTGGTGCGAAGGTGTTCTTTTGTTCTCTGCAGGGCCTGCACCTGGGATGGAGGCTGGAGAACAGGTGTGGAGCTGTGCCCTGGGGCACCGAGGGGATAGGCTCAATTGTTGGTGTTGTAAAGCAAACAACTGCACCCAACTCTGTCCCAGGCGCCAGCAGAAGCCTCCACCTTCGGAGGTGGACGAGGGAGGGAAGCCCTGGGGAATTGTGGGCCCTGTCCCCACTATCTCCCAGAGGCAGTTTAAGATCACATAATAAGTCTGGGCCTGGAATGAACAGTTTCCAGCACAGCTGACACCTGGGGCAGGTGCTCCAGATGGGAGGCCCAGAGTGCAGGGGGAGGAAAGGCTTGGCAACCTCACAAAGGCCAAGGCTCATCTGCACTGGAGGCTGTGGAAGGTGCGAATAAGTCACATTCAGATTATTTCAACCTATACACATTCCACATCCACTGTGGCCCCAACACCACCAGCAGAGAAAAGCAGGAGTGGAGAAACCCCAATCCTATCTACACCCTCATGCAGACATCCCAAAGTTAACATCCCCAGACCTGAACTCCTGCTTTCGCCCTTGGCATGTGTTTGTTCATCCCACAGCTGTCACCACCTCAGCCTGTGGCTGCTCCATCCTTTCAGCTGCTCAGCCCAGAACCTTGGAGTCACCCTTCATCCTGCTCTTTTCCATACCCCACAAACAAGCCATCAGCAAACTCCACCATCTCCACCTTCAAACAGAACACACATCCAACCCCTACTCACCATCTCTACTGCCACTACCTTGTTCCAAGCCATCACGGTCTCCCTCCAGAATCACCCAGTGGTTTTCCACCGTTGCCTCCCCTGGCATACCCTTCTCTCTAGAGGGATGATCATGTCGCTCCTTTGCTCAAAACTATCTAGAGGCTCTGAAATTTGTGGAGAACAAATTCAAATTCCTGGCAGAGCACAGTGGCTCAAGCCTATAAACCCAGCACTTTGGGAAGCCAAGATAGAAGGATTGCTTGAGCCCAGGAGCTCTAGACCAGCCTGGGCAACATAAAGAGACCTTGTCCCTACAAAAAATTTTAGCTGGGTGCAGTGGCTCATGCCTGTAATCCCAGCACTTTGAGAAGCCGAGGCGGGCGGATCACGAGGACAGGAGTTCAAGACCAGCCTGGCCAACATAGTGAAACCCCGTCTCTACTAAAAATACAAAAATTAGCTGGACATGGGGGCATGCGCCTGTAGTCCCAGCTACTTGGGAGGCTGAGACAGGAGAATCGCTTGAACCCAGGAGGTGGAGGTTGTGGTGAGCGGAGATCACGCCACTGCACTCCAGCCTGGGCAACAGAGTGAGACTCTGTCTCAAAAAAAAAAAAAAATTTAAAATTAGCCAGGTGTGTCTGTGGTCTCAGCTACTCAGGAGGTTGTGATGGGAGGGTCACTTGAGCCCAGGAGGTCAAAGCTGCAGTGAGCCATGATCGTGCCACTGCATTCCAGCCTGAGTGACAGAGTGAGACCCAGTCTCAAATAAATACATTAAATTAAATTAGAAATAAAAAATAAAGTCAGATTTCTTACTATGGCCTACCAGGCCCCACGTTATCTGGCCGCAGTCCCCTTTCTCAGTCTCTGCTGTATCCTGATGTCCTTTCTGTGCAGCCATCTTTCTGCCTCCGGGCCTTTGTTCCTGCTACCCTTACTCAGCCTGGCGGCTGTCTTACCTTCTCCAGGTTTTAGAGTTTAATTAACACCTCCTTAGAGAACACTCTCTCTGCTTCCTTATATAAAGTAGCACTTGGCCGGGTGCGGTGGCTCACACCTGTAATCCCAGCACTTTGGGAGGCCAAGGCGGGCGGATCACTTGAGGTCAGGAGTTCGAGACCAGCCTGGCCAACATGGCAAAACCCTGTCTCTACTAAAAATACAAAGTTAGCCGGACGTGGTGGCACATGCCTGTAATCCCAGCTACTCGGGAGGCTGAGGCAGGAGAATCGCTTGAACCCAGGAGGCCAAGGTTGCAGTCAGTCGAAATCGCACCACTGCACTCCAGCGTGGGCAACAGAGCAAGACTCTGTCTCAAAAAAAAAAAAAAAAAAAAAAGTTGGGTTGCACCTCTTGCCTTTCTCCTGCCTTGTTTTTCCTTGGAGTACCTAGCATAGTGTATACTGACTATGCTCATTGCCAGTTCATGGTCACTGTCCCCTCACAGAATGCCTCCCCCGTGGGGTGGGAATTTGGTCTGTCTTGTGCACAGTTGTAGCCCTGATGCTCAGGACAGTGCTTGGCACATGGTATGTGTTTGGTGATGGAGGGAAGAATGCACAAGCTCTGTGCTTGGTGCCATGCACAGCACCTAATATGGTTTTCTCACCCACTACCCACAGCCCCTAAGCCAGGTGCTGTTCTCACAGATGGGGAAATGCCACATAGAGACTATGATTTACCCCAGCCTAGTAACAGACCTATCCAAAGTGTGTCTTTTGTACCACTCCCCCATAGACAATCAGACTTGATAGCCAGGTTGCTGTTTGAGACCAAATTCTGAGGGCCCCTAGGGATTCACATGCATCAGCATGAGATCTGGGACCTTCTGCTCTAAGGGTGGGCAGCTCTGAACAGGTAAGTCTTTAACATTCTCAAAGAAGGCTTCAAATATCTGGATTTCTCCTCTCTTTTAGCCTGTCTAGGGCCATTTGTTTAGAGGAAAAATTTAAAAAGCAAATCACAGTCCTCCAGGGCATTCATGAAACCATGTATATGCCTTCCTTGGCCTCAGGCTTAAACATCCCTTCCCTGGTCTCCAAGATTGCAGCGTGCAGCCCCGCCCACTCTGCCTAGAGGTCTCTCTGTCCCTCCAGCCTGAACAACTGGGACAAGGGGTGGGACAGAGGGAATGAAAAGCTCTGCGGGTGTGGAAGGTAAAGAAGAGGTGATGGGGCCATGCTCAGTAGCTCATGCTTGTAATCCCAGTACTTTGGGAGGCCGAAGCGGGTGGGTCACCTGAGGCTAGGAGTTTGAGACCAGCCTGGCCAACATGGTGAAACTTTGCCTCTACTAAAAATACAAAACTTAGCTGGGCGTGGTGGCGGGCGCCTGTAATCCCAGCTACTCGGGAGGCTGAGGAAGGAGAATCATTTGAACCCGGGAGGTGGAGGTTGCAGTGAGTTGAGATGGTGCCCCATTGCACTCCAGCCTGGGTGACAAGAGTGGAACTCTGTCTCAAAAAAAAAAAAAAGAAGAGGTGAGGGAAGTGATAGGCTGGGTCCAAACAATGTAGGACTTTGTAGATCATGGTGGGCAGTTTGAATTTTATTTTAAGGACATTAGAGTCTTGGAGGTGTCATTTGTTTAACTTTTATTTATTTATTTATTTATTTATTTATTTGAGATGGAGTCTCGCTGTGTTGCCAGGCTGGAGTGCAGTGGCCCGATCTCGGCTCACTGCAACCTCGGCCTCCTGAGTTCAAGCAATCCTCCCGCCTCAGCCTCCCAAGTAGCTGGGATAACAAGTGTGTGCCACCACACTTGGCTAATTTTGTATTTTGAGTGGAGACAGGGTGTCACTGCATTGGCCAGGCTAGTCTCAAGCTCCTGACCCCAAGTGATCTGCCTGCCTCGGCCTCCTAAAGTGCCGGGATTACAGGTGTGAGCCACCGTGGCCAGCCTTTTTTTTTTTTTTTTTTTTTTTTTTGAGACAGAGTCCACTCTGTCACCCAGGCTGGAGTGCAGTGGCACAAACTTGGCTCACTGCAACATCCACCTCCCGGGTTGAAGCGACTCTCCTGCCTCAGTCTCCTGAGTAGCTGGGACTACAGGTGCGTGCCAGCACGCCCGGCTAATTTTTGTATTTTTAGTAGAGATGAGGTTTCACCATGTTGGCCAGTCTGGTCTGAACTCCTGATCTCAAGTGATCTGCCCACCTTGGCCTCCCAAAGTGCCAGGATTACAGGTGCGAGCCACAGCACCAGGCCTAGGATAGTTTTTCAAAAGGCAGGATGCAGGCTGGGCAAAGTGGCTGTAATCCCAACACTCTGGGAGGCCGAGGCAGGTAGATCACTTGAGGTCAGGAGTTCGAGACCAGCCAGGTCAATATGGTGAAACCCCCATCTCCACTAAAAATATGAAAATTAGCTGGGCGTGCTGGCACGTGCCTGTAATCCCAGGCTGCTCAGGAGGCTGAGGCAGAAAAATCACTTGAACCTGGGAGGCGGAGGTTGCAGTGAGCCGAGATCAATGCCGTTGCTCTCCAGCCTGGGCAACAGAGTAAGAGTCTGTCTCAAAATAAATAAATAAATAAATAAATAAATAAATAAAAATATTAAAAAAATAAAAGGCAGGATGCAGAAATGTGCTAATAGTATGATCTCAATTATGTAAATAGGTCCATGAACAGAAAAACGTTGGGAATACTATACAGTAAAATGGTGACAATTTCTTTCTTTTTTCTTTTTATTTTTTGAGACAGAGTCTTGCTCTATTGTCCAGGCTGAAGTGTAGTGGCATAATCACTGCTCACTGCAGCTGGCCAATGGGGTTTTGCTATGTTGCCCAGGCTGGTCTTAAACTCCTGGCCTCATGGAATCCTCCCACCTTGGCCTCACAAAGTGCTGAGATTCAGGCATGAGCCACCACCTCCCTGGCCTATTCCTCAATGTTAAGAATTAAGATAATCTGTCATGAGATTAGAGTTAAGGAAAAAAAGAATTCACTGTTATTTTTGTCACAATCTTCTTATGTAGTGTACAAATTCTTCACCATGACTATGCTCACATTCCTCTCATAAGCATAAACAATAATAAATTTTAATCATATAACCAGTAGCCAAAGAACTCGTTCATCTCTCCCTCTGGGAGTTTTGGGCTCTTCAGCCTTTTTGGGAGAAAAAGCCTTGCTTATTAGAAAAGCCCCAGCTGCTGGGCCTAGTGGCTCACACCTGTAATCCCAGCACTTTGGGAGGCCAAGGCGGGTAGATCACCTGAGGTCCAGAGTTCGAGACCAGCCTGGCCAACATGGAGAAACCCCGTCTCTACTAAAAACACAAAATTAGCTAGGTGTGGTGGCTCATGCCTGTAATCCCAGCTACTCGGGACGGTGAGGCAGGGAAATCGTTTGAACCCGGGAGGCAGAGATGCCGTGCATTGCACTCCAGCCTGGGCAACAAGAGTGAAACTGTGTCTCAAAAAAAAAAAAGAAAAGAAAAGCCCCAGCCCTGTCAAATATTTTTCTGGCACACAAAGAGATTTTTTTTAAAGTGCCATGGGTATTTCAGACTCCTGTTTACCCAAGAAGGACCAACACCTCTAAGTCGCTTCCCCTCGCTGACTGTCATCTGGCCTGGCCTTGTGTTTATCCTTCATTAGCGGAACGGGCATGGCCAGGGCAGATGGCAGGCAGCACACACTTCTCCCTAACGCCCATCTTTATCCTTCTCGTCACTAGTTAAAGAAAAACAGTCACTGGACTTGGACAAGAAAGAGCCAGGGCCTCAAGCAATTTCCTTAGGTCTATCTAAGTCTACAAGGCTTCCAGAAGGCTGTGAAAAGAATGTCAGAATTAAGTTCTATCACCTGAGTAACCTTCAGACTCAGGCTGACCTTATAATATCTCTTAACTTCCCTGGCGCTGGAAAATTTAGTTATTGCAAGGTTGAAGTCAAATTCAGTTTATAAGGCACCTAGCCCTGTCCCTTGACTTGTAAATGTTAATGGTTTATGGCTCTGATGTGCTCCCCAAAGGCCTATCCCCCACCCCAAAACATAAACACATTCCACCATGAACTATGCAAGAATAACAAATAAATAGAAAAGGTTGGTGACTTGTGTCAACTAACTTATTGTCTCTATATTTGAAACCACACAGAACTTGAGAAATCTCTATCTTTGAAACCAGGCCTTGTCCAGGCCCTTAGCAACAAAGTTTTATCTTCAGAAACAGTAGAATGAGACCAAGTGTGGTGGCTCACGCCTATAATCTCAGCACTTTGGGAAGCCGAGGCGGGTGGATCACTTGAGTTTGAGACCAGCCTGGCCAACATGGTGAAACTCTGTCTCTACTAAAAATACAAAAAATTAGCCGTGCGTGGTGGCATGTGCCTGTAGTCCCAGGTATTCAGGAGGACAAGGCAGAGGCAGGAGAATTGCTTGAACCAAGGAGGGGAGGTTGCAGTGAAGCAAGATTGTGCCACTGCACTCCAACCTGGGCGACAGAGGGACTCCATCCCCCCCAAAAAAAGTGGCCAGGCATGGTGGCTTATGCCTGTAATCCCAGCACTTTGGGAGGCCATGGTGGGCGGATCACTTGAGGTCGGGAGTTTGAGACCAGCCTGGCCAACATGATGAAACACTGTCTCTACTAAAAAAAAAAAAAAAAGCTGGGCATCATGGTGCACACCTGTAATCCCAGCTACTTGGAGGCTGAGGTATGAGAATTGCTTGAACCTGGGAGGCAGAGGTTGCAGTGGGCCAATATCACACCACTGTACTCCACACTCCAGCCTGGTCGACAAAGCGAGACTCCATCTCAAAAAAAAAACAACAAGTTTTTGAATCAACCTTGTGTTCCCTGGGTAATCCTAATTTGTTCATAATGTATTATACTTTTTATATATTGTTAGATTCCATTTCCTAATATTTTCTTTCTTTCTTTTTTTTTTTTTTTTTTTTTGAGATGGAGTTTAACTCTTGTTGCCCAGGCTGGAGTGCAATGGCTCGATCTTGGCTCACCGCAACCTCCACCTCCCGGGTTCAAGGGATTCTCCTGCCTCAGCCTCCTGAGTAGCTGGGACTACAGGCTCGCGCTACCACGCCCAGCTAATTTTTTTTTTTTTTTTGAGACAAAGTCTCACTCTTGTCCCCCAGGCTGGAGTGCAATGGAACGATCTTGGCTCACTGCAACTTCTGCCTCTGGGTTCAAGTGATTCTCCTGCCTCAGCCTCCCGAGTAACTGGGATTACAGGCGCCTGCCACCATGTCCAGCTAATTTTTTTTGTATCTTTAGTAGAGACGGGGTTTCACCATGTTGGCCAGGCTGGTCTCCAGCTCCTGACCTCAGGTGATCTGCCTGTCTCGACCTCCCAAAGTGCTGGGATTACAGGTGTAAGCCACCATGCCCGGCCAATTTTTGTATTTTTAGTAGAGACGGGGTTTCACCATGTTGGCCAGGATGGTCTCAATCTCCTGACATCGTGATCCTACCACCTCAGCCTCCCAAGTAGCTAGGACTACAGAGATGCAGCACTATGAATGGCAAATGTTTGTATTTTTTGTAGAGCTGGAGTTTTGCCATGTTACCCAGCCTGGTCTTGAACTCCTGGGCTCAAGCAATCCACCTGCCTAGGCCTCCCAAAATGCTGGGATTACAGGTATGAGCTGCCATGCTTGGCCTAACCATAAATGTAATTTTTTTTCTGAGACAGAGTCTTGCTCTGTTGCCCAGGCTGGAGTGCAGTGATGTGATCTCGGCTCACTGCAGCCTTGACTTCTCAGGTTCAAGTGATCTTTCTACCTCAACCTACTAAGTAGCTAGGACCATGGTCTTGTGCCAGCATGCCTGCTAACATTTAAAATTTAGTTTTTGTAGAAACAGGGTCTCATTATGTTGCCCAGTCTGATCTTGAATTCCTAGGTTTAAGGAATCCTCCCACCTTGGCCTCCCAAAGTGCTGGGATTACAGGTGTGAACCACCGCACCTGGCCTAATATTCTTAATATATATAGGATATTCAGATGATCACCTTATTCAGTAAGCTTTAGTAGTTGGCATCTTTCTTTTTTTTTCTTTTTTTTTTTTTGAGACGGAGTCTCGCTCTGTTCTCCAGGCTGGAGTGCAGTGGCACGATCTTGGCTTACTGCAAGCTCTGTCTCCCAGGTTCACGCCATTCTCCTGCCTCAGCCTCCGGAGTAGCTGGGACTACAGACGGCCGACACCACGCCTGGCTAATTTTTTTTGTATTTTTAGTAGAGACGGGGTTTCACTGTGTTAGCCAGGATGGTCTCGATCTCCTGACCTCGTGATCTGCCCGCCTCGGCCTCCCAAAGTGCTGGGATTACAGGCGTGAGCCACCGTGCCCGGCCAGTAGTTTGTATCTTTCAAGGAAATTATTGATTTTATCTAAAATGTCAAACTTGAGGGCATAAAATTCTTCATAATAGTTCTTTTTTTTTTTTTGAAATGGAGTCTCACTCTGTCACCCAGGCTGGAGTGCACAATCTCAGCTCACTGCAACCTCCGCCTCCCGGGTTCAAGCGATTCTTGTTCTTTTTTTTTTTTTTTGAGATGGAATTTTGCTGTTGTTGCCCAGGCTGGAGTGCAGTGGCGCGATCTCGGCTCACCGCAACCTCCAACTCCCAGGTTCAAGCGATTCTTCTGCCTCAGCCTCCTGAGTAGCTGGAATTACAGGCATGAGTCACCACGTCCGGCTAATTTTGTATTTTTAGTAGAGACGGGGTTTCTCCATGTTGGTCAGGCTGGTCTCAAACTCCTGAACTCAGGTAATCCACCCACCTCGGCCTCCCAAAGTGCTGGGATTACAGGCGTGAGCCACCATGCCTGGCACGATTCTCATTTTTCAGCCTCCTGAGTAGCTGGGATTACAGGTGCATGCCACCACGCCTGGCTAATTTTTGTATTTTTAGTAGAGACGAGGTTTCATCATGCTGGCCAGGCTGGTCTCAAATTCCTGACCTCATCATCAGCCCGCCTCAGCCTCCCAAAGTGCTGGGATTACAGGCGTGAGCCACTGGGCCCGGTCTCTCTTACTTGAATCTTAAAAAGTTTGAAGGTTGGGTGTGGTAGCGCGTGCTTACAATTCTAGCACTTTGAGAGGCCCAGGCTGGAGGATTGCTTGAGCTCTAGGAGTTTAAGACCAGCCTGGGCAACACAAAGAGACACCACCTCTACTACTACTACTACTACTAATAATAATAATTAGCTGGTCGGGGTGGGTGCCATGGTTCACGACTGTAATCCCAGCACTTTGTTTTTTTTTTGTTGTTGTTGTTGTTGTTTTTTCTGAGATGGAGTCTCGCTCTGTCGCCCAGGATGGAGTGCGGTGGCGCGATCTCAGCTCACTGCAAGCTCCACCTCCCAGGTTCACGCCATTCTCCTGCCTCAGCCTTCCAAGTAGCTGGGACTACAGGCGCCCGCCACCACACCCAGCTAATTTTTTTTTTTTGTATTTTTAGTAGGGATGGGGTTTCACTGTGTTAGCCAGGATGGTCTCGATCTCCTGACCTCGTGATCCGCCAGCCTTGGCTTCCCAAAGTGCTGGGATTACAGGCGTGAGCCACCGCACCCGGTCAATAGTAATTATTTTTGAGACAGAGTCTCACTCTATCGCTAGACTGGAGTGCAGTGGCATGATCTCGACTTACCATAACCTCAGTCTCCTGGTTCAAGCGATTCTCCTGCCTCAGCCTCCCAAGTAGCTGGGATTACAGGTGCCCGCCACAATGCGAGCTAATTTTTGTATTTTTAGTAGAGATGGGGTTTCACCATGTTGGCCAGGCTGGTCTCAAACTCCTGACCTCAGGTGATCCACCTGCCTCAGCCTTCCAAAGTGCTGAGATTGCAGGCATGAGCCACCGCATCCGGCCAAATTATTATCACTCTTTTTTTGAGGCACGGTCTTGCTCTGTCACCCATGCTGGAGTGCAGTGGTCGGATCACAGCTCACTGCAGCCTTGACCTCCTGGGCTCAAGCCAATCCTCCTGCCTCAGCCTCCTGAGTAGCTGGGACTACAGGCGTGCACCACCATGCCTTGCTAATTTTTTTATTTTTTGTAGAAAGGAGGTCTCACTTTATTGCCCAGTCTTGAAAATTATTTTTTGATAGGAGCATTGGAGAGATTTTCACAAAGGAAGTGAAATTTCAGCTGGGCTGTTAACCCCATCTGAATTCCTCATAGCCTTTTAGTTGTGGTTTAGAGACCCTTCCTGGGACTCTCTGAGTACATTGGTACCTTTTATTGTGTTTTCCAAAAACGTTCTAGGGAGGGCTTTCTTCATCAGTGCTCATGGCACTTTAAAGAGTATATATATACATGCATGTTCTTTTCTTTTTTTTGAGATGAAGTTTCGCTCTTGTTGCCCAGGCTGAAGTGCAATGGCGCAATCTCGGCTCACTGCAACCTCTGCCTCCCGGGTTTAAGTGATTCTCCTGCCTCAGCCTCCTGAGTAGCTGGTGTTACAGGCATGTGCCCAGCAAATTGTGTATTTTTACTAGAGACAGGGTTCCTCCATGTTGGTCAGGCTGGTCTCGAACTCCCAACCTCAGGTGATCTGTCTGCCTCAGTCTCCCAAAGTGCTGGGATTACAGGCATGAGCCACCATGCCTGGCCACATATGTTCTTTTCTTCTCTCTCTTTTTTTTTTTTTTGTTTTGTTTTGAGACAGAGTCTTGCTTTGTGGCCCAGGCTGGAGTGCAGTGGCATGATCTTGGCTCACTGCAACTGCCACCTCCCAAGTTCAAGCCATCCTCCTGCCTCAGCCTCCTGAGTAGCTGAGACTACAGGCACACGCCACCACTCCTGGCTAACTTTTGTATTTTTAGTAGAGACAGGTTTTCACCATGTTGGCCAGGCTGGTCTCGAACTCCTGACCTTTTGTGATCTGCCCACTTCAGCCTCCCAAAGTGCTAGGATTACAGGTGTGAACCACTATACCCAGCTGGTATATGCACATATGTTCTTATTTCTACATTTTTTTTTCTTTTTTTGAGACAGGGTCTCACTCTGTTACTCACGCCTGATCTGTTAGATCAGGCCAGAGTACATTGGTCTGATCTGGGGTAACTGAAACCTCTGACTCCCTGGCTCATATGATCCTCCCACCGCAGCCTTCTGTGTAGCTGAGACTACAAGCGTGTGTGCAACACCATGTCTGGCTAATTTTTGTATTTTTTGTACAGGCGCGGTTTCCCCGTGTTACCCAGGCTAGTCTTGAACTCCTGGACTCAAGCGATCCACCTGCCTTGGCCTCCCAAAGTGCCGGGATTAGAGGCATAAACCACTGTACCCGGCCGGCCTACATTCTGTCTTTTAAAATTTGTTTTCAATACACAAGTAAAATACAAATGCATTCTATATTCTTGGTGTGAGATATCTGAAATAATACTGAGAAACAAGAGTCTTTATTCTTTTCTTTTCTTTTCAGACGGAGCTTCCCTCTGTTGCCCAGGCTAGAGTGTAGTGGCGCGATTTCGGTTCACTGCAACCTCTGCCTCCCAGGTTCAAGCGACTCTCCTGCCTCAGCCTCCCGAGTAGCTGGGATTATGGACACCCGCCACCGCGCCCAGCTAATTTTTTTGTTTTGTTTTGTTTTGTTTTTTGAGAGGGAGTCTCGCTCTGTCACCCAGGTGGGAGTGCAGTGTCGTGATCTTGGCTCGGTGCAACCTCCGCCTCCGGGGTTCAAGCAATTCTCCTGTCTCAGCCTCCTGATTAGCTGGGATTACAGGCTTGTGAAACCAAGTCCAGCTAATTTTTGTATTTTTAGTACAGACGGGGTTTCACCACGTTGGTCAGGCTGGTCTCCAAATCCTGAGCTGTGATCTGCCAGCTTCGGCGTCCCAAAGTGCTGGGATTACAGGGGTGAGCCACAGCTCCTGGCCTTGTTTTGTTTTTTTGATACGGAGTTTTGCTCTTTTTGCTCAGGCTGGAGTGCAATGGCTCCGATCTCGGCTCACTGCAACCTCCCCCTCCCGGATTCAAGTGATTCTCCTGCCCCAGCCTCCCGAGTAGCTGGGACTAAAGGCACGCGCCACCGCACCAGGCTAATTTTTGTATTTTTATTTATTTATTTTTTTAGTAGAGATAGGGTTTCACCTTATAGGCCAGACTGGTCTTCAAACTCCTGACCTCGTGATCCTCCCGCCTCGGCCTCCCAAAGTGCTAGGATTACAGGCTTGAGCCACTGCGCCCGGCTCTAAGTTTTGTATTTTTAGTAGAGACAGCGTTTCGCCACATTGGCCAGACTAGCCTCGAAGTTCTGACCTCAGGTAATCCACCCTCCTCGGCCTCCCAAAGTGTTAGGATTATAGGCCTGAGCCACCGTGCCTGGTCTATTTTTTATTTTTATTTATTTATTTTTTTAATAGAGACGCTAGTCTCAAACTCCTGAGCTCAAGTGACTCTCCTTTGGCCTCCCAAAGTACTAGGATTACAGGCGTGGGCCACCACGCCCGGCCAACAGTTATTAAAATTACGATGATGAAATTTTAGGCATTTAGAATACTTCAGGCCAAAAACACTTTGAGCCAGGGGGCTCGCTCAAAGGCATGCGCAAAAGCCATCAGGCCTGTACCTGGAGAACTCAGGTGAGACGTTGCCACTCGTTGTAATCCCTCCCCCTAGCACTCGGCCCCCGAGCCTGGGCCACTGCCCTGGCTACACCGGGAAGTCTGGAGCTAGAAAGTGGGCCGTGCGCGTGACGGGCGCGCGTGACGCCGAGGGGGCAGGTCTGAGAAGCAGGCTGCGCCGGGATTCGGCGGTCGGTTCCCGCGGAAGGGGCGGGTCAGGTTAGGGGGCGGTGCTTAATGGGAGCTGGTCTTGGGGCCGGGCTTCCGCGTGCGTTGGCCTGGCGGCGAGAGCGCGCGGCGGGGGCGTGCCCGGCGGGCGGGGCGGGGCCAGCCGGGGGCGGGGCGGGGCGCGGCCTAACGGCGGCGGCGGCGGCGGCGACGGCGACAGCAGCGGTGGTGGTGTCTGGTTAGCTCGGCGGCTGCAGATCTCGCGGCGACGCCTGCGAGGGACCCGGGCCGCGGGTCGAGGCGGGCGGCGCCTGCGAGGGACCCGTGTCGCGGGTAGAGGCGGGCGGCGCGCGGCGGCGGCGCTCGGCGATGGTAGGCGTCCCTGGAGCGGCCGCCTTCCAGCGTAAGTGGGGCGTGAATGCGGGCGGCCGAGGGGGGCGTGTGAGGGCCTGCGGCTCCGCAGGCGCGGTGATTCCGAGTGCCCCGGGCGCGAGGCCGGGAGTGGAAACTGAGGCCCGAAGCGGGGCGGCGGATCCAAGGTCACGCAGCGGGGCGGGCCTTCCCGGGCTCCTGAGGCCACCCCGTCGCTTCCTGCGCCGCCCGAAGAGCTCGGGGCTCACGGTGTGAGGGAAATTGTGGGGCCCGCGGCCTCGGAACTTAGGCCGGGCCGGCGTCCATGGGACTTGCCGGCGGGCAAGAATCATTTTGTTGTCCCAGCGCTGGGGCCACGAAGTCCGGCTCCTGGGGAAATACTACACCCGCCCGATGTTGAGGGTTGGAGGAGATGAGAATGGCCCCTCGGAGGGCCTGTTTGAGCGCAGGCTCAGTAGTTGGCTACCTGGGTTCACATCCAGGCTTCCCCATTTAGGTAGTGACCTTGGCTCTCCCGGTGCCTCAGTTCCCCCATCTGCAAAATGGGGATGTGGAGCGGGTTCCCTCCCTCCCCCAGGGTTCTTGGGTTTTGTGAGGCCAGTAAAACGCTTGACACCGACCGTGGCACACACACAATTGTGAAAACTGTCATTATTGTAATCGTCCTTTATTAATCTGATCCAGTGTGCACCGCACTCGGAAAAGTCCGAAATTAGGCTCTAGCCGTGTTAAGATTTTGTTTTGTTGTCTGTTAGTCCTGCTCCATGATCTAATTGTTATTCTTACTTCCATTTAGCCATTCCAGTATTTATCTAGTGTTCCTCCTTGATGTGTGAGATCCTTGGGGGAGGGGTGGCTTCTCTGAATAAGAACAATAAAATTTTAATTGTTTTTCATTATTGTAATTATAATAGCCAACATTTTTTTGAGCACCAGACATTTTGCATTCTATTCACTTAATATTTATTAAATCATATAGTAAGTTTAAAAATACCATTCCAGGCCCTGGGAATACAATAAACAAGATAGACCGAACTGGGGTTTTGAGTTTAGTTAGGAGAGGGAGAGACATAGTAAATGAGGAAACAGATAAACATGTTTTGCATGTTTTTTTAATTGTTTAATCTTGATGACATCCTAAGTAAGACATTATTTGAGGATGCCCATTTTGCAGAGGATGAAACTGAGTAACAGAAGGTACTCTGAGTACTAGTCTCAGAGCTGATGTCCTTAAACACGTGAAAGGGAGGCTTTACGCTTCTTTTTTTTTGCACCCATTAAATGTTGGATTGAAGATAGAAAAAGTAGATACACCCAGCTTGCAGTTACTGCTTTTGATGGTTTGATCCATTCCTCATGAAATTTCCAACTAAAGAGGCGGATAGTGATTACTCTTTTAGGCTTGCAAAGGTACAGCATCTCTGTAAAATGAAAGGCTTTTTTTTTTTTGAGACGGAATCTTGCTCTGTCGCCCAGACTGGAGTGCAGGGGTGTGATCTTGGCTCACTGCAACCTCCGTCTCCTGGGTTCAAGCTATTCTCCTGTCTCAGCCTCCGGAGTAGCTGGGACTACAGGCATATGCCACCACGCTCGGCCAATTATTTTATTTTATTTTATTATTTTTTTTGAGACGGAGTTTTGTTCTTGTTGCCCAGGCTGGAGTGCAGTAGTACAATATCGGCTCACTGCAACCTCCCCCCGCCCCAGGTTCAAGCGATTCTCCTGCATCAGCCTCCAGAGTAGCTGCGATTACAGGCGCCTGCCACCACACCTGACTAATTTTTTGCATTTTTAGTAGAGACGGTTTTACCATGTTGGCCAGGCTGGTCGTGAACTCCTGAACTCAGGGGATCCATCTGCCTCAGCCTCTCAAAGTGCTGGGATTAGAGGCATGAGCCACTGCGCCCGGCCTTAATTTTTATATTTTTAGTAGAGACAGGGTTTCACCATATTGGTCAGGCTGGTCTCGAACCCCTGACCTCAGGTAATTCACCCACCTCAGCCTCCCAAAGTGCTGGGATTACGAGCGTGAGTCACCAAGCCTGACCAGAAAGGACTTTTTATTTGAAAAAATTGGGGGGCTCTTCTGCCTATGAAGTAGTCTTCCTTTGTTTCTTTACTTCCATAATAAACTTGCTTTCACTTAAAAAAAAAAGATTGTGTCCAAATTTCTTTTGTGTAGTATTTAGTTTAAAATATGCCCAAAAGCACAACTTTTGCTTCTGTTACGTAACTACATTTTTGTTTTCTTTTTTCCTTTTTTTGAGACAGTCTCTCTCTGTCACCCAGACTGGAGTGCAGTGGCGTCATCATGGCCCACAGCAGCCTCAACCTCCTGGGTTCAAGTGATTCTCCTGCCTCAGCCACTTGAGTAGCTGGGACTCCAGGCGCCACCACACCCAGCTAATTTTTTTATTTTTTGTAGAGATGGGGTCTTGCTTTGTTGCCCATGCTAGTCCGGAAGTCCTGGGCTTGAGTAATCCTCCTTCCTCAGCCATCCAAATTGCTGGGATTAAAGTCATGAGCCACTTTGCCTGGCCTTTTTTAGTGTTTCTAAGAGAATTCTGTATTACATTCCTAGACAGTACACTTGGTGTAGTACTCAGCCTCCTGAGGAGCTGGGATTACAGGTGCTCACCACCATGCCTGGCTAATTTTTTTTTGTATTTTTTGTAGAGACGGGGTTTAACCATGTTTTGGCTGGGCTCCTGACCTCAAGTGATCTGCCCGCCTCAGCCTCCCAAAGTTCTGGGATTACAAGTGTGAGCCTCTGCACCCGCCCTTGATTGAAGTTTTGGTTTTTTTTTTTTTTTTTTTTTTTTGAGACGGAGTTTCACTCTTGTTGCTCAGGCTGGCGTGCAATGGCATGATCTCGGCTCACTGCAACCTCCGCCTCCTGGGTTCAAGCAGTTCTCCTGCCTCAGCTTCCCAAGTAGCTGGTATTACAGGTGCGTGCCAACACGTCCGGCTAATTTTTGTATTTATAGTAGAGATGGGGTTTCACTACATTGGCCAGGCTGGTCTCGAACGCCTGACCGCAGGTGATCTGCCCGCCTCGGCTTCCCAAAATGCTGGGATTACAGGCATGAGTAACTGCACCTGGCCTTGATTGAAGTTTTTAACTGGCATGCTGGGAAAGAGAATATAGGAGTTCAGTCTTAAAATCGGTGCTTCAACCCCTGAGCCAGAGTCCTTGGGGAAGTAGTCTAGAACTGTGGCCTCACATGTTTGTTTTTTCTTTTTTTAAAACTGAGGTGGGGTCTTGCTCTGTTGCCCAGGTTCTGCTGCCCAGTGAGCATAGCTTCTGCAGCCTCTTATCTCTGGGGCTCAAGTCAGCCTCCCACCTCAGCCTCCCTAGTAGCTGTGACTACAGGCATGTATTGCCATGCCTGGCTAATTGTTTAAAAAGTTTTGTAGACATGGGGTTTCACTGTGTTTCTCAGGCTGGTCTTGAACTGCTGGGCTGCAGCGATCCTCCTGCCTCAGCTTCCCGGTATTGGGAGTAGAGGCATGAGCCACCATACCTGGCCACCTAAAATGTTTTTAGTGTTCATTCCATCAGTAAATAGGGTTGAGTATGCACACACATTCTATGAATGTTTTATTTTTTGTTTTTTTATGGTTTTTTTTGAGACGAAGTTTTGCTCTTGTTGCCCCAGCTGGAGTGCAGTGGTGCGATCTCGGCTCACTGCATCGTCCATCTCCTGAATTCAAGTGATTGTCCTGCCTCAGCCTCCCAAGTACTGGGATTTCAGGTGTATGGCACCACCCCTGGTAATTTTGTGTTTTCAGCAGTGATAGGGTTTCACCATGTTGGTCAGGCTGGTCTCAAACTCCTGACCTAAAGTGATCCACCCGCCTTGGCATCCCAAAATGTTAGGATTACAGGCGTGAGCTACCGCGCCTGGCCTGAATGTTTGTTTTAAATGGCGATTATAGTGTGACTGTACTATGTATTAGGCATATATATGTGTATATATATATATATATATATATATATATATTTTTTTTTTTTTTTTTTTTTTTTTTGAGACAGAGTCTCGCTCTGTTGCCCAGGCTGGAGTGCAGTGGCACGATCTCAGCTCACTGCAAGCTCCACCTCCTGGGTTCACGCCATTCTCCTGCCTCAGCCTCCCGAGTAGCTGGGACTACAGGTGCCCGCCGCCACGCCTGGCTAATTTTTTGTATTTTTGGTAGAGGCGGGGTTTCACCCTGTTAGCCAGGATGGTCTCGATCTGCTGACCTCGTGATCCGCCCGCCTCGGCCTCCCAAAGTGCTGGGATTACAGGCATGAGCCACCGCGCCCGGCCACTGTATTAGGTGTATTGTTTTGTTTTATTTTGTTTTGAGATGGAGTTTTGCTCTTGTTGCCCAGGCTGGAGTGCAATGGCGATCTTGGCTCACCACAACCTCCGCCTCCCAGGTTCAAGCGATTCTCCTGCCTCAGCCTTCCAAATAGCTGGGATTACAGGCATGCACCACCACACCCAGCTAATTTTGTATTTTTAGTGGAGATGGGGTTTCACCATGTTGGTCAGGCTGGTCTCAAACTCCTGACCTCAGGTGATCCGCCCGTCTCAGCCTCCCAAAGTGTTGGGATTACAGGCATGAGCCACCACGCCTGTCCTAGGTATGTTTTATAACATACAAAAATAGACATTTTACAGAAGGATAAGGTAAAATAAATGGAAGTAGCAGTTCCAACGTTGTCTTTCTACACCCAGTGGTGAATTTTAACAATACCTCCTGGGGTGGAGATCATTGATCTTGTAGTAGTACCTTCTCAATCCATTAGGTCTATTGCTCTGATGAAATCTAGTTTATTCGGTAGAAGTAAAATGTAATGGCTGGGTATGGTGGCTCGCGCCTGTAATCCCACCATTTGGAAGGTCGAGGTGGGCGGATCATCTGAGGTCAGGAGTTTTGAGACCAGCATGGCCAACATGGTGAAACCCCATCTCTACTAAAAATACAAAAAGAAGCTGGCTGTGGTAGCGGGGGCCTGTAGTACCAGCTGAGGCAGGAGAATTGCTTGAAGCCAGGAGGCAGAGGTGGCCGTGAGCTGAGATCCCACCATTGCACTCCAGCCTGGGCAACAAGAGGGAAACTCTATCTCAAAAAAAAAAAAAAAAAAAGGCCGGGCACGATGGCTCATCCCTGTAATCCCAGCACTTTGGGAGGCTGAGGTGGGCGGATCACGAGGTCAGGAGTTCAAGACCAGCCTGGCCAACATTGTGAAACCCCGTCCCTACCAAAAAACGTACAAAAAAAATCAGCTGGGCGTGGTGGCGGGTTCCTGTAGTCCCAGCTACTTGGGAGGCTGAGGCAGGAGAATTGCTTGAAAGAAACTGCGGAGGTTGCAGTGTGCTGAGATCGTGCCACTGCACTCCAGCCTGGGCAACACAGCAAGACTCTGTCTCAAAAAAAGAAAAAAATGTAATGGTTAAGATTTAAATTCTAAAGTTTTGAAATTTAATTCTGGAGTTGTGCTGAGGTTAAAATCCTGGGAACCAATCCTAACAAGTTTTGAGACTTCAGGCTCATTACTTAACCTTCTTGTGCAGTTCATTTTCCTCATCTGAAAAATGGAGATAAAATTTCTACCCCATTTGCAGGTTTATTATGATGGTTAATATATGTTAATATATGTAAAGTACTTAAAACCGTGCTTGACACATTCTGTTCTGGTGGTTGTTAGTGGCTGAGGGTATACCATCTGACTTAGGGTCTCAGTCTAGGAGGGGCCGTGCACAAGTCAACAGGTAATGATAAAGTGTTTTAAGTGCTTTAAGCGTAAGGCTTTTGGGAAGGCAGGGGAGACATAACTAATTATTCCTTGAGATTCCAGGTAAGGTCCAGCTAAAGGGGTGACATTAAACCAGGCTTTAAAGGAGAAGGGAGGCTTTTCCCAGGAGAAGGAAGGGTGAAGTCTACTGGCTGAAGGTAGTTGAGGGCTTGGTGAGTAGTTTATCAGATCTGGACCTACAGGGAACCTGATTGAAGCTTATATACCTTGTTAATAGTGAATTCTGGCTGGAGTTGTTCCTGGCAGGGGCCAGATGGCAAAGAAGCCTGTTACAGAACTTTTCACACCACCACAGCCCTTTCCTTCTCTCTCTGGCACATACCTCATTCTGCCTTCTTAGTTATCTAAGAATATAAGCTTCTAAATTATAAACTCCTTGAGGGTTTTGACAATGTTTGCATTTTTGTAATTTTATTTTGCCTAGCAAGGTAAGTAGGAAGTTCATTAGTGTCGAGAAAGGTATATAATCATTGGACCTTCAAGGAAGTCTAAACAGTTAAAAGTGGAATGGTAAATGACCATATTTACTAGTGAAAAACTTGGTTACAAATGTTTTGTAGTAGATAGGACCTGTGCATTACTATTTAAAAGGGGTAAGAATGATCATCTTCAGTATCCCTTTCCTTATCTGGCACTTATCCATTGGGATTACAGAAGAGATCGGAAAGTGCATCAGAAAGGCTTGTCTGACGTTGAATAGGTACCTTTTGTTTGCTCTTCTAGGTCTGCTTTCCATCCTTTTTCACCCTATCCTGTGCCCTGGGAAGCTGACTTACCTATATGGACTACATCAATGAGCTTCCTTCCCCTTTGAGGTTATGAAATTTATTTTCCTACTCCCGTCTCATGGGTTGTGCCCTTAGCTGACTCTGTCCCTTGACTGAAGGTCACTGCTTCTCTAAATGTGGTCCTCTCGGCCGGGTGCGGTGGCTCATGCCTGTAATCCCAGTACTTTGGGAGGCTGAGGCCGGCAGATCACCTGAGGTCGGGAGTTTGAGACCAGCCTGACCAAAATGGAGAAACCATGTCTCTACTAAAAATACAAAATTAGCTGGGCATGGTGGTGCATGCCTGTAGTTCCAGCTACTCAGGAGGCTGAGGCAGGAGAATTGCTTGAACCCGGGAGGCGGAGGTTATGGTGAGCAGAGATCACGCCATTGCACTCCAGCCTGGGTGACAAGAGCGAAACCCTGTCTCCAAAAAAAAAAAAAAAAAAAAAAAAGAATGTGGTCCTTTCTGTGTGACATCCTCCATGTAGGTTTGGAAAGTTTTTGTTCCCTTTGGTTGTTGGGCCTAGAGATCTAGAGATGCTCTCATTAGTCCCAGGGTATTACAGCTATCCCTTGTGCCTATCTTGTACCCTGCTCACATATTTCTTTCTAGTTCCATTATTAAACCCTCCTTGAATTAACCTTACTGGAGTATGCCATGTTTCCTGCTGGGACCATGACTGTGTTTGAAGCTTGTATACTTTTTTTTTTTTTTTTTTTTTGAGAAGGGGTCTCACTCTGTCGCTAGGCTACAGTGCGGTAGTGTGATCTGGGCTCACTACAATCTCTGCCTCCCGGGTTCCAGCGATTCTCCTGCCTCCGCCTCCCGAGTAGCAGGGACTACAGGCACACGCCACCACGCCCAGCTAATTTTTGTATTTTTAGTAGAGATGGGGTTTCACCATGTTGGCCAGGCTAGTCTCGATCACTTGACCTCGTGATCTGCCCGCCTTGGCCTCCCAAAGTGCTGGGATTACAGGCGTGAGCCACCACACCCAGCTTATTTTTATTTTTTTTATAGAGACAGGATGTTTCTATGTTTCCCATGCTGGTCTCTAATTACTGGGTTCCAATGATTCTCCTGCCTTGGACTCCCAAAATGCTAGGATTGCAGATGTGAGCCATTGAGTCCAGCCCTTCTTTGACTTTTGAGTAAGTTTATCCTAGTTTGGAACCAGTTAGTTTTCTTTTTATCTTACTGTATTTTTAAAATTTTTGTTTGTTAATTTTGAAACCAGGTTATGAGACCAACTTTTGTATTTTTGGTAGAGACAGGGTTTCTTCATGTTGCCCAGGCTGGTCTAGAACTCCTAGGCTCAAGTGATCCACCTGCCTTGGCCTCCCAACGTGCTGGCATTAACAGGCATGAACCACTGTGCCTGGCCCAGTTAATTTTCTTTCTTTTTTTTTTTTTTTTGAGATGGAGTTTCCCTTTTGTTGCCCAGGCTGGAGTGCAGTGGCACTGGAGTGCAGTTGCTCACTGCAACCTCCGCCTCCCAGGGTCAAGCCATTGTCCTGCCTCAGCTTCCCAAGTCGCTGGGTTTACAGGCATGCGCCACCACACCTGGCTAATTTTTGTATTTTTAGTGGAGATGGGGGTTTCATCATGTTGGCCAGGCTGGTCTCGAACTCCTGACCTCAGGTCATCTGCCCACCTCGGCCTCCCAAAGTGCTGGGATTATAGGCGTGAGCTACCGCGCCCAACCTGACCTAGTTTTCTTATATACAGAATCAAAAAATCAGCAGAGAGGTTGGGCGTGATGGTGGTGCCACTCAGCTGTAGTCCCAGTTACTCGGAAGGCTGAGGTAGGAGGATCGCTTGAGCCCAGGTGTTGGAAGCTGCAGTGATAGTGCCACTGCACTCCAGCCTGGGTGACAGAGAGACCCTGTCTCAAAATAATAAAAAATAATAATGGCCAGGCACAGTGGCTCATACCTGTAACCCCAGCACTTTGGGAGGCCGAGGCGGGCGGATCACCTGAGGTCAGGAGTTCGAGACCAGCCTGGCCAACATGGCAAAACCCCGTCTCTTCTAAAAATACAAAAATTAGCCAGGTATGGTGGTGGGTGCCTATCATCTCAGCTACTCAGGAGGCTGAGGCAGGAGAATTGCTTGAACCCAGGGGGCGGAAGGTTGCAGTGAGCTGAGATCACGCTGCTTCATTCCAGCCTGGGCGAAAGAGTGAAACTCCGTCTAAAAAGAAAAAAAAAAAAAATAAGCAGAGAGATTGAGTTTAAGCTTGTTCTCAAGTGTTAAATGTTGTATAGGTTATGTGAATCCAGAGTTTTAGGCAGGAAGAATGGTTTAAATGATAGTGCTTAATGAATGATTGCAGCCCTGGGATCAAAATGAGTTAATTCACTAAGTTCAGGGTAATGAAAATAGGAGGAAGAGGTGGGGAAGTAAGATTTCTCACCTGCCAATTTTGTTCTCATTCCTTAGAGTATTGTTTTGAATCTCATAGAAAGTGACCATTCTTTTGTAAAGATTTACTTCAAATCCCTGAAAGCTTGGAGGCTAATGAAGAAGAATCACTCTGGTTATTGTTTAGGCTTTAGTAAGATTACCAAGGAAGGGATCTCATAATGCTGTAGTAATAGTTTACATGTGCGACATGAGCTAGTGTTTGTACATGTGACAGACCTTGTTTCTGGATTTTATTAAGGCTGGTTAAGTAGCTTTTTGCCTCTGTCTCTGGTTTCTGTCTCTGGCCCCTTGAGGCTATCTGAAATTTTAGGAGTTGGGGTACCATAACTTGAACTTTTGAAATGAGTCAATAAGCAGATACGTCAGCCGAGTATGACTTTAAGTCTAGTTGAATTCTTTTAAGAAAAAGTCTTGGCTAGATTTTCTGCTGGGCATTTTTTATGTACATCAATCATCTCATTTAATTATAGATCAAACTTGGGAGAGAGTATCTCTGTTTTACTGATAAGGAAATCCTGGGCGACAGAGTGAGACTCCATCTCAGAAAAAAGAAAAAAAGAAATGAGTTAGAGAATTTAATTGTCCAAGGTCACACAGTTAATAAGTAGTAGATTCACTCTTCCTAACTAGTTTAATCTTGGTGTCAAGTTCATTCATTATGCATTGAGTGTCCAAACACCCATTTATTTTTTATTTTTTATTTTTTTTAAAGACAGTCTCTGTCGCTCAGGCTGAGTGCAGTGGTGTGATCTTGGCTCACTGCAACCTCCACCACCGAGGTTCAAGCAGTTCTGTGCCTCAGCCTCCTGAGCAACTGGGACTACAGGCGCCCGTCACCACACCCGGCTAATTTTTGTATTTTTAGTAAAGACGGGGTTTCACCATCTTGGCCAGGCTGGTCTTGAACTCCTGACTTGTGATCTGCCCGCCTCTGCCTCCCAAAGTGGTGGGATTATAGACGTGAGCCACTGCGCCCAGCCAAAAACCCACTTTTTTTTAACCCTCTATCGCATGGCTTCTTTTTGCTAGACTAGGGGTTTTTAGACATGTGTTCTACAGGAGCCCAGAGCTTCCTGAAGATAATTGATTTCCCATAATCTTTCTTCAACTTTCTTTCCCTAACAACTCTTCTTATTTAAAAAAAAAAGTCCAGGCCAGGCGCGGTGGCTCACGTCTGTAATTCAAGCACTTTGGGGAGGCTGAGGCTGATGGATCAGCTGAGGTTGGGAGCTCAAGACCAGCCTGACCAACATGGAGAAACCCCGTCTCTAATAAAAATACAAAATTATTCAGCCATGGTGGCGCATGCCTGTAATCACAGCTACTTGGGAGGCTGAGGTGGGAGAATCACTTGAACCTGGGAGGCAGAGGTTGTAGTGAGCCAAGATCCTGCCACTACACTCCAGCCTGGGCGACAGAGCAAGACTCTGTCTCAAAAAAATAAATAAAAATTTAAAAATTTAAAAAAGTCCAAATAATTGGGGTATGATTTAAAGATAGCTATATGAGACCTTGTTCAGGGGTATCCTAAGTTGGCCTTAGAGATGAATTAAAAAAATAAAAAGGCAACAGAAACTGTCAGCAGTCTTTAACAATTCATCCCATATGTTTCCTGATCTTAGCAGTGAAGCAGATGATGGCAGTGAACATCAAAAGCCCAAGAAATGTCCATGCTAATTTTGCATGGCTCTATGAGGAGCTGTCAAATATGGATCATCAAATATAGTATATAGACTATGCAATGAAGCTTTACTTTGCAATGTGGCTCTTTAAGATTTGATTTTACCCTTCTATTTTGTGTTGTAATTAAATGCAGAAATCAAAGTATAAATTCAGAATAACCCAGAGCTTGGTATCCTTCTGTCTGAATTTATAGCTTTGGAGTTGGCTAGACCTTTCAGTCAAATTAGCTGATGGTGACAAATATGTAATGTGACCTCTGTAGCAGCTCCAGTGAAATGTTAATATCAGGCATAGCACAGCTCCCTTGATACACTATTTTGGCCTTTTCCTCTCTTACAAATGTTTCCCTTATTTCTTTGTTAATTTAGCCATCTCCATGCAGAGGTCGTGCCTGCTTTTAATTTTTCGAAGCCACATGAGAACAGACATTTAAACAACACAGATTTATTCATTTTGGCCTTGTATCCCTAGAGCTACACTAACTTTATGTCTGGGACTAAAGGTGGAAGTAGCTGAGATTAGGGAAATGCAGAATGGTGAGGGAGAAGTGCCGGGAGAGGTGATGGTTTTAGCTCCTGCATTCCCCAGCCAATTGCTGAAATTCAGCTCCCCATTAATTTTCCCTTGATAAGTTGGTCTGGCTAAGTAGTTGAAACTATATTCTTAGCCTTCCTTTTTTTTTTTTTTTTTTTTTTTTTTTTGAGAGGGAGTCTCACTTTGTCGCCAGGCTGGAGTGCAGTGGTGCGATCTCGGCTCACTGCAACCTCCGACTCCCTGGTTCAAGTGATTCTCCTGCTGCAGCCTCCTGAGTACCTGGGATTACAGGCACATGCCACCACACCCAGCTAATTTTTGTATTTTTAGTAGAGACAGGGTTTCACCATGTTGGCCTGGATGGTCTGGATCTCCTGACCTCAGGTGATTCGCCTGAGTCAGCGTCACAAAGTGCTGGGATTACAGGCATGAGCCACTGCGCCTGGCCTAATTACAAAATTTACTTAATTTTTTATTTTGTAGAGATGAGGTCTCACTTTGTTGCCCAGGCTGATCTCAAACTCCTGGGCTCAAGTTATTCTCCCACCTCAAGCTCCGAAAGTACTGGGATCACAGGCGCAAGCCACCTTATGTGGCACTAGCCGGGATTATAGACAAGCGTCAGCTAATTTTTGTTGTTGTTTCTGTCAGTCCTTCCTTGCTTATTAGTTAATATTCTTCTGCAGAGCATTTTCTTATCTTTGTGTATATATATTAATATGGATTTATGGATTCTTATTTTAATACTCTGTTACTGTCATTATTTGTTGTGTTCACATTGTTCCAGATTTGGCCAGGGAGATCCCCTTCAAGCTGGCTTTTGTGTCATTTTGACACATTCCCACATTTTTTAACTGCTTTTTTTGACACACCAAAAAGGTGTTGTAGGCTTAGTTTCTGCTCTTCATTTTTTTTTTCTTTTTTTTCGTGTGTGTGACGGAGTCTCGCTCTGTCGCCCAGGCTGGAGTGCAGTGGCCCGATCTCGGCTCACTGCAAGCTCCGCCTCCCGGGTTCACGCCATTCTGCCTCAGCCTTCCGAGTAGCTGGGACCACAGGCGCCCGCCAACACACCCGGCTAATTTTTTGTATTTTTAGTAGAGACGGGGTTTCACCGTGTTAGCCAGGATGGTCTGGATCTCCTGACCTTGTGATCTGCCTGCCTCGACCTCCCAAAGTGCTGGGATTACAGGCGTGAGCCACCGTGCCCGGCCTAGTTTCTGCTCTTCTTACCCTCTTCTTGGAATCGGCCATTTCTCCAAACTGTTTCTCTCCTAATTCCTTTCAGTGGAGAAAATTATTTAGAAATCAAGATTTGGAGGCCGGGCGCGGTGGCTCACGCCTGTAATCCCAGCACTTTGGGAGGCCGAGGGGGGCGGATCACGAGGTCAGGAGATCGAGACCATCCTGGCTAACACGGCGAAACCCCATCTCTACTAAAAAATACAGAAAATTAGCCGGGCTTGGTGGCGGGCATCTGTAGTCCCAGCTACTCCGGAGGCTGAGGCAGGAGAATGGCGTGAACCCGGGAGGCGGAGCTTGCAGTGAGCTGAGATCGCGCCACTGCGCTCCAGCTTGGGTGACAGAGCGAGACTCTGTCTCAAAAAAAAAAAAAAAAAAAAAAAAAGATTTGGATGCTGTGTGTGCTCATTCCTATTGGAATATTGTTTTTTAGAACTTCTTAATGGACAGAGCTAGGAAATATATACACACACATACATATACACATATCAAAAAATATGTATCTAAATTTCTTTCTTTCTTTCTTTTTTTTTTTTTTTTTTGAGATGGAGTCTCGCCCAGTCGCCCAGGCTGGAATGCAGTGGCGCAATCTCAGCTCACTGCAACCTCTGCCTCCCGGGTTCAAGCGATTCTCCTGCCTCAGCCTCCCGACTAGCTGGGATTACAGGCGCCCGCCATCAGGCCCAGCTAATTTTTGTATTTTTAGTAGAGACGGGGTTTCACCATGTTGACCAGGCTGGTATCGAACTCCTGACCTCGTGATCCGCCCGCCTCGGCCTCCCAAAGTGCTGGGATTGCAGGCGTGAGCCACCGCACCTGGCCATTTTGTGTGTATTTTTAGGAAAAAAATTATTGTATAAAACTAGATAGCAGTGAAATATATTCATTTTGTATGGTTTATTTATTTATCTTTTTTTCTTGGTGCTTCTGTCTTGGCAGAGTCTCAGAATAACTTGAAATCTTTTTAAATTTTTTGTGACAGGGTCTTACTATGTTGCCCCGGCTGGCCTCGAACTCCTGGCCCAAGCGAATCTCCTGCCTCGATCTCGCAAAGTACTGGGATTCAGGCATATGCCACTATGCGTGGCCAAGATGTAATTTATATACAATCAAATTTACTTTTTTTTTTTTTGTCAGTGGGTAGAGAAAAAAACTTGCTCTTTTTCATGGCATAGTTCTATTA
Organism: Homo sapiens; assembly: GCF_000001405.40. Taxonomy (NCBI): domain Eukaryota; kingdom Metazoa; phylum Chordata; class Mammalia; order Primates; family Hominidae; genus Homo; species Homo sapiens. The sequence continues at coordinate 33,503,914 of NC_000020.11, forward strand.
GTTTTGTATTATTAGTATGCAGTTGTAATCATCAAACCAGATAGAGATAATTTTCATTCTTCCTGTAAGTTTTCTCACACCCCTTTCTTTTCACCTCGCTCTTGGAAGCTACTAGTTTATACTGGTTTTTGTCACTCACAGTTTTATGGGGGTTTTTGTTTGCTTGTTTCTCTACTTTTTCTTTTCTATAATGTCATATACATGGAATCATACAGTATGTAACCTTTGTGTCTGATGTGTTTCACTTACCATAATGCTTTTGAGATTCATCCACGTTGTGTCATGTATCTATAGGTTGTTCCTTTTTATTGTTGAGTAACATGTTATGTTCACCAGCTGATGGACATTTGAACTGTTTCCCATTTTGATGATTATGAATAAAGCTTTAAATATTCATATACGGTTCTGCATGTGGACATATGTTTTTCTCTCTCTTGGATAAATACCTAGGCATGGGATTGCTGGGTTCTATGATAATTTCATATTTAACTTTTTTTTTTTTTTTTTTTTTTTAAGATGGAGTCTTGCTCTGTCACTTAGGCTGGAATGCAGTGGCATGGCTCACGGCAGCCTCCGCCTCCTGAGTTTAAGCAAATTCTCCTGCCTCAGTCTGCCGAGTAGCTGGGATTACAGGTGTGCACCGCCACGCTTGGCTAATTTTTGTATTTTTAGTAGAGATGGGGTTTCACCATGTTGGCCAGACTGTCTCGAAATCCTGACCTCAGGTGATCCACCCACCTTGGCCTCCAAAAGTGCTGGGATTAAAGGTGTGAGCCACCACGCCCGGCCTATACTTAACTTTTTTGGAAACTGCCAAAATGTTTTCCAAAATGGCTATACCATACCATTTTGCATTTCCACTACTAATGTATGACAGTTTCACTTGCTTGTTGGTATTTTTGTTTTGTTTTGTTTTAGAATTAATTGTTAAGGAAGCACTATATCTGGGTGAAATCAATTTTGGTCATCTCATTTCTACAATGAAAGGAATACTCTCTGTTACTTGTTTTAGAATGTAGGGTCCCTTGCTATTTATATTCTTTTGGGGTTAGTGCAGTTCTTATTTACACATCATTTGCAGAAATAATGGTAACTACCATTTGTGTATCAGAACAATTTTCACATATCTAATTTTTATAGCAATTAAGGTAGGTAGAAGTGTCTTCATCCTCTTAACTTGTATAAGGAGATTGGTTCGGGTAATCAGGTGATTTACTCACTGTCACACGGCTAGAATGTGAGAGTGTGGCTTTTTGGATTTGGAGCTGTGAGGGGACATTCTGTCTCTCTTTTAAGTAGAGGTGTAATAGAGGAAGATATGGGTGTCATCCCAGTCCTTTCTTTTACCTCAAATTCATAAGCAGTGCAGTCTTGAACAATTCATATTTGAATTTTGAGTTAATTTCATCTTTTCACCTGTCTACCTGAAAAGGTGAGAATCAGTTGAGGGACTGTTAAAGGATGTTTTGAACACTGTATGTTACCTCATGATTAATTTTATAGTACTCTCCATTTGTAGTGGTTTCCATAGTTGTTTATGGGAACAAGTTTGCAGAAAAAAAATGGTTGAATAGAAATAGAAGGGGTCGGCCGGGTGCAGTGGCTCACGCCTGTAATCCCAGCACTTAGGGAGGCCGAGGCGGGTGAATCACTGGAGGTCAGGAGTTCGAGACCAGCCTCAACATGGAGAAACCCCCATCTCTGCTGAAAATACAAAATTAGCCAGGCGTGGTGGTGCATGCCTGTAATCCCAGCTGCTCAGGAGGCTGAGGCAGGAGAATTACTTGAACCTGGGAGGCGGAGGTTGCAGTGAGCCGAGATCGCGCCATTGCACTCCAGCCTGGGCAACAAGAGCGAAACTCTTGTTTCAAAAAAAAAAAGAAAGAAATGGAAGGGGTCAGGTGTGGTGGCTTAGGCTTGTAATCCTAACACTTTGGGAGGCTGAGGCACATGGATCACTTGATATCAGGAGTTCAAGACCAGCCTGGCCAGCATGGGGAAACCCTGTCTCTACTATAAGTATGAAAATTAGCCAGACTGGTGGCGCACGCCTGTAATCCTAGCTATTAGGGAGGCTGAGGCAGGAGAATTGCTTGAACCCAGAAGGTGGAAGTTGCAGTGAGCTGAAATCGTGCCACTGCACTCCAACCTAGGGGACAGAGTAAGACTGTCTCAAAAAAAATAAAAATAAAAAAAGAAAAGAAATAGAAGGGGCTGGGTATGGTGGCTCAAGCCTATAATCCCAGCATTTTGAGAGGCCACAGTGGGAAAATTGCTTGAGTCCAGGAGTTTGAGACCACACTGGGCCAACACAGACCCTGTCTCTACAAGATAATAATAATAGTCATAATAATATAAATTAATACAAAAAAGAAGAGAAGCAATTTAATACAAGAGCTGAATAGCAAAATGGCCAGTACTACTACAATACACACAGAGACACAGGTCCCCTCTTTTTTCATATTTACTTTGTTTTATGTAATACATAAATACATTGAAAAAAATTAATACAGATAAAATAAAAATCCACTTCCTACACTAAGTGAAACCATTAACAACTGTATTATGGAGCTGTTAGATGCAGGGATTGCGCTAAGTGCCATAGGGCTGCCAAGGTAGGTAAGATTCGGTCCCGGTCCTCAGTGATTTTCTAGTTTTCCTTCTGTGCCCTAACAGTTTTTGGATAGCTCTTGTAATAAAAACTTTTAAACAGATGTTTTAAGTTTAGATAGTGATTAACCATCTTTTCCTCTTGTAATTGATGCCATCGAGTGAGAGTTCTGTTGGGAAATAGTGAAACAAGGATTCTGGTTCAATCAATGGAGGCAGGGAATTTCGGAGGAAGGAGATGGGATGCCATCCATGCCCCAGAGCCACTGAGCACTTAGCTGCAGCTGTGGAGAGCAACACTTGGCTAGCTATGAGTTTTCTGTAGGTCTCTAAATAGTTCATGCTAATTTTGTGGATGTTGGACTCTGAGGAATGGTGTGTTCAATGGGGAGAATGTCCAAAAAAACTGTAACTGGTAAGTAGCCATTTGGAATACTGAAATCAATTTCTGATTATGTGAATGTCCCTTTTTTGTAAATTATTTTAGCTTACTTGCCAGTTCAGTTTCTTGGTGTTACCCTGTTAGTTAAATTCAATATGTCATTTATTTAAGGGCCTGATATTTGTATTCTATTAGAAGGACAAACAGCTAATTATACTAGAAGGTGGACTATAATGAATTGTCATTACAGTGACTAAAAGTTATTGATTTTCTAGGATATTCTTGATTTCAGATATTTACTTTGACAAACGTTTATTGAATTCCTTGTATCAGATCCTGGGGGATATAAAGAGTTCTGAGGTCCTGGAGGACTATGTAGTCCAGTAAGGGAGATTGATAGCTTCAGTACCAAATGCTAAGCAGTGTTAATGGCAAGTAACATCCTACCAAGGATGGGCATCTGACCTAATGTGTAAGTATGCATGTGTGAGTGTGTTTCAAAAAAGGCTTCTTAGAGAAAATGATATCTGTTTTGAGCCAATCTGTTTTTCCTTACAACATAAAAAAATAATTTTTGGACTGGCTATGTATTTAGCTAATTTAACATTTGAAACGAACAAAGAATACTTATTGAAGTTTCTCTCACCTCTGCACCAGCCAGTCTTTTCCCCTTCCTGGAAGCAGCTAGCATTACCATTTTTTTCTGGACCCTTTCGATACATTCCTGTAGGCCATATAATGTCGGTAGGTAAAGAACTTCCTCATTTTGCATTGTATTTCATTGTATGACTGCACCATACTTTTTCCCCCCTACTGCTGATGGACATTTACCTTTCAATCCTTTGCTGTTGCAAACAATGCTGCATAACCTTGTAGCAATTGTCTTTTCATAGATCTGTAGAGTAAATTCCTAGAAGTAGAACTGCTGGGGTTAAGGGGTTTGCCTGTTTGTGTAATTTTGATAGATGTTGCCAGAATACCCTCTGGAGAGGTATATCAGCTTTTATACTCCTACCAGCAAAGCATGACCCAAGTGAAGAATGGGTAGGAGATGGGTGAAGTTGAGGCTGGGTCAGGTTTATGAGTGTGAGGGGGACTGAAAGTAGTTATGTATTATTGAAGTGTGAAGTGCTGGGTAAAGAATAGCAGGAGATGAGAGTAGGAAGCAGACGGGTCAGGTCCCTTTGCCTTTGTGCTGTTTTTGTTTGTTTGATAGCCTCTTACTCTGGCCCAGGCTAGAGTGCAGTGGCGCAATCTCAGCCCACTGCAACCTCCGCCTCCCGGGTTTAAGTGATTCTCCTGCCTCAGCCTCCCAAGTAGCTGGTATTACAGGTGTGCGCCACCACACCTGGCTAATTTTTGTGTTTTTGGTAGAGATGGAGTTTCACCATGTTGCTCAGGCTGGTGTCAAACTCCTGGGCTCAAGTGATCTGCCTACCCCGGCCTGCCAAAGTGCTGGGAGAACAGGTGTGAGCTACTGCACCCCGCCTGCCTTTGTTTTTATGCTTGTATTTTTTTGTTTGTTTGTTTTTTTAGCTTTTAAGTTGAGGGCTACATGTGCAGATTTGTTACATAGGTAAACTTGTGTCATGGGCGTTTGTTGTACAGATTACTTCCTCACCCAGGTATTAGCCTAGTACCTGTTATTTTTCCTGATCCTCTCCCTCCTCCCACCCTCCACTTTCCCATAGGCTCCAGTGTGTTTTGTTCCCCTCTTATATGTCTATGTGTTCTCATCATTTAGCTCCCACTTGTAAGTGAAAACATGCGGTATTTGCTTTTCTTTTCCCATGTTAGTTTGCTAAGGATAATGGCTTCCAGTTCCATCCATGTCCCTGCTGCAAAGGACATGATCTTCTTTTTTATGGCTGCATTTATAAGACAAGAGGGGTTTATTTAAACTTCTGCTATCAGAAGTAGGAAATTGGGATCCCATTAGGGCTTAACTTAATTGGTTTGATTTCAGCTTTTTAGCTTGGAGGCTGCTGAAGAGTTAATTTATTGTATGAGAGTTTGGCCGTGTGTGGAGCACAAACTTACTTGTTTTAAAGAAAGGATTTCTTTGTACATTTATTCATTTGCCAGATCAGTCGTTTACATGTGAACCCTCTTCACAGTTAGTTATAGGGAAAACAAGCAGATAATTCATGCCAGTTAAATATTACAATATGTCAGACTTGGCTGGGTGTGGTGGCTCACACCTGTAATCCCAGCACTTTGGAAGGCTGAGGTGGGCAGATCATCTGATGTCAGGAGTTTGAGACCAGCCTGGCCAACATGGTGAAATCCCTTATTTACTAAAATTACAAAAATTATCTGGGTGTGGTGGCACACACCTGTAGTCCTAGCTACTTGGGAGGCTGAGGTAGGAGAAACACTTGAACTCTGGAGGTGGAGGTTGCAATGAGTCAAGATTGCACCACTGCACTCCAGCCTAGGCGACACAGCGAGACTCCCTCTCAAAAAATAAAAAATAAAAAGAACACGACACACTGATTCAGATCCCAAGATTAAGGGGGAAAACAAGGCTTCAGATTTTATTAAACTTATCCTAAATAATGATGTTTTTAAAAGGAAACCTTTGGGGAAATAATCTGTCGGTAACAGATGTCTAAATTTTTCCTTATTTGAAAAGGTCCTGGCTGGGCACGGTGGCTCACACCTGTAATCCCAGCAATTTGGGAGGCCGAGGTGGGTGGATCATTTGAGGTCAGGAGTTTGAGACCAGCCTGGCCCAATGTGATGAAACCTCGTCTCTACCAAAAATACAAAAATTAGCTGAGCATAGTGGTGGGCTCCTGTAATCCCAGCTACTTGGGAGGCTAGGGCAAGAGAATCTCTTGAACGTGGGAGGCGGAGCTTGCAGTGAACTGAGATCACAACACTGCAGTCCAGCCTGGGAGATAGAGTAAAACTCTTTTTTTTTTTTTTTAAATACAAGTTCTAGGGTACATGTGCACAATGTGCAGTTTTGTTACATAGGTATACATGTGCCATGTTGGTTTGCTGCACCCATTAACTCGTCATTTACATTAGGTATTTCTCCTAATGCTATCCTGCCCCCTGCCCCCCACCCCACCACAGGCCTCGGGGTGTGATGTTGCCTGCCCTGTGTCCAAGTGTTCTCATTGTTCAATTCCCACCTGTGAGTGAGAACATGCGGTGTTTGGTTTTCTGTCCTTGTGATAGTTTGCTCAGAATGATGGTTTCCAGCTGCGTCCATGTCCCTGCAAAGGACATGAACTCATTGTTTTTTATGGCTGCATAGTATTCCATGGTGTATATGTGCCACTTTTTCTTTTTTTCTTGTTTTTTTTTTTTTGGAGACAGAGTCTCGCTCTGTCGCCCAGACTGGAGTGCAGTGGCGCTATCTTGGCTCACTGCAAGCTCCACCTCCCGGGTTCATGCCATTCTCCTGCCTCAGCCTCCCGAGTAGCTGGGACTACAGGTGCCCTCCACCACGCCCGGCTAATTTTTTTTGTATTTTTAGTAGAGACGGGGTTTCAGTTGTTAGCCAGGATGGTCTCAATCTGCTGACCTCGTGATCCGCCCGCCTCGGCCTCTGGAAGTGCTGGGATTACAGGCGTGAGCCACCACGCCCGGCCACATTTTCTTAATCTAGTCTATCATTGATGGACATTTGGGTTGGTTCCGAGTCTTTGCTATTGTGAATAGTGCCGCAATAAACATACTTGTGCATATGTCTTTATAGTAGCATGATTTATGATCCTTTGGGTATATGCCCAGTAATGGGATCGCTGGGTCAAATGGTATTTCTAGTTCTAGATCCTTGAGGAATCACCACACTGTCTTCCACAATGGTTGAACTAGTTTACACTCCCACCCACAGTGTAAAAGCATTCCTATTTCTCCACATCCTCTCCAGCATCTGTTGTTTACTGACCTTTTAATGATCGCTATTCTAACTGGTGTGAGATGGTATCTCATTGTGGTTTTGTTTTGCATTTCTCTGATGACCAGTGTTGATGAGCATTTTTTATGTGTCTGTTGGCTGCATAAATGTCTTCTTTTGAGAAGTGTCTGTTCATATCCTTCACCCACGTTTTGATGGGGTTGTTTGTTTTTTTCTTGTAAATTTGTTTAAGTTCTTTGTAGATTCTGGATATTAACCCTTTGTCAGATGGATAGATTGCAAAAATTTTCTCCCATTCTGTAGGTTGCCTGTTCACTCTGATGGTAGTTTCTTTTGCTGTGCAGAAGCTCTTTAGTTTAATTAGATCCCATTTGTCAATTTTGGCTTTTGTTGCCATTGCTTTTGGTGTTTTAGTCATGAAGTCCTTGCCCATACCTGTGTCCTGAATGGTATTGCCTAGGTTTTCTTCTAGGGTTTTTATGGTTTTACGTCTAATATTTAAGTAGTTAGTCCATCTTGAATTAATTTTTGTATAAGGTGTAAGAAAGGGATCCGGTTTCAGTTTTCTACATATGGCTAGCCGGTTTTCCCAGCACCATTTATTAAATAGGGAATCCTTTCCGCATTTCTTGTTTTTGTCGGGTTTGTCAAAGATCAGATGGTTGTAGATGTGTGGTTTTATTTCTGAGGCCTCTGTTCTGTTCCATTAGTTTATATATCTGTTTTGGTACCAGTACCATGCTATTTGAGCAAAACTCTTAAAAAAATGGTTTATGTAAAGAGAAAAGTAACAGAAAAAAGGCTGTCTTCCAAAAGGATTACAGGTGTGAGCCATCATGCCTGGCCATAAACTTTTTATTAAATAGACAAAATGCATAAATCATAAATGTACAGCTCAGTGAATTTTCACAAAGTGATCATACCTGTGTAGCTACTATGTAGATCAAGAAATAAAGCATTAGGGCATGGTGGTGCATGCCTGTAGTCCCAGCTACTCAGGAGGCTGAGGCAGGAAGATCACTTGAGCCCAGGAGTTCTGAGGATGCAGTGAGCCATGATCATGCCACTGCACTCCAGCTTGGGCTACAGAGCAAGACCCTGTCTCAAGAAGAAGAAGGCTGGGCACAGTGGCTTACGCCTGTAATCCCAGCACTTTGGAAGGCCAAGGCAGGGAGATCACTTGAGGTCAGGAGTTTGAGACCAGCCAGGCCAACATGTGAAACCCTGCCTCTACTAAAAATACAAAGATTAGCTGGGCGTGGTGGCATGCGCCTGTAGGCCCAGCTACGTGGGAGGCTGAGGTAGGAGAATCGCTTGAACCCGGGAGGGGGAGGTTGCAGTGAGCTGAGATCTACGCCACTGCACTCCAGGCCAGCGACAGAGCGAGACTCTGTCTTCAAAAAACAAAAATTAGCCGGGCATGGCGGTGTGCAGGCGGTGTGCACCTGTTAATCCCAGCCTCTCGGGAGGCTGAGGCAGGAGAACCACTTGAACCTGGGAGGCAAATGTTGCAGTGAACCAAGATGGGGCTACTGCACTCCAGCCTGGGCGACAGAGCGAGACTCCCTCTCAACAAAAAAAAAGTAAAAGAAAACATTAACAGCAACCACTTCAGAAGCCTACCTTCTTACTTGCCAGTCACTGTCCCTCCTTCTCCAAGGGGTAACCACTATCCTGACCTCTATCACCATTCATTAGTTTTGCTTTATTCTTTTTGAACTTTATATAAAGAGTCATATAATGTGCATTCTTCCATATCTGGCTTCTTTTGCTCAACAGTAATGATACATGATCTTGTGTTAGTAATAATAGTCCATTCTCAAATTTCTGTCTAGGGTTTTGCCACAGTAATATACCACAGTCGGTCCATTCTGCTGTTGAGGTATATTCTGATTGTTTCTAGTTTTGGACTATTAGGAATAACGCTGCAGGGAACATTCTTCTGTGTATGTGGGTGCACGTATGTATGTCTTTTTTTTTTTTTTTTTGGAGACGGAGTCTCAACTGTGTTGCCCAGGCTGGAGTGCAGTGGCGCGATCTCGGGCTGACTGCAAGCTCCGCCTCCTGGGTTCAAGCCTTTTTCCTGCCTCAGCCTCCCAAGTAGTTGGGACTACAGGCTCCTGCCACCAAGCCCAGCTAATTTTTTGTATTTTTAGTAGAGACAGGGTTTCACTGCATTAGCCAGGATGGTCTCGATCTCCTGACCTTGTGATCCACCCACCTTGGCCTCCCAAAGTGCTGGGATTACAGGCGTGAGCCACCGCACCCGGCCACGTATGTATGTCTTTTTGTTGGGTGTATGCCTAGGAATGGGATTGGAGGGACATACAGTGTGCATATGTTCAGCTTTAGTAGATGCTGCTGCTGTCAAAGTTTTCCAGAGTTGTTCTATCAGCCAATGCTTGCATCAGCAGTCTGTGAGAGTTCCATTTATTACACATCCTCTCCAGACTAACAACTTGCTGTTGTTAATGTTTAACCTTTTTGAAGAGCCTCTGCTTTGTGAGATAGGTAGAGGGCATACAGTCGTGAAGAAAACAGTGCTGCTTTCATAGACCGTAATGGGTTTTTTTGTTTTTTTTTTGGTTTTTTTTTTTGAGATAGAGTCTCACTCTTGTCTCCCAGGCTGGAGTGCAGTGGCACAGTATCAGCTCACTGCAACCTTCACCTCTCAGGTTCAAGCGATTCTCCTGCCTCAGCCTCCCAATTACAGCTGGGATTACAGGTGCCCACCATCACGCCCAGCTAATTTTTGTATTTTTTAGTAGAGACGGGGTTTCACCATGTTGGCCAGGCAGGTCTCGAACTCTTGACCTTGTGATCCGCCTGCGTTGGCCTCCCAAAGTGCTGGGATTACAGGCGTGAGCCACCGCACCTGGCCAGATTAGCTGGGGCATGGTGGCAGGTGCCTGTAATCCCAGCTACTTGGGAGGCTGAGGCAGGAGAATCGCTTGAACCCGGGAGGAAGAGATTGCAGTGAGCCAAGATTGCGCAACTGCGCTACTGGCCGGGTGACAGAGTAAGACTCTGTCCCAGGAAAAAAAAAAAAAAAAAAAAGAATGTTGTACCTGTTTAATATATTTAGGTGTTGATAAGTACTTGCTGTTTTTTGTTTTGTGTTTTTTTTTGTTGTTGTTGTTGTTTTGAGAGGGGGTCTTTTGCCCAGGCTGGAGTGCAGTGGTGCGATCTCGGCTCACTGCAGCCTCTGCCTCCTGGGTTCCAGCAATTCTCCTACCTCAGCCTCCCAAGTAGCTGGGATTGCAGGCACCGGCCACCATGCCTGGCTACTTTTTTTGTATTTTTAGTAGAGACAGGATTTTACCATGTTGGTCAGGCGGGCCTCGAACTCCTGACCTCAGGTGATCCACCTGCTTTGGCCTCCCAAAGTGCTAAGATTACAGGCGTGAGCCACCGTGCCCTGCCTTTGTTTTTTTTTTTTTTTTTTTTTTTTTTGAGATAGAGTCTTACTCTGTCACCCAGGCTGGAGTGCAGTGGTGCGATCTCGGCTCGCTACAACCTCCACCTCTTGGGTTCAAACGATTCTCCTGCCTTTGCCTCCCCAGTAACTGGGATGACAGGTGTGTGCTACCACACCGAGCTAATTTTTGTATTTTTAGTAGAGACGGGGTTTCACCATGTCTGGAGAGGAGCAGTCCAGGCAAAGGTAATAGCGGGTGTTGAGGCCCTGAGGTAGGAACATGCTTGATATGTTTAAAGAGCACCAAGGAGGCTAGCATGGCTGGAGCAGGGGATGGAGCGAAAAGCTGATGTCAGGGAGGTAGATGGGGGCCAGAGCACACAGCGCATTTGGGGTCATGGTAAGGATTTTGGATTTGCTGAATGAAATCAGTTTTGAGCAGGAGGGTGACATTATCCCCTTTACCTTTTAAAGAGATTGCTTTTATTTATTTATTTATTTTATTATTATTATTTTTAAAGACAAAGTCTTGCTCTGTCCTATAGGCTGGAGTGCGATGGTGGGGTCTTGCTCACTGCAACCTCCGCCTCCTAGGTTCAAGTGATTCTCCTGCCTCGGCCTCCCGAGTAGCTGGGACTACTGGTGCCTGCCATCACACCTGGCTGATTTTTTAATTATTAGAGATGGGGTTTCACTGTGTTGGCCAGGCTGTTCTTGAACTCCTAACCTTGTGATCCGCCCGCCTTGGCCTCCCAAAGTGCTGGGATTACAGGCGTGAGCCACTGCACTGGGTCTAAGAGATTGCTTTTAGAGAAAACACCTAGTGAATCAAGGGAGGAGGTAGGAATGTGAATTAAGAAGTTACTGTTGGCCGGGCTTGGTGGCTCACGCCTGTAATCACAGCACTTTGGGAGGCCGAAGCGGGTGGATCACCTGAGGTCAGGAGTTTGAGACTAGCCTAGCAAAAACATGGTGAAATCCTGTCTCTACTAAAAATAGAAAAATTCACTGGGTGTGGTGGCAGGCGCCTGTAGTCCCAGCTACTTGGGAGGCTGAGGCAGGAGAATTGCTTGAAACCTGGAGGTGGAGGTTGCAGTGAGCCAAGATCGTGTCACTGCACTCCAGCCTGGGTGACAAAGCAAGACTCCATCTCAAAAAAAAAAAAAAAAAAAAAGTGTGGCACTGCACACCAGCCTGGGTGACGGAAAACGTGTCCTTGGCCAAATAGTGGTATCCTGCTCAATGAGGGATAATGTTATTTATGCTATAATATCTACCTATTATTTATTCTGTAGTGTTCTGCATTGACACTATAGTTTTTTATTTTTATTTTTTTATTGAGATGGAGTCTCACTCTGTCATCCAGCGAGGCTGAGGTGGGTGGGTCAGAGACCTCAAGTTTGAGACCAGCCTGACAAACATGGCGAAACCCTGTCTCTACTAAAAATACAAAATTAGTCGGGCATGGTGGCGTATACCTGTAATCCCAGCTAATTGGGAGGCTGAGACAAGAGAATCACTTGAACTCGGGAGGCAGAGGTTGCAGTGAGCCGAGATTGTGCCATTACACTCCATCCTGGGCCACAAGAGGGAGACTCCATCTCAAAAAAAAAAAAAAAAAAAACGGGGCGGGGGGAATATCTTATAATTACTTTCCTAAAGATAGCTTTCAAAAATTACAGTGTCGAGAAGGCTCATACCTGTAATCCCAGCCCTTTGGGAGGACAACACAGAAGAATAGTTTGAGACCATCCTGAGCAAAATAGCAAGAATGCATCTCTACAAAACATAAGAAAAATTAGCCAGTAGCACACCTGTAATCCCAGTTACTCAGGAGGCTGAGGCAGGAGGAGGCTAAGCCCAGGAGGTTGAGGCTGGAGTGACCTGTGATCATGTCACTGCACTGTGCCTGAGAGACAGAGCAAGACCCGGCCTCAAAAATGTAAAAATAAATTCAAAAAATGAACAATAATTTAAAAACTACAGCGTCAGACGGGCATGGTGGCTCACACTTGTAGTCCCAGCACTTTGGGAGTCCGAGGCGGGCAGATCACCTGAGATCAGGAGTTCGAGACCAGTCTGGCCAACATAGTGAAACCCCATCTCTACTAAAAATATAAAAATTAGCTGGGTGTGGTGGTGCATGCCTGTAATTCCAGCTACTCAGGAGGCTGAGGCAGGAGAATCCCTTGAACCTAGCAGGCAGAGGTTACAGTGAGCTGAGAGCGTGCCACTGCACTCCAGCCTGAGCAACAGAGTGAGACTCCATCTTAAAATATAAAAATAAAAAACTATAGCCAGGTGCAGTGGCTCACGCCTATAATCCTAGACTTCGGGAGGCCGAGGTGGGCAGATCACAAGGTCCAGAGTTCGAGACCAGCCTGACCAACATGGTGAAACCCTGTGCTGGGATTACAGGTGTGAACCACCATGCCCAGCCAAGACATTCTTTAAAAATGCCTAGCAAATATAGTAAAAAGTAAAAATTCTCTTTCACCTCATCGCTGAAAGTTTCTGTATATTTTCAGGCTTTTTGGTATACCTTTATACACATCTGTAATACTCACGCAGTGTTTTTTCTAAATGGAATGATACTGTACATAATACTTTGCAGTTTTTATAATTTACAGTCAGATGGGAAGGACACAAAACTATTCTAGAAGATCTTTGCTTTAAACAGTAGTGAAGACATTTATCTCTTCTGTTGTTTTAAGTGCCTTGGAACAGATTTTATGAACAACAGCAACATTCGATATTGATTTGCTCAGTGTTAGTAGTGAGATGCCTTTAGTAGTGAGATCACACCTTTCAGAGAACTTTCTAAATGCTCTGTAAATAAAAGCAGATATGTGATGGACTGCTTCATGATGTTGCCAAGCACCATTCACATCCTTTTCCCTTTCTCAGAAAGTGCAGAGTCATCCATTTTGGAGCAGTTAGTTCTTGCAGATCTACCAATTACCTGTGGTTATAGGAGATGATGTTTCTCTATCTGCCTGAAAGTGGAAAAAGGAATTAATGAACCTGTGAAGTTCAGTTCTGTAACTAGACAGAGCTGTGCTGGAAATGAAAATAAGTCCTTTCTGTTATTCATGACATATGGGAAGAAAAGCTTCAGGTAGATCAAGCTCTGCAGGCCTAAATCCACAGAAGCCTTGCCAATTTTCAGCTCATTATTGCCATCAAGGTATTTTGGTGATTATTTCCACTATTGTAAACTAATTCATAGGACTGGTTTTTTTGGTTTTTTTGGTGTTTTTTTTTTTTTTTGAGACAGAGTCTCGCTCTGTTGTCCAGACTAAAGTGCAGTGGTGTGATCTTGGCTCACTGCAATCTCCGGCTCAATCACTCAAGTGATTCTTGTGCCTCAGCCTCTTGAGTAGCTGGGACTGTAGGTGAATGTCACCATGCACAGCTTTTTTGTATTTTTAGTAGAGATAAGGTTTGGTTTGGTTAGTAGAGCCTAGGTTGGCTAGGCTGCTATATTTTGCCTTTTTTTTTTTTTTTGAAGACGGAGACTTGCTTGCAACCTCCGCCTCCCGGTTCAAGCAATTCTCCTGACTCAGCCTCCCGAGTAGCTTGTTCTACAGGTGTGTGCCACCATACCTGGCCAATTTTTTGTATTTCTAGTAGAGATGGAGTTTCACTGTGTGGGCCAGGTTGGTCTCAAACTCCTGACCTTGTGATCCACCCGCCTCGGCCTCCTAAAGTGCTAGGATTACAGGCGTGAGCCACCGTGCCCAGCTTACATTTTGCTTTTATTTTTTTTGAGACAGAGTCTCTCTCTGTCACCCAGGCTGGAGTGCAGTGGTGCAATCTCGGCTCACTGCAACCTTCACCTTCCAGGTTCAAGTGATTCTCCTGCCTCAGCCTCCCAAGTAGCTGGGACTACAGGCACGTGCAACCATGCCTGGCTAATTTTTTGTATTCTTAGTAGAGACTGGGTTTCATTGTGTTAGCCAGGATGGTTTCGGTCTCCTGACCTCATGATCCGCCTGCCTTGCCTCCCGAAGTGCTGGGATTACAGGCGTGAGTCACTGCATCCTGCCTACATTTTGATTTTAATGTCTTACTGTTAATGATCCATGCACCAAATTCCCATGCTGTTAGTATTTTTCTCAGAATGACAAAGGAATTGAAATGCCATTGTGGGATAAAATTAAATATTGTCAAAGGCCTGCTCTGAGCCAGTCTATGGACTAGGTAGATATATTGGGGAGATAATGAAGTAGGCTCTTGTTGGAAACAGAGCAGACCAAACCAAACAGAAAATGAATTTGTCAGACCAGGCACGGTGGCTCACTCCTGTAATCCCCACACTTTGGTAGGCTGAGGCGAGTGGATCACCTGAGGTCGGGAGTTTGAGACCAGCCTGATGAACATGAAGAAACTCCCTCTACTAAAAATACAAAAAAAAAAAAAAAATTAGCTGGGCATGGTGGCACATGCCTATAATCCCAGCTACTTGGGAGGCTGAGGCAGGAGAATCTCTTGAACCCGAGTGGCAGAGGTTGCGGTGAGCTGATAACACGCCATTGCAGTCCAGCCTGTGCAACAAGAGCGAAACTCCTTCTCCAAAAAAAAAAAAAAAGTGAATTTATCTGTGTCTTGGTTTTCTTTTTTTCTTTCTCTTCTTTTTTTTGAGACGGAGTCTGGCTCTGTTGCCCAGGCTGGAATGCACTGGAGCGATCTTGGCTGACTGCAACCTCCGTCTCCCGGGTTCAAGCGATTCTCCTCCCTCAGCCTCCCAAGCAACTGGGACTACAGGCTCACAGCACCATGCCCAGCTAAGTTTTGTAGTTTTAGTAGAGACGGGCTGTCTCAGTTTTCAAATAATGAAGGTGAATTCAACTGGTAAATGTAGGTTTCTATTAAATAATGATTAAGGAAAGAAAAATAATATTTGGCCCTCTGTTTCTGTGGGTTTTGCATCCATGAATTCAGCCAACCATGGATCGCAACTATTCAGGAAAAAAAATATACAGATTGTGGCTGGGCACCATGGTTCATGCTTGTAATCCCAGAACTTTGGGAGGCCAAGATGGGCAGATCACCTGAGATCAGGAGTTCGAGACCAGCCTGGCCGACAAGGTGAAGCCCCATTTCTACTAAAAATGCAAAAATTAGCCCGGTGCAGTGGCATATGCCTGTAATTCCAGCTATTCAGGAGGCTGAGGCGGGAGAATCGCTTGAACCCGGGAGGTGGTGGTTGCAATGAGTCGAGATTGCTCAACTGCACTCCAGTCTGGGCAACAGTGCGAGACTCTGTCTCAGAAAATAAATAAATTATTTAAATAAAGAGTATTAGAGGTATGGGTAGGTTATATGCAAATATTATACCATTTTACGTAAGAGACTTGAGCATTGGTGGATTTTGGTATCCACACGGATTCCTTGCACCAGTCTACCGTGGATACTCAGGGACAACTCTGTGTATGGTATACACCTTGGTGTGTATTCTAATCATCTGGGAAGCTTGTGAAATGTAGGTTCACCCCCTGGATTTTTAAATCCTGGAAGGTCTGGGGTAGGGTCCAGGAATCTTCATTTTCAGCAGCAGGGTTCCTAAATAATTCTCTTAGAGGTAACCTGAAGACTCCTTTGAGGAGCATTGGTGTCTCAGAGGGTGTCTAAACCTGACAAAGACCATCTAAATCTAGTTGGCTGAGCCGGGCACGGTGGCTCACGCCTGTAATACCAGCACTTTGGGAGGCCGAGGCAGGCGGATCACCTGAGGTCGGGAGTTCGAGACCAGCCTGACCAATGTGGAAGAAACCTCATCTCTACTAAAAATAAAAAATTAGCCAGGCATGGTGGCTCGTGCCTAATCCCAGCTACTCGGGAGGCTGAGGCAGGAGAATCGCTTGAACCTGGGAGGCAGAGGTTGTGGTGAGCCGAGATCACGCCATTGCACTGGAGCCTGGGCAACAGAGCAAAATTCCGTCTCAAAAAACAAACAAAAATCTAGTTGGCTGAAGAGTTATGGGGAGGAAAAACTATTTTGATATAGCACAAACTTTGTGATAAAAGTGATAAACGGAGATAACTGAGAAACTATTAAGGAAAGAGATCAGTTAACGCTCACTGAGGTAGGGAGGAGAGGCAGATGTCTGATTTTATGTTAAACTTGAGGAATATATCTTTCATTTGATTGCCTTGTTTTATATACCTCATAATGCTATATTGTCTTGGTAACCAAGCTCTCATATCTGTATATTACTGCAGTCCTGGGGCATCTCTAACTTCTAACATATACTACTTTTTTGATAAGCTATTGAACTGTCCTAAGTAGGCCGGGTTTGGTGGTTCACACCTGTAATCCCAGCACTTTGGGAGGCCAAGGCAGGTGGATCACTGGAGGTCAGGAGTTCGAAACCAGCCTGGCCAACATAGTGAAACCCAGTCTCTACTAAAAATGCAAAAATTAGCTGGGTGTGGTGGCACGCATCTGTATTCCAAGCTACTTGGGAGGTTGAGCCAGAGAATTGCTTGGACCTGGGAGGCAGAGTTTGCAGTGAGCTGAGATCATGCCGCTGCACTCCAGCCTTGGTGACAGAGCAAGACTGTATCTCAAAAATGAAAAAAAGAAATATCTTAAATAACTTTTCAACGTTCAAACTAACTCGTGGACTATGGCATAAAATCATTTGTTACTCATGAGTGTTTTCGTTTATTTGTTCAGGAAATAATCACTGTTTTTACACACGCACGCGCACACACACACACATTTTCACCTGCCATCACATACACACACACACACTTTCACCTGCCATCACACACACACACACACACACACACACACAATTTTCAGCTGCCATCCTAGATAGTTTACCAATATTGATGAGTCTTTCTTAATGGGGGGACATTTCTCGGAGGATTTAAGTATAGGTTAAGTCGATTTAAGGCTTTAGGGGGAGAAGAAAACATTTCTCAATTATAAAGTATACAACTAGGAAGAAATTCTTATTTCTCATATTCTGTTTATTTAGCACTATCCATTCATTTAGCACATTTACTTGTATTGACACTACCATGCTTATGAAGCCGTGATGGCTAGGGAGTAATGAGCTTGTTTTGCTAGTGTTATCTTCTATAAATGTTCTAAATTAAGTAGTTGGGGAAGTGGTTAATGACAACCAAATTTGTAATCTAGGATTGTTACCCTCTAATCAATTCTTTTTAAATTTCTTCCTGACATTTATCTTGTTATAATAATAACTCTCTGACATTATTATTATAACAAAATTGTTGTATTTGTGTTTTGGGGATAAAAGGCATATTTTAGCATCCTATAGTTTAAAATGGTGTTTGTTTTAATCTGGGTGATAAGATGGAAATGCTGACCTGGGCTTGCCTGATCTACAGCTAACATTGTTCTAATAAACTGCATGGAGTCCAGGTGTTTTACTTTAACTGCAGCTGTACCATCTGTGGGAGCAGGTGGACAGATTCTGTGTCATCAGGAAAATACAGCTGGTGAGACTAAGGAGAAGAGCTAATTGATTGCTTTTCCAGCTCTCTCCAGTCATATATACCTAAGCATAGCATTTACCTTGGCACAGGTGTTGCCTTTGGTCTGGATAGTAACAGCAAAATTGAACAAAAAAAGATGTAAATTTGAGCTGCGTGTGTGTGTGTGTGTGTGTGTGTTTCTTGGTTGGCATTGAGAAAGATAATTTAAGGGTTTTTTGTTTGTTTGTTTAGGTTTTATTTTTGTTTTTAGTTACTTGAAGATATTTCCAGCTCGTTAACTTCTCTGAGAGAGTTCCTTGTAAGGCTACTTATAAATAGTAGTATATATATATATAGTTTATGGCAGGGAAGATCTGGGAAGTAAGCAAAAAGAGCCTTTAGTTAGGCAACATAGAACAAAATAGAGGTCACAGGTTCCATGCACTGAAGAATGGAATTGAAATAGAGACTCCAGGGTCATAGACTCTTGGAAGGAAGACTAGAGTACATTCATGACCCTCACCCTTAATTACTTCACAGGTGAGAAAACCAAGAGCTACAGAAAATAAGTTATTCCTCAGTACCAGGGCCTGGTTCCTTGGAGAATTGGGTTAAAATTCAAAATAACCTTCTAAAAAATTCTTTCAGAAACGAGTAGTGAAAGCCAGTGGATCAAATTCAGTGATAGTTAACAGAGAAACAGCAGCATAGATAAGTAAGCCAATTTAATGTAGGGAGCAACCACTAGTGTACATGATCTCAGCTCATCTGGTACTACCAAGTAAAAATGAACCTGGGCCAGCCACAGTGACTCATGCCTGTACTCTCAGCGCTTTGGGAGGCCAAGGTGGGAGGATTGTTTGAGGCCAGGAATTTGAGACCATCCTGGTCAACATAGCAAGACCCTGTTTGTTTAAAAAAAAAAAATTAAAAAAATAAAAATTTAGCTGGGCTTCGTGATATGTGCCTGTAGTCCCAACCTACTTGGGAGGCTGAGGTGGGAGGATCATTTGAGCCCAGGAGTTCAAGGCTGCAGTGAGGCATGATTGCACCACTGCACTGCAGCCTAGGCAACTGAGTGAGACCCTGTCTCACAAAACTAATAAATAAGTAAATAAATAAAACAGAACCTGTATTATAGTGTTATTTTAGAAACAATTATACCATTGAGATGCATGAAGAGAGCTAGTAGTTTTGCCTATCATACTTAAGGTTTAACTTCTTCAGCTTAAGAGATATATGAGAGCAGCTTTTGAGAGGATTTAAAAGATCCCTAAAAAAAGAAAATCCAATGGAAAGGTTCAAAAACTTGTGTCTGATGAAGAGAAAATACAGAAGTTTGATAAGCCTTTAAGGATTGTTTTGTAGAAGTTGGCTAGTTGTATACTTATCCCTTTAGAACTAGACAGGAAGGGGCAAATTTACCTTAGCCATGGGGAATATAGATACGCATTGTAGATTCTGGGTATGAGCAGCAGCATTGCCACCTGGGAACTTGTTAAAAATGCAGAATCTGGGCTCTGGCCCAGACCTACTGAATTTGCATTTTAGTAAGATTTCCCAGGTGATTCATATGAACATTAAAATTTGAGACATATTGGGATAAATCATAGGCTTTATTTTTTATTTATTTATTTTTTTTTATATTTTGAGACAGTCTTGCTGTGTTGCCCAGGCTGGAGTGCAGTGGTGCAATCTTGGCTCACTGCAACCTCTGCCTCCTGGGTTCAAGCAGTTCTCCTGCCTCAGCCTCCCATATATGTTTGCAGCCTCCCTGAATTATAATTTAATTACAGAGTCTATCTTAATTAAATAATAAAGATCATTCTTATTTTTCAAAAGCATTTAAAAAAATGGGGTTCTTATCTAGATGAGAGAGGTTTTACTCCATAAGGATCACAGTCTAGTGATCCAATAAGCAAACAAACGTGTACTAAAACCCCAGGTGGGGATAAATACTTTGAAGAAAAATAAGCTAAGATTGGAGAGTCTTTCAGTTTAAGACCTAATTTATTCCCTATGTGTTGTGTTTTTTGTTTTGTTTTCTTTTTTTCCCAGGATGGAATTTCACCCTTGTCGCCCAGGCTGGAGTGCAGTGGCATGATCCTCACCGCAACCTCCGCCTCCCTGGTTCAAGCAATTCTCCTGCCTCAGCCTCCCGAGTAGCTGGGATTACAGGCATGCGCCACCACTCCCGGCTAATTTTGTATTTTTAGCAGAGACGGGGTTTCTCCATGTTGGTCAGACTGATCTCGAACTCCTGACCTGAGGTGATCCGCCCGCCTCGGCCTCCCAAAGTGCTGAGATTATAGGCATGAGCCACCACGCCCGGCCAGTGTGTTGTGCTTTTTTTTTAGTTTTTAATGGTTATCACTTGTAGGTAGGTTTTAGAGCAGACTTCAGTTTTTTGGGTTTTTTTGTCCCTCTTTTTTTGTTTTCTCGTTTTTTAGACTTCAGTTTTCAGGACAAAAATATGTACAGGTTTTAAAATTATTATTATTATTAAAAGAATTACCTTAACTCAGTGCCTGGCACATAGTTAACATTTAACTGGGAATGTTTCATAATAAATCTCAAGTAAGATCTTAAGAAAATCAACACTGATTGTTACCTGTCACAAGTCACGTGGGCTGAGATTTCTGGCTAGGCAGGAAAGAAAGAAAAGTTCAGTCTTTTGTTCTCTTTTTCATATTATTATGATTTTTGGATTCTGTGGATTCCAGAATCAGAGTTTGAACAGAGAAGTGGTTTCTACACTTTGTTGCATACCAGATGGGTATGGTTTTGGAATAATGAAGGGGCTTTCAGACTGTGGGTTCTTGAGTGATTTATGACATTTCTCCCGCTTTGTAGTTGTTTTTCTTGGAACTTGCCTAGATGGGCATGCCATGAACTTGCAAACGTTGTTCTCATTTTCAAATAAAATAATTTTGTTGCAATTTATTTTTAGGATTAAAAAAAAAATCCAGATGCTCACTTAAATACATAAGAAGACAAACCAGGATCAATCTTAATAGGAGAAAGGTATACATGTAGAGGGGAATTAACTTTATGCTTGCTATGCTAGAAATGAGCTGGTTGAGTTGCACTCAGGTAATAGTATGGTAAGGTATATTTTTTTGGTTAATTTGAAAAGAAAATGTATATATGTATGACTGCTATATATGTCAGAAAATGTGACAAATAGCTTTTTTTTGTTGTTGAGATGGAGCCTCACTGTGTTGCCCAGGCATGGAGTACAGTGGCACGATCTCAGCTCACTGCAACCCTTGCCTCCCGGGTTCAAGCAATTCTCCTGCCTCAGCCTCCCAAGTAGCTGGGCTTACAGGTGTGTGGCACCACGCCTGGCTAATTTTTGTATTTTTTAATAGAGAAGAGATTTCACCATGTTGTCCAGGCTGGTCTTGAACTCCTGACCTCAAGTGATCCACCTGCCTTGGCCTCTCAGAGTGCTGGGATTACAGGCGTAAGCCAGTGCACCCGGCCGCTTTTTTTGTAAATGGCTTTGTTGAGATATAATTCACATACCCTACCTCCATTTTTTTTTTTTTTTGAGACAGAGTTTGGCTCTTGTTGCCCAGGCTGGAGTGCAATGGCACAATCTCGGCTCACCACAACCTCCGCCTCCTGGGTTCAAGTGATTCTTATGCCTCAGCCTCCTGAGTAGCTGGGATTACCAGGCATGTGCCACCATGCCCGGCTAATTTTGTATTTTTAGTAGAGATGGGGTTTCTCCATGTTGGTCAGGCTGGTCTCGAACTCCCGACCTCAGGTGATCTTCCTGCCTTGGCCTCTCAAAGTGCTGGGATTACAGGTGTGAGTCACTGCACCTGGCCCTACCCTACTTCTTTAAGGTATACAATTTAATAGTTTTTAGTATGTTGACAAGGTTTTATAACCATCACTGCACACAGTGCAGTGAATATTTATATCACTCCGAAAAGAAACCCCATACCCATTAACAATTACTGTCTATTTTTCCTTTCCCCAGTCCCTAATCTACTTTTTTATTTTTCCCTTGAGATGGAGTCTGACTTTGTCACCCAGATTGGAGTGCAGTGGTACAGTCACAGCTCATCGCAGCCTCGACCACCTGGGCTCAAGCAATTCTCCCACTACAGCCTCCCAAGTAGCTGGAACCACTGGCACATGCCACCATGCCTGTGACCAGTTTTTAAATTATTTGTAGAGATGAAGTCTCACTTTGTTGCCCAGGCTGGACTCAAACTCCTGAGCTCAAGCGATCCTTGTGCCTTGGCCTCCCAAAGTGTTGGAATTACAGGTGTGAGCCACTGCACCTGGCCACGTAATCTACTTTCTGTCTATGGATTTGCCTTTGTGTTTTTTATTGGTGATTGGCCTTCAAGTATAATGCTGAAGTGCTGTCTCCTGTTTCCAAGAGCTAGAAAGCTATGCTGTACTTTAGAGGAAAATATATTAAATAAGCTTTGTTCAGGCTGTTTGACATGTTAATGAATCCTCCCGCCTTGGCCTCCCAAAGTGCTGGGATTACAGGCGTGAGCCACCGCGCCTGGCCTTACATATATTTTAAGTAAGGTGTTAACACTATATAATTCATCTGTGTAACCCAAAACTACTGTATCCCTAAGGCTATTGAAATTTAAAATAAGTAAATAAATAAGGTGTCTTTCATCAGAAACACATAAAAAAGAAGGTGTGTACTGATGATCTACTGACAAAAATGTGACTAGAGGCTCACAGGAACCTAACCGTGTGTTTTCCTCTAGGAGCAAAGGTTCAGGATTTGCTAGTTCAACGTTTGTAGCAATAAAAATAATCTATTATACCACATTTTGTTTATTCATTCATCAGTTGATGGATTTGTGACCTGTTTTCACTTTTTGGCTATTATAAATAAAGCCACTATAAACATTTGTTTACTGGTTTTTATGTGGACACGTTTTCATTTCTCTCACTGCGCCCAGCAATGAATACATTTATTTTATGGCAAAACTAAAAGTTTGTCAAACACCCAAATTCAGTATGATAAGTTAGCTTTTTATAGGATACTGACAGGTTATTGTGGGTACTCCAATCTTGTTCAGCAAGGCCAAATTTTCAAAAAAAAAAATGTAGATTTATTACAATAAGGGAAATATATATCTTAAGCTATATTTCCATGTGTTCTATGAAGACAACTCTGAGAGGAAGTTAGCAGTTTGTGTGGTTGGAAGCCTCAGAAAGTTCTCCTACTTCTATCTCTTACTCACCTGGCTTGCATTGCAATATTTAGGGTAAGAGTCACAAGCATACTCGGGTGCATTTGAATGATGGTCTAAGCAGATCTCTACACCTGTCGTTATCTGGGTTTGTGATCATTCCAGTGTTTCCTAAGTTTATAGGATGAATTGGCAGTAAGTGACTTTTGTTCCAGTCCTCAGCTGCATTATAAAGACAATACAAGACTATGCTGAAATAGCTATTTGGTAAAGTTTTGTAAACCCAGAAGCCTTTTTAAAAAGTATTGTTCTTCTTAATCTCTTAATTATAGTTTTTTAAAATCACATATCACTTAATTTTGTGTGTGTATTTTTGTTTGTTTGTTTTTTGAGATGGAGTCTCACTACATCACCCAGGCTGGAGTGCAGTGGTGTAGTCCCGGCTCACTGCAACCTCTGCCTCCCAGGTTCAAGTGATTCTCCTGCCTCAGCCTCCTGAGTAGCTGGGATTACAGGGCTGTGCCACCAGGCCCGACTGATTTTTTTTTTTTTTTTTTTTTTGAGATGAATTCTTGTTCTGTCGCCCGGGTTGGAGTGCAGTGGCGTGATCTTGGCCCACTGCAACCACTGCCTTCCGGGTTCAAGCAGTTCTCCTGCCTCAGCCTCCCAAGTAGCTGGTATCACAGATGCGTGCCACTACGTCCAACTGATTTTTGTATTTTTAGTAGAGACAGGGTTTCGCCATGTTGGCCAGGCTGGTCTCAAACTCCTGACCTCAGATGATCTGCATGTCTCAGGCTCCCAAAATGCTGGGATTATGGGAGTGAGCCACCTCACCCAGCCCTAAGTCTTATTGTTTTTTCTTTTCTTTTCTTTTTTTTTTGTTGTATTTTTAGTAGAGACAGCGTTTTGCCTTGTTAACCAGTTTAGTCTCGAATGCCTGACCTCAGGTGATCTGCCTGTCTTGGCCTCCCAAAATGCTAGGATTAGAGGTGTCAGCCTCCACTCCCAGCCTGATTTGTATATATTTTATGTTTGTTTTATTTTCTTTTTTTTCTTTGCTGTATTATTATTATTTTGAGATGGAGTCTTGCTGTGTTGTCAAGGCTGGTCTCCAACTTCTGGGCTCAAGCAGTCTTCCCACCTCAGTCAGCTGAACAGTTGGGATTGCAGGCTCATGCCACTATACCTGGCTGAAGTGTTGGTTTTTCTTTTCTTTTTGTAGAGACAAGGCCTCACTCCATTGTCCAGGCTGGTCTCAAACTCCTGGGTTCAAGCAGTCCTCCCACCTCAGCCTCCCCAGTAACTGGGATTACAGGCTCTTGCCTCTATACCTGGCTCAAGGGTTTGTTTTCTGATTCTTCAAAGTTTACTTCTCTCAGATCTGGAGACTGTGATATGTATAAGACAAGTTTCCCATGTCTTAAGAAACTTGATAGCTAGTAAGAGAGGTAAGGCCTGTGAACTCAGGTAACTAAGCAAGACAGAAAGACAGATGAAGATGAGGACATATGAGTAGAATAAAGGAAGTGATCAGTAAAGGTTGCATGTGGAAAATGTTGTCTGAATCAGTCGAAGAATTGCCTTCAACATGACCTAGAGAAGAGCAGATCATGACCGAAATCCAGACCTTTTCACTGGCTTGATTGTTTGGTGGGCTATTTTTCTCTCTTTTTTGAATCAGAGGATCCCAGATGAGGGCTTTATTATCAGCCTTTGACTGAAGTCTCAGTTATATTCTTGTTCCCAGCCCATGCGTGTGGAATCAGGGATATGACTTACATGCCCTTTTAAGCTGCTCTGTACCTTTTTGCCAGTTATATATACATGTAACTATGTTAACCTGCCTTAAATGTCCACTCGTGTGTGTGTGTGTGTGTGCGTGTGTGGTGTAGTGACGGGATCTCACCATGTTGTCCAGGCTGGTCTTGAACTCCTGGGCTCAAGCAATCTGCCCACTTTGGCCTCCAAAGTGTTGGGATTACAGGCGTAAGCCACTGCACCCGGCCTAAAATGTCAACTCTTGGTTGAGAATGAAGGCTAATTTGCCTAAGAACCAACTTAATCCATCTGTTCCAGCCAGTACCAAGTTTTGGGCTCGTGATGCCACCAATTGGCTGGTGTGAGGAAGTGTTTAACCTTTTTCTTTTCCTTTTGGGAGTTTGCACTACGCGTGGACCAGTTTGTTTGTTTTTTTTGTTTGTTTGTTTTTTTGAGACGGAGTCTTGTTCTGTCGCCCAGGCTGGAGTGCAGTGGCGCAATCTCAGTTCACTGCAAGCTCCGCCTACCGGGTTTACGCCATTCTCCTGCCTCAGCCTCCCGAGTAGCTGGGACTACAGGTGCCTGCCACCATGCCCGGCTAATTTTTTGTATTTTTAGTAGAGAGGGGGTTTCACTGTGTTAGCCAGGATGGTCTTGATCTCCTGACCTCGTGATCCGCCCACCTCGGCCTCCCAAAGTGCTAGGATTACAGGCGTGAGCCACCGCGCCCAGTGCACCAGTTATTTTTACCTTACGACATTTTCTCACAGATTCATGTTCTCCTTTGGTAACCTTCCATCAAGCCTCTTTCAACTCTGGTTTAACTAGTGCAGGAGCTCTTTCCATCCCTCTTTCCTTTACTTTGTTCTCTTTGTAAGTTACAAAAGAGACAAGCCAGGCATGGTGGCTCGCGCCTGTAATCCCAGCATTTTGGGAGGCCAAGGCTGAGGCAGGTGAATCTCTTGAGCCCAGGAGTTTGAGACCAGTCTGAGCAACAAAAAATGCAAAACGTTAGCTGGGCATGGTGATGTGCCACACCTCAGGAGGCTGAGATGGGAGGATTGCTTGAGACCCTGTCTTTAAAAAAACAAACAAAAAAAAACTAGGCATAAGATTACTTCTAGTGTCTTGTATCAAGAAAGAAGAAAGCAGTTATATATATATATATATATATATATATATATATATATATTTCTTTTTTTTTTTTTAATGAGATGGAGTTTTGCTCTTGTTACACAGGCTGGAGTGCAGTGGTGCAATCTGGGCACACTACAACCTCCCCTTCCTGGGTTCAATTGATTCTCCTGCCTCAGCCTCCCAAGTAGCTGGGATTATAGGTGTGCGCCATCACACCTGGATAATTTTTTTGTATTTTTAGTGGCCACAGTGTTGCACCATGTTGGCCAGGCTGGTCTCAAAGTCCTGCACTAAGGTGATCCACCTGCCTCGGCCTTCCAAAGTGCTGGGATTACAGGCATGAGCCACCTCGCCTGGCCTATTTTATTTTATTTTTTAATAGAGATCAGGTCTCCCTGTGTTGTCCAGGCTGGTCTCGAACTTTTGGACTCAGGTGATCCTCCTGCCATGGCCTCTGAAAGTGCTGGGATTACAGGCATGAGCTATCACACCCAGCCTCTTTGTTTCTCTTTTGTATCTTGTTCAATCTCTGAATCTCCTTAAGGCTGGCTTCACCTCTGGTGGCAAAATGACTAAAGCTACATGTCCTTATACCTCACTGTCATAATGAGAGCATGAGAGGCAATGCTTGGCATTCCACGTAGGAGTCCAGCAAAATAGCCTGATTGAACCAGCTTTTAGGTCTGATGCCCATTGTTTGTTTTTTTTGAAACAGAGTCTCACTCCGTTGCCCAGGCTGGAGTGCAGTGGCACAATCTTGGCTCACTGCAACCTCTGCCTCCCGGGTTCATGCAATTCTCCTGCTTCAGCCCCCCAGGTAGCTGGGATTACAGCCATGCGCAGCCACACCAGCTAATTTTTGTATTTTTTGTAAAGACGGGGTTTCACTATGTTGGCCAGGCTGGTCTCGGATCACCTTAAGTGATCCGCCCACCTCCACCTCCCAAAGTGCTGGGATTACAGGCGTGAGCCACTGCACCAGCCCACATGCCCATTCTTGATCCACTTGTAGGAAGCACTATAAAAGCACATGAACAAAGTGCGGTGCGTGTTCCATGAAAATAAAGATGGCGCCAGGCGCGGTGGCTCACACCTGTAATCCCAGCACTTTGGGAGGCCGAGGCGGGCGGATCATTTGAGGTCAGGAGTTTGAGATCAGCTTCACCTACGTAGTGAAACCCCATCTCTACTAAAATACAAAAATTAGCCGGGTGTGGTGGCAGGCGCCTGTAATCGCAGCTCCTGTAATCCAGGCCGTGGCAGGAGAATTGCTTGAACCTAGGAGGCGGAGGTTGCAGTGAGCCGAGATCACGCCATTGCACTCCAACCTGGGCAACAGAGCAAGACTCCGTCTCTAAATAAATAAACAAACAAACAAACAAGGCTTCTAGTTGCAGTAGGAGGGACGAATTGAGAGCAAGGGTTTAAGGACTAAATGCAGGGTGCAGTACAGTGTCAGTGTCAGTGTGCAGTGCTCAGGAAATATTTGTTGAAGGGGAAGAGTATGCTTCTTCAGTCCAAGGTGGAAGCATGAAGGAAACTGTAAGCACATTGATCTAGACCACAGTTTCAGGTACAGAGGGGAGCGTTAACTAAAGCTCAGAGCGGGGAAAGCACAGGGTGCTTACAAAATGGCAAATGCTGTCATTTAGGCCAGAATCCTACTCACACTGCTGCTGTATATCCTCTTCATCTGTGTTTAGGATTTTGAAATGCATTTTTGTTGGATTATTGCCCCACTAGAAAAAACAGTTCAGATCTGTTGCAGTTTCACATTTGAAACTACTTTCATTCTGGAATCCTTATCCTTAGACCTTCCTAATAATTTCTGTGGTCACACTGGACCTGATCTCTTCCTGTGCTAAACAAAAGCACACAATCACAAAACTGTGTAGGCATAAATGAGAGGCATATGGGAGTGGTGTAAAAGGAACTGGAAGAGTCTTAATATGCCTGGGTGGGCGAGCTAAACTAATAGCTCCCAGCAGTTTTTCTGAATCAGACATTGTGGAGCCAGGAGTCTAGCATTTGGAATTCCACTGCCTGTGCAAAGGGTCTGTCTTTTATCCTCCAAACCACCATTTGTTAACTGGTTAATGACCCAGTGGACCCGTTGACAACAAAGGAGGGAAAGCTGGTAAAGATCAAGTTAAAAGGAAAAAGAAAAGTTCAAAGGTAGGAAAGTAAGAACAAGAAGGGTTTAATCATATCTTCACCTACTCTTTATTTTTTAACAATTTATTGTGGGGAATTTTGAACATACACAAAGTAGATGGAGTAATGTAGTGACCTCCCATGAACCTATCCCCTCAGCCCCAATAAGCTGCAGTTACCAGACTTAATGAAAGGAAACCAGAACTCTGGTGAGGCTTAGGTTTGGTTTCCAGACCTCTCTAGGCCTTGTCACCTTTGGCCTTATCCCATCAAACACCTCTTTTCCCCATTTTTAGCTCCTGGTGTGCACAGAACACTGCGTTTAGGCTAGTGATGAGTATGACAGTACTTAACCTCTAATAGATTAAGGAAATAACTGTTATTGTTCAAGTATGGTTTTGAGAGCAGAAAAGTGTAATTCTGTCAAAGGTACACAACGAAGAGGGAACTTAGGAAGGCATTATTGAGAAGTTGACATTTGAGTTTACAGCAGAAACGTTGGGCAAGGGGTAGGGAATGATCTCTGAGATAGCAGCATACCCGATCTACTAGCTCTTTTTCACCAGGCTATTTAGAGTTTGACATTTATGTTACATTTATAACAAGGTACATTTCAAGTGTAGCTTTCCTTTTTGCTTTAAGCAACTGAGACATGTAAGTCAATTTCAGTTATTTTCTGCTAAACTGTGTGTCTCTTTGAATGTTCACTATCAAGGTGAATTATACAAGGTGTGTTAGATCCTTTTAACATTTCAGAGCAACCAAAACCAAGTTTGAATGTCTCATTTAACACTGTGAGAGGATGTATCTTGTCTGCATCTTGTGTTTCAGTTGTATTTATCGGTAAAATAAGCCAGGGGAGTATTCTGACTTGCAGTTTAAAAGCTGACAGGCCTAGGGGAATGTTCCACAAAATAGTATATTTTGTATATGGCATGGTATTATAGATAAATGAGCTATTGTGCTGCCTGGCACTGTCTTCTCCCTTGTGCTGTCTTCTGCTGTTTCTCAAGGAGTGATTCCTCTCTGTGTTTTGGAACCGTGTTTCTCACTGCCTACAGATGATGTCCATTTGGCTTATTTCACTGTCATCTCATACACAGCTGTTTCAAACTGCATGGAATCCTCAGAGAACTACACGCCCCTTCCTGAACAAACAGTGCTTCTTCCTGCATTTTCTTCTTAAACTTTTATCACTTTTCCCCCCTTACATATACTTTTGTTTTATTCTTTCACTAAAAAAAAAATGAGGTTTAATTGACTTACAATAAACTACACATATGTAAAGTGTACAGTTTGCTCAGGTTTGGCAGGTATACCTGTGAAATGATCACTGCAATCAAGATAGTCAACATATCATTCACTCCATAAAGTATCCTTGTGCCCATTGGTAATCTCTCCCTCCCATGCTCCCCCTGCCCTGTCTCCAAGCAAACACTAATCTGCTTTCAGTCACTATAGATTAGTGTGCATTTTATAGAATTTTATGTATATATGTTTTATATAGATGAAATCATACAATATGCACTCCTTTCCTTCCATCCTTTCTTCCTTTTTAGGTCTGGTTTCTTTCATCCAGCATAATTATTTTAAGATGTATGTATCAGTAGTTTATTCCATTTTATTGTTGAGTAGTATTCTGTTGTATGGATATATCACATTTGTTTATTTGCCTGTGGATAGATGTTTGAGTTGTTTCCAGTCTTTGGCTATTGCAAATAAAGCTTCTTTGAACATTCATATATAAATGTTTATATGGACATATGCTTGCTTTTGTCTTTTCTTTTTTAAAAAAAAAAGCACAGATGGGAACCGGGCGTGGTGGCTCATGCCTGTAATCCCAGCACTTTGTGAGGCTGAGGTGGGCGGATCACCTGAATGTTAGGAGTTCAAGACCAGCTTGGCCAACATGGTGAAACTCCGTCTCTACTAAAAATACAGCAGTTAGCCTTGCATGGTGGTGTGTGCCTGTAATTCCAGCTACTCAGGAGGGTGAGGCTGGAGAACCGCTTGAACCCTGGAAGTGGAGGTTGCATTGAGCCGAGGTTTCAGTGAGCCGAGATCACGCCAGTGCTCTCCAGCCTGGGTGACAGAGCGAGACTCCATCTCAGAAACAACAACAACAGCAACAACAAATAGAGATGGGGTTCGAGCCCAGGCTAGTCTTGAACTCCTGGGCTCTAGTGATACTCCTGCCTTGGCCTCCCAGACAAAGTGTTGGGATTACAGGTGTTAAACCACTGTGCCCAGACTCTTTTTCCTTTGTAAATACATAGGAATGGTGTGGTTGCATCATATGTTTTAACTATTTAAGAAATTGCCAAACTTTTTCTAAAATATTTTCAAGTACTTACCATCTATATATCTTCTTTGGTGAAATGTCTGTTTAAATCTTTTACCCATTTAAAAAAATTACATTGTTTATTTTCTTGCTGTTGAGGTTTTTGTTTGTTTGTTTGAGACAGTCTCACTCTGTTGCCCAGGCTGGAGTACAGTTGTGCGATCCCAGCTCGCTGCAGCCTCCACCTCCTGGGTTCAAGTGATCCTGAACTTCCTGAGTAGCTGGGACTACAGGCACGCGCCACCACGCCCGGCTAATTTTTGTATTTTTAGTAGAGACGAGGTTTCACCATGTTGGCCAGGCTGGTCTTGAACTCCTGGCCTCAAGTGATCCGTCCACCTCGGCCTCCCAAAGTGCTGAGATTATAGGCATGATCCATTGCCCCCAGCCTGTTGAGGTTTTTTTTTAAATCAGGTATATAATCAGGTATATGCTTTGCAAATATTTTCTCCCAGCGTATTACTTGTCTATTTTCTTAACAGTTTCTTTCAAAGAATAGAGTTAAAAAGATTTTTTGTATCTTTTTAGCTTTTTTTTTTTTTTTTTTTTTGAGCAGTCAGAACACACACAGCATTTATTGGAAGTTTTCCATCTTATATGGGCACAGTTTGTGGCTCCCCAAAACAATTAGAATAGTAATATCAAAGATCACTGATCACAGATCACCATAACAGATATAATAATAATGAGAAACTGTGAAATGTCGCAAAAATTACCAAAATGTGATCCAGAGACAGGAAGTGAGTGCATGCTGTTGGACAAATGGCACTGATAGATTTGCTTGACACAGGGTTGCCAGAAACCTTCCATTTGTTAAAAAATGCAATATTTGTGAAGTACAATAAAGTGAAACACAGTAAAATGAGGTGTGCTGGGCATCCTGCCATTTATGCACATGCCTCTTTAGG
The DNA here is from genome assembly GCF_000001405.40 of Homo sapiens. Classification (NCBI taxonomy): domain Eukaryota; kingdom Metazoa; phylum Chordata; class Mammalia; order Primates; family Hominidae; genus Homo; species Homo sapiens. The sequence goes on from NC_000020.11 coordinate 33,535,131, forward strand.
TAGAAAATAATCCTGTAAAAGTTGAGGCTGTGGTTGCCTTTCTGAGAATCTTGTCTACAGAAATGGTCAACTGGTGGCCAGCTAGCCAAAGGGCTAATCTAGCCCACAGACATGTTTAGTTGGGGCTACATAGAGCTTTTTACAAATTTGAGTCAATATTTAGAAAATAAAAGTCTGGATTTTGGGATTCCCTTACAAAAACTGGAAAATTTGGCCACACTGGGTCATATTCCCACATAGTCGTGGTGGTTGGGGTTCAGTAGCAGTAGCTGCTGCCCCTTAAGACAGGTCCCCATGGTCCCCACTCAGTTGCTTCCTTATTTATCTTACAAGCCTGGCAAGGAATTTGAGTTGAACTGATCTAGAAGATTGGTGCTAAGAACCAGCTCAGTGGCTTAGCTGTCCTGGGGTCTGCAGGAGAAGGCTTCTTTGTTAGGCCCAGGCAGGAAGTCTGGGCATGGATTGAGTTTTATTTTTATTTTTTTATTTTTTCTTTTTTTTTTTGACCTTTTAAATATTTATTTATTTTATTTTATTTTATTTATTTATTTATTTTTAATTGATCATTCTTGGGTGTTTCTCGCAGAGGGGGAGTTGGCAGGGTCATAGGACAATAGTGGAGGGAAGGTCAGCAGATAAACAAGTGAACAAAGGTCTCTGGTTTTCCTAGGCAGAGGACCCTGCGGCCTTCCGCAGTGTTTGTGTCCCTGGGTACTTGAGATTAGGGAGTGGTGATGATTCTTAACGAGCATGCTGCCTTCAAGCATCTGTTTAACGAAGCACATCTTGCACCGCCCTTAATCCATTTAAGCCTGAGTGGACACAGCACATGTTTCAGAGAGCACAGGGTTGGGGGTAAGGTCACCGATCAACAGGATCCCAAGGCAGAAGAATTTTTCTTGGTACAGAACAAAATGAAAAGTCTCACATGTCTACTTCTTTCTACACAGACACGGCAACCATCCGATTTCCCAATCTTTTCCCCACCTTTCCCCCCTTTCTATTCCACAAAACCGCCATTGTCATCCCGGCCCATTCTCAATGAGCTGTTGGGTACACCTCCCAGACGGGGTGGTGGCCGGGCAGAGGGGCTCCTCACATCCCAGTAGGGGCGGCCGGGCAGAGGCGCCCCTCATCTCCCAGACGGGGCGGCTGGCCGGGCGGGGGGCTGACCCCCCCCACCTCCCTCCCAGACGGGGCGGCTGGCCGGGCAGAGGGGCTCCTCACTTCCCAGTAGGGGCGGCCGGGCAGAGGCGCCCCTCACCTCCCGGACAGGGTGGCTGGCCGGGCGGGGGGCTGACCCCCCCACCTCCCTCCCGGACGGGGCGGCTGGCCTGGCGGGGGCTGACCCCCACCTCCCTCCCGGACGGGGTGGCTGCTGGGTGGAGACACTCCTCACTTCCCAGACGGGGTGGCTGCCGGGCGTAGGGGCTCCTCACTTCTCAGACGGGGCGGCTGCCGGGCGGAGGGGCTCCTCACTTCTCAGACGGGGCGGTTGCCAGGCGGAGGGTCTCCTCACTTCTCAGATGGGGCGGCCGGGCAGAGACGCTCCTCACCTCCCAGACGGGGTCGCAGCCGGGTGCTCTCACATCCCAGACGGGGCGGCGGGGCAGAGGCGCTCCCCACATCTCAGGCGATGGGCGGCCGGGCAGAGACGCTCCTTACTTCCTAGATGGGATGGCGGCCGGGAAGAGGCGCTCCTCACTTCCTAGATGGGATGGCGGCTGGGCAGAGACGCTCCTCACTTCCTAGACGGGATGGCGGCCGGGAAGAGGCGCTCCTCACTTCCTAGATGGGATGGCGGCCGGGCAGAGACGCTCCTCACTTCCTAGACGGGATGGCGGCCGGGAAGAGGCGCTCCTCACTTTCCAGACTGGGCAGCCAGGCAGAGGGGCTCCTCACGTCCCAGACGATGGGCGGCCAGGCAGAGATGCTCCTCACTTCCTAGACGGGGTGGTGGCCGGGCAGAGGCTGCAATCTCGGCACTTTGGGAGGCCAAGGCAGGCGGCTGGGAGGTGGAGGTTGTAGCGAGCCGAGATCACGCCACTGCATTCAGCCTGGGCACCATTGAGCACTGAGTGAACCAGACTCCGTCTGCAATCCCGGCACCTCGCGAGGCCGAGGCTGGCGGATCACTCGCGGTTAGGAGCTGGAGACCAGCCCGGCCAACACAGCGAAACCCCGTCTCCACCAAAAAAGTAAGAAAACCAGTCAGGCGTGGCAGCGCGCGCCTGCAATCGCAGGCACTCGGCAGGCTGAGGCAGTAGAATCAGGCAGGGAGGTTGCAGTGAGCCGAGATGGCAGCAGTACAGTCCAGCTTCGGCTGGGCATCAGAGGGAGACCGTGGAAAGAGAGGAAGAGGGAGACCGTGGGCCGTGGTGAGAGTGAGAGGGAGAGGGAGAGCTCTTTTTAGCTTTTATAGCTTTTGTTGTGTCTAAGGAATCTTTGCCTAACCCGAGTTCACAAAGATTTTCTTGTATGTTTTTTTCTGGAATTTCTGTAGTTTTTAGATTTACATGTAGATCTAATATTTTAATACATGGTATGAGATATTAAGGATCCAAGTTCAGTTTTTTGCATATGAATATCCAGCTGTTTTAGTACCAGTTGTTGAAAGGACTATCATTCCTCTACCGGATTGTCCTTGTACCTTTGTCAAAAATCAGTTGTTTATATATCTGTGGGTCTGTTTCTGGACTCTGTTCCATTGATATGTTTACCTTATCTTTATGCCTGTACCACACTGTTTTACTATAACTTGAAGTGAGGCAGTTTTAGTCCTCTAGCTATATTCGTTTTCAAAGTTGTTTTAGGTAATCTAGGTTCTTTGCATTTCCAAATAAATTCTAGAATTAGCTTCTCAATTTCTTAAAAAAAAAAAAAAGCACGTTGGGATTTTGATTGGGACTACATTGAATCTGTTTGGGGGAAGAGCTGACGTCTTAACAGTTTAGGAGAGATACAAATTAACAAATTAAATTAGTGATTTTATTTTAATTAATGTTTCTCAGTAGTATTTTTGTGTTTTTCCTGTACAGGTTTTATGTCTTTTGTCAAATTTTTCTCTTAATATTTCACAATTTTTGATACTGTTTTAATTTTTTCAGAATTTCAGTATTTGGTCATTGCTACTCTATAGACATGAAGTTGATTTTTGTGTATTGATCTTGTATCCTGCAACTTGGCTAAATTCACTTATTTTAATAGCTTTTTGGGGAGATTCCATTGGATTTTCTTTTTTCTTTTTCCTTTTTTTTTTGAGATGGAGTCCTGCTTTCTCACCCAGACTGGAGTGCAGTGGCCCAATCTCGGCTCACTGCAACCTCTGCATCCTGGGTTCAAGCAATTCTACTGCCTCAGCTTCCTGAGTAGCTGGGATTGCAGTTGCCTGCCACCAGGCCTGGCTAATTGTATTTTTAGTAGAGACAAGGTTTTACCATGTTGCCTAGGCTAGTCTTGAACTGACCTCAGGTAATCCACCCACCTCGGCCTCCCAAAGTGCTGGGATTACAGGCATGAGCCACCGTCCCTGGCCTCCGTTGGATTTTCTGTACATCATTTGCAAATAAGGACAATTTTACTTCTTTCCAATTATCACTTGTTTTACTTATTTACTTATTATCAGTATTTTCTGTGTTGTCACTGCTTCAGAGATTCTGTCCTTTTCAATTTTCTTTTGTTATCTTCTTGGTCTTAGATATTATCATATTGTTGTTTGTTTTTTTTTTTTAATTAGTTAATGGCTTTCTGTGAGGTATTCTCTCAGTCTATGTTGTCTTCAGAAAACACTGGTTTCATTTTGTTCAGGGCCATATCATAATTCCTAGCTACCAATTACATGAAGTTCCAACTTATTTATTCCTCCACATTGGGATCAAATATTTCTTCCTGTCAATAATTGGCATTTCTGTTTACCATTGCAACTTATTCTAGCCTAGGTCCCACTTAAAATTATAGTTGGGGAGAGAGCATCAGAGTTGAGGTTCGGAAATTTGGTTTGAATTCCCATTTTGCTGCTTAGTGTCTGTATAATCTTGGGCAAGTTTTTTAACTGTTAGGCCTGTTTGCTTATCTGTAGGAAGAGAGTAACACAAGAACTTTACAATATGTCATGTGAATTGAAAGAGAGAACATAGAAATCATAGCCATGTGCCTGCAACACAGTGTGGGTAGTCTGTAAATATTTAGTCTGGCACTAGTGTGAGCACCAAGTGAAGGAATGAATGCTTGTTTGCATATCCTATTTCTGCACTGTTGCTTATGCTGTTCTCCAATCTCTTTTCAGGCCCTCTGCATCTTCCTCATGTTTCGAGGTCAATGAAGCCCATCTTTATTACTCATTTCCTATCATTGTTTACATCCCTGTTGAGTTGATATCTTACTAAACTTAGGGACTGGGAGTATATCTTTGGAAAATATTTGTTTTCCTCAAAATGCCTACCATAAATGTATTATAGGTCCCTAAAATAATTGGTTGATTGTATAGTTAATTTGGAAGCAGTGCATCAAAATACTTTGTAGGGTGACAGCGAAGTAAGGTTTTTTTTGTTTTTTGTGTTTTTTTTTTTTTTGGTAGAAGACAGTCTTTGTCTGTCACTCAGGCTGGAGTGCAATGGCATGATCACAGCTTACTTCAGCCTCAAACTCCTAGGCTCAAGCAATCCTCCCACCTCAGCATCCTGAGTAGCTGGGACTATAGGTGCGTACCACCATGCCTGGATAATTTTTTTTTTTAATTTTTATTTATTGTAGAGATGCAGTCTTGCTATATTGGCTGGGCTGGTTTCCCAAAGGCCTCCTCAAGTGCTGGGATTATTGGTGTGAGCCACCATGTCTGGCCTGTTTGTTTTTTGGTCAGATTTAGGTTTTAGGAGTGAAGTAAGTTGAATTTTACATGCTACAGTGGAAGTGGCAGAAATGTTTTTGTTTGATTAAAAGTAGCTTTAAGAGAACAGTAATTAACTTTTTAATTTTGGCCATCAAACAAGGAGGGTTGCTCATAAAACAGAATGGGAGTTTGGTAACTATAAACCATTTATTAAATGTTTTTTAAAAATCACATTGTTTCAACATTGAATGTGGTAGAATATTCAGTATTTCCTTTAGGTTTACATGTATAGTCTTATGTCTTTTAACAACAGAAATATGTTCTGAGAAATGCATCATTAGGTGATGTACAAACATTATAGAGTGTACTTACACAAACCTACATAATATAGCCTACTACACACCTAGGATATATGTAAACCTGTAATAGTAGCTAACAGCATGTTACTGTACTGAATGCTGTAGGCAGTTTTAACAATGGTGTTTGTATATCTAAACATAGAAACTGTACAGTGAAAATATAGTAATCTTATGGTACCACCTTTATTGACTGAAACTTCAGCTAAAAATGATAAACCTGATTAATATGCAAAGCAGCCCTTATAACATGCTTTTTCAAAAACAGCTTAAGACTTTTCAGATTTCGTTAAGAAGTTATATGGTAACATGCTGACTAGAGAATGATTTATTGGGCTAGTTAGCATTTTAAAGTAAAGGGAATGGAAACCAGAAGATGATGCAAGGGTACTTTTATTCGTTGTGTTAAAAAGCCATAGTAAAAGCCGTAGTAATCATTCTAAACTGTTGGATGCTTCCTTAGTGCTGCGTATATAAAGTATGTTAATAAATTTGATATCTAGGGTACTTGTTAGAACCCTAACTGGCATAGCCTATAACTCCAGAATCACCATTCTAATTGTATTCTGGAGTTGTGCTCTACAGTGGTGCTATTCACATAGAATATAATGTGAAAGGTAACCCTAGAGTTGTGCAAGTAGAAGGTACTAGCTTAATGAATTTGGCTCTAATAAGTTAATAAAGTAATTTGAACATTCCTTGAGAGGTAAAGTTTAAGATGCACTGTGGGACGCTAGAAAGTAATTTGCAGGCAGCCAGGAAATCTGGTTTCTGGAACCAGTCAACTGGCACCTCACTTTCCCCATAGTACCATGGAAACTTTGATTAGATGTCTCTTCCATTGCTGATATTTTGCATTTAGGTGATGGATTGAAGTCAGGAACTAGATCTAGCATTGAGGGCACTGAAAGGTGGTTGTCATGTAGTCCAGAGGTCAAGGGTCAAGTGATTAGAAGCAGTTTGTTCAGAGGTCAAGTGATTAGAAGCAGGTTAAGCCAAAGTTAGACTCATGATTTTAGCAGGGAATGTGAATGGAAATCCATATACCCGCCCATCTCCATTGGTTGGAGACCAGCGGGTCATCTTTCTTAAATTGTATATGGGTGTATGGAAGGGATTTGAAATTGACGAGTCGTATAACTGAGTAAGGACAGAGAAGCCGGACTCTATTTTTCCATTAGGTCTAGGGCTTTCTAGTGCTTAAGATGAGTTCTTGCTCCTGCTCTGTTACTCAGGCAGTGGCTTGATTGTGGTAGACACTTATGACCTACACATTTTAGCCTAGGCTGATGCCTTTCCACAGTTATGTTCCTGGTTTGTTTGTTTGTTTTTAGTTCTTTCTCTGTCAGTTACAGGTACATTTTCCCAAATCATCTGAACTCAAAATTCTCCTAACTTTTCCATGAAGCCTTTATTGTTCTTTGCCTAGCTGGAAGAGACTTTTTCTATAATTTTTGGTACTTTTTACTTGTTACTTTTTATTATATCTTGTGTTATGCATACATTTATCCCCTACTATATTACTGAAAGCAGGGACTTTGTCTTAGTGCTACAGGTTTTTGTTTTTGTTTTTGTTTAATTTGAGACAGGGTCTTACTCTGTCACCCAGGCTGGAGTGCAGTGGCATCATCATAGCTCACTGCAGCCTCCATCTCCTGGACTGAAGTGATCCTCCCGCCTCAGCCTCCCAAAGTGCTGGGATTATAGGCATGAGCCACTACACCTAGCAGTTTTCTCAAACTTTAGTGTATAGAGGAGTCACCTGAAGAACTTATTAAAGTTTGGATTCCTGGACCCCCTATTCTGATTACTTGGTTCTGATTTAGGCCTGGGAACCTACATTTTAACAAGTTCCTCAGATGAGCTTGAGTATGTGGGCTAGAGGAACATGTGGTTTACAGCATCTAGCCTAGTACCTCGTTTTGCTCTTCTATTGCCTGAGTGGTTAAGTCAGTGATCAGTTAAAACCAATAATCATTGGTAACTCTGCTAGAAGAACCAGTCTTAACACCTGTGAGGAACTAGATCTATTTTGTTCCTGGCTACCTAGTATTTTACAGGTTTTTGTGTTTACATGAACTTTTTGTACCCTCAGTTTAAGATGCCCTTTGATTTTAGTTTTAAATTTTTTTTTATTATAATTTTTTTCATTAAGCCTCTTCCATTTTAGGATGATTTTAATTTTAAAGCTTCTGAATACTCTCTCAATTATCAATGTATATATATTGTGGACATATGCATTTGAGTTTTGTTGTTGTTTTGCCTTTAAACTTATATGTCTTATTAAAATAAACTCTACAGAAATTGCTATATTCAGTCTTTGTAGGAACTAACAGAAGAAGTCTTTCTTACTAAGTCTTTTTTTGGGGGGTTCAGGAACAGGGTCTTGCTCTGCCATGGAGGCTGGAGTGTGGTGGCACGATCTTGACTCATTGCAACCTCCTCCTCCCAGGCTCAAGTGGTCCTCCCACCTCAACCTCCCGGGAAGCTGGGACTACAGGCATATGCGGCCACACCTGACTAATTTTATGTAGTTTTGGTAGAGACAGGGTCTCCCCGTGTTGTTCAGGCTGGTCTCCTGGACTCAAACAATCTGCCTGCCTGGCCTCCCAAAGTGCTGGAATTACAGGCTTGAACCACCATGCCCGGCTATTTCTTACTAATACTTAATTTGTATTAAGTATTAGTAAGACAAATTTTTATTATTATTATTTTTTGAGACAGAGTCTTGCCCTGTCGCCCAGGCTGGAGTGCAGTGGCATGATATTGGATCACTGCAATCTCTGCCTCCCAGGTTCAAGCAGTTCTCCTGCCTCAGCCCCCTGAGTAGCTGGGATTACAGGCGCATGCCACCATGCCCGGCTAACTTTTGTGTTTGTAGTAGAGCAGGGTTTCACCATGTTGGTCAGGCTGGTCTTAACTCCTGACCTTGTGATCTGTCTGCCTCGGCCTCCCAAAGTGCTGGGATTACAGGCGTGAGCCACCGTGCCCGGCGAAAAATTATTATTTTATAGTGATACACTTTTGTATTAGATATTATAGGGAAAACCAGAATAAGTAGATACTTAAAGATTTTCTGGCGCAATGGAGTGCTGAAGACAAACACGTAAAATAGTTAACATTCAAGGCAGTTCGCAACATAGGACCAAATGAATGGTCTGCATCAATAAAAGTAAATAGTTATTAGAGTTCAAAGAAGTGGGGGAGATGAACACGTACTAGAGAACCTGGAAAGCCTCCATGGAGAAGGCAACAGGAGCTGAACTTGAAGGTGTTTTAGATTTCAGTCAGAGGAAAAGAGCGTTCTTAGAGGGAAGAACATACAAAGATTCATTTTACAATTGGAAAAAACGGAAGCTCAGAAAGGTAAAGTGAGTGTGTGCTGAGGTGCCAGTCTCCTGACCACTGCTCTGCTTTGTGCAGCATTTGGAGGTTTTTCATTGTTGCCAAGTAGAAGACAGGCAACATTATGATAACCATATTTCAAAGCACTGATAACTAAATTAAATTAAATTAATTAATTAATTTATTTATTTATTCATTTTGAGGTGGAGTCTCACTTTGTCTCCCAGGCTAGAGTGCAATCCTGTTTGTTCTACCTTGAGACTATATCCAGAATCCAGAATCCAAGTAACATCTTACCTTTACCCCTTCCATTCTTGTCCATACCACTAGCATCTCTGGCCTGGATTATTGGAGTTGCTTCCTAGTTGTTTTCCCTGTTTCCATTCTTGCCCTACCATCTGTTTTGAACATAGCAGCCAGAGTGGTTCAATTTAGTCAGGTCATGTCAATTCTCTGCTCAGAACCCTGTTAATGACTCCCATTTTACTGAAAGAGACCAAAGTTTTTCCAGTGGCTGGAAGCTATCTGTGATCTGCTTCCCTCTCCCTGCCCACTGCTTGACCTCTCAGCTCATATCCTACTACTTTTCAGCTTCAGCCACACTAACTTCTTGCAGTTCCTTGAAGACTGTAGGCCTAGTCTTGCCTCAGGACCTTTACCTAGACAATTCTTTTTTCACCTGTCCTGCTGCGGCTCATTTCTTCCCTTCTCTGCAAGGTCAACCAGGCTACCTTATTTAAAACTGTGCCCCATCTCACTTTACCAGCTTATTACCTTCTGATATACTGTATATAGTATTTATTAATTTTGTTTGTTCTTTGTCTCCTCTTGCTAGTTTCAGAGAAGACAGGGAATCTTGTCTATTTGATTTATTTTTATTTTTATTTATTTGTTTTTTATTTTTTTGAGATGGAGTCTCGCTCTGTCACCCAGGCTGGAGCGTAGTGGCGCGATCTCGGCTCACTGTAACCTCCACCTCCTGGGTTCAAGCAGTTCCCTGCCCCAGCCTCCTGAGTAGCTGGGATTACAGGCACCTGCCGCCACGCCTGTCTAATTTTTGTATTTTTAGTAGAGATGGGGTTTCACCATATTGGGCAGGCTGGTCATGAACTCCTGACCTCATGATCCCCCCGCCTCAGCCTCCCAAAATGCTGGAATTACAGGCGTGAGCCACTGTGCCCGGCCTATGTGGTTTATTGATGTATCTCCATTGCCTCAAACATGGTCAGGCATCTGATAGATGCACAATAAATATTTGTTGCATGCATGAGTGAATAGAATAGAACAGAATAGAATAGAATAGAATAGAATAGAATAGAATAGAATAGAATAGAATAGAATAGAATAGAATAGAACAGAACAGAATGCAAGGTAGACAGGCAGTCCCAACTCTCATGAAGCTTACAGTTTGTGGTTTCTTTACTCCAAATGACGTTAACCATGTTTTTCACATTTTTTGGTATGTGTAATTCAAAACCTTTGTGAAATAATAAGCATTTAAACTTTAGGAAGCAGTGTTTCTTAAAAAGAATGTGATCTTGGGGTATGTTTTGAATCAACTGAAAACTATAAAACATTAAATAGAAAAGCTGTGTGCCAGGAAAGGTGATTGCTTGATCAGTTTTTGAAAAATGCCACTAGATAATTTTTGATCTTAATTCATTCCTGTGGAACACTTAACTACAAAATTTCCTTGAAATAAAATGCAAGTTATTAGTGGGATTGTTAGTGGGATTCCCAAATGAAATGATTTTTAGCTCTCATTAAGACTCTTTCTTTCTCTTTCTTTCTTTCTTTCTTTCTTTCTTTCTTTCGTTCGTTTGTTTTCCTCTAGGCTGGAGTGCAATGGCACGATCTCGCCTCACTGCAACCTCTGCCTCCGGGTTCAAGGATTCTCCTGCCTCAGCCTCCTGAGTAGCTGGGATTACAGGCACATGCCGCCATGCCTGGCTAATTTTTTGTATTTCACTAGAGATGGGCTTCCGCCATGTTGGCCAGGCTGGTCTTGAACTCCTGACGTCAGGTTATCTGTCCCCTGTTGGCCTCCCAAAATGCTGGGATTACAGGCGTGAGCCAACATACTCAGACTTTTTCTTATCTTTTTGCAGTCTACCATAGAAAAACACAGAATTTCATTTCTGTTCATTTAAAATTCTGTGGTAGAAAATCAAATATGGAAGACTTTTGAACAAATATCCAGTGTTGAAGCAAATGTAAATAGTAGATATTATATTGATGCCAACTGAGGAAATATGATTAGACTTAGTCAATAAATGAAGCTGTTAACATAATCTGTCATGTGCCAGTTTAAATAATGAAAGCATTACTGTAGTAGGATGTTTTGTTAAATGTCCTACAAGGCCTGTATCTTTCTGTGCAAGCCTACCATGTGGTAGACACTTAATAATAGTTGATGATAATAATGCTGAATTATCTGCCTCTTAAATTTGTTTATCTGAGGGAAGAGGTGCTTATTTGTATATAAACTGCTAATTTATCTGTTAGTAACTGACATTTTTTCTTTACTTTTTCCTGAAGATTTGCAATTAATTTAATAATAGAATAAACATTTTTGTATTGTTTTTATATAGGATAAATAATGAAGCTTATAAAACCAGGCCTTAGCAGCCACACTGTAAAGACTAAAGAAAAGGACATTTTCAGTTGGTATAAATTTTCTTTTTGTTTATTTGGTGTAAATTTTGAATTTCTTCTTTTTTTTGGTCTGAAAAATTAATTTAGCTCAGCATGGCCTATCTGGATATACTTTTTTTTTTTTTTTTTCTTGGAGACACACTCTCTCTGTCATCCAGGCTGGAGTGTAGTAGCAGCCAGGATCACGGCTCACTGCAACCTTTACCTGCTCAGCTCTAGCAATCCTTCCACCTCAGCCTCCCAAGTACTCTGCAGGCATATGTTCCACAGGCACCTGCCACCATGCCTGGCTAATTTTTTTTTTTTAATTTTTTGTAGTGGATACAATTTTTATTTTTTGTAGAGATTTATTTTTTGTATTTTTTTATAGAGGTCTCCCTCTGTTTCCCAGGCTGGTCTTGAGCTCCTGGGGTCAAGTGATCCACCTGCCTCAGCTTCCTAAAGTGTTGGGATTACAGGCGTGAGCCACTGTGCCTGGCCTGGGTGTTTTCTTTACAATTGAGTTTACCATTTGTAGCAGCAAAAGAAAAGAAAAATAACTCCACATTACCTCTCTGTTTAGTTTCATTTCGGAGCCAGAGTTTGTTAAAAGTGTGAAATACTGTGCCAGGCTCAGTGGCTCATGCCTGTAATCCCAGCATTTTGGGAGGCCGAGGCGGGTGAATCATCTGAGGTCAGGAGTTCGAGACCAGCCTGACCAGCATGGTGAAGCCCCAACTCTACTAAAAATACAAAAATTAGCCAGGCATGGGGTACACATCTGTAGTCCCAGCTACTCAGGAGGCTGAGGCAGGAGAATTGCTTGAACCCAGGAGGCAGAGGTTGCAGTGAGCCGAGATTGTGCAGTTGCACTCTAGCCTGGGCAACAGGGCGAGACTCCGTCTCAAAAAGAAAAAAATAAAAAAGACCGGAAATAAAAAGTCTGCTTGGGACCAAGCATGGAAGATTATGCCTGTAATCCCAGCTATACCTTTGAAGCTGAGTCGGGAGGATGACTTGGACCCAGGAGTTCAAGGCTGCAATGAACTATGATTGGGTCACAGCACTCCAGCCTGGGTAACACATCTCTGAGAAATAAAAAATTTAAAAATAAAAATATAATAAAATGGCCAGTGCTGTTGCTCATGCCTGTAATCCCAGCACTTTGGGAGGCTTAGGCAGGTGGATAGCTTGAGTCTAGGAGTTTGAGACCCCATCTCTACAAAAAACTGCAAAAAATTAACCAGGCATGGTGACATGCACCTGTAGTCCTGCTACTCAGAAGGCTGAGGTGGGAGGATCACTTGAGGTGAGGAGGTCAAGACTGCAGTGAGCTATGATTGCACCCCTGCACTCCAGCTTGGGCAACAGAGCGAGACCCTGTCTCAAAAAAATGTGTGTGTGTGTGTGTGTGTGTGTGTGTGTGTGTGTGTGTGTAAGTAAAATTAAAAGTCTGCCTGGCAGAAAATTAGGTGTATATTATAAAAATCTGTATAGGCACTCCCAGTATTTTGAATGAAGGCATGTCAACAAAACTAGATGTAAAAACCTCTCTGTGAAGTGAACATTATTTCGTTACTAATTTTTATTTATAAAACCAGAAATACTTTACTGAGGGGTAAGGCAGTTACACTTGTTTTTTGTTTTGTTTTCTTTTCTTTTTGTGGAGAATGGGGTCTTGCTGTATTGCAGGTTTTGAACTCCTGGGCTCAAGCGATCCTTCCACCTCTGCCTCCTTAAGTGCTGGGATTACAGGCATGAGCCACTGGACGATACCTGGCCTGAGGTGTAGGAAGAAGAAATAATTCCAGTATATAAAGTTGGAAATTATACAAAGAAGGCAGGATCTCTAGATTATTCTGCTTGTCTTATAATTGCTGGGCCTCTAATTAATTTTTAGCATTCACCTGTAGGTTTCCTTTTATTTTGAGTACTGGGAGTTTTTATTTTTATTTTTTTTATTTTTTTTTTGAGATGGAGTCTACTCTGTCGCCCAGGCTGGATTGCAGTCACGCAATCGGCTCACTGCAACCTCTGCCTCCCAGGTTCAAGTGATTCTCCTCCCTCAGCCTCCCAGGTAGCTAGGATTACAGGTGCCCACCACCGCACCTGGCTAATTTTTGTAATTTTAGTAGAGATGGGGTTTCACCATGTTGGCCAGGCTGGTCTCGAACTCCTGACCTCAGGTGATCTGCCTGCCTCCGCCTCCCAAAGTGCTGGGATTACAAGCATGAGCCACCGTGCCTGGCCTGATTTCTTAATTAGTTGTGTAGTCTTTGGACTTAGTTTCCTGTGGGTTCAGCAATAAGTATAGTTATCTTAATAAAACTCATATTTTAGGCTTTTCAACCTCAGATTTTCTGCATATATCAAAATAAATTCTGGGCTGGGTACAGTGGCTCACATCTGTAATCCCAGCACTTTGGGAGGCCAAAATGGGGAGATTGAGGCCAGGAGTTGAAGACCAGTGTGGGCAACATAGTGAAACCCTGTGTCTACCCTTCCCCCGAAAAAAAGCCAGACATGGTGGCATTCTTCTGGAGTTGCCGCTACTCAGGAGGCTGAAGCAGGAAGATCACTTGAGCCCATAAGTTTGAGGTTGCAGTGAGCTATGATTCCCTCCTTTGCACTTCAGCCCCATCCTGGATGATAGAGCAAGACCCTGTCCATCTGTCCATCCGTCCATCCATCCATCCATCCATCCATCCATCCGTATTCATTCATTGTACTTAAGAATGAGCTATATAAAAGTGAAACCACGGGAGTTCTAGAAGAACATATAGGTGCATATTCTTATAATCTGGGACGAGGAAAATCTAAACATGATATTAATATTAGTTGACAAACTACTGATGAGAGCATAATGTCAGAATAATCGAAAAATTATTAAAAACTATTTGGTTAGGGCAGAATTTCTGGAATGTTGGATTAAGGTGCTTGGGAAATCCTCCCTCCATAAAGCAGATAAAACTGGACAAATTTATAAAAAAAAAAAATCAACCATTTTGAACTTGTGTAGATTGTTCCCAGCAGCATTACTAAATAGCCAAAAATTGGAAACAATCCAAATGCCCATTAACTGGTGAATAGATAAGCATAATGTGTATTCATCAGTAGAATACTACTCAGCAGTAAAAAGGAGTGAATCTTGATACATGGTACAGCATGAAGCTCAGAAATATTTTGCTAAATTAAAGAAGCCACAAAAGATGACATATCCTTTCATTTATGTGAAATGTCCAGGAATAGCGAATTTATAGGGACAGTGAAAGCAAGATTAGTAGTGGTTGTCTAGGGCTGTAAAGGGACATGAGGGATCTTTTAGGGGTGATGAAAATGTTCTAAAATGGAATTGTGATGATCGTACAACTGTAAATTTACTAAAAATCATTGACTTGTACACTGAAAATAGGCAAATTTTATGGTCTGTATATTATACCTCAATAAAACTTATTTAAAATGTTGGCAGGGGCAGAGGGACAACAGGTTTTTTCCCCTGCTGCAAAGGAGTAGTCCAAGTACAGCACATGTCTGCAGATGGCATTTATGTATAATAGATGGCTGCTGCTTTTTTTTTTTTTTTTTTTTCTCTAAATCAGGTGTCCTGAGAGATTGGGACCAAGAGGGAGATAGAACACTGGCAGTTGGGGTTCATGTTAGGGTTTCAGACACATCAAAGACAGCATCCTTCTTTGTTTTAAGTTTATAAAATAGGGTTCAATAAATACCTGTCTTATAGAATTTGGACAGTTTTTTCCACATAAAGCCTTCCAGAAGATACTAAGAGCTATAGATTTTAATAACTTAACAAATGTAATAACGTTCTACATTGTCTTTGCAAATAGGTGTATACCCCAAGTATGAATGATACCTTATTTTGGATGGGACAGGATGGTGAAAATGGCCACGATGTTTGGAAAAACCAGTTCAGGGGCAATAATTTTTAATACTTATTAGCAAAGTAGTCTTGAAATTATTAATTTTTTGTCAAAATCCTCCCATTAAAAAATTCTTGAAGACAGCATAATTTGATTTGAATACATCACATTTAATAGAAATTTAATTCACCCTTTCAGACTTTAACTCCCCTCCCCCTATTTTAATTAAATGGAGGGATTGGCTTGGATTCTTTCTAAGCTAATGCTTTGTGGTTTGATCCTGTTAAATTTATTTTTTAAACAAACAGCATATTTTAATTTATTTACCCAACAAATAAGCATTAAACATGTTAATCAAGACACACCACCTGTCCTCAGAGAACAGTAATGGGTACATTTGGTCAACAAATAACTCAAAGTCTGAAGTACTAATGTGGTTATTTATTTATTTATTTATTTATTTATGTAGAGATGGAGTTTCGCTGTTTTCGCCCAGGCTGGAGTGAAGTGGTGCGCTGTTAGCTCGCTGCAACCTCCGCTCCCGGGTTCAAGCAATTCTCCTGCCTCAGCTTCCCTAGTAGCTGGGATTACAGGTTCGTACCACCACACCTGGCTAATTTTTGTATTTTTATTAGAGACGGGGTTTCACCACCTTGCCCAGGCTGGTCTCCAACTCCTGACCTCAGGTGATCCGTCCCCTCTCGGCTTCCCAAAGTGCTGGGATTACAAGCGTGAGCCACCACGCTTGGCCTTGATGTGGTCTTATCTGCTGTCAAGCTACATGAGTTGGAAGCTACATGAGTTGGGGTGGAGAGTTGTCAATGCTGTTTCAGGAATCATTGCTCCTAAAGGGGAGCCATAAGTCTTTAAGTATGGATAGTTTTCCAGGTGAAGAGCTCATTCGACGGAAGTGTTCATAGTGAAAGAAGGAAATCAGTTGGTGGTCTCATTTGAGTAGAGTAACTGTATATCCCTTACTTAAAATATACAATTAACTGTTGGTTTATTCCAGCAAGTGAAATTTTTGACTTCCATTTATTTTCTGTGCTTTTTTTTTTTTTTGAGATGGAGTTTCGCTGTTGTCGCCCAGGCTGGAGTGCAATGGCGTAATCTCGGCTCACTGCAACCTCAGCCTCCTGGGTTCAAGTGATTCTCCTGCCTCAGCCTCCCAAGTAGCTGGAATTACAGGCATGCACCACCACGCCCAGCTAATTTTGTATTTTTAGTAGAGACGGGGTTTCTCCATGTTAGTCAGGCTGGTCTCGAACTCCCGACCTCAGGTGATCTGCCTGCCTTGGCCTCCCAAAGTGCTGGGATTACAGGTGTGAGCCACCACACCCAGCTCTGTGCTTTTGTTCCATCAATGTTTTGTTGTTGTTGATTGATTCTCTCTCTGTCACCCAGTCTGGAGTGCAGTGGTGTGATCTCAGCTCATTGCAACCTCCACTTCCTGGGTTAAAGCAATTCTTGTGCCTCAGTCTCCCATCGTAGCTGGGATTACAGGCGTGTGTCACCACGCCCGGCTAATTTTTGTATTTTTAGTAGAGACGGGGTTTCACCATATTGGCCAGGCTGGTCTTGAACTCCTGACCTCAAGAAATCCGCCCACCTTGGCTTCCCAAAGTGCTGGGATTACAGGTGTGAGTCACTTCTCCTGGCCTGTTCCATCAACTTTTAAAAATCTTCTATCACTATTAAGTTTAATTCTTGATTTTTTTTTCCTTTTTCTCTTCTTGCCCTCCCTGCCCTTTTTTTTTCTGCTTACGTAAAATTCTTGATTTTAAATGATGGTCCACAGCTGCTGTAGTCTGACTTGTGTCCCATAAGGGCTGATGACTCAAACATCAGAATTGTTGTTCAGTTTTAATTTTCAAGATCACTTTTGAGTTTGATTGCTTCCCTGGTTTTTTTTTTTTTTTAAGTTGACAAAATTTTTTCCAAGCTTTGTAATGCTCAGTGTGTGAAGCAAATACACAACCATTTATGAAGTCTTTAATAACTAATAAAACTGGAATCTACACATTGTCATATAAATTGGAAAATTAGAATATCTTGTTTGTGGAGAGCATTTTCAGGTTATTTGACTTAACAATGATGTTATGAGACTACATGGAAGAATAATTGGATCTTGAGCTGTTTAAACATGTGCTAAATAGAAAGAAACAAAGCTTCAGAGGACCTCAGGTGACACCTGGTCCTGTCTTCTGATTTTTGACAGATGAGAGTTTTAGGGATTTAGATAATTGGCTTAGTAATTGAATCAGTGAAACAGCTACTCCAGGCTCTTTCTGCTGAATTGTAAGGGGAAATCAGTGTCTCTTGAAATGTTTGCTGTAAAAAAAAGGAAGACACTATTTTCTGATCAGTTGTACATTTCAAATTCTAAACATTTTTTTGAGCATTGTTAAACACTGTCAAGCCGTGTGGATGTGAAGGTGAATAAGACAGAATAGTGAATAAGATAGCCTTTGTTGTCACAGGAGTTTGCAAGATTATCTAACATTTAGGAAGTGAGACAAATGGGCTTATGCTGTCCCCTGCACCCCAGCAAATGTGTGAAATGTCCCCTTGCTTGTCACTCCACTTCATCGTCCTTCTGCACGTTTAATGCTGTCCATACATGCTGACTTCCTCCTGCTTCTTTCTGCTAGTCATACCTTTTACCATCTCAGGGTTCCTATATTATTCTGTTCCCTCTGCCTGAAATACTTCTGAATATTCTTCATCTCCACCCCATCCCCCTTTTTAACCTGATCTACTTCTCCTCTGTCAAATTTCATTTCATCAGAGATTATGTCTATATAGCACACCCCTTAACTCTAGTCCCTGCTGTGAAGCTCATAGTTCTGGTTTTTTTCTTTATAGCACTTAGTATATATTATTATGTTTGTTTGTATGATAATTACATTACTTTTCTCAATAGACTGTAAGCTCCCTGAGAGCAGAGACTATTTTTCTTTACTGTGTCTCCTGCACTTAGTGTAACCTCAGTAGGTGTTTGAGTATTAGAACTTTTTTTTGTAAAGCTACGTTGTTGCTATAAATCAGAGTTTAGTTTATGTTTTTTGTTTTAGAGGGAGTTTCACTCTGTTACCCAGGCGGGAGTGCAATGGTGCACAGTCTTGGCTCACTGCAGCCTCCACCTCCCGGGTTCAAGCAGTTCTCCTGTCTCAGCCTCCCGAGTAGCTGGGACTACAGGTGCACGCCACTACGCCTGGCTAATTTTTTGTGTGTATTTTTAGTAGAGACATGGTTTCACCATATTGGTCAGGCTGGTCTCGAACTCCTGACCTCAAGTAATCTACCAGCCTCAGCCTCCCAAAGTGCTGGGATTACAGGCGTGAGCCACCATGCCCAGCCAGAGTTTAGTTTTTTGTAAAGGGTCATATAGTGACCGTTTTTGGCTTTGTGGGCCACACGATCTCTGTCCCAACCCTGCTAATGCGGCAGGAAAGCAGCCATAGATAGACAATATGTAAAGGAATGGGCATGGTCCTTTTCCAGTGAAACTTTGTTTACTAAAACGCTAAGCAGGCTATAAGTTTGCTGACTTCTACTATAAATCATCATCCCCTGATCTTGTTGGACTTGAAAGCCCTTGTTATGCAATCTTGCAAATCCCCTCTTAGGGTTTTTTGAAAAATGATTTTATTTTTGTATGGTAGATGTTAAAGAGGTGATTTTTAAAAAGTCTGATCTTAAAGTAATGTAAAATACAATCTTAAATATATTAATTATATATTTTTAGTTTCTCCAGTTTACTAGTAGGCATATGCTTTTGTTAACTTTACATTTGTATTTAAGTAAAACATGATTCTTGATATTGATGTTAAAATAAAAAGATTGGTTTGGTTTTGGGATAGATTAAAATGTAGATTGAAATTTTACAATGCGTTTCATTTTCAAAAAAGACTATTTTTGCAACCTGATGCTTGAAATACCATATAATATTATTTTGTTCTTAAGTGACAGATGAAGAAACATTCCAGGTTGCTGTTTGCAGAACTTCTGTGCAAGTAAGGAGTTATTACAATGAAAAGCAAATTCACTATAAGCACCAGTGTTTATTTTTCTTACTTTTTTCTTTTTTTTTTTTTTTTTCAGACAGTGTTGCTCTGTCACCCAAGCTGGAGTGCAGAGGCATGATCTCAGCTCACTGCAGCCTTCGCCTCCTGGGTTCAAGTGATTCTCCTGCCTCAGTCTCCTGAGTGGGATTACAGGCTTGTGCCACCTGGCCCAGCTAGGTTTTGTATTTTTAGTAGAGACGGGGTTTCACCATGTTGACCAGGCTGTTCTCGAACTCCTGACCTCAAGTGATCTGCCCACCTCAGCCTCCTAAATTGCTGGGGTTACAGGGGTGAGCCACTGCGCCCGGCCTATTTTTCTTTTTTCTTTTCTTTTCTTTTCTTTCCTTTTCCTTTTTCTTTTCTTTTTTTTTTTTTTTTTTTTTTTGAGATGGAGTTTCGCTTTTGTTGTCCAGGTTGGAGTGCAGTGGAGTGATCTCAGCCTCCCAAATTGCTGGGGTTACAGGTGTGAGCCACTGCGCCTGGCTGTTTTTCTTTTTTAACGTTGTTTGAAAGTCTAGAATCATTTTTATGTGCTAGATGAGAGATTTGATCTGATAAATCAAACTCAGATGTCTGCATCTCAAGTGTATTTGTAGAATTATTTTTCTGTTTTCTATTAATTTAGATTGAATGTCAGAGTACCCATTATAGGTATTAAAATGAATATTACATAAGAAAAAATAACAACTTAAAAATGTTCAGAATTGTTTAAATAAAAACTTTAGACAGACATTTAGCAGAATTTAGGTGAGCATTAAAGGATTCAGGCAGCATTCAAAACTGGAAGAAGTTCAGAGAGCTCTGCTTTAGAAGCAGGCTTTTATAGGCTGAACGCTGTAGCAAAGTAAAGGAATTACTTGATTGGCTGTAGCTAGGCACTTGCCTTATTTGGATATGATCCAGTGGAAAGTCCCTAGTTAGAGGTTTGTTTTTGATTGGTTAAGCTTAAGTTTCATTTTATGTTTACATTGGGCTTCAGTTTGCTTACTAGGCACTGGAGCCAGCTGTCTCAGCCTAATGGCTGCCCAATTTAAAAAAAAAAAAACATTAAAATGGCATGTAGTTGTCATCATCAGAGTAAGAAACCAAAGAAGAGACCGTCATGAATGGGATCATTAGATCATGGACTGACACACATGTTCACTTAATACCCACAAGAGTGTCTTCACACTTTTTTGTCATGGATGGGACTTGTTTTCTGTTTTTTGTTTTGTTTTGTTTTTGATACAGTAAAATACTTAGGAGTTCTTGCAACTTTCTATAAGTTGTTTACATTTTACTCCAATTGCTTTATCATTGTGTGTATTTTGGAGGTACAGTTTTTTTCCTGAACCACTCTGAAAGTGGAAATATGCCCTTTTATCCCTAAATACTTAAATGCATATTTCCTGAAATCAAAGGCATTTTCTTACATAACCACACATAACCACAGTACAATTATCAAAATCAGAAAATGTAATAATGATACCATACTATTAACCTGATTCACAGACTATATTCAGGTTTTATAAATTATTTCAATAATGTCTTTTATAGCTCTTATACCTCAATCCAATTCAGTCTGTCATCACACACTGAATTTAACTGGCATGTCTCTTTCTTCCTTGCCTTTCCCCTTTCCTCTTTCCTTTTTTCTTCTTTCTTAGAGACAGGGTCTCATTCTGGTGCCCAGGCTAGGGTGCAGTGGTGCAATAATGGCTCACTGCAGCCTTGACCTCCTGGACTCAGGCAATCCCCCAACCTCAGCCTCCTGAATACTTGGGAATATAGGCACATGCCATTATGCCTGGCTAATTTTTTTTACTTTTTGTAGAGATGGAGTCTCACTACGTTGCTCCGGCTGGTCTCGAACTCCTTACCTTAAGTAAGCCACCTTCCTTGGCCTCCCAAAGTTTTGGGATTACAAATGTGAGCCACTGCGGCTCTTTAATTTTTCTTATTCTAAAACAGTTCTTCAGCCTGCCTGCCTCCTCTTCTCCCCTCCTGGTACTTTTCTTTTCTTGACCATTCCAATTTTGAATACAGACCAGTTGTTCTGTACTTAGTTTGGGTTTCGTTGCCGTTACCTTATGATTACATTAATGTTACGAATTTCAGGCTGGAATACTATAGAAGGGATGTATTCTCCTTAATGCCTCATTTAAGGAGGCACATAATCAGTGTGTCTCAATATTAGTGATTGGTTAATCATTGTATTAAGGTCATGTCTGCCAGGTTACTCCACTGCAAAAATTACTATCCTCTTTGTGATTAATAAGTAATTTGTTGGGTATATTTAGAGATGATGAAGTTGTCCTGTTTTTCATTAGTTTTCTATTCACTAGTAGTCTCAGCATCTAGTGGTGATTTTCTTTTTTCTAATTTTTAATTTTTTTTTGTAGAGACAAGGTCTCACTATGTTGCCCAAGCAGATTTTGAACTCCTGGCCTAAAGTGATTGTTCCACCTTGACCTCCCAGAGTGCTGACATTATAAGCATGAGCAGCTGCACCCTACTAGTGGTAATTTTCTAATTCCATCATTGTTTCTGCATTTACATATTGGCATTCTAATGAAGGAATGCTTTCCTTTCTTCCTTGTTGATTGGTTAAAAAAATTAAATATGGATTATGCTCTAATCCATTACTATCATTATTTATTTTGATGCTTAAATTGTTGCACAATTCCAGTGGTAGTCCCTTCTAACTGGCTTTAGTGTTCTTTTGACATACCCCTGTCATTTTTGAGCAGTCTCTTACTTTCTTGCCCAAGGTGTTGCATGCTTATCTTTTTTTTTTTTTTTTTTTTTTTTTTTTGAGACAGAGCCTCACTCTGTTGCCCCGGCTGGAGTGCAATGGCATGGTCTTGGCTCACTGCAACCTCCGCCTCCTGGGTTCAAGGGATTCTTCTGCCTCAGCCTCCCAAGTAGCTTGGATTACAGGTGCCTACCACCACGCCTGGCTAATTTTTGTATTTTTAGTAGAGACGGGTTTTCACCATGTTGGCCAGGCTGGTCTCGAACTGCTGACCTTGTGATCCGCCTGCCTTGGCCTCCCAAAGTGCTGGGATTACAGGCGTGAGCCACTGCGCCCAGCTGTGTGCTTATCTTTTACTTTCCCTGCCCTACCAGAGATCAGCTATTTCTCCAAGGATCCTTGGTTTTAGTAGAAAATGTAGTTTAGAAATCAAGATCTGGGTGTTCATTTATAGAAGGGGTCATTGCTTCTAGAACCTCTCAGCAAACAGCTAGGAAGTGTATGTATGAAAGTGTGTTTGCGTGTGTATTTCTATGTCTATATATTTTTTGAGAGACAGGGTCTCACTCTGTCACCCAGGGTGAAGTGCAGTGGTGGGATCATAGTTCACTGCAGCCTCAAACTCCTGGTGTCAAGCAATACTCCCACCTCAGCCTCTCAGGTAGCTAGGACTGCGGGCATGCCCCAACACGCCTGGCTAATTTTGTAATTTTTTGTAGAAATGGGATCTTGGTATGTTGCCCAAGCTGGTCTCAAACTCCTGGCCTCAAGTGATCCTTCCACCTTGGCCTCTCAAAGTGTTGGGATTACAGGCGTGAACCACTGTGCCCAGCCACATTTAGGTCTTTTATTTCTCTCTCTTTTTTTTTTTTTCTGTTTTGAGACAAAAATCTTGCTCTGTCGCCCAAGCTAAAGTGCAGTGGCGCGATCTCGGCTCACCGCAACCTCCGCCTACTGGGTTCAAGTGATTCTTCTGCCTAAGCCTCCCAAGTAGCTGGGATTTCAGGTGCCAGCCACTACGCCTGGCTAAATTTTTAGTAGAGACGGGGTTTCACCATGTTGGCCAGGCTGGTCTTGAGTTCTTGACCTCGTGATCCACTCGTCTCGGCCTTCCAAAGTGCTGGGATTACAGGTGTGAGCCACTGCGCCTGGGCGCGCTCTCTCTTTTTTTTTTTTTTTGAGACTCTGTCTCACTCTCGCTCAGGCTGGAGTGCAGTGGTGCGATCATGGCTCACTGCAACCTCCGCCTCCCAAATTCAAGCGATTCTCCTGCCTCGGCCACCAGAGTAGCTGGGATTACAGGAGTGCGCCATCTTGCCCAGCTAATTTTTGTGGTTTTAGTAGAGATGAGGCTTCACCATGTTGGCCAGGCTGGTCTCAAAACTCCTGGCCTCAAGTGAGACATCTTCCTCAATCTCCCAAGGCGCTGGGACTATAGGTGTGAGCTGCTGTGCCAGGCCCTTATTTCTCTTTTAATGTATAGGTTCTGCTCCTAACTCCCTCCATCTCCCTTTTTTTCCTTAAGAATCTGGATTGCTTGGACTATAAAGTTTTCCACATTCTCGACTTTGCTAATTGCATCATCATCTTGCCATTAACATGTTCCTGTGT
This sequence comes from Homo sapiens, assembly GCF_000001405.40. NCBI lineage: Eukaryota > Metazoa > Chordata > Mammalia > Primates > Hominidae > Homo > Homo sapiens. Next base: position 33,558,584 of record NC_000020.11, read on the forward strand.
CCCCTCAATGTTTTATAAATTTGCTCAATCGTATTGTTTTACTTTTTTTTTGGGTAAAGCATGATTCATTAGGAGGCATATTAATTTCCAGGTGTCTCTCGTTTTATAATAGTGGCAATTGGTGATCATTAGATTCATTTTTTCATTAGGGATTTGCAAAATGATGATATTCCAGATATATTATTTTGTCATTTACTAGTTGGATTATTTCAATAGAGATCAATTTTTCGCCAACTGTTTGGGGGGGCGGCGATTCTTGAATCTTTATTTTAGATTCGGGTACATGTGCAGCTTTGTTACATGGATGTATTGCATAGTGGTGAGGTTTGTGCTCCTAGTTAGCCTATCATCGAAATAATGAACATTGAACCCAACACTTTTCTCCAACTATTTGTTTAACTAGATGTACAGTTCATATAGGAAAGACAGATGAAATGCTTGATTCATCAGATTTTAGAATGAGTTTGGTTCTCTAGTATTCTCTGAAAGATAAGTAATCAATTAGTTTTTTTAAATAGGTATTATTATGAACTCATGATTTAAACATTTTATTGTGTTTCAATCAATTGCAGCTTCTTTTTTTCCTTTCTTTTTTTTTTTTTTTTTTTTTCTGAGATGGAGTGTCACTCTGTCACCCAGGCTGGAGTACAATGGGGCAATCTTGGCTCCAACCTCTGCCTTCCTGGTTCAAGCGATTCTCCTGCCTCAGACTCCTGAGTAGCTGGAACTATAGGCATGTGCCAGCATGCCTGGCTAATTTTTGTATTTTTAGTAGAGAGAGAGTTTCACTATCTTGGCCAGGCTGGTCTGGAACTCCTGACCTGAGGCGATCTGCCCACTTCAGCCTCCCAAGGTGCTGGGATTACAGGTGTGATCCACCACTCCTGGCCCAATTGTGATTTTTGTTGTTGTTGTTGTTGTTGAGACAGGGTCTTCCTCTGTCACCAGCCTGGAGTGCAGTGGCATGATCTTGGCTCACTGTAACCTCTGCATCCTGGGTTCAAGCCATTCTCCTGGCTCAGCCTCCCAAGTAGCTTGGATTACAGGCGCCCACCACCACACCCAGCTAATTTTTGTATTTTTTAGTAGAGGCGGGGTTTCACCGTGTTGGCTAGGATGGTCTTGATCTCCTGACCTTGTGATCCACCCACCTTGGCCTCCTAAAGTGCTGGGATTACAGGCGTGAGCCATTGCGCCTGGCCAATTGTGGTCATTTTTTATTGCTCCTCAAATTACCCCATCTTTGTTAGTGGGAGCCTCTTCACATTAACTCTCTCTGAGTCCTTGGGACATAACTCCAGAAGTGATTGATGGCCTGATTGCTTTCTGTTATGACAAGTTTTGTACATTTTCTGCCCTATACCTGGAGTTGACTATTTTCCTGAAGAGCTCTGCTTCCTTTTATTGGAAAATGCTATTTAGGATCCATAATCTGAGTGCTAGAAGTGAAAGACCCACCTTGTTTTCCTTTTTAAATAACAGTATTTATCACCTCACATGGTTTGTATGGGTCATAATTCTGAGGTGCCTTAGTTCGATGGTAGTGGCTTGGTGTCTGCTGTCAAGATGGCTTACTTACATTGTAGGCAATTTGATACCGGCTATTGGCAAGATGTCTCAGTCTCTCCCCATGTGGAAGGCTCTTAGGACTGCTTGAGTGTCTTCACAACATGGTAGCTGGCTTCCTTGAGAACAAGTGATCCAAGACAGCCAGCAGCATCTTTGGATTCATTTTCTTGTCAGCAGTGGGGTGTAGTGCTCTAGCTGTGAATTCAGACAACCTGATGCTGACACTAGCTATGTGGCATTAACTTGTTTGAACATTACTTTCCTTAGCTATAACTTTGAGACAATAATACCTACCTTATAGGCCCTTTAACATAGGACCTTTGTAGCAATGCAGGGAACTAGAATAGTCTCTGACACTTAGTGAGTACACATGACAAACACTGAACCTGCTGGTGTTACTATTATTACCACCATCACTGGTATGAAATGAAGCCCTAAAACCTAGTAATTAAGTTGCCCTTGACAGAAATAGCCTTCCTTCCTATTTGTCAAAAATTGCCATGACAGAAATATTGTTTACAGATTGCAGATATATCCCAAGTATGGTAGAAGGTTAAGGGTTAGAGAATTATAACCACACCTGTTTGACTATATATATATATATGCAGGGGATCTTTCATGCCGAATCTGTATTCATGTAGATTTTAGTATAGGATATGTGTCATGTAATGTGACCCAGGAAGAAGCCAAGACCCCCGCCTTCCCCTGGCCATCTTTTTTTGCTTTTGCTTTTGCTTTTTTTTTGAGACGGAGTCTCGCTCTGTCACCAGGCTGGAGTGCAGTGGCATGATCTCAGCTCACTGCAACCTCCACCTCCCGGGTTCAAGCAATTCTCCTGCCTCAGCCTCCCGAGTAGCTGGGATTACAGGTGCGTACCAACACGCCCAGCTAATTTTTGTGTTTTTAGTAGAGACAGGGTTTCACCATGTTGGCCAGGATGGTCTTGATCTCTTGAGCTTGTGATCCGCTTGCCTCGGCCTCCAAAAGTGCTGGGATTACTGGTGTGAGCCACAGTGCCTGGCCTTTCTTTTTCTTTTCTTTTTTAAAGATGGGGTCTCACTGTGTTGCCCAGGCTGATCTCAAACGCCTGAGCTCAAGCGACCTGACCACCTTGGCCTCCCAAAATTGCCCAGGCTGATCTCAAACGCCTGAGCTCAAGCGACCTGACCACCTTGGCCTCCCAAAGTGTTGGGATTACAGGTGTGAGTCACTGCACCTGGCTACCACCACCCACAATCTTTTAACTTTTTATTTTAAAATGTAGATTCACAGGAAGTTATAATGAAAAATGTACAGGGAGGTCCGTTGGACCCTTCACTCAATTTGCCCCAGTGGTACCATTTTGTGTAACTATAGTATGGTATCAGTTGTCAACCTTCGATTTTTATTTAGCAGAAATTGACTGAGCAGCTATTATATGCTAGCTCTTTGAGGTATAAAGGATTAAACTCTGACCTTATGGGTTTCTGTCATCTCTCTGGATTTTCATTGTTATTGTTCTTAAAATATTTTTTATTTTGGCGACTCATTGTTGACACTTATATTAGCAGTTATTTTAATGTTAAATATTATGTTATTTCTGACATTTATATTTGCTCTGTTTTAAAACAATTTTGCATTGTGTCCCCATCTTCCATTTATAATCTTTACAGCATCAGAACCATGTTGCCTGCATTGTCTTATTTTAATCACGTGCCAGTTTTGCAGTGCTACCAAGTCTGGATCTGAGAGGCAGCTTGTGTGAATCATTTACATACATTTCTGTTTATATTCCCCAAATTAATTTGCAACTTTATATTTTTCATCCAATTATATGTTCAAAACATATTTTTAATAATTGATTTTAAGAAGGAATTTGTTATATTAGGATTTAAAAACTGGCTCAAAAAACAGAAGCTATTAAACAATAGCAGAAACCAGACAGTATATAGGACTTTAAATGGTAATTGCTAAACATTTGAATGTTCCCAAAAATGTGAGTCTGTGTGTCTCTGTGTGTCTCTACGTGTTATTCCACTAGGGATTTGCACAGATAGGTTTTGCACAATATCCTTGCTGTTATTGTCAGCCATAAACAAATTACACGTATTTAACAAGTTAATGTCAGATTGGCCAGGAGCCACTGGGAGGTGTGTACTTAGTGACATCAGCTGGCAAAGAGCCCTGGTAACAGGGAGGGTTGGAAGGGTAGTGGAGAGAGAGGAAGCAGGAGGGAGGGAGAAAAAGAGAGAGACTGACTGTATCTGGGGATTCTGGCAAGGTGAAGAGCTGGTCTGTTTGGCAGGACCTTCCCATCTGGGATCCATCTGTGTTTCCCTGGAATGGGACAGGCAGCTCTAGTCAGTGAGAAATCGCAGATGTGAGAGAGCTGACACATGTCCAGCTAATGAAAGGAGGAGGAAGGCTGGTCTCCGATTGAGCTTTGAAGATTAGGAGGAGAAAAAGAGGAGCTTTGGAATATCTATTTCAAATAAATTTGGTGTATTTAAGAATCTGGATTGTTTATAATTTGGGCATTTGGGGTAAGTACATTTTAATATAGTTTTGGGGGTTAAAGTGCACAATTCTCTGCCTTTCAAAGCTTTTTACTTCTTTCAAATTACGATGATATGAATGTTTCTTGGTATTTGATACAAGAGTTCAGCCTTTCTACTCAGTTTTATTTTAATGCTTCATTTTATTTATGTTTCTATTTTTCTGTTGCCAACCTTATATTTGAATGTCATGCTTTTTTGAATGCAAGGTTTACTTAATAATTAGATGTAGTATATGAATTCTACAGCTAGAAAAGTAGTCCCACAAATATTTCTGTAAGGTTTTCCACGTTGGATTGTTCTGTGATGTTTAGAGGGAATTTTTTTCCCCTTTAGTATGCATAATACAAATAGGCCATATTAAAAAGATGGCTCATAAAACGCTCTTTTCTATTGTCAGATTTTATTTCAGTATATGCAGGCAAATTATAACTAAAAGAGGTTGAAGCAAAACTAACAGCATCTCTTCGTTTTAGATATATCTAACAGTTTTTCATTTACATTTTGCTCCTATGCTGTTTTCTTCTGTTTTCTTGCTACATATAAAATAAATAACATCAATGAATCTGACTTGAATTGTGAGTTTGGGGTAGTTTTGTGATGCAATAAATTCATGTGCATATAACTACGTACTGTGTTCTGTAGTCCTGGTTAGTTTGTGATGCCTATTTTAGATTTTTGCTATTTCTTATATATAAGAAATAGAGATGGGTCTCACTGTGTTGCCCAGACTAGTCTCTTAAACTTCTAGGCTCAAGTGATCCTTCTGCCTCAGCTTCCCAAAGTGTTGGGATTGCAGGCATGAGCCACTGCACCTGGCCACTTTTTACTGTTTCCATACATTGTATTCATGTTTTTGAGGCCTTCGAATCTAGGCTTCCTTTCCATGTTCTATGGAAAGAACATGAGTTTGGGAGTTACACAAACTGTGTACCCATTATTTACTAGTTCTGTAATCTCAAGCAAGCCACTGTTCTCTTTGAATCTCTATTTTGTGTAATTCCTGACTGATGTTGTTATTGGGGAAATTTGTCTGGCACATAGAAAGCATACAAGTTGGTTTCAAGAGTTCTAGATGTTCACTTTTTTTGCTGCGATAGATTCCTAAACCCCTTGCATTTTTAACTTCAGCTCCTGGGCAAGAATGGGTCTGGCCTGTAGTTCTAGTTTTCAGGGCGCCCTTCCTCTTGCTGTACTCGTCTCAGATTGTCTGCATCTATTCTAAATGTTCTATGCTATATTTGCCAAACTATACCAGAACAGAAGAACTTTGAAAAAGTCAACAAGCAGGAGTGAGGTACTGAATTGTACTGCTTTGTGACGACACTGTTGAAATTGTTCCCCCCACTCCGCGACCTCCCGCTGGAAAATTGTTTTTCCCCCGTGTATTACAAGTCACGCAAAAATTCTACCATTTCTCAAATAGAAACTTTAAAAAATATTTTTATTCCTTAAAGTTCTTCAGCCTTTATTTATATTAATTGGGTAATTAAGTGGACAGTATAGTACTCTTCAATTTCTTCCTTCAATTTTATAGTCAGATTTCTTGAGGTGGAGGGGACTTTTTTCTTTTTCTTTCTTTTTTTTTTTTTTCCGAGATGGAGTCTCACTCTGTCGCGCAGGTGGAGTGCAGTGGCGCGGTCTCGGCTCACTGCAACCTCCACCTCCCGGGTTCAAGCTATTCTGCCTCAGCCTCCCAAGTAGCTGGGAGTATAGGCGTGCCACCATGCCTGGCTAATTTTTGTATTTTTAGTAGAGACGGGTTTTACCATGTTGGTCAGGCTGGTCTTGAACTCCTGAACTTGTGATCCGCCTGCCTCAGCCTCCCAAAGTGCTGGGATTAAAGGAGTGAGCCACCGCGCCTGGCCCTCTTTTTTTCTTTTCTCTTTTCTTTTCTTTCTTTTTTTTGGGACATGGTCTCAAACTCTGTTGATCAGGCTAGCATGCAGAAGCATGATCATGGCTCACTACAGCCTTCACTCTTCCGGACTTCAGTGATCCTCCCACCCTGGCCTCCTGAGTAGCTGGGACCACAGGCACGCACCACCACGCCCAGCTAATTTTGGTAGTTTTTATACAGGTGGGGTTTTGCCATGTTGCCCAGGCTTGTCTCAAACTCCTGACCTCAAGCAATAGAGCCACCTCGACCTCCCAAAGTGGTGGGATTGCAGGCATGAGCCACCACGCTGACTTGAAGGAGACTTTTAAAATGGAACTTTTCCCAAGTTTTCTTTTCTTTTCTTTTCTTTTTGAGACGGAGTCTCGCTCTGTCACCCAGGCTGGAGTGCAGCGGCGCGATCTCGACTGACTGCAAGCTCCACCTCCCCGGTTCATGCTATTCTCCTGCCTCAGCCTCCAGAGTAGCTGGGACTACAGGCACCCGCCACCACACCCGGCTAATTTTTTGTATTTTTAGTAGAGACGGTGTTTCACCGTGTTAGCCAGGATGGTCTCGATCTCCTGACCTCATGATCTGCCCGCCTTGGCCTCCCAAAGTGCTGGGATTGTAGGTGTGAGCCACTGCGCCCGGCTCCAAGTTTTCTTTTATACCAAATTGACTAAAATGATTTTGTAAAAATTTGGGGGCATCTCTTTTGATAGGTGCATTGTTCAACAAGCATCTTTGGGACTTTTCTGAATACTTGAGAGGATATAGTGTTTATACTGAATTCACATGGTACTCCTTCAGTGAGAAAACACTTTCCATTGTAGCCTAGGAGACATGAGTGGGGAGAAAAGGACTTAATGCTTTTCTGTAGGATAGGGCCTACTATAGAGGGCCTGAAAAGGGGATTTCATATGACTATGTCCATGCTAGGAATACTTTGGATGCTAGAGTTTCAGGAAACATAATAAATAAGAAAAAATATGCATTTTAGGATGTGAAGATTCACTCACTGTAAATAAAGTTGGGTGATTAAAAGTCTTGCTAGGACCAGACATTTCAGGAGAGTATTGCTTGCTACTGAGGTTATAACCAAGATACATTTGAGTTGAATACTGGAGAAAATCATGATTCTTTCTGAAGATTATGGAAGCATCATGAGAATCTTACTACTAGGAGGAAATTCTCCTAAATTGGCTTCCAGTAATGACCCAAGCATATTTTCATAGCGAGGGTCCTTGTTGGACTGGAGGCACATAATGCAATAATGCCAATAAACTGGAGATGAGGATAATGACATTTAAGTGGCTTTGCGGGAACATCAAAAAATACATTTGAGTGAACGAATGTATTTAATACACAACTGGAAAAATTCAGTTGGATCCGAAAGATTGGTTGGGTCAGTTCATTGATGGTTATTCTAAGGCTACTCAGTGCTCATAAGTTCCCAGAGATGACCTATGGACAATATTAGGGTTGGAAAGGATCCTTTGGATAATCTAGTCAAACACATTATTTTATAGATAAAATAGGAAAGTTGAGGGAAAGATAATGGGATGGCAAATAGTCTCCCCAGCCCAGAGTTCAATATCCTCCTGGTTGCTGGCTGAGCTTAGACTAGAATTATGTTGAGTTTCCAGGACACCCATTTTACGAATGTTATTTTGAATTGCCTGTTGTATGTGATAATATGGTAAGGGATTTTTTTTAAAAGGTGAAATCTCATAGAGGAGATAAAGTGTACAAAAAGTGGCTGGGCGCCAGTAGCTCACACCTGTAATCCCAGCACTTTGGGAGACCGAAGTGAGCGGATTACTTGAAGTCAGGAGTTCGAGACAAGCCTGGCCAACGTGGCGAAACCCCATCTCTACTAAAAATACAAAAATTAGCCGGGCGTGGTGACATGTGCCTGTAATCCCAGCTACTCAGGAGGCTGAGGCAGGAGAATCAATTGAACCTGGGAGGCGGAAGTTGCAGGGAGCTGAGATCATGCCACTGTACTCCAGCTTGGGCAACAGAGCAAGACTCAGTCTCAAAAAAAAAAAAAGTACAAAAGTAGTAAGTCCTGAAAATTAGCACCAACTGTAGGAATCAGAGAACCTTCCTAAAGGAGGTCGCGTTTGATCAGAATTTAGAAGGACAGGAAGGATTTGGACTTCTCATGTTTGGAAGGAGCATAGTGGCAGGATGGAAAGGTTCCCTTTCTTCTAGAGCCTTAAATTAAACTTTATTAAATGCATAATTACATAGTATTCATTTCTACCATGTTTTGAAGTATGTCTAGCTGTTGCTGTCTTTCCAAATCCAAGATCAGTTGTTTACTTCTGAGATACTTACCTTTATGCATGCATAGCCGTCTTTTATATGTGTGATTTATATACCAGGAAGCTGTGATTTAAAAGATTGCTACCATGATGGACTCTGTGGATTGTTTAATTTTCCCTCCAAGTTCAAGTCAGTAAATAAAGGAATTAGTGGTGGTTGTATCTTGCAGAAAAACAACATATTATAACTGGTGTTTGTATTTTCACTGGCTGATGGACTTTCCAAACAGCATTTGACTTTTGAGAACTATATGATGACACAGATTGATACTGGGGAATTTAAAATGCATATGGATTTAATTTTCCTAAAGCATGCCAAAACCTGAAAAAGCAACTCTTTGTGTTTTGTTTAAAGCAACAGCTCGTGGAAATCCTGTTATCGTTCAATCCTCAGCAGTTTGTTATAGATGCCTGGCAAGGTGGGATGCAGTTCTGTATATGTATACATATTATCTGCAGTTGTCTCTCGTAGCTGGAGCTCTGCAGTAAATGGAGTGTGTACAGTAGTCTCCCCTTAGTCGAAGTTTCGCTTTCCAGGGTTTCAGTTACCTGTGGTACAGTACGCTAAGACATTCTGAGAGAGAGACCACATTCACATAACTTTTATTACAGTATATTGTTATAATTGTTATAATGTTTTATTCTTGTTAATCTCTTACTGTGCCTACTTTGTAAATTAAACTTTTTTTTTTTTTTTTTAATTTGAGACGGAGCTTCACTCTTGTTGCCCAGGCTGGAGTGCAGTGGCGTGATCTCGGCTCACTGCAACCTCCGCCTCTCAGGTTCAAGCAATTCTCCTGTCTCAGCCTCCCAAGTAGCTGGGATTACAGGCATGTGCCACCACGCCCAGTTAATTTTTTGTATTTTTAGTAGAGATGGGGTTTCACCATGTTGGCCAGGCAGGTTTCGAACGCCTGACCTCAGGTGATCTACCCGCTTCGGCCTCCCAAAGTGCTGGGATTACAGGCATGAGCCACCACGCCCAGCCTGTAAATTAAACTTTATCGTAGGTATGTATGTATAGGAGAAAACATAGTATATATAGGGTTTGGTACTGTCTGGGGTTTCAGGCATCCGCTGGGGGTCTTGGAACGCATCTCCTTCAGACAAGGCGGGGACTATTGTATTTTCATTTGATTGTGGTAGTTTGGACAGATGGAGAGAAGACGGTGAAAGATTGTGTGTGGGTTTTGACATTAGGCTGTGTAACCATAAGCTGATTTAACCTTCACCTCTAAGCCTCAGTTTTCTCAGCTGTAAAATGGGAATAAAAATGAGTTCTAAGGATTTAATTAGAAAGAAATTAGCATGATACTTCCTGCATCAGCACTCAATAAGATTTCTCTTTCCATGTGATTTTTCCCAGTCCCCCAAAAACATTGAAGTCACAATAACTAAAAGATTTACTTAAAATGGGAGTCTTGGATATTTTTACTGTCTCACTTGAGACTGACAGGGAACCCAGTTCCCTAACTAATTCTAAGTCATGGGAGAAGGGTGCGTGTAGAGAATGCTGTAGAGAATGCGGCAGTCTTTAAAAACTCAAACCTGTTGCTGTGTGGCAAGCTGTTAACATTTAGGGACCTTGCACCACTTACTCTGCTGGAAGAGCTGGGGGATGGGCTGCTTTGAGGGTGACAGATGTGTCCTCTGCTGCCGGCGGGCGCGTGCCTGCTCTGTCCCTCTGCTCCCAGCACCAGGTGCAGCCATTGTTCTGGCTGGTCTCTCTTCATCCGGCCTCGTCTGTTACTCTGCTCTTTCTAGCTCATTGTTTCTGTAGGAAATTAGCATTAAAAACCCATCTGAAACCCCCATGTCCCTCAACTGCAGGTGACTGTTATTGGCCCCAGCTGCCACCCTTGCGCTTGATTACTTCCATATGGGTCTATGCAAAGAAGTAGTAGCCATTTATTGATTTCCACCACAACCCCAACCTCTATTACTCAAACTATAATACCCTGAAATCTATTAGACCCCCAGTAGGCTGTATAGCTCAGTTGGCGCTACAACTGTGATGAACATTTTACAAGCAAAACTAATTACACCCTTTTCCCCACCCCCATCACCTCCTCCCTAAATATTAAATGTAGAAACACCAGAGTGTCATAAGTGGAATAGTAAATCTTTTAAATGTCTGGAAATGAATCTGTTTCTGAGTAGTAAAGCTTTTAGACTTTGGATGGGATTTTATGGAAAATTTTAGTCACTGCTTTAATATTTCATGCCACACCCATAATATTCAAGCAAATCGTGGCCCAGTGCCCCTAGGGTGGGGGTAGGGCACACAAAAATTTTCATCACTTGCTTTTTGGTTTGTTAAATTTAATCCAGTGGGCAGTATGTTAGGAAAGGGGCCTAGTTTAAAAGGATAATATGTTTTGTGGGAGAAAACAACATGCAGTCATTGTTAAATGCTTTAATTTTGCATTATTTTGTTGTTTGTTCTCTGTGTTTACACAAATAATTGTTCTAGTTTACTCATTAGAATAAATACCACAATGAGAAGGTCGATGTTTTAGACTTCTTTCTTCCTTCATCAGTAAACAAACTTAAGTGTTCCACTTTGGTTATTGTTCTAAATCAAGATTGTAATCTCAAACAGGTAATAAGTTCTCAGCTTCAAACTCTAGATAGAATTTCAAGGACAATCCAAAGTTGTTATTGACTCCTGATGAATTGTATTGTGACCTTGACAAAGTCACTGCCCTGTCAGTGAAGGGTATTCTGGTAGCCTTTACAAGTCAATAGCCCAGGAAATCAAGGGGGAGGTCATTGACTTTTGCCTGTTGAGAGTTTAGCAGTGTAACCCAGTTTTAAAGTAAAATCTTGAGTTTACAGCATTTTAAATTAAATTATTTAATAATTTGGAAAATTTAAAGTAACAATTTCAATGTTTTAAGCTTAGCTGCATAGAGCTTTTATCATAAGGAACATAGGGCCATTTCTGTTGGAAGAAATGTCTTTTTGGCTTTCTTTCTTTATATTCTATTTATTTTGGAGTTTAAAAAGGTACTAAAGCCAGGCCCTATGGTGTGTGCCTCTTGTCTCAGGTACTCAGAAGCCTGAGGCAAGAGGATTACTTGAGCCCAGTCATTCAAGACAAGCCTGGGCAACATGGCCAGACCTGTAATCCCAGCAGTTTGGGAGGCCAAGGCGGGCGATCACCTGAAGTCAGGAGTTGGAGACTAGCCTATCCAAAATGGTGAAGCCCCATCTTTACTAAAAATACAAAGAAACTAGCCAGGTGTGGTGGCACATGCCTGTAATCCCAGCTACTGGGGAGGCTGAGGCAGGAGAATCACTTGAACCCAGGAGGCAGAGTTTGCAGGGAGCCGAGATCATGCCACTGCACTCCAGCCTGGGTGACAAGAGCGAGACTCCATCTCAAAAACAAACAAACAAAAAAAGATACTAGAATTTGAAAAGCCCCTGGCAGCCAACATTTTACGTGACAGCTCCTATGAAGGCAAGCCTCTAGGTAGAGCAATGTGATTATATTTAGAATAGGTTAGGAGTTGTAGTATTTGAAGAGTTTTTTTCAGAGCTTTTTAATCTGCTCCTTCGTTTTAAGCAGTGGAGAAATTGAAAGGTAGGGAAGTCAGTAAAGGGGAAGAGTTGAGATTTGAAACAGAGCCTTCTCTGACTCCAAATTAAGTGTACTTTGATTTGAAGTTTGGAGCTAGTACATGTTGGGAATGTTGATCAGTATTGCTATAGATATTGTCGTCTTGAGGTGAGTACATGTGCTGTTAACCCTTCTTTCTGGTACTTAGGAAGAATGGGGGTTTCCTTCTGTGGCCTTACTGATTCTTTCATTCTGTCATTGTACATACTGAGAAACAAAGTTAAATAGTAAAAGGAGTTTGCAGTCTAATGTGAGACTCATTTTCTTTTCATCTGTTTTAATTTTATTAAGTTGTCCTCTCTCATTCCTAGGGCTAATGCCACAATGAAACTGGAAATAAGTTTTCTTGCACTGTGAATGTGAACTGAGGTTTCCACAAGCAAACTGTGCTTCTGTCTCCCCAAGTAGAGAAGCATGGCAAATAACCACAAGTGCTTTGTCGGGGCCCCAGGCTTCTCACTTACCTTTCCCCAGTCCTGGCTCTGTTCTTCATGTCTAAAGTAAGGGAGGACAACAGACTTGGTGTGTGTGTGACTGACCTTCTAGAAATGTTAACTTCCATCTTTATCTTGGAGAATGAATTGAAGTGTTTCCCTGCCTTTCCATCCAAGGGAACCATCTCTAACAACAAATCTTTTTAAGTGGGTCTGGAGGGGGGACAGAGAATTGGTGATTTGTCTTGGTAATTATGTTGTTTTTTGGAGTCAGTTTCAAACACTTCAGTAAAAATGTTTAAGGCTCTTCAACTTTTTTGGTTTGTTTCATTTTAATGTACTACTTTATTCTATTTTCTCACATTTTGTACGCACAAATCAATAGATACTCTTAATTGAATAAGTGAAAATAGTGGGTGAGTTTAAAGATAGATGTTTCGTTTTCCTTATTTTGATGATTACTTTTAAAATTTTAATGTGTACTTGACATAAAATCTAATGTCAATTCATATATCCATTTTTTTCTTTAAGTACAGAAGTCTTAGAACACTTCAAATTCAGTAACTTTTTCAATATATTACCGCTGTCTAGGATTTTGTTTCCATTTTGTTTGTTACACTCCCAGCCAAAATAATAGTTACCATTATTTTTAAAGCTATTAATTTCGATTTACCAATATATTTATTGAATTATCTGGTCACTTTGCATATTTATCACAATTTTCCTTCTAGGTTAATAATTCATTCCTGCCAAGTGTATCTGTTAATAATTCTTGGAGAATCTGTAAGTAGTACACTCTTTTTGCTGATCTGAAGATATCTTTATTTCACCTTTACTTGAATGATAGTTAAATGTGGTTAGAGTGTAAAGGTTGACAGTTATTTTCCATTAGCACTTGGGAGTGGTGATTTCTTTTCTTGTGTTTTGTTTGTTTGTTTGGTTTGTTTGGTTTTTGAGATGGAGTCTCGCTCTGTCGCCCAGGCTGGAGTGCAGTGGCACAATCCCGGCTCACCATAACCTCCGCCTCCCAGGTTCAAACGATTCTGCTGCCTCAGCCTCCAGAGTAGCTGGGACTACAGGCGCCTGCCACCACGGGCCTGGCTAATTTTTGCATTGTTACTAGAGACGGGGTTTTGCCATGTTGGCCAGGCTGGTCTTGAACTCCTGACTTCAGGTGATCTGCCAACCTTGTTTATATGAGGAAGTCCCTCATAAATTTTAGAATAATATCTGTAAAGATGGTGGTAGGGTATTAATGTTAATAATTTTGGTAATTATACTGGGCTTATAAGTAAACATCCTAACTCTTAGCATTTACACACTGAAATATTTAAGCATAAGGGAGTGTAATGTTTCCAGCTTGCTCTCAAGTGGTTTAGATAAAAATATAGGTAGATAGAGAAAAAGAAAGTGATTTTTATAAATGGATGAATTAATTGGTGAATTTAGCTAAATGATATTAACAGAATTATTTGAATAGTCTTGCAAATAAAAATGTTTCTAAATTTGAATAAAAGAAAGTACTGAGCCCATTAACAAAAAAATATGTATATGAAATTAAGTGTTAATTTAGGACTCTCTGAAGAAGTAAATTGAGCTGTGTGCTGAATAACAATAATGAAATAGTCGGTGGATGTCAGTGATAAGAATATTCCAGTGCAAAGGCTCAATGATGGGAATGAACTCAGTATGTTCAAAGAATAGAAAAATGGCCGATGTAGATATAATGTAGTGGACGAAGAGAAGAGGGTAGAGAGACAGGAGACAGAAGTTCATGTAGAGCTTTTAAAGCCAGCATAAAGCTTTGTAATCCAATGAATTTGGATTTCATTCTGAGTGATGGGTAACCATTGAATAGTTGGGGCAGTAATGTGATCTGATTTATATTGTATAAAGATCATTCTTCCTGTCATATAGAGAAAGAATTTTATAGGGCATGGCTGGAAGCAGCAAGACCAGAAGTGAAAAGTGACAAGTTTGGCCCAGCTTTATGGCAGTGAATATAGTAGAGGACAGATGATTTGTTATATTTTAGAGGAAGTTAAGTTTTCTGAACTTGTTGATAGATTGAATGTTGAGAGGGAGAGGGGTGTTTTCAAATAATTGTCAAATCTGTCTTCCTTATTATTCATCCATTCATTTGAATATTTAGGTGCCTACTGTGTGCTAGGCATTATTCTAGGTATTGGAGTTACATCAATGAGTAAAGCAAAGCCCCTGCCCTCATGGAGATTAAATTCTAGTAGAAGAGACAGGCAGTAAAGATGATTAATAAGTAATATATATGTAGCCTAAAATGTATGTTTATGTATATTTAGGATGTTTTTTAATGTTACAAAAAATGAAAGCGCTAAGGAGAAAGGGAAAGGGTTTAAGGAGATCCAGGTTAGTTTGAGGAGGGTAGTCAAGGAGGATCCTCACTGAAAGGTGATTATTTTAAGAATGCAAAGAGATGATGGATGTAAGTGTTCAGTACTGTATGTGACACATTGTTTCTCAGTTTTTGAGTACTACTTCTTCTTCTTCTTCTTTTTTTTTTTCTTTTGAGATGGAGTCTCGCTCTATCGCCCAGGCTGAAGTGCAGTGGCGTGATCTTAGCTCACTGCAACCTCTGCCTCCTGGGTTCAAGCAATTCTACTGCCTCAGCCTCCCAAGTGGCTGGGACTACAGGCGTGCACTACCATGCCTGGCTAATTTTTATATTTTTAATAGAGATAGGGTTTTACCATATTTGCCAGGCTGGCCTCGAACTCCTGACCTCGTGATCCGCCCACCTCAGCCTCCCAAAGTGCTAGGATTACAGGCTTGAGCCACCACACCCGGCCCTATTATTATTATTATTTTGACACAGGGTCTTAACTCTTCACCCAGGCTGGAGTGCAGTGGTGCCATCATGGCTCACTGCAGCCTTGACTTCATGGGCTCAGGTAGTTGTCCCACCTCAGCCTCCCGAATAGCTAGGACTAGAGGCATTTGCCACCATACCTGGCTAATTTTTCTTATTTTTTTTTTTTTGTAGAGGTGGGGTTTTGCCATGTTGCCCAGGTGGGTCTCAAACTCCTGGGCTAAAGCGATCTTCCCATGTTGGCTGCCCAAAGTGCTGGGATTACAGGCAAGAGCCACCATACCAGTTCCTGTCTAGATATTATGATGAAGATTGAGGATGGTAGTTTTTGTGGAGCACAATCCTGACTGTACCTGTGATGTTGCATTCATCTTTTGGAACATAAGCAGATCACCAGGTGAATGGCTAAAGAATCTGGAATAAGCTTGAAAGAAATACAGGTCCTGGCAAGGCAATGGAAAGGTATGTGTGAAACATTCATTTCTAATAGAGGACTAATTTAATAACAGAAATATACTCTTCCCTAGAAACAATTTGCTTTAAAGGCCAGGCATGGTGGCTCACGCCTGTAATCCCAGCACTTTGGGAGGCCAAGGCGGGTGGATCACCTGAGGTTGGGAGTTCCAGACCAGCCTGACCAACATGGAGAAACCCCGTCTCTACTAAAAATACAGAATTAGCCAGGCGTGGTGGCACATGCCTGTAATCCCAGCTACTCGGGTGGCTGAGGCAGGAGAATGGCTTGAACCCGGGAGGCAGAGGTTGCAGTGAGCCGAGATTGTGCCATTGCACTCCAGCCTGGGAAACGAGTGAAACTCCATCTCAAAAAAACAAACAAACAAAAACTCTTATAAAAAGTTGTTTTCTTTTTAAGCAGGGAAGCCTGACTTCATTGGCATTTTGAGATGGAGGCTTCTGGGCAAAAGAAGAATTTCATGGGGGTATTTTGAGATGAGTATGATCAATCTAGTCAAGAGATGGGGAAGGTCTAAGCTTTGTCTCTTGTAGGTGGAATGGAGAAGGGCAAAGGGTTTGAATTTTGGTTGTGTGGTGTGAAGAATGATTGGTCTTAAAACAGATTTAAAATGAAAAGATTAAACTGATCAATGTTTTTTATGCTTTTAAAAAATGTGGCTGATAAAGCGTTTTTGTGCTTTTAAAGGGAGCCTGGATGAATAGGCTTTGGTACTGTATGTATTGTATTAAACATTTGGAGTGGCAAAATAATTTCTAAAATATTTCTAGCAACTTCATTTTCATTTTATCTGCAGGATGAAAAAGTAAATTTGGGGATTGTTGATTAAATTAGCAAACCATATGGTTGTTTGCGCAGACTGACTGCTATGCGAGGTAGCTGTGTTATTTTTCTTTCAGGATATGCTGTTGTATCTGATGCCAGTGTTCTGAAACACTTATTTTCTAGTCAACAGTAGGTGAAGCAATTATTTCTAGTCATTATGGTTTTTCTTGATGCCTTAATTAATGTCACAATTTGTGAATGCTTTACCCTGCTGTTTAAAATTAGTTTAATATTTTAAAAGATTAAATCTTCACATTTATGTAATGCTTCCCAACCTCTTTTCACATCATAGCATACATAGAAAGTATTAAGTTCTGATTGGCTGTCCCAGGCTGAGGAAATCATTATCTCAGTAAACTGATAATCATTCTTCATAACTCTCTGGCGTTGGTCCCTGGCACACAGCTTGGGAAGTTCTGTCTTAATAGAAAAGATATAGAAACCTTTCTGTACTGTATTGCAGTTAGTTAAGAGGAATTAGGAAAGAGTTATAGAGTCTTTCTTAATAGGGTTTTTTTTTTCCTTTTTCGCTAGAAGCCTAAATCTCACCAAATTATCGGGTGTTATACTAGGAACTATGGTTATAAGAGTGAAGAGCTCAAGGAACTCACAGACAGACAGGCACAGAAACAAATCACCTGTGGCACAATATGACAAATGACATCACAGAGGTGTTTATTTTTATTTTTATTTTTTGAGACAGAGTCTCAGTCTGTCGCCCAGGCTGGAGTGCAGTGGCGCGATCTCAGCTCACTGCAAGCTCCACCTCCCGGGTTCACACCACTCTCCTGCCTCAGCCTCCCGAGTAGCTGGGACTACAGGCGCCAGCCACCACGCCTGGCTAATTTTTTTTTTTTTAATGTATTTTTAGTAGAGACGGGGTTTCACCATGTTAGCCAGGATGGCCTCGATCTCCTGATCTCGTGATCCGCCCACCTTGGCCTCCCAAAGTGTTGGGATTACAGGCGTGAGCCACCGCGCCTGGCCTAAGAGGTGTTTATAAGAAGCTGTAAGAGTCCAAATGTGGGAGGTTTTATTTCTGTCAAGGTGCACTTGAGTCTACCAGGGAGGACTTGGAGTTAGACCTTAAAGTAGGAGTTTCTAAAGTGCCAGAGACAGGGAAAGCAGGGCATTGCAGGTGGAGAGCACAACCTGTTTTATAGGCTTTCTGCCTCCTTAATATCTAGCAGAGGTCTCATCTTAATATAAAAGTAGATACTGGAACTTAGGAGTTTGCTCTGATGGCAGACATGGATACTTGCCCTGCCAGAGTGCCCATCTACCTTCCATTTATGTTGTTTGGATTCAGTCTCCACTATACTATAGCCTTATATTTGCATGGTGCTTTTAATTTTCAAAGCTTTTTATCCAAATAACAGCCCCTCAGGGATAGGAAATAAAAGCCAGCTGGTAGTGTTTTTATTTTTATAGAGGAGAAAACTGAGACATCACCATCATATCAGCATTTCATTTCCCAGATAAGAAGGTCTTTTTTTCATCTCTTGATTGCAAAGGGTGCTGCCCAACAGGAATAACCTCTCCCAATTTTCTGGGCACAGCCCAGAGTGCTGACTGAGGCAGCCACCAGGAGGGCGCCAGCAAGGCAGACAGCATGGCTGCTGATCACAGAGCTAACAGCTCGACATCTGCAGGCTGCAGCTGTACATTTTTGCTACAGCACATCCGTATTTCTGCTCACACTTGTGAAGAATCACAGAGTTTGGAAGAATATGAGTTAAACCGTTCCAAGTGTATAAGTGTGCTCCATCTCTGGGAGTTTTATTCTGTACTGGGTGGAGTGGTCTATGAGATCTTATAGCTGCTACTTTTCTCTGTTTATTTATTGCCATATTTAGTCCATCTTCCCTGTCCTAATTTTAGTTCAATGCCAAAAAAAGATGGAGCACTCCATAATAGATGAATTGAGAGGGTGCTGATTGTGTCACTGAAATGTTTGCCAAAGAAATTGTTTTTCTAGCTGATTTTGTTCTGCCTCCATCTTTCAGTCTATTTGGAAAACACAGTAGAGTACCTGGTTATCTTTCAGAGTGTCATTGTTAAATAATCATTTCAGTAAGCAGTGATGGCTGTTGATCATTTTAGACTTGTGCCTATACTAAGTATTTATCCATTTTTCTAATATACCTGGATTTTTAAAAATATTGATGGATAAAAACTTTCTGGATTGTTGATTTTGAGGAGGTATACCAAGAAGAGAAGGGTGATCTTGGTGTGGAGCCAACATCTTTGAAATCTTGGCTTATTTGTTCTTACTCCTTAAGGCACCCCATTGCCACTCCTTAAGCCCATGTATTTGACAGTGGGGCTTTTTGTCAGAAGCCTCTCTGATTGTCATTTGGGGACTTAAATGGGCTCCTACATAACAGCTTCTATGCTTCAATTTTCTAACTTGTCCAGGGTGTGCTTCAGCTGTAGACTGTGTATTTACGTTCATATATTTGTGAAGAAAGACAGGAACTATATAGTAGAATGTGAAGTCTCTCTGAACTGTAATCAATGTGTTTTATTAAATTCTTGGTCACAATGTGCAAACTTCATTGAGTCCTACAATAATTAATTCTTTTTGCATTATTTATTTTGCTATAGTATGGTCTCTGGAGCTCAGCAGAGCTGCCATTTCTTAGCCATATGACTTGGGACATAATTTTTGACTTCTCTGAGCCTTAGCTTCTGGTTAAATAAAGTGGTATTGGAGATGGTACCTTCTACTGTCTTAGTGTCATTTAAATAAGAAAATATTTTAGCACCATTCTTTGCGTGTAATAAATATTTTGTTATTTCTAAATGAATATATGAAGATGGAGAGTAATGGTAGCTATTACTATTATAGTTATTTCCTGACTTGTATTTATCCTTCCCAGCAAGAAAGTCTTGTCCTACTCAAATCTTGGGTAAATATGAAACTTGCTTCATTATCAGTGTGGATTGAGAAGGTGTGTACGGTGTTCCTGGGCATCTGAAGAAAGGCTTTTAAATCAGCTTTCCTTTGTGGTCAGTTGGTCACAAATAACATCAAAATATCAATTGTTAATATTCATATTTATTTTTTCCTTTACAGCTGACTACTTTAGTATTGGTACACCTAATTAAAATTTTTCCACCTCTAAAATTTTTTCTAGGGCAATTTATATATGATTGAATTAATTTACATTGAGTATTAGTTTCCTTGGTTTTTAAAAATAGATCCCCCCAAAATGGTAAGGAGTTGAGAAGTTAAGGCTGTGAGCAAATAGAGAATTTGGGCCTAAAGTTTAATGTGGAAATGAGAAGATGATTTCAATTGATTTGTAGAAAGAACCATAATGAAGGGAATTTTCTTAAGTAAACTTATGTTTGTACCCATTTGCTACTATTTTTCTCTTAGAGCTTTTAGCACTTTCTCCCTGTCATAAGGTTGTAGAGTTGCCATACTCTGAGGTGTCCCACAAGGCTAGCACAACAGCCCTCTGCTTGTGGTGCATACAGCTATCATCCAAAGGGGCCAACCACATGACATGGCAGTGTATTTCCAGATGTCATTCTCTCTGTTTGGATGACTTGGGAGCTTAAGAAGGGTATTTTCTCTTGAATAGGAGAAAAATTGTTACTTTGGCATAAGGCCCACTCTGGCACCATTCCCACATCTGTTATTGATTAGAAGTGAATGCTGGTCAGTCAGGATGCAAGAGTGCTGGTCCGATTATCAAGCTCAGCCTTCAGGATGAAATACTGCAGGAAATCTGAAGGATGGCATAAACTGGCTCTACACAGTCTTTAAAAAGACCCTTTCATAAGCTATTGTACAAAGACCTGGTGTAAAGAAATAGCCTGAGTGATGTCTACATGTTAAGAAGATGCCGTAACATGTACATGTAGGATCTATTCTTAGAGGGGAGCAGTGGAATGGGTGGTGGAATCCTTATGCAATGATTTTTAAAATATATAATAAACATGCACAGATACTAAGTGTTCAACCCAATGAGTGCCTTTTTGGTTTTTTTGGGGGTTTTTTTTTGTTTTTTTTTTTTTTTAAGGAAAGCGTCTCCTTCTGTCGCCCAGGCTGGAGTGCTGTGATTACAGACATAAACCACCATGCCTGGTCTATTCATGTTTTTAATTTTTAAATTTTTATTCAATTTTTTTTAAAATTTAGCGATGGGGTCTCACTGTATTGCCCAGGCTGGTCTCAAACTTCTGGGCTCAAGCAGTCCTCCAGTCTCAGCCTCCCAAAGCATTGGGAATACATACGTAAGCCACTGCACCCAGCCTGTTCATTTTCTTAATGGTGTCTTTTGATGGGCAGAAAACTTTAATTTTCGTGAAGTCTAACTTAGCAGTCTTAAAAATTTTATGGTTTGTGCTTTTTTGCTTACCACCAGGTCATAAGGATATTCTCCTATTCTTTTTGTAGAAATTTTATGGTCCGGGGTATTATTTTACAACCCATCACGAATCTTTTTTTTTTTTTTTTTGTATGGAGTGAGAGAGGATTGAGGTTAATTTGTATCTATTTGGACATCGAGTTCCAGCAATATTTGCTAAATAGACTTTTCTTTCCCCATTGAGTTGAGTTGACACCTTTATTGAAACTCACTTTGTGTTTGGTGGTTCGTCCTCCAACCCTGTCCTTCTTTTTTGAGATTGCTTTAGCTCTTTGGTGTCCTGAACATATTATACAGACATCTTGGTACATCTTGGTGTCTCTCTCTCTCTCTCTCTTTTTTTTTTTTTTGAGACGGAGTTTCTCTCTTGTTGCCCAGGCTGGAGTGCAATGGCACGGTCTCGGCTCACCGCAACCTCTGCCTCCCATGTTCAAGCAATTCTCCTGCCTCAGCTTCCTGCATAGCTGGGATTAGAGGCATGCACCACCATGTCTGACTAATTTTGTATTTTTTTTAGTAGAGACGGGGTTTCTCCATGTTGGTCAGGCTGGTCTCGAACTCCTGACCTTAGGTGATCCATCCGCCTCGGCCTCCCAAAGTGCTAGGATTATGGGTGTGAGCCACTGCGCCTGGCCTCTTTTTTCTTTTTTTAATCTAATGCAGAGATATTCTTGAATTTTAAAAACTTTTACAAAATTGGGAATATACATTTTAGGCGTGTAAATTTTTAAATTTTAAGTCCTAACTGTATTTTAACGTTGGTAGCCTATTATTATCAAAACATAGTCATTCTGTGTAACGCAGTAAGAAATATCTAATAGTTGGTTTTACTTAATAAACTTTACTAAATAAAGCCAGTATGTACTATGTACTATGTTCTGGCCACTGGACTTGGCACTTGGAATATGGTGGTGATCAAGATGAACGTGGCCCCAACTCTCCAGAGGCTTACAACCTAAGAGGCCGAAATTGGCCTCTTCTGAAACAAAAATAGACAAATGATGCATTTCAGGCCTTGTGATGTGAACAGAAATTTTTTTATATTCTTCATTACGCAGCAGCTGATAGCAGCATCACAATTTGATAGGGGCCAGGCACGGTGGTTCATGCCTATAATTCAGCACTTTGGGAGGCCCAGGTGGGCAGATCACTTGGGTCCAGCAATTCGAGACCAGCCTGTGCAGTGTGGCAATACCCTGTCTCTACAAAATACACAAAAAATTAGCCAGGCGTGGTGGTATGTGCCTGTAGTCCCAGGCTACCTAGGAGGCCAAGGTGGGAGAATCACCCTGAGCCCAAGAGGTTGAGACTGCAGTGAGCAGAGATCACACCACTGTATTCCAGCCTGGGTAATGGAATGAGCCCCTGTCTTTTATTTATTTATTTATTTTTAAAAAGGCAGACTCCATTTGGGTAGGATGTATGTGCAGTATACAGATAACATTGCTGTTTGTTTTTGAATGAAAATGTTTCCTGAAGCCATAGCATGAGTATTGGAATGAGTATATATGTCTGCCCTCCCTTCCCCTCCCTTGCCCTCCCCTCCCCGTCCTGTCCATCCATCCCGTCCCTCCTTCTTTCCTTCTTTCTTTCCTGTCTTGAGACAGAGTTTCACTCTGTCACCCAGGCTGGAGTGCAGTGGCGTGATCTCGGTGCACTGAAACCTCCACCTCCCATGTTCAAGTGATTCTCCTGCCTCAGCCTCCTGCTGGGATTACAGGCACACGCCACCACACCTGGCTAATTTTTGTATTTTTAGTAGAGATGGGGTTTCACCATGTTGATCAGGTGGGTCTCAAACTCATGATCTTGTGATCCACCTGCCTTGGCCTCCCAAAGTGCTGGAATGACAGGCATGAGCCACCAGGCCCAGCCATGTCTGTCATTTTCTTTGTTAACCTAATTTCTAAAGATTACTCATCTTTTAAACTTCTTTGAAACAAGTTGTTTCATACCTGTGATTTGTACTGTAACTCAAGGTTTTTTGTTTTTTGTTCTTTGTGTGTGTGTGTGTGTGTGTCTGTGTGTTTGTCGTCTTTGTTGTTGTTTTGTTTTGTTTGAATCCTGGGGAACCAGAGGTGTTAGCCTATGTTTTAAAACTCACATTTGGCAATGGTATCAACAGCTGTCACACTGAATAATTGTCATGTCATTATAAGGGTTTCTGTTGCTCACTAATCTGTAGGTATAAATCTGGATTTTAACCACATGTGATTGGTAAAAATTAGTTCTTGTGAGAGATTCTATGCTGTGTAGGCCATCTGTTCCCTATTCTCAAACCCAGAATGAAAAGTTAGCCTTAGAATTTGCAAATCAGTGAACTAAGAGGTATGTTATAATAGGAAGATGGGCTGACTGAAGTCTCTGGAGCTAAGCTGGGACCTGTATGTGGGCACTGCTGGCAGAAACATAAGTGTGTGTGGATAAACTCTTCATTAGTGGAAAGGAATCTTAGTTTTCGGCTGATTTTCAGTGGTGGGCATGACCCCAAACAGAATCTGAGATGATGTAATAATCATCTGTGATTTGATTGTACTTATAAGATTCAGCTAAATCTTCCCTTTTTTGTCCCAGTCTACTTGAGATGTACCTTCCTTGAACCCTTATTGCCCAGCTACATCATGAACTCCTTGAAGGTTGGAATATCAGCTTCAAGTTTGTGTCCCAAACACTTAGTACAGTGCTTGGGTCATGTTAGCCTTTTGATGATGTTGATCAAATGAATCAGCAGCCGGGCGCGGTGGCTCACGCCTGTAATCTCAGCACTTTGGGAGGCTGAGGTGGGTGGATCGTCTGAGGTCAGGCGAGACCAGCCTGGCCAACATGGTGAGACCCCATCTCTACTAAAAATACAAAATTAGCTGGGTGTGGTGGCACATTCCTGTAATCCCAGCTACTTGGGAGGCTGAGGCAGGATAATCACTTGAACCTGGGAGGCAGAGGTTGCAGTGAGCCGAGACCACGCCATTGCACTCCAGCCTGGGCAACAAGAGCGAAACTCTATCTCAAAAAAAATGAATCAGCAAGGTAACTTCTTGCATTAGGAATGACAGCACAGGCCGGGCGCGGTGGCGTACACCTGTAATCCCAGCACTTTGGGAGGCTGAGGCAGGAAGATCACTTGAGGCCAGGAGTTCAAGACCAGCTTGGCCAGCATGGCAAAACCCCATCTCTACTATGCCGGGTGCGGTGACTCACACCTGTAATCCCAGCATTTTGGGAAGCCAAGGCAGGCGGATCACTTGAGGTCAGGAATTCGAGACTAGCCTGGCCAACATGGCAAAACCCCATCTCTACTAAAAATACAAACATTAGCCAGGTGTGGTAGCACGTGCCTGTAATCCCAGCTACTCAGGAGCCTGAGGCAGGAGAATCACTTGAACCCAGGAGGTGGATGTTGCAGTGAACGAAGATCGCACCACTGCACTCCAGCCTGGATGACAGAGCAAGACAGTCTAAAAAAAAAAAAAGAGGAAAGACAGCACTACCTTTTATTAAACAACTTCTTTCTTTCCCCATATTCCCTTCTAGTTTTTTCTTATACATGTGCATACTCTTTCCATTTTATTTTCGTGAGTATACATTATATCCAGCTCTTTCCTTTTACATTATATCAAGACCTTTTCTGTGTTGCTATATATTTATCTGTCATTATTTCAGTGGAGAAGTAGACCCAGAATGTGCATTGTTTTTATTAATATCACATGCCATTGTTTCCATTAGATTGTGTTACCATCTAACTATCCTTTGTACAAGAACACTATTGTATCGATTTGAAAAATCAACTGAAAAATCAGTTGTTTTAGTAGTCATTACTACAAAGTTGTAGGTACATGATAATTGACCTTTTCCCAGGGCCAAAGGCCAAGTCCCAAGCCATAACCTTGCCTGGATTTCATTTTCTTTATCTGGGTAGACTGAGTATATGACTTTATAGTTTAAAGTTCTTTGACTAATCGTTAACCTTATTTGGGGAGATGAAATGATTTTTATGAACCAGTAATTTGAATATAATGTATGATGAAGTTTTGGGGCTTTTTTTCCCTTTAAATTAAATAATTTAGTAAAATTTTAAAAAATTATCTTGTTTCCAAAAACGGATAATTACATATAATTGAAAATGAATTATTTGTTGAATTGGATATATTTAAGTTCTTAAGTCAACTTGTTTGGATTTAGATGGTGACCCAAGTCTACCAGCACTGCATTTAGTAACCATTTCATTAGACAGATGCTGTCTACAGGGTGTGCTGTTATATTATGCATTCATCCTCAGTACTTGACTGTCCTCTGGGAGGCCAAGTGTCTCAAAATCCTGTAAGCACTTTCCTGTACCCCTTCTCATACCAACCATGCCACACTGTGAACTTGCTGTGTATTTTTCCTTCTTGATTGCATACCTTCACCATTGTCATTTGGTTTAAGTGATTTTATTTATTTATTTATTTATTTGTTTGTTTGTTTGTTTGTTTATTTATTTATTTGAGACAGAATCTTGCTTTGTTCCCTAGGCTGGAGTGCGGTGGTATGATCTTGGCTCACTGAGACCTCTGCCTCCCAGGTTCAAGTGATTCTCCTTCCTCAGCCTCCTGAGTAGCTGGGACTACAGGTGCCTGCCACTACACTCAGCTAACTTTTTGTATTTTTAGTAGAGATGAGGTTTTGCCATGTTGTCCAGGCTGGTCTTGAACTCCTGACCTCAGGTGATCCACTTGCCTCAGCCTCCCAAAGTGCTGGGATTACAGGCGTGAGCCACCATGCTGGCCAGATTAAGTGACTTTTTTTTTTCTTTTTTTTTTTTTGAGACAGAGTCTCACTCTGTCGCCCAGGCTGGAATACAGTGATGCGATCTTGGCTCACTGCAAGCTCCACCTCCCAGGTTCACACCATTCTCCTACCTCAGCCTCCCAAGTAGGTGGGACTACAGGCGCCTGGCTAATTTTTTTGGTATTTTTAGTAGAGACGGGGTTTCACCATGTGTTTGCCAGGATGGTCTCAATCTCCTGACCTCCTGAACTGCCCGTCTCGGCCTCCCAAAGTGCTGAGATTACAGGCGTGAGCCACCGCGCCCGGCCTTAAGTGACATTTTTAAGAGTTTAAGATTTTTCCCTCAGCCCATCAGGTAAGCTCTAGTCAGCTTCTTTAGCTGGCTTCTTAGTAGAAGTAATAGCAATAATAATATAGATGATGGTGGTCATGATGGCAATTATAACCATAATATATTTTGTAAAATGGTGTGCAGTTTAGAACAGGATTACTAGCATCATTTCCTGATTACAGAACAGGTTGGAGACAGAGGCAGACTTAATTGCTTATTTTATAGAGCTTGAGCCACTGTTTTGGTGTGTTTAAGCATTTACTATATACCAAAACATGATATCCTTTAAACTACCAGTGGGATTTTGACAGGGTAACTTAGATGCCTTTTATCATATTACCAAGTTGCTGAGATTGTAACCCAGGGCATTTGGTCTAATTTGGGAGCATGTTTCCATTCATCTCTGCAGCTCAGATGGAGAAGGGCTGGGGTTTAGGGCTTCTGACCTCAAACCTTGTTTTTTTTCTGTCATGCTTGCAGGGTATTTTAAATACCCTGTCCTGTTGTTCCCTCAACCCAAACTACCTGTTAAAATTTTGGTTTTGAAAATGAGGTCCCTATAGCTAGATCATGCTGCCTGTGTGTGAAGAAAGACTAACATGTTAGGAATGCGTGGCATTCAAGTAGGTGTCTAATAATTCTTCTGGAGAAAAGCAAATTTAGTCAAAAAGCAAATGAAAATATTTTATAAGCAATGTTTCAAAATGATTCAAGGAAATTGGTATTTACCTCTTATCCCCATCGTGTCATCAGTTCCATTGTCATGTTCTTTGAATACCGTGAGCATGTGTCTATTTTTTAATAAATAATTGTAATCATACTACATATATATAGGAAGGTCCCCCCATACAGCGTTGTATTATATGCATTTCGCCAAGTGTTGAATGAATGATCCTTCATAATTACAATTTTTAATGCCTTTACAGTTCACATTGACATGCTGTTCCACCGTTTAATTAACCATTCTCTTGTGGTATAAATTGCTTTTTCCCTTGAGCTGTTTTCTTAAGGACAGATTTCCAGGAGTGAGGTCACACAGTCAAACATTATGAACATTTTTCTAGCAGAGAAATTATTTTTTAACCTCACTAATTGAATGTTGGTACCTTGAAATACATTTATTTCTGTGCTTTTTGTACCTAGTACATTAGTAATTGGATACTGGAACTAATGGAAGCGAACAAGCATGTAGATAATCTAGAAAGCATTATAGTCTTAACTGGAAATACATAATTATTTTCTCTCAAAATTCACCATCCCATTTTGTTATGCTTTGGCAGAGCAATCTAGAACTATGGCAGAGTGATGGTTGAGGAAATGTGGGGAAATTTATATTAAAACCTTAGCCGTGGTAAATTGAAAGTTAACTTTTGAAGCAAAGCTTAACTGTAGAAGAAAAATAGTGATTATTTCTCATGTTTGTTGCTGAATTCTAGGTTTTATTCTTCTACCTTCTTTGCATATATCTGTCTCTAAAAAGGTAGCTAATTAATGTGTTATGGTAATTTACAGTATGCAAAAGGACTGCCAGTGCAGATGTGATCTGATCAATATTGTGATTATTATCATTATTATCACTGGGTTTTCTTGTTTGTTTTTTTGTTTGTTTTGTTTTTTGAGACGGAGTCTTCCTCTGTCACCCAGGCTGGAGTGCAGTGGCACAATATCAGCTCATTGCAACCTCTGCCTCCCAGGTTCAAGTGATTCTTGTGCCTCAGCCTCCTGAGTAGCTGGGACTACAGGGACGGGGTTTCACTGTGTTGTTCAGGCTGGTCTTAACTCCTGACCTCATGATCCGCTCGCCTCAGCCTCCCAAAGTGCTGGGATTACAGGGGTGAGCCACCGCGCCCAGCCTATTATCATTGTTATCTCGGTTATAGACATAGGAAAACTGAGGTTCCTGTTGATATTATTGCCAAAACAATGCTCTTGATCTCATTCTATCTTTCTCTGAGGTTTTAAGCAGAACCTGGTTGTATGTGAGCCATTTATATTCTATAGCAGATTTTTGCATTGGCTGTGAGTTCAAAATAGATAAAAATTTTAAGATTGCTTCAAAGTCAAGAGATTCTATATAATCAAAAATACTTCTTGGTTAAAGCATAAAGGGCCAAGGTGACGTGTTTG
Source organism: Homo sapiens (assembly GCF_000001405.40). Taxonomy (NCBI): domain Eukaryota; kingdom Metazoa; phylum Chordata; class Mammalia; order Primates; family Hominidae; genus Homo; species Homo sapiens. The sequence continues at coordinate 33,586,707 of NC_000020.11, forward strand.
GAAAGTATAGATAGAAGGCTCTGAATTAGGGAAAAGTCCTGTAATTCCACAGAGGTATGTATTTTGACCCTTAATTTCTCTTTTCCTTGAAGGTTCATAATTAAAGCACAGAAATTCAGAATTGTCATAGTTTGGAAGCTATGAACTTGAGTGATAGCTTTCTCAAAATATATTGGAGAGTTTCATAGAATTGTCTCTACCTAACTCTGAACTTCACTATTTATTTTATTTTATCTTATTTAATTTTATTTTTGAGTTAGGGTCTTACTCTGTCACCCAGGCTGGAGTGCAATAGTGTGATCACGGCTCACTGCAGCCACAACCACCCAGGCTCCAGTGATTCTGCAACCTAAACTTCCCGAGTAGCTGGGACTACAGGCACCCCCCACCATGCCTGGCGAATTCGATGGCATCTTTTTTAGAGACGAGGTCTCCCTATGTTGTCCAGGCTGTTCTCAAACTCCTGAGCTCAGGCAATCCTCCTGCCTTGGCCTCCCAAAGTGCTGGGATTACAGGCGTGAGCCACGGCACCCAGGTTTGTTTTTTATTTTTTTGTTTTGTTTTGTTTTGTTTTGTTTTGAGATGGAGTCCTGCTCTGTCGCCAGGCTGGAGTGCAGTGGCACGATCTCGGCTCACTGCAACCTGTGCCTCCTGGGTTCAAGTGATTCTCCTGCCTCAGCCTCCCGAGTAGCTGGGACTACAGGCGCCTGCCACAACGCCCGGCTAATTTTTCATGTTTTTGGTAGAGACAGGCTTTCACCGTGTTAGCCAGGATGGTCTTGATCTTCTGACCTCGTGATCCGCCCCCCTTGGCCTCCCAAAGGGCTGGGATTACAGGCGTGAGCCACCGCGTCTGGCCAATTTTTGTACTTTTAGTAGAGACAGGGTTTCACCATGTTGGCCAGGATGGTCTCAATCTCCTGACCTCATGATCCGCCTGCCTCAGCCTCCCAAAGTGCTGGGATTACAGGCATGAGCCACTGCGTCCAGCCCCGTACCCAGTTTTAATTATATTTTCTTAACTGGACCTATGTGGAAAAGAGGTTGTATGCTTCCAAGACAAAAATTGAATTATTTCACATGTATTTCCTTTTAACTTGTTATGTCTGGGCTGTTTTGGCATTTAAAGCCATTAATCTCAACTCATGATTTCTGTCCCAAGGAAAATGAGAGTCAGATGTTCACATCTGGACCATTTGTTTCATTCAAGTAGTTGAAATTGCATTAGAAAATTTTGATAGTGATAAAGTCAAGAATTTAGAATGAATCATTGAATCCTCCCATTGAAAGGGAAGATCAAAACCTCCAACTTTATGTAGAACTATAGACTGAGAGAACTATTACTTTTTGTTGATTTTTCTTAAATAACATTACTGAGGTATGATTGACATGTTAAAAAGCTGTACATATTTAACATATACACCTCCATGCATTTGGGAATAAGTACACCCCTGTGAAGCCATCAACACAAAAGTTTCCTCTTGACCCCTTTATTATTATTTTTTGTGTATGGTATGTAGCTATTTTAAAGTATTGTTAGTCTTTGTTTTAACTTTGTTGAAGTGTTAATTAAAATGATGAACTTGCAGAAGAAAAAGTGAACATTTTAAACTATTTTTTATAAATAGAATAGAAACAGGTGCAAATGAAGAAATATATATATATAAATATATATAGATCAACAAATGAATAATGAACAAATATATATGTTAATGTAGCATATATTAATATAATATATATGTTAACCACAAAAGTACCATGGCCATTCAGCTCGTGATATGTATTTCTTTCTTTTACCTTTATTTTTGGCCTGTTTGAAAGATTTATGCTACATTATATTTTCCTTTATTCCTTAGATTACTTTAAAGAACAACACTATAATTAAGAGCAGTACACCCTAACCAAGTAAGGTTGATCACACAATGGCAAGGATAGTTCAACATTAAGAAGCTGAAAAGGGCTGGGCATGGTGGCTCACGCCTGTAATCCCAGCACTTTGGGAAGCTGAGCCAGGTGTATCACTTGAGGTCAAGAGTTCGAGACCAGCTTGACCAACATGATGAAACCCCGTCTCTAGTAAAAATGCAAAAATTAGCCAGGCATGGTGGCAAGTGCCTGTAATGCCAGTTACTCTCTGAGGCAGGAGAATCACTTGAATCCAGGAGGCAGAGGTTGCAGTGAGCCATGATCGCGCCACTGCACTCCAGCCTGGAGGACAGAGTGAGACTTCCCCTCAAAAATAAAAATAAAAATAAAAACAAGAAGCTGAAAGGAGGAAAAAAAACCCATTTCCATAAATACATCCCTTCCCCTAAAAAAATGCATTTGATTAAGCTGAAGACCTATTTCTAATAAAAACAAGTAAAAAGCAAGTTTGTGGTAAGTAGAAACTTCAAGGTTATACATGCAAAATGTGGCTTAAACTAGAGCTGCAACATAAAAGTGGTGAAGAACAGCAGAGGACAGTTGGAGCTGTGGGAGATGCACAAATGAATGCCTCTGGCATGGAGCTTCAGGGTTGAAAATCAAACACTAGAAGTCCAGCCAGGCACAGAGAGCAGCCAGTTGCAGAGGGGACATCTCCCTTTGTCTTTATCTGTTGTGGAGATGTTTGGTAGTCCCTTACCCCCAATGCATTGTAATAAAGCACTCCATTTGTATATGCATCTTAATAGTCCTCAATGATTTAGGCCCACAAAATGATCAGTTAAGAGAGTTACCTTTATTTTGTTTACTTTCAAAAAAATAAGAATAAACCCAAACTCAATTCTTAATTTCTCAGCCTGAACAGTGTGAGGTCATAGTTGTCCAGATTTCTCTGGAAACGAGTAAAGATGAATTCGTTTCTTTGTCATGGGTCTGTACTATAGGTTGTTCTCTTTTTATTTCATTTGATTGTAAACAGCAACTCTGGCAGCTGGGCAATATTGAATGATTGCTGTAAACAAGGAAACAGACTTTGAGGAGGAAATATCCCCACTATCAGAGAGCTAACAGAGCCTCAATTTCAATCCTGATCTGTCTGAATCCAGCCACTGCCTCATACCCACACCAGAGCTGTTCAATTGAAATATAATGTAAGCAACAAATAGAGGCCACATATGTAATTTTAAATATTCTTGTAACCTTATTTTTTAAAAAAGAAACAGGTGACATTCCTTTTGATAATATGTTTAATATACTAAGAAATTTCAATATATAATCATTATAAAATTATTAATGAGCTTGTTTACATTCCTTTCCTTAGTACTGTTTGAACCTTGGGGTCTGGCATGGTGGCTCACGCCTGTAATCTCAGTGCTTTGTGAGGCCAAGGTGGCAGGATCACTTGAGGCCAGGAGTTTGAGACCAGCTAGTGAGACCCTGTCTCTAAAAAAAAAAATAGAAAAATTAGCTGGACATGTTGGCATGCACCTATAGTTCCAGCTACTTGGGAGGCTGAGGTGGGAGGATCTCTTGAACCCAGGAGGTTCAGGCTGCAGTGAGCCTAGGTTATGTGACTGCTCTTCCAGCTTGGACGATGCTGTCTCATCTTTTTTTACAAAAAAAAAAAAAAAATCTGCAATCCTTTTTTCCTGTGCACAAACAGCTTCCAGAAAATAGTTAAAAGAAACCATCAAACCCTAAGGTAATTTTTTTTAAGTACCTGTTGGCCCAAACAGAGGGCTTAATTAGCGGCAACTCTTAGAAACCAGATTGCGTTAAACACATCTAGCTTTGTTTTTTTTTCTTGGCCCCCACAAAGGCTATGCGCATGCCCCAGGAATATACTTCTTCTTTGATTGGGCACAATAAGATTGTTTTCTTCAAATATTTGAGAGTGGTAGGACCCCAGAAGAACTCTTACCAACTGATGGTGAGTGCCAAGATCTTCTCATTTATCTGGCAGTGGCATATTCCATCTCTGCAGCAAGGTAAAGCCCTGGGTGCTAGAAGTTCCTTCACAGAACCTAGGTGTCAGCCAGTCATGGATATTGTCCTGTGGCTTCCCATAAAGAAAGCTAAATCTTTGCTTCGTGCTACTCCTGAGCATGCAGTTTTGATTTTTGTGGTTCTCCATCTCAAAACAAAAGCTGATGGGCTGACTGGGCCTTTCTTTGCGCTGGGGGAATATTAAAAACTCGGTTTTTCAAATATTAAGGTACATGGAGCCAGGTGGAACCCAGGCTCTTTTAAAGATTGATGAGGGCAGGTGCAGTGGCTCTCGCTTGTAATCCGAGCACTTTGGGAGGCCGAGGCAGGCAGATCACTTGAGACCAGAAGTTTGAGACCAGCCTGGCCAACATGGTGAAACCCCATCTCTACTAAAAAGAAAATAAAAATTTGCCGGGTGTGGTGGCAGGCATCTGTTAATTCCAGCTACTTGGGAGGCTGAGGCAGGAGAATCACTTGAACCCGGGAGGCAGAAGTTGCAGTGAGCCGAGATCACACCATTGCACTCCAGCCTGGGCAACAAGAGTGAAACTCCCTCTCAAAAAAAAAAGTACTGATGAATAGCTGGGCATGGTGGCTCACACCTATAATTCCAGTGCTTTGGGAGCCCAAGACAGGTGGATCACTTGAGGCCGGAAGTTCGAGACCAGCCTGGCCAACATGGTGAAAACCCATTTCTACTTAAAATAGAAAAAAGTAGTAGTCCCTGCTGTAGTCCCAGCTACTGGGGAGGCTGAGACACAAGAATTGCTTGAACCCGGGAGGCCGAGGTTGAAGTGAGCCGAGATCCCACTACTGCACTCCAGCCTGAGCAACAGAGTAAATCTCAAAAAAAAAAAAAAAAAAGAAAAAAATGATGAATAAATATGTACAAAAAGAAAAGAAAAATATTTGTCACATCCAAGTTAACTGAGGATGGCAATGTAATTAAAAAGAATGGTTTGAACTCACAATTGGCTTTGTGGTTACCTTACTACTTGAAAGACGGGACTGGGCACATATACCATTTCATTGGACAAACTTATTTTTACTTAATAGAATATAATTAAAATGCAAAAGTTAATAGCACATTAAAGTTTAATAGTTTTCTTTGAGACAGAGACATTCTCTGCTCTCTTTTGCTCCTCAGACTGGTCTTCGTAGTCTTCAGGTTGCTAAAATCTGATACTTTCCCAAGTCCATTCTCATGAACAATTCTACATCCCAATTGTGGCGGGGTGGGAGGGGGGGGCCTCCTGTAAGTCATGGTCATTCTGTGTTCATGCTGTCTCCATTTCCAAAAACGCTCCAGAATCTCTAGATATATTTAAATCTTCCCCAACACACTTGGTCCAACATGTTGCTTCTGTTTTCATTGTCTGTCACCATGCCTAGGGCACAGCAAACAAGAGTAGTGGATTGATAACAAGTGTTAGTTGATGAACATGAAAAAAACGACATAGGCCGGGCCCAGTGGCTCATGCCTGTTATCTCAGCACTTTGGGAGGCTGAGGTGGGCGGATCACGTGATATCAGGAGTTTGAGACCAGCCTGACCAACATGGGGAAACCCCATCTCTACTGAAAATACAAAAATTAGCCAGGCATCGTGGCACGCGTCTGTAATCCCAGCTACTGTGGAGGCTGAGGCAGGAGAATTGCTGGAACCTGGGAGGCGGAGGTTGCAGTGAGCCAAGATCATGTCACTGCACTCCAGCCTGGGTGACAAGAACAAAACTCTGTCTCAAAAAAAATTTTATATATATATATATATAATTATGTAAAAATTATATATATAATTATGTAAAAATTATATATAATTATGTAAATATATATATAAAATTATGCTATGTAGTTCTGTTAATGCATGATATTATAAAAGCACAGTTGTAAAAAGGTTACATTTACTCTAATTCTAGGCCACAGACTATTCAGTTAGTCCTAAAAATTCATGCAACATCGCCAGGCATTGTAGCACATCCCTGTAGTCCCAGTTACTTGGGAGGCTGAGGATCACTTGAGCCCAAGAGTTTGAGGTCAGCCTTGGTAACAAAGCCAGACCTAGTGTCTTCGAGAAAAAAAATACAAAATTCATGCAACATTACTTGACACTAGGGAGACTAAGTAAGTATGAAGATGGAGTTATATGAATGGGTCACTGCCACTTAAAAAAACCCCTCAAAAATACATGAACTATTAATGAGTTGTAGTGCATATAAGGAAGACAGAATAATGTCTTATATATCATGACTCCATTAACCTCTATAAAGAAGCTGAATATCTACATCTTAAAATTGTAGACTAATGGAGACATTATTTTGTTTATATTAACTCTCTACCTAGGCTTTTCCATTGTAAAGAAGCTATATTTATCTAGATCCATCCTCCCCCATACACACAGAGCTGTTTTTCTTTCACATTGAAAAATTATGACCAGGCACCCTGGCTCATGCCTGTAATCCTAATAGTTGTGGGAGGCCAAGGCAGGCAGATCACTTGAGGCCAGGAGTTGGAGACCAGCCTGGCCAACAAGGTGAAACCCCATCACTACTAAAAATGCAAAAATTAGCTGAGCTTGGTGGCATGTGCCTGTAATCCCAGCTACTCAGGAGGCTGAGGCAGGAGAATTGCTTGAACCCAGGAGGCAAAGGTTGCAGTGAGCCGAGATTGTGCCACTGCACCCCAACCTGGGCGACAGTGAGATTCCGTCTCAAAAACAAAAAACAAAAAAAACCTATTACATAATAAACTGATTTGCAAATCTCTTGACTGGATTTTTTTTTTTTTTTTTTTTTTGAGACAGAGTCTCACTGTGTTTCCCAGGCTGTGCAGTGACATGGTCTCAGCTCACTGCAACCTTCGCCTCCTGGGTTCAAGTGATTCTCCAGTGTCAGCCTCCCGAGTAGCTGGGATTACAGGCACCTGCCACCACGCCTGGCTAATTTTTGTATTTTCACTAGAGACGGGGTTTTGCCATGTTGGCCAGGCTGGTCTCGAGCTCCTGACATCAGGTGATCTGCCTGCCTCCGCCTCCCAAAGTGCTGGTATTACAGGCATGAGCCAACACGCCCAACCTTCTGACTGGTTTTTAATACAAGATAGCTAGATTTTTATATCTGCTTCTGCATTAATCATGTAATCTCTGTAAAAAGCTACCATTCACTCATGAAAGAGTAAAAAGGATAAATGACCTCTTCTTGCTACGATTATGAAAATTGTTTTGACCTTTCCCCTTCTGTCCACACATATCCCAAAGGGTCTCCAGGGCCCCCAACGGTCCCAGGACCATATTTTGAGAACTGCTGAGTAGATCATGGCATTCAAGCCAAGGTAAGTTTATGTTTTATTGTAAGAGCAATAGGAAGCCATTAGAAGAGTTCAGGTCTGTGGGAAGATCTGTTTTAGGTTTTAAATCAGCACTTTGGATACTACGTGATGAATGGACTGAAGGGGTTAAAAGCAGAAGCAGAAAGAATAGTTAGGAGGCAGATGAAGCAGTCCAGGTGAGAGATGACAGTGGCTAAATTCTAGCAATAGAGATGGGAGACATGACATACTGTGACATATTTAAGAGCTGGACTGTCAGAATTTACTGCTATATTTCTTTCTTTTCTTTTTTTTTGAGACGGAGTCTCACTCTGTTGCCCAGGCTGGAGTGCAGTGGCGCAACCTCGGCTCACTGCAACCTCTGCCTCCTGGGTTGGAGCAATTCTCTTGCCTCAGCCTCCCGAGTAGCTGGGACTACAGGCGTCTGCCACCACACCTGTCTAATTTTTATGTTTTTAGTAGAGACAGGGTTTCACTGTGTTAGCCGGAATGGTCTCGATCTCTTGACCTCGTGATCCTCCTGCCTCGGCCTCCCAAAGTGCTGGGATTACAGGTGTGAGCCACCGAGCCCGGCCTACTGCTAGATTTCCTCTAGAAGGTTCTGTGTTCCGCAGACATTTAGCACAGATGTATCAAATGCTGGAACCCAAGAGACCTGGCTTTTTGAATCGTAGGAAAGCCATTAACTAGCTGTGTGAGAAATTGATAGCGTTTTTCCCTGTCTCCCGAAAAAAAAGTGAGGTTTATTTTTGGCCAAGAAGACTAAAGTTAGCTGATTCTCCATCAGTCTCAGATTCTCTGAGTTCTCTGACTTTGGCTGCGTATGTGTGGCCCAGGCAGTAATGTGACACACCTTTAAGTGGTTGGGATTCAGTCGATTTTGATTGTGGTAGGGGTGGCTTCCATACAAAGGCAAGATGCTAATCAAATTTAATTTAAGTCTTTTCTGTTCATGTGAGAAATACTAAGCTGGTGGAGACCTGAAACAGATGGTGTGCAGTTGGAGTAGATAACTATATTATTCTAAATAAATATTTGCTGGAGCTGGGAAGCAACAATCCATATTTCATTTTTTCCCTATTTACATTTTCAGGTCAGCTGTGTTGCTACTGTTTTTAACTTGCATTAAGGTTATCAACAGACTTGGCAATTACAATATATCTTTAAATGTTGAAATAATTAGCATTGGAAGAGACCCTCAGCACGTAGTGCTGTAATGATTCTTAATGCATTTCTGGTGGATAGCTGTCTAATAATATCTTACACTTGAAAAAATTTTTTTTTTGAGTCGGAGTCTCACTTTGTTGCCCAGGCTGGAGTGCAGTGGCCCAATCCCGGCTCACTGCAACCTCTGCCTCCTGGGTTCATGTGATTCTCCAGTCTCAGCCTCCTGAGTAGCTGGGACTACAGGCGCACACCACCATGCCCAGCTGATTTTTCTATTTTTAGTAGAGACGGGGTTTCACCACGTTGGCCAGGATGGTCTCGATCTCTTGACCTTGTGATCCGCCCACCTCGGCCTCCCAAAGTGCTGGGATTACAGGCATGAGCCACTGTGCCTAGCTTAAAAATCTTATACGGTACTTGTTTTTTAATTTTCATTTTTTTTTTAATTTATTTTTTTTGAGAGCGGGCCTTGCTCTGTCACCCAGGCTGAAGTGCAGTGGCACAATCTCGGCTCACTACAACCTCTGCCTCCCAGGCTCAGGCAATCCTCCCAAGGAGCTGGGACTATAGGTGTACGCCACCACTCCCAGCTAAATTTTTGTATGTTTTGTAGAGATCAGGTTTTGCCATGTTGGCCAGGCTGGTCTTGTACTTCTGAGCTGACTCGATCCACCTGCCTCAGCCTCCCAAAGTGCTGGGATTACAGACGTGAACCACCATGCCTGGCCTACAGCACTTTTTAATCTGTTACTTTATTTGCCTTTTAACACCTCCCTTCCTCTGTTTTACAAATGAAGAAACCAAGGCTCTGGCATGACTTGTCCAGGGTTCCACAGTAGCTGATAAATTGGCAGAAAAATCAGGATTCACAGTCACAGTTTCATGCCCAGTTTTCTTTCTTCCACAATAGCCTACCTTTGACTATTCAAGAATATAAATCTCTAGCTGGTCTGGAATTTGGCTGTTTTGCCAAACTGACCTTTTCATCTCATCTTTTGCTGCATACAGCTTTTTATATTTACTGTATATTCTGTTTCAGCTAAGAGATGGTCTTAAATTGAGGGAGTAATGAAAATTTTATATTAACTCTTTCCTGGCTTAAGGTGCTGTAGCCACTGTATCTGTCTCAGTTAAGTTCTGGGGCGAGATCTGTGTGCAGTCTCTTAAATGTTAATATATTCTTTGTTACACATAATATACTTGTTCTCACCTTCATTGTACCTGTATTCTTAATGATACTTTGATGAAAGCAGGTTTTCAAATAAGTAGGTTTAAAAAGGCATTTTATTAATCACTGGTCTAATCATTATAATAACCTAAACAGCTAGCATGTATTCCTATGCTCTTTGTATATTTATTCTTGAAATTCACAGTGCTTACAGCCCGGTAGATTATACTCTTTACTTGGCTTCTGGTTTTTCCCCTTATTTCCTTGGCTTTTCTTTTTCAGTCTCTTTTTTTAGTTTCTTGTCTTTCATGATCTCTAAGAGTGGAAATACCTGCAGATCTGTACCCACTTCCAGTAAGATACCTGTTCTCAGGCTTTCCGTAGAATCTATATGCCATTATTTGAAAATATTTCATCACAACTTCAGACTTTCCCACCCCAGGCCTCAGCTCCACACTTTTATATCCAGCTGCTTATCCAGCATTTCTGTTAGAATATCTACTGAGCATTTTAAAGGTAATCCTGATCTTCAGTTGCTCTTTCCCCATTTTCCTTTACCAGTTCCTCCTTCTTAGTAAATGGTAACTTCATCCTTCCAGTTGCTTAGGCTAAAAACCTCAAAATTGTTTCTTGACCTCTGTTTTTTTTTTTTTTTTTTCTTTCTTTTTTTCAGTCTCATCTGTCAACCAGGCTAGAGTACAGTGGCACAATCACAGCTCACTGCAGCCTGAAACTCCAGGGCTGAAGGAATCCTCCTGTCTGAGCCTCCAAAGCAGCTGGAATTATAGGCAAGCACTCTCACACCTGGCTAATTTTTTTTTGGTTTTAATTTTGTGGAGCCGGGGTCTTGCCATCTTGTCCAGGCTGGTCTCAAACTCTGGACTCAAGCCATCCTCCCACCCTCAGCCTCACAAAGTGCTGGGATTAGAGATATGAGCCACTGTACCCGGCCTTTTGACCTCTATTTTGTATTTATTTTTTATTTATTTACTGCTGTCACCTCAGTAGTAGAAGACTTAGTAGTTACTCGAATAATTTTGAATAAATAGATGAGAAAATTCTAAGATTCAATTTAGGAAAAGTTACTCAAATTCCTTATTTAACTGCATTCCACTACCTGGGGGTTATGTTAAGACAGGGGTCTCCAATCCTCAGGCTGCATACCGGTATGGATCTGTGACCTGTTAGGAACCGTGTGGCACAGCAAGTGGTGAGCCAGTGCATTACCGCCTGACCTCTGCCTCCTGCCAGATCAGCCATGGCATTAGATTCTCATTAGGAGGGCAATCCCTGTTGTTAACTGGACATGTGAGGGATCTAGGTTGTGCACTCCTTATGAGAATCTAATGCCTGATGATCTGAGGTGGAACAGTTTCATCCTGAAACCACTCCCTACCCCACCCCCAGTTAGTGGAGTGCAATGGCACGATCTCAGCTCACTGCAACCTCCTTTTGTAGTTCTTCGGTAGGTACATGGCCTCCCAAGTAGCTGGGACCACAGGTGCATGCCACTGTGCCCAGCTAATTCTTTTATTTTTTGAAAAGACAGGGTCTCATATCGGGGAATCTGCCCCAATATTCACGTAGGTTCTTTTCTATTTTCCTTTAGCATCGGCCAGCTTGAGAAATAAAGGGACAGAGTACAAAAGAGAGAAATTTTAAAGCTGGGCGTCCAGGGGAGACATCATATGTCGGTAGGTTCCATGATGCCCCACAAGCCGCAAAAACCAGCAAGTTTTTATTAGGGAGTTTCAAAAGGGGAGGGAGTGTGCGAATACGTGTGGGTCACAGACATCAAGTACTTTACAAGGTAATAGAATATCACAAGGCAAGTGGAGGCAGGGCAAGATCACAGGACCACAGGACCAGGCAAAATTAAAATTGCTGATGAAGTTAGCACCATTGTCATTGATAACATCTTATCAGAAGACAGGGTTTTGAGATAAACCGGTCTGACCAAAATTTATTAGGCGGGAATTTCCTCTTCCTAATAAGCCTGGGAGCACTATGGGAGACTGGGGTCTATTTCACCCCTGCAGTCTCGACCATAAGAGACAGGCGCACCTAGGGGGGCCGTTTATAAGCCTATACATCCAGGCGCGTATTCTCTTTCCCAGGGATGTTCCATGCTGAGAAAAAGAATTCAGTGATATTTCTCCCATTTGCTTTTGAAAGGAGAGAAATATGGCTCTGTTCTGCCTGGCTCATCAGCGGTCAGAGTTTAAGGTTATCTCTCTTATTCCCTGAACAATTGCTGTTATCCTGTTCTTTTTTCAAGGTGCCCACATTTCGTATTGCTCAAACACACCTGCTGTACAATTTGTGCAGTTAATGCAATTATTACAGAGTCCTGAGGCGATATACATCCTCCTCAGCTGACAGGATTAAGAGATTAAAGTAAAGACAGGCATAGGAAATCACAAGAGTATTGATTGGGGAAGTGATAAGTGTCCATAAAATCTTTACAATTTATGTTTAGAGATTGCAGTAAAGACAGGCATAAGAAATAAAAGTATTAATTTGGGGAACTAATAAATGTCCATGAAATCTTCACAATCCACCTTCTTCTGCCATGGCTTCAGCCGGTCCCTCCGTTTGGGGTCCCTGACTTCCCGCAGCAGTCTCACTTCATTGCCCAGGCTGGTTTTCCAGCTTTTTAATCAGTTATAGCAGAAGTCAGTAAACTGTGGCCCACTGTCGGCCAGGCATGGTGGCTTACGCCTGTAATCCCAGCACTTTGGGAGGCCGAGGCAGGTGGATTGCCTGAGCTCAGGAGTTCGAGACCAGCCTGGGCAGCAGGGTGAAACTCCATCTCTACTAAAATACAAAAAAATTAGCTGGGCTCAGTGGCATGTGCCTGTAGTCCCAGCTACTTGGGAAGCTGAGGCAGGAGAATTGCTTGAACCCAGGAGGCGGAGGTTGCAGTGAACAGAGATGGCGCCACTGCAATACAGCCTGGGCGACAGTGAGACTCTGTCTCAAGAGAAAAAAAAAACCTGTGGCCCACTGTCCATTTTTGTGAATAAAGATTGATTACAACACAGCCAAGCCCATTTATTTGTATATTGTCTATAGTGTGCTACAATAGAGCAAAAAAATATTTACTGTCTTGCCTTTGGCAGGAAAAGTTTCCTGATTCCTGAGCTATAATAATGATAAATTAATTTTCCAGTATATGTATAAACATGGAATGTAAAAAATTTATTTTTTCTATCAGTGTTGGTACATGTTAAAGTATTGATTTTGTTTTAATTGTGCTCCATCTTCTATCTTCAAAGGTCCTTGTAAAATACTTTCTGGTAATTTCCCTTTTTTTTTTTTTTGAGACGGAGCCTTACTCTGTTGCCCAGGCTGTAGTGCAATGAATGGCATGATCTTGGCTCACCGCAACCTCCACCTCCCAGGTTCAAGTGATTCTTCTGCCAGCCATAGCCTCCTGAGTAGCTGGGTTTACAGGTGCCCACCACCATGCCTGGCTAATTTTTTGTATTTTTAGTAGAAACGGGGTTTCACCATGTTGGCCAGGCTGGTCTTGAACTCCTGACCTCAGGTGATCCACCCACCTCAACCTCCCAAAGTGCTGGGATTACAGGCGTGAGCCACTGTGCCCAGCCTCTGGTAATTTCTTTGAGTCCTTATGTCTCCATTTTTGTTGAATGATAAATTGTTTGTCATTATAAACAGTTGTTTCTGGCCATCTCGGCATATGAAGCCTGCGTGTTATTAGGAAGTTGGATGTGTTGTCAGATTTGTGGCAGAGTTACAAAGATGGTAAATGCTCATCCTTAAGCATGTACTATGTCCATAATCAGTTTAGCCAACTTTATAAGGCTATAAATGTAACAGTAATTTTGATGTTTCTTCCTCCATCTTTAGCAAGTTAGAATTATCACTTTTGGAAAGTTTTTTTTTTTTTTTTTTTTTTTTTTTTTGTGATGGAGTCTTGCTGTTTTCCAGGCTGGAGTGCAGTGGCACCATCTCAACTAACTGCAACCTCCACCTCCTGGGTTCAAGCAGTTCTTCTGCCTCAGCCTCCTGAGCAGCTGGGATTACAGACGCCTGCCACCATGCCCAGCTAATTTTTGTTTAGTAGAGATGGGGTTTCACCATGTTGGCCAGGCTCGTCTTGAACTCCTGACCTCAGGTGATCTGCCTGCATTGGCCTCCCAACGTGCTGGGATTACAGGTATGAGCCACTGCACCCGGCCTGGAAATTCTTACCATATGACAATTACACATTCAGAACATTTACCTATGCTTGGCAGTGATTGAAGAGAGGCTATGGTCCAGGAAATCTTTTCCCTGATTTTTCCTTCAGCTGTGATACCACCTCTTGGGGGCACTATTCAAACTATATCCCATGTGCTACCTGGAGAGCCCATGTAGCCTTTCCAGCAAACACCTTAACATTGTGTTAAGACTTGCCTGGCCGTCGTACATGGTAATGTTTCTATTTCTTTATTTTCCCAGTACTGTATGTCTGTCTTTCCCATAAGTGAGGTCCCTCCCTACCTTCATCTCTGAACTTCCCTAAGGCCTGGCAAATCCAGGACAGTCAAGTAGATTGGGATCTGGATCCTCAAAATCCAGGACCAAATTATTGGAAATAATCCAATTGTTCATTGACAAGGGATTGTTTAAATGAACTATGGTACCTCCTCAAAGTGTATTATCATATTGTTTTTTAAAATTGTGGAATTAAGAATTCCAGGACATATTGTGATATTATAAAACACAATAATAGAACCAAAAAAAAAAAGGAACATTATAATTTGTATGTGGTGTAGATTAGTTGTCTATTCCTGCATAACAAACCATGTCAGAACTTCATGGCCTAAAATGATAAGCCTCCCCGCTCCCTTCTGTTAGTCTAATCCGCCCACCTCAGTCTCCCAAAGTCTTGGGATTACAGGCAGGAGCCACCCACGCCCAGCCTGAGAGTCTGATTTTTGTTTTTTTTGTGGGTTTTTTATTGTTGTTGTTGTTTTTTGTTTGTTTGTTTTTAGACAGAGTCTCGCTCTGTCGCCCAGACTGGAGTGCAGTGGTGCGGTCTTGGCTTATTGCAGCCTCTGCCTCTCGTGTTCAAGCGGTTCTCCTGCCTCAGCCTCCTGAGTAGCTGGGATTACAGGTGTGTGCCACCACGCCCAACTCATTTTTGTATTTTTAGTAGAGACAGGGTTTCACCCTGTTGGCCAGGCTGATCTTGAACTCCTGGCCTCAGGTGATCCGCCCGCCTCAGCTTCCCAAAGCGCTGGGATTACAGGCATGAGCCACCGTGCTCAGCCTGGAGTCTGATTTTTTTATAAAGCAATGGATTTAATGGCTTCCTTGGCCAGCTTCTTTGGAATGATCAGTGTTCCTGTCATTATAGGAAAGATCTCTATATGGATCTTTATAGATAGATCTAATATAGAAAGATCTATATTCTGCATATTTTCTCAGTCATGATAAACAGGAACACTTGACCAGATCTTCTACCCCACACAGCATAGATAACATCTCAAACTCGGTAAACTGTTATTCTAATAGATTTTTTTTTTTTTGAGACAGGGTCTCACCCTGTCACTCAGGCTGGAGCACAGTGGTGTGATCACAGC
Source organism: Homo sapiens (assembly GCF_000001405.40). Lineage (NCBI taxonomy): Eukaryota > Metazoa > Chordata > Mammalia > Primates > Hominidae > Homo > Homo sapiens. The sequence goes on from NC_000020.11 coordinate 33,601,877, forward strand.
TCACTGCAGCCTCGACCTCCTGGACTCAGGTGATCCTCCCACCCCAGCCTAATGAGTAGCCGGGACCACAGGCATGCGCCACCACATCCAGCTAATTTTTTTTGTTGTTTTTGGAGAGATGAGGTCTCCCTGTGTTGCCCAGCCTGTTCTCAAACTCTGGGCTTATCCTCGTGTCTAGCAATTCTCCCGTCTCAAGGTGGTTTGGATTACAGGCATGTGCCATCATGCCCAACCATAATTCTAATATATTTTAAAATATGATTCAAGTAAACCATGTGAGAGTATCTGCTGTATACCCACCATTGTTATGTCCATTATGGTACCCTTCATATAACCCTGTGTTGAAATATCCCCAGGGACAGATAAAGAAAACCACTGTCACACAACTAGGGAGTGATGGAGCATTCTTCACATCAGGCTCACCTTTTGCCTCAACATGCTTTCTCCTTGAGACCTAAATTTTTCTTCTTTCCAATTGCTTGGGAGTAGCCTTTCCCTTTAGATAACCTCATTATTTTCTTATCTCGTATTTACACCTCTGCTCTCTGCCAGTCTCTGATTAAAAAAAAAAAAAAAACTCAAAAGCAATTTATAATGATTTGTAAATGCCCTTGATTGTGGGCAGTTTATCATGGAAGATTCTTCTCAAGTAGCACATTTCTGGGATGTCAGTCAGTAATACAGTGGTTCCCCCTTACCCACGTGGAATATGTTCCAAGACCTCCGGTGGATGCCTGAAACCATGGGAAGTATTGAACCCTACATACATTCCTTTTGGACTGTAACTGAGCCTATGAGATGCAACAGCAAAATGAGCACAAACGTCTTTTTCCTTCTTACAGTAGATGTCAGCAACCTCAGCATAGGAATTTTTTCTTTCCTTACGAAGTCAAGAACTTCTGCCTTTTCACTTAGTACTTTACAGCTTCACTTTGGTGTGTCCGAATTGCCAGCATCACTCCTCTTTTACTTTGGGGCCATTATTAACTAATAATCAGGGTTACTTGACCACAAGCACTGCAAAACCATGACAGTTCATCTGATGGTAACCGAGATGGCTACTAAGTGACTTATGGTCGGGTAGTGTATACTCTGGACAAAGGGATGATTCACATCCCAGGTGGGATGGTGTGAGATTTCATCACACTATTCAGTACGGTGCTCAATTTAAAACTTATGAATTGTTTATTTCTGAAATTTTCCATTTGATATTTTTGGACTTTGGGTGACTGTAGGTAACTGAAACCGTGGAAACTGAAACTGCAGATAAGAGGAAGACTGCTGGGTGTTCAGTGTTACTTTCCTGTGGAGCTACAGGATAGTTCTACTCTTTAGTTTCATCTTTGATTCTTTAAATTCCTATGTAGGAAAAAATATCACTGCTATCACACAGAGAACTGTTTATTACTTTATTCTTTCATCTGTTTTCTGTTTTCAGGATATCCTTAGCAAATTGCACACAGTGAAGAAATTATTCAGACATACTTTTCCATTTTGACTCATCAAGTTCTTTGGCTTCCCATGGTTTAGGTGTTGAACCATAAGTCATTTTGGAAATGCATGCTGTCATATCTGGGTTTTATTTTTTAATATATACATACATATATATGCACACATGCATTTATTTTTAATACACGTATACAAATATATTCAGAATAATCAAAACACAAACTCATAGGGTGACTAAATTGTCAGTTACTTTGAATTTGAAATTGAGTTGGACCCTTATGACAAAACCAAGGGTTATTTTGACTTCCTGGGACTAAATCTTTATGGCTGTTTGATATGCTAAGCAATGGTGTTTATGGACTTAAGCCACAATTGAGGGAAAAGAATTTCTTCTTCAACTCTATTTAAGGTTCTCCAAGATAGAAGAGAGTTCAATATATGGTTGATTCTTTAATGGGATCCAGCTAGAATATAGCACATAACTATCATTTTCATAAAAATTCAAAAAGGAAGTCACCATAACTAGGATGACATAAAGGCATGTCATAGCCTTCTTCCTACAGGGACTTACTATAATCCTGTGACCCCAGGCAGAGGGTTAAAATGCCTACTTTGGAACATACCCTTTCCCATCATCTGAGCAACTGCTGAATTTGTCACCTTGTAAACCACTTGGATAGATCTCACTCCATGAAGGGCATTCATGCCACCCAGCTTCCATCAAAAATGCCACTTTACATTGTGCTTGGTGATTTTGCAGCTATTAATTCTTGGATCATTCCATACATTATCTCTGAGTTTCCATGGATAAATTGTTGATAGTATACCTATTTTCCACAGAAAACAGATGTTAATATTAACTTGGTCAAGGTCACATACCTAGTTAATAGTATGTCCAGAATTTGACACCAGGATTTCTATCTTCTAATCATCATTCCTGTTAATTAAGCACCTTCTGTATACCTTGCAGTGATTTAGGCATCATCTTTAATCATTACATGTTTCCTGACAGGTAGGTCTTACTGTCACTCATTTTACATATGTTGAAAATGAGGCCTAGAAAGGTGAAATGAATTGGTGAAATTCACTTGCATTGTAACAGAATGAGAATTCACACGGAATCTCTCAGTCTTCATACCTGTGCTTTTTCTGCTTCATTCACTTGAAACATGAAGAAACACTAGTGTTGTAGGTTTTGGGTGGTGAAATGAAAAGTATCAATCTGTAAACAGTTCTCTAGTGGCTGGGTTTGGCCCACTATCAAAGCTTTTGGTTGGTAAGAGCACAGAGTTCAGCGTTCTGCATTTGGGCTGCTCTAACTTTTTTATTCTGCCAAGTGCTGACTGTTAAAACTCATCTCACTGCTAAGCCTTCCTCAAGTCTTTGGCACCCTTGCTATAGAGCCAGGTGGTCTGAAGAAAAGCTCCCTCTAGGTTGTTGCACACTGTACACAACACATTACAGTGCGAGACAACTGTCAGTTCCTTCCTTTCCTTCTCCCCTACCCTTCCAGAAAGCTGGGCCCCAGATGGAAGAGCTGGAAATGTGTCAACTGTTCTCTGAAGGGCATTGAGAAAATACTGTCAGGAAGAAAAGGCAAGCGCAACAGCTCATTAGTCCACTAATCAGACAGGACGACCATCAATTTCACAAAGAAAATGTCCTGAACAGAGAAATGGGAAGGGCTGGCAGAGTGTTGCCCACATGGTTCTGAGAACTGCACATTTTTGTCAGGGGATTTGTAACTTGGGGGCATTGCTTTCTTGATTGACTTTATTATATCCCTTTCCCAAGTGTGGCCACTGCAAACTGAAGCATAAAAATGGTATTTGGAGATACTTTTCTACAAATACCATTGTGTCCCATCAATGCACAAAAATGTTCCTTGTTGCCAGGATCGTGAACACTCTTGTATGTATTGTCTTTATAGCTGTGCTCTCACAGAAGGAAAACTTGGACTTTACCTTCTTATTTGAGCCTTTGCTCCCCATTTTTTACACTTTAATTTGAATTCAGCAGTTATTGGAGAATGAATGGCTGGTACTTAAGTGAAAAGCTTAGAATTACTGTGAGGAACATAGCTCAATTTAAAGGTGATTATGGTAACCCTGGTCGTATTATTAACTAAGTATGTAACAAGTTCTCTTTGATAGGGAAAAATAACTTGTTAGATATATTAGAATATTACTCATTGGTATCAAGTCTGATTCCTGTTAGCTCAGACCTACCTAATTGCAGCATCATGAAGTTTATCTAATTTATCTTTCTGGAATTTTGTTGCCATTTAGTATTATCAAACAACTGCCTATTATTAATTGTTCCCATAGATGAAGTAGCCTCTGCTTCATGTAGACTCAGCTCTACTTTTCATCTTTTTGAACAATGTATAGCATGAATGACATTTACATGTTTGAGGTCAGAGAGGTTGACTCCCTCTTTTTTCCTACTTGATGTAGTTGATATGTATATATATAATTTAGTACATCATTATTAATGGTGATTTTTTTTTTTTTAAGACAGAGTCGCTCTGTCACCCAGGCTAGAGTGCAGTGGCATGATCTTGGCTCACTGCAACCTCCGCCTCCCAGGTTCAAGCGATTCTCTTGCCTCAGCCTCCTGAGTAACTGGGACTACAGGTGCCCACCACCACACCCAGCTAATTTTTATATTTTTAGTAGAGACAGGGTTTCACCATGTTGGCCAGGCTGATCTCAAACTCCTGACCTTAGGTGATCCACCCGCCTCAGCCTCCCAAAGTGCTAGGTTTACAGGCATGAGCCACCGTGCCCAGCCTATTAATATTGATTTATATATAACTGATTGATTTTCTTTTCATGTCTTGCAGTTGAGGCCTAAGTCTAGATAGTTCCCATGTTAGCTTTTTCACCCCTAATAATTTGATTCATTTATAAGGAGAAGTTAAAGAAAATGCATTTGAGGTAAGCTATATTTGTAACCTGGTTTCTTCCTTTCTCAGCCACTATCTAAAGACTGCTAACTTTCAGTTCACATCACCTCTTGACCTTGTTTCCTCATTTTAGTTCCTAGGGTTGAAGTAACAAAGTACCACTAACTGAGTGGCTTAAGACAATAGAAATTCATTCTCTCACAGTTCAGAAAGCCAGAGGCCCAAAATTGAGGTATCAGCAAGGTTGATTCCTTCCCGGGGTTTCAGAGGACAAATGTGTCCCCTTCTCCCTCCTGGCTTGCTGGTTGCTGGCACTCCTTGGCATTCCTCGGTGTATAGATGTGTCACTCTAGTCCCTGCCTCTGTCGCCACTTGGTGTGACTGTCCTCTCTTTGGCTTCCCTCTGTGTATGTCTCTGTGTCTGTGTCTCATCCCTTCTTTAAGGACACCATTCAGATTGGATTTAGAGCCCACCCAGACAATCTAGGATGATCTCATCCTCTCAAGATTTTTAACTTAATGATATCTTCAAAGACCCTTTTGCCAAATCAGGTAACATTCACAGTTCCAGATGTTGGGATGTGGACATATCTTTTAGGGGGTCACTATTCAGCCTATTATACCAAGCAGTCCTCTAGGGAAGTATGTTGGTATTTCAAATTGTTGTCTGTTTTTGCAAACTTTTAGAAAACCCTAACCTCCATTTCTCTGATTCTCTGCAGTTGGTCCTGAGAAAAGGGTGCCAGCGATGCCTGGATCGCCTGTGGAAGTGAAGATACAGTCCAGATCCTCACCTCCCACCATGCCACCCCTCCCACCAATAAATCCTGGAGGACCGAGGCCAGTGTCCTTCACTCCTACTGCATGTGAGACCTCTTAGTTACTTATGTTTGTAGTTCAGAGTGACATTTGGATCTAAGTGACTGACTTGTATGAAGCGTTCCACATATATTATTCAGTGTTTTCAAAGTACTATTGAAAATATAGACACAGATATATATTTCTGGTTGTTTCTTTTATAAATTACTTTTACCCTCTGAGAATAATACTTAGCTTATTTGGATATTTAGTTGTTTAAATATTTTGTTTTCATATTCTTTGGCTGGTAACTATTTTTATTTCTTTGACTCTAACAATAATGAATTTAAATTATTATATTGCCTTATGGGATTCCAAGTAAGTTTTCTAAAATTATAGAATTCTAAAAATGTTCCAGTGCTGTCATGGTAAGACTTTTTACAAAAGAGAATATTGTTGTATTTGTTTACTAGGGCTGCCATAATGAAATACCACAGACTGGATGGTTTAAACAATTTATTTTTATTCACTTTTTCACAGTTCTGGAGGCAAGAATGTAAAGATCAAGGTATTGGCAGGTTTGGTTTTACCTGGGCCTTGTAGATGGTTGCCTTCTTGCCATATCCTCACATGGTCTTTCCTCCATTTTGCGTCCCTGGTGTCTCTTCCCCTGCCTTTAAGGATAATAATCATATTGGATTAGGGACTACTCATAATACCTCTTTTAACCTTAATGAACTCTTCAAAGTATCTCCAAATATAGTCCTATTCTGAGGTACAAGGGGTAAGACTTCAATGTATGAATTTGGCCAAGGCTCGGGCAGAATTCAGTCCATAACCATTATGTTAGCTAATAATATATGTAACAATATATTCAACTTCACTAACCATCAAGGAAATGCAAACTAACACCCAATACAGTACCATTATACACCCACCAGGATGTTCAAAATGATACCAAGTTTTGGTGAGGATGTATGGAGCAACTTGAACACTCATACAATGCTGGTTGGAGTGTAATTTAGTACATCTTTTGGAAATTGGCAGTTTGCACTAATGCTGAATTTCCACGTGCCCTGTAACTCAACAATTTCAGTCCTATATATCTATAATCACCAAAAGAACCCCAAATAAACTAGTATACATACATGCACACAAGTGTCTTGATCTTCATTTGAGTTCTACCTTTCCATGCACATGCTGCCGTCCCCAGTTCACTTTGACACTCTGCAGATCTTTTGCCTGTAAACCAAAATGTACTGCTATTTTTGGAATGCCCAAAAAGTGTCAGAGCACTGAGCTAGATGCTGTATGTATTGTTTCATTTAAATGCCATTACACAAGCTTGCACACTGTCCTTGCTCAAAATTTTTTGTTTTTTGTGTTTATTATTTTAAAAGGCAAGAGAAGAGAATGTAAGATGTACAGCTTTAATTGGAAGTTTATTATTTTCCAAAACATTTGAAATGGAGTAGCTGGTAACTGTAGCATTCAGTTTGAGCCAGAGTGAATGAAAAGAAGTGTGATATCCCTTTTCTTAAATTCTAATTTCTATCTCAAAGTTGAACAGCCCTAGACATATATACTATCTTGAAAAGAAACAGATTTAAACCTCAGCCATCAATCAGATTTCAAGATACACCAATAGGTATATGTATATACAAATTCAGCCCTTTTTACTTCCATATTTGGCTGCTTGGCGGTGGTTGTGTTTCATTTCAGAAAATGTGATCATACATTTTTTTCTAAAGAGACTACGAAAAAGCCTTTCTATACATCAGAGAAGCTAAAAGCATGGTAATGTGTTATTTTTATTGGTTCCTTCAAAATGGAGCAACTTTCCAATGGCAATTGACCTTTCTGTGAAAACAAAGAAATGGCAGACTATTGCAACTAATTTTCTGGATTGCTGAGGTTGAGTGTTCAACTTTCCTTTCATTAGCTTTACTAATTTTCTTTAGTGGAAGACACAAGAAAACTCACCCCTTTTCTCAGCCCGTTAGTCTGTTATGCAGTGAATCATTCAGCAGCATTTTCCTAAACACCCTTTGCTGAACAAAGCAAAAATATACACTGTATACACAACTTATAAAACTTAATTAAAGTATGCACATATGTATTGTGTATTGTATTATTAATAAGTGAACATCTATTAAGGCAACACAAATATAGAAATAAACAAGCATAGGCCAGGCGCAGTGGCTCACACCTATAATCCTAACACTTTGGGAGGCCGAGGAGGACAGATCACTTGAGGTCAGGAGTTCGAGACCAGCCTGGCCAACATGGTGAAACCCTGTCTCTACTAAAAATACAAAAAATTAGCTGGATGTGGTGGTGCGTGCCTGTAATCCCAGCTACTCGGGAGGCTGAGGAAGGAGAATTCCTTGAACTCAGGAGACGGAGGTTGCAGTAAGCTGAGATTAAACCACTGCACTCCAGCCTGGGAAACAGAGCAAGACTCGGTCTCTAAAAAAAAAAGTGAAATAGTGGAAGCATGCACATAGGCAGCACAGAGATGTAGTGAATCCACTAAGGTTACCTTCAAGCGGAGCAACAGCAGTATGTGTCAAAGAATGCTCCTTAACAGAGATGATACCTGAACCGTATGGGATGAAGAAGAGCTTGCCAGGTCAAATTTGAGTAAGGTTCAGTGTAAGAAGAGGGAACAGAGATGGTTAACTGACTGTGACTGGCTTAGAGGAAGTAGAAGGGAAGTGGAAGATTTTTTATGATTAATAAGTTGGTTTTTGGCAAAATATGACTAAATGTCTTTTTTCTAAGCTAGGTAAAGATTAAATGATTGGCTCTTTAAACATTGCTTATGTCTTAAATTGTTTCTTATGTTTTTAGATAAAGTTTCACTTTTTTAGTTTTTTAAGGCTGGATATGATTAAGTGAAAACAGAATGATACTTAGGTACTAGATAATTTAGATTTTTACTTGATGCCAACAAGAACGTAGCTCAGTGCCAGGCACGGTGGCTCATGCCTGTAATCCCAGCCTTTGGGAGGCCAAGGCAGGAGGATCACTTGAGCCCAGGAGTTTGAGACCAGCCTGGGCAATATAGTGAGACTCCCTGATCTACAAAAAATTTTAAAAAAAGAAATTAGCTGTGCATGGTGGCATGTGCCTGTAGTCCCAGCTACTCAGGAGGCTGAGGTGGGAGGACACCTGAGTCCAGGAGGTCGAGGCTGCACCAGGAGGTCAAGGCTGCAATGGGCCAAGATGGTGCTGCTGCACTCCAGCTTGGATGACAGAATGAGACCCTGCCTCAAAAAAACAAACAAGCAAAACCATAGCTCTAGGGTTGTTTTCGAAATTAAAATTTTCAAGAAATGACTATTAAGAACTAAATAGGAAAACTGTAATTAATCACATGTATTATAATTTGAGCAAAAATGTAGGATGGGAGTGTCCTGCATGGAATCAGGAAGATGCTTTATTGAATGACCAAGGGTTTGGCAGTATTAATCTAGCACTGTTAAGGCAGAGAGTAACTGGCTCTAATGGACATGAGTATTCTGGATGGCCAAAGAGATAGGTACCTTATTGTAGGAATAAGTCATTAAATCAGTAGGCCTAAAAAATATCCCTCATATTATCATAACTCTTTTTTCTGGTGTCTTGCTCACATGCTACCTTCTGATTGACTGCCTAGTGTTTTGGGGACCTTGAAATTGGGAAGGAGATGCAATGTAAAAGATGGGCATGAGTATCCCATCACTGGAAAGATCTATTGGCCCAGACCCATCTCAAGCACTACCTGTTGCAGGAAGTCTTTCTTAAAACTACCCACCCCTGCCCATGGCACCTGTAGAGTTAGATTTCCCTTCTTATTGCTCTGGGAGCACTCTGCTTTCTTTTTAACGCTCCAGTGTTACTCTGTTACCATTTTTATCTGACAGCAGTCTCACTGAGGACAGAACCAGTTTTGCATACCTTTATAACATGTGCTTTACAAAATTCAAATGAACAAACGAAAATACAAACAAGAAAAAATGAACAAAGGTTCCCTTGTTTTACACGTAACCTGAGTCTTTCATTTTGGCTTTCTTTTAGTAAGCAATGGCATCAACCATTCTCCTCCTACCCTGAATGGTGCCCCATCACCGCCACAGAGATTCAGCAATGGTCCTGCCTCCTCCACATCATCTGCACTCACAAATCAGCAATTGCCAGCCACTTGTGGTGCTCGACAACTCAGCAAGTTGAAACGCTTTCTTACCACTCTGCAACAGTTTGGCAATGACATCTCCCCTGAGATTGGGGAGAAGGTGCGGACTCTTGTTCTTGCACTGGTGGTAAGTACAGCCTCACTGTTGTTCTCAGCTGCCTGAGTATGTGGCTCAGGTCCAAAGCGAGCAAAGTTCTAGATATTTCTGCTCATTTTCAAACCCATGGTCATATGGCAAATGCTACAGACTAGACTAGTTATTGAATAACTTGTGTAAAACTGTTTAAATGTAGGTTTCTTTTCTTTTCTTTTCTTCTTTCTTTTTTTTTGAGGGTCTTACTGTGTCACCCAGCCTGGAGTATGATGGTGCGAACACAGCTCACTTCAGCCTTGACCTTCCAGGTTTAAGCAGTTCTCTTGCTGCATCCTCCTGAGTAGTTGGGACTACATGTGCATGCCGCCATGCCCAGCTAATTTTTTTATTTTGGTAGAGATGGGATCTCTCTATCTTGTTCAGGCTGCTTTCAAACTCCTAGCCTCAAGCAGTCTGCCTGTCTCGGCTTCCCAAAGTGCTGGGATTATAAGCATGATGTTTAATTGTAGATTTTATGTCAGTGCTTATCAAAGAAACAATCGATAATGTTTACTTGTTATTTAAGGTGGTGATTTAATTCCAATAAGCAACTTTGGATTTTTTTTAAAACTGCTCTCAACAGGCCCACTGGTGTCCAACCAAGTTAATGCAAGGTTTTGTAATTTAATATATTCAGTGCTTAGTGCATTGTTTCCAAACCAAGGAGAGTAGAGAGGTAGCAAGTTTAATTTTCAAAACAATGATTTCTAAAATTACAAGTTACGTGGCCTAAATAAATACTATCAAAATAAACAGTATCAAAGGGATTGCATTGTTCAGCTCCTCGTGCATATAAACTTGCTTAAGAATTTGCAAGGTACACATAATTTTTCTTTCTTTCTATACTGCACGTGGTGAACCTGTGGCATAAAGGAGTGATTTTCTGACTTCGACACCTGGGTGGGGTTTTATTCTCAGTGTTTATAAGGGAAGTACTGCCAGTTCCCAATGTTTCTAATTGAATTTACCTCCAATAAAAGCATTCTGTGCTCCTTTGTGTATGTTAACCCCTTTATATGGGATAAAAAGATGAATCACAGCACTAATCCTTGAAGCTGCAGCTCTCCGAGTGTAAATCTAGGGACCCTGAAGATTCTCCAGGATCCTTTCTGGAGATCCAGAAGGTGAAAACTATTTTCATAATATAACAGTAGACTAAATGCAAAAGTAGAGAGAATACAACTGGCTTCTAGTATGCTAGATATTAAAGAGACTTTCTATTATGCTAGATATTAAAGAGACTTGCAAAATGATAAAACAGTGCTGCTCTTCTTACTGCATTTATTTTGGAAAATACAGATTTTAAAAATCACACCTCAGTCTGAACCAATATAGTTATTTTTTATTTTAATTAAATTCTCAGCTTTAATTTCTGATATAGTAATGTCAATAAATGTAATCCATATAAATTAGAGGAATTCTGAGACCAAACAGTTTAAGAATTATTGCCTTAAAAAATTTCTCAGTCTAAGGCCAGATGTGGTGGCTCACGCCTGTAATTTGGGAAGCCAAGGTGGGAGGATTGCTTGGATGCAGGAGTTCAAGACCAGCCTGGGTACATAGTGAGACTGCCTCTACAAAATGATTTTTTAAAAGTTAGCTGAGTGTGGTGGCATATGCCTGTGGTCCTAGATACTCAGTAGGTTGAGGTGGGAGGATTCCTTGGGCCCAGGAAAGCTATGTTTGCACCACTGCACTTCCAGCCTAGGTGACAGAGTGAGACCCTATCTCAAAACATAAATTTAAAAAATTTCTCAGTCTATTATGAAAGGAACAACTTTCATACAAGGCAAAATGCAATATATGACTTTTTCATCATTTGTGAGGTTTAGTCCTTGTTACGTATGACTGTAGGTTATTTTCATTGCTATATAGTGTCATATTGTAGGAATATACCACAATTTATACCTTTGGGTTATCTGACATTTAAGTCATTTGTAATTTGGGGCAGTTTTGGGGTCTCCAGCATCTCCCCCATGTTTGGAGATTTGCCAGAAGGAGTCACAGGACTTGACATACAGTTGTGCTCACAGCTAAGATCTATTACAGAGGCATAGTAAGGAGACATAGTGAGAGAGACACAGTCTGGAGGAACCCATCTGCAGGTTTCCTTATGCTCTCTGCCTCTCCTGAATGGTAACACAGAGCTCCCTTTCCTTAGCAACAAAAATAACAGCAACATATATGCAGTGTTTCTGTCAAGGGAAGCCTATTACAGACTCAATGCCAAGGTTTTTGTTGGGGCCTGGTCACATAGTCAGTCTTTGCCTAGCACCTGCCAAATTTTACCCTCTTAGAAGGAAAACCCGTGTTTAGCATGAACCATACTGTTCGCAGAACCACTCTACACACGGCCACCCTTATCGGTTAGGGAGAAGTTTAGTTCTTTTTTATTTTAAACCTGTTTATTCCTCAAATTTTAGACTACTACAGAAAAATCTTACTGGATCCAGAGTAAGGTTATTGGAGTTAAATGTCAAAATGAGCTTGAACATAATTGGAAACAAAGCAGACATCAAAATGTTATGTTGATTCCAGCAGCAAATTAAGTATTATCTATTCTTAAAAATAATTTCAAGACTAAAAGTAAAAATGTCAAAAATTCATTTGCGGCGGGCGGATCATGAGGTCAGGAGATCGAGATCATCCTGGCTCACACAGTGAAACCCCATCTCTACTAAAAATACAAAAAATTAGCCGGGCGTGGAGCTTGCAGTGAGCCAAGATCGTGCCACTGCACTCCAGCCTGGGCAACAGAGCAAGACTCCGTCTCAAAAAAAAAAAAAAAATTCATTTGTAAAAAATTTGAATCTTTTTTTAGTTATGAAAAGTATATGTAGGTGTGTCCAATTATTTCTTTTAAATGGCCACATTTGGGTTACCTTTTTTTTCCATAGTAAAATATACATTATAGAATATACCATTTTAACCTCTTTTAAGTAGACAGTTCAGTGGTCTTAAGTACATTCATATTGTTTGTGCTGTTCACCATGTGTCCCTGTTTGCCATTGTGTATTTAGAGCCTATGAGCACCACAGGGTTAAGGAATTTATACAATTGCTTTTTTTGAATTGTGATGAAATTTACTATATTAACTATTTTTAGGTTTACAGTTTAGTGACAATAAGTATATTCATATTATCATACAACCATCATCACCATCCATCTCCAAAACTCTTTTCATCTTGCAAAACTGCACCAATTAAACAATAATACCCCATTCCCCCCTCTCCCTAGACCCTGGCAATTACCATTCTACTTTCTGTCCCTATGGATTTAACTACTCTAGGTACCTCATACAAGTAGAATCATACAGTATTTGTCTTTTTGTGACTAGCCTATTTCACTTAGCTTAATGTCCTTAGGGTTTATGCATGTTATAGCATATGTCAGACTTTCCTACTTTTTAAGGCTAATATTTCATTTTATGTCTATATCACATTTTATTGATCTGTTAATTCCCCAATGGACACATGGGTTGCTGCCACCTCTTCAGTTAAGAAAAGTTTTATATCAATGTAGGAAACTGTTTGCCATCCAGGGTCCTAGATGCCAGCCAGTGGCCCAACCTTACAAGCAGGCCTTTCTAAGGCTAGCAGTTTTAGGCCTACTATGTTAACTCTTTTTTGTACAGAACCATTACAAATAATGTTCCTATGAACATTCTTTTACACGTGTGGAAACACTGCACGCAACAGTGGAATTGTGGTTTCATATGTGTGGTGTGTACCTGTAGTCACAGCTACTCAGGAGACTGAGGCAGGAGGATCACTTTGGTCCAGGAGTTTGAGGCCAGCCTGGGTAACATAGACAGACCCCCATCTCTAAAAATAAAGGCCACATAATTTAGTAGCTGGAGTTATCCATCTGCATTCTGTGTCCATGGTGTATAAGAAGTAAGGTACTGAGAGTCCCTAACTATACCAGAAAGCAAGCATGGGCATTTTGCACTTCAAGGTAATGGTAAATGTTTTGTGCTTCACTTACTTATTATTATTTGGAGAATGTACTTTCTGGAGGATAGTTTGGCAATGTTTCTGGTACCATTCATCCTAAGAAAATAATAAACATAAACAATATACACCAAGATAATCAGTTCAACATTAAGTACCCCCTCCCCCATTGAAGCTAACTGAAAGGTCTGTAAAACCCTGAGGAAAGTACAATTTATCTGTTGTCGTTAAAAATCAAGTCTCATTCTGGTTCAGAGGCAAGGTAGAAAGACAGACTTCTCCCTATTCCCCCCAATAAGTAGCAAAAAGCCGTGGACTTTACCTATAAAACAAAAATAATTAGAGTCTTCACCAGGTGTGGTGGAGTGTGTCTGTAGTCCCACCTATGTAGTCCCAGCTGAGGCAGGTGGATTGTGAGCCTGGGGGACAGAGCAAGACCCCATCACTTTAAAAAAAAAAGAGAGAGAGACTCTTAAAGGTAGAGAGAAGACAGCAGATTCACTCATGGGACCCAAGGGACTACATAAGCAGTGAGTTCCCTAGGTTTTGTGTTTTTCTGATATATCCCACACCAGGTTATGCAGAAAATGTTGAGTTTAAGAGTAAAAATATAGGTAAGTAAATAAACTTTCCTTAGCTGGCATAGTGGAGTATGCCTATAGTCCCAGATACTCAGGAAGTTGAGGCAGGAGGATCACTTAAGCCCAGGAGTTCGAGGCTGCCATGAGCCATGATCACACCACTGCACTCCTGCCTGGGTGACAAAGCAATACTCTGTAGATAGAGATAGATAGATAGATAGATAGATAGATAGATAGATAGATAGATAGATAGATAGATGACAGAGCAATACTCTGTAGATAGATATAGATATAGATACATACATACATATACATACATATATATATACATAGGTAACTAGCTAACTAACTTTCCCTCTCCTGAGTTTTCTAAATTATGTTTCTTGTTGGCAGCAAAAATTACTTTGCCTGATATGGTTGTCACTATATGTAGAGGAAATAATTGCCAATTTTTATTATAAACCAGGAGGATAAAGATAGACAAGGTTTCTGTATTTCTGTATTTTGGTCAGTGGTGGTTACATGAAAATACACATATGGCAAAATGGTATAGAACTATAAGTATGTTGTACCAATGTTAGTTTCCTAGTTTTGAGATTGTAACCCTTTGGGAAGCCAAGTTGGAAGGATCACTTGAGGTCAAGAGTTGGAGATCAGCCTGGTCAACATGGCAAAATCCCATCTGTACTAAAAATACAAAAATTAGCCAGGAGTGCCAGTGCACACCTGTAATCCCAGCTACTTGGAAGGCTGAGGCACAAGAATCACTTGAACCTGGGAGGCTGAGGTTGCAGTGAGCTGAGATCACACCACTGCACTCCAGCATGGGTGACAAAACAAGACTGTGTCTCAAAAAAAAAAAAAAGATGTAAGCATTGGAGAAAGCTGAATAGAGGATACATTGGAGTATAAGTGTTGCCCTTGAAATCCAGAGACCAGATTCCCTCAGCATCTTACCTCTCAACGTTCTTCTCTCTGCTCTGACACATCTTTCCCAAAGCTGCATTTCAGTTTCCTCAAGGACAACACTGATGTACAGAAATCCTTGTCCCCCTAAGTTTGATTCAAATATATCTTCTCTGGCCAGGTAACACCCATAATCCCAGAATTTGGAAGGCCCAGGCCGACTTGAGGCCAGGAGCTTAAGACCAGCCTGGGGAATGTAGCATGACTCCTTCCTCTACAAAAAAAAAAATTTAAATTAGCTGGGCATGGCCAGGCACGGTGGCTCACGCCTGTAATCCCACCACTTTGGGAGGCCAAGGTGGGCGGATCACGAGGTCAGGAGTTCAAGGTTGCAGTGAGCTATAATCATGCTACTGCACTCCAGCCTAAGTGACAGAGCTAGACCCTATCTCTGAAAAAAAAAAATTTTTAAGCAAATACGTCTTCTCTGTGAGTCAGTAGTGTCCTGTACATGTGTACCTCCATCATACTGTAATGAATAGCTTAGTTGCCTCTTTTCCCACTAGACTATGAGATCTTTGAGGGGAAGAAACAAACAATTATGCTCTTAATATAAAATAAGGTTTTATAAACTAGCTGAAGGAGGAAGGTGTTTATCCCTCTCATACAGGACTGCCCTATATCCACTATGTATGTAAACCTGAGTCCATTTCTCTGGCCTAACTCACTATTTCCCTGTGTCACACAATCCATCCTTTCCCCTTGTCTACCCACAAGTATACTTAAAATCATTCATGTAGCCCTTCCATACATTTAATCTATTTGTGTTTGCTTTTCAAGACCTGATTGCTTCCCTTGCAGTAGATATAAAAGAGTGTCATTCTCTTACACTTAGTTTTTATTCCTGATTACCAGAATTACAGGTTTCTTTTGCTGTATTGTGCAAATGTCATATACTTAAAACAGATATAACGTTAACTTTAAAAGAATTTTTTTGGTATGAAATGTGGGAAAGTGTTCAAACATTTTCCTTTAATATGTTTAAATTGGACATACCCCTTTTCCCTGAAGGAAAATGTCTTAATGTTTACCGAATAATAAATATGATATATTTGGAAAATCCAACATAATTGCACACTCAGAAATAACTGTTATTGTGATTATTCTCCCAGGCATTAAATATATGATATAATATGCATGTGTGTTATTTTTGTAAGTGGATTCTTAGAAAATATAATGTTCTGTTTCTGGTTTTTCACTTAACAGTATTGTAGGTACCTTTTCTGCCTTAATGCGTACAAATCTGCTCTACCCCCTCCCTGCATAAGCATTCTGATACATGACTCTTGTAATTTTAATGTAGCTTTCTGTTGGTAGATCTATATATTTTCCTTTTTTTTTTTTTTTGTTAGGAAAATATATTGTGATAGCGTGGGGGTAAGTTGCATGTTACATACTATGTTTTTGAACACTTACAAAGTTTCTAAAAGTAAATTCCTAGAAATGTTATAGCTCTTTCTGGGGAGCAAGCAGGGATTCAGAATAATCCCCATATTTCATTTTGTTCGTTTGTTTTAATTTGTTATCATACAGTGTTATCGGCAATTGAAATACAAATATTGTGTGAACTTTGAAGAAAATATTTTTATTTGTTCATTCCCCTTAGCAGAGTTGCTGAGTCTCATTCCTAATTTGAGGCCTAGACTTTTGGGAAAACACAGAGGACGTCCACCTTTTAGAGAACAGTGATAACTTACCAATGGGGGTTTGCCGGTTGGGAGTTATTCTGGTATGCATAATGCATACAGGCCACTTGAAGGTAGAAGGCAACTATTCTTTTTTCTTTTGCTTCTGGTGGTTTTTGTTTGTTTGTTTGTTTGTTTGTTTGTTTGAAGATTTGGGGGAAGTTATGCCAGGAGGTAGGGGGCAGAACTTGGAAAAAGAAATGAACTTTTGAAAAAATGTGACACTGGGTTACTGAGTCCAAAATGTCTTAGAGTTGACATCCTAGGCCAAGTCATTATCTCTGTAACAGGAAACATTGTAAGCTTGATTGCCTGTTCCTGAAGTGACTTGCAATGAACCCCTCAATATCAGGGATCAGAGTGCCTCTCTTCATGGGTAGTGAGAAAGGCAGTGCCCTATTCTGCAGCCTAGGCTGCTGGGCAAAGGGGAGAATTTGGTGGTGGTGAAGGGAATCAAGGAGGGTTTCTGTCATAAGAAACCAGTGTGGTTTACCTTTGCCAGGCGTCTGAGTTCCTGATGATGTTCCTGCAGTTATCCTTTTCCTTATGATTTAAAAGTCTTTAGCAGCTGAGCACGGTGGCTCACCCCTGTAATCCCAACACTTTGGAAGGCTGAGGGAGGAAGATAGCTTGAGCTCAGGAGTTCAGGACCAGCCTAGACAACATAGCGAGACTGCATCTCTACTAAACATTTAAAAAACAAAATAAAAAGACCGGGCGCGGTGGCTCTCCCTTGTAATCCCACCACTTTAGGAGGCCGAGGCGGGTGGATCACAAAGTCAGGAGTTCACCGTCAGGAGATCACAGGAGGTGGAGGTTACAGTGAGCCGAGACCGCGCCACTGCGCTCTGGCCTGGGCAACAGAGCAAGACTCCATCTCAAATAAATAAATAAATAAATAACATTAAAAAAAAAAAAAAAGAAGAGTTTGGCACTATAAGTTTTGGAAGTCCAGTTTTGGAAGTTGAACAAGGTTATTTATCTTTTCAGAACTCAACAGTGACAATTGAGGAATTCCACTGTAAGCTCCAAGAAGCCACAAACTTTCCCCTTCGTCCTTTTGTGATTCCATTTCTCAAGGTAATTTGATAATTACTGAATATAATTTATCTTGAATATTTCCTCAAATTCTGCTAATCCCTGTTACGTGATTTAAATCAGAGCCGCTTGCCACGTTTTTAGATCTTTATTTTGGGCTGGTAGAGAGGTCTGAGTGCAGTTAACAGATAAACGTCAGGTTTAATGAGATGAGAATTGCAAAAGCCTTAAGTTGTGGTCTGTGTGCAGACACTGCTGCTAACACATAGAAGTAGCTAGCATAGGAGAGAATAGGAGGTGCTTGGGCTGGAAGTGTGAAAGTGGAAGGGAGGCTGAGGTCCTAGCAGAAGAAATAACTGGTCACTAATCCTTTGGGTATAGTCAGAGTGTGAAGAGTGTTGTCTGAGAGGCTGTCAGACAAAAGGCAAGGTCTTTGCAGTTTAGACTTACTCTAAGGTCAGGAGACGATGTAGGAAGACAGTGTTTGTGTCTCCCCGAACCCCAGATAGTCTAGTTTCTAAAGATGTCTTCTGCAATAATGTTCTCTGGAGCATAACTTTTGGAGAGATTGTTCTGCATTATCATGCTTACATGATAAATGAAATGAGGCCATGTTATATATGTTATATTTACATGGAATAAAATCTTCTAAACAGCTTTTGGCCAGTCACGGTGGTTCACACCTATAATCCCAGCACTTTGGGAGGCCAAGGCAGGTGGATTGCATGAGCTCAGGAGTTCAAGACCAGACTGGCCAACATGGCAAAACCCCCGTCTCTGCCAAAAAAAAATAGAAAAAAAAAATAGCCAGGCGCTTGTAGTCCCAGCTAGTTGGGAGGCTGAGGCAGGAGAATCACTTGAACCTGGGAGGCAGAGGAAGCAGGTGAGCTGACATTGTGCCACTGCACCCCAGCCTGGGTGACAGAGTGAGACATTCTCAAAAATAAAATAAAATAAAGAATAAAAAAAGAAATATTTAAGAGTAAGCCGCAAGGCCGGGTGTGGTGGCTCACGCCTATAATCCATGCACGTTGGGAGGCCGAGGCAGGCAGATTACCTGAGGTCAGGAGTTAGAGACCAGCCTGACTAATGTGGTGAAACCCTGTCTTCACTAAAAATAGAAAAAATTAGCACATGCCTGTAGTCCCAGCTACTCACGAGGCTGAGGCAGGAGAATTGCTTGAACCTGGGAGGTGCAGGTTGCAGTGAGCCAAGATTGTGCCACTGCACTCCAGCCTGGGTGACAGAACAAGACTCTGTCTCAAAAAAGAAAAGTAAGCTGCAGACATTATACATCTAAATACTTAAATACAGGTATCAAATCAGGAAAGTAACATTCATACAACACTGTTACCTATAGACCTTATTCATATTTCACCACATGTCCCACTAATGTCTTTTACAACAAAGAAAAACTTGGGAGGGAGCATAGTTCTGGATCTGACTCAGGATCACCCATTGCATTTTGTTGTCACGTCTCTTTAGTCCACTTTAATCTGGCACAGTTACTCAGCTCTTTGTGATCTTGACGTTTTTACAGAATACAAGATAGTTATTCTATCTGCGCACCTGGATTTGGTTTTCTCTGGTGTTGATTTGATTAGAATCATTTAACAGAAAAACTGTATTCAATTGTTACTGTATTTTGAATTTTGTCAATATTTATGGAAATTTGTTTTCTCTCTTTTATGAGTATCTCTATAATACCTTTAATTTTACTGCCTTTTTTTTTTTTTTTTTTTTTTTTTTGGGGAGACAAAATCTCGCCCTGTTGCCCAGGCTGGAGTGCAGTGGCGCGATCTCGGCTCTACAACCTCTGCCTCCCGAGTTCAAGCGATTCTTCTGCCTCAGCCTCCAGTGTAGCTGGGACTACAGGCACGCGCCACCACACCCGGCTAATTTTTGTATTTATAGTAGAGACTATTAATAGTAGCGACCATATTGTCCAGGCTGGTCTCAAACTCCTGACCTTGTGATCCACCCTCCTTGGCCTCCCAAAGTGCTGGGATTACACGTGTGAGCCACCGTGCCCAGCGTCTAATTTTGCCTCTTAACAAAGCCTAAAATATTTACTGTCTGGTCAAATAAATATGCCCCTTTTACTTTCTTTTACCTTATTTTCATTTCCTAAGAAAATGTAACAGCATCATACAGATGGGTTATCTTACTAAAGTACTAATACCAGTTTTTTAAAACCTTCTATTGGAGCACAGCAGATACACAGGAAAATGCATCGGTCTAAGGTGCACAGCCTGTATCATGGCTCGGTTCTAATGGCATTGAAGCCTCGGCTGCTCTGAGCAGCCTGTGGTGCCTTTTTGAGCCCTGAAACAGCTGTGCTGGTTCTATCTTGGTCTCCTTTATGTATGTCAGAGCTGGTAGACAATTATTTCCCCAAGACTCTAGAATCAAGAAAGATTTGTGAAATTTGTGTTAATAGGAAATAATTAGCATGTTTTTTATTCATCATGGGACACATGTCAGCCGTGTAAAGATCTGACATGGTGTTTTTTTCAATTAAGTTTTTACAGTTGCAACAAGATTGAGGTTATAGAACAGACTTTAAAAGAGTTTTATATAGTCAAATTCCTTATTCTTAACTCTGTTATTTTGGAAAACAGCATGAGGTAGGTTGTTATGGCAGCTTTTTGGCTAGCATTTGGGGTTTTGTCAATTTATTTCTGCTTTAAAACAGTCACTAATTATGGTGCCTGCTAAATTAACCCTCAGTGAAGGGATGGCTACTTGCATGTATTAAAACTCTCCTTTCACTTGCTCATCTGTCCCTTGGGATTAAGCCTTTGCTTATGAGCCCAGCCTGCATTGCTTTTAAATTTGGTGAGAAAAATATAATTTCTACTTTATGTTTTTTTTAATAAAAATGGGAAAAGTAAATTCTGTATATGAAAGAGATCGAGTTCTGAGCTTTTAAAGATGTATAGGGTTTTAAAATGTGATTTGTTCCTATTGCAGGTTTTCTAAGTATGAGAGACAGAAAAATACCTACTTAATGAATTATCTTTTTACATTTTACATCACTCCCAGTGCTCCTTTTCAAACTCCCATGTTTCAGAATAATCACAGTTTCCAGAATTCTGTTGCAGCTTTTATACAGAGCTGGAAGGAAGGTTGAGTAGTGCTATCAGAGATGAGTTGGGGTCCAGAAGAGAGAAACCAGGGCTTGGAATGACTCCCACATAGGCAGTAGTAATTCTCTCACTGACTAAAGTCTTCAGAAGCGTATGTTTTAAAATTATTATGTTCAACAACCCTTTATTGAGCTTTGACTGTATACTAGGCTGCAAAGGTAAATAAGGTACAATCTCTTCCTTAAGCATATTTACATCTGGTTGGGGCAAGAGACAATTGAACCAGTAATTCAAGTGCAGTATAAGAGATATCATTGACTCACAGAAGAAGCATTTGAAAATCAGACTGCCAAGGAGAGAAAGGCTTTTATCTTGTATCATCTGCTTTGTGAAAGCCCTTTGAGGTGCTGAGCCTTCTTGTGTAGGGCCTAACACTGGAAAAACTGCCTCTTCCTTTCAAGGCCAACCTGCCCCTGCTGCAGCGGGAACTGCTGCACTGCGCTCGGGCGGCCAAGCAGACCCCATCCCAGTACCTGGCTCAGCACGAACACCTTCTGCTCAACACAAGCATTGCATCGCCTGCTGACTCGTCAGAGTTGCTCATGGAGGTGCACGGAAATGGGAAGAGGCCCAGTCCAGAGAGGTGAGCAGATGAGCTTTGCTGTCCTTGCCTTCCTGGAACCGCACTGGTCCTCCCCTTTGCTTATAAAAGAGAGAGAATTTGATTGCTGTGGTTGTAATGTCTCAAACTTTTTTTGAGACAAGGCCTGGCTCTGTCGCCCAGACTGGAGCGCAGTGGTGCAATCTTTGCTCCCTGCAGCCTCCATCTCCTGGGCTCAAGCGATCCTCTCACCTCAGCCTCCTGAGTATCTGGGATTACAGGCACGTGCCACCATGACCAGCTAATGTTTGTTTGTTTGTTTGTTTGTTTGTTTGTTTGTTTGTTTTTGGAGAGATGAGGTTTTACCATGTTGCCCAGGCTGGTCTCAAACTTGTGAGCTCAAGAGATCTGCCCGCCTCAACCTCCCAAAGTGCTGGGATTATATGGATGTGAGCCACCATGCCCAGCCCAATGTCTCAGACTTTCTGTGGTTATTTTTGCTTTATTCCAATACCTAGCTGCATAATACATCTAAAATCTATGGGAGTAGCTTCCAGACATGAGTATTTTTCGGGAACTCTTCAGATGCCTGCACACCCGGTAAGAAACTCTACTCTAGAGAATTTATGGGTCGACTGTTCCAGAAGCCTCAGGAGTACAGTTCTGCCTTTTCCTTGATGCTGTTTGTAGAAAGAATTGGAAAAAAAAAAAAAAGAAAAGAAAAGAAAAAACAAAAAAAAAGAAATACAATCTGCCAAATGCCTTTTATGTCAAACGCATTTTTTTCTGATCTGAGAAGTTTTGAAAAAGTATAGCAATTAATTATTAATATTTGCCAATGACTCACCTTTACTGAGATTAAAATTAATATGAATTTATTTTAGAAAACTCCCTATGAGTGGCTATCAAAATATTCTATGGGTTATCAAAGAAGGCAATATCAACAATAGTGGATAGGCTTTAATGACATTTTTTTAAAAGTAAAAAAAAAAAAAAAAAAAGAAAATTTATTACAGTTGAATCTGAGTGACTGAAAACCCTGCTACTACACAATTGGACCCACTGTTAATTTGACTGGCTTTAAAAAAAAAAAAAAGACACAATTGGATTTGTTATATGAGCCTTTTTCCTCCCATGTAGTTTCTTTCCAGTAACTCATCTCCACAGTAACAAATTTGACCTTAATACTTTCCTAAGTATGGTTGAACCCGTAACTCAGAAAAACGGTGTCATCTCCTTAGTCTCTCCTTTGCTTTATAAGGGTTAATGTTTCTGTCTGGTTATGGATGGATTTGACCTCTTTTTTCATGCTGGTATAAGTCAGCAATTTACATGAGGTGCCTGGCCCTTGAAGACAATTCAGCTCATGCCTCATGTCACACCTTTCCTTAGAGGCTTCCTGTTTATGCCAGCATGTAGCAAAATACCTAATACATAGTAGGTTCTCAGGAAATGTCTGCATGAACACTTGTTGACAGGATCAGATACGCACTTCTGCTTCTTCTACAGGAGAGAAGAGAATAGTTTTGATAGAGACACAATTGCTCCTGAGCCTCCTGCCAAGAGAGTATGTACCATCAGCCCTGCTCCTCGGCACAGTCCTGCTCTCACTGTGCCCCTCATGAATCCCGGGGGCCAATTCCATCCTACCCCTCCACCTCTTCAGCATTACACCTTAGAGGATATTGCAACTTCTCACCTGTATCGGGAACCCAACAAGATGCTAGAGCATCGAGAAGTTCGTGATAGACACCACAGTCTTGGTAAGCAACCGAAGCAGCATGGTAAATTCAGACTGGATTCTTGGATTTCTTTCCAACTCAATGATAAAGTCAAATAATATGATTGCTTTTTCCCACTGATTGGATAAAACAATATTATACATAGACTATTAGAATCATAGTTGATCTTATTTGATATCAATCTCATTTGATACCTTGTTGCTATGATATGATAGAAGTACAGCTAGGTGTGGTGACTGGTGTCTGTAATCCCAGCTCTTAGAGAGGCTGAGGTGGAAGGATCACTTGAAGCCAGTCTGGGCAACATAGTGAGATCCCATCTCTACAAAAAATTTTAAAAACTAGCCAGGCTTGGTGGCATGCGCCTGTGGTCCCAGCTACTAGGGAGGCTGAGGAGGGAGGATCAGTTGAGTCCAGGAAGTCAAAACTACATTGAGCCATGATCTTGCCACTGCATTCAGCCTGGGTGACAGAGTGAGACCTGTCTAAAAAAGAATAAAGGGGTATCGCCTATTCTCAGATGGTTCAGAAGAAGAGAATGAAAAAGCAAAGGAGGTAAAATGTTAACATTTGAGAACTCTGTTTGAAGATATGTGAGAATTCTTTGTGCTCCTTTTGCAGCTCTTCTATAAATCTGAGTTTATTGCAGAATAAAAGTTTTTAAAATTAGGCCAAGCTCAGTGGCTCATGCCTATAATCCCAGCACTTTGGAAGGCCAAGGCAGGAGGATCACTTGAGGCCAGAAGTTTGATACCAGCATGGGCAACATAGAGAGACCTCATCTCTACAACAACAACAACAAAAATTAAAAATGAGGCAGGAGGGGCTGGGCGTGGTGGCTCACGCCTGTAATCCCAGCACTTTGGGAGGCTGAGGTGGGTGGATCATGAGGTCAGGAGATGGAGACCAATCTGGCTAATACAGTGAAACCCTGTCTCTACTAAAAATACAAAAACTTAGCTGGGCGTGGTGGTGGGCACCTGTAGTCCCAGCTACTCAGGAGGCTGAGGCAGGAGAATGGCGTGAACCCAGAAGGCGGAGCTTGCAGTGAGCCGAGATCACGCCCCAGCACTCCAGCCTGGGCAACAGAGCAAGACTCCGTCTCCAAAAAAACAAAACCAAACAAAAAACAAACAAAAAAAATGAGGCAGGAGGACTGCTTGAGCCCAAGAGGTCAAGACTGCAATGAGCCATGATGGTGCCACTGCACTCCCCTCCTGGGCAACATGGTGAGACCCTGCCTCAACACAATAAAAAATGTTTTTAAAATTAAGCAGGAAAGATGCAAGATTTCACCTTGGAGGAGAAAGTGCATGGACATTTAGGTCAGGAGGTGAGGCATATCGAAATCTTGGCTCTGCATCCTAACTAGCTGTGTGATCTCAGGCAAGTTGCTTGGGCTCTCTGAGCCTCAGAAGAGTAATTTCTAAATGATTGTAACGCCACCCCCTGTGCTAGGTTGTTGTTCCATTTGGAATGCCTGGTATATAGGTGCTCAGAAACCTTTAAATTTAGGAAGAAACAGAAAAGAAACCTTAACAAACCTCTTCTAGTTTTGGACAGAGCGGTTTGTCATGTACTCTTACACGTTTTCAGCATAAGGTTTTTTGGAGTAAAACTGCTGAGCAGAGAACCAAAGGGCTATCAGCTTCCAGGGTTTCCCTAAATTTCCATGTATACCTTGTTGAGTAAAAAACTGCAATACATTTGCCCTCACTTCCTCTTACTTAGGCTCACTAGCATCTTTCAGACGCTTGGCCACAGTGGGGCCCCTGGCATCATGTAGTGGGATAGTAGCTGAATAGGGAAGGCTGTAGCAGCCATGGTGTTCTCAGAGCCAACATTTACTGAGTCGTAGCTACCACTTAGATTGTGTTGTAAGTACATTGTCTTATTTTATCCTCACAGGAGTCCCAGACAATTGTTATCCCCTTTTTACAGATGAAGGAGCTATGGCCAAAAATCACTTAGCTAATAATTGGCAGAGACAAAATTCAGACCCCAATTGTCTTATGCCCAAGGTTTAGATGTACTGGCAGTATGTTATGATACTTATCCTAGTGTTCAACCCCTGTTACTCCTATGCCTCTCTTTTATCTATTAAAAACTGCTTGCGGGCGGTCTGGCGTGGTGGTTCATGCCTGTAATCCCAGCACTTTGGGAGGCCTAGGTGGGCGAATCGTGAGGTCAGGAGATCGAGACCATCCTGGCTAACATGGTAAAACCCCGTCTCTACTAAAAATACAAAAAATTAGCTGGGCGTGGTTACAGGCACCTGTAGTCCCAGCTACTTGGGAGGCTGAGGCAGGAGTAGGGCGTGAACCTGGGAGGTGGGGGTTGCAGTGAGCCAAGATCACACCGCTGCACTCCATCCTGGCAACAGAGTGAGACTCCGTCAAGGGGGGGGAAAAAAACTGGCTTGCTTTGATTGGAAATAGCACAGTGGGGGAAAAAACTGGCTTGCTAATTAATGGTTTCTTCTGGACCTTTTTTGCCAGTTTGACTTGAGAAAGAAGTATGCTAAAAACTAGGTATGGGGTCTCACTATATTGCCCAAGCTGGACCCCTGGGCTCAAGTGATCTACCTGTGTCAGCCTCCTGAGTGGCTGGGACTATAGGCCCACCCCACCACACCTGGCTTTTATTACTACATTTTTTGACAGATTTTACAAATCATGAGGAACTCAATATATACTGAAATAAACAGATTATCACACTAATACATAGTCACTATGAATATTATGACTATAAATTCAGACTGGTAACAGGGGTGTTGTGTTAATGACTCAAAGACTAAGCACTGTTACTGTATGTGACTTAGGTTTAAAATAGTAGACAATTCTTACTGGTATACCCTTAATTCACACAGTTGTTCCATTCCTGGAAGTTTCAGTATATATCAAAACTATCCCCCCACCAAAAAAATTTTTTTAAGTTACTGATAATATTAAGCTGTTTCCAAGTGGTTATACCAGTACACACGCTAGTTTTGGTGGTTAATTATTCGCATTGCACCACATCCTTGTCAACACTTAGTATTATCTGACATTTTAATTTTTTCCAGTATGTTAGATGTGAAATGCTATGTATGACATACCTGTTTATTTCTTTTACCTCTTTTTCTTTAGGGCTATTTCGTGTTTTACAATTGATTTGTTGGAGTTTTTTATATAATGTGAATCGTGATCCTTTGTTGGTTATATTGTCATTTTGTGGGTCCCCCACCCCATTGTGAATCATTGCCTTAGTAGTGTGATCAAAGTTATTATGAATATGTGTGTATTTACTTGGTAGAATTTGCTTCTATTGTGTTTTTCCTGCTATCTTTGAATTTAATCTGTAATTTCTAATAGGTCTAAATGGAGGCTATCAAGATGAGTTGGTAGATCATCGTTTGACAGAAAGGGAATGGGCTGATGAATGGAAACATCTTGACCATGTAAGAATCTTGTAGTGTGTAATGTCCCTAACTCTTTATTACTTTTTTTTGAAACAGGAGTCTCGCTCTGTCACCCAGGATGGAGTGCAGTGGTATGATCTCAGTTCACTGCAACTTCTGCTTCCCAGGTTCAAGCAATTCTCCTGCCTCTGTCTTCGGAGTAGCTGGGATTACAGGTGTACGCCACCGTGCCTGGCTAATTTTTGTATTTTTAGTAGAGACAGGGTTTTGCCATGTTGGCCAGGCTGGTCTCAAACCCCTGACCTCAAGTGATCTCCCCACCTCAGCCTCTCAGAGTGCTGTGATTACAGGTGTGAGCCACCGCACTCAGCCTACTTAATGCTACCAATAATTAATGGAACATGTATGCTTGAAGTGAACATAACCACAGCCATGACATCCTTTGCTTTTAATAAAAGCTGGTTTAGCTACTACTCCCTCAGCTGAGGAATTACAGAGTCACTCCCTAATCTTTGTGATGGGATGATCACTTCAGGTCAGAAACCAAATAAAGTCATGTAGTATAATGGTTAACAACAAAGGTTTGTAGCCAGGTGCAGTGGCACATGCCTGTAGTCCCAGCTACTCGGGAAGCTAAGGCAGGAGGATCTCTTAAGCCCAGGAGCCAAGACTTCAAGTCTAGTCTGGGCAACATAGCAAGATGGAATTCATTTGTATTTGTTAAATTTTTATCAAAAGAAACTTTCTTTTTATTTTTTTCAATTCTGCTCCTTCTGTAGTAAAGAGATTGCTTTTTAGCCCACATACTCATGTTTCGTAGTTTTAGAACACAGGTCAGTAACAAACTTCTAGGTAATTCAACCCCCCAAAATTGTTTATATTCCAAAATTATTTTGCACTCTGAAAGATAGCAGCCTTCCTCATCTCATCAAAATTCATAATTTCTGTTAGAAATGTGTGTGTGCCTTATTTTATGGTTCAGCCACAGCAAATTTACAGTGCTGCAGACCCTAGGGATACAACAAATGCTGCTGCAACATGAAATAGTAGACTGTTGGCCAGAAGGCCATGCATCTGAGGTTTTGTCCAAACACTGGAAGCCCTGGTAGTTATTGTCCTCTTTAGGTATGTCAGCCTCAACACCAATGTCCTTCCTAGCTGATGGAGAAACAGACAGCAATAAAGGTTTTAAATGTAAACTTGATATTCCTAAATCTGTACTTTAAGGAACCTGAATTCCTCATATTGCGTTGGCCTGATTTACAGTGTTGGTTGTTTGAATGTTCTTATCTCATCTCTGCCTGGCCCCCTCTGTGACTCAGGCGCTGAATTGCATTATGGAAATGGTAGAGAAAACAAGGCGCTCTATGGCAGTTCTGCGGCGCTGTCAGGAATCAGATCGTGAAGAACTCAACTACTGGAAAAGACGGTACAATGAAAACACAGAGCTGAGGAAAACGGGGACCGAGTTGGTCTCCAGGCAGCACAGCCCTGGGAGTGCAGATTCTCTCAGCAATGGTAAGGGGAGAGTCTACGGGAAACCCAAAATAAATGTCAGCCTTTAGAGCCCACCAATCTGTCACAGAAGGCGTTTTCTACTTGACTTTAAAGAAAGGTGGTACTCAATTGTGGATTTAGGGAAACTCAGGTGATTATGAAAAGTAAATGAGAAAATATATGAAGCCCCTGGCATGTTTTGGTGGGTGGCGCAGGAAGGGGGTTTTTTTGTTTTGGATAGACAGGATCTCACTGTGTTGCCCAGGCTGGCCTTGGACTCCTGGCCTCAAGCAATCCTCCTGCCTCACCCTCCCAAAGCACCAGGATTACAGGCCTGAGCCACTGTGCCCAGCCTCGTACTTGGCGTGTTCAAAAAATGTTAATTCTTCGTGGAGAATGAGAATATTTGTGATTTTGTTCTGTCTTTAACTCTTTACATATATGTGTGCTAGGTGTTGGTCAGAGTGTTTGGTTGTCAAATTCAGCCTGGCTGGATGTATGTACTAGGCACTCTTGTGTCATCACTTTCATTTCTCACAGTAGCCCTGAAAGTGTTTACCTTACCTTCCCTCCTCCTGTCCCCAGCCCACCATTCAGGAAAATACCACTCAATCCACCATGGCCTGGTGGCCTCCTACAAAAGGTTTTACCATACCACGCTGGGTTGTTTCCCCTTGCCTTTCAGAGTCTGAAGCAGCAGCAATCCAGAGTACATCCAGCAAACCTCAGTTATTCCCCTCAAAATGTTCCAGCACATTCACCCAGTAACTGAGAAAGTGCCCTATCCAAAGGCATAGCTGAGTGACAGGCCATCTGTGATAAGACTCTTCCCACGCACTCTGAGTTCCCAAATGTTCACCACGAAGAACAAGTCTCTTACGACAGACCTAGTATGTTCCATTGAAGGCAGCTATTAGTCTCTAAAAGACTGTAAGGAAAACTTGAGGCAAAGCCAGAATTAATACAGTATGTACAGACAGTGGGAGTTAAAGGCTCACCTTTCCCCACCCCACCCACAGCAGCAGCTCTGGAGCCAACCATGGAATTACAACCATTAGGTGGAATATCTAGCACAACAAGGCGTCAACACATATGTAGAGTTATATAGTATGATTCCTTTCGTAAAAACTCGAAAAACAGGCCGGGCGTGGTGGCTCATGCCTGTGATCCCAGCACTTTCGGAGGCTGAGGTGGGCAGATCACAGGGTCAGGAGATCGAGACCATCCTGGCTAACACGGTGAAACCCCGTCTCTACTAAAAATACAAAAAATTAGCCAGGCGTGGTGGCGGACGCCTGTACTCCCAGCTACTGGGGAGGTTGAGGCAGGAGAATGGCGTGAACCCCGGAGGCGGAGCTTGCAGTGAGCCGAGATCGCGCCATTGCACTCTAGCCTGGGTGACAGAGCAAGACTCCATCTCAAAAAAACAAACAAAAAACTCCAAAAACAGACAAAGCTAATCTTCTGGTCTCCCTCACTTTCTGAACATTTGCAGATCCCTGTGCGACTTTCGGACAGGGAGAAAGGCTTTTGGAGACGTAGCTAAAGTTTACACCCAAGCCATACCTCATTCATCAGTGAGTCCACATGTGTGCAGGTGAGAAGCATAGAGTACAGAGGGAGCTGCAGTCGTGAGCCAGTGGTTGCTGAGCCAAGATACAGCTCTTGCTGGAGTCATTCAGGTCTTGCTGGAGTCATTTAAACATGGCTATGCATGACCACTACTCACCTTTCTCACCTTTTGCATCAAGGATTAGCTCTGGGGAGCATGTTTTCTGATTTGCCTGAGACAGTCCAGTTTATACCTGTGTCCTGTTAATAGTTATTACTAGCATTTCCCTCATTCTCAACAATGAAGGCAATCTGGATGATAAGTTATATTGTCATTCTAGGTTTGGTTTCTGACAGCACTATCAACCTGATTTAGATAGTATATTTTAGTGTCATTTATATGTTTATCTCATGTTTATTACTTGTCCATTTTAGTATAGTATGACAGTATAATTCATATCCTAAATAAATGTACTATGCAAAATGTGAACCAAAATGACTCCAAAAAGTGCCACTGGTCTGATTACATGAGGAGCTTGGGCACGGTTGGCTTCATCAAGAAAGTCTTACTGTGAAATTAGTTCTTTTTGTTTGTTTGTTTGTTCGTTTTTGTTTGTTTGTTTTGAAATGGAGTCTTGCTCTGTTGTCCAGGCTGGAATGCAGTGCACATTCTTGGCTCATTGCAACCTCCTGGGTTCAAGCCATTCTCTTGCCTCATCCTCCTGAGTAGCTGGGATTACAGGCACCTGCCACCATGCCTGGCTACGTTTTGTATTTTTAGTAGAGATGGGGTTTCACCATGTTGGCCAGGCTGGGCTCGAACTCCTGACCTTGTATGATCCACCCACCTTGGCCTCCCAAAGTGCTGGGATTACAGACATAAGCCACCATGCCCAGCCTGAAATGAGTTCTTAGACACATAGTTGTTTTACATTCTGGCATATGTTATACCAATAATCATAGTTTGAGTAGCATTGTCCTATATTGGGCAGTATTCTTAGACATTTCAAAGAATTTCACCAATGACTTTTTTTTTTTTTTTTTAACAGAGTCTAGCTCTGTTGCCCAGGCTGGAGTGCAGTGGCATGATCTCGGCTCACTGCAACCTCTGCGTCCTGGATTCAAGGGATTCTCCTGCCTCAGCTTCCTGAGTAGCTGGGATTACAAGCGCCTGCCACCACACCCGGCTGAGTTTTTTTTTTTTCAGTAGAGACGGCTGGTCTTCAATTCCTAACCTTGTGATCCACCCGCCTCGTCCTCCCGAAGTGCTGGGATTACAAGCATGAGCCACCGTGCCCGGCCTCACCAGTGACTTTTAAATAAGTAATTAGTGTTTTTGTTTGAGACGGAGTCTTGTCTGTCACCCAGGCTGGAATGCAGTGGCACGATCTTGCCTCACTGCTCCCCAGGTTCGAGCAGTTCTCCTGCCTTAGCCTCCCAAGTAGCTGAGATTACAGGTGTGCCCTACCACAGCCAGCTAATTTTTGTATTTTTAGTAGAGATGAGGTTTCACCATGTTTGCCAGGCTGGTCTCGAACTCCCAGCCTCAAGTAATCTGCCCGCCTTGGCCTCCCAAAGTGCTGGGATTACAGACATAAGCTACCATGCCTGGCCAAGTAATTAGTGTTTTTAAAGTCTTGGGTTAGCTGGGTGCAGTGTCTCACGCCTGTAATCCCCGCACTTTGGGAGGCTGAACGAGGTGGATCACGTGAAGCCAGGAGTTCGAGACCAGCCTGGCCAACATGTCAAAACACTGTCTCTACTAAAAACAAAAAAAGTTAGCCAGGCATGGTAGCACATGCCTGTACTCCCACCTACTTGGGAGGCTGAGGCACGAGAATCACTCAAACCTGGGAGGCGGAGGTTGTGGTAAGCCGAGATCACACACTGCACTCCAGCCTGAGCAACACAGTGAGACTCTGTCGCAAAAAAAAAATAAATAAATAAATAAATAAATAAAAGTCTTGGGTTATGCAGAAATCCATGGTGTGGATAGTTATTGAAGTAAAGTGGTTTGGTGATTTGGAGAGAAATTGACTAGAGGCTTTAGATGGCATTATTACTTTTCCCATTTAAATTAATGCAATGTAGGTTTCCTTACCTGAAAATTTATGATTCACAATGTTTTCACAAATAGATTTTGTTCAGACAGCAAGCAGTGTATTTAGGTGTCATTAAAGGATGCATAAATAAGTGCAAAAACCATAAGGAAAAGAAGAAAATGCTTATCACAGAGATCAGGAGACTGGTTTCCTCTGGCTGTGTGGGTGGAGGGTGCAGAGTTAGTGAGTTCTAACTACGTCTATTCTTGGGACAGGATTGTCAGTCTGGCTAGCATTATTTAAATACTACTATGGCTTGCCATGACTTACCTCTTAGGGATTTGGGGTTGCTGGTACTGTTCTGTTTCCTGAACTCAGGCTTATGATGTTAAATTGTATATTAATATTTTTATTATATTGTATGTTAATATTTTATGAACTGGTCAGCCATCTAACTTTGCAAGTAAAATTTTTTTTTGTTTGTTTGTTTGTTTTTGTTTGAAACGGAGTCTCGCTCTGTCACCTAGGCTGGAGTACAGTGGTGCAGTCTCGGCTCACTGCAACCTCCGCCTTTTGGCTTCAAGTGATTCTCCTGCCTCAGCCTCCCAAGTAGCTGGAATTACAGGTGCTTGCCACCATGCACAGCTAATTTTTGTATTTTTAGTAAAGACGGGGTTTCACCATGTTAGTCAGGTCGGTCTCGAACTCCTGACCTCGTGATCCACCCGCCTTGGCCTCCCAAAGTGCTGAGATTACACACATGAGCCACTGCATCTGGCCAAATTTTTAAACAAAGAAAAAGAATACTTAATCAGCTATCAGTTTTTCCTCAGAATGACAGTCAAGCTCACATTCCGGGCCCTTCTGGATGTTATGATTCTGAGACCCAAAAATCTGAATATAGTCCACCTGTGGTGGCTGACGCCAGTAATCCCAGCACTTTGAGAGGCAGAGGCTGGCAAATCGCTTAAACTCAGGAGTTCAAGACCAGCCTGGGCAACATGGTGAAACCCTGTCTCTACAAAAAATATGAAAATTAGCTGATTGTGGTGGTATGTGCCTATAGTCCGGCTACTTGGGAAGCTGAGGTAGGAGGATGGCTTGAGCCCAGGAGGCAGAACTTGCAGTGAGCTGAGTTCGTGCCAATGCACTCCACCTGGGCAACAGAGCAAGACCCTATGTCCAAAAAAAAAAAAAAAAAAAAAAAAAAGAATCTGAATATATGTGTTTAATGAGTTCAATAAGCAGGCAAGTTTGGGAAAACTGCCTCTAGTTAAGTCCATAGCAGATGGACCTCATTCAGTGTCACAGGGCTTCCAGGCAACTTTTTAGTGACATGTGTGCACAATTAAGGGTGACCACTCTCTAGAGGTAAGCCTCTAATATTGGAGACTGAAATAAACAGAAATGGGAATTAATAGTAGCTCTTCAGGGAAAAGAAAACTACCAATAATGTAGCATTGTTAATATCTCTGGTGAGAAAAAGAGAACAACATTAGAAATCTACCCAACTTATATATCCAAATCATGAATTTCAAAAAGAATGAGCAGAACAAGTAGAGAGGATAGAATAGTTATTGAAATAATTCCAAAAAATTACCAAGACCTGCAAGACAGTTCCAGGTTGAATCAGTCTACCAAGTAGACAACACAGGAAAATAAATAGACTTAGTCGTTTAGCATCATTGAAAGTTAGAAGACAATTCTGAAGGAAAATTATTTTAATTTAGAATTCTATACTTAACCAAAACAATTAAGTGTTAGATTAGTAACCTACAATTTTTCAAAAAATGCACCTCCTGCCTACCCTTTCTCCACAGTATCTACTGTAGGATATGCCTCAATATGTGAAAGTAAACCAGAAAATGGGAGACACTGAATTCCTGAAAGAGGATCCAACACAAGAAAGGAAGGAAAGGAATCCCTAGGCTGGTGAAGGAGAGCCCCAAGCATTAGTGGCAAAGCAGGCCTAGAAAGCGCCCAGTCCACGCTGGAACAGCCCAGAACCTTGCTAGAGATTTCCTTAAGTAAATGAAATTTATAAAAGATTTACACAACAGGAGGATAATTTGAGATTGAATTGGAAGTAATTACATAGCAGCCTGGCACAATGGCTTACAACTGTAATCCTAGCTCTTTGGGAGACTGAGACAGGAAAATTGCTTGAGGCCAGGAATCCAAGACCTGTCTGGAAACCCTGAGATAGTGAAACCCTGTCTGTGCAAAAAATTTAGAAGGGAAATTAGGCGGTCATGGTGGTACATGCCTAAAGTCCTAGCTACTCAAGAGGCTGAGGCAGGATGACCTGAGCCCAGGAGTTCAAGGGTGCAGTGAGCCAGTGATCAGCTGTGTATCACTGCACTCTAGCCTGGGTGACAGAACAAGACCCTGTCACACACAAAAAAGTAATTTGTAAAAATGCTGCCTTTCCTCCCCCTACATTTTTCCATAGGCTCAATGGTTAACAATTAATGTATTCTTGTAGAATTTTCTATGTACATATTTAAAGATAATGTTTCCTAATGTTTTATTTTGAAATTTCCGAAACACGTAGAAATTTTGAAAGAGACCACCCTGGCCAACATGGTGAAACCCCATCTCTACTAAAAATACAAAAAGAATAGCCAGGCAGGGTGGCGCACACCTGTACTCCCAGCTACCTCTCGGGAGGCTGAGGTAGGAGAATCACTTGAACCCGGGAGGCAGAGGTTGCAGTGAGCCAAGATCGCACCACTGCACTCCAGCCTGGGTGACAGAGTGAGACTCCGTCTCAAAAAAAAAAAAAAAAAAAAATCTGTGTGCATTTATGTTTTATACATTTATATTTTAGGGGGTACTGTACCTTAAAAACCGATGTTTATAGGGGAAAAAATTAGGACATAATAGGTAAGTAAAAAGAAGAAAGTGAAGATCACTTTTAATCTCACTACTTTGAAATACTGTTAATTTGTTCATTTGATGGGGGTGTGTGTTTTAAAACTAAATATTTACTGTACTATTTTATAATCTGGTTTTTAGCCCTTATATGAGAATTTTTTTATACTAAATGAAATATATGTTTGAGTCTAAGTGGTGAATGAGAAATCTGATCAAAAATAAAACTGCTGATCATAGACAGCTTCTGACCCTATGCTTTTTATGTCTCTTCTGCAGATTCTCAGAGAGAGTTCAACAGCAGGCCAGGTACAGGATACGTACCTGTGGAGTTTTGGAAAAAAACAGGTATGTGTCTGACTGCTTGTAGGTCATACATACTCACTAATTTGTGGGAGCAGAGAACAGATAACTGGGTGAATGGTTGGTAACTGGGTCCTTTGGTTGTATAATAACTTGCTCCTCATAGAGCTCTAGGCTCCTGCCTCTCCTGCTCTGGCTTGTCCTGCATGTCTCCTGATACCTGTCTTGTTAATTTGCAGGTCAGGAGTTTGGAATAGCTCCCTCCAGTCCCTTTCACACTCTTCCACTGGGTCACGCTGAGGCAATAAGTACCTGTTGACATGTCCTGTTTCTGGGCTTGCAACAGAGTTCATTTTGCCTGATCTCTTCACTGGTGGCTACAGTATACTGTGTTCACACTACTGCCACATTTGTGCCCAAATTCTGCTCTGGGCACAGCTCTGTAATCCCCCTGTGCTTTCTTTCACCTTCTCTGTGCCTACCATAGTGAAGACTGTTCTTGGTAGGCCTCCTCTTTTACAAGAATAAAGGAGGGTGGGGACTGCCTATTTTGTAAGTTCAAGGATGAACCTCACATCACTAATGTCAGCCTTATCCAAATATTGGCATTCTTTCACTTCTTGCCTCCCCATCCCAGTTTCATTTTTTAAGTCCAATACAACTTTTGGTTTTCTTACTAAGATAAAATTTATTTCTACAAAAATGTAATACCTACATTCATAAAGACTCTTTTAAGAGCATCTAGACAGTAGTAAACAAATAAAAGATATGAACAGACACATTATGCTATGAGAAATACAAATAAACATATTGCAAAATATTTTTCCTTACTAGTAGTCAGGATAATGTAAGATAAAGCATATCTGATAAATTAACCCCTTGTCTTTAACCGTCCGTTATTGACAATTTTAAAAGACCTTGTTGATGACACTCAATAATTGATCAGAGGCTTATATAAGAAATTAAGTGAGTACCTGCAGATTCTTGGAATCATTCCTCACTTTTCCTTTTTTTTTTTTTTGAGATGGAGTTTCGCGCTTGTTGCCCAGGCTGGAGTGCAACGGTGTGATCTCGGCTCACTGCAACTTCCGCCTCCCCGGTTCAAGCTATTCTCCTGCCTCAGCCTCCCAAGTAGCTGGGATTACAGGCATGCACCACCACGCCTGGCTAATTTTGTATTTGTAGTAGAGATGAGGTTTCTCCATGTTGGTCAGGCTGGTCTCGAACTCCTGATCTCAGGTGATCTGCCTGCCTTGGCCTCCCAAAGTGCTGGGATTACAGACGTGAGCCACTGCACCCGGCCTTTTTTTTTTTTTTTTTTTTTTTTTTGAGATGGATTCTTGCTCTGTTGCTCAGGCTGGAGTGCAGTGGCACAATCTCAGCTCACTGCAACCTCCACCTCCCAGGTTCAAGCAACTCTTCTGCCTTAGCCTTCCAAGTACCTGGGATTACAGGCACCCCCGACCATGCCCGGCTAATTTTTGTATTTTTAGTAGAGATGGGGTTTCACCATATTGGCCAGGCTGGTTTCGAACTCTTGACTTCAGGTGATCCACCCGCCTTGGCCTCCCAAAGTGCTAGGATTAGGATTACAGGCATGAGCCTGTAATGTGCCCAGCCACAAGATCTCTTTTAAACTAGTGAGTTTGATTATTTGGGAGATACCTTTGGTTAACTATGGTTAAGAGCCCAACTTTGGTGTTGGGCCAGCTAGGTTTGAGTCCTTGCTCTGCTACAGTGCCATCTGTGACCTTAGACGACCTCCAGTAAGATAGCTAGCCAAACCGAGATGATTATTAATTCATGCTTAAGCTGAGGGGATAAAATGTACCTAAGAGCATTGTTACACTGGCTCAATAAGAGGCATCTGATAAGAGACTTATGAAAAGTTCTTGGCCTCTGGGGTGAAGATTTTCTTAAGGCCAGAGCCATAAGATGGAAAGTTGTTTCATGGTAGCCTAGAACTCTGTGTTTGAACCTCCCTTGAGCCTGTGCCATGTGCAAGAGGTAAACCGTGAGGGAGTGTCCTTAGGCTTCTGGATTGTCTAGTCCTGTGGACTTACGTAGGGAGCTACGTATTTTGGGACTTCACATTCACATTCTCATTGGGCTGAGGCTCAAACATATGGAATGTGTTATTTTGCAGCGTCTACATTAGGGAAATCAAGCAGGGCATTGGTGATGGGAGGAAGTGAACAGGAACCAGGTAGGATGATGGTAAGTGGACAGGGTTTAAAAACCCAGGGCTTTTGGCAGTCTGCCCAAATCTATGTCTTTAGCCCTTGTTTGTGCACCTAGTCTTATTTATTTAATTGCCTCCTGGCCATTTACACCTGGATGCCCCAGAGGCACCTCCACCTTCTCACTTGCCTCCACACTAGCTTTGTGTGGACTGTCCATTTCATTGCCTAGCTTTAGCATTCTTCTCTTTCACCTCCACTTCCAGGCCCTTCGGTGCTCCCAACCTTTTTCTGCCTCATCCCTTCCTCAGTGCCACTTATTCCTGCCTAAATTCAGCCTCTTCTATCAGTTCAATCATTGCACCAGCCTCCCGGTTGCTATCTCTGTCTTTAATCTTCCCCTTGCATAGAATCCTTTATGGAGTTTCCTTTGAAAATAAAGTCAAGCCGACTGGGCACGGTGGCTCATGCCTGTAATCCCAGCACTTTGGGAGGCCAAGGTGGGCGGATCACGAGGTCAAGAGATCGAGACCATCCTGGCTAACATGGTGAAACCCTGTCTCTATTAAAAATACAAAAAATTAGCCAGGTGTGGTGGCGGGCACCTGTAGTCCCAGCTACTCAGGAGGCTGAGGCAGGAGAATGGCGTGAACCCGGGAGGCGGAGCTTGCAGTGAGCAGAGATTACGCCACTGCACTCCAGCCTGGGCAACAGAGCGGGACTCCGTCGCAAAAAAAAAAAAAGAAAATAAGTTCAAGCCGGGGGTGGTGCCTCACCCCTATAACACTTTAACACCAACGCTTTGGGAGGCTGAGGTAGGAGGATCACTTGAGCGCAGGAGTTCGAGACAAGCCTTAGCAACATAGTGAGACATCGTCTCTACAAAAAAATTTAAAAATTAGCCGAGTATGGTGGGACACGCCTGTAGTCCTAGCTACTCAGAAGGCTGAGGTGGGAGGATCATGATTCAGAGAGGTCAAGTCCGCAGTGTGCTGTGATCGCAACAGTGCACTCCAGCCTGGGCAACAGAGCAAGGCCCTGTCTCAAAAAAAAAGAAAAAGAAGGTCAAATTTCTTAGTCTGGCATGCAAGACTTTTTGCAAAATCTCATTTCCATCTACCATCTCAAGCAAAACACATGTCTTGATTCTCCCCTGCCCACTGAAGAGCTGATCACTTTTCTCCTTGGAACTCTAGTCTCTTACGATGACATACACGATGGCACCTGAAACACTTTCATACTTGGTCACAAGCAGTCAGGAGAGTGTGGCCTGTGTCTAGTCACTTGCGTCCACAGCCCTAGCTCGGTGCCCACCTCCATCTCCGTACCCAGCCAGCACCTGCATGGATGGACACATGAGTGTGAAGATCATGTGTTCCTCCCTGTGGAGTTTTAGAAAAGATCACTTTGTGTCAGCTCTCTCCTTACTTAGAATTGCCGTGGGATGGGAGGGAAAAGATTTCTCGGCCAGTTGATTTTACTGTCACTTTCTTCTAGAAGAAGCTGTGAATAAGGTGAAAATTCAGGCCATGTCAGAAGTACAGAAGGCCGTCGCTGAGGCAGAGCAGAAAGCCTTTGAAGTGATTGCAACAGAGAGAGCACGAATGGAGCAAACCATAGCGGATGTCAAGCGGCAGGCCGCAGAGGATGCTTTCCTCGTCATCAATGAGCAAGAGGAGTCCACGGAGGTCAGAGCTCTGCGCCCTGGGGGCTGGGGTGAGCAGCTGGAGTGACCACGCCCGCTGCCTTCCTCTCATACGCTGGGCAGGAAGACACAGGCAGTCCACTCTTGAGCTCAATGAGGATAATTTTTATCCAGTGCCAGGAGAGTTTTGGTTCTCATGCTAAGACTCTTTTACATGCCAAGATAGTGAATTATTACATTGTATTTTTACATACATACATATATATATAGAGAGAGAGAGAGAGGCTCAGTGTATTGGTGTAAATTTTGAGAATTCACCCTAAAGACAGAGTTTGTGTGATTGCACGATGATGATGATGACCAGCATTGACGGAGTGGGCTTACTGTGTGCCAGACACCCAGCAAAGTTGTATATTTTCTTTTTGAGTCTCACAATGGCCCTAATTTGCAGATGAGGAGACTGTGGCTCAGGGAATGCAACTAATATACCCCTTTGGTGCTGAAGTCAGGATACAGGAGTAAGAAAGTGCAGGGTCCTATAGCACCTAGGCTTTTTTTTTTTGAGACGGAGTCTCTCTCTGTCCCCCAGGCTGGAGTGCAGTGGTGCAATCTTGGCTCACTGCAAGCTCCACCTCCTGGGTTCACGCCATTCTCCTGCCTCAGCCTCCCGAGCAGCTGGGACTACAGGTGCCTGCCACCACACCCGGCTAATTTTTTGTATTTTTAGTAGAGACGGGGTTTCACCGTGTTAGCCAGGATGGTCTCGATCTCCTGACCAGCACCTAGGCTTTTTACAAATAGGATAGCTGGTTTGTGGACTGAAGTAACAGGTTGGGTGTATCTGCCTGATTGTCCAGGACCCAGGATCCAGGGCCCAGGACTTGGTGATGGTTCTATACAGGACGCTTGAGTACTACAGTGAGGAGAAAAATCAACAAACTGAAAAAGAATCTGTGACAACATGAGAACAGCCCTTTTGAATTTAATGCAGTTTTTCTGTAAATTTCATTTTAGTCATTTTTCAGCTTTAAAACAAGAAACCAGTTTCTTTCTGTAAGTAGGTAGATCTCATCTACTGGATGGGAGACCGGCTGTCTTTGGGACATTCTCTTGAAGTTCAGCACTCACTCTGTCACCGAGGCTGGAGTGCAATGGTGCGGTCTCGGCTCACCGCAACCTCTACCTCCGGGTTCAAGCGATTCTCCCACCTCAGCCTCCCAAGTAGCTTGGAGTACAGGTGCACACCACCGTGCCTGGCTAATTTTCATATTTTTAATAGAGATGGGCTTTCGCCATGTTGGCCAGGCTAATCTTGAACTCCTAGCCTCAAGTGATCCACCCAACCTTGGCCTCCCAAAGTGCTGGGATTACAGATGGGCTTTTTTTTTTTTTTTAACAAACAATAGAAATGTTATTTTCTTGTAATTTAAATGGTCCATTTCAGTATTGTACTGTCACACATGGCAATGTGCAGATGAAAATGCCTAAATACCACGTGGCTATCACAGAGGATGTGGTGAAATTCCTTATTACAGCTCTTCAATACAGATACTATGGATTGTGAGAAAATAGTTTCTTTAATCCCCCTCCCTTTTCGTTCTCTCCTCCTCCTTTGTCTTTTTTTTTTTTGTGTGTGTGTGTGTGTGTGTGTGTGTGTGTGTGTGTGTGTGTGTGTGGATAACAGGGTCTCACTATATTGCCCAGGCAGGTCTTGAACTCCTGGGCTCAAGCTATATATACTCTTGCTTCTGCCTCCCTAAGAGCTGGGATTACAGGCATGAGCCACCACGCCCAGCTTCTCCTCCTCCTTTTTCTTTAGAATTGTTTTTGAGGCTGGGCACAGTGGCCAATGCTTGTAATCTCAGCACTTTGGGAGGCCAAGGTAGTGTGAACACTTGAGCTCAGGAGTTCAAGACCAGCCTTGGCTAGATGGTGAGACCCCATTTCTGCCAAAAAAAAAATTTAAAAATTAGCCAGGCATGGTGTCATGCACCTGTAGTCCAGGTACTTTGGAGGCTGGGGCAGGAGGATCGCTTGAGCCCAGGAGGTGCAAGCCTGACCATGATCGTAACACTGCATTCCAGCCTGGGTGGGAGAGCAAGACCCCATCTCTTTAAAAAAAAAAAG
This sequence comes from Homo sapiens, assembly GCF_000001405.40. Lineage (NCBI taxonomy): Eukaryota > Metazoa > Chordata > Mammalia > Primates > Hominidae > Homo > Homo sapiens. Next base: position 33,642,616 of record NC_000020.11, read on the forward strand.
AAAAAAGAAAAAAGGTGATGACGATGGCAAGATGAGGGGGAAAGAAAAGAGAATTGTTTTTGAGAGTGAGATATCTGTTTCTCTTCTCTATGTTTAACTGTGTATGTATAGCCATCCATATCAGTATCTGTATTTGTCCTTATTTATCTACTTTTATCTCTGTTTATCTTTAACTATGTCTATCTCCAAAGAAAGAGTATAGCTTTTGGCTTAGAGCATAGATCCTGGATCTGGACTGCGTAGGTTTAAATCCCAGCTCTCCATTTTGAGCATTGTGCTTTTAAGGAATTGTAATTTTAAATAAGCCACAAAGTAGCCTCCAGGTGAGGTGCACACCTGGACCTATCCCTGCAAAATCACTTTCAAAAGCAGGGAAGGGATAGAGGGCCTGTCCTTTGGATGAGTTTGCATTGGACCAAAACGGCTGATTCTCGTCCATCAAGAATGTTCAGCTAGAATATCCTTGTTGAAATTTGGCAGGTATTCCTGGAGTTTCTTGTTCATCTTGTGAAAGGTGGTCTGGTGTGGGGGAGGAAGGAGGCCAGGACTGGAGGTTAGGAGCCCTGACTTCTAGCCGAGTTCCCTCTCATACTGGCAGTATACCCTTAAAGGAGTCAGTCTCCATCTCTGTTCAATGAGTATAGCAGCTCCTATCCTATTGGTCTGATAGTTATTAGGGAACAGGCACAGTGGCCCATGCCTGTAATTCCAGCTCTTTAGGAGGTCAAGGTGGGAGGGTCCTTTGAGGCCAGGAGGTCAAGACCAGCCTGGGCAATATAAGGAGACTCTGTCTCTACAAGAAATTAAAGAATCAGCCAGGCATGGTGGCACATGCCTGTAGTCCCAGCTACTCAGGAGGCTAAGGTGGGAGTGTGGGAGGATCCCTGGAGCCTAGGAGGTCAAGTCCAGCTTGGGCAACATAGCAAGACCCTGTCTCCAAAAGAAAAAACAAAACAGCAGCAGCAGCCTTCGTTGAGTCAGATTATCAGTAAAAACAATGAAGATTATTCTCTAATGAGGGAAGCAATATCAGCTGGGCGCTTATAATCCTGACACTTTGGGAGGCTGAGACAGGCAGATCACTTGAGCCCAGGAGTTCAAGCGTAGCCTGGCCAACATGGCAAAACCTCATCTCTACTATATATATATATATATATATATATATATATATATATATATATATATATATATATATATATATAGTATATAATGTGTGTGTGTGTGTGTGTGTGTGTGTGTGTGTGTATATAATGTATAATTACAAAAATTAGCCAGGCATGGTGGCACATGCAGAAAGGAGTAGGATAAATGTTCGTCTTAACACATGTGGTCTTAGGATAGATGGCTCTTGGGGGAGACCCTGGCACAGAGTTTGGTTTGGTTTCTGACTATTAAAATGAGCCAAAAGATGAGTCCATGCCTTAGGCAGGAGAGATGGCCACCTGCCCTAGGCTGGTGCTGTGTAAGGTATTTTCACACACACATCTCATTTCACTGTTCCTGTCATCTTGCAGGGAAGTAGTTTTCTTGTTTTACAGATGAAGGAAACTCAGAAAGGCAGTGTGTATTTCTCATAGTTAAACAGCAGTAGAGGGCGGAGTTGACCACAGGTGTATGTAGTTCCAAAGCTGGGGTTCTCTACATACAGCCCCTTGCTTTACTGTGCAGGGAATGAATGGCAAGCCTGCCCCTCAATCCCAGCAACCACTAACTGATGCCTGTGTCTTGCAGAACTGCTGGAACTGTGGCCGCAAAGCCAGCGAGACATGCAGTGGCTGCAATATCGCGCGATACTGTGGCTCTTTCTGCCAGCACAAGGACTGGGAGCGGCACCACCGCCTCTGTGGTCAGAACCTGCATGGCCAGAGCCCCCACGGCCAGGGCCGGCCGCTGCTTCCTGTAGGCAGGGGCTCCTCTGCCAGGTCCGCCGACTGCAGCGTGCCCAGCCCAGCCCTCGACAAGACCTCGGCAACCACATCGCGTTCCTCAACACCTGCTTCTGTGACAGCTATCGACACCAACGGACTCTGAGCCCCGGACTCTGCTTACCCTGATGGCTGCTCAGCACCACAGAGTGCTTGGGCTGAGGGACTGACTGTTGGAACCCGTGCATGTAGCTGCCGGGTCATCAGCAAGAAATGAATTGGAGGCAGGAAGAGTCCAAGCCTGAATAATAACACCCCACAGCCTCTCTGTGCACTTGCTGTCTGCGGAGCCAGTGTGCCATTCTCTGCACATGGGCAGCCAGCCTGAGCTGCCTCCTCCATGGCTTTCCTGGTTTGTTCCTCTCTCCACTGAAGCTGACTTAGCCGGCCCCTTTTCAGTGTAGACCACCAGCTCCCCTCCCCATCTCCTTGAGTCAGCAGACTGTCCAATGTGCTCAGCCAGGCTGGAGGCGGCAGGCGGCAGGCAGCAGGCTGTGGAGGAGGCCCCTCGGTCAGGGAGCGGCCTGCCTCACCCCTGAATAGCTCCTTCGGCCCCATCTCCATCCTCAGCAGATGACACTGATTGGCCTCACGGGGACTTGGGTAAGCAACAGGCGGCATTCAGGACTCTTCTCAACCCTGCTGTTCAGACTTGATAAGATCTCAGAGTCCACAGGAAAGAAGTCACTGTTGCAATAAAAGCACCCGTAGTAGCAAAAACATAAAACAAATAAAACTTCCCCCACATCACAGATGATTTTGGACAAGATTTTCCAACCTTGCTGGCTACTTTAGTTTGGGACCTGTTTTTTTTCTCATTTGATTTTGCTTGTGCAGAAAATAGTTTCCAGCACATGGATTGATCTGAGAGAGAATGAGGCTCAGTTGTGGATAGTCTGTTTTCTCTGAGCATGTTGGCCAACTAGTATCGTCAAATTATTGAGTGGATCATCTCTTGGAAATGCAGAACTTCTGCCACCACTTGGCTATTTGCACAGTCATCTTGTTCTGTGTCCTTTTATCTCTCAGACCACACACATCTGGAACGCTGTGGGCATCTTCTGCCCATGGGCTCCATTTGGCACCTGCTGAGCCACAGTTGTCCTGCTGGATGTGCTGTGCAGGTTGGTAGGACTTGCCCCCACTGTCAAGGCCTGGTCTCATCTGAAAAGCCCTCCTGGACCTCAAAGAATTCTTCAGACCTCATAGTTACAGGTCATTATATCTACTATGTTGATTTATCATCAGGCACACAACTTCTGTTTCCTTCTCTTGTGTTATCTGATAGCGTCCCTCCTTGAGCTCATCAGAAAGGTTTTATGAAATGTGAACCATTTTGGGAAAAGCTGATCAATTTTTCTTCCTAGCTTCCCATTTTCAAATGGGACATCACTCATATCCCTTTCAGAATGTTAGGAACTGCCTCCCACATTCTTCCCTGTCTTTTTGGGTTTTGTTTTTTGTTGTTGTGGTGGTTTTTTAACACAAAGTCTCACTCTGTTGCCCAGGCTGGAGTGCAGTGGCATGATCTTGGCTCACTGCAACCTCTGCCTTCCAGGTTCAAGCAATTCTCCTGCCTCAGCCTCCCGAGTAGCTGAGATTACAGGCGCCCACCACCACGCCCAGCTAATTTTTGTATTTTTAGTAGAGACAGGGTTTCACCATGTTGGCCAGGCTGATCTCGAACTCCTGACCTCAGGTGACCTGCCTTGGCCTCCCAAAGTGCAGGGATTACAAGCGTGAGCCACCATGCCCGGCCTGTCTTTTTGGTTTTGATGGGAGTCTGAGGACCCCGACCCCTCCTGCTCTCCATCTTTGAGCCTCTGGCATCCTCTCACACCCAGAAATCAGTTGGAGTAAGTTTAATTGGCCCTGCTCCAGCTGGCCTTTGAAGCACAAGTTTAAATCTCCACCTTCTGTGCACTGACCAGAGTCTAAAATAAAAGTTGTCAGTACCATAAAGGAAAAGGGATCCACACAGGTAGCCTTCTCCTTGGATACAGGTACATCTTACTGTAAGAATTTCAAGTCCTGGCTGGGCGCAGTGGCTCACTCCTGTAATCCCAGCACTTTGAGAGACCGAGGCAGGCAGATCACTTGAGGTCAGGAATTCAAGACCAACCTGGCCAACATGGTGAAACCCTGTCTCTAATAAAAAAAAAATAGAAAAATCAGCCGGGTGTGGTGGCACACACCTGTAATCCTAGCTACTCAGGAGGCTGAGGCAAGAGAATCTCTTGAACCTGTGAGCCAGAGGTTGCAGTGAGCCGAGATTCCACCACTGCACTCCAGCCTGGGCAACAGAGCAAAACTCTGTCTCAAAAAAAAAAAAAAAAAGGCAAAATTAAAGAATTTCAAGTCCCTAATTTACTCTAACCAAGCATTTTCAGTCTTACAAAGAAATCTAGTGCACGACACCTTTAAAATGCCTAGATTTCCATTGCCTAAAGTAAGGTGTGACCAGTGAAACAACAGCAGAGAATCATGTTCCTTTGCTGTGGAACACATAAGCCCCACAGTTTTCCAGTCAGCCTAATACATGGGTATCCCCCGACCCCATCTGCCTCCTTAAGCCACAGTCCTTGGTGGGGAACTCTAAGGGGGACGGAGTCAGTACCCCGGACAGGGCCACATTTGCATGAGACATGGCTGTCTCACAGGTCACAGAGCCATTACAACAGCTTACTAGTTTTTCATGGATTTGTTGGATTAACACCTTAAGCAGGTTTTTTATTGTTATTTTGTTTGTTTGTTTGTTTTGAGACGGGAGTTTCTCTCTTGTCTCCCAGGCTGGAGTGCAATCGCGCAATCTCGGCTCACGGTAACCTCTGCCTCCCAGGTTCAAGCGAGTCTCCTGCCTCAGCCTTCTGAGTAGCTGGGATTACAGGCATGCGCCACCACGCCCAACTAATTTTGTATTTTTAGTAGAGACGGGGTTTCTCCTTGTTGGTCAGGCTGGTCTCAAACCCCGGACCTCAGGTGATCCCCCCACCTTGGCCTCCCAAAGTGCCAGGATTACAGGCATGAGCCACTGTGTCCGGTCTTGAGCAGGTTTTTAAAATCTCCAGTGGCCATAAAACTAGCCAGGGTAGCTCATGCTTTTACTGGTTGGAATAAGGAGCCAAAACCAACAAAATAATATTTATTAGGGCTCGATGCCCATTTCTGTGGCTAAGGCTTAGGTTTGGTGTGCAGAGCCTGGCCTGCTCTTGTGGGCTGTGGTTGCTGTGACAGTTTCGTTTTCTGAATCTTTGTAATGCTCTTCCACCCTGCTCGTGCTGCCCAGAGGCTGATCTGCAAACCTGGGCAGTATTCCACACTGAAGCTCAGTTTGCAAACCTTCTGCTGTGTTAATTCTGGTCAGTTTCACACAGAAGTCACGAGGGCCTCTGCCCAGGACCTTCTATTCACATTTCAAGAATCCCTTTCTGAAATTCTCCAACTCTCTGGTCAGGAGGAGGAGCACCATTGGGGCGGGGTAGGCAGCTAGAGGCGCAGGAGCGAATCCAGGTTCCTTGCGTGGTTCCCAGCCTCTGCTGACAGCACCTCAGCTACCAGGTGGGGAGTGGAAATTCAGCCTGCTTAGAGGACTGACCTCTACAGTTCATATTTGCAGTGACATAAAAGGCAAAGAGGAGCTGGCATGGTGGTACAGAAGGTATCAGTCAAGCGCAGGCTCTTCAGAAACCTAGAAACTAAAAAGAGATGCAACATGTGACTGGCCATCAGCCAGACATGTCTAGGGTGAGACCAGTGCTCAGCACCACCCGCCAAGGAACACTGATGAGTTGTGGGACATTATGGTCGGCCAAGTGAGGAATGATTGCAGGGACCAGAGAAGACCAAAGATGCCAGATGTCCCCAGAGTTTCTTGAGGGCTGGGTTTCACGTCTTTGCTTGTCCTTTTTGTCCCCACTTGCCTGCACCGTGCCTGACTCATCCAGTGGGGAAGGTGACTCAAGAAGTTGTTTAAGCCTAGGCCTAGGCAGTCCACTTCGGGAGGTGGGGGCACTCCACACTGGGGGGCCCTGCAGCTCCAGGGCTGGTGCTCTAGCAGATCCGCTCAGGCACGGTTGGGTGACCGTGGGGTCACCGATTGCGTAGATTATTTCTAGGGCAGTGCTGGGTTAGAAATGTCTGTCTGGAAACAGGACACATCTTGCCACCACAAGTCCACACCTGGCCTTGGCTGCTGCCCGCTCTCTGCAGCGTGGATTTCCTTTGCCCATTTGGGCCAGAAGGTCACCAGGAGTTCATCACTGCTTAGTGTCAACTTGACATCTTCAGCTTCCAGACAGAAAACCCATGCTTTACTTTGTACAGCCCTGTCCCAGAGTTAGTAAGCCTCGGCTTGTCACCTGCTTGCAAAGGGTATAGACATCATTCTGGGTAGTTCTAGAGGATATCGCAACAAGTGCGTTTGAAGGTTCAGCACAGCTGGAATTGTACGGTAGTGAGCTCTTCAAAATGAAAACAGAATGACCGGATGGCCATCTGTCCTGGAAACTGTAGAATTGAATAAATCACTGAAAATAGAACACTTCTTGGAGGCTTTCTTCAGAACTGAACTAGAAACAAGGTTTCCAGGCTCCCAGGTCAGTAGACCAAACCAACTTCCTTAGATTTTTTTTTTTAAGCTGTTTGCAGAAAACTGGGTGGTAGCGTGTCTGAACCAAACGGAAGAATAGCCAGCGGAGCATGGACTGTTCCAGCACGGGCCAGATGGCCAGCTGTCGAGAGCAGCCCTGCCCAGATTGCGGTGGGGGCTGTGCCAGCGGCTCCGCAGGGCCCTTCCAACTCTGGAGTGTCTGTAGTTCTTGTGAAACCAAAACGTTGACTACCTGCCTCTTTCCTCGGGCATCGACGTGCTCATTTCCAAAGATGATGGTGCAGGTGACCTTTTCCATCGTGAGCTAAGAGAAGGTTAGGAGGCCTGAGGGGCGGGCCTTGTGTCCCCTCCTCCCCCTCCACAGCCCCTGAGGTGGAGCTTCCCTCACAGACCCCATCTGGTCGAGCCTACGGCTGCCCAGTGTACACTCAGTGATGCTTATACCAAATAGGGCATGTGCGCTGGTGTCTGTTGGGGACAGCCCCATCCCTACCTTGGAGTCGGCAGAGAAGCAGCAATAAGCATTAGGCGAATGATTGAAAGGGCTGCTGCGCCAAGAGGCCTTCAGTCCCCTTAACGTGGCTTTCCAACTTCCTGACGAGGCTACAAAGGCTCCGCTCACAAAAGAAAGCCAATAATGTAAATAAATAGAAAACGAAGCCTCCACGCGTGGTTTTTAAAGGGGGATGATGAATGTGACACCACCCACAGAATGCATTAGAATCTGGTTTTTCTGTGCTTTGTCATTTTACTCTGATAGGAATTTTTGTTACCTAACTCTGTGCATAACTTATTTAATGTACTGTATAAATGAACCAAAACTGTTAAATATGTATTTAGTTTGTTCTACTTAAAGTAGTCAATAAAAAGGCTATATTCCTTTTCTGCCTCAAGCTGGAATGGGACCGGGAGGAAAGGTGGTCCCTACACTAGGAGGTGTCCCCTCACCCTAATTCCCAAATCCTTGAGGAAGAGGGAGAGAGGGGCCTCAACTGGTTCTAGTCGTGGCCTGAAGAGCATCCAAGGGCATGAAGCAGGGGGTGTCTGCACCCCATGTGCCTGGAACTGGCCTCTCTGGAAAGCCAGCTGCACCAACTGGTCAGTGCCCTGTGGGGACCAGGCCCAACCAGGCTGGCTGCTGGAGCCCACCAGTGGGCCTGCGGTCAAGGGCCAACAACAGCTTCCAGACACTCCCCGTTATTTCTTTTAAGTGGTGTTTCGTTTTGTTTTGTGGGGAGGGGGCAGGGTCTCTGTTGCCCAGGCTGGAATGCAGTGGCACGATCACAGCTCAGTGCAGCCTCCACCTCCCAGACTCAGGCAATCCTCCCACCTCAGCCTCCTAAGTAACTGGAACTACAGGCATGGGCTACCACGCCTGGCTGATTTTTTGTATTTTCTATAGAGACAGGGTTTCACCATGTTGCCCAGGCTGGCCTCAAACTCCCGGGCTCAAGCGATCTGCCTGCCTCGCCCCCGCCAAAGTCCTGGGACTACAAGCATGAGCCACTGCACCCGGCCAAATTATCTTGTAATAAGGAAAAATGAACCACAGAGAATCTGACCATCTGTCCTGCCTGAACAGGGTGGTGGACTTGTGGATATATTTTCTAGTAACATGTATTTTCTTGTAAAATTTTAACACAAATGTTAACAAACATACCTGGACTTGTCAAATATTCACTTATGTCCTTATGACACTGATGTTAAATCACAGGTAATTTTACTGTTGCCTTCCAATTTAATTTATTTGCTAAATGGTTGCATCATTTAATTGAGGCCATAATTTTTTTTAACCCTTCACCTTCTGTTGGGCAATTGGATCGCTTTCGCGTTTTCCAGTGTGGCATACATCTTCTATGCATACTCTTTCTTCGCATTATTTATTTCCCTAGGATAATTTTCCAAAGTGGGGGTTTTTGATACTGAACATTTCTTGGATCCTTGAAATCTGTACAAACTACTCTCCCTAAAAGCCCAACAGCTTGTGTTGCCTCCAGCAGCCCCTGGGTGGTACTTTCCGTGGCCCTAAGGCTGGTGCAGGCACACCTGTGTGTGGAATTTCAGGCTGCCAGTCCGGTTTACCAGCTGGTGAGCTGAGGCCTCACTTCTGTCACTCAGATACCCATCTGTGCTCTCTCCCTGAGACCCGCCTCTCCTGAACAGCCTTGCCCAAGAGGCTCGTTGGGACCACTAGCTTCACAATCCCCTAGAATGCAAGGGGAGAGGGACTGGTTACTAGATCTGGAGACGAGGAGAAGGGCTAGCCTATGGCGTAGGGGTTGGCTGTATGATCTTTGGTGCAGGTGGTGCCAACTGCAAACCTTTCTGGGCTGCACTGCAATCTGCCCACCTAGAACAATGACAAGATCTCAGTCATGGGACTGTCAGCCCTCCACAAGAGCACTATGTTGGTGGAAACGGAATGTGCCATAGAAATGGCAGGCTGAAAATCTTTTCGTGACCACAAAACACCCAGATGCCAGATAAATTATAATGAATGTACTTTTAACTGTATTGCTGAGGTCACAGATAGGACATTTCCAAGAACTCAAGAGTTGGAGGGAGATTGCCTCTAGGCGCAATGTGAGGCTTGGTTTTGAGCATATACAAAGTACGGAAACAAAACCGGGGCCTTTCCACAATGGCAGGTAGCTCAGCACCTTTGGCACCGTGAAAAGGCGGCAGGGAAAATCTGCCCATCTGCAATGGAAACTGAATTGGAAACAGCTCTGTCCCTGCTTGAGAAAAAGAAAGAAAAACTGGGCCGGGCGTGGCGGCTCACACCTGTAATCCCAGCACTTTCGGAGGCTGAGATCACTTGATTCCAGGAGTTTGAGACCAACCTGGGCAACATAGTGAGACGCCCGTCTCAAAAATTAAAAACTTAGCTGTACATGTCAGGTATATACTGAAGGAAGGTCAGGGAATCCTGGTGCTGAGAAATTAAGATAATTAAGGACCTTCAGGGTCAATATTGTGTGTCAACCAATTATAAGCTGTCCGGAAACACTACTGAACCTTCAAGAAAATGAGCCATTGTTAGCAAAGTCAACAGGAACAATAATTGATTTAACCCCTGGGACTTCAGATATTACAATCACCAGATACAGGCAGGGCACAGCAGTTCGCGCCTGTAATCCCAGCACTTTGGGAGGCCGAGGAGGGCAGATCATGAAGTCCGGAGTTTGAGACCAGCCTGAGCAACATGGTGAAACCGTCTCCACTAAAAATACAAAAATTAGCCGAATGTGGTGGCAGGCGCCTGTAATCCCAGCTACTCAGGAGGCTGAGGCAGGAGAATCGCTTGAATCTGGGAAGCAGAGGTTGCAGTGAGCCGAGATCACGCCACTGCACTCCAGCCTGGGCGACAGAGAGACTCCATCTCAAAAAAAAAAAAAAAAAAAAAAAAAAAAAAGCACACCAGATACAGAATACAAAATATGAAACCTCTGAAGATGGCACTGAAAAACAATGAGCAAAAAGAGTCTGAAAATGACTAGGCAGATTTGAAAATAGAATTCTGGAAATGACAATCATTGAAATAATGTGTTATTCACCAATAGATTACATCAACCTGAAAAAGAAAAAATTAGTGGTGCGTTACCTTTGTCAGAAAGAGAGCAAAGAGGCCGGGCGCAGTGGCTCATGCCTGTAATCCCAGCACTTTGGGAGGCTGAGGCAGGTGGATCACGAGGTCAGGAGATCGAGACCATCCTGGCTAACATGGTGAAACCCCACCTCTACTAAAAATACAAATAATTAGCCCGGTGTGGTGGCAGGAGCCTGTAGTCCCAGCTACTCAGGAAAGTGAGGCAGGAGAATCGCTTGAACCCAGGAGGCAGAAGTTGCAGTGGGCCGAGATCATGCCACTGCACTCCAGCACTCCAGCCTGGGTAACAGAGCAAGACCTCATCTCAAAAAAAAAAAGAAAAAAAAGAGACAAATAATTGGGAACTGTGAAAGATCTGTTCCTCTGGAAGGTTAGGAAGGGAAAGCCTTTTCATGTGTTACCAAGAGCAGCATCCAAGAGCCTGCTAATGTGTTTCTCAGCAGAAAGGGCACTGTCCTGAGGTGGGGATAGGATCTTGGGAAGCAAACATGTCTCTTGCCCGTCTCTGCTTGTTTCTGACTGCTGGTATTTCAGGGTCAGGGTCACGATTAGGCATGTCTCCTTCTTAGCCTTCCTTCCAAGAGGCTTGGGGGAACCAGCGACAGTCCCCACTCCACTCCTCAGGTGGGCTTCATTGCCTGCTGCCAGGAGCCCTCTTGTGGACAGAGCTGGACTTTCCCCCTGGGTTGCCACCATCCCTAAGCCAGATTCCTTTCCAGAGTACACACCAGCAGCTTTTCCTTCCCCTTCGCATCAGCATTTTCTCAGGCTGCCTTTCCACCCCATGAGTTAATATTTGCTAGGTTCCTCCTAGAGTTCCAGAAGTGATCGGGGATCAGTCTCCCCACCTTCTGAGGGCTGGCTCACCCAGGCCCTCGCACTGGGCTCGTCCTTGCTGCCCCGTCTGCCATTTTGCAGGCCCCGAGGCCTGGCATTGTTCCTTCTTTTGGTGTAGCTGCCTCTACCTCCTCCAGCTGGGGCGGGTTTCTGCTACCGGAGGGTGTCCTCTCCCAGCGCTGTTTACTCCTGATGGCTAGCAGCTGTTGGTGCCAGGGAGTGGATCCCTCCTGCGTGACTCGGAGCAAGGCACTTATTCACTGAGCTTTTTCCTCCGTAAGCTGGGGATGCTAACGATGCCTATACCTCTGGGGTGTTGCGAGGGTAAAATGCAATCAACAACATGGGTATAGCCCCTAGCACAGGGCCTGGCACCCAAGGCACCCCTGTAAACTGGTTGCTGCTATAACCTGTTTCTCTCCCCACCAATCTGTGGTTTCTTTGAGGATTGATCTTTGTGTCCAGCACTCTATGTGGAGCCTGGTGTCCTGCTGAAGTAGTATGTTTCGAGAATAATTTTTTGAAGACCACCTAATTCTCAGTCCCTTTCGGCTCATAAGAGACTGTGTTAAGGGGACTTGTTAGGAGAGCTGTAGGGCATTGGCCACCATCTAGACTGTTGCTATCTCCAGCCTGGCCTGGCACTGAGCCAATCCCTGGGACAGGTTTGAATATTTACAGGTGAGTCACAGGTGCAGGTGTGAGGAAGGGGAGAGGACAGGTGCAGGGAGTGGGTGGAAGGGTGGGGGCGGCAGCTGGCCAATGAGCCCGGAGCTCTCCTGACTTCAGGGCTCTGCCTGCCCTTGACCGAGTGCTGTCACCAGCCCAGAACATTTGATCATCCCCAGCACCTGCCACAAAGCAGGTGCCCAGCGCAGGATTGGGAAAGGCGCCCCAGCACAATGGCACTCACCTGCTCCTTACAGTGGAAGCGTTTCTGTGGCGGACGGGTGGCTTGGGACAAAAGCCACAGACAGGGTGACTGGGGTTGTAAATGGCCCAGCCTTGGCTGCCAGGACATGAAATTATGACCTTGATGCTGAAGGCAGTGGGTGCCATTGAAGGGTCTTGGCCAGAGGTGCGTTTTTCAAAATGGCAACATTTCGAAAGCCGCCTCTGGCTGTGTCTTTACAGGGAATGGACGGGGTGGGAGCCAGGTAAAGAAGTTGCTGCAGTCTTCCACGCCAGAGAGGACGGTGGCCCTGACTTGGGGGCTGGGGCGAGGCACAATGGTGGGGATGGCAGGCTACAGATGAGGTGGGCTCGTGAGATCGACAGACAAGGCAGAGGCTTGAGGGCTTCCTCCAGGTCCCCACAGCCCCAGCCCAGCTCAGACGTCTGTTCTGTGGCTGCAGCTCCAGCCATGTCTGCGCTCAGCTCCACCCCCACCCACTCCCTGTCTGGGACCCTCCTGTCTCCCTGTCACCTGCAAGACAACATTCCACTCCCATGCACCCGGCCTCCTCAGCTCGCCCCAGCCCTCACACTCCAAGGATCCCTTCTGCCCTCGCACCTGCCCGGAGACCTCTGCTCTACTTCCACAGCTCAAACCAAACACTGTCCTAAGAGGCCCCCTGACCCTGCTGGACATCCCTGCCTGCGTGCCCTCCTCTGCAGCTCCAGCTTTCAGGAGGGAGGACACAGCCTTTCTTATTAAAAATTGTAATAAAGAGGTGTCCACCTTCAGAACTGCACTGCAGGGCGAGGCAGGCAGGGTGCCCAGGGCACAAAAACTAAGGAGACGCCCACCACAGATAAGTCAGCCTGAGGGCTTGGGCATGTCTAAAGATGGCAGTGGGCTGGGCACAGTGGCTCATGCCTGTAATCCCGGCACTTTGGGAGGCCAAGGTGTGCAGATCACTTGGGGACAGCAGTTCAAGACCAGCCTGGCCAACATGGTGAAACCCCATCTCTACTAAAAATACAAAAAAAATTAGCCAGGTGTAGTTGTGTGTGCCTGTAATTCCAGCTACTGGGGAGGCTGAGGCAGGAGAATCGCTTGAATTCAGGAGGCAGAGGGTCAGTGAGCCAAGATCGCACCACTGCACTCCAGGCTGGGCGACAGAGCAACTCCGTCTCAAAAAATAACAATAATAAATAAAGATGGCAGAGGGAAGTTTTTTTAGTTTTGAGGATTTGTTGCTACAGTTTTTGTGGAGGACAAAAGAAGCCTTTACAACACAGGACGTAAAGCAGGGCGATGTCCTCCTCAGCTGTCTTCTCTAACAAGACACACTGCCCAGCCTGGGCAACATGGCGAAACCCCCATCTCTACAAAAATTAGCTGGGCGTGGTAGTGTGCGCCTGTAGTCCTTGGCTCACTGCAACCTCCGCCTCCTGGGCTCAAGCGATTCTCCTGCCTCAGCCTCCCAAGTAGCTGGAATTACAGGCACACACAACTACACCCGAACAAGCCTCAAGCCTGCTCAGAGCCCCATGTGGTTCAGATGGTGGCAGCACTTTCTAGGAGCTCCCAGAGATCTGGGAAGCGGGGTGGCGGGAGGACGGCCTGGCACTGGACTGGCCAGGGTGCCAGCAGGGACCTCTGTGCAGGTGGCCCAGGGAGCCAGGCTGGTGGAAGAAACTGTCTCCCACAGGGGCTGCCAGGGAGAAACCGCAGGGAAGACCCTGCCTGGAGTCCCAGATGGGAATGCCCACCCTGAACTGGTGCCATCTGAGTTGCCTTGTAGCCAGGCCTCAGCCCAGTAAGGACCTGGCAACACCAGGGCGTTCAGGAACATGGAAAGGGCACTCAACCCACCGGCCACCCCCTCACCCCGAATTAAAGCCTCCCATGGCCTCCTTGGGATGTAGCACCTCAGAGGCCCAGCCTCACCCAGCCCTCTCCCCCTGGCACCCCCAGCTCAGCCCCGCTACTGGGTCACCCTTGGTTCAACCAGGCAAGCCCTCCTTCTCCTCAGAGCCCATGTGCCGTCTCCTCTGTCTGGAAAACTGACGCCAACACTCCCAGGCCAGGTCAAATGCCATCCTGTGCTTCTGTGGTGCCAGGGGCCTCCTCTTCAGAGCAGCTGCTTAGATGTCCCTCTTGGTCACCTCCCCTCCATGCCCCCAGTAATGGAGGGGGGCAGGAGGACACCCCCAGGGGCTAGTAGGACTGACTCAGCCATTGTCCAACTGGAACCACTCTATGTGGGGTGGCAGTGACAAGTCCAGCTTGGTGAGGACAGGTCTTCCCACAGGAGCGATCTGGGCCCAGAGGAGGCTCTGTGTGGGTGAAGCCAGAACCCCTATAAAACCTGCAGAGACACGTCACCCCCTCCCTCAGGCAGGACCCAGCACCAGGGTGTGTCAGGGCCAGGGACCCTGAAGTGGGAAAACTTGCGTCAGCTCTTGTGAGCATCCACTCTGCGAGCGTGAGGGCACAAGGTGGGAACCCGGGGGCTTCCCAAGAGAGGTGCCCTGCCTGGAGCTTCTGGCCTGGGAGGCGCACAGGCCCCACAGCCCAGACCTGCGAGACAGGAGGCAACACTGGAAGGGACCACTGCCTTTATTGCCTCTGTGCTGGGGTCCCAGCCTGGGGTTCAGAGGCCTCTGGGGGCAATAGGTGACCCTGGACCCAAATTATTGCTACTTGGCCAGGTCACCTTGGGGCTTCCCATACTGCCCTGAGAATGGGTGGGATGAGGGCATGCAAACGATATGCAAATGACATGCAAACCAACCCAGAGGCCTCTGGCACATCCATGGGTGCTGGAAGAGTCAGAGCCTAGTGGCCTGGGAGGGCGACGGGGCACCCAGCTCAGGCCCAGCCTCGGAGGCAAGGTTTGAGGGTTGGGGGGTCCCTGAGCATCAGCCCTGCTTCTGCCGCTGGCTGAGGAGGAGCAGAAGCCTGGTCCCAAGACAGCAGGAAGAAAGCAGGACCCTCGCTAGGCGGCCAGATGGCCTGAGGCCCACCCAGACAGGGACGGGACCTGCCCTGGGTCGCTCAGCCAGGCAGGGACAGCAGGGACCAGAATCCAGGTCTCCTGAGCCAGGCAGAAGCCAAAGTAGCTTGGAGGCTGAAGTGACAAACAATAAAATACAGGGATAAATAAATCAATAATAAATAGAAAGCAAGCAGCCCAGTCCCTGATCCCTGGGCTGAGAGCCCTTCCACCAGGCCCAAGTCCAGGAGGAGACAAGTCCTGGTCTTTGCGCTGGGCTGGCCAGTCCAGAAGGCTCCAGAGGGAGGCAGGCAGGGTCCCGGGGCCCTCGGCGTGTGCAGGTCTGGCTCAGTTGTTATTCATTATCCACCAGGAGGCTGGGGGTCAGAGGCAGGGGGTCAGGAGCCCTCAGGAGCCCACTGCCCCTCCAGGGCCACAGTGAGTGGGGGTCCACCGCATACCTGGGAAGAACACAGTGGTGAGGGTGTCCGGGGCCCGCAGGTGGTCGATGAGGATGCGCTGGAAGGCCTTGCTGCCAGGCGACTGCTGGTGCCTGCAGAGACCCAGGCTACAGTGACCTCGCTCTCCCCACTCCCGCCCCATCCTGCTGCCAGGATCAGACCCCGGCCCTTCTCACACTGCCTCTGGAGCCTCAGTCCTCTCCCCTGTGACACGGGGAAGCTGTGTGGGTGGAATGAAGGGCACTGCACACGGTGCTTGGCATAGGCATTGTCACATACATGGTGACAAGTGTGTATTCACTGAGTGCCTCCTGTGTCCCTGTGCTGTATTCAGCTCTTCCCAGTCACCTCCTTTAGCCCATAGGAGTTGGAACTGTTATCACTTCCATTTTGGAAAGGACTCGGGGGCTCGGGCAGGTGGGGTCACTCATCTGAGGTCACAGAGCCAGTGAGCGGGAGAGCAGAATTAGAACCCTGGCCTGACTCACTCCAGGGCCACATTCCATGGTGTTAGCGGCCAGACTGGCACTCATACCTTCTCCAGGAGGCCTCATCCTGCCAGAACTCATACAGGGTGAAGGAGGCACCGTCCAGCATCTTCTGGGCGGACACACTGTAGGGCCAAAGAGATGGGCAGGCCAGGCCAGGGCTGCCACCACCTCTGCCTCCCCGGCCTGGGGCCTCATGGGAACCCTGACCCACCCAGGATGGCCAGCCCCAGCACCCCTCTCTGCTCACCCCCTCCCCACTGGCCATCCCACCTGCCAGCTGGGGACTCACTGCAGACAATGGCTCTGGGCCCCTGTGAAGTCCACATAGCAGCGCAGGGCTCGGTGGAAGTCCTGCAGGCCTTCCTCTGCCACCTGGACCTGCCTCTGGGCCATGAGGATGTGCTGGTGGGAGAGGCAGCCGGTCAGCTGGTGCGGGGCCGGGCACAGGGGAGGGACTGGCTGTGGCCTCCAGGAGGTTCTCAGCTGTTTTTCTGTTTGTTTGTTTTTTAAGACAGGGTCTTGCTCTCACCCAGGCTGGAGTGCAGTGGTGTGTGGGATCACGGCTTACTGCAGCTTCTATCTCCCAGGCTCAAGTAATCCTCCCACCTTGGCCTCCCAAGGTGCTGGAATTACAGGCATGAGCCATCACACCTGGCCCCTAGCCTTCTTGACTGATGCCAGATCCAACCTACCCTTTAGCTGGGTTCCTGCCGCCAACCTGCCCCCCAGCCTCCCTGTCTCCATCCTCTTCTCCCTGTCTCCAAGGGTGCTGCTTGATCCAGCCACTGTTCCTCCTCCTGCAGTATGCCACCACTTCCTTCCACCCTCCAGCTTCCGTCCACACTGCCCCAGACCTGGCTTTCGGAAATGCTGATGGGGAACCAAAGCCCAGAGAAAGGTGGTGGTTCCTGCAGGTTCTCAGAACCCGGCACCTGCTTGCCAGGCCTGGGGGCGGGGCACATGCGCACTGCAGAGGGTTGGTGGGCAACCGGCCCCATGAATCCCCAATTCATGAGCACCCCCAGACACGGCCATCCAGCCGCTTGCCCCTCTCCTGGGCTCACCAAGTCAGGCCCCTTGGCCAGGTCCTCTTCACGCAGGGGTTCCAGCCGGGGGGCCTGTGAGGGCACAGAGTGTGGGCCGGGCCTCCAGCATGGGCCTGGCTCTGGTGGATACCAGGAGGGTCCTCCCTTGTGGGGCCCTGGCCCCACGGCCCTCACCTTGCACTCGAGCTGGTCGATGAGCTCCTGGAGGCGGTTCACCTGGAGCCGCCACTGCATCTCGGCCTCTGAGCTGCGCCCTGTGTGTGGGGCCCGTGCAGGGTCAGGCAGGGGCCTCTCAGGTCCCGCAGGTGCTCAGAATGAAGTGAGGGGCAGTGAAGGAGCGGGCCCTGGGGGAAGGGGGGATGCGGTGCCTGCCTCGGCCAGGCCTCCCACCCCACCCCAGGCGCACCTGTGTCAGAAGAGCCGGGGGACCAGGTGGATGACCGGCTGACACTCCTCAGGGCTCGGCGTCCTGCCCGCCGGCTGCCGCAGAGCCTGCTCTGCGCCTCCACGCTCTCTGCATCTGACCTAGAGGAAGTGAGGCTCACAGGGCCGAGGACTGGGGCCCCAGGACGGGATAAGCCTGGGTGGGGAAGACAAGCCTCCTGGGACTCCGAGGCCTAGCCCCAAAGCCAGTCTCATTTCACCCCGCCATGGCTACCCTGCCATGGCTTCCCCGCCCGAAAATGCAGGCTCCAGGATGCTGGGACTGTGGGGATTTGGAATGGGGGTACAATGGGCGCTTGTGCACTAGCCCCACAGGTTGACAGCACCCTTACATACCGCCAGCCATGGGCCTGGGCCTCCAGGGTATCTGACGCCCCCTCCAGCGAGCTCTGAAGGGCTTGCAGCTGGCTCACCGTCTCCCGCAGCAGGAAGCGCGTCACAAACTGGTCCACTTTGGAGGCCCTCTCGTACTCCTGTGGGCCAAGGAGGGACGGTCAGCATCTCCCAGCCCGGGCACTGATCTCTTGAGTGGGTCCCCTGCCTCTTGCCCATCAGAGCAGCGGTGGCAGTGCCAAGAGCAGGGGCACGCAAACCTGGCACAGGCAGGAGGGTACTGAGACCTGATGGGCAGGGAGGGTCTGGATCCCTCCTTGTCCGGGACTGGCCTCCCTCCCCGGAGGTGTGAGGCCAACTCACAGGGGGCATCTGCCCAGCGAAGTGCCTGGCCTCTCTGGACCTCATGGCCCCTTCCCTGATGGGGCTACCACCTTCAGCACTGTCATAGCCAGTGAGTCCCAGCCACAGCTAGGCTGGGTGGGGGCTATCACGAGGTATCCAAGGGCCAATGTTGACACAAGGCAAAATAATGGCGTGGTGTGGCCCCAGACTCACAATCTACGTATTCACTCATTCATTCATTCACTCATACACACAACACTGGGTGCTTTTTACTAGGAGCTGCTGATAAAAGACAATCAGGTTGCCATTCTCACTCAGACACACACGCCGGCACTGACCCCAACCGACACTGCCAGCCTCCTCCCAGCCCCTCTCAGGGTGGCAGAGAGGCAGGGAGGCTGCCCAAATGCTAGGCCCTGCATGGCCCAGCATGGGATTCTGAGGCTCCTCAACAACCGTCAGTTCCTGGAGCTTCCATTTCCTCATCTATCAAACAGGAAAGATGAAACTCAGCACATGGAGCTGCAAGAACGTCCCAGGAGTTAATTCCTGCATAGGACTCAGCCCAGGGTCTGGCACGTAAGCTCTCGATGCCAGACCTACCAGCCATCTATCGTCAAGTGTAATACAATAAAGGGCCTGCCCACTTGTACACCCAGGAGTCACAGATGTCCTGAGAATTGCCTAACCCCTACCACACACACACACACGCATCAGGGTGGGAGTCCTGGGGAGCTGCAGTCCAGGTGCCTGCCCTCTCCGAGGAGACTCCAGAAGCCCCATCCATCAGAGACTTCATCTCCTGCCATGACCTGCCTCAGCTCAGCCATCGGATGGGACCTCCTGGGCCAGGCTTATG
The DNA here is from genome assembly GCF_000001405.40 of Homo sapiens. Lineage (NCBI taxonomy): Eukaryota > Metazoa > Chordata > Mammalia > Primates > Hominidae > Homo > Homo sapiens. The sequence continues at coordinate 33,661,460 of NC_000020.11, forward strand.
AGCTAGGAGACAGGGACAGAGAAGAGGCTGGGTCTTTTCATTCTCAGACAGGCCAGGGTTTCTATCTCCATGAAATCTTCCCAAAAAATTCCTTTTTGGGTATTTGAGATGATTAGTTTCTGTTGCTTTCAACCAGAGAACAGACAGAAGCACCCACTCAGAGCCAAGCACTACTGCAAGAAGAATTTCATTTAGTCTTTTGTTTTTCTGAGACAGAGTCTCACTGTATCACCCAGGCTGGAGTGAAGCGGCATGATCTTGGCTCACCGCAACCTCTGCCTCCCAGCTTCAAGCAATTCTCCTGCCTCAGCCTCTTGAATAGCTAGGTTTACAGGCCTGTGCCACCACACCTGGCTAATGTTTGTATTTTTAGTAGAGACGGGGTTTCACTATGTTGCCCAGGCTGGACTCGAACTCCTGACCTCAGGTGATCCACCCGCCTCGGCCTCCCAAAGTACTGAGACTACAGGCATTAGCCACCATGCCAGGCCTCATTTAACCTTTGTAACAATTTACAGGAACCATAATTGACCCCATTTTGCAGATGAGAAAACAGGTCCAGAGAGGTTGATTACCTGGGCTAAGGTCACATAGCAAGTTAGTAGCAGGGCCAAAATTCATACCCAAACCACAGAAATCCCCCTCTATTCACCACTAAGCACCTTACATGCATTGCCTCATTTATGATCATTAGCCCAGTTTTACAGCTGAGAAACCAAGGCTAGAAGTGACTGAGTGGAGCCCAGATTCACCTGTGGGCCCTGGAAGGCGGTGCTCAGAGCCTGCAATTGGTGAGGTCAGCCCGTGAGGTCACAATGTTGCCAGGGCCCAGGGGGCAGAGCAGACGGAGTGTGGGCCATCGTCCCCAGTGGTGACCAGCCCTGCCATGGGAAACTATAGTTCCCACAAAAGGACCAAAGCACCCAAGCAGGCCCGCAAGGAGAGGCCGGCTGACATGGACAAGGCCTGGTGGAAATCGTTCCTCAACCACCTCACTCGGAAGAAGCCGGCTGTGAGGGCGGGGGATGGGGAGCAGGGCTGGGGAGGCAGCTGGGGGGCAGAGAAAGCTGGACAAGTGGGTGGGAAGGGATGCTGGGAGTCTAGGCCTTGTATGCAGAAGTCCTAGGGGGTGAGGGAGGAATTCGAAAATCTCTCCCAAGGATGAGGATCCCAGGAGCCCATATGGGTGTGGATGGGGGTCCTTTCAAGGTGGCTCACGCCTGTAATCCCAACACGTTGGTAGGCCAAGGTGGGTGGATAACTTCAGCCCAGGAGTTTGAGATTGGCCTGGGCAACATAGGGAGGCCCCATCTCTACAAAAATTAAAACTTAGCTGGTTGTGGTGGTGAATGCCCGCAGTCCCAGCTACTCAGAAGACTGAGGTGGACTACGTGAGCCCAGGAGGTCAGGGATGCAGTGAGCCGTTGACAGCACCACTGCTCCAGCCTGTAGGACACAGCAAGACCCTGTTTGACTCAGTCTTAAACAAAAAAAGCCCAGAAGGGAGGGCAGAGATTCCAGAACCAGAAAGTGGATGAGACTTGAGAGCCCCGGGGGGTGAGCATGAGTGGGATTCTCTCCCAACCCTGGACGAACGGGTGGAGATCCCAACACGGAGAATCAGTTCTAGTTGGTACTACTGGAGCTAGAGGCAGGGGGAATTCCCTAGTGTCCTCTCTTCAGCTCCTAGGCTCAGAACTTCCCTGTCTCCCTCTCAAATGAGCAGAAGCCCTGGACCAGGCGGGGGTGGGAGGTGCTGAAAGCCCCTGACATAGGGCCTGGAAGGGATCTCATAAACTTAGACGGAGCTGGTCTCAGGAAGTCAGCCTGGGATGGATGAGGGTTTCCAGAAAGGAGGCGGAGTCCGGGGCGCCACGCAGGGAAGGGCGGGCTTCCCCGCGGCCTGAATTGGACAGGGGTCCCCTCCAGCCCTGTGCACGAGAGGATGACAGGACCCGGGTGGACGACAGGACCCGGGTGGACGAGGGTCCCAGGAGAAGCGCGGAGCGGCCCCGGGTCGTGGGCTCGGCCCTAGCGCGCTCTCCCGCCTCACGCCCCTGTTCCACCCCCAGACCAGGATCGTGCTGATTCTCCCCCTGGACAAGCGGCAGCCGCTGGCCAACGCTGGGCAACGGATTGACTACGCGTCCGGCGCTGGGCTGGGCTCCCCGGCGGCACCCAGATTGCGCGGAGCGGGCGAAGGTAGCGAGCGCGAGCCGAGGATGCCGGTACTGCTGCTGCTGCGGCGGCAAGAGGCGCGGCGGCCGGAAGAGGGCGGGGCCAGGGCAGCTCTGAGCTGGCCGCGGCTGCTCTCGCGCTTCCGGTCCCCGGGGAAGGCTCCCCGCGAAGCCGGCCCCGCCGAGGAGCAGCCGCGCAAACGGTGCCGCTGCCCTCGCCCGCAGCTTTAAACGCTTGGCCCGGACCCCGCCCAATAAAGAGTGCGTGGCAACCCTGGCGCCTGCGAACCCTGTCGGAGGCGTCTGGGCGCGGAGTCGGGGTGGGCAAAGCTCAGCCTAGGAGCCGCAGAGGGGTGAACGGGGCGTGATGAAGGCAGAGCCATCGCCACGGTCTGGAGCCAGGGCTGTCTTTTGCTTTCTCCTTCCTTGTGCCAAGGGTCAGAACAGAACCCCAAACCTTGCTACAGTGGCGGGAGGCAGTTTCCTTCCCCCAACACTCCAAATCCAGGTCACATCCTGCCCAGTCTGCAGGCTCAAGGGAGGTGGGCTTGGGCAAACCCAGGCTTGGCCACGCTAGTGAGAGGGACCTGCTTCCGGTAAAGCCTGACATCCCCCCAGCATCCAGAAATCCCTCTTAGGCATGAGGGAGGGTTCCCGGCCAACAGGCACCATCCTGGGTAAGAACAGCCAGGATGGCAGTCAGCTGGGGCAAGGCCTGAGACGTGGATTCTGCCTGGGGACGCACCCAGGAGAAGCTGGAAGCCCTGGGCCTCTCTCTGGCCCCTCACTCCTACACATTGTGCTTGGTAACCCCAAAGCATTCAGGCCCCCCAGTCTTCCCCAAGGCACCTGTCTCCCAACCTACCCTGTCCCATCTCCTTCCCCACGTGACAAAGACTAATTCCAAACCACTTACCTGTCTAGGGCAGCTCACTCCCCTGCTCATAAGCTTTCAACAGGTCTCCATTACCAACAGGGAAAAAGCCCACAGCTTCAGTCTCACTCCCCAAATCACTTAGAAGAAGCCCTGCCACACTTTCTGTGGGCGGGATCCTGCTGCTGCTTCTCCTCACTCTCCCGGGTCCCAAATCCAGCTCCACACCCAATGCCACCCCTGGCCTGCCAAACCTGCAGCCCGCCTTCCTGCCACACTCTGGTGACCAACCTCAGGATGCCCTCTTTTGGGGGCAGATGCAGCAGGACTGAAGTCCCAGCTCACTACAGCCATCAGCCCAGCTTCTGCTGAAGATGCACTTTTGTCACCGCCACCAGGATGAACATCTCCTCCACCTTGCCTGCACCAGGCTGGAGGCTGCAAGAGCTATAACATCACTCCTGCTAATTGTGAGAACTGACTCTTCCCTACCATCCACATGGTTACAATCAGGGTAACCATGTTCTTCCATGGGGCTGCACCTCCTGCCCATACAGTGATTGGCCCAAGCTGGTCCTGTCAGCCCCTCCCCCTAGGACTGTGATTCAGGAGCTGTAAGAGACCATGTTCTCTACTTGAACATGCACAGGCTAAGCCAGCCTTCAGAATAAAAACACAATGCAGGCCAAGCGCAGTGGATCACGCCTGTAAACCCAGCACTTTGGGAGGCTGAGGCAGGCAGATCACGAGGTCAGGAGATCGAGACCATCCTGGCTAACACGGTGAAACCCCGTCTCTACTAAAAATACAAAAAACTAGCCAGGCATCATGGCGGGCGCCTGTAGTCCCAGCTACTCGGGAGACTAAGGCAGGGGAATTGAACCCAGGAGGCAGAGGTTGCAGTGAGCTGAGATCACACCACTGCACTCCAGCCTGGGCAAGAGAGCGAGACTCCATCTCAAAAAACAAACAACACAATGCAGTGCACATCCTGGGTTCCCCACAGCCCCGCAGTCAGATTCTGTTCCTGAAACCTGATTTCACCCTTGCTCTTGATATCCATAACATGTAAGATCCTTTCAATAAAGTCCTTATTTTGGGTTACATTCACCTGAGTCTTCTACCTGCAACCAAACTGGTCCTCAGGAGGATGAGGCTTTGCAGAGACAAGAAGTGACCTCTTTCCTGTGTGGGGGGATTATTACTACCTTTTGGAGGAGAAAACCGAACCCAGAGAAAGATCAAGACTTGCTTAGGACTGCACAGTGAGTCAGCTTCAGAACTGAGTCTTGCTGGGTGCGGTGGCTCACACCTGTAATCCTAGCACTTTGGGAGTCCAAGGCAGGTGGATCACCTGAGGTCAGGAGTTCGAGACCAGCCTGGCCAACGTGGCGAAACCCTGTCTCCACTAAAAATACAAAAATTAGCCGCGTATGGTGGTGCATGCCTGTAGTCCCAGCTACTCAGGAGGCTGAGGCAGGAGAATCACTTGAACTCGGAAGGCAGAGGTTGCACTGAGCTGAGATTGCAACGCTGCACGCCCAGCCTGGGTGACCGAGACTCCGTCTCAAAAATAATAATAATAAAAAAAAGAACTGAGTCTCAAACTGAGGCCCACGTGAATCCATCCGTGGAAGCCCATAAAGGTAGGGCCAGAGCCTCTCGGGGGCTCTTCAGGGAAGCTGCAGATCTGTGATGAAAAAGCTTTTTCTTCAGCACTGGGAGGGGTAGGGGGCCACACATCTGGACAGAGTACATCAGATAATTCTAAGTGGTTTGGGAAAGGAATCAGACTGTGCTGGGCTGCTGAAGCCAGACCCCTGGATGCCAAAATCACTGCCCTTGGCTCTGTCCAGAAGAGAGGATGGGTCCAGGGAGTTGTCATAAGGTAGGGAGCTGCGAAGTGCAGCTGCTGGGGAGTGAGGTCACAATGAGCCCAATCCAAGTTCTTTTCTGCCTTCTGACCAGCCCCTCCCCTCTCCACAACCAGGAACTTCCGTCAAGCCCAGGTGAGAGGTGCCAGGAGGCTGCCTGGGTCCTCAAGGGGGATATATGTCCAAATGGCCTTACCACAAGGCCCCTTCGCCCTCAAAGTTCTGCTCCTCCCGGGGGCTTCTTAGGATCTAAAAGGATCAGTCCTAGCCATCTCGTCAGCCATCTCAGCAAGGGCTGACGGGGCGGAACAGCAAAGCAGAGGCGGGTCCTGAGAGCGTGGAGCCTGAAGCCCGGCGCCAGAGGGAGACCAAGAGGGTGAGATGCGGCTGGAACCCAGCCAGAGCGGAGACTGAAGCCTGAACTAGGGGCCGGGCCTCAGGCCTAGGAACTAGCCACGAGCTGAAAAGGAGGCGGATGGCCCGGACAGAAGAGGCGGGGCTTTCAGACCAGAGGGCGGAGCCAAGAGCTGAAAAGGGTGGTGATTTGGTCCAGAAGAGGAAGAACTTAGGCTCCGGAGGCAGAGCCAAAGGCTGAAGGGGACTACTCCCTAGGACAGAGGCCGGGAGGTATCGGGCCGACGAAGCCGAGTGGCGCGGAGGAGCGGAGCCTTCAGCCCCGCGGCTGGGCCGAGCCCGAAGGTGGCGTCGGTGTCGGGGAGCCGCCGCGTGCACCGGCCGTCCTCCCTGGGCCGCATCGCGGTGGTGGTGGACCAGGGCTCGGGCTTCACCAAGGCGGGCTTCGCGGGCGAGAACCAGCCGCGCATAGTGCTGAAGAGCTCTAGCTTGGTGCCCAGCTGGGACCGGCCGGTGCTGCCCGGAGCGCCGGGCTGCGAGCTGGCGGGCGGCGTGGCGCGGGCGCACCCCATCAAGCACGGCGTGGTGGCGGACTGGGAGGCGCTGGAAGGGCTGTGGGAGCGCCTGCTGGTGGGCGGCCTGCGGGTGTGCCCAGAGCAGTGGCCCGTGCTGGTGAGCGACTCGCCGTTGGCGCCGCCCGCGGGCCGCGAAAGGGTGGCGGAGCTGCTGTTCGAGACCCTGGCAGTGCCCGCGTGCCACATGGCTAGCACCGCGTTGCTGGCGCTCTGCTCCACCGGCGCGTTCAGCGGGCTGGCCGTGGAGGCGGGCGCGGGCGTGTGCCACGCCACGCCCATCTACGCGGGTCACTCGTGGCACCAGGCCACCTTCCGACTGAACGTGGCAGGCAGCACCCTGTCGCGCTACCTGCGGGATCTGCTGGTGGCGGCGAACCCTGACCTCTTGCAGCAGGCCCTGCCCCGCAAGGCCATCACACATCTCAAGAAGCGCAGCTGCTACGTGTCCCTGGACTTCGAGGGCGACCTCCGCGACCCCGCCCGCCACCATCCGGCCAGTTTCAGCGTGGGTAACGGGTGCTGCGTCTGCCTCAGCAGTGAGCGCTTCCGCTGCCCCGAACCCATCTTCCAGCCGGGCCTGCTGGGCCAGGCTGAGCAGGGGCTGCCCGCGCTGGCCTTCCGGGCGCTGCAGAAGATGCCCAAAACGCTGCGGACACGCCTGGCAGACACCGTGGTGCTAGCCGGCGGCTCCACACTGTTTCCTGGCTTCGCCGAGCGCCTGGACAAGGAGCTGGAGGCGCAGTGCCGGCGGCACGGCTACGCGGCCCTGCGGCCCCACCTGGTGGCCAAGCATGGGCGTGGCATGGCTGTGTGGACCGGCGGCTCCATGGTGGCCTCCCTGCACTCCTTCCAGCGCCGCTGGATAACTCGGGCCATGTACCAGGAGTGTGGCTCCAGGCTGCTGTACGATGTGTTCAACTGAGTCAGGCTGGACTGGGGGGGGTGGCACTGCGTTGGGGGACAGCTCTCTATCTAAAGAGTCAAGTGTTTGGAGCTGGCAGGGTCCTCCTGGAGGTTGGAGCTGACTGGATGGGTCACCCCCATACCCTTTCTGGGCCAGGAGAAGGTATTTGGGACCCATGGGACCCTCATTTTGAACTGCAGTTTGAATCTCCCCAACCACTGCCAGTTCAGAGAATGCCAGTCCAGCTGCCTACCCACAGGGCCCTACTTTATGGCAATAAAGGTGATGCCCCACTTGTGTCCATGCCACAGATATGGGAGTTCCTCCAAACCCTCGTCATGTACCATTTGGACATACATCCGATGCCAGGCCCCAAGGGGCGATCCCTTGAAAAGCTACTAAATCTCATGTGAAAGTCACCAGGAGGAGGAGCCCTGTGCCTAGCCATGTGCTCAGGTCATTGTTGACTATGAGTGCCTCAGTTTCCCCTTCTGTAAAAAGTGGGGTCAGGCACAATCCCGGGCCTGCTCACTGCTCCCTCCCCCTTACAAGAGCTATGGAGCAAAGGGAGGTGGAGATATTTCTTGAACACACAAAGGGAAGGGCAGCTTATTTTTTGGAAGTCACCACTCAAGGGCCTCAAGCCCTGGCTATCAGCACTGTTCGAGCTTGTGTATACACGTGTCCACACAAACGCGTGGGTGTTCACGTACCTGCCTACTCACGTATGTCCTCGGGCCAGGCCCTGCCCTGTGAACCTGTGAGCACAGCCTTCCACGCCTAGCCCAGCCCTGAATGATATCCCACCACAGTTGTGATGGGCCAGCAACTAAAGCAACAGCAGCCCCTAGTATGAAGCACCCAGTGTATGCCAGACATTATTCTGGGTGCTGGAAACAGAATAAAACAGACAAAAATCCCTGCCTTCGTTCTCACTGGTCACAGTGATGTATGAAGGGCAGCTCTATTGTTATGATGGTTTACAGATGAGGAAACAGGCCCAGAGAGGTCAAGGGGCACAGCTACAAAGTGGGAGCCAGGATTTGAACCCAAGCCCCTAGCTCTATAACCCTGAGTCAAGACTGTGGAGGATCCCACAGCACAGCAGATGCCCACTGCCTCACAGTGGATCCCCCACCATCAGCCACTCCACTCACCAGCTTGGTGGCATCCATGGCAGCGAGCACTGCACGGTTCAGCGATTCCAATGCAGCCAGCACCGGCCGGTAGACACCCAGGTGCTCTGAGAAGTAGTCTGCAGGCAGAAGAGGTGCTCAAGGGTTCCTGGACCCCCACCCATCTACCCACCCTGGGATTCTGGCCCCCTGGAATTCCTCAGCAGCCAAGCAGGCCTTATATCCTGAGCCCAGCCCAACCTGTCCCATCAGGAGACCAGCAACAGTCCCTTGCCACACGTACCCTGGGGCCCAGGGGCCACAGGAGAAAAGAGCTCCCATGGGCCTACTCACCACACAGTTTTTCTGTTTCTAAATTGCTGCAGGGAAAAGAGAAGGCGCCCTTCAGACCTGGGCCTGGTAAACTGGGACTAATGGGGCCAATGCCCCACATCCCACCCCACCAACTCCCAGCTTAGCCTAACAAGGCCACTTCTGCTCCACCCCAGATTAAGTTGCTCCTGTGGACAGAGTCCTTGCAGGGTTGGAGAATGGGTTCTACTGCCCCCACCAATCACTCTAAGGGCAAAGATTCAGACCCATTCTTGGCTACCAAGAGGATCTCAGGCCAGGGGAAGATGGATGTGGACACAGGCCAGTGAGAAGTGGTCAGAGCTGCGAAGGGGAAGCCAGGTGCAAGGCAATGAAGTCCAGGGACGGCATGGGGTATTTAGTTGTAGGTTAGGGAGGGTTTCCTAGAGGAAGAGCTGCCTAAGTGAGGCCCTGAAGGACAAGGAACTGGGTGGGGAGTCTGGCCAGGAGGGGAGGGGAAGCACTGCAGATGAAGGTTCCAGCCCAAGTCTCAGGAGCCTGAGACTGACCCTCAGGAAAGGGGAGAAGGGAAGTAGAGGGAGTAACAGCGGTTCATGCGTGTGCACCCCTGGGAGCAGGCACGGGAAGGAGCGTGCACACTCCTGCCAAGACGCGTAGATGTGGGAGCACACAAGGGGTAGATGGTTGCGTGTTTATGCACTGCATTCTCGGGTGGAAGCAGGCGGGGCCCAGCTGTCCCCAGGCATCCTCTGGTCCCTGTGGGAAGCGGGAATGGGGAGCTGAGCCATGGGTGGTGACTCAGACTTGGCTATTTTGGGGTCCCAGCTGGAAGCAGTGTAGTGGGCAAGGCTGTAGCTGGAGAGGGGGTAGGCAGGCGGGTAAAGTTGGAACTGAGCCCTGGTACCTTTCTCCCTGCCCCCTCTTCCTCATCCTACAAAAGGAACCAAGGCAGCAGGGGACACAGTGGGGTAAAGACAACCTGGCCTCGCATCTACCCACGGCCCCCTCTCATACTCACTCGGTGAGATGCCCATCAATGCCGCTGAACAGTTCCTGCAGCTCCCCCAGGCTGAGAACCCCATCGGCAAAGTAATTCTGGAATTCCTCAAATGAGAGCTTCCCATCATCTGGGGTGGCAGGGGGAGGACAGGGAGCAGAGGAGGTATCCCTGACCCTGACTGCACCCCTGCCACCAGGTCCAGGGTCCCAAAGGCCTCATAGCATCTGACAACCATCTAGCTAGGTGAGATGGGAGTCTGAGGTCAGTGGGGGGCCTGACTGTTGGGGACAAAAGGACTGGGGTCCTTGAAGGTGTCCAGTGAAGGCAACAGAACCTACTTTGCAGGCACCAAAGGGACAGGGCAGTATGTACATAGCGTTGGGTAGGAACTCAGTAAATGTTTGCCAAGTGAAAAAACAAGCAACAGGCTGGGACACGGCCACATTGTGGCAGGGCCTAGATGTCACCTGGAAGGACTTGGGGACCAGCCTCACTGCAGGGCACAAGGAACCTCCATTCTCTGGACCCAGGACCTTCACAGAGAAGCCACGGGGAGGCAGATGGAATCCTCCTACTAGTTGGAGCCTCTGTAGGCAGCAGCAGGCTGGCTCAGAAGGGAATGAGCTCCCCATCACAGGGGCATGTAAGCAGAGGCTGGGAGTACTTATGTGGGACAAAGACATGGGATTTGGCCTGAATGATGTGTGAGGTCTCTGAGCAGATGGGTGCGGGGAGCTGACCCGGGGGAGGATCTGAACCTCCCCAGACAGAACTCCCTGGTCCAAGTGAGAGCATGTGTCCTGATCAATGGGTTGGGACAAACAATCCCCATCAATTTGAAGAGACCCAAGGAGAAGGGGCAAAGAGTGGGGACAGGACCCCGTCTCTAGGAGGATGAAACACAAGAGGGCGTGAAGACCCAGATGAAAGGAGCCCCAGGCTGACTGCGAAGCTCAGACCCTCCACGGGCCACACAGGGCACAGTGGGCTGCTCCAAGTCATCTAGGGGGAGCAGCCTGTTGCTGGATGGGTCCCCTAGGGCTCCTGCTTTAGCTTCCAAGTTTCTCCCAGACCAGGGTCTGAGACTGCCCAGGACCCAAGGCAGGAGGAGCCGACTCCTTTGGCACTGGACCCAGCTTTATCCTTGCCCAAGGCGTGGGTTTAGTTGTGTCCTCCAAGACCTCCCTGGTCCAGATGGTTGGTCACATGACAAGTTACTGAGCCCTCTAAAAACCTGAGTAAAATCTCCAAAAAGGCCTCATCTCCATTACCTCACTCTTCCAAGTGCCTCACACAAGGAGCCTGGGATTAAATGCTGCAAAGACCCAAGTTCGAGCCTATCAATTAAAGGCTGTGTGACCTTAGGCAACTTGCTTCACCTCTCTGGCCCTCTGCTCCTTTATGAAATAGGGTGAATTCCAATCTAGCTGGTGGTTGTGAGGACAACAGAGGGCCACGTACAGGAAGTGCCCATCACCATGCCAGGGTGCTGTGTGAAAGTCAGCCCCTATCTCCAGTCCGTGGCCAAACCACATTCTCTCCACTCTCCATCCTGCCAAACTTGGCTGAGAACAGCACTTCCTCTGGGAAGTGCCTTGATTGATTCTCCTGTTTTGGGCCCCCAAGATTTGTCTCAACTCTTGACTTCCCACCCAACCTCCCAACTCTCCCTGGGCCTCCTGGATGCCTCCCACCCTGCCCCACTGTGGGACCCAGGGGAAGCCACACTCACCATTCTTGTCTGCTCTGCGGAAAACCTAGAGGACAAAGGGACATAGAGAGAACTGTGAGTGCCACCTGGGAAGCCAGAGGCCCCCACTCAACCCGACAGGGTCCCAGCTGGCCGACCTACCCCCTGCCTCGCCTTTCCTCCCGCCCAGCCTGGTCCCAAACCACCTGCCCAGCTCAGCCCTGCAGGAGCTTTTCCTGCAAGCGGGGCACAGGAAGAGCACGCAGCGGGTGCCACCTCTGCTCACTTCTCCTGCAGGGCCTGGCCTCGTGGGGGGTGCTCCTGGCCAGTCCCCTGCGTCCCCACCTCCCACACCCAGAGTGCAGCCCAAGTTCTATCTGATACATCAGCCCCTGGCACAGTTCCAGCTTGAGGAAGGTTGAGGAGATGGGCCAGGTTGTGGCCCAGGAATCTTGCACAGCCGTCCTAGACCTGAGCCCCGAGCTCTGCTGTGTGGCCATGGTCTACCCCAGCTGCCCTCTCTGAGCTGTTTCCTTGCGTGCTGTTGAAAACCAACAGCAGGCAGTGGCTACTCTGTCTCTGCAGGCGCCTGAGTTACCCACTAGCAAATAGATCAGGAGCAGCTGGGGTTAACTCTTTCAGGGCTGGGGCTTCCTATGGGGCTGACTCTGAGGACCTTCGGCAGGCGTGTGTGTACACACACACGTCCAAGGGGGAGTGGGGGTGGCAGAAGGCAAGTTCGGCAGATTTCATTTATGGAGAAGTGGAGATGAAGAGCAACAGAGGCAGAGAGGAGCAGAGTCAAGACAGGTCCCCGTCTCTCTTAGTGACCTGCTCCCAGGTCACCCAAAGCAGCCCAGCAAAGGGGAGACTGGCAGGCCTGGCAAGCAGGGGTGGGCCAAGCCTGGGCCGAGAGCCCCCATGAACTCCAGGTCCTGAACGCCAGCCCCCTCCAGGGTCCTGTTTTGTCAGGGTCAGTGGGGCTCAGGAAAGACTCTAACCTCTAGCCTAACTCAGAGAAGGTCTGCCACTGGCTGAGGGGCACGCAGCAAGCCAGGGAGGCCCAGGTAGGGTAGATGGAGATCTTGGGAGTGGGCAGGGGTGCTAAGCTGGGAATGGGGACATCTGGGGTCACCCTATTGTATCCCTGCCTCCATGACTGACCTGAGACATATCCCCTCAGGCCTTGGTTTTCCTACTTGGGAAGAAGGAGGGTCAGGTCCCTTCCAGCCAGGGCTGTGGTCAAGGTGCTGAGTCACTAGGGGCAGTGGGGAGGGGGTGGGAGACAGCTTTGCCTCCCTCTGGAGTTGGGGCATGAGGGGGCCAGGACAGAGCCGAGCACAGCGGTGAACGGTGGAGAAAGGGCTCAGGGCCGTGGCTGGTGCCCATGGTGGCCGCAGGGCCACCCATGGCCCCATGGGAGGGTGACTCTGAGCAGCCCTTACCAACTGTAGGACTCTGCTGCCCTGGAGTGGGGCCTGAAGAACTCTGGGGGCGGCACTAGAGTCAGGAGTGAGGGGCCCTTGCGTTTCCAGGCTCCCCTTCCCCAGTCAGCCCAGCCTGGAGCTGCCACAGAGTGGGGTGACCGCTGCTGTGATTGTCGCCAGCCCCCCGCCAACACCAGACACACAAATGGGGTGGGCTGAGGGGTGGGAGGCAGCAGGGGCAGTGACACTGGAGCAGGGACAAGAGGAGACATGGAGAGACAGAACAGGTCACACAAGGGCAGAAAGGTCAAGAGAAAACAGCAGGGCCAGAGAGAGGGGAAGAGACCCAGAAACAGCGGCGGGGCCCGAACAACCCCGGAGGGTGAGACTAACAGAGACTCGGGTAGGGAGACACCGCGAGCAGAGCCCGCGCCCACTCACGTCCTGGAAGAGCGTGTGTCCGGCGGGCCCCGGGTCGGGCGCGAGCTGGGGGTGCCGCGGGGTCTGGGGCTGGGGCTGGGGCGCGGGCGGCCGGAGCAGGCACACGGTGAGCAGCCCCGCGCACGCCATGGCGCCGCCACCCGCTCGGGCTCGGCTGCGGTTGCTGCCGACCCTGGACGCCGCGGCGGACTCGGTGTGGCTAGAGGCCGCCCCTTGGCGCCGGCGCCGACGCGCGGGCTCAGGCCCCGCCCCCGCCCCGCCCCCGCGGACGCCGGGTTCCCTCGCCTCAAGGTCCAACTCCAGCGCCGCGGGCCTCCGCGCTTCCGCGGCCACGGCGGAGGGGGAGGCGCCCGAGGGCTCCGGTCCCGCGACGGCCTGTCGGGAGCAGAACCTAGGGGCTGCGGGCCTACCCAGAGGGACAGGATGACCAAGCCAGTGCCGAGGTCAGGGTGACACAAGTGGGTAAAACCCACCAGGACTTCACCTTTTGGGGCGTCTGTATCCTCATCTACAAAAATGGTACTGGCAGACACCCTATGCAATTGTTGGGACTCATTCAATGTCAAGTGCTTACAACGGGGGCTGGCGCAGAGGAAGCCCACAGGTCCGTGCGGCCGAATCCCAGGCATCCCGACGCCCGCCCTCTCTGGCACTAAGCGCAGCCCTTTCCCCTCCCCTCCGTGACTCTGGCCCTCCCTTCAACCCGTTCTCCACACAGCAGCCGGGGGGAGCTTTTAAGATGCGAAAGAGGAGGTGTCACTTCGGTCTCCAGTGACTCCTTGGCCCCTGAATAAAGCTTAAGACTGAACGCCCCACTCCAGGAGCACCACTCTGACCCTCACCTCAGGACCGCAGCCACACTGCTTTCTCTCCGGTCCTCTATCCCGCTCCCTCCTGCCCAAGGCCTTTGCCCATCGTGTCCTCTGCTTGGTGTTTTCTTCCTCTGGTTAACTCCTACTTATTTTACAGCGCTCAGCTTAAGCACCACCCATTCCAGAACGCCTTTCCCGATTTTCTCATTTATGCAGATCTCCTCTTTCAGACCCTGAGAGCACCATGAAAGGAGGTAACACCCGTGTCCCCAGAACTGTTAAATACCTGACACAGAACCAGCCCACTGTATTTGTTACATGTTTACTAATGTCCAGAAACGTCTGGAAGGAAGACAGCAAACTGAGCAGAGTGGCCTCTGGGGCTGGGGAAAGGAGAGGCCACTCATTACTCTGCACTTCGGGCAGCACTGAATAGCATTCTTGGCTTTCTACAACAAAAACCTTTACTGGATCTGCTTTTGAGTTAGGACCAAAACAGCGAGGAAGCTGACCTTTCTTCGAGTTATGAGGCTCAAATCAAATCGGGCACGGACAGGGAGAAGGGAAGTGGAGAATGGGCATTTCCCCAGCAACCTTGGCCTCTCCCGCCCCGAAATGTTCCCAACAGAGTCCCAAAACCCGGCCCAAACGTCATCAAAATATTTATTAAAACCAAAGCAGGAGGGAACAGAGCTGTTAGGAAGCAAATCAAAGTGCAGATTGGAGGGTGGGGCAGAGCAGTGGGGAGGCAGGCGCTTCAGACACTGCAGGAGGGACCACAGGGTCTGGGCTGGGGGAGGCCTTCACCACCCCTCCTGCCCACATCAGTGAAGGTCCCCCACTCACCTCTCCCATCTCATATCCATCCTGGGGGGCAGCTGGGGCCCTGAACTGGCCCCCTGGAGAGGGCCCACCCCACCATCTGACCACCCATGGCTGTCAGTCAGTCTGTCTCCCTCCCTCACTTTCCCAATAAATAAATCACCCAGGCCTCAGTTCCTTCAGTATGGGGCAGAAGAACAGCTCAGGGACCCCTGCCCTTGCTCAAGGGTAGAGGGAGTTGGGGTATCAACCCCACACCCCTCCTCCCCTTTGCTGATTCCCCAGGCTCACCAAAGAGGCCTCGATAAATAAATAACGCTCCATTAAAGCTTCAATCAGAAAAAACCTTTAAGACAGAAGTGCTCTCACCGTCCTACACGCCCAGCCAGCCAAAGCCTCCCCACCTGGCCTGGTCAGAGCACCAGATTCTGGGAGCAGGCACTGCCCTGGGCCTTGTGGGACCCCCAGAGCAAAAGGGCCGAAAGTGCAGTTAGAGCCCCCCCACGCGCACACATGGACTCATGCACACACATGTGGACACACTGGGGCGTGTCTGCAGTGCACACACAGAGGTGTATGTTCACCTTCATTCCCCGGTACATGCACACACACATGCTCACACACATTCACCCCCGGTACACACGTGTGGGTGTAGGCTGCATGCACATACACACCACACAGACTCCTTCCCTTCCTGGCTTGCTCAGCCTCCTAGCGGTAGCCAGACCCCAGAGCTAGAAGCTTCTGGAGACAGAGGAGAGGGGTATAAATTAAATGTTTCCAAACAGGCTGGGAGGACGGCCAGGGACAGGGGGCTCCAGGGCTGCAGAGACAAGGTGAGCATCTCTGGAAACCCTGGTCCCTCCAAGCCCTGTCAGAAATCCAGGGGGGTGAGGTCCCCAAAGTCACAGTCGAAGAGGTCTCTGATGCCCTCGCCCTCCTCGAGGCCGAAGTGGTAGTCGAGGGCCTCGTGGGGTGGGGAAAGGCTGATGAACTCCTCAGGGAGGAGGCCGGAGAAGTCCTCCCGCACATGCTCCAGGAGCGAGTCGGCCGCCACCAGCGGGGACAGGCGGTCCTCGTCCACGGGAGCCCGCAGGCTGCCCATCCGGGACAACAGCGGTTCTGGGGAGACGGGGAGCATCACAGGCCGGGGATGCCCCAGCAGGGAGGAAGGCAGGGGCTGTCGTGCCTGCCCACCCCCCAGAAGAGGGGCCCTGCCCCACCCCACCCACCTACCCATCACCCACCTTGCTCCAGGCTGAGTAGAGACTGGCTGGGATCTGTGGTGAGGGATGAGGGGGGAGATGATGGTGGTGGTGACACTATGGTGGCAGAGTCAGTGGCCCTGTTCTCCTCCTCAGAAGTGACCTCCTGGGATGGGGTCTTCCCAGGGCTGATCCCACCTACGGTCTCCTCAGGGCACAGGAAAACATCGATCGGGCCTTGTTTGCTCTTAAGGGAGATCTGAAAGTTCTGGGTGGAAGCAGCAGGCAGGGTAAACTGAGGCCCAGGTGACCACCAGCCCAGCCCAGCCCAGCCCAGTTGGGCCCGGAGTTCCCAGATCTCACCTCCGAAGAGTCCACGGCTTGGAGCTGGGTCTCAGGAGGGGCTTTGATCACCATAACCATCTGCTCTGCAGGGTCTGCAATGCTACGAAGGTCCTGACACGTCACGTAGGCCAGGGTTGGCAGAGTCAAGGACCACATGACCTTTGACTTCTAGGGGGTCACTCACTCCAACAGCTCACAAGGCAGGGCTCACACCTGCCTAGTCACTCCTGTCCTCCCAACCTCCTACCCACTCAAAACCTACCTCACGCCTGAGTTTCAAGTTCCACATCTGTATAATGAAATCACTCTACCCATTGAATCCCAAGGTAATAATGGCTACCGGGAACGATTCCATGTAAAATGTTCAACACAACTCCAGGCCTGGTGCTGGGAATTTATTTTTTAGAGGCAGGGTCTCGCTATGTCACCCAGGCTGGAGTGATGTGGCTCAACCAGAGCTCACTGCAGCCTCAAACTCCTGGGCTCAAGTGATCCTCCCACCTCAGCCTCTTGAAGCACTAGGATTACAGGCATGAACCACCGCACCTAGCCACTTTTCTTTTTTAATCTGTACAATTTCAGAATTGGATATTATTATTCCCCTTTTATAGATAAAACTGAGGCCAAGAGGTTAAGCAATTTATCCAGTGTCACAACAGTGAGAAAATGCTGAGCCAGGACTTGCAACCAAAATCAGAGCTCTCTCTTAAATCCAAGCCTCTCTAGTCCCACTTGGGTGGAGCCCCTGCCTGCTAAGCCTGCCTTCCACACCCTACGGCCAATCCAAGGATATCGCTGGCTGTCAGTGTCCTCGGAGAGCAGGCGCAGCTGCGTAGTACAGATATTCATCAGGTGGTCCAGCTGCTGCTCGCTCTCCTGCAGCTGTCGGAGGTCCTGGGTCAACCCCTCAAGCCGTCCGCCGACGCCCACTGTGGTGTGGCTGCCCCTGTGGGGAGGCACCAGGGAGGGTAGGGTTAACAGCGATTGGCCCCTCTGGCCAGGAGCCCTGGGCCTCAGGACAGAGTCTGCTGTTGCCTCTGTTCTGTGAGGCCTAGGCAAGCCCTTGCTTCTGTCTGGGTCTGGCTCCTCAGCTGGGCTCCAAATCAGAGTGTCATGGGCTTGAAGTCTGGCCCGAATATAAACACCTACATGTCCCTCAACCAGGGCGGGATAAACAAATGATGGGACTGACATGCCACGAAATATTACACATGCACACACACATGCATTTCCAAGACATGCTGTCAAATGAAAAAAAAAAAAAGGCTGGGCTTGGTGGCTTATACCTATAATCCCAGCACTTTGGGGGGCTGAGGCCAGAGGATTGCTTGAGCCTCAGGAGTTTGAGACCAGCCTGGGCAACACAGTGAGACTCTGCCTCTACACAAAATCAAAGACATTAGCCAGACATGGTGGCATGTACTTGTAGTCCTAGCTACAGGTACGGAGCTTGAGCCCAGGAGGTTGAGGCTGCAGTGAGCTGTATTTGTGCCTCCATACTCCAGCCTGGGCGACAGAGCAACACCCTGTCTCAAACCACCCCCCTCCACCCAAAAAACCACAAAAGATGCAGAATGGAACGATCTACCAAAAAATGAAACGGCAGGTGTATCAAAGAAAGGGTAGTAGCATGATGACTGGCGCGAAGGCGAGAGGGGGAAAATAAAACAAGAATAAAATATCTATGCCAGACAGATCTCACCGAGGGCATGAGAAGCCAGGATAGTGGTGACCTGGCGGTGTGAGGGGTTGGCAATGACTGGAAAGGGGCACAAGAGAACCTTCTAGGGTGTTGAAAATGCTCTTATCTTGATCTGAATGGTGGCAACCCAGATGAATAAATATATAAAGCTGCGCGGGGCGCAGTGGCTCATGCCTGTAATCCCAGCACTTTGGGAGGCTGAGGCAGGCAGATCACCTGAGATCAGGAGTTCGAGACCAGACTGGCCAACATGGTGAAACCCCATTTCTACTACAAATACAAAAAGTAGCTGGGCATGGTGGCAGGCGCCTGTATCCCCAGCTATTCAGGAGGCTGAGGCAGGAGAAGCACCTGAACCTGGGAGGTAGAGGTTACAGTGAGCTGAGATTACACCACTGCACTCCAGCCTGGGTGACAGAGTGAAACTCCATCTAAAAAAGAAAAAAGTAAAGCTGCAACTGAGGTGGATATGTAAGATTTGTGTGCTTTTTACCATCTATCATCTCAGGGAAGCTACCTCTCCTCTCTGAGCCCGTTTCCCCAGCTATAAGATGGGGATGCAGGCAGCCACAGTGGGTATTACTACCAGCTCCTCCAGGCTGGCATGGGCAGGTGTGCCTGCCCTCCTGTGTGGCCGGTACCTACAGCCACTGGATGTGGTTCTTGGACTTCTTGGCAATGAGCTGGATGCCCTCAAGGACGTTGGTGATGTCATAGATGCGCCGCTTCTGCACCTTCAGCACCTCGGCAGCCCAGTTCAGGTCGACGACACCGTCAGCCGAGTGGCTCAGCAGCTCCAGGAAGCGCTTGGTGGTCAGATTCAGTGAGGTCTCATAGCGTGACTTCTCCCCCGGGGATTTCACACCTGTGGGGGTGTGGTCAGGCAAGACAGGGCCCTTCAGCATCCACCCCCACCTCCAGCCAGGCCTGCCACTCTGGCAGTGCAGGGCAGCAGGATGATGGGGGCTGGGGGACAGCCAGCTCCTTCCCCTTGGCGAGGCCAACCACAGCATTCTTCTTCTGGCTGGGGAACTCCTCACCCCTCAGGGCCTGGAGAAACCAAGCCAGGTGGCCACTCCAACTGCCCATCAGGGTCCTCAGAGGCCTGGCTCAAGCCCGACAAGCCAGACGTTAGCTTGCAAGCATGTTTGTCTGTTCACATCCCTAACCTGGGCCTGGTCACAGGGGGTCTGCCCAGCCCAAGCTCCATAGGTACCTTTTCCTGGATGGCGGCCTCTGCCCCGAGCTGGCCCACTGCTCTCGGCCAGGTACTGATGGTCAGTTTCCAGGTCCAGCCTCCGCTTCACCTGTGGCGAAAACGGGAGGATGCCCAGTAACCAGGAGTGAGGCCAGAAGAGACCTGGCTTAAGGCTGGGTGCCTCTGGGCTACCCTCGCCTCAGTTTCTCTAGCAGGATGCCTGAGTGTGTGACTGAGGGAGATCAGAGGGGACATAGCCTGAGAGTCACAGTCCTACCACACAGGACATTCCATTTTCACCACTTCTCTGGGGTCTAGCGGTGGATTTAAAACACATCCGCAAACTTTCTGATCCTTCTCCTTCAAAAGATATAGCCTAATTCTCCCCTTATGAGCCAGACCTGGTAACTTGCTTCTGGGGATGAATGAATGGAATGTGGTGGAAGGGATGGCCTGTCACTTTTGAGACTGGGTCAGAGGCGCTGGAGCTTCCTCCTTGCTCTGTATTGGGTCACTTACTCTGCCATATCATATGGGCACTCAAGTAGCCCTAATGATGGGCAAGAAACCATGGCCTCCTCCCAACAGCAACACTTAGTCACAACTTCTGTTAGCAGCCAGAACCCAAACACTGGCTGAATCTCCAGAGACCCCAAGCCAGAGCTGGATAAGTCTTCCCTGAATTCCTGACCCACAAAAACTATATAATAAATGTTTGTTGTTTTAAGGCACTATTTTTTTTTCTTTTTTAGACAGGGTATCGCTCTGTTGACTATGCTGGAGTGCAGTGGTATGATCACAACTCTCTGCAGCCTAGACTTCCTGGGCTCAAGCAATCCTCCCACCTCAGCCTTCCAAACAGCTGGGACCACAGGCGCATCCCTCCAAGACCAGCTAACTTTTCTATTTCTCGTAGAGATGGGGTCTCCCTATGTTGCCCAGACTGGTCTCAAACTCCTAGGCTCAAGCAATTCTCCCATCTCAGCCTTCACTGTAGTCGTGCTGGGACTAGTCAGCCACCATGCCCAGCTAAGCCACTGATTACATAGGTCCCTTGGCTAAATCACCTTCTCTCTGGTTTTTGACTAATCTATACGCATGGTAGCAGCTGGTGCTCATCAAGTTCCTTGCATCCATTAGTTCATTCCATTCAACGGACTGGCTGTATAAAAATGGCCCCATTTTCCAGATAAGGCAACTAAAGCCCAGGGAGGCCCAGGAAGTGGTAGAGTCAGGATTTGTACCCAAGACGGTCTGAGGAAGAACCCAAGCTCTAAGCACTCTGGCTTAGTTCAGACACTCCAGGATTGGGACTGTCCTGGAGGTCTCACAGGCTGCTCAAAAGTACCCGGACCAAAACCAGACTGATCTTCCCCTCCACCATCCACAGGGTTTCCTGAGCTAGAGTTCCTGACCTGTCACCCTCCTCACATGCAGCTACCAAGAACTGCTCATCACCACGGCGATCACCACCTTCCCAGTGGGCTGCTGAGCAGACTCCACACTGGTCTCCCTGCCTCTGCTGCAGCCAGTCCTCCTACAAACCTTACCATGCCGCCGCCCCTGCTTAAGGCCTTCCTCCAGCTCCCCATTGCCTTTGTACTCTCATCTGCCACTGCTTCTCTAGAGGAACCCGAGTCACGTTTTCCCAGAAATCTAGACTGCCCTTGCATCCCTCCCACCCTCCCCACTTCACGCCTGCTCCCTCTACCTCTGTGGGCAGAAACCTTACGCATCAGCTAGGAGGTGTCACCTCTTCTCCCTCTGAACTGCCTCAAACCCAACCTTTTGCCACATTCTGTCTCTCCCTACACATTTCTGCAGATGTATCTATCTCACCCTCAGAGGTGTCTGAATCACTTGAGAATCTATAGTGTCTGCCATGGAGCCTGGCATCAACAAATGTTTGCTGAATGAACCCCCCCCATGCTGATGAACCACTCCCTCTTGTGCACATTCACTGACTTTTGAAGGCACCCAGGGGAAAGAAGAGCTGTTGTGCTCTAAGCACTGTGTACTCAACTGCTTCCCCTGCAACCCTCCGGCCACCTTTTGGCAGGTGCTATGATGGCCTCCACCTGAGAGAGGCCACACAGTGAGAGGTGGACCCAGGACTTGCACCCTAGTTGGCTGGTACAGAGCCCACACTCATACCCGCCACGTGCCCCACCTCCCCAGAACCCAGCCAGAATGTATCCCCCTCCATACTCGCCCCTGGGGCCCAAACCCTAGCATGCTTCTGCCATCTGCACCCCTTGCCTTCTCCCTGGGATCCCCACCCTTGTCCACCCCTGAAGGCAGGTCAGTGCCACGCCCTAAAACAAAGGCTTGAGTGGATGCCATTTCTGCCACTTCTCCCTAGATAAACACTGGCAGAGGGGCCCCGAAACGCAGGGGTGAAGACATTCACTGCTGAAAAAATCTGGATGACTCGAACACCCATCCATGAAGGGGGTCACGAAAGCTGTGCTTTGTTTAGCCCCTTGAACACCACGCAGCTGTCAAGGACCGAGGCAGGTTGACAAGAATCCCCTCACACATACAGACAAGCAAAACACTGTCACAGGGCGATATATTTATATGATCCCTTTTGGATTAAAAAGCTCATGAAACTTTTCTCTGGTTCAGTTTATATTATTATAGAATACATTTCGGGGCAGCCTCTGGAAGGACTGTGGGAGACCAGTGCCATATCTGAATGGTGTGAATGATACAGGAAAAACTACAATTTTTAAAACTTTAAAAAACAAAAACTGTCACAACCACCACAAACAAAAATAGCCTTAGGGAAAAAAAGGAAAAAAATGAATAGGGCTGGGATCCTGCCGTCAACTTTCTAGTTTCTTAAGAGTTAAGTTTTTGGCCAGGCGCAGTGGCTCACGCCTGTAATCCTGGCACTTTGGGAGGCCGAGGCGGGCAGATCACTTGAGGTCAGGAGTTCAAGACCAGCCTGACCAATATGGTGAAACCTCATCTCTACCAAAAATACAAAAATTAGCCGGGTATGGTGGTGCACGTCTGTAGTCCCAGCTACTCGGGAGGCTGAGGCAGAAGAATCGCTTGAACCCAGGAGGTAGAGGTTGCGGTGAGCCGAGATGGCGCCACTGTACTCCAACCTAGGTGACAGAGCGAGACTTCATCTCAAAAAAAAAAAAAAAAAAAAGAGTTAAGAGTTAAGTTTTCAGCTGGGCATGGTGACTCACACCTGTAATCCCAGCACTTTGAGAGGCTGAGACAGTCAGATTGTCTGAACTCAGGAGTTCAAGACCAGCCTGGGCAACATGGCAAGACCCTCTCTCTACTAAAAATACAAAAATTGGCTGGGCATGGTGGTACACGCCTGTAATCCCAGCTACTCGGGAGGCTGAGGCACAGAATAGCTTGAACTTGGGAGGCAGAGGTTGCAGTGAGCCGCAATCACGCCACTGCACTCCAGCCTGGGTAACAGAATGAGACCCTGTCTCCAAAAAAAAAATAAATAAATAAATAAAAAAGTTAAGTTTTCTACATTAAACATGTATTATAGTTATAATACTTGAGTTTGTGGAAGTGGACAGGCAGGGCCAAGAGGAATGGCTGAATTGCAGAGCCTTGTATACAGAATGCCTGCTGGTATAGAAGCTAAGCCTGTAGCTTATTTCAAGGACTGTGCCAGACAAATGCCAGTGCAGAGAGGCCAAAAGCCAAACCTGTGGACTTTCTGGACTTCAGTTCCAGAATGGTGCCAGCCTCCTGGCCCTTAAGTACACTGGGGGCCAGGGCTCCTTGTCTCTGGGCCTAGTGCCTCCTGGGCATTCACTAACTCAACAACTGTTGAATGAATGGAATGCCCAGGCCAATGAGCCTGCCCCTGACAGGTGGAGTGGAGGGCATTTTTCTTTGCCCCTGTCCCTCCCTTTGATCCTAGAACCCATAATCCTGTTCAGATCTTTGAGGACAAGACCCTCAGGTTGTTAGATTTCCGCAGACCTGAGCCTTCTATAATGCTTGTCACACAGCTGAATGGAAGATGCTTGCCCAGGTCCCAAGTGGTACCCACAGGAACAGGCCCCTGGAGTACAGGAGACAGGCCACCTGGCCCACCCCTGGTACAACCCCCTCCCACCCACTCATTAAGAGGGAGGGCCCCTAAAAGCCCTTCTTGCCCTTTCTTCAACCTGTATCAGCATCCCCAGAAAGCAAGGCATCCCAGAGGTCAACCTCAGAGGAAACGCAGACTGCTCTCCCCACTCAAGAGCAGAATGACATGGGAAGATTCTAACATCTCTAGGCCTCAGCTTCCCAATCTGTAAAAAGGGACTGCTGCTGATGGGGTTAAATGAGTTAATTAAGTAAAGCGCTTGGCACAGAGCCTGGCACACAAGACATCCTCAAAACAATGGTGGCTGCTATTGTTATTATTATTAGCATTGTGGTGATTCCGGAAGGCAGCACTGGGCATGGGGCCAAGGGGGTTGGGGGAGCCTCCTCAGGATGCCTCAGGGACCAGCTGCCACCCACACCCCCATCAGCAGTTAGGCAGCTTCTACCTCCTTGTCCTGAGTCCTGCCTCACCCCTCCCACTTGCTCCAAGTTCCCTGCTGAGACCCCATCCTGCCTGGCCAGACCCCGCCTGCACACCAGAGCCCCACCTTCACCCATAGGCTGCGCCAGTCAAACTGGTCTCCACACCCTGCCCTGTGCCCCACAGTTCCCAGCTCCAGGCTTCTACGCCTCCAATCCCTTCTCCCACTGGAATTCAGCCGCCTCTTCTGGGCCCTCCAGTCTGAATTCGTCTTGAGCTCAGCGATCAGGGAGGGCTTTATTAAAGGATCTCCCTGAGACATTTTCTCTCCTGGCACTGGGGGCCTCCTCTCCAGCTCCCAGAGGCCCAGCCCACCTAGTCCTTCTACAGAGACTCAGGGGTCGGCCTGCCTGATTAATGAGGTTCCATGGCAACCAGGGCCTGGGAGGGTGGAGGGTGGCAGATGGAAGGACAGGCAGAGGGAGGGGATCAGCAGCTGGTCCAGCTGCCCCGCCCCTGCAGAGAAGGCCTCCCAGCCAGGAGGGCTGTCCCCAGAGGCCTGGCCGGCCAGGCCTGCACCTGGCAGTCAGCATCGAGGCAGGAAGGAGGGTCTCCTCAATGGCTCACCAACGGTTAGGCCCCAGGACTTTCCTCCGCCCCGCCTTCACTTCCCCTAGCAGCTGTGCTCACTACCGAGATGCAAATTCTGAGCTGAAGCCAGCAGGCCTCAGTTCAAATCCCAGCCCCACCACCTGCAGCCGTGTGACCAGGGGCAAGTCACTTTCCCTCTCTGGGCCTCAGTTCCTCCTCCGTCAGATGGGCACAGTGACAACACAGCTCACAGCGGGGTTGTGAGTTTTAGCTGGCTTGAAGTCGCCCAAAGGCCTGGCATGCAGTAAACGCCAGTTGAATACACGTGGGCTATTATTATCACTGAGTCCGACGCTGGGGAGGCTCCGGTGAGGAAGCTGAGGCGCAGAGCACAGAGCAGCAAACAGGGACCGGCCCGAGGTCACCCCGCACCCCAGGGCGGGGCCCGGAGGCCCAACCCCGGCTCTGCACCGCCCAGCCTGGGCGCCTCAGTCAACCCCTCCCCCGCCCCCTGCCGCCTCCAGGCCAAACACGGCGCCCTCCCGGGTCTGCGCGGGGGGCACAGGCGGCGCTGTCGGCGCGGCGTCCCTGGGGTCCGTACCGGCGGGCGGCCGAGCGCGGGCCGCGGCGCACTGGGTGTGGGCCGGGGCGCCTGCGGTGTGGCGAAGAGCAGCAGGTCAGGGTCGCAGGGGCCGGCGGCGGGCGCCGCGGGGCCGGTGGGAGCCGGCGGGGCGCTGGCGTCCTGCGCGGCGGAGATGATGACGATCTGCGAGGAGTCGAGCAGCCGCAGCGCGCCGGCCCCGAGCAGGGCCTCCAGCGCCGGCGCGCATGGGCCGCCCGCAGGGGCCCCGGCCAAGGCCATGACGCTCACGGCCCGCGCGGCCCGGGTGACAGGCGGCGGCGGCGGCGCGGGCCCATGGCGGCAGGCCTCGGCGAGGGCTCGATCCCGCTCCGCCCCCGGCCGCCGCTGCCTGCAAAGTCCCGGCCACTTTTACGCGCCAAATCCTTTTTGCCGCGAAAGAGCCACGAGCCGCCGAGCGCCGCCACAATTGGCTGCCCCGGCCGTGACGGGAACAACGGCGGCGGTTCCTATTGGCTTTAACGCGCCGGACCCGGCGGCGAGGGGCGGGATGGGGCGGCGGCGCGGGGCGGTACGGCCAATGGCGGGGCGGGGCGCGCGCAGGCTTTGTCCGGATGGTACCAGGCGCGGTGTGACTCCCCGCCCCCAGCCCGGGCGTCCCCTGCTGGAGGCGTGGGGACACCGGAACATAGGCCCCGCCCCGCCCCGACGCTCCCGCATCCCACTGACCTTTCTATAGTGCAGGTTCAGAACAGAGCCTCTCTTCTGCACGTGACCCTCAACCTGTAGCCCCCAACAGCCTCAGCTTAGATTTCCAGAGACTGTCCCCTCTTCTTTTCAGGATCATCAGTTCCACAGCCCAGCCATCAGCCACCTCTTCCATCCTCAACTTGCCTCACCCATGACATTATCCTAATCCTGCACCCAGCCCTATCCCGCTCACCCAGAGCCCAAGCTGAAGAGCGGTGCCTGGAAATGGCGAGGGGGACGTCGGGCTTTCCTGCAAGTCCCATTTTAGCCAAAATCTCCAACAGCCAACGTATAGCATCTGCTTGAACTCATTCATTCCCTCACTCATTCAACAAACGTTTGGAGAGCTTGCTCTGTGCCCCATCCTCAATTCGTGGCCCTAAGGAGCTCACAGTCCAGTAGACAGGGGAACAGAAAGGTAACAGACGTTTACAATACGATGAAGTGGCGTCTGGGCGCGGTGGCTCACCACCGGAATCCCTGTAATCAGCTGGCGGGGTGGATCGCATGAGCCCAGGAGTTCGAGACCAGCCTGATCAACATGGTGAAGACCCATCTCTACAAAAAATACAAAAATTAGCCAGGCATGGTGGCGTGTGCCCGTAGTCCCAGCTACTTGGGAGGCTGAGGTGGGAGGATTGCTTGAGCCCGAGAAGTCGAGGCTGCAGTGAGCTATGATCATGCCACTGCACACCAGCCTGGGCGACAGAGCGAGATCCTGTCTCTAAAACAAAAAAAGAAAACACATCACTTCTAGGGAGCCCTCCCAAGGATTTACTCACTTCCTCTATTGCCCACTGCTGCCTCTGCTCCAATGCTGACCACACACACTCCTTTTCTCCATCTGCCTCCCCTGCCAATCTAGGAGCTCAGTAGCGACTCCTCCCAACACTGGTCTGGCCCAGAGCAGGCGCTGAGAAAGGTTATGAAAGAAACAGAGGCTAAGCCAGAGGCTGCCTAGACTGTGACAAGGAGACCACGGTTCTGCAAGGGTGGTCCTTAGGCCACTGGCTTCAGAACCACGTGGTCACTTGCTAATTTTGGGCCCACCCTGGCCCTGCCAATTTAAAATCTCTAGGTGCCCAAGAATCTGCATTTTAACAATGCCATGTCCCCTTTCCAGGTGATATTTGTTATTCTTTTTCTTTTTTTTTTTTTGACACTTAGGGAATTAGAAAAGCCAGTATCTTATTTTTTTTTTCCTATTTATTTTATATAGACGAGGTCTCACTATGTTGCCCAGGGTAGTCTCAAACCCCTGGGCTCAAGAGATCCTCCCGCCTCAGCCTCCAGCATAGCTGGTACTCCAGGTGACTGCCACCTCACCAAGCTTCCAGGTTATTTTTATGCATACTCACATTTGAAAGCAAACTGGTGTACCAGCATAATCAAAATGAGTGGTGCAGCCTCAAATCACAGCTCCTGAGGATGCTTCTCACCCTTAGTTTCAAATGGGCACACAGACCTTGCCCTGGCCCCTTCCAGGGTTGCCAGGAGAATGAAAAGCATAAGGAATTGGAAAGTGTTTTACAAACTATGAGGTGGTTTAGGAAATCAGGAGTTGTTTTCCCCTCCAATGAGTAGTTTCTGAAATTACTCATTGCAAATCCTAGAATGTATCATAGCTAGAAGGGACCACAGAGACCACATAAGCCTCTTGCTGTATGGATAGGAAAACTGAGGCCCTTTCAGGAGAAAGTAACTGTGAAGCCAACCAGTGACCAAATTGGGCCTACACTGCATTCCCAGCCCTGAGGTCTGCCTGTCCCCCTTCCCCATCCCCTCTCCATAAAGAAGCTGAGGGGTAGGTCCCATTCTAAACAACCAACGCAGGTGCTGGCAGAGAGCAAGAGAAACCAGCACATTCCCATTCCAGATGGAAAGAGTGTCCTTTCCCTGCACCTTCCCACAGGGTCCCAGTAACACTAACATTCATTTGTGTGAAGCCCTCTCAAACCCAAGTCATTCAACAAACACTTATTAAGCACCTATTATATACCAAGCACTGTGCTGGTTTAACTGTGGTGGCTGGCAAAGAGAGATGTCTATTATTATTGCTCCATTTTATGATGAGGAAATTTGAGGCCAAAAGGGCCTGAGTTTACCAAGTAGATGAAAAGGTTATTTTTCAGGCTTGGTGAGGCTGAGGTTGGGGGTTTTCCAAAGTCCTGCCCGCCCCAGAGTATTCAAGTACACATCCAGGTAGAAGTAGGCGCCCTCCGTCCCACAATCCTTCAGGTCCTGCTGAAGCAGAAAGGAGTGAAGACCAGCATTCCTAGCATGAAACTGAGGAAGAGATAAGGGCCTTCTGTACCTATTAATACCTACTTGAAAGCAGAAAAGCCTGATAGATGAGGCCCCTTGGCCCTAAGCCTGGCAGCTCCTGATAAGGCTGTTCTCAATGTCAACAGTTTTCAAAAAACAGTTTCCAAAAAATCCACAGTCACTGGGCAGCCACTTCCATTGATGATCTCCTTTCAACCCCATAATCCCGTAAGTAAGCTTGTTTATCCACATGGTGCAGGAAGGAAGAGGCTCAGAGAGGGGCATTCATAGCTCAAGGTCACACAGCAGAACTGAGATGAGAACTTCACTTGTCCCACTGCAAAACCCAGGACCTGCCCTTGCCACCCTCTGTAAATACCCCAAAAGCCAGGCTCAGGGCTGTCAAGATTATAAAGTGTAGTTTCTAAAGGGTATTATGGTGGATAGTGGCTTGGTTCATAGGTGCTTATTTCCATCACCACCTTCACCAACCAAACTAGAGGAGTTCGAGGGGATGCAATCTGTTGGGCCCACAATCCTGTGCCTGGAGACCTCTTTCCCTTGGTTCTTTCCAAGAAGCAGAGTGGTGTAGAGGTGATAGCATGGGCTTCTAAATCAGGTGGGTGTAATCAGAAATCTTGGTCAACATGACCTTGGACAAGTCAATTCACTTCATTCAATCCACAGATATTTACTGAGCACCTATTATGTGTCAGACATTGTGCTAGGTGCTGGGGACACAGTTATAAGTAAAACAGACCCCTGGAACTCACAGTCCAGTGGGAAAGTTAGGAATTATTTCTCTGTCACTGCACAGTATGCTTGTTAAGAAGTTTGACAAGTGACACAAATAATTTAAACCTATTTATTCCACAAACAGCACCTCCCCTAAGCATACATTCTTAGCTTACAAAAAAACAAAAATTCACCAAACATGAATATCCAGTCATGATAAGGAATGCATAATTGGGAGAAAAGATTCTGTGATGACTTAATTTTATGAAGGGCACAGAGATGTCCATTGTTGAGTTGTGGCAGAGGGAGGTGGGGAGTTTTGCATCTGCAACAATCCCTCAATGCTACCCTGACTGACAGTTTACTGTCCCTGGAGATATTCTGTCACTGTGCCAGTTCTGGCTATATCTGAACAGACCTCTTGCCCATCCAAAAGGCAGTCTAACATAGAAACAAGCCTTTGGAGTCGGGTGGCCCCCAACCCTGTGGCTTCCCGCCTCTGTGATCTTGGGGAAGTGATTCACCCTCTTGAAGAGCTTTGCTTGCCTCATCTGCAGAACAACAGATAACAGCTTCTTTACACGATGCGTGTCAAAGTTTAAGAAAACAAAACAAGCAGAGTTTGCAAACTGGCCCCCAGATATAACTCAATTTGCCCATAGAAGATTTTTCTTGAATTATGAATTTGTTTTAAGATTTGAGGAAATTGGAAAATACCATATAAAAATTAACATGTCTGGCTTTTCTTTCTCTTTTCTTTTTTTTTTTTGAGACGGAGTTTCACTATTGTTGCCCAGGCTGGAGTGCAGTGGTGTGATCTCGGCTCACCACAACCTCCGCCTCCCGGGTTCAAGTGATTCTCCTGCCTCAGCCTCCCCAGTAGCTGGGATTACAGGCGCCTGCCACCAAGCCCGGCTAATTTTGTATCTTTAGTAAAGACGGGGTTTCTCCATGTTGGTCAGGCTGTTCTCGAACTCCTGACCTCAGGTGATCCGCCCGCCTCGGGTTCCCAAAGTGCTGGGATTATAAGCGTAAGCCACCGTGCCTGGCCTCTTTTTTTTTTTCTTTTGAAATGGGAGTCTCCCTGTCACCCAGGCTGAAGTGCCGTGGCGTGATCTCAGCTCACTGCAACCTCCGTCTCCCAGGTTCTGGCAATTCTCCTGCTTCAGCCTCCCAAGTAGCTGGGATTACAGGTGTGTGCCACCATACCAGGCTAATTTTTGTATTTTTAGTAGAGACGGGGTTTCACCATGTTGGCCAGGCTGGTCTGGAACTCCTGACCTCAGATGATCCACCCGCCTCGGCCTCCCAAAGTGCTGGGATTACAGGCGTGAGCCACCACGCTTGGCCTCTGGCTTTCTTTTCAAACAGCAGTATCTGGCTATACTGGCCAGGCCATCACGGTGCTAAACAGTTGTTGTCCCCCAGCTAGCGAGGGCCTTACCCTCCAGGCCACCAGAGTCCTTCCCTGGCATGCCTCACTCAGTTCTTGCCCTGCCATTCCAGGGATGAACAGCCACCCCTCATGTACAGTGCCTGGCACAGAGTGAGCACCCAAAAAATGTGAGCTGCTGTTAGTCTTATTACCGCCAAGGAACTGACTGGTACCAGCACAGCTTCTCTGCCTTGCAAGTAACCAAAGATAACATATGGACAGGCCGGGTGTCGTGGCCCATGCCTGTAATTCCAGCACTTTGGGAGGCCGAGGCAGGTGGATCATCTGAGGTCAGGAGTTCGAGACCAGCCTGGCCAACATGGTGAAACCCCGTCTCTACTAAAAATACAAAAATTAGCTGGGCGTGGTGGTGGGCACCTGTAATCCCAGCTACACAGGTGGCTGAGGCAGGAGAATTGCTGGAACCTGGGAGGCAGAGGTTGCAGTGAGCCAAGACTACACCATTGCATTCCAGTCTGGGCAACAAGAGTGAAACTCCATCTAAAAACAAACAAACAAACAACAACAACAACAAAAACATGGACATAGAAGAGAGGGAAAAGTGGATATTCGTGGCTGGGTGCGGTGGCTCACGCCTGTAATTCCAGCACTTTGGGAAGCCGAGGTGGGTGGATCACCTGAGGTCAGGAGTTCGAGAGCAGCCTGACCAACATGGTGAAACCCCATCTCTATTAAAAATACAAAAATTAGCTGGGTGTGGTGGCAGGCGACTGTAATCCCAGCAACTTGGGAGGCTGAGGCAGGAGAATCACTTGAACCGGGGAGGTGGAGGTTGTAGTGAGCCAAGATCAAGCCATTGCACTCCAGCCTGGGTGACAGAGTGAGACTCCATCTCAAAAAAAAAAAAAAAAAGGCAGATATTTGTAATCAAACAGCAGACAGGGGGTTTGGTGCCAGCCAGCAGCCTGGCTGTGTGGCCTTGGCCAAGTCCTTCACCATCAGTTGGCCCATATGTTCCGTGGGTTCAGGCCAGAGGGTCTGAGGTCCAAGGTAACTGCATAGGTCTCAGTCGATTCTCAAGTCTCCCCCCAGCCCTGGTCACTCTCTGAGTGCACGCTCTGGGGACCTCCCTTCTCTCCAAGCCTCACCCATGGCAACTTCCTTTCTCTGCGTCACCCAAGCCTCTCAGGAGGGGTCATGCTTTTCCAAGGAGTGGGGCGAAACCGGACATATGACTATGCCTCCTCTGACCAGGGCCACAGCGAAGGTGGGAGTAGGAGGCCTTTACAGTTGAGGGGCTCAGTTTTTTCATCTGTAAAATAGTGATGATAATAATCATAGTGTTTACCTGATGGAGTTGTTAGGACATTGAGTTATTAACATGCCTGGCACATAGGGAGAGCTCAATGAATGTCAGCTGTTGTGAAGAGTGCAGAATGACTCCCTGAAGTGGCTTGCCTACACTCCCCTCTCAATTTTTCCTCTGAAGAAATGCTTCTTGCTGGGCGCAATGGCTCACGCCTGTAATCCCAGCACTTTGGGAGGCCAAGGCGGGTGGATCACCTGAGGTCAGGAGTTCGAGACTAGCCTGGCCAACATGGCGAAACCCCATCTCTACTAAAAGTACAAAAATTAGCCGGGCGTGGTGGCAGACGCCTGTAATCCCAGCTACTCAGGAGGCTGAGGCAGGAGAATCGCTTGAGCCTGGGAGGAGGAGGTTGCAGTGAGCCAAGATCACGCCAATTGCACTCCAGTCTGGGCGACAGAGCAAAATTCTGTCTCATAAAAAAACAAAACAATAAAAAAATTAGCTGGTTGTGGTGGCACACACCTGTAATCCCAGCTACTTGGGAGGCTGAAGCAGGAGAGTTGCTTGAACCCAGCAAGTGGAGATGGCAGTGAGCTGAGATCGCGCCACTGCACTCCAGCCTAGGTGACAGAATGAGACTCTGTCTCAAAAAAAAAAAAAAAAACAGAAAAAAACGAAAAACTTGTTAGGCTGCAGAATAGCAGAATTTTCATGAAGCAATTCCTGCACTGCCTCCCACATTCTATTAGCCACAAGGAGGAAAAAAAAAAAACTATGTTTGGAGGGCAACGAAGCGTGTAAAATGAAATAATACCATATTCCATTGATTCTGACACCTTTTCTTTCATATTTTAACCTCTCTGAAATTGAGGTGCATCCTAGGATCAGTGGAATATCCATTTGTAGTCAGTAACTATTTTTCTTAGGGGCTCAAAACGGCATATCTCATATTGGATGGCATCTTAGAAGTGACAAGCTGTGGTGTACAAAAAGTGCCAGGCTCAGGGCCCGCCACGTCACAGGCCCTCAGGTTGTCCTCATGACCTTCAGCATCCCCAGCACATTCGAGGCTGGTCATGGTGGAGTGATCAGCTTTTCTTTCTTTTTGTCATTTTCTCACTGACACCTGCTGACCTGCATTTGGTCCCCGGCTTGACAGGCACATGGCAAATGCAGTCAGGGAGGCATATGGGGAGGGCTCAGGATGGGAAGAGAAAGACTTTTTATAATATATTAAGATATTCAAAGAGGAGGAGCCAGAGATTCTTTTTTTAAAAAACAAACAAACAAACAAAAAAATCCCCGCTGGAAGCCAGAGTTATATATATGCCACACAGGCCAGGAAACCCAGCAGGCCTCCTGGAGCTGGCAGCAAACCGAAACAGGGGTATTGTGTCCAGGCCACTGGCTGGCTGAGGGACATTGTTAGGGCCTTGCCCTGTCTGGGAAAAGGGGGGTGGCGGGGCAGGGGGAGTGTGTTCCCATGACTCCCTGGGGAGTAACAACAATTGGGCCAGCTGGGAAGCCGGGGATGCCAGGGGCCCAGTGGGCAGGAGGTAGGCCCCCGAGGGGCCATGGAGGGCACTGCGGAGGCTGAGGAGGTGGGGTGCGGGGGAAGGAAGGTCAGGGTCTGTTTCTTAGCTGGGAGGCAAGGCCTAGGAGGGGAAACATGGGCGTCCTTCACTACACCCCTCCCTCACCCCCTCCAAAGCCCTGGGCCACTGTGTCTCTCTCGAAAGTGCACCCCAGATGTGCCCACTCTTCTCTACCTCTGTCGTCACCCACCCTGGTCTCCCTGCAGGACCACCACGTGGCTTCCTCACTGGGATGTATGCCACCGGCCTGGCTCCTACACTCTGTTCTATACATGAACTAGAAGGATCTTCCCCCAACATAACCCACATCACGTCACTCTCGTCTATACCTGCCACAGGCTGCCCGCCACACTTAGAAAAAAAGCCAGACCCCTTGCCCTGGCCCATGAAGCCTGCCTGGTGGATCCAGCTGGCCTCCGGCTTCATCTCCAGTGAGCCCCACCCCTGCACTCAGTCAGCCAGGCTGGCCCCTTCCCAGCCTTGGAATGCCTTGGCCTGCTCCCTCCTCAAAGCCTGTGCACTTGCAGAACTCTTGATTGGAACGCTCTTCCTCCAGGCTTGCAGAGCTCCCCCCTTGGTATTCAGGGCTCAGAGCAAACATCACCTCCTCAGAGAGGCCTTCCCCGGAAAACAGCCTCCCATTCTCTCCTCCCAAGCCCCCTCTATCACACTGCCCTGTATGACTTCATGGCACCCCCCACCCTCCAAAGTTCTGGAATGTGGTCATCATTGGTCAGTCTTCCCTCCTTAGGCTATGAGCCCCACGTGGGAACTGCTTTCTTTTGTCACTGAATCCTGGCCTCCACCACCACCTGGCACTTTCTAAGAACTCAGCCAACATTAGCTAGTATTTGTATGATTCCTGTGCTCAGGGCTTGGTAAACCATGCCAGCTGCGGCTGGGCACGGTGGCTCATGTCTGTAATCCCAGCACTTTGGGAGGCCAAGGCGGGTGGATCACTTGAGGCCGGCAGTTCAAGACCAGTCTGGCCGACATGGTGAAAACCCGTCTGTACTACAAATACAAAAATTAGCTGGGCGTGGTGGCACTTGCCTGTAATCCCAGCTACACAGGAGGCTGAGGCAGGAGGATCACTTGAATGCGGGAGACAAAGTTTGCACTGAGCTGAGATCACACCACAGCACTCCAGCCTGGGAAAGAGAATGAGACCCCTTCTCAAAAAAAAAAAAAAAAAAAAACAACCCAAAAAAAGGCACAATGCCCGCTGCTATGTGGTCAGGTGGGGAAGGCTACTCTTTTTTTTTTTTTTGAGACAGAGTTTCACTCTTGTTGCCCAGGCTGGAGTGCAGTGGTGCGATCTCAGCTCACTGCAACCTCCGCCTACCAGGTTCAAACATTCTCCTGCCTCAGCCTCCCTGGTAGCTGCGATTACAGGCATGTGCCACCACACCCGGCTAATTTTGTATTTTTAGTAGAGACGGGGTTTCTCCATGTTGGTCAGGCTGATCTCAAACTCCTGACCTCAGGTGATCCGCCTGCCTCGGCCTCCCAAAGTGCTGGGATTACAGGCGTGAGCCACCGTGCCTGGCCGGGGAAGGCTACTCTTGAGCAGGGAGTCAGAATCTGGGACCCATGGACCCCAAGTTCCATGAACTTAGACAGAAAAAAAATTACATTTTTATTTTCACTAGACTCTAACTGAAATGGAACATTTCGTTCCATTTTGAATGTAGGCAACAAACCAGACGACTGTTGGCAGCACGTGGGACTTTGTCCCCAATAGAAATCACAGCTGTTTCCATCTCCCCTCCCAGTGCTGTGGGTACCCTGGGATATGCTCATGCCTATCCTACCTCTGAAATCATGGCCATTTTGAACCTGATGCTAGATCTTTTTATTTTATTTATTTATTTATTTTGAGACGAAGTCTCGCTCTTGTCCCCAGGCTGGGGTGCAATTTCGCGATCTTGACTCACTGCAACCTCCACCTCCCAGATTCAAGCAATTATCCTGCCTCAGCCTCCCGAGTAGCTGAGACTACAGGCATGTGCCACCACGTCCAGCTAATTTTTGTATTTTTAGTAGAGATGGGGTTTCACCATGTTGGCCAATCTGGTCTCGAACTCCTGACCTCAGGTGATCTACCTGCCTCAGCCTCCCAAAGTGCTGGGATTACAGGCGTGAGCCACTGTGCCTGGCCAGATGTTGTTATTTAATGTGTTAAAGAAAGAACATGGCCGGGCACGGTGGCTCATGCCTGTAATCCCAGCACTTTGGGAGGCTGAGGCAGCGAATCAAGAGGTCAAGAAATCAAGACCAGCCTGGCCAACATGGTGAAACCCCGTCTCTACTTAAAATACAAAAATTAGCTGGGCGTGGTGGCACACGCCTGTAGTCCCAGCTAGTTGGGAGGCTGAGGCAGGAGAATCGCTTGAACCTGGGAGGCGAAGGTTGCAATGAGCCTCAATCGCACCACTGCACTCCAGCCTGGCAACAGAGTAAGACTCCATCTCAAAAATAAATAAATAAAAATAAAAAGGAGTGTCCTAAAGGAGCTGATGTGGTCTGGCCCTGATCCTTCTCCCAGCTGACATCCAGCCCACAAGGAGAAGCTGGAGGGAGAGGCCAGAAGAGCAATGAGAATGAGGTTTCTGTCGCAGACACTGGGACCCACACTTGCATTCCGCCTGGCTTCTGTCTTGTTTATTAAATTATGACATCTGCAGCAGCTTTGAGCACAGAGTCCCAGCACAGAAAACAGGTCCCCTCCGTTCAGAAGCCCTTTCTCAGAACAACACTCAGAAGAGAGCTCAGCTCTCCCTCTGTCTTCTTTATTTTTTAATTAATTTCATTTTTATTTTTTATCTAAAGGATTACATGATCATCATCTCCCTCTGTCTTCTATCTGGGCAGCACGAGAGTGGGTCCCACTCTACAGGGCACCCTCTGCTGAAAATCAAAACTTGCTCACCCCAAATGCCCTTCAAGGCTGAACTAAGACAAACTCTCCCCCTGTGAATCTGGAACGAGACAAGCGGAGGAAAAAAAATTTATTTTTATAAAGATCCTCAAATTTGTCATAGAAAGCAACCCATCTGAAGTCACAAATTGTGGTGACGTGGGCTTCGTTTTGAGAGGTTGAGTACAGCATGGTGTTCTGGTTTAGGAGAGAGCCACGTTCAAAGTCTGATTCTTATACACCCCAAATGCACTCATGGAGAGGTAAAAGTGAACAATGTGGAAGGAAACACTGTCACTAGAATCCCTTCTGCAGCTTCAGTGTGGAAGGCTGCAGCGGCGAGCATCAAACAAGGCAGCTTCTTGGCGTCTGGGCCTGTGAGTCACCGCGCTCACATGGGTTCACTTAGCATCTCTAATTTGGGAGCAGAGCAGCAGAAGAGGCCCAAATTAACTTGAGTTTTGTCCTTCCCCTTTTACTTGGAGTTCTGTGGGCCTGAATGCTTGGTGTCATCTACTGTAAGGCTCAGGACACCTGGGGCCATCGTCTTCACACTGATCACGGCAAGGATCTGCCCAAGATATTTGGGAGAGGAAGCTGTCAGGGGCGTAGGGGGAAAACAGGCTCAAAGAAAGGACTCACTTTTATATTGGATTATTGATCAAAGAGATCGCCGAACACACAGAGGACAAGGAAGAAATGCCAAAGAGTTGAGATGACATTGCAATGTAAAAGTTTCTTTTAAGATAAAAATAGGTGGCTGTGCATAGAATATTCCAGGAAGGCTGTATGAGAAAGTGCTAACAGTGGGTGCCCCAGCAAAGGAAGGGCCTAGGGATGCAGCACAGGTGTAGGAAGGAACCTGACTTTTCCCTGTTACACACTTTTTTTTTTTTTTCAGACAAAGTCTCGCTCTGTCACCCAGGCTGGAGTGCAGGGGTGTGGTCTCGGCTCACTGCAACCTCCACCTCCCAGGTTCAAGCGATCCTCCCAACTCAGCCTCCCAAGTAGCTGGGATTACAGGCGCACACCACCATACCTAGCTAATCTTTGTATTTTTAGTAGAGACAGGGTTTCACCATGTTGGCCAGCTGGTGTTGACCTCCTGACCTAAAGTGATCCGCCTGCCTCGGCCTCCCAAAGTGCTGGGATTACAGGTGAGAGCCACCATGCCCGGCCCTTTTCTTTGCAGGGGGCGGGGAAAGGGTCTCACTCTGTCACCCAGACTGGAGTGCAATGGCATGATCACAGCTCACTGCAGCCTCAACCTCCCGGGTTCAGGTGATCCTCCCACCTCAGCCTCCCCATGGTGTACATGCCACCATACCAGGCTAATTGTAATTTTTATAGAGACAGGGTCTCCCTCTTGCCCAGGCTGGTCTTGAACTCCTGGGCTCCAGCAATGAGCCTGCTTCAGGCTCCCAAAGTGTTAGGATTATAGCGTGAGCCACTATGCTGGCTATCAACTTTTTATAACTTTGAGTTTTGTACTATGTGTAGTATTGATTTAAAAATATTTTTTCTGCTCTCGCTCTCGCTCTCGCTCTCCCTCTCCCTCTCTTTCCACGGTCTCCCTCTGATGCCGAGCGGAAGCTGGACTGTACTGCTGCCATCTAGGCTCACTGCAACCTCCCTGCCTGATTCTCCTGCCTCAGCCTGCCGAGTGCCTGCAATTGCAGGCGCGCGCAGCCACGCCTGACTGGTTTTCGTATTTTTTTGGTGGAGACGGGGTTTCACTGTGTTGGCCGGGCTGGTTTCCATCTCCTAACCGCGAGTGATCCGCCAGCCTCGGCCTCCGGAGGTGCCGGGATTGCAGACGGTGTCTGGTTCACTCAGTGCTCAATGGTGCCCAGGCTGGAGTGCAGTGGCGTGATCTCGGCTCGCTACAACCTCCACCTCCCAGCCGCCTGCCTTGGCCTCCCAAAGTGCCGAGAGTGCAGCCTCTGCCCGGCCGCCACCCCGTCTGGGAAGTGAGGAGCGTCTCTGCCTGGCCGCCCATCGTCTGGGACGTGAGGAGGCCCTCTGCCTGGCTGCCCAGTCTGGAAAGTGAGGAGCGTCTCTGCCCGGCCGCCATCCCATCTAGGAAGTGAGGAGCGCCTCTTCCCGGCCGCCATCCCATCTAGGAAGTGAGGAGTGGCTCTGCCCGGCCGCCCATTATCTGAGATGTGCAGAGCGCCTCTGCCCCGCCGCCCCGCCCCGTCTGGGATGTGAGGAGCGCCTCTGCCCGGCCACAACCCCGTCTGGGAGGTGAGGAGCGTCTCTGCCCAGCCGCCCCGTCTGAGAAGTGAGGAGACCCTCTGCCTGGCAACCGCCCCGTCTGAGAAGTGAGGAGCCCCTCCGCCCGGCAGCCACCCCATCTGGGAAGTGAGGAGCGTCTCTGCCCGGCAGCCACCCCGTCCGGGAGGGAGGTGGGGGTCAGCCCCCGCCAGGCCAGCCGCCCCGTCTGGGAGGGAGGTGGGGGGGGGTCAGCCCCCCGCCCGGCCAGCCTCCCTGTCCGGGAGGGAGGTGGGGGGTGTCAGCCCCCCGCCCGGCCAGCCGCCCCGTCCGGGAGGGAGTTGGGGGGGTCAGCCCCCCGCCCGGCCGGCCGCCCCGTCCGGGAGGGAGGTGGGGGGGTCAGCCCCCCGCCCGGCCAGCTGCCTCGTCCGGGAGGTGAGGGGCGCCTCTGCCCGGCCGCCCCTACTGGGAAATGAGGAGCCCCTCTGCCCGGCCAGCCGCCCCATCCGGGAGGGAGGTGGGGGGGTCAGCCCCCCGCCCGGCCAGCCGCCCCGTCCAGGAGGGAGGTGGGGGGTCAGCCCCCCGCCTGGCCAGCCGCCTCGTCCGGGAGGTGAGGGGCGCCTCTGCCCGGCCGCCCCTACTGGGAAATGAGGAGCCCCTCTGCCCGGCCAGCCGCCCCATCCGGGAGGGAGGTGGGGGGGTCAGCCCCCCGCCCGGCCAGCCGCCCCGTCCAGGAGGGAGGTGGGGGGTCAGCCCCCCGCCTGGCCAGCCGCCTCGTCCGGGAGGTGAGGGGCGCCTCTGCCCGGCCGCCCCTACTGGGAAATGAGGAGCCCCTCTGCCCGGCCAGCCGCCCCATCCGGGAGGGAGGTGGGGGGGTCAGCCCCCCGCCCGGCCAGCCGCCCCGTCCGGGAGGGAGGTGGGGGTCAGCCCCCCGCCCGGCCAGTCGCCTCGTCCGGGAGGTGAGGGGCGCCTCTGCCTGGCCACCCCTACTGGGAAGTG
Organism: Homo sapiens; assembly: GCF_000001405.40. Lineage (NCBI taxonomy): Eukaryota > Metazoa > Chordata > Mammalia > Primates > Hominidae > Homo > Homo sapiens. The sequence continues at coordinate 33,700,166 of NC_000020.11, forward strand.
AGGAGCCCCTCTGCCCGGCCACCACCCCGTCTGGGAGGTGTACCCAACAGCTCATTGAGAACGGGCCATGATGACAATGGCGGTTTTGTGGAATAGAAAGGGGGGAAAGGTGGGGAAAAGATTGAGAAATCGGATGGTTGCCGTGTCTGTGCAGAAAGAAGTAGACATGGGAGACTTTTCATTTTGTTATGTACTAAGAAAAATTCTTCTGCCTTGGGATCCTGTTGATCTGTGACCTTACCCCCAACCCTGTGCTCTCTGAAACAGGTGCTGTGTCCACTCAGGATTAAATGGGTCGGTGCAAGATGTGCTTTGTTAAACAGATGCTTGAAGGCAGCATGCTCGTTAAGAGTCATCACCACTCCCTAATCTCAAGTACCCAGGGACACAAACACTGCGGAAGGCCGCAGGGTCCTCTGCCTAGGAAAACCAGAGACCTTTGTTCACTTGTTTATCTGCTGACCTTCCCTCCACTATTGTCCTATGACCCTGCTAAATCCCCCTCTGCGAGAAACACCCAAGAATGATCAATAAAAAAAAAAAAAAGAATTTAAAAAAAAATATATTTTTTCCTCTCCCTCTCCCTCTCCCCACGGTCTCCCTCTCCCTCTCCCCACAGTCTCCCTCTCCCTCTCTTTCCACGGTCTTCCTCTGATGCCGAGCCAAGGCTGGACTGTGCTGCCGCCGTCTCGGCTCACTGCGGCCTTCCTGCCTGGTTCTCCTGCCTCAGCCTGCCGAGTGCCTGCGATTGCGGGCCGCACCGCCACCCCTGACTGGTTTTCGTATTTTTTTGGTGGAGACGGGTTTTCGCTGTGTTGGCCGGGCTGGTCTCCAGCTCCTGACCGCAAGTGATCCGCCAGCCTCGGCCTCCCGAGGTGCCGGGATTGCAGACGGAGTGCTCAGTGCTCAGTGGTGCCCAGGCTGGAGTGCAGTGGCGTGATCTCGGCTCGCTACAGCCTCCACCTCCCAGCCGCCTGCCTTGGCCTCCCAAAGTGCCGAGATTGCAGCCTCTGCCTGGCCGCCACCCCGTCTGGGAGGTGGGGAGCGTCTCTGCCTGGCCACCCATCGTCTGGGATGTGAGGAGCCCCTCTGCCTGGCTGCCCAGTCTCGAAAGTGGGGAGCGTCTCTGCCCGGCCGCCATCCCATCTAGGAAGTGAGGAGCGGCTCTGCCCTCCCGCCCATCGTCTGAGCTGTGGGGAGCGCCTCTGCCCTGCTGCCCCGTCTGGGATGTGAGGAGCGCCTCTGCCCGGCCGCGACCCCGTCTGGGAGGTGAGGAGTGTCTCTGCCCAGCCGCCCCGTCTGGGAAGTGAGGAGCCCCTCCGCCCGGCAGCCGCCCCGTCTGAGAAGTGAGGAGCCCCTCCGCCGGGCAGCCACCCCATCTGGGAAGTGAGGAGCGTCTCCGCCCGGCAGCCACCCCGTCCGGGAGGGTGGTGGGGGTCAGCCCCCGCCCGGCTGGCCGCCCCGTCCGGGAGGGAGGTGGGGGGGTCAGCCCCCCGACCCGGCCGGCCGCCCCGTCTGGGAGGGAGGTGGGGGGGTCAGCCCCCCGCCCGGCCGGCCACCCCATCCGGGAGGTGAGGGGCGCCTCTGCCCGGCCGCCCCTACTGGGAAGTGAGGAGCCCCTCTGCCCGGCCGCCACCCCGTCTGGGAGGTGTGCCCAGCGGCTCATTGGGAACGGGCCATGATGACAATGGTGGTTTTGTGGAGTAGAGGAGGGGGAAGGGTGGGGAGAAGATTGAGAAGTCGGATGGTTGCTGTGTCTGTGTGGAGGGGGGTGGACATGGGAGACTTTTCACTTTGTTCTGTGGTAGGAAAGGTTCTTCTGCCTTGGGATCCTGTTGATCTATGACCTTGCCCCCAGCCCTGTGCTCTCTGGAACATGTGCTGTGTCCACTCAGGGTTGGGTGGATTGAGGGCGGTGCAGGATGTGCTTTGTTGGGCAGATGCTTGAGGGCAGCATGCTCGTTGACAGTCATCACCACTCCCTAGTCTCGGGTGCCCAGGGACACAGACACTGCGGAGAGCCGCAGGGTCCTCTGCCTGGGAAGACCAGAGACCTTTGTTCACTTGTTTGTCTGCTGACCTTCCCTTCACTGTTGTCCTATGACCCTGCGGAATCCCCCTTTGCGAGAAACACCCAAGAGTGATCAATGGAAAAAAAAAAAAAAACAAAGAAAAAAGGAACAGAAGCAAATGTGGCAACATCTTGATAACTGTTGGAACTGGACGTTGGGTACATGGGGTTCATTAAACTCTTTTCTCTAAAAAAAAAAAAAAAAAATATTTTTTTAGGCTGGGCGTGGTGGCTCATGCCTATAATCTCAGCACTTTGGGAGGCTGAGGTGGGCGGATCATGAGGTCAGGAGATCGAGACCATCCTGGCTACCATGATGAAACCCCATCGCTACTAAAAAAAAATGAAAAAATTAGCCGGGCATGGTGGCAGGCGCCTGTAGTCCCAGCTACTCGGGAGGCTGAGGCAGGAGAATGGCATGAACCTGGGAGGAGGAGCTTGCCATGAGCCGAGATCGCGCCACTGCACTCCAGCCTGGGCGACAGTGCGAGACTCCATCTCAAAATATATACACATATATATTTATTTATTTATTTATTTATTTTAGTCTTACATGTCAAAAGAATTAACAGGATTGTAGCAGGTGTTTAGTAAGTAGAGGTTAAACCATTCTATTTCAGGAACTAGCATTTAGGAAGCATAGCACTTACTGTGCAACAAGAGCCCTCTGGCCATCCCTGTTTTACAGGTCTTAGAGAATGGAGGGCAGCTAGGAAGGAGCCAAATGGGACTCCTCTCAGATCTGCTGGAAGGCAGAGCCCTGCTCCCCGGCACAGACCACACTGCCTTCCTCCCTGGAGTGTGCAGTTGGAAGCACCAGATGCTCTAGCAGCATCCAGAGAGATGCCATCTGTGAGGGAAACCTATTCTTAGAGAGCAGAGACAGTCGGTAGCGGAGTTGGCCAACCCCCAGCAGCAGTGGCGGGACTTCAGGAGGGCAGGCGGCCAAGGTTTCACCTTCAGCTGGGGGCAGGACAGGCTAAAAGCAGGGTGTGCTCAGTCCTCAGGGGCACACTTCCTCTACATTTGGATGCTCTTAGAAATAACAGCATTTATTGGGGACTCACTTTAACTGTGTCATATTCTTTAACCCTCCACACCACTCGATGAGGTGTGTGCTACGACAACGCCTACTTTATCAATGAGGAAATAGAGGCACAGAATGGCTCAGTCACTTGCCCAAGGAAACTGTGGGGCCAGGGCTTGAGCCCAGGCACTCTGGCTCCAAAGCCTATGTCCCTGACCACCATGCTATATTGCCTCTCAACCTGCTGTACAGAGGCCAGTTTTAGTTTGGGTTCCCCCAATAGCAGACTCTAAGACAAGGGTTTGAGTGCAAGTGGTTCATATGGGAAGTGGTCCCAGGAAGCACTGGTAGGGGCATGAGGAAGGGAGATGGGGAGGGTGTTTGAGGCTCAGCCCTGCTGGGCGGCCCTGGGAGTCAGTGTGGAGCACGCACCTCTGAGTTATCCCACCCGAGGGGTGAGGGATGCGGGCTGTGGGAGTGGGGGTATTTATCAGTCATTGGTTGAAGGTTGCTCCAAGGATGTGTTCATTCTCCAGCCCTTCAGGCCTGCCAGAGGCTGGCAAAGGAGGCACCAGTGACAAGCTAGAGTCCTCAGGCAGAAAGACAGAGGGGCGGCCACTGGCAAAGCTGGCTAGTGTGCACCAGAGTCGTTATTTAGAGGAGCTATAGGCAGGGCACCCCCACCATCTGCTATAAAACCTGCCTGGTGATGGCCCAAGCCCTCTGCCCTCCCCAACCCCTAGAGCAGCAGTCCCCAACCTTTTTGGCACCAGGGACCAGTTTTGGGGAAGATAATTTTTCCACGGACCACTGGGGAGGGGACGTGGTTTCAGGATGATTCAAGCACATTGCATTTACTGTGGATTTTATTTCTATTATTATTACCTTGTAATATATAATGAAATAATTGTACAACACACCATAATGTAGAATCAGTGGGAGCCCTGAGTTTGTTTTCCAGCAACTAGACAGTCCCATCAAGGCGTGACGGGAGACAGTGACAGATCATCAGGCATTAGATTCTCATAAGGAGCATGCAACCTAGATCCCTTGCATGCGCAGTTCACAATAGGGTTTGCATTCCTACGAGCATCTAATGCCACCACTGATCTGACAGAAGGCAGAGCTCAGGTGGTAATGTGAGCAGTGGGGAGTGGCTGTACATACAGATGAAGCTTCGCTAGCTCACCCACCTTTCAACTCCTGCTGCGTGGCCTGGTTCCGAACAGGCCATGGACCGGTACCGGGGTTGCGGACCCCTTACTCTAGAGCTCATTCAACCTCCACAGCAAGTTAAAGGAACTTCATAATTACCTACTCCAAGTTTGCAGTAAATGTTGTGGCTGAAAACACAGCTTACAGAATCAGACTGATCCCACCTCAATTACCTAAGGGCTCTGTGACTCATTTGTCAGATGGGATAATAATGGACGGCTCCATATCATTCCCCACCCCCTTGTTACTCAGAGCAGCACCACTGGCAGCACCAGGGAGCCTGGGAGAAATGCAGACTCTCAGGCCCCACCCCAGCTCACTGAATCAGAAGCTGCATTTTAATAAGGTCTCCAGTGACTCCTGCATACATTTCTACTAGTAACTTCTAAAATATAGAAAGAGTGATGGAGTAAGTATATTAATGAAAGTGTATCTACCAGACCAATGGTCTCAAATTGGTAGCCCATGGACCAGATTTTCCTGGAGACTTGTTTGATTTGTCCAGGATTGTGTTTTTTTTTTTTTTTTTTTTTTTGAGACAGAGTCTTACTCTGTCACCCAGGCTGAAGTGTAATGGAACTATCTCGGCTCACAGCAGCCCCCCAGGTTCAAGAGATTCTCCCACCTCAGCCTCCCAAGTAGCTGGAATTACAGGTGCCTGCCACCATGTCCAGCTAATTTTTGTATTTTTAGTAGAGACAGGATTTCGCCATGTTGGCCAGGCTGGTCTCGAACTCCTGACCTCAGGTGATCCACCCGCCTCGGCCTCCCAAAGTGCTGGGATTACAGGTGCAAGCCACCGTGCCTGGTCTAGGATCGTGGTTTCGAAAAAAGCAGACTTGGCCAGGCATGGTGGCTCACACCTGTAATCCCAGCATTTTGGGAGGCCAAGGTGGGTGGATCATGAGGTCAGGAGATTGAGACCATCCTGGCTAACACGGTGAAACCCCATCTCTACTAAAAATACAAAAAATTAGCCGGGTGTGGTGGCGGGCACCTGTAGGCCCAGCTACTCCGGAGGCTGAGGCAGGAGAATGGTGTAAGTAAACCTGGGAGGCAGAGCTTGCAGTGAGCCAAGATCGCGCCACTGCACTCCAGCCTGGGCGAGAGAGCAAGACTCTGTCTCAAAAAAAAAAAAAAAAGAAAAAATCAGACTGGTACACAAGTCTCCAGTTCCCTATGTCCCCATCACTCCTCATCGCATAGCACTATGTCATTGTAGGCCCCTATGGGCATTTGAATGTGTACCCCTTTCTGGCCCATATCCTATAATGAGCTAACATTTGCATAGCATGGCTTAGGTTTCTAAATTTGAAACAAGGCACTGGAAAAAACATGGGCTTTGAAATCAGACGAATCTGAGTTCAAATCTTGATTCGGCTGTTATACTAGCTGTATTACCTTGGGCAAGTTACTCTCCTCTCTGATTCTCAGTTTCTTTTCTTTTCTTTTTTTATTTTTTTTTTAGACACAGTCTCGCTCTGTGGCCCAGGCTGGAGTGCAGTCGTGCGATCTCAGCTCACTGCAGCCTCTGCCTCCCAGGTTCAAGCGATTCTCCTGCCTCAGCCTCCCCAGTAGCTGGGATTACAGGGACGTGCCACCATGCCTGGCTAATTTTTGTATTTTTAGTAGAGATGGGGTTTTACCATGTTGGCCAGGCTGGTCAAGAACTCCTGATCTCAGGTTATCTGCCTGCCTCAGCCTCCCAAAGTGCTGGGATTACAGGCGTGAGCCACTGCACCTGGCCTGACCCTCAGTTTCTACATCTGTAAAATGGGGACGAAAACACACATTTGCAAGGCCACTGTATGGTTTAAAAATAATATGTGCAGGCTAGGGGCAGTGGCTCATGCCTGTAATCATGGCACTTTGGGAGACTGAGGCAGGAAGATTGCTTGAGGCTAGGAGGTCGAGACTAGCCCTAGTGACAGAGCGAGACCCTGTCGCTACTTAAAAAAAAAAAATAATAATAATATGTGGAAAACACCCAAGTGGAAGTATGAATGCACTAAATGAAAGTAATTAGTAGCACATCAGTGGTAGTTGCACAAGTCCAGTGAGGACCACGGCATTATGATTATCCTCATTTTATGATAAATTGAGGCTCTGAGAGGTCCAGAACCTTCCCCAAGGTTACACAGTGGGGGAGTGGGGACTCAAACCCATGTCCTCTAGCTCTAGATCTGCACTGTCCACTAGAATAATCTGTGAGGATACAAGTGTTCCATATCTGTGTTGCCCGTCACAGCAGCCACTAGCCACATGTGGCTACTGGGTCCTGAAAATGTGGGTGGCAAAATATACACCCAATTTTGAATACTTAATACAAAAAAGAGTACAAAATATCTAATGATGTTAATTATATGTTGAAATAACTTTTAGAAATTTGTGTTAAAATATATAGTGAAGATTAATCTCACCTTTTTTTTTTCTTTGGTGAGACAGGGTCTCACTGTCGCCCAGGCTGGAGTGCAGTGGCGTGATCTTTGCTCACTGTAGCCTCGACCTCATAGGCTCAAGTGATCCTCCCACCTCAGCTGGAACCACAGGTGATGGAACCCGGCTAATTTTTTGTATTTTTTGTAGAAACTGGGTTTCACCATGTTGCCCAGGCTGGTCTCAAGCTCCTGAGCTCAAGTGATCCACCTGCCTCAGCCTCCCAAAGTTCTGAGATTACAGGAGTGAGCCACAGTGCCCAGGCTTCTTTTTTGTAATGCAGCTACTAGAAACATTTTAATTACATATATGGCTCACGTGTTTCTATTGGACAGTGGGAATCTAGAACTTCTCCAGTAGAACAGCATCTGAGATAAGGAACTTAGTGTTTTTTAAAAAGTATTTACAACCCACTGCCCACCAGCAAGGAGCCCTCTGTGACATAAGAACAGTTGAAGAATGAACATACCCACCGGAAAGAGACCTCAGGGCCCTCCTCTGAGCTCCTTGACCCCTGAGGCCTAGAGAGTAGTGTGGCTGGCCCCAGTCTCACAGAAGTCAGCTGCACAGCTGGAACCAAGCCGTAGATTCCTCAGCCTGATTCGGCCACTTGTGCCACCATACAAAGGTACCCACTGGGATTTTAAAATCAGTGTTTTTACTTCAGCAAACGGAACCCTGGGATAACACCAGTTGGAGTCTGAGGCCTATGATCTTGAGAAGGCAGTATCCTTTGGGAGGGTCTGCATGGGGCCAAATCTTGAGCCACAGCCAGACACCTCAGGGCTGCATTAATTGGAGGGACGGCTCTTGTTATAGACGAGGAAGTCTGAGATGTCGTGCCATACATTGCTGTCCTCATAGAGGTAGGTCATGGAGGACTGCAGCGAGGGCTGCAGGGTGGATCGGTGATACTCAAAGAGCCACAGCACCAGCCCCCACACCACCGCAGTGAGCAGCGGGAACGGGTCCCACCTGGGTTCAGGGATGTAGCCCTTCTCTACAGCCAGGCGGCTCAGGGCAAACAGGACGCGTGACAACAGGTACATGTTGATCTGCAAAGAGGGAATGATGGGAATTACTGGTGATCAATAGTGATGTCCCTCTTTTGTTTTTGATATTAATAATTTGTTTCATTTCTCTTTTTTTCTTAGAGAGCCTGGCTAGGGGTTTATTTATTTTAATTATCTCTTCAAAGAATCAACTTTTGGTTTAGGTCCTTTTCTCTATTGATTTCCTGTTTGCAATTTCATTGATTTCTGTACTAATTTTTTTTTTTTTTTTCTGAGACAGAATCTGGCTCTGTCGGCTAGGCTAGAGAGAGTGGGCTTACTGGATCTCGGCTCACTGCAACCTCCACCTCCTAGGTTCAAGTGATTCTCCTGCCTCAGCCTCCGGAGTAGCTGGGATTACAGGTGGCGCCCACCATGCCCAGCTAGTTTTTATATTTTTAGTAGAGATAGGGTTTCAATGTGTTGGCCAGGATGGTCCTGAACTCCTGACCTCAGATGATCTGCCCACCTTGGCCTCCCAAAGTGCTGGGATTACAGGTGGGAGCCACAGCATTGGCCTGATTTCTGCACTTATTTTTATTGCTTCTTTTCTTCAGCTTACTTTGGATGTAGTTAAAAAAAAAAAAAAACTTTAGAGATAGGGTCTTGGTCTGTTGCCCTGGCTGTCTCAAACTCCTGGCCTCAAGCAATCCTCCTCAGCCTACCAAAGTGCTGGGATTATATGTGACAGCCAATAAAAATTATGGCTAAAAAATGGTAAAATTTTTTTTTCTTTTTTTTTGAGACAGAGTCTTGCTCTGTCACCCTGGCTGGAGTGCAGTGGCACGATCTTGGCTCACTGCAACCTCTGCCTCCCTGGTTCAAGCGATTCTCCTGCCTCAGCCTCCCAAGCAGCTGAGACTACAGGTGTGCGCCACCATGCCTAATTTTTTTGCATTTTTAATGGAAATGGGATTACCGGCATGAGCCACCATGCCTGGCCTAAAAATTATTTTTACAATTTAAAAATATTTAAGAAATTTGAGGGAGGCAAGTAGAGAGAGGCTGCCAACTTTTCAGGTTTCCAAAGAACATTAAAAAACAACTAGCATTCTGCCAGGTGTGGTGGCTCACGCTGCACTTTGGGAGACCAAGAGGGGGTGCATCATCTGAGGTCAGGAGTTTCAGACCCAGCCTGACCAATATGGTGAAACCCCATCTCTACTAAAAATACAAAAATTAGCTGGTATGGTGGCAGGCGCTTGTAGTCCCAGCTACTTGGGAGGCTGAGATAGGAGAAATGCTTGAACCTGGGAAGTGGAGGTTGTTGCAATGAGCCTAGATCGTGCCACTGCACTCCAGCCTGGGCAACAGAGTAAGACTGTCTCAACAAAAACAAAACAGAACAAAAACCCAACGACTAGCTTTTAGTCTCTTATTCATCATCATTTCATAACAAAAGCGAAGTTTAACCCAGAAAAAGGACAAGTCACAGAATGAGAGACAGTTTTTAGAGTGTATTAAGTTTTCTTTTATGAAAACCTTACTTCAGGGTCATTTTTTTCCCTCATTTCACTACAGAGTGATTTTTAAAAACAATCTTTGCCCCAGAGAGCAGCACATGCATTGATTTTTGGGAACCATGAAATTACAGATGGAAAAACTGAGAGGAAAGTGACCTTCCCAAGGTCACAGAGGGACTGGTGAGTCACAGAACTCAGACATGCAAAAGAGCCAAGAGCTTATCATCTTAATCACCTCCACCCCAACCTCTATACAGAACCAGGGCCCCCTCCTCTAGCCCCACCTCTATACAGAAACACGCCCCTCCACCCACCCCTACCTCTAGAATAAACCACGCCCCTCCCCACCCCCACCTCTACACTGAACCACGCCCCTTCACCCACCCATACTTCTACACTGAACCACGTCCCCTTCCCCCACCCCCACCTCTACACGGAACCAGGCCCCTTCCCCCACTCCCACCTCCACACTGAACCACGCTCTTTCCCCACTCCTAACTCTACACTGAACCACGCCCTTTCTCCCACTCCTACCTCTATACAGAACCACGCCCTTCTGCCACTCAAAACTCTACACTGACCCACACCCCTTCCCCCACTCCTACCTCTACACTGAGCCACGCCCTTGTCCCCACTCATAACTCTACACTGAACCACACCCCTTCCCCGACTCCCACCTCTATCCAGAACCACGCCCTTCCCCCACTCCCACCTCTATCCAGAACCACGCCCTTTCCCCACTCCTACCTCTATACAGAACCACACCCCTTCCCCCACTCCCACCTCTACAATGAACCACGCCCTTTCCCCCACTCCCACCTCTATCCAGAACCACGCCCTTTCCCCCACTCCTACCTCCATACAGAACCACACCTCTTCTCCTACTCCTACCTCTACACTGAATCACGCCCCTTCCCCCACTCCTACCTCTATACTGAAACAAGCCCTCTTCCCCAACCCCCTCCTCTACACTGAACCACGCCCCCTTCCGTCACCACCTCTGTACTGAACCACGCCCCCTTCCATCACCCCCACCTCTGTACTGAACCACGCCCCCTTCTGTCACCCCCACCTCTGTGCTGAACCACGCCCCCTTCACTACCCCCATCTCGGGAGGATCTTTACCTGGCTGTTGATGTTATTGTTTTCTCCAAACACCAGGATACCCCCGAGGAAGGCCGCCAGGAATGCGTGTGCTGGGTAGGTCTTGCCTTGTATGTAGGACTGCAGGGCACGGAGACCCTTGTAGGTGAACACAAACCGTGCCAGGTTCCAGGAGTGGATATATGTGGCCTGCAGTATGGCCCACAGCTTCTCCTGGAGGCTGCACAAACACAGGTGCCCCTGCCATGAGTGCAGGCTCAGCAGCCCCAAAGGGCTTTTACGCACTGGGCATGCCTAACAACCAGCCAAGGAGCTCGGAGTAATGCTCATTCAGTCACCGGCCTCTACCCTTCATGTTCTCTCCCTTGATTCAGGCCTTGACTCAGTGCCACCTCCCCAAGGAGACCCTCCCTGATCACCCTACAGAACAGAATACCCATCACATCCTGTCCTGACCCTAATTTTCTTTTCCTTCCTAGCTATGGTCACCAACCGACATTTATGTGCTTGTTTATTATCTTCCCTCACCCCAGTAGCAGCTATAGGAGGGTGGTGTCTGGATCTGGCTTGTTCATCTGCAGGGCTTGGCACGTAGTAGGTGCTTAATAAATGTTTTTTTGAGTAAACATGTGAAGGAGTGAGTGTCTGCCATGTGCTGGATGTGGGGGTACGATTCTGAGAAGAAACAGATCTGCTCGCCACCCTCAGGGGCTTATGATCTACTGGGAGAGGAAAATGTTAAATAAATAATCACAAAAAGAACTTTGACCTTGACAAGAGATGGCGCTGGGATCTTCCCGATGAGGAGGTCAAGAGGGGAGGAGAGCCACATCCCAGGCAGAGGGCTCAGCACGTGCCACGCCCGGAGGAGGGTCAGGGAGTATGAGGAAAGGAGCAGAGAGAAGCCACCGTGGCCATGGGCAGAGAACCAGAGAGTTTGTGGGGAGGGTGCAGGGCAAAGACAGTGGGGCCATGCTGAGTTTGGTCTTTATCCTGAGAAGTGAACATTTAGATAGAGGAGGCTATTCTTTTTATCTCTTAAAAATCACTAGAGGCCAGGTGCAGTGGCTCACACCTATAACCCCAACACTTTGGGAGGCTGAGCTGAGATGGTGCCACTGCATTCCAGCCTGGACGACAGAGACTCTACCTTAAAAAAAGAAAAAATTACTAGGAGGCCAGACACAGTGGCTCACACCTGTCATCCCAGCACTTCGAGAGGTCAACACGGGCAGATCCCTTGAGCCCAGGAGTTCCAGACCAGCCTGGGCAACATAATGAGACCTCGTCTCTATAAAAAATAGAAAAAATTAGCCAGGTGTGGTGGCACACGCGTGTAGTTCCTGCTACTTGGGAGGCTGAAGGAGGAGGTTTGCTTGAGTCTGCAGTGAACTGTGATTGTGCCACAGCACTCCAGTCTGGGTGACAGAGACCCTGTCTCTAAAAATTAAAAAAAAAAAAAAAAATCACTAGGGGGCAGGAAGGATAACACAGAGAAGGAGCAGAGTCTACTCCTCCCAATTCAGGAATGGCAAACTCAGGTGCTCTTAAGGCTAGACGAAGACCCTAAATGAGTGAGAGGGTCCACGGGGAAATCTTCCAGGTGACTGGGGACAGCCGGGAGCAGATGGCTCTCACCCCGCGCAAACACAGGCCCCAGTGTTGCCAGTTCTAAGGCAGGAAAGCTGGATTTCCATGTGGAATCTACCAGTTTTTAAATGTTGGCACTAACCCTGCCTTCAAAATGTGTCTAGAGACTGACCACTCTTCTCACCTGCACCAGCACCACTGAGGTCCAAGCCCGACATTTGCTCACTTGCATCACTGCCACAGCCTCTTGGAGGGAACCTGCTTCTGCCCTTGGGTGGCCCTGCTCCCCTCCCCCCACACCAATCTGTTCTTAACCTGGCAGCAATTTTTTTTTTTTTTCCTCTGAGATGGAGTCTAGCTCTGTTGCCCAGGCTGGAGTCCAGTGGCATGATCTGGGCTCACTGCAACCTCTTCCTCCTGGGTTTGAGCGATTCTCCTGCCTCAGCCTCCCGAGTAGCTGGGACTACAGGTGTGCAACATCACATCCGACTAATCTTTGTTTGTTCATTTATTTATTTATTTTGAGACGGAGTCTCACTCTGTGTGGCCCAGGCTGGAGCGCAGTAGCGCAATCTCGGCTCACTGCAATCTCCGCCTCTCAGGTTCAAGCAATTCTCCTGCCTCAGCCTCCCGAGTAGCTGGGACCACAGGTGTGCGCCGCCAAGCCCAGCTAATTTTTGTATTTTTAGTAGAGACGGGGTTTCACCATGTTGGCCAGGATGGTCTTGATCTCCTGACCTCGTGATCTGCCTGCCTCGGCTTCCCAAAGTGCTGGGATTACAGGCATGAGCCACTGTGCCCAACCTAATCTTTGTATTTTTCAGTAGAGACAGGGTTTTGCCATGTTGGCCAGACTGGTCTCGAACTCCTGACCTCAAGTGTACCACCTCGGCCTCCCAAAATGTTGGGATTATAGGCGTGAGCCACTGCGCCTGGCCTAGCAGCAAATTCTTAACTCTCACGCTGTTAACACATAAGTCAAATAATGGTGCAGCCCTGCTCAAAATCTTACAACAATTTCCCATTGCACTTAAAGGAAAAGCCAAATTCCTCTCTATGACCCAAAGCTGGAAAGGACCAACCCAGGTCAAGCTGTGACCCGCCTCTCTGTCCTCTCTCCCCTTCAGCCCCTCTGCTCCAGCCTCCTCACACTTATCAAGCAGGATCCTATCTCAAGGTCTTTGCACTGGCTATGCCCGTGGCCTGGAACACTCACTCTTTCCCCTCATATCCACCTGGACAACTCTGTCTCCTTCAAGTCTTTACTCCAATGTCACTTTCTCATAGCGGCCTTCCCTATTTAATTCTGCAACCTGTCCCCTCAGCACTTCTGATGCCCTTTCCCTTTTTCCCTGCTCTAATTTTGCTTTTCCATAACCATAGCACCTTCTAACATACCACAGACTCTCCTTACTATGTTTATTTTCTGCCACCCCCTGCTAGAATGTCAGCAGGAGTCACTGTCCGTTTTGTTCACTGCTGTATCCCCAGTACCTAGAACAGTGTCTGGCACATAGCAGATGCTCAATAAATATCTGCTGAATGAACACATGAGTTCAGTTTTTCAAAAAATGACTTGGAGGACAACAAAAACAAAATAGAAAAAAATAAATAAGATAAAAATACAAAATGAGCACATCTTGCAAGTTGGATTTGGCCTGGAGGCTGCCAGTGCATGATTCCTGTATGTTCCACATGAGCCTATATGCATTAAACACTAGACCGCAACCCGTTTTCTGAGAAGTGCCTTGAGGGAAGAGCTACGGGAGATGACAGGAAGGTGAAGATGCTTCAGCGAGAGACAAGAGATCAGGGAGCTTTGAGGAGGAAGTGATCCTCAGAGAACTGGTCTGGATTGCCAGGAGGGAAGTAAAGGTGGAGTGCGAGCCAAAGGCACTCCTGGCGGGGGTGCTGCGTGAGCAGATGTGTGCAGGTGGAGCTATACACATGGCATGTGCATGGAATGGCAGCGAGTTCTGTGTGCCAAGGGCACGCCAGGGTGGACACAACGGGGGTCAGCTGAGGCCAGACTGCAGAAGGCCCTGAAGGCCAGGCCTGGAAGCTGGGCTTCCTTGGAGGGCACAGGGAGTTTTCAAGCAGGGATAATGGGATCAGAGTTGGACTTTAGGGCCGGGCACGGTGACTCACACCTGTAATCTCAGCACTGTGGAAGGCCCCTGAAGTCAGGAGTTCAAGACCAGCCTGGCCAATATGGTAAAACTCCATCTCTACTAAAAATACAAAAATTAGCCAGGTGTGGTGGTGGGTGCCTATAGTCCCAGCTACTCAGGAGACTGAAGCAGGAGAATCGCTTGAACCCCAGAGGCGGAGGTTGCAGTGAACCGAGATCATCACCGCACTCTGACCTGGGTGACAGAGAGAGACTCCATCTCAACAACAACAACAACAACAACAACAAAACACAACAAAAAAAGAGTTGAACTTTAGAAGGCGTGATGGGGGGACAGGGTAGACCCAGCTAAGAAGCTATTACGACTGTCCTGGCACTGAGGGCTGACCACATTCTCTCCCAGTTTGAGGGATGTGTACCTGCCATTCCGGAAGAGAAAGGTCATGACCAGCGCGTGAGGGGCCCGGATTTTGGCTCCATAGCTGTAGAAACAGAAGAAAACAGTTACTATAATGTCACTGTGTCGCACTTTCTTTTTGGGCTGTCCTTTTGACCCCTTGTTCTCTCCCCCCATCCCAAATTCTAACACCACTTTGGGAGGGGAAATCATGCTGGATGCAAATCCTGGCTCTGATACTTCCTGGTAGTATGGTCTCAGGCGCGTCCTTTAACTTCTCTCAGACTCAGTTTCCGCACCATAAAAAGGGATGTTTATTTTTAATTATTTAGCGACAGAGCCTCACTTTGTCTCCCAGGCTGGTGTGCAGTGGTACGATCATAGCTCACTGCAGCCCTGAACTCCTGGAATCCAGCGATCCTCCAGCCTCACCTCCCTGAGTAGCTGAGACTACAGGTGTGTGCCATCACGCTCAGCATAAAAAGGGATGTTTTTTGTTTGTTTTTTGAGATGGAGTCTCACTCTGTCGCCCAGGCTGGAGTACAGTGGTGCAATCTTGGCTCACTGCAGCCTCGGCCTCCCGGGTTCAAGCAATTCTCCTGTCTCAGCCTCCCAAGTAGCTGGGATTACAGGCGCCAGCCACCATGCCAGGCTAATTTTTGTATTTTTAGTAGAGATGGAGTTTCACCATGTTGCCCAGGCTGGTCTGGAACTCCTGATCTCAGGTGATCCACTCACCTCAAAAAGGGATGTTAAACTTCAGAGGGCTGGTTGTAATTTTTTTCTTTTCTGAGACAGAGTCTCTCTCTGTAGCCCAGGCTTGGAGTGCAGTGGTATGATCTTAGCTTACTGCAACCTCCACCTCCTGGGTTCAAGCAATTCTCCTGGTTCAGCCTCCCAAGTAGCTGGGATTACAGGCACGTGCCACCATGCCTGGCTAATTTTTGTATTTTTAGTATGAGATAAGGTTTCTCCATGTTGGCCAGGCTGGTCTCAAACTCCTGAGCTCAGGTGATCTGCCCGCCTTGGCCTCCTAAAGTGCTGGGATTACAGGCGTGAGCCACTGTGCCCCGCCCCATAATTTTGATGGAAGGAGATGGTACATGTAAAAGGTCCACCATCCTTGCTCAACTGGCTTTGTGGAATTGCTCCCTCTGCTCCATCCTGACGTTCTCACTGCAGCCAGTCTCTTTTTTTTTTTTTTTTTTTTGAGACGAAGTTTTGTTCTTGTTGCCCAGCCTGGAGTGCAATGGCATGATCTCGGCTCACTGCAACCTCCGCCTCCTGGGTTCAAGCGATTCTCCTGCCTCAGCCTCCCGAGTAGCTGGGATTACAGGCATGTGCCACCATGCCTGGCTAACTTTGTATTTTTAGTAGAGACGAGGTTTCTCCCTGTTGGTCAGGCTGGTCTCGAACTCCCGACCTCAGGTGATCCGCCCACCTCGGCCTCCCAAAGTGCTGGGATTACAGGCGTGAGCCATCCTGCCTGTCCTAGCCAGTCTCATCTTTTAAAAACATCAATCTCATCACATCACTCCCAGCTTAAAATCCTCTAACACCTTTCCACTACTCACAGAACAAATTCCAAGCTCTTCCCTGCAGCCTTGAAAGTGCTATAGCCTTGGCCCCTGCTCACTGCTCCTACCTCACCCCAGGGCCCTCCTCTGCTGCTCCAGCCACACTGTCCTTCCTGGACTGCATCTGACACATCAGGTTCTTCTCTGCTCCTGGCTTTGGCCTGGCAGTTCCTACTACCTGGCGTGCTCCTCCCCAGCCACCTTCCCTCAGCCTTCCGGTCTCAGCTGGGCCCTCTGCAAAGGCCTCCTGATGCTCCAGCCTAGGTTTGAGCAATTTTTCATTGCCACAGATCCCAAAACTTCTCTCCAGCACTTCATCTTCCCAATTTAATGACTCGGTTATTCAGTATTTATTCTATTATAATGATCTCTTTCCTGTGCTAGACTGTGGGCTCTGTGAAGACAGGGAATGTGTCTGGCTTGTCATCTGCATAGTCCCTAGCATAGTACCCCACATGGTACCTGACATATAACATGTGCTTGATAAATAACTGTTGACTGACCGATGCCAGAACACCCCTTACCCATGACAATGTCATTTCTAGAAGGTTCTGTCTTCAGCTTAGCTCATCTTAAAGTTAACAGATTCCCTAAAACAGCTGTTAGGTAACACTGTACCTATTCAAAATGTACCTCTTTCTAACTATTATACAAAGAAGGACCTCAACTTTGTAAAAATGCATTTATAAAAAGGCTGGCACTTTGGGAAGCTGAAGTGGGCAGATCATTTGAGGTCAGGAGTTTGAGACCAACCTGGACAACATGGTGAAACCCTGTCTCTACTAAAAATACTACAAAAATTAGCTGGGTGTGGTGGCAGGCACCTGTAATCCCAGCTACTCGGGAGGCTGAGGCAGGAGAATCTCTTGAACCCAGGAGGCAGAGGCTGCAGCGAGTTAAGATCGTGCCACTGTACTCCAGCCTGGGCAGCAGACTAAGACTCTGTCTCAAAAACAAAAATAAAATAAAATAAAAAACTGGAAGGAAATATGCCACTGTTATTAGCAATGCCCACTGCACTGGAGGAATATATAATAGATATAATTTATTTTTGCTTGCTTTTTAAACTTTTCTAGACTTCCAGAATTATCTATGATTAAGTACTGCTTTTAAAATTATTAAATATTTTAGGCCGGGCGCGGTGGCTCACGCCTGTAATCCCAGCACTTTGGGAGGCCGAGGCGGGCGGATCACGAGGTCAGGAGATTGAGACCATCCCGGCTAAAACGGTGAAACCCCGTCTCTACTAAAAATACAAAAAATTAGCCGGGCGTAGTGGCGGGCGCCTGTAGTCCCAGCTACTTGGGAGGCTGAGGCAGGAGAATGGCGTGAACCCGGGAGGCGGAGCTTGCAGTGAGCCGAGATCGCGCCACTGCACTCCAGCCTGGGCGACAGAGCGAGACTCCGTCTCAAAAAAAAAAAAAAAAAAATTATTAAATATTTTAAATGTTACATAATTGTTACATAATTGCCTCTTTTTAAGATTCAAACCTCTTCCCCCACCCTTCCTTTCCCCTCCTCATTTAGGGATCTAGGAATGACGTGAACAAGACCATGTTTACTTTCATTGTTTTAACTATACTCAGATGAATAGTAGAAAGACAGTGGTATTTGGGCCAAAGCCCTGCCATGTTTTGCTATGTGAGCTTGGATAAATTAGTTAACCTCTCTGAACCTCCCTTTTCCCATCAACAAAAGGTATTCTCCATTTTACAGAATGGCTTTTGGCAGTTACGCACATATAAAAGTTCCTAGGTCAATCAATATTAGTGTCTCTTCTTTTCTTACTCTTCTTTATTGGACACCTCCACCCCTACCCCTATCCCTAAGTTCTCCAGGTACCCAACCCTGGTCTTACCAGGCTACAAGGTCTAAAAATCCTGACAGCCTCCTTGAGACAATGGTCATGAGCCACATACTATTGTCTCCCCAAATATACATGAATGTTCACTGCAGGCTTGTTTGAAAAAACAAAAGACTGGAATCAAACCTGTGTCCAAGGCTGGGTGTGGTGGCTCACGCCTGTAATCCCAGCACAATGGGAGGCCGAGACAGGCCGATCACGAGGTCAGGAGATCGAGCCCATCCTGGCTAACACGGTGAAACCCTGTCTCTACTAAAAATACAAAAAAATTAGCCGGGCGTGGTGGTGGGTGCCTGTAGTCCCAGCTACTCAGGAGGCTGAGGCAGGAGAATGGTGTGAACCTGGGAGACGGAGCTTGCAGTGAGCCGAGATTGCGCCACTGCACTCCAGCCTGGGCAACAGAGCGACACTCCATCTCAAAAAAAAAAAAAAAAAAAAAAAAAAAAAACTTGGCAAAAGGGTTACTGATGTTATCTCAGGGCACATCAAGGATATGCCCTTGGCCAGACCCAGTGGGAACCAGTTCTACCTGACTCTTGAGTGTCCATGGGAGCCAAGAGCCTGGCACTGGTGCCAGGCATCCTTGGGTTTGAATCCCGGCTCCAACCGTGACCAAGTGCTGTGGCCACGAGCAATGGGTCTACCTCTGAGCTACAGCCTTTTCATCTGGAAAATGGGGACAATGGCAATTCTGATCTTGCACACTTATTCATTCATTCAATAAATATTTCAGAAACTACTAAATACCAGGTGCTAGTAATACACCAAGGAACAAAATAGATAAAGTTATGGCCTCATGAAACTTTCTTTTTTTTCCTTTTGAGATGGAGTTTCACTCTGTCACCCAGGCTGGAGTGCAGTGGCACAATCTCAGCTCACTGCAACCTCCACCTCCTGGGTTCAAGCGGTTCTCCTGCCTCAGCCTCCCATGTAGCCGGGACTACAGGCATGTGACACTACACCCGGCTAATTTTTGTATTTTTGGTAGAAACGGGGTTTTGCCATGTTGGCCAGGCTAGTCTCGAACTCCTGACCTCAGATAATCCGCCTGCCTCGGCCTCCCAAAGTGCTAGGATTACAGGTGTGAGCCACCGTGGCCAGCCTGTGCTAAGCATTTCACACATATTGACTCAATCCTGATAGTATAAGTACTAGTACCATGCCCATTTTACAGATATTGAGGCTTAGAGAGGCTAAATGACTTCCTCCAGATCACACGGGTAGGTGGGGCCAGGGTTCAAGCCAAGGCATCCACATCCTTCCCACCATCCCACGTTGCCACTAGGATGCCAATTCTGGGGGACACAAACCACTTTCTCTGGTTTGTTCTCTGCTTTGTCCCCGGTTCTGGCACTGTAGGCCCTCAATAAATGGTGGCTGTTATGCACTAGGTTTAAAGGAGACTGAGCTCCCCTCTAGGCACCAGCCAGGGCAATGACCCCAAGACCTCTCTTGCAGGTAAGATGCCAGGATAGTTGCAGCTTCTTTTACATTCATTGTCACGTCCCAGGAGCCCCCTGAGCCGAACGGGACTTAGCGCTGGAGTCCTACAGGTGAGAAGTGAGAAGCAGGATGCAAGCCCATGGGCAAGCTTCATGGGGACAGAATAGACAGGAGGCATCCGCCTGCCAGCTAGAGGCCAGAGTCCAGTTCCCCATTGTGCAGATGGGGCCGTTGAGGCCCAAAGGCACACAGAGAGGTGAGGTGAACTGAACCCAAATGAGGGGATACAGAAGCTGGCATGGGAGGAGTCAAAGCAAGAGGGCCAGGCTGCAAAGGTTGGAAGACCCAGAAAATGTGCAGTGGGAGCCCCAGTTCAGAGCTGGGAAGGCGCGCAAGCCAAAATCCAGCTCCCATTGCACAGATGGTGACCTCCGAGACTTAGAGACACACGAGGACTGCTCCAGGGCAAACAGCACCGCGGCATCGGACTTCGAACTCGCGCCTCTGACCCCAGGCAGGACATCCCTCAGCCCCAGCCCGGCCCGACGGCCCCACTCACACAGCCCCGTTCCGGAAGCCCTTAAGCACGGCCAACGCAGCGTGGTAGCGGCGCTTGCGCAGCAGTGCGTTGACGACTACGAGCAGAGCCCTTAGCTGCGGCGGGGCTGCCATAGTGCGGGCTGCGCGCAGGGTCGGGGTTAGGAACTGTAAGCGCACTGACAGCCGGAGGTTCCAGCTGCGCGCCCACAGCCCCTCGGTAGCGCCGCCGACTCGTGGCGTCTATAGGCTGTTTCTGCGTCACTCATGCATGGAAGACCAATCAGAGAGCGTACTTGTCTCATGGGACAATAGCACTCATCGAAATAGTTGTCTGACTGGAAGAGAAAGGAAAGCTTGTAGCCAATCACAGTGGGCTCCGCCCAAGGTCACACACGATTTGTCCAATCAGAAGGCACTTTCCCTTGGGCCATGTTGGGTTCACGAGTGGGTTTGGAAGGAGGCGTGTACTTGGAAGGAGGGCTCCTGAATGAGGAGTGGCCCTGCTTAGAGATGGGATGGGCGACAGGTGATGATACAGGGAGGAGCAGGGCCCCATCTTTATGCGAGATAGTTCTGACTGGGATATCCTTTACCATAGCGATCTTCCCAGAGTGTCAGTCACATGGCCCCTCAATGGCTTCCATGTACGTATGTATGTTTTGAGATGCAGCCTCGCTCTGTCACCCAGGCTGGAGTGCAGTGGCGCGATCTCGGCTCACTGCAACCTCCACCCCCCAGGGTTCAAGCAGTTCTCCTGCCTCAGCCTCCTGAGTAGCTGGGACTACAGGCACCCACCACCATGCCTGGCAAATTTTTTTGTATTTTTAGTAGAGACGGGGTTTCACCATGTTGGCCAGGCTGCTCTCCTGACCTCAGGTGATCCACCTGCCTCGGCCTTCCAAAGTGCTGGGATTACAGGCGTGAACCCAGCCGGCGTCCACTTATTCTTAGAATCCAAACTCCTCCCCAAGGCCCAAGAGAGAAGACCTCCTGTGATCTGGTCCGTGCCTCTCCCTCTGACCCCACGTTCCAGCACTTGCCACCTCACTGCTTCCCAGCCAAACAGCCTCCTTTCTGTTCCTTGGGCCAAGAACCCTTCTACCTCAGGGCCTTTGCACTTGCTGGTTCCCTGCTTGATATTCGCCATCCTGGGCTCTTCCCATGATGGGCTTCTTCTCATCCTTCAGGTTTCAGCTCAAATGCCACTTCATCAGAGAGACTTTCTGAGACATCCAATTTGAAGTAGCACTGTCCACTCTGACTCATTACCCTGGCTCTTTTTTTTTTTTTTTTTTTTTTAGACTGAGTCTCGGATCTATCACCCAGGCTGGAGCGCAGTAGTGTGATCTCAGCTCACTTCAACTTCTGCCTCCCAGGTTCAAGGGATTCTTCTGCCTCAGCCTCCTGAGGAGCTAGGACTACAGGTGCATGCCACCACGCCCGGCTAATTTTTGTATTTTTAGTAAAGACGGGGTTTCACCATATTGGCCAGGCTAGTCCAAACTCCCGACCTTGTGATCCGCCCGCCTCGGCCTCCCAAAGTGCTGGAATTACAAATGTGAGCCATCGTGCCCGGCCACCCTGGTTCTTATGTGTTTTTTTTTTTTATAGAACTTTTGACACTTTAGACTTGTTTACTATGTGTTCATTGTCCATTGCCCTTATCAAACTGTAAATTCTATGAAGGAAGAAATCTTATTTGTCTTGTTTTCTGCTGTAACCCCAACACTAGGCACATGGTGGGTACTCAACACTTGCTTGTTTAAGCAACACATAGTTTTGGGTTGTCATCTCTGAGAGCATTGATGGGTGACATTAACATATGATGTCACTATGTGGAGTTGTCACTGAATAACAGCTACACACTGAGTGGTGGCTGTGACTTGTGAGGGTGTCCCCTGGTACTTGGGCCATATGGTATTTACCAGTGATGTTATTTGCTCAGTGTCAGGGGACAATTTCAGAGGTCAATGAAGGAGGGAGTTGTGCTGGGCCTATTTTGTCACTGAAACTGGGTTGTCCGGGATTTTTCTTTTGTGATGGTAGGCTACTTTATTCAGTTCATCCTTCCTCTGAAGATAATGACTATGTTAGATAATATATTAAAATATCCTCTTAAAAACACTGAAGTTCCTTGGCTGGGCACAGTGGCTCATGCCTGTAATCCCAGCACTTTGGGAAGCCGAGGCGGGCGGATCACTTGAAGCCAGGAGTTCGAGACCACCCCTGACCAACATGGTGAAACCCCGTCTCTAAAAAATTAAAAAACAAAAACAAAAACAAAAAAACACTGAAGCTCTGCCAGGTGCGGTAGGTAGCTCACGCCTGTAATCCCGGCACTTTGGGAAGCCAAGGTGGGTGGATCTCTTGAGCCCAGGAGTTCAAGACCAGCCTGGGCAACATGGCGAAAACCCATCTCTACTAAAAATACAAAAATTAGCCAGGCCTGGTGGCACACACCTGTAGTCCCAACTACAGGTGCGGGAGGATCACCTGAGCCTGGAGAGGTCAACACTGCGGTGAGCGGTGATCACGCCACTGGACTCCAGCCTGGGTGACTGAGACCCTGTGTCAAACTGAAGTGCTTAAAAGTATGAGGAATGTGGCCGGGCACGGTGGCTCACGCCTTTAATCCCAGCACTTTGGGAGGGTGAGGTGGGTGGGTCACCTGGGGTCGGAGTTCGAGACGAGCCTGACCAACACAGAGAAATCCTGTCTCTACTAAAAATACAAAATTAGCCGGGCGTGGTGGCACGTGCCTGTAATCCCAGCTACTCAGGAGGCTGAAGCAGGAGAATCGCTTGAACCCGGGAGGCAGAGGTTGCAGTAAGCTGAGATCGCGCCGCTGCACTCCAGCCTGGGCAACCAGAGCGAAAGTCCATCTTTTTTTTTTTTTTTTTTGAGACGGAGTCTCGCTCTGTCGCCCAAGCTGGAATGCAGTGGTGCGATCTTGGCTCACTGCAAGCTCCACCTCCCGGGTTCACGCCATTCTCCTGCCTCAGCCTCCCGAGCAGCTGGGACTACAGGTGCCCACCACCACGCTGGGCTAATTTTTTGTATTTTTAGTAGAGATGGGGTTTCATCATGTTAGCCAGGATGGTCTCGATCTCCTGACCTCGTGATCCGCCCGCCTCCGCCTCCCAAAGTGCTGGGATTATAGGCGTGAGCCACCGCGCCCGGCCCGAAAGTCCATCTTAAAAAAAAAAAAAAAAGTATGAGGAATGCTCAGGCCAATTATGGAGTGAAAGCTGGTAACCAGATGCTTAACGGGAAGATTGGGATATTGGAGCACCAAGGCTACTTATGACATGAGGGCGTTTACCAATATTAAACCTGCAAGTTTCAGCTTGTCAACCACACAGGGCAAGAGGGACACAAGTGAAAATCTAGGGCCTCCCCAGGTGGGGAGCCATA
Source organism: Homo sapiens (assembly GCF_000001405.40). Lineage (NCBI taxonomy): Eukaryota > Metazoa > Chordata > Mammalia > Primates > Hominidae > Homo > Homo sapiens. Next base: position 33,723,490 of record NC_000020.11, read on the forward strand.
TAGCAGATCTCCTCACATTAAGCTGAGCCCCAAAGGGTGTTGCCCTCAAGTCTAATGTGAAATGAATCCACTGCACAACCCACACCACCAGCCCCTAGGAACTACAGAAAAGGCTGCCTTGGTGCTAAGCAGAACAGCTGAAGGAGAAGGAAAGAGGAATTTTTTTTTTAAAGCTCTTCCTTAGGAAGTTGTGATCATTGATGAGTTTTTTTGTACCCCAGGGAGTAGAGCCTGATATAATAGATCAAGAAAGCTCAAGCTATGAACTGGGAACCTGGTTTGAGATGATAACCGAGTAGATGTGCTCTCCAAACCCTTGGCAAAAAGGAAATACAGGCCGGGCACAGTGGCTCGCGCCTGTAATCCCAGCACTTTGGGAGGCTGAGGCAGGTGGATCACCTGAGGTCGGGAGTTCGAGACCAGCTTGGCCAACATGGTGAAACCTCATCTCTACTAAAAATACAAAAATTAGCTGGGCATGGTGGTGCGCGCCTGTAGTCCCAGTCACACAGGAGGCTGAGGCAGGAGAATCGCTTGAACCCGGGAGGCAGAGGTTGCAGTGAGCCGAGATCATGCCACTGCACTCCAGCCTGCCAACAGAGCAAGACTTCGTCTCAAAAAGAAAAAAAAGAAGAAAAAAAAAAGCAAAAATTAGCCCAGCATGGTGGCAGGCACCTGTAGTCCCAGCTACTCGGGAGGCTGAGGCATGAGAATCACTTGAACTCAGAAGACGAAGGGTGCAGTGAGCCAAGATGGCACCACTGCACTCCAGCGTGGGCGACAGAGCAAGACTCCATCTCAAAAAAAAAAAAAATTGTGCTCACGAAATTTAAAACTTAAAAAAATCAATATTGGGAGCAAAAAACTATTTATTTCATGGCAGATTTGAAAAGGAACCAAACAGAATTTCTAGAAATCTACTTCTACTGCTCCCATGAGGAGTCAGTCACAAAGTCCTGACATACGGCCCGGCATCAGAAGGTGTTTCGAAACTATTTGGTTTGGCAAGTTCTTCCTGGGTGCTCTCTTTTGCTAAGTACTTTCTCACATAGTTGAATAAGTTTCTGCCCTCAAGGGGCCCTGCAGGGTGCTAAGGATAGAGTTGCAATAATGGGGACGCTTATTATCTGGTGACCTTTTTAATTTTACGTAACTCTGAGTTCCTCAGTGCAGGGCCTGTTTGTTCACCTTTGCCCAGTAAGCACTTACAGAGAGTACAGTACTGAGTACTGCCTGTGGGCCAGGGATTGTTTCCTGAGTGCTTTCTTTTCTTTCTTTCTTTCTTTTTTTTTTTTTCTTTGAGACACAGTCTTGCTCTGTCACGCAGGCTGGAGTGCAGTGTGGCGTGATCTTGGCTCACTGCAACCTCCGCCTCCCAGGTTCAAGCCATTCTGCTGCCTCAGCCTCCTGAGTAGCTGCGATTACAGGCACCCACCACCACGCCCAGCTAATTTTTGTATTTTTAGTAGAAATGAGGTTTCACCATGTTGATCAGGCCGGTCTTGAACTCCTGACCTCAAGTGATCCTCCCGCCTGGACCTCCTAAAGTCACCGCGCCTGGCCCTAACCTTTTTTTTTTTTTGAGACAAGAGTCTTGCTCTGTTGCGCCCAGGCTGGAGTGCAGTGGCGCAATCTCGGCTCACCGCAACCTCTGCCTCTCAGGTTCAAGTGATTCTCCTGCCTCAGCCTCCCTAGTAGCTGGGATTACAGGTGCCCGTCACCATGTCCAGCTAATTTTTTTTTTTTGTATTTTTAGTAGAGATAGGGTTTCACTGTGTTGGCCTGGCTGGTCTTGAACTCCTGACCTTGCCAAACTCCAAGGCCCACCTCAGCCTCTCAAAGTGCTGGGATTACAAGCCTGAGCCACTGTGCCTGGCCGGACCTCGTTTAACCTTAATTAGCTCTTTATTTATTTATTTATTTATTTATTATTTGAGACAGAATCTTGCTCTGTCACCCAGGCTGGACTGCAGTGGCGCATCTGCCTCCCGGGTTCAAGTGATTCTCTTGCCTCAACCTCCCGAGTAACTGCGATTACAGGTGCGCGCCACCATGCCCAGCTAATTTTTGTACTTTTAGTAGAAACAGGGTTTCACCATGTTGGCCAGGCTGGTCTTGAACTCCCGACCTCAGCTAATCCACCCACCTCAGCCTCCCAAAGTGCTGGGATTACAAGCATGAGCCATCGCACCCGGCCCCTTAATTAGCTCTTTAAAGACTCAGGTTACAGTTACATTCTGAGGTACTAGGGGCTAGGACATCAACGTATGAATTTTGTGGGGAAGACACAATTCAATCCATAACAGCCACATGCTTTGCTGCTTACTACCAACACCAACCAACCTAACAAGATGTCAGGACCCAGCATTGCCTTGTGTGTCAGCACATTCTTCCCCTTGTAGCTGGGAGTCTGATTTAAGCATGAGATTCTTCCCTCCCCACAGAGAAGTTAATTTTTCTGGGGTGGCTGGAGCACTCACTGTGGAGTGGGACACTGGACGTTTCCCACTCTCCCTCCTCCCTGCTTGACCCCTTGCCTGGAATTATTACATTACCTACCCCAGGAGTCTCTAAGCTGTGATTGGATTCTGTTCGGTGCCAACCAGGTAGCCCCAAGGGAACTGGACATGTGACTGATAAGTGTTTGGTGGATGAAGAGATGCCAGTAAGGGGTGGAAAGTTTGGAGTGGGGGCAGCCTGACTGGGGAGCCTGCCAGAGGTGGGGCTCTACCTCCCTGAAACTCATTCAGTTCCATCGGTCAAGCCTTCAGTGAAGCATTTCCCAAGTTGCCTCTGTGCCAAGCCCTGGGGTCCAATTTGTGTGTGTGGGGGTGGTGGTGGGGTTCTTTTTTGAGATGAAGTCTTGCTCTGTAGCCCAGATCTCAGCTACAGGTAGCTGAGACAACAGGTATACTACAGGCATATGTGGCTCATATCTCAGCTTGCTGCAACCTCTGCCTCTTGGGTTCAAGCGATTCTCCTGCCCCAGCCTCCCAAGTAGCTGGGATTACAGGCATGCGCCATCATGCCTGGCTAATTTTTGTATTTTTAGTAGAGACACAGTTTGAGACAAGAGTCTTGTCTGGTCTTGAACTCCTGACCTCAGGTGATCTGCCCACCTGGGCCTCCCAAAGTGCTGGGATTACAGGTGTGAGCCATGGCGCATGGCCAAGCTCCTATTGTTGCAGGCGTTTCAGCAGGAGAGAACAGCATATGCAATATGCATCTATGCAACAGCATAGATGAAAATCTACTCTGCATATGCACCTGGTGGTATGGAAATATATGGGAAGCTGGCCAGGCACAGTGGCTCACATCTGTAATCCCAGCACTTTGGGAGGCCGAAGTGGGTGGATCACGAGGTCAGATCGAGACCATTCTGGCTCACACAGTGAAACCCCGTCTCTACTGAAAATACAAATACCCATACATCACTTATTACTCTCAGCTGCCCCTTTACAGTTCTTGGCCTCTTTTCATTTTGGCCTCAGGGCCTTTGCACTTGTTGGTCTCTCTGCCTTTCTCTTCTCTTTTCACATTGCTGACTCCAGCTTATTTCTCAGGCCCACTTCCTCAGACAGACTCCCCCTGACCATTCTGTCTAAAAGTAGCTTCCCCTCTTTCTGGAAAAAAAGTATTTAAAGTCATAGAAAATTTCTCTCTTTCTCTTTTTTTTTCCCCTTGTTTACAGCCCATCTCACCTAGCTAGACTAAGACTCCATGAAGGCAAGGATTTTTGTCTTTTGGTTCATGCCTGCATCCGCAGCATCTAGAATGGTGTCTAGCACACAGTAGGTGCTCAACAAATATTTTGAAAGTAATCAAATAAATGTGAACATATTCATTTCTTATTTGAATAATAAAACTAAAACAGGCCGGGCGTGGTGGCTCACGCCTATAATCCCAGCACTTTGGGAAGCTGAAGCAGGCAATTGCCTGAGCTCAGGAGTTCGAGGCCAGCCTGGCCAACATGGTGAAACACTGTCTCTGCAAAAAATACAAAAATTAGCTGGGCATGGTGGCAGGCACCTGTAGTCTAAGATACTTGAGAGGCTGAGGCACGAGAATCTCTTGAACCCGGGAGGTGGAGGTTGCAGTGAGCAGAGATTGGCCACTGCATTCCAGCCTGGGCAACACAACATGACTCTGTCTCAAAAAACAAAAAATAATAAATAAATAAATAAAACAAAAACAATAGGTATACTTTGCAGGCTTTGGTGATGCAGACAAACAAAGAATAGTTATATGGAGAAACTTGCAGGGGAGAGGGGAGAATCTGAGGCCATTGGATCAGTGAGCATGTTAGAGACAGGGAGGAAGGAACCCTGACTTTACCCTGCCAGCAAGGCAATGGAAGGGGGCGCTCACAGCTTGGGGTGTGCCCTTCAAGATTCCCAGGAAGGTAGGTGGGGTGTGGTGTCTTGGAGAAGAGTGGATTTCCTCTTTTTTCTTTTTCTCCTTTTTGTGGAGAATGGGGTCTCACTGTGTTGCCCCAGCTGGTCTTGAACTCCTAGGCTCAAGCGATCCTCCAGCCTCTGCCTCCCTAAATGCTGGGATGACAGGCTTGAGCCACTGCCCCTGGCAGGTTGGGTTTTCTGTGGGGAACATTTGCTCAGGGCTCACTGTGCAGGGGGGAATGGGAAGGGAAATGGAGGTAAGGGGGTAGCAGTGGTGTGCACAGGGGTGGTGTTCAGGGAAGTACAAGGAGTTCACCGGCAGAAATGGGCCTTGAGGGGGTAAATAGGCAGAGAGTCTGTGAGGCTATTCTGTGAAAGGGCCATATATACAAAGTGGTCCCCAAATGCCAACGGAGCCAAAAAACCAAGGAATGAGGCAGACAAATTCAGTTTGTCAGTAAAGGGTGTTTTAATGGGGGATCTTAAAAGCAGCATGGGCTTGGGCGGCAGCAAGACAGGAGATCTCTCCCTCTGTTACCCCAAGACTTAGGCCTTATATTCCACAGGGAAAGAGTTTTAAGTGCTCTCTGCAAGACAATTAAAGGAAACTTCCAGAGCAGACAAGAATGCTGTATGTTTCATAGCTTATAATTTATGCAATAACATCAGGGCGGCATATAGCTTATAATTTGTGCAATAACATCAGGCTGACTAGGGACAGTAAATAAAGTAGGAATCAGGAGGCATTCACGGGACTGGGGCTAATCAGAAGTCAACATGGGGGATTAGCATCCAAGATGGAGTCACTTTTGTCTCCACAGAGACAACTTGTCAGGAACAGTGGCTAGCAGGGTTCCCCAAGGGGAGAGGAACTTTGAAAAAACAATTTTAAAAAATTGTAGTTCACAGGTCTCAAACTCCTGGGCTCATGCAGTCCTCCTGCCTTGGCCTCTCAAAGTGCTAGGCTTAGAGCAGTGCGCCACCATGCCCAGCTGCAAACAAATAATTTTTAATTGTAGGAGTTATATAGTGAATACAAGAAAATGAAAATTATGATATTTGTTATTTATTTAGCTGAGGCTAAAATAGGTATTTTAGTAAAACCAATGAGAACATTTAGAGTCCAATCCATGGTTGTCCCGTTGTATGACGATGTGGCCATGATCATGGGAGAGATTCATGATTGATGGTGACAAAGATTCTTTGCTTGCTGTAACTGCTTGGTCAGACTTTGGAATCTTCTGCTAGGCCCACCTGTGCACTTCTTTGTAAAATCTAGTTTTCACAAAGAATGCTTTAAGTCAGTTTAGCAGGAACCCCCATCCTTAATATTTAATCATCCTAGATATCTGATCAGGTTCCTCATCTGTCACCATCTCCTAGGTGATGTTGATTACCCTAGCCCATCTTCAGCAAGAATCCTGTTAGGTCGGTTTAGCCAGAATTCCCCTTACCTCCGATGTTTCCTCTTGGTAATTTTCTATCAACTGACCTCCCTACCCCCAGCCCCCATGATGTTCCTCGGCTATAAATTCCCACTTGCCTATGCTGTATTCAGAGTTGAGCCCAGTCTCTCTCCCCCACTGCAAGGCCCCTTTGTAGTGGTACCTATCGCAGTAGTTCTGAATAAAGCCTTCCTTATTGTGTTTGTGTTTTAGCAAAGATCATTGAACAATTTTTTTTCTTTTTTTTTTTTTTTTTTTGAGACAGGGTCTCATTCTGTCACCCGGGCTGGCATGCAGTGACATGATCATGGCTCACTGCAGCTTTGACTTCTCTGGCTCAAGAAATCCTCTCACCTCAGCATCCCTACCTAGTAGCTGGGATTATAGGTATGTGCCACATACCTGGCTAATATTTTTAAAAATCATTTGTGGAGATGCTGGTCTGACTATGTTACCTGGGCTGGTCTCCAATTTCTGGGCTCAAGCAATCCTCCCGCCACCTCAGCCTCCCAAAGTGCTGGGATTACAGAGGAGCCACCACACCCAGGTAAATAATTTTTTCTTTTTCTTTTTTTTTTTAAATTTGAGATGGAGTTTTGCTTTTGTTGTCCAGGCTGGAGTGCAGTGGCGTGATCTCGGCTCACCGCAACCTTCGCCTCCCGGGTTCAAGCAATTATCCTGCCTCAGCCTCCCGAGTAGCTGGGATTATAGGCATGTGCCACCATGGCCACCTAATTTTATTTATTTATTGTTTTTAAGTAGAGACGGGGTTTCTCCATGTTGGTCAGGCTGGTCTCAAACTCCCGACTTCAGGTGATCTGCCCACCTTGGCCTCCCAAAGTGCTGGGATTACAGGCGTGAGCCACTGTGCCCGGCCTAATTTTTTCTTTAACAATAGCCCCTTCCTTAGTTTCCCCCTCCCCTCTATGCACTCCCTAAACTCTTGCTTGTTTCCCAAGGGTACTTTGAAACCACTATCACACATTGATTATTGAGAAAGGGTCTCACTCTGTTGCCTAGGCTTGAGTGCAGTGGTGAGATCATAGCCCACTGCAGCCTCTACTTCCTAGGCTTAAGCAATTCTCCTGCCTCAGCCTCCTGAGTAGCTGGTACTCAAGTGCAAACCACCATGCCCAGCTACTTTTGTTGTTGTTGTTGAGACGGGGTCTCACTATGTTGCTCAGACAGGTCTCAAACTCCTGGATACAAATGATCCTCCAGCCTCAGCCTCCCAAAGTGCTGGGATTACAGGTGTGAACCACTGTGGCCGGCATACACATTGTAATTAAATAACCTTTAAGATTTAATGTCGGTCTTTTTTTTTTTTTTTGAGACAGAGTCTTGCTCTGTCGCTAGGCTGGAGTCTGTGGCACGATCTCGGCTCACTGCAACCTCTGACTCCCTGGTTCAAGCAATTCTCCTGCCTCAGCCTCCCAAGTAACTGGGATTACAGGCACGTGCCACCATGCCCAGATAATTTTTATATTTTTAGTAGAGACGGGGTTTCACTAGGTTGGCCAGGATGGTCTCGAACTCCTGACCTCGTGATCCGCCTGCCTCGGCCTCCCAAAGTGCTGGGATTACAGGCATGAGCCGCCGCGCCTGGCCTAATGTCGGTCTTTCTTCCCACCTCTAACTCCATGGGAAAGGACCACCATGTCTCTAGAGCTATTACGGGACTTGGTGCATAGCAGGCCGTTAATAAGCAGTTGATGGAGGATGAATGAAGATGAGAGGGGTCTGTGTGTGTAGGGGAAGTCCCAGTGAGGAGCACCTCTCATTCTGTGAGACCTGGATAGGACCCCTCGGAGGCTGGGCTAGGAGTGGCTGGGGTGGGTGTTGGGGGTTTATGTGACAGAAATGGGGTCCCAACAAGCAGGGATGGAGGGTGAAGAGATGGAGTTACTTAAGAGATAATGGGATCCCCAGCACGGAGACCCACGCCTGTAATCCCAGTGCTTTGGGAGGCCGAGACGTGAGGATCGCTGGAGGCCAGAAGTTGACACCAGCCTGGACAAAATAGTGAGACCCTGATCTCTACAAAAAAATAAAAATAAAAATTAGTAGGACATGGTGGCGTGTGCCGGTAGTCCCCGCTACTCTGGAGGCTGAGGCGGGCTCCCAACAGGCAGAGTTGAGCAGGGTAGTAGGGGCGGGAAGTCTCTAATAGGGGATGAGGGATGGGAATCTATGTTGTACAGCCTGGAGATCCCTGTGACAGTTGGGTGGTCTGGGTGAGATGGGATAGGGGTCATGGTTTGTTGCAGAGTCGGGGTATACTGTGCTCAGCGGAAATGGGGTCCGTGCAGCAGACCTGGAGGACTCACGTGCTGTGGGAATGGGGGATTCTGTGTCAGAGCTGGGGGGTCGGGTCCGGTGAGATGGGGATGCGGATTTAGATAATAGGGATGGGAAGTTCCGCGTGTGCGGCGGATATAAGGTCGGTGTAGACTTGGTCGTTCAAGTGAGGCGGGGTCCACACTCGGTGGCCCGGTGACTGGGTTATCGAGTGGAGCCAGGGCAGCCCAGAGATGCTGGGGTCCCGCGAGCCTAGGTTGGGTTTCCAGGGCTGGGGGCTCGGCGGCGGCTCCTGGGCGCCCCCTGGCGGCCCCGACTCAACCGCCACGGCTCCCACAATGCTCGCGTAGCCGGGCTTCGGTTCCTGTGGCGGCGACGGCGGCGGCTCCAAGATGGCGCAGGCGATCTTTGAGGCCCTGGAGGGTGAGCGGCGGCGGGGCCGGCGGAGGCGGCTGTTCCGCGCTGCGCCCCCTCCCGCCGCGCCCTCGCAGCGCCCGGCCTAGGGCGCGCAGCGGCCGCGGGGCGGAGGGCGCCGGGGCTGGAACAGCCGCGGGGCGGGAGGGGCGCGGGCGGGAACAGCGCGGGAGCCGAGGCCCGGCGGGGGAGCTCCGGGGCCGGAACAGCCGGGGAGAGCCAGGCCGGCGGGGAGGGGGCTCGGGTCCGGAACAGCGCCAGCCTGGGCGGCCTTGGGCGGGCGCGGGAGGGGCTCCCTGCAGGGAACTGCGCGGGAGGCGACGGCGGGGCGGTCTGGAACAGCCGCGGCCAGGGAGGCGGCTTGGCGGCGCGCGGGGCCCGGGACGGGGGTGCGGTCGCAGCTGCGGGCAGGAGGGCCTCGGCGGCCTGACCACGAAGAACTTCTGCGGAGCGGACTGTATGCCTCGTGCTAGGACGTAGTCTCAAAATCAGACCACAGCAGCAGAGGCGCCACCTGTGTGCACAGCCTGGACTCAGAGCTTAGGGACCCAAGCCAGCAAACACCTGGCGCCTGCAGTGCGCACCGTGGCCGGTGCAGTTTTACAAATTAAACTGACACCGTGGGTGCTGGCGCGGTGTGCCCGGCCGGGACGCGGTGTTCCCAGACCCAGGCCAGCAAACGCTGGGTGCCGACAGACTGTTCCGTGCTCTGCAAGAACCTGGGATGGGGTTGGTGCTCAGGCTCAAAACTGTGGGCTTTGGAGACAGCAAACACTGAGCACCTCCATGTGTGCATCTGCTGGGCGTCGGGGAGGAAGGGCAGCCTTAGCGACTCGGGGCCATGGCGCAGAATAGATATTGTGGGAAATACAGACCAAGAATGGTCTTGGAGGAGTGGGATGAGATGAGTATACAGATAGGGTGCAAACTCGAAGTACTGGACTGGCGGGATGAAGCTGAAGCTTTGAGTCCTGCAGCTTCCTAGGAGATCTCAGCCACTCCCTGCACTTTTTAATTTTTTGAGACGGAGTCTCACTCTGTCGCCCAGGCTGGAGTGCAGTGGCGCGATCTCGGCTCACTGCAACCTCCCCCTCCCAGGTTTGAGCGATTCTCGTGCCTCCGCCTCCTGAGTAGCTGGGACTATAGGCGTGCACCACCACACCCGGCTAATTTCCTTTTTTTTTTTTTTTTTTGAGACAGAGTCTTGCTCTGTTGCCCAGGCTGGAGTGCAGTGGAGCGATCTCGGCTCACTGCAACCTCCGCTTCCCGGGGTTCACGCCATTCTTCTGCTTCTTCTGCCTCAGCCTCGAGAGCAGCTGAGACTACAGGCATCCGCCACCACGCCCGGCTAATTTTTTTTTTTTTTTGTATTTTAAGTAGAGACGGGGTTTCACCGTGTTAGCGAGCATGGACTCGATCTCGTGACCTCGTGATCCGCCCGCCTTGGCCTCCCAAAGTGCTGGGATTACAGGCGTGAGCCACCGCGCCCGGCCATTTTTTTGTATTTTTAATAGAGACGGAGTTTCACCATGTTGGCCAGATTGGTCTTGAACTCCTGGCCTCAAGTGATCTGCCCGCCTCAGCCTCCCAAAGTGCTGGGATTACAGGCGTGAGCGACTGCTCCAGGACTCCCTTCACTTCTTGAAGGATCACAATTCGCACCAGGAAATGGGGGGCGGGGTAGCCCTGTCTCCATCTAGTGGGGTTCCGATTCAAAGACTGACTGAGACAGACACTCCCTGTAGTTTCTGCCCTGCAGTCTGGTAGAGGAGAGAAATTATAAAACAAGCAATTATAGAAATTATAGAATTATGGAAAAGGTCATGTAGAATAAGATGACCTCAGCTGGCCATTCCTACTGTGAATAACATAAGCAGGAGGTGGTGGATCAGGAAGGCCGAGGTCAGTGGTAGTTCCCTCCCAGAGGCCAATAGAATGGGGTGAGGCTTACTTTCTCTTTAGGCTGTTTGGACTTCCTCATTGTTTGAATATTTACTGCAAGAATGTGTTTGTGTATTGAGTAATGAAGACAGTTAAAGAGAAATCAGTTCCTAGGACAGTGGGATGCATGTTGGGTGAAGAAAGGGCAGCAGGACTGTGGAGATCTAGGGGAGGAGGGCAGGAGAATGGCCCAGGCAGCAGGAACTGCATTTTCAAAGCCCTGGGGAGAAAGGTCTCCTGGGATTCACAGAAGCTGGGTGTGGGTGAACTGCTAGAGATGGGGTTTGATGGAGCAGCTAAACTTTATCTTGGGATCAGTGTGGAGCTAACAAAAGGTTTTCAGCAGGGGAGCAGCACAATGTGATGTATGTTTTATAAAGTTCACCCTAGCTGCTCTGGAACAGACTGGAGGGGGCCAGAGTGGCAGTGGGGGGTCGGGGTGGAGGCTGCTGAGGTTGTACAGCAGAGAACTGGGCTGGTAAACAACTGTGGGGATGGAAAGACAGTTTATTTGAGATGTATTGGGGAGACAGAATAGGCTAGACTTGCAGAAGAACCAGAAATGGGGAGTGGGGAGGGGGAGCAGTGGGTTGAGGGAAGACCCAAGTGGTGCCGCCCCAGAGGGTGCCCTGGTGCCCTGTTCTCCTTGATGAGGATTACTGGAAGAACAAACTTTGGGGTGGAGGATGACATTTAATTCAAGTTCAGTTTTACACAGGCTGCCTTTTTTTTGTTTTTGAGACAGCATCTCACACTGTCTCCCAGGCTGAAGTGCAGTGGTGCAATCTTGGCTCAATGCAGCCTCCACCTCCTGGGTTCAAGTGATTCTTGTACCTCAGCCTCCCGAGTAGCTGAGACTACAGGCACATGCCACCACGTCTGGCTAATTTTTGTATTTTTAATAGAGAAGGGGGTTTCACCATGTTGGCCAGGCTGGTCTCAAACTCCTGACCTCAAGTGATCCACCCATCTCTGCCTCCCAAAGTGCTGGGATTACAGGCATGAGCCACTGAGCCTGGCCCAGGCTGCCTTTTTAATTTAATTTAACTTAATTTTTTATTTTTTTGTGACACTCTCACTCTGTCACCCAAGCTGGACTGGGGTGGTGCGATCTTGGCTCACTGCAACCTCTGCCTCCCAGGTTCAAGCGATTCTCCTGCCTCAGCCTCTTGAGTAGCTGGGATTACAGGCGCTTACCACCACGCCTGACTAATTTTGTATTTTTTAGTAGAGACGGGGTTTCACCATGTTGGCCAGGCTAGTCTCGAACTCTTGACCTCAAGTGATCTGCCCGCCTTGGCCTCCAAAGTGATGGGATTGCAGGCGTGAGGCACTGTGTCCAGCCAGCCTTTTTTATTTTTATTTGTAGAGACAGGATCTCACTCTGTCTCCAAAGCTGGAGTGCAGTAGTGCATTCATAGCTCACTGCAGCCTCAAACTCCTGGGCTCAAGTGATCCTCCCACCTCAGCCTCCCAGGTGCGTGCCAGGACACCCAGCCAATTTTTTAAATTTTCTAGAGATGAGGTCTTGCTATGTTGCCCAGGTTGATCTTGAACTCCTAGCATCAAGCAGTCCTCCTGCATTGACTTCCCAAAGTGTTAGGATTACAGGCATGAGGCACTGTACCCACCCTGCATTTGTTTAAATTTTTTTATTTTGAAATCACTTTTTCTGTAGATTCACATGCAGTTGTGGGAAATGATAAAGAGAGATCCCACGTGTCCTTGACCCCATTTCCCCTGGTGTAACATTTTGCACAACTACAGTGTGTTACCACCAGTCAACATACAGAACAGGGGCATCACTCCAAGGAGTTGCCCTTTTATAGCCACACCCTAAATCCTCCCCTTCTCCCACCATCCTTGATGCCTGGCAACCACTAATCTGTCTCCATTTGTAAAATTTTGTGATTTCAAGAATACTATATAAATGAAATCATAAAGTGTATACCATTGAGATGGGCTTTTTTCACCCGTCATAATTCCCTAGTGATTCATCCAAGTTGTTGTGTATAGCAATAGTTTGTTCCTTTTTATTGCTTAGTAGTATTCCATAGTATGGCTATTTCACCATTTAACCACTCACTGAAGAACATCTGAACTGTTTCCAGTTTTTACTATTTTTTTTTTTAGACCCTGTCTCAAAAAAAAAAAAAAGTAAAAACTGGAAACAGTTCAGATGTTCTTCTGAACCATTTCCTACACCCTCTATCTCCTCTACTACCTTCTGGCCCTCCTCCCCCACTCTAGTGGGGCTTAAGCCCCCCACCATTCTGAAACTGCCTCTGCAAAAATTGTAACAGTGAGAAAATCATGACAGAGAAAGACGCCTGACCTAACCAATCCCTACCTTGCCTTTAACCTCCAAACTGCCCTTAGTCATCCCCGGGCTTGGGCCAAGCTAACTTCGGCAGAAATTTAATTTACAGTTTAAATGATAATAGCCCTTCCCCAAAACTAAACTGTCTTTGTAAAGCTATTGAAAGACCACCAGGTTTTCACCTGGGCAACATGGGGAGATTCCATCTCAAAGTGTTCACTGTTGCCCAGGCTGGAGTGCAGTGGCATGATCTTGGCTCACTGCAACCTCCACATCCCAAGTTCAAGCGATTCTCCTGCCTCAGCCTCCCGAGTAGCTGGGACTACAGGTGCGTGCCTCCACACCCAGCTAATTTTTTCTATTTTTAGTAGGGACGGGTTTCACCATGTTGCCCAGGCTAAATTTTTTACTGTTATACCTAAAAGTGCTATGAACATTTGTATACAGATTTGCACACAAATGCTAAAACACTCACAATTTTGCATAAAATGGTAGAAGATTCACTGAAGCTTGTTCAGGAGAGCTTGAACCCCAGGCTTGAAACTCCAGATATTGGAAGGAAGTAGACTGGGGTGAGTGAGACTGCCCAGGGACAGCATGAGAGGCAGAGGTGAGAGAGTCCAGACAAAGGAACAAAGGACAAAGTGTTTCCTCAAAATGGAAACACTTAGGGGGTGGCCAGGAGAAGAGAGTAAAGGAGGCACAGAAAGGTAGAGAAGACCCAGGAAGGCTGTGCCCTGGAGCCAAGAACAGAGTGTTTCAGGGAGTGGCAGGTGCTGCCAGATGGTCTTTGGTGATGATGGGGAAAGTGTTTTGGTGGAACTGTAACCATCCAATGGGTTCATTTTGCCTGCTGCCCAGATACAGCCAATTTATCAAGACAGGGGAATTGCGACAGAGAAAAAGTTACATTCACACAGAGCCAGCTGAACAGGAGACTGGAATTGTGTTATTACTCAAATCAGCCTCCTAGAAAATTCAGAGACTAGGTTTTTTATTTTTATTTATTTATTTATTTTTTATTTTTTATTTTTTGAGACGTAGTCTCGCTCTGTTGCCCAGGCTGGAGTGCAATGGCGTGATCTCACCTCACTGCAACCTCCGCCTCCTGGGTTCACGCCATTCTCCTGCCTCAGCCTCCCAAGTAGCTGGGACTGCAGGCACCTGCCACCATGCCCGGCTAATTTTTTATATTTTTAGTAAGGATGGGGTTTTACCGTATTAGCCAGGATGGTCTTGATCTCCTGACCTCATGATCTGCCCACCTTGGCCTCCCAAAATGCTGGGATTACAGGCGTGAGCCACCATGCCCAGCCAGACACTAGGTTTTTTCAAAGATAGTTTGGGGGACAAGGGAATGGGTGCTGTTGATTGGTTGGAGGTGCAATCATAGAGTTGTGGAAAATGGTCCTCCTACATGCAGAGTCTGCTTCTGGGTGGGGCTGCAGGACTCATTGGCGAGTCTACGTGGAGCCATTGGTTGTCAGAAATGCAAAAATCTGAAAAGATATCTCAAAAGGCTAATCTTAGGTTCTATAATAATGATGTTGGGGCCAGGTGCGGTGGCTCACACCTGTAACCCCAGCACTTTGGGAGGTCAAGGCGGGCAGATCACCTGAGGTCAGGAGTTTGAGACCAGCCTGACCAACATGGAGAAACCCTGTCATTACTAAAAGTACAAAATTAGCCAGGCA